>NC_000005.10:71359807-72609807 GCF_000001405.40 Homo sapiens
CGGTTTGAGATAAAGAGAATGGCCAGAACTGTATACAAGTCATGAAAGGCCCTGGTGTACATTTTTCAAAGTAGTGCAGATTGTGTTGAAATTATCAGTTTATCTTGCATATAAAAAAAACATATATACACTTTGAGTAAAATATAAAAAGTGGTAAATATCAGGAAAAGTTTGTTTTACTGTAACCATTTCTTGTTCTATTCTATTTGAGTATTTGCTCTATATATTTGATATACTTCCAGAATGCATCCTATTCACAAAGCAGGCAATTACTCTATCAGTGAATACAGTTGCAGAGTCTCTCCTCTATTCAGCTTCATTTGTACCTCCACTCCAGCCACTTGCAGAAATGGCGGATGCATCAAAAAGACTGGTTACAGGCCTTGCACCCTCCAAGCGGCTAATTACCAAGATGTTAAGTAAATGACCATTGCTCTTTATCATCCCCAATGGCGTATAAAAAGGATGTTAAACAGGTTGTCTCATGTTCCCTATACATTTATTCATTCCCGTGTTAAAATACGTCTTATGGGAAAAACAAAATTCACCAAAGAATGAGGAAGCGAACATGTGTTAACAGAGGGACTTCTGGCTAATTTTACAAAGAAGGATAAAAATTCTCAAAATATGTGTGGGGTGGATTGCGGGGGTATTACATATTCATAGCATGCCGCAGAAATCATTTTAAGTCTATCAAAAACAACTATATTGTGCATTTTCAAATAAGCACATATAAAAGATGAGCTATAAGAAGAGAGAAGGATGCTAAAATAAATAAGTAAAAGAGAAAAATGGCTGGGCACGGTGGCTCAAGCCTGTAATCCCAGCACTTTTGGGGGCCGAGAGGTCAGGAGTTCAAGACCAGCCTGGCCAACATGGTGAAACCTGGTCTCTACAAAAATACAAAAATTAGCTGGGCATGTTGGCTCATGCCTGTAATCCCAGCTACTCGGGAGGCTGAGGCAGGAGAATCCCTTGAACCTGGGAGGCGGAGGTTGCAGTGTGCCAAGACCGCATCGTTGCACTCCAGCCTGGACAACAAGAGTGGAACTCTGTCTCGAAAAAAAAAAAAAATAAAAATAAAAGAGAAAAGTAGGTGAAAAGAAGTAATTAAATGGTAAGGAAAGAATAGGTCAGGACAGGAATCCAGGATGACTTTACTATATTTGAACCATAGAACATTAACCAAAATCTTATTTTTCTTCCCCTCAGTAGTTTGAAGTTGAGCAATATCTGTGTCTTTTGCATCACACTCTGAAATTGCAAATTATTTCTTGTCCTTTCAGATAAATGATTATGCAAAAGAAGCCCAGAACTGGCACAATTTAGAAGGTTTGAGGTTGCTCTCATGTGTTTGTAGGGTATGCTATCATCATCCCATAGCCTAAGGCTGTAGTATTGGACTCTCTGGAAGCAGCTCTGAATGTGATAGGATGGAGATAATTGAAGATACAAGCAGCCATTATGTGTCTGAATATTGGTTTACCAGAAGAGCTAGATGTGTAGGAGCACATCCTTACTTGACAAATGTCTGACAGAATGACCTGGCACCATTACTGTTTTAAATGTGTAATATGCTATCTCAACTGGGACATTTTATGAAAGCTATAGGTTGTGACCTACTGTTCATTACACTTAGTTTCTGAGGTGCCAAAGACTGATGTGTGAGCCAAAGTTCATTATTGTTCTTCACTGGATCTTTGCATTTATTAGTCTGATGTTAATGGGATTCACTCTTGAGTTGGATTGATGTTCAAGGTTAGAGCCACAGATGAGCTCCTGATCTTGACCAGAAATGATTTGCCCATTGCCAATTAGAAGAAGAAAAGGGCAAGGTGGAGGTTGAACTTGGAGTTAATAGGAATAATAGATGCTGAGGGTACAAGATGAAACTCAGTAAGATAATACACTCTATTCTTAGACTGGCAAATTTACATAGTAAAGAGAACTTTTATCATTGTCATCCAAAGAAAATATAATCCTAAGAGAAAAAGTCCAGCTAGTTTTTTTTTTCTTTTTTGTTACCTGCTCATAGGATATAAACTTATTTCTATCACACACAGGTATCATTTTCTTCTATTTCACACAAATGTGTGAAATAAAACACATAGAAGAAGAAATAAAACACTTCTTCTATTTCACACAAATGACAAAAAATGTCCTTCAATTATTTTGACACACGATCTCTCAAGATACATATCCTTTTATATCAACTATAAATACAAATTTAAAATTTTGATAAAAGAGAAATAACTGGAATAAAACAAAGCAGTATTTTTTAAAACTATAGCTGTTCCCCTAAGATATTCTCACACTAAAGAATTTTTCCCAATTCTTCTCCCCCACTGAGAAGTACAGTCTTCAAAAATTAGTCCAGGTATTAGTGTTTACCAAGGAGGAATATTTTGAACAAGAATAATCTGATGCTACTTTTCATTTGTCAAGTACATTTTCTAAATTATATTCTAATAAGAGAGAATATGCACATTTGCATGTCATGATTCTTATAAATATTTACTGAGTACTGTCTCTCTGTAAAGAACTACAGTGGGATGGATTTAAGATATATAATACATAATTTTTCATCTTCAAATTGTTCACGTTTTGTAGAGATAGTAACTTGTGCATAAATGACTAGAATGTTAAGTTGCTAAGTGACAAGTGACAAAAATGTTTAACCTGTAAAATCTTCCCCTTGGGAAATTGAGGAATAAAAACTTCCAACTAAAGGAACAAAGATTGTCATGAGCAAAGTTGTATAAAAAATAAATTAAATGTAGGATAATAAAGGTAGTGTATTAAAGTGAGAAGGGTTAGGGTTTCTTAGGTGACAGACTGGCTTGATTTTGTGACTTGTGTGATGGAAGCAAGTTATGTAACACCTCTGAGTTTCCATATCTTCATCTGTGAAGTAGACATAGCTGAACCAACCACATGGAATTGTTGCGAGGGTGAAATGCAATGGTGTGTGCAAGTTTCTAGGCAGTGTTGGACTGGATCTACTATTACGCTATACAAATGATACTTAGAATTTTTACAGTTATGCTTAATATTGTCATAATTCCAGGAAATGAGAAAAATCTCAGCAGAGGTACAAAACGGGCAAGCTCTGGGCAAAATGATCTTAGTGGGTTTATTTCAAAGGATGCTTGAAAGTAATCTGTGGAAAACAAAATTGACAAAAAGTGCATGTTGAAATGGAAATTAACGGGTCTTTGAATGTTAAGACAAAGATAGCGGGCATGCTCTTTCATCTGTCTATCCCTGGCCCTTAGCATGCCTGGTGCTTTTCAGTGCTCCAGCTTTACGTGTTTAATCGTTTTTGTTTCATTCGAAATAAGTGTTCTCATAGATATAGAAAACCAGCAGGCAATAAAATATATATTCTGAGCTGTGATTTAGTGGTATTATTACTTAGCAACAGTGTGTAGGATGAATTACAGAAAGCAAAAGTAGGGCATAATTATAATCACTAAGACTAATTATCAATATAAACTTTTGCCAGAACAATTGTAAATATATGGAGAGGTGATGCACATGAAAAACACATTAAAATACCCTAGGATTTTGCCAAAATAAGCTGTGTAATAAAACAAAGGGAGAAGAAATTGAAGAATATGATGAAGTTTAAATTGAGGTTCAAGGTGTTTTGCATGAAGAAAGATGAGAAATTTAAATTTGAGATATGATGAGTTTATGGTAGGAAATTGAGATACCATATTTTGCCAGTTGGACTAGACCTCACAAAAAGACTCAAAATAAGTATGCAGAACGCATTAGTTTAGATATATTTGAAGAGACCATGGGAAAAAAGGAAAAAGGGAGGAGTTTAAAGAGTCAAACAAAAAGATGATGGAAAGGCAGTGGGAGACATAAAAGGGAACCAGAAATCTTAAGAGGAGAAAGTGTTCTGAAGAAACACACAAAGTCAATTACTTAAAAAGTTGAGAATCACTGGCAGTGCTGGATGATCGTGACTTTTTTCTCTATTTCAGTAAGCGGGCGATGGACATTAGAATGCAAGAGATGGATGAGGTATGGAAGTAGAAGGAATAAATGTCAACTATTATTTTAAAACATTTGCACAGAAGAAGCAAAGTAGGATAAGAGCTTAAAAATAAAGGTTCTGTTTATTTTCATTTTGTAGTCGTAGGGAAAATGTGAGCATGTTAAAAGAAAAGCTGAGTGTAAAAAGGGAATGAGAGGACAAATTGAAATAGACATGGGTTCAAATCCCAGATCCCACTGGACATCTCTGAGGCTTACTAGACATCATCTGTAAATATAAGATAAACACCTAATATAAAATGTGTTCAGCTATAAGAAGTTTGAGTTAGTGTATATGATTTTTAGAAAATCAATTTATCATATACAATAAAACATATATTAAATTAGACAGTTTGATGCATATTGACAATTGTATATCCCCTGCACATTTCCATCATATATGAAAACTTCTCACATGCCCTCACCATCTCAATCCCTGATCACAGGCAACCACTGATGGAGGTTCTGTCATTATGTACAGGATATATCTTTTCTAAATTTTGTATAAGTGACATCATACATGTGCATTATTTTGTTTCTGTCTTCTTTATCTCAGCATCTTGTTTTTTGAAATTTGTTCTTATTGAGTACATCAGTGGTCAGCTCCTTATTATTGCTTAGTGTATTTCATTTTAGGAATAATGTTCATTGAATTTATCCATTTTATCCATTATAATTTTGAGGGAAATTTGGGGTTTTTCCAGGTTGGGGCTAATATTAAAGCTGCTATGAACATTCAGGTACGACTCTATGTATAGATATGTCTAACTGTCAGCTTCTACATAAACATTTTAAAAATCACTATCTCTAAGAAAACTAGGAAATCAAACATCTGGAATTCGGCATTGGCTACCAATTGTAGATGAAACATACTTTTTCAATGATTTAGACACAACTGTCACAGCTTACAAAATGCATCTTCACCAATTAGTTACCTAGTTAGGCTCTGCAGACTTAATTGTTTATCTCTGACCATAGTCCTAACCCAACTTGGCTCCATAGTTGCTGGGATAAGATAGATTGATTTTAGCTATTGGTATCAGTATTCTACTTCCCACATGCCTGTCGAAAAATGCTCTTAGAGTTTTAGAACTGGAATGGCAAAATTTATTTCCTGAGTGATTAAATGGCTCCACTCCTACTATTCTAGGTCACCTTGTTCCTTGTTGAGAGATAGCCACATCCTGAATGTGGCTCTTTTCTCTCAGCTTTGCACCCACTGTCAATAGGCAAATCTCAGTTGCAAGAAACTCTTTAGGTAGAATGGAAGTATTATTCTTTCTGCTACATGAACCTGAAGGAAGTATTCTCAGATTATCCAGACCTAAGGAAGGATACATTCATCTATAGCTCCCTCTCAATTTACAGAAATGTTTGGTTGGTAGAGAGTCTTGCCTAAGTATTTAATCTGGCCCAAGGTAAAGAAATACTGCAACCTCAGATCTACTAGCCAAGGGGAGCTGGGTTGTTTTGAAAGGCACTGTAATGTGCCCCCTTTTTCTTACACAGCAGTGGGCACGATTAGGAGGCAAAAACTTATGGAAAGGAAAACTTAAGTTCTTCCTTATAAAAATTTAAAACATGTATCTCCATGGAGGGCCTGCAAAGTCTTTATAGGATATTTTGCCTTTGGGAACTTCTTTTTTTATACTACTATTTCAATCTCCTCACCTCCCTCTCTGTCTCTATTTCTAATTAGATAGATCATAGATACAGGTATAGATAAACATAGATATATAGATGGAAGGCCTTGATTGAAAGTGCTACAACCTCCTTCCACTGTTGAGTGGAAGCACCTGCTTGAGGGATGTACCAGTTTAGTTAGGAGGAGGAAATGAGGAGGGGAGTCTGATGGAGGAAAAAAATAAAATGTTCTGAAGTGATTGAGAGCACAGAGAGTTTGGAATAGACCTGCAAACAGGGGGCCCTTGCTAGGAACTAGGGCACATCCATGAAGTGACTTTGCTGTTGTGTTTACATTATTTGTCTTTTTCCATTAGATACTTGCCACGGTTATATTACGCATCCACAATTTCAAGATGTTGCAGTTTTGGGATGCATTGTTTTATTTCCCCCGAGAACACAGCAGCCTTGTGCAAGAGGCATTGTGCATGACTAGGAGAGGAAGAAATAACAAACTCCTTAAGAACAACAGGAGGGGGAAACGGGGAGTAGTTGTTTAGACAACTAATAGTTAATTTCCAGGCCTTGCCAGGTCAGGAAAGGAAAATCCCTAGGTGGGGTTCATACCTGTAGTCAAATACAAGTAAAACCAAAAGGTAGGGCCTAATCCAGGCACATTTATTTTTCCCCAAATACTTTCAAAAAGAGAGACCATTGAAGGAGTGAGGGAGTCTCAGGGTTTTAGGCTACATATGCTTTTCATCCACCTTGTCTATGCAACTCAGGTCCAGGATTCCTTCCAGCCATCACTAACTGAACCAAATTCCAAGGAGCCACTGCTTCACATTGCCATGCTCCGTGTTTTGCACAGAGGCTTCAGTTTTGATCAAACATGTTTTGTTTTTGATTATCACACATTCCACTCCAAAACTAAATATTATTTCCCGAAAATAATTTGTCATTTTAGAAATTGATACAACTCTGAAATGATTTTATCTGTTTGAATACTTTGATGATCATCTCAGACACATAAGCAGAAATTTAACATAAAGAGTTAAAGATTGATAATAAATAAAATTGTTTTTCAGATTCATTGAAACATTCTTAATTTTTCTTCTAAAAGAAATGAGTAAAATTGATTTTGTTATTTAATATCTCTAGAGGTGCTTATTTTAACTAGTACCTTATAACTAGAAGGTATCTGGGTCTTCAAAAGAATTTCATAGCATACCTCTGATCATTTAACTTGGCAAGTTTGTCTTTCAGAATATGTTGTAGTCAGATAGTCGAGAATGATCATTAGTGAATTCTCATATCCATCCATCTATTTCAAGTTGTACTTTGCCATAAATCCAGTTCAGAAATCTGTGGGAAAACTTAGCACTTCTGAAATTTTAGAAACTAGTTAAAAGGGATTGAATTCAGCCTTTCTGAGGCACTGAAGATAAAACTTAGACTTATATTTGTAATTCAACCCAAATGACAAATTTTTCAGTTACAGATTTTAATCTGGTTTTTAACTACCTCATAAAATTTTTACCAGTAAGTTCTACATAAAATAATTCAAAAATCTGATTGTCAGAACCACTGCAATTTCTCTATTATGAATGTATTTACAAGTCATCCTGCATGTAAAAGAAGCAATTTCATGTGGATAAGTAAAATGGTTAAATTTGTTTGTATTCTATACATCTATACATAATTACATGTACATATACATAATTAAACTTATACCCTTGTCGATGATGAAGTGAACGGTTAAAATAAAGTATGCTAGTCTTCACTTAATCATGTTATTTTAATTCAGCATAAAAGATAGATACAGTCATTATCTAACTAGTTAATTTGATTTTTTTTGGTTATTCTTATCCACAAGTAAGGCTTTTAGATAGATCTGAAATGGGATAATGGTGGAAGATGAGGAACTACCACTGATCAAGTAGCCATATTAGCAATGATGCAGTTTGCACAGGGAAAACAAGAAGGAATAAATAAGCAAATGGGAGAAGAATTACAGAGAACAGTATCCAAGATGCTTCAGTTCAGATAATATTTTGTTTCATTATGAGAGCCTGCACTTAATTTTCCACCAGTTTACCAAGCTAGCGTGACCATCATGACCTTGTACCATCTTCAGATTCCACGAATGGTAGATGAAGAGTTCTACCCATCACTTCTAATAGGCAAAGATAGCACATGCCTACATGCACTGATTTGGAAGAAGGACAAGGCTAGAGATGGTGAGCGTTCCGCTTGAGCTATGGGCTATTAGCTTGTGGTAAACATGACTTAATAGTCAGTGATATGGACTTCACTGGCAGGTCTCATTCAGATAATCCCACAGTTCTTCTACTTCTTAATATAATATTTTCTAGGATAGGGGGTGGGGTGTAGTTGGGGGATCCATCAGGTGAGTTGAGAAGAGGAATGTGATAGGAACTTTTGTCACTGTTGGAAAGTGCGTGGGTGGTGACATTGAATAGATTCACTCAGGGAGACAAGTTAGCATATCTTTCATCTTTTTATAAGCAGCTGAGTAGAAAGAAATTGAGCAGCAGGAAAGGAGGGACAGGATACAAGAAAGTGTCTTTTCTTCCTCTCCATTCTTACAATGTCCTGATTCTTCAGCCCAGAGCTTTAAATATTTTTGTAACTACTTTCTTGGGGAACTGTCATGTTAACAGTAATTTTGTATATATTGAGCTCCTAAAGCTATGGATGCTTTATAAAGCTACAATGTAAATTTATTTCTCTCCATAATCCCTGTCACTTTCCCTGTCTCCACATAAAAAGCAAGAGACTTAACATTTCATTATTAATTACAGCAACAGCAAGTTGGCTGTCAGAGTCAAACCTCCACACACTCCCCCCACCAAGCTGCTGAGCTTCCAGCCATTTACTCATTAAGCTTATGATGATGATGGAGTTTTTAAAACCTGCTCTTTGTAATGGACAGTAGACCTTAAAAATCTGTCATAAATTGCTCAACTGAGGAAATCAAATGGCAAAGAGAGTGAACCAGTGTAAGAGCAAACAAATTGCACCATAAAAGAAAGTAGTGTCTTTAACTGAGCTTTTATTTTTACAAAGAATGTGAAAGCAACTTGGAGACTGTAAGTGGATGCTGTGAGACTGTTTAACTAAGAGCAGTTATTCACATTAAAGAGGCTGAACACATAAGGAAAAAAAAAAAAGAAAGAAAATCAGACCAAACAAAAACAAAGGAACAAAACCGCCTTAGAGTGTTTTCGTTTTTCAAATGATATGGTACTGCTGAGTAAAAATGACTAGGTCCATTTTTAAGTGTATTTTTTTCCTTAACATTTTAAAACCAGACTACATAAGATAAAAGCATATTACAAGGTGAATACCGATCAAGTTAAGGATCTAAGCGTATAACAGATTTTTCTCTCATATTTCATAAGAGATTTTTCAAAATGCACATTAATTCTGATATTTTTATTCATTTATTCAGGAAATATTAATGAGGACTGTTGAAGTCAAAATAGAAATGTAAAGAGGAATCTCTAAATTTAACATTTAATTAAGAAATAAATAATTTGCAAATCAGGGCATATATTCAGACCGAGTGGTCTTCAGCATGTCTGAAGAATGAAGAGAAGGCTGGAGGTTTTACTAAAAAAAGAAATATTAATTATTGCTCTTTGAGAAAGTTCATTAGCATTGGTAAGGTTCTGGGAAGCTGGAACGTCTGACTGGTGACTGATGGTGGGTAAAGTAAATCTTAGATTTGTAGCAGGTTTGTTTGGCAACTATTAGATAAAACAGTTGTGAGGTTACAGCAGGCACTTTCAGCAGCCAGACTTGCAGTGAATTACATTTTGGGAGAGCAATGTTTTGTGTCCTGAGTGCTTTTTGCCCCTGCCCTCTTGACTCTGTTTTCACTGGGTATGACGAGAATGCCCCAATTCAAATAATCAGCTTTCACAGTACCTATTATGGTCCAGTTCTTTTCTCAAACACTTTGGAATTCAAGAATAAACTAAACAGAAGAAAATCTGACCCTGAAGAAGAAAGTAACAAATAAGTCATAAGTATAATGGATAGGTAAGTTATATTGCAGATTTGAAAGAAATATGTGATGAAAAATAAGAGAAGTAGAGCAGGAAAAAAGAAATTAAGATGGTAGGTGTGGTGGAAGGAGAGGAGGCAAATGCAGGCTCAACCAGAAGGTAAGAAGTCAACAAACATTTTGGAAGGTAGGAGTTGTCAATATGGACAACATGGACATCTGGGGGAAGAGTTCCATGTGGAGTGAGGTTACCCTAAATAATTGAACTCGCTGGAAAAAAACACAACTCTCAATTTTACTACATAGAAGCTCTTGTAAATGAGAGCAGATGAGCTGTTACTTGTGTTGTGTCCCCAAATGAAACAGCTCATTCTAACATGGGGTAGTGTGCATCAAAGACAAATCATGCCATCTCACAATAAGTATACCCACCAAGAACCTTTTGGAGACCTATATTTGGCACTAAAAATACCATTATGAAGAAGAACTTGTATGCCTAATTGCACCCATGCTTTGGTCAATCCTCAATTATATATACATTATAATCAACCACATACAAAAGTCTAATATGTGCATTTACCCTGTGATTCTGTTTTATTCATATTAATAGAAGCATGTTTCTACCACTGTGGTGTCATATTATTCAATTATTTTGAGTTTTAAATCCCAGGGACCGACTTTACCTGAGTATTGTAGCTCTAAAGTTGGAAAGAAAAAATAATGCTGATACCATAATCAGATAGACATAAACAAAAGTGGGAAGAAATCTGCTATTGTGATGAAGCCTATATCATTTAACACCTGAAACTTTGACCAAGCAGAATAAATGAATGAATAAATAATTAAATAAATTAATAAAATGATTCTGGAATTGTAAGCAAGGGAAGATGAAATGATCAGTAGCAAATAACCAAACATGAGCTGACATCATGAAGAAAATAGCAAATTCATGAATTATTCTAAAATCGAAGCATTTGTTAGTCTTAAGTGTGAATATCTCTCTATGAAATTCTTTAATCTGGCCTTACAGTATGATTTACAAAGCACAGTTTCTATTTCTAAGAGCCTCTTACAACTCAAAACTTGCCTTACAAATTTTCTTAGAAGTAATCTTGACAGCAAACACATATTGTTTGAACTTTGTTTTTCATATTTTGTACATTAATTGCCATTCACGTTTTAGTAGTAAATTCTACGTGGTCCCAGGTGTGTGACTGTGCATGCAAGTTATATCAGAACAGGCCTTCCCAGCTTTGTCTTATCGTTATAATATGCAAACTATTGGCATAATTCTACATCTCCCTAAAGATTTTTTGAGTCTTTTGGGATTGATGGTCTCTCTCCCTCTCTCTGGATGCTGCTTTAGGACACTTACTAAGTATACTACTGTGTCTTTCTCAGTGATTAATGATGACTAGATTAATTGGCTTTCTCTTTCATTGTAAGTTCCCCTTTAACATTTCTGATTTTAATTGTGAGAAATAACCCTGCGCATGCATGTATTAGAAGTCAGGGAAGATCCTCTTGATCCATCCCATCAATTTCCCAGGAGCAATTGGCATAATTTAAATCTTCATCTAACTATTCTCCTTCAATTGTAATTGGTGCCACCTATTTTTAAAGTAGCCTATTCTTGTAACATTAACGTTATTTTGATAATTTATTGCGACCCCATTGCCAAAAACAGGCACAAGGGCGCCATAAATAAAGCAGTCTGATAATTGCTTAAACAAAACTGGGCCCCATGGACCAGCAATAAACTGTCATTAAGGTTAGGCTGGAGAAGCACCTGCAATTTCTCTGGATAACCTCTTTTATTTCTCTGTGTACACTACTGCTCATTTCAGAAAATGACAGTTTTGAAAGAGATCAGCAATTTGTTGAAACAAAGAATGAGAAAAACATGGTCTTGGAGGTATAATTTACTTTTACATTTTGAATTAAAAAATAGAAAAAGATATGTTGAAAAAAATTATCATATGAAAACCATAAGATTTCTACTGTAGAGCTAGAGCTATTTCACAGTTTAAAAGCTTGCTCCCTTTGTGGTAACTTTTATTTGTTATTTAAATTCAAGTTAATCTTCCCTGACTTGTAGTACTAAAAAATAGTACTCATGGTCTTTTATTGTTTTCATGCACAATTTAGATAATGTATTTTAGTGTTGCAGCTTGGCTCAGCAATTTTAAAGATTTAGGTTCTGAAAGTTGTTCATCAATAAAGTGGCCTATGTACCTCATTTGCAATGTGAAAGTGTTAGAAATATGAAAGAATTATATTTATTTTATAATACAAAATATAGAAAGATTAAAACTATATTTAAAACCAATTCAGAACACACAAGTAGGTATCACTTAAATGTCTTTTTCAATGTCGGTGACATTTTTAGTTGCTTTTCTTTCTTAAAATTTGCTCCCAAAGTGGCCATAATAATTGATATTTTATAAAGTTGGGGAAAAAAACAAAATGAATGTCTTCCTTTTATATTTATCAGAAGGTTATTTAAATGAATTCTTCTTGAATTTGATGGAAGCATTTTTTAAATTATGTTAATTTTAACACATCAGATGCATGTTTGAATACAAATAAGATCAAATAGGTCTTGAGTCATATCTGCAGGATCTTAATTTTAACATCATAGAGACAAAGATTTTAGTTAATCTTTTGTTTTGCTGTCAAATTTCCCTCTAATTTTGGACATGACACATTTTATCTTATTGAGTTTCAATTATATATGTATAATTATATATATAATTGAATATATATGTGTACATATATACGTAGATATATATATATATGTTGGACTCATGAATGTACATGAAGATACTAGCTTTGAATGAAACAATGTCAATTGCAAACTGCTGTTCATGCTTAATATAAATTCAATTATGAACCGAAATCCTTTAAGACAAAACAGGGAACCAGGTACTCTTATAACTTTTCTCCCAATAATTTGATTTTTTGGAAAAATTTAGTACCATATAATTTTCCCCCAAATATTACCTTTATTAAAAATAATAGTAATAATTCTGGAGAGTTATTTACACTGTGATTTATTAAATCAATCCCTATGATTTAATGTAGTGATGAAAGTGGTCTTTATATTTAAAATGTGCATGTTATATTGCCAGTTTTTACTGAGCACATACATTGTCGGCTAATACATACTCCTTTGTAGGTGAGTGTTTAGCGAAGAAAGCCATTGCTCCATTGGCAAATTAGCGTCATTAGTTGAAGGAGCCCAAGGGTTTAAATTGCAGGAGGTTTGCAGGAAGCATGTGCGCTGGCAGAGCTGTGTGGTAAGGCATCTGCAATAACCGTCTACATTATGCTTCCATTTAGGTGGTGTCATCACTCTGTCACTTTCATCTATTCCATAATTTGCACAAAAAGAAAGCACACCACAACAACTCTTTAAATTCCAAAAATGTATGGTAAACTGTCAGTTTCTCTTGTATGAAGTTGTTTATCTCAGGATTTTACTTGGCGTGCAATTTCTCAATAGACGTATCCTTCCTTCTGAAATGCAAAGGAAATCCCATTGATCAATAGGGGTTGCAGTACTTATCAACATCACAACGGAGACAGCTTAATTCCTCAGATTAGCATTTGGCTCAGATCAGCAAATGTTTTCTGAGAAATTACTATTTATACATTTAAAAGTATCCAACTTCCCTATCTTCCTCCTATCAGCTCAAAATATAAGCCCGGGCCATGTGGCTGCATCTTAATCACGTTCGAGCTGGAGAGCCATCAGTTGAAAGCCTGTCTCAGTTCATAGATACGAGAGATTGTAATATTTTAACATTTCCTCCTGCCAAGTTGCTAAGCAATAAAACTATCTTGGCACTTTCCTGCCAGTTCATCATGAAGAACTACTTTAGTTTAGCTTAGTCTCTTGATGAAACAAATGGAAGGCAGCTGCACCAAACGGCCTTTCAGAAACGTGTTGCCAAACAAATCCCGGGAACTTTCACCCCTTTGCATAGCTAATTTAGATGGCTTGAAGCAGAGAAATCCCATGTTAGTATCAGCATAGAAAATCAAGTCTTAAATATGAGTGATTAAAAATTATACAAACAATAGCTCATCATAAATTTGCCGAGTGCTATTGTCCCATATTACCTTTCTCCAAGGTATACCTAAGTGTGATGATTTCTCAGCTAAAAAAAGGCACATTTTTCATACCATAAAGTCAACTTAAGTCAGACATACTAGACAAGCTACTGGCTAAATTTGAAATGTATTTCTACTTAATTTTTACTTAGCTTTTGAGAGTTTTGATTACATAAGTAATGCCAAAAGAATGCCACACAATAATTTCAAACAACAGAGAAATGTATACATTTAAAAGTGTATAAAGTAAAAAGAGAAGTAAGTTTCCTTTCGCATTCATCCAATCCTGTATATTTGTATGTGTTTTTTCACAACTGCCTCTGTGCATGTGTGTATGTGTATTTGTGGCTGCATATGTATAAACTAAGAATTTTAGTCTATAAACTTACAGCAAATATTGACACATTTATTTATTGCTGTTATTGTTTTTATTAAAATTGAATCATATCCTGAGCCCCCAACTTGCCATTACATGAACTAAGTTCTTCCCATCTCAGGAATCAGAAAATCCCAAGAATCTTTATCACAACAGAATGTTCTGGGAGAGTCCCCTTGGATTTAGGACACACAGGTCACCAAGGAAATGGCCCTGTGCAAACTCACACCATCATGTGAAGTGGACATCTGCATTCTAGTGCTACACAGACTACACCATCTGCTTCAGAGAGTTTGCAGGTGATCTTCTCTCAGTCTGTCCTCCTCACATTTCAGGTCCTTCACAGAGCCAACTCCTGTTCACTGTTATCCTCAGCCTGAAATCACAAAGCTTCCTTATGTAGGCCTTCTTTATCAACTCAGATTAAATTAAAACCTTTCCTCCCAGTGGACAACAAGGCACTTTTTAATGTATCCATTATCATACTTCTCAAATTTATTTTTGCCAACTCTCTGCTTCCTTACTAAACTATGGTATCCATAAGCGTAGCTTACAGTGCTCAACATTTATTCATTAATTGGACAGATACTCACTGAGCTTCTACTATGGTGAATTGATGTGCTGGATGCTGAGAATAAAACTTCTATTTGAATGGCATGATTCTCTCTCACTGTCCCTACCTTTGAGACAGATGTGAATAAAAAAGCCACACATTATTACTTAATTAGAATGATAAGTGTTATACTATCTATGTGAGTAGTTGGAGCAAGTTAGTCTAGTGAGAGAGGTGAGTGTTTCAGGAAATTCTCTGGAAAAATTTGTATGTAAGTTGAGACCTGAGAAGTAAACACAACTTCATTAGGAGAGAAGAGCATCCTTAGTTCTTTAGTGAGACTGGAAGGTGTGTGGAGTAGAAGCCTTAGAGAGGAGGAGGTGGTGGAAACACATTCTGAAAGAAGAAGTATTCTAAAGCCAGGCTGGCCAGCAAGGATTTTATATTACCGAATCTTTTGGGTTTTTTTCCATGAGAATACTGTGAAGCCATAAGCAAGGCAGCAATATGAGTAGATCTGCAATTAGAACATGATGGTGGACTTGGCCAAGATGGTGAAAACAAACAGAATAGAATTGAAAAATATTTTGGAGTTAAAAATAGGAGAATTTATCGATTCACTGATTGTGGGTCTGAGGCAAAGAAGATAAAAGTTAAAAAATATAAGAGGAAAAGCAATAGTTAACACTCATAATGCACTTGCTAGGTACTAATCATTAAGTTTCTCACATGTATTAGTAGATTTAATTTGCACAATAACCATAAGAAGTAGGTGCTATTATTACTCAAACATCATCGATGAGGAAAGTAAATCAAAGGGTTAATAAATAACTTGCCCAAAGTTGTACGGCCATAGGGTGGTTTGGTTCCAGAATCTATTACTTACACATTACTCCTGGGCTTTTGGAATGAGAAACTGAGGATGGTGTTGCTATAAACTGGAACAGGGAACATTGGAGAAGCAGTGAATCTGGGTTAAGGCACAAGATGATCTTTGAACAGGTTGAATTTAAGGTGCCTCTGAGATAGGCAGCTAGAGATGACAGGTCTGGCATTCTAAAGTTGAATATAAACAGAAGATATCATTTTGGGACTTATCAAAGTAGAAATGATAATGAAAGCCATGAGATGCATGAAAGCATTCAGGATTACAGTATAGAGTAAAAAAAGAAAGCCTATATGAAGTAGAGGAAGGGGTATTGGCCTCATTGTCTAGGGAGGAACTGCTAGGGTAGTAGAACAATGGGATTATGCTGTCACAAAAAACAAAGAAAAAACATAATTTCTTAAATCATGGTCTGTCACTGAATCTGGTTATAAAACCTTATCTTGCACTAGAAGGATCTGTAGCTTTTCCAGCTGAGAATGGGGTTCAGGATACCGAATCAACACTAGAAAAGAGAGAAACTGGGGATGAAGAAAACTCAGCTAAATTTCCTATAGGAAGGAGAGATTTTGACAGTGAGTAGTTTTTCAAAATTCAGTTCTTACATCCTACCATTAAACATAACTCTGAGTTTAAGCAAATTTGGATGCAATCATAACAAAATCAAATACGACCATGGCTCAATTACACCTGCCAAAAATGTGGGATTAAGAAGTGTTTAATTAGTTCTTATCATTTTGGTTTACTCAGAATTAGTTATACTAGATCCATTATTCTTTTTTCTTAATAAATTTTGTGTGATAATTATAGTCCTTTAAACAATTTAAACTTTCTTCTTCCTTCAGCACTCAGATGTATGCTGGGAAGAGTCTACCAACGTTGCTGGCAAGTCTGATTCTTTTTTTGATATGGACCTGTTGGTCCATATCATCTTTTCAGAAGAAAAGCATTTAATTGCCAATGGGAGGAGAAGCCCATAATGTTACTGTAACTTGGGTATTATGTTAACTGTCTGTTTTAAAAGAAAGTAGCGTTAAGATAGATCAGTAACCAAAATCATAGGCTTTTTCTGTGCATTGAACTTTGTGAAAATGCTGTATAATTTTGACTTACTAGTATTTTTGAACAATGCTTAACATACTAACCTTACATACACTCTAGACCAAAATAAGGCATCATAATTTACACCTTAATCTCAAAAATTAAGCATGTCTTTGGTGAATGGTTTTATATATACATAAACCTAAAACATATAAGACAAAAATTTATGTTTGGAGCCTGTGTTCTGTAAAGAGAAGGTTGATTTGTCTTTTAGCTATCGTATTTGGAGTGGAACTATAATACAAATGTATAATATTCTTTTTTTTTTTTTTTTTGAGATGGAGTCTCACTCTGTTGCCCAGGCTGGAGTGCAATGGCACGATCTCGGCTCACTGAAACCTCTGCCTCCCGGGTTCAAGCAATTCCCTGCCTCAGCCTCATGAATAGCTGGGATTACAGGTGCCCACCACCATGCCTGGCTGGTTTTTGTATTTTTAGTAGAGGCAAGGTTTCACCATCTTGGTCAAGTTGGTCTGGAACTCCTGACCCTGTGATCCACCTGCCTTGGCTTCCCAAAGTGCTGGGATTACAGGCGTGCACCACTGAGTCCAGCCTATATTCTTGTTTATCAGTTCAAAAATGCTCTGCACTGTTTTTGACTCTTTAAAAATAACTTAGATTCAAATTTATAGTAGAAGAAAAAAAATCTTTCAGATAAGAGGTGTTCTCCAGAATGGAAGAACGACTTGGCATGTAAGAAATAGCGTCAGTGTCCTAATGCATATTGTGACTGTTTGCATATACTTCTGTTTGTAAAAATATCGGTTTTATTTTCAGAGGATTTGTAAGAAACATTTAAATTTTCATTGAAATAAATGACAAGTCATACTGTCACTTAAAAAAAAAAAAAAGACCTTTGTCAAGGAGAGTGCAGTCAACCAGTAAACTGCAGATTCTCAGAATGTTTATTGACGTACTGATTATTCATTCTGTTATACTCTAACATCTGTATATTTTTACCAGTATTCTCAGACCACTTCTACCAAAACATAAATCTGTGATTGTGATCTCTGAAAGTCAGTCCTTTTATCTACTCAAGTAAGTGCAAATTTTAGAAAATAATTTTCCCTAGAAATATAAGTTGTTCTTTTCTTAATTTATCCACTAACTGTTTAGAAATATAATTAGCTTCTAAGATTTGAAAAACGGTAAATTTTAAAAGTCATATCTATTGGTTAAAGTTTAAAATACTTCCAGGAAATAAGCAGAATTGAGTTAATGTTAATTTTATCCAACTAATACTTGAAAAGGATCATTGATTTATATTACTGCCAGCTTAAACCATTTTAATTAATGTACTACTAATCATAACAGTGTTAGTTACAATTTTGTCTTCAAGTACAATAAAGACACATAGATTTGAACTCTTTTGATTATTTTTGGCCTCTTGGTCAATGCCTCATAGTCAAAATTTTAATTAAGATTTTGCACTAAAAGTAAAAAGAAAATTGGGATAAAAATGTGCAGTGTGTTTTATTCATTATGTGGAGGCATCTTTCCTATATCCAAGTTTAACTAATACTGGTCCTCTACCTGCTTAGATTAACTGGTAAGAATTTTATAAGCATTTCTTACTATCTGTTATAAACCAAAAATGGCAATCTTTCCACATTTTGACGTAATAATTTTGAGCTTATTACAAATTAAAATAAAAAATTAAAAACAAATATTACCTTATAAAAATTCAAACGGTATGTATTGAATATTAATTTAAATTACTGTTATTAATATTACATGAAATACGCATGTTGTAAAATTTTAAATTACTATCTGGTTAAATAAACTATACATATTCTGTAGAGTCAAATCAGATTTTGGCAATGTTGTAGAATTTAACTGAATGCCCAGATGGAGGAACTTGATTATATTATATAAAGGGGACTACAATCCTAGAGTTGGACTCAAGCACAAGCATTTCTCATTATTTTGCAGAAGAAGACACTAAGGTTTTCAGAAATTAAATTGCTTTTTGGAAAAGGTGGGAGATTCTGGGAACATAGAAACTTGAATCCAGTTTTCTTCAACTCCACGTCAAGACAGTTGCATTGTGTGAGAAAATAGCTACGGCCATTTGTGGTAAAATCACATATATGCAATTATGTGAAACTAATTGTGTATATGTATCTGTGTATGTGTGCGTGTACAATATATAAACTATCAATATTTATCAAAGTCCGTATAGCTGCTAGCAATGAGGGGGATCTAGGATTCTATCACATGATACCTTTTTATGAGGCCTTTGTTCTTTCCAGTACATTTGTCAGCTCGTTCATGAAAGAGATTCTTAATTATTTACTGAAATATCACAAAAGTGATGGTGAGCTAGGTTGCCACATTGATCCTGATAGGTCCTTGACAAATTCATATTGACTCTCCACAAATAAAACTATAAGGCAGTTTTTCCCATTGTGATGCTTTTGTCTACAATCTTAATTGTTAACTCTTCCAAAGAATAAACACACAATATATCAATTTTTTAACCCATTTAGGTAGAAATATGGGTATATAGAAAGGAAGAAAGCAAGGTTAACGGTGAGCAGTGGCTAAATGAACAAGAGAACATTCAGTTAAGTATCTCATCTCCAAAATGGTATAAACTGTGGCAGAAAGTACTTTGTTGAATCAATAGTTTCGAGACAGACATACAGTAGGGACATCGAAGGTACAAAATAGAGCACTGATGAAGGAGTGAATTATCATCTTCACAGATGAGTAGAGAAAGAGAAGGTCTAAATATTGAGATGAGAATATAGAAATTTCTGATGCACAACACAGCTCAGAAATTCAATCTGAATATATTCCAATTCAGTGCCTTGCAATAGATCCATAATGATCGCCTATCTTTCCAGCATACAAAGCAATGCATATCATTTAAACATTTTTCTAGCATGAAAATGTGCCTGGGTTATGCAATACACACTTTACCAAAATATGATTTTGGTGGCTGTAAGCACTTAATTGTAATGACCTGTAAAATGAGCAACATTTTTAACTCCGAAATTCTAATCAATATTAGTTAATGAGGTGTGTGACAACTTATAATGCTTTTAAATACTCTTAGTGGCCATCATAATACAAATTTTCCCACTTACAGCATATTTAATTTTAATCCTTGCAATAATATAAATGAAATACATCTAAAACACTTTATAGTAAGCACTCAAGTAAAAGTCCCCATAACATGGCCTTAAAAAAGGTTAATCTTTTAACAATGGGGTCATGAAAACATTTTTGTTATAGATATTTTTATGTTCCTCCTTGTATCAATCAGGATTAAATTTTCAAATATTCATACCATTTAACAACAGACTGAATAAATAACAAAGTTGTTAACACAAAATGAATAAATGTTTTGTATACATTAAAAATAGAAGATAGAAAAAATAACTTGGTAATGTGTTTAAAATATTTTATGGCCTCTACCCCATTATGTTATTCCATTTTCTCATAACTGTAGACCTTTAGCTACCAAACAGAGGGAAGGGGCATTGTACACTAGTTACCTAGAAAACAAATCATTTATAGGTCTTATTTTTGGAAAAGGAGATATCTTTTAATTCAACTAAAATGTAAAACATTGGAAGTGTCCCCCTATCAAGGCTTAGTTTTACTATTGCTTAATATAGATGAAGAAAAAATAAATCATATACTAAACTCGGGAAGCTTGGGTTTTCTCTTAAAGTAAGCCATGCTGTGATTGTTCCATCTAAACAGTTATATCAACTTTACTTTGTATCATATGAAAACAACAGCCTGCTGAATGACTATGTATTGTCTATTTCCACCTGCTAAACAAGATAAGACCACATGAAATAGGATCAGCTTAGCCATTACCTTCAGGAAGCTTCAGACATATTGTTTATTGCAAATGGACATATATTATAAATGTATATACAGACACATCTTTGTGATATTACTTCCTGAAGTATGTTCTTATGGAAATTTAACTTTGTTCATCCAGTCAGATTTCCAGAAATGTATCTACTGTGACAATTAATATCTTATTCTCCAACTCTTTGTTTTTCTCATTCTGTACTTACTTTGCTTTCATCAAAGACATTTTAGCAAAATTAATTTCCAGGACCATTTTCTTAGTGAACTAATGCCATTTGATCACCAATGGCCATTTTCGTTTTTATCTCGAGGATCACATTGGGCATTTGTCTCTGACTTTTCAGTCAGTTTATAATGCATTCTTGTTCCCTTTGGAGGATGTTTGTTCTTTTTTTCTCTGCCCGCTCCCAACATTAAAATCCAAGGTAAACTCTTAATTAAGTGGAGTTGACAGAAGTCACATTTTCTCTATAAAGAACAATTGGAATCCACTGGATTTGCCCTATCAAGAAAAAAGAAAATCATATCTCCAAGAGTAGGTATTGGTAATTAATTAATCCCTAATCTTTTTGAAAAGTATCTGTATTAGTCCATTTTCATGCTGCTGATTAAGTCATACCTGAGACTGGGTAATTTATCTTAAAAAAAAAAAAAAAAAAAGAGGTTTAATGGACTCATAGTTCCATGTGGTTGGGGAGGCCTCACAATCATGGCAGAAGGCAAAAGGCACATCTTACATGGTGGCAGGCAAAGGCAATGAGAGTCAAGAGAAAGGGGAAATCTCTTATAAAATCATCAGATCTCCTGAGACTTATTCACTACCACAAGAACAGTATGGGGAAAACTGTCCCCCATAATTCAATTATCTCCCACCAGTTCCCTCCCACAAGATGTGGAATTATGGGAGCTACAATTCGAGATAAGATTTGGGTGGGGACACAGCCAAGCTGTATCATTATCAGATATTGTATTCATCTGGTAGTGGTCAGTAAATCTGTGCACAATCTCAGAGTTGGCTGATTTTTGCTTTTCCATCCTTGCTATCTCACACCAGTGGTTTCCATCCTAAAGTACACAAACCATGTTATTTTTCTGCTCTTTGATTTCCTAAGCAGTATACCAGCTACTTTAGGACTGTGTTCCTGTACAGTGCCCCTTTTCTTCACGACCACCTACAAATCTATTAAGTACTTAAAGACTTTTTTCCTGTGATGGGGATTTTGATGCTTGTTTGTTCTTTCTATGCCAATTTCATACACTTCTGAGTCTCATCCATATGTCCCAACTGCTCCCTCTAAAACTAAAAGCTACTATTTATTAAGTATTTGTTGCATTTCCAAAATCACTCTAAGTACTTTGTCTACATTGTCTCATGTAATCTTCACAGTTTTCTGAGTTGTGCATTATATGTTGCTACTGTCCACATTCCTTCACTAAAGTTATGGATTTTAGTTTATTTTAATTAAATGGCCAATGAAGATTTTGAGAAGTAACTAGTATCACATAGCAGAGGTGGGAATGCATTTGAAGAGATCTATATTAATTTTCTAAGGCTGCCATAGCAAATTTGCACAAACTTGGCATCTTAAAATAACAGAAATTGATTTTTTTTACAGTTCAGAAGGCCAGAAATCTGTTTTCTCACAGTTTGGGCCAGAAGTCAGAAAGCAGCAGAGTTGGTTCCTTCTGGAGCCTCTCAGGAAAAACCTGTCTTATTCCTCTTTCCTAGCTTCTGGTGGTTCTTGTCACTCCTTGGCATTCCTTGATTTCTTGATTAGTTGTATCAATCCAATCTCCAACTCTGTCATTGAATGGCCTTCTTTCTTGTATAACTCCCCTGCATCTTTGTATTCAAATATTCCTCTCCTTTCTCTTTTAAAGATACTAACCACTGGCTGGGCATGGTGGCTCACGCCTGTAATCCCAGCACTTTGGGAGGCCGAGGCATGCGGAACATGAGGTCAGGAGTTTAAGACCAAACTGGCCAACATGGTGAAACCCCGTCTCACTAAAAATACAAAAATTAGCTGAGCGTGGTGGTGCACACCTACAATCCCAGCTACTGGGGAGGCTGAGGCAGGAGAATGGCTTGAACCCAGGAGGCAGAGGTTGCAGTGAGCCAAGATCTTGTCACTGCACTCCAGCCTGGGTGACAAGCAAGACTCCGTCTCAAAAAATAAATAAACAAAAGATACTAATCATTGAATTTAGCTCCCACCTTAACTAAGTAGGACTTCATTTTAACTTGATTACATCTCAAAAGACCCTATTTCTAAAAAGGGTCACATTCATAAGTACCAAGGATTAGAATGTGAACATATATTCTTGAGGGACACAAGTCTACCCACTAAAATGTGTAATTCCAAATTGCATGCTCAATTTTACAGTATACAGCACTAAACTACATCCTACTGCTTTACTGGGTGACTCTCTTTTAAAGGCCTGCCATGGTCTTTACCGTAATTCTTCAATTTATTTTGCTTGAGTTGTCCTATATGTTTTTCTAGACCCAATCTCAAGCCATCCTTAGCAAGAATCTTAAGAAAATCTCCCAAATTGTATAAGTACTCAGTCAATGCAGAATAAGCAATGCTTTCCCTGATTAGTTCTATTCTGTTTCTTCTGCTTCTGAACCTCTAGAAAGATCTCACCTGAGTTTCAGTAGAGTCTCTATACATCCTACATGAATGATCTAATCTCCAACCTCAACAGACTTCAAGTCAGTAATAAGTAAACAGAAAAACTTTGACTCATGTTTAAAATATTTCACTTGCCTTGGCCTCCCAAAGTGTTGGGATTACAGGCGTGAGCCACCACGTCCGGGTGGATCACAAGGTCAGGAGTTCAAGACCAGCCTGGCCAAGATGGTGAAACCCTGTCTCCACTAAAAATACAAAAATTAGCCAGGCATGGTGGCAGGTGCCTGTAATCCCAGATTCTCGGGAGGCTGAGGCAGAGAATTACTTGAACCTGGAAGGCAGAGGTTGCAATGAGCCAAGATCATATGACTGCACTCCAGCCTGGGTGACAGAGCAAGTTTCAAAAAATAATAATAAATAATAAAATAAAATATTTCACTCATAAATTAATTGATTCAATAAATGTTTCATTCAAGTACGTACACATTAGTACATGGTTTCAATGATCCTTGATTTAAAACCTTGGAAATAGCTTTAATTCTATATTACATTTACATCGACATCCACTCAGGTATGAATATTCTGTAGAAAAGTTTTGGTTTTTCCCTTTCCATTCTTTTGTGAAATGTTTGTCTTCCTTGTCTGCTAACACTTTTTAATATGACAATTATCATTAATTATTCACAAAGTGAGTTAATATTTGCTACATATTTAATGTCTAATTTGTTTCACTATTTTAAACGTACTGTACCTGGCTTCTGAAAAGAATGCAAAGCCCTCAGAGTCAAGTGCATAATATAATATCCTTATGGTTTTGCAGCCTACTATTCGTTCGGTACTCAATAACTAGCAATGAACAGCAAATGTAATTATATATGTGTATATATATAGAGAGAACATTTATGTATATATAGAACATATATATGTATATATATAGAACACACACACACACACATATATATATATATATGAAACATAAGAATTTATGTATAGCTAAGCTGAACATTTGGCTATCAGATAAAACTGTAGCTTTACAAATACTTAAGAACAGAAAAACTGAGATTGCTCCTAGATCTGGGGTGGCCAAAAGAAATGGAATCAGATGTTTTTGTTAATAGGTAATGCCCCAAATCTTATCAGTCATAAGCACTGGGCCAGACAGACCTGTGCTTAGATATTCTAATATGGTATACCTTTACTAGTACCTTGGTTAGAAAAAAAGATATCCCCTCTAGGTGGACAAATCAGAAAAACAGACCAGCTGTTAACAGGTCAAGCTTAAGAGCACATGGCTTGGTGATGGTGGCAGAGAAGGAATTTTAGACTCTCCGGCTCCCTCCACAAGGCACTATTGTGCAGCACACACATTGCACAACCTCACGGAGTAGTCTTGGCCTTAGCTGAGGGGATGAAAAGAACTGTTTAGTTAAGAAGTGAGATTTAGCAGCTTACATAAATCCTTAAGGTGTTTTACGCACTTTTTGTACATCAGTGCCTTACATTAATTAATCCATTTAATTCTACCTGCCATGAGTCTACCACACCCATTTTACTCATGTGGAAACCAAGGCACAGGGAGGTTAAATGGCTTGTCCAAGGTCACACAGCCTTTGAGTGGTAGATTCCGGATTCAAATACATGCAGCCTGATACTGAAACTTTGTTCGTGAACACTTTACTGCCTTTAAACAGATGAAATTAGAATAAATGGAAATTCCTGGGACTAACTATTAAAAAAGTGTAATAAGCTGTAAGAAGGAGGCATTATTAAGTAAAGGAACTCACTTTGGGAAATACCAGCTTAGAACTTAATAGGCTTATGATGGTATTTATAAACAATCAAAGGATCAAGTTGATAAGCCATTCTGTGACTTGTTGATAAATATCTTATCAGTTTTTGTACCCGGCTGAAATCCTTCCTCAAGAGATTAAATCACCAAAGGGGTTAACTCTTTGTTTTGTGTGCAATTTTTCCACTGCCAATAATTTTGTTCTCTGAGCAGTGAAACAAGTAATTCCCAAATTAAGAGCATGTTAGGACTATAGGTCCTCATTTTCCTAACTGCAAAGAAAATTATTTTAAAAGTAATTTTCCCCTCAGAAGCAATTCCAAGACTGAAGATTAAATATACAGAGAAGCAATGATTCAGGCTTTTAAAAAAATCGCTTTTTAAAGGAGTATAAGTGAAAACAGTTAAGTAAATATATTTAATTACCAAGATTTTATTGTATCTTTTACTCACATAAAAAGACTAAAATAAAACGTTTCTGGTTTTCACAGTAACTGATCTGATAATGTCAACTTTTGAAAACAGATAGTTATGACTCAAGGCTTTGAGAATGTAAAGAGACGCCCTTCACATGTTGAGAAATGGCACGATTTCACGTTATCAGTGCAGTTCGGTTCTCAGGGGGAAAGGTAAGCCCATAGCTAACTCCAGCTCCAAGCTGCTATTTCATGATAACAGCTCACGGAGCTGTGGGCCTGCTAAGCCTTTCCCACCTCGTTCTGGAATTCCTCTATAGCCCATCCGTACTACCAGGAGACTGGATCCGCAAAGTAGACACTTGGTCTCATGAAGCCACTGCTGGGCTCCAGAGAGAAGGAAAAACTAAGCGGTTTTAAAACCCCCGCCCTCCTTGGTTTACCTCCATCATTAAAAAACAACAATGACAACGACAACAAAAAACAAAACTAAAACGACTTATTGTTTATTAATTATGTTGTGGCAGACAATATGCTGAACATTAGGCATAATTAAATTCTTTTTAAAAATTGATAATTTATCTCTGTTTTATAGAAGTGTGAAACTGTCAGGAAGACAGATGAAATGATTTGCCTGAGGCCGTATCATCAAACAAGAAATTCATATTCACCTTTCTGGAATTCTTAGGATAATGATTACATGTGTTCAATTGTTAAAAATTGGCAGATAAAATTTTATGTATTTACCACGTACAACATGAAATTTTGAAACATGTATACATTCTGGAATGACTAAATCCAGCTAATTAACATAGGTATTGTCTCACATATTTACTTTTGTGGTGAGAACAGTTAATATCCACTCTCAACATTTTCCAAGAATACAATATATTACTAACTATAGTCACCATGTTGTAAAACGGATCTCTTCAAGTATTCCTCCTATATAATTGAAATTTTGTATCCTTGGACCAACGTCTCCTCACCCTACTCACTCCTCAAATATCCCTACCCTTGGAAACCACTGTTCTCCTCTCTCTACTTCTAGGATATCAGCTTTCAAGAGTGAGATCTTGTGGCATTTGTCTCTCTGTTCCTAGCTTATTTCACTTAACATAACGTCCTCTAGGTTCATCCATGTGCAACCCCCTAGGTTCATGTCCTTTTTTAAGGTTTAATAGTTTTCTGTTGTGTACATATGCCACAATTTATTTACCCATCCACTTCTTGATGGATGCTTCAATTGTTTCTGTACTTGAGCTATTGAGGACGATGCTCCAGTGAACATTGGAGCACCGATATTTTTACAGGGTGGTGATTTATTTTTCTCTGGATATATATACCCAGAAGAGAAAGTGCTGGGTCATACGATAGTTCTTTTCTTTTCGTTTTTTTCTTTTCTTTTCTTTTCTTTTTTTTCAGAAACCTCCATACTGTTTTCCACAGTGGCTGCACCAATCTATATTCCCAAATTAAACTTCAATGTGCAGATGAATTACCTAAAATTCTTTATAAATTGCAAATGCTGGTTTAGAAGGTGTGCTGATTTTGATGCATTTTTAAGACCCCCCTCCCATCCCGTGTGATGTTCCTACTCCACTCACTGATTTCCCATGTATTATCTAGGGTCTTAACCACATTGCTTGTTTTTCTATTAGAGTTTGGAACTGGGTCACCCATGCTCTGAGGCTCTATGAAACCCTGAAGGGAGAGGTAAACATATAAGCTCTGCAATCCAACTGCTTGGTTTTGTATTTTGGATTTGAAACTTAGTAACCATTTTCACCCAGAGGAAATTCCTTAAGCTCTGTAAGCCTCAGTTTCTTTATCTGTAAAGTGGGAGTTACAGTAGTATTATCTCTCACTGTATTTTTAAAGACCAAATGAGAAACTTGATGTAAATAGGAACCTAATGCCTGGTACATAGTGAAAGTTCAATATATACATTCATGAGTATTTTTAAGTAAAACATGTTCATTGCAACATTATTCACAGGGGCCAAGATATGAAATCAACCTAAATGTCTGCCAACAGATGACTGGATAAAGAAAAGATTATATATATATACATATATGTGTGTGTGTGTATATATATATATATACACACACACACACCCACACACAAACATATATATGTATATATCTGTGTATATGTGTATATATACACACATACATGCACAGATATATATGTATATATGTATATATGTATTACAGGCGTGAGCCATCTCGTCTGGCCAATTATCATTATTATTTTAGAAATTTATCAGTGATGCTTTTCTGTTCAGCTTTAATGAGGTGTAATGACAAAAAAATTGAATATATTTATGTATGCTGTACACTGTGATGTTTTGATATATGTATATATTATGAAATGATTACCACAATCAAGCTAGTTAACATATACATCACCTCTCGTAATTATCTCTTTGTGTAGTGAGAACATTTAAGACCTACTCTCTAAGCTGATTTCAATTATACAATATAGTATTACTAACTATAGTCACCATGCTCTACGTTAGGTCCCCAGAAATTACTTTTTCTGCATAATTGAAAATTTCTATCCCTTGACCAACATCTCTCCATTTCCCCAACCCCAGTTTACACACACACACACACATACATATACATATATAGTGTATATATACACATATACATATATACATATGTGTATATATATATGTGTACATATATATGTGTATATATACACTATATATGTATATGTGTAAAATTAGATGGGTGTGGTGGTGCCTGCCTGCAATCCCAGCTACTCAGGAGGCTGAGGCAGGAGAATCGCTTGAACCCGGGAGGCAGAGGTTGCAGTGTGCCGAGATCATGCCACTGCGCTCCAGCCTGGGCGACAGAGCAAGACTCCATCTCAAAAATAATAATAATAATATCAAAAATAAAATAAAAATTGCTTAGAAATTTCAAAATACAATACCTTCCACTGAACTTCCTTAATCCACATAGCACTGTATTTTTCTGTCTATTGCATTGCCACAAATTTAGCCACTTAACACAGATTTATTATTGCACAATTTCTGTTGGTCGGGAGCCTGCCACATTTTGGCCAAGTCCTCTTCTCAGGGTCTCATAAGGCTGTCAGGGTGCTGGCCAACTGCATCGTCATCTGGAGGCCTGACTACAAAAAGATCGGCTCAAAGGCCCCTCAGAGTGTTGGCAGCATTTGTTTCCTTGTGGTTGTAAGATTGAGGTCCCTCTTGCCTCACTATCTGTCAGCTGGGAGTGACCTCACCTCCTCCAGGCTGCTATCAGGTTATGCCACAGGCCCCTTCCGTTTCTGTAATAAAGAACTGCCCTCATATTGAATCCATATCACACCTCAGATTTATCTGATTTCCCTTCTGCTTTCAACTAGACAAACTCTCTGCTTATAGAAAGGCTCATGTGATTAAATTGTGCTCTATTTTAAGGTCAAGTGTGCTATGTAACATGACCAAATAATGAGAGTAAAATCTATTATAGTGACATGCCCTGGAATTATGTAGAAGCGAAACTATTGCTGGAGGGGTAATCTTTGGGGCCAACTTAGACTATTGATTATTCCATGTTCAAGGAGAGCTGGCATATAATTGGAGAGCTAAGAACCGTCAATATCTCAACATCTAAAAAAATAAAAATTGTAATTGTATTTAAAATGTTAGGAAACATAGTTAGAAATTTAGGGTTTTAAGCAGATATAAAGATCTTTTAATCATGCTACCACCTAATTACAATATTAGATAAAGAAGAACAATTAAGCCTAGTCTATATGTTAGAGAAATATAGTAATTTTTTCTGGAATGATTTATTATGTGCAGACTTTGGGTTATTGGAATAGATCATTGACCATATATGTTTTAAAGTACTTAAAAATATTTTATAAATAAAGTTATTTTTATACAGAACAGAAATAGTTGATATTGAATCAGAAATACTGTATTAGCATAAGTCATATGTTTAAGGAAATATATTCCTAAACAATAGGAAGAAACACAGGCAACACTGATGTAAAAAAGATTTACAGACATGAGCTGCATGCACTTGGTTTATGGACTAGAATTCTATGCCTTCTAGAAGCAGAAAATATGCAACGACTCATTCTGCCTTATGGCCATTTCAGAGCTTTTAATCTAATAAAACCTATATGTCAGCCAGTAGCATGTCAGGGTCTTATTACTCTGCTTCCTTAGAGTCTGATATGGGAGGTTAAGTCCCTGCACATATGTACCCCTTGGGGTTCCCTGAGGTGGAGCCGTGCAGGTTTGCTTCTTTGCTTACTGATATATATAAAAAAGATAACATTAAATATTCTATTCCTGTTTCACTTATGCGTTCACTAAGAATGATGAAAGTGGGAACTGTGTGGCATGGCCTAGGAATTGTGCATGAGCACACTCTATTTTACATGTCTCATCAGAAGTCAGTTTCTAACCTTCTTCTGTCTGTAGACAAGCATATCACCTAAGCTTTCTCAGAGATTAAAGGTATACCACCTAGCTTAAATGGCCCTACTAATGAAAGAGAGGTACACTTAAATTGCATCTTAATGAGAAAAAATATGAAAAGGAGAATTAATAGAGATTTCTCAAATAAAATCTAATGAGCATAATTTTTATTATTGAACAATGTTTGCCTATAAAGTCTTACTCAACTTGATGAAAAAATGCTAAGATACATGTTAAGGAGTCCTCATTTTAATACTTTATAAAATTGTATATACATATACTTAAGAAAGAAAAATAATGGCATATTTGCTGTCTTTAAATCATTGAGAAAAAAATAAAAGACTACATGTGTCATTTAATTTAGCTAAAGAAGGAAGGTGACTGAAAAATACAGTTTTTACATAAGATACTAAGTAGCTGGCTGGGTTTTGCTAATGTTCCCAAATTTGAAATCATTTTAAAAAGAACACTCCAATGAGCACCAGAGAACTGAGATGTTTTAAAATAAAATTATAACTGCACTTAATCTCACATTGTCTCCTTAGCCTTTTGACATTTTAATTGCTGTGCCATTTTTCACTGAGATGGCAAGCATTTTTTACATATGCATAATGTAGCCTGTGTTAATGCATATTGATTAAAGTAGACAGTGATGCGAGGATGTTGGAATTTTACCCACTGTGACCCTATTGAATGTTTCTCTCTGCTCTTTTTGTTTTCTTTATAACCAGAGGGGGAAGAAAAGCATGTATTTTCCAACAAGTCTCTATGCTATCTGAACTCTAGTATTAACAGGTGAAAAGTGACATGTTTAACAAAAGAAAGACTAGAAAGCATCTACATCACAAACTTGTAAGTCTTTCATTTCTGCATTGGAGACACTATAGGAAAATCAATAACTTCCTTTGAGTCTAGTGATCTAGCTGCTTACAAGAAATTTACATCTCCCTGACAGGCAGTTTGTAAGGTCTGGTTCACCTGGGTCACAGGAGTACACATAATTTGCATCTTGAGCAATTTCTCTCTTTCCTTCTACCTGTTCCATGAGGAAAGAAGATTGAACCTGGTCATAAAGAGAATCTCATTACGTCTCAGCTGAGAAGAGTAATTTTGTAGGTGTTCTTGGATTGCAAGAGTATCATATAATGATAATATTTTCTCATAGCTCTTCAGACCTATGCACACACCAGGAAATGAAAGTAACATACACCCAGGCACATTTGAAGCTTCTGAGCTGTCATTCACCAAATGAAATTTAAGTGTTCCATCAAAGTCATTTGCAAATATGACCTCAAGATGGATATCCAGATTCTTTGCTAACAAAAATATACAAGAAGATAGACATTTAGCTTACCTCTCATAAAATCTGAAAAAAAAATTCCCCTTCTATTTTATTTTGCCCTTCAAAATACACAAGATCTGAATGTCAAATAAATGTTTATATTATGATATGCTAATAATGCCTGGCATATATTTTCCTAGTTAGTTCTGTAAGCTCAGTTAAAAACAAATAAAAACCAAGGAGGCAATGCTGAAAACTTTTTGAATCAAAAATAGAATGCAATAGCATTTAATTATAATTAAGTCTTTAATATGCTTATTTAAATCTCACATACTTTTAAGCATGGGTCTATTTGCAAATTCATCTAAATAAATATTTGGCACGAAGTCTAAATCCACTTTATTCCAATGTTTTTTTTTCCGGGATAAAGATTATAATGAGATTCAAATGTAATAATTTTCATCCTGTATTCATGAAAATAATTGTCTAGGTGTAAATGAACGTATTATTACAATTCACTATGTGTACTCATACCTAGTCGTGAGGTCCTCATATATAAAATAGAGGGAGAGTACAACTTTAAAGTGTTTTATATATCCATTTCATATTTTTTCTCTTTGCAATTTGGGATGAATCTCCTTAGACAAATGGTTATGTTATTAACGCACCAACATTAACCTAGAAAAGGCTACTTAGTACTACTTAACTTGAATACTAATCACCCTGGCCTCAGTAGCCCACCATATCTTGCAAAGTATTCTGAAATAGTATTGGTGATAAACACCATTTGGAAAGGAAAAATGGCTGTATCTGTGTTTTTACATGCACACTCCCCTCATTATTTTTGCATATGATAAAATAGATAATATTTACTGAGCACTTATCACAAGTCAGTTGTCTTGTTAAGTGATGCAGAAGCATTTTCTATTAGTCCCCAGAAAACCACTGGGAGGTTGGTACAACACAGCTCCATTTTATCGAAGGATCCATTCATGAAGACCTTGTACTCACAAAATGAAAGATTAATTTCCCGCAGGAGCAAATAAAAAGCTGAATGGGGGTGTTCTTTAGAAATATCACGGTGGTAATTCAGCTTGATTTAGAATGAATTTCTAAACCTATCTCTGCTGCACTGTATTTGGTGGCTTGCTTCCCAATATTAGCCGTGTACACCTTACTTTTATATCATTATGACAGAATACACTTTTTCTTTGCATGATGACAATACATGTTTAAATAAAAGTCTATGCATCAGCAAAAGCACTCACAGGTGTTCTGATCCACTTGAACACCTGCTTGATTTACAATATGTTGACAAATTAGCTCAGGTCATCATTTATATTATCTAATGTACTAGTGCTACATACAAATAATAAAAACAAGAATTATAATGGTGTCCCTTCAGCTTTGAAATTCTGTGACTCTTCATAATAGCTTTGCATTATTTTAAAATTAGCATATAAAATAAAACTTCATTATTTAAAAATTTGAGCACAGTTAAATTGTTGGCATCGGTTCCTCTATGTTTTTGAATATACAGGTTCCTGAAAAGGTCCATAGTTTTAGCAGAGCAGACTTTACAGCAGTGGTGAATTTTGAGGGAGAAAACAGATGAGGACTGTCAATGTGCAAAACAAAGACCTAGTAAAAAATCAGCAGAAGAGAAAGAAACTATCAATGCACACCACTCAACAGCAAGGACAAAAGAGAGACAGGACAAGAGAGGATCTGTTGACAATGGTACACAAAGAAGGAAATAGAAAGAAAATACTGATTTTCAACTCTGGTTTAATATGGTGACTTCTTATCCAACTGCCTTAATGTTGAAAATGAATAGTTTTCTCCAAATTTCTTAAGATCATGAGGATATGCCTACACATTTTCATTAGAAAATGGTGCATGGGTAAAATTTTCTTTAATGTTTTGTAGTGTGGTAGCATGTTTTTCTGCCAGGTATATTAATAAAACCATATTATATTGCGTCTTTTCTGATCTATAATTATAGCTTACATGGTTCAGATGAATTTCCTCTCTGGCAGCTCTCTGACTTAATCGCTGCTGGTAAACACTATCACTCATTTTTTACCCACCAAATAAAATTTTTCATCTTGACGCATTTTGTCTGCATTGCACATATTTAAATACTCAACAACTACCACAGCAAAAACTCACTTCGGTGTTTACCTTGTAGACAAATGGCTTATCTATTTAGCTTAAATTCATAAACTTTGTTACAGCGTTATCAACTGGATGAGTTTAAATATACTGGAATCAGGTTTACCATGACATAATTTAGATAGTTTAATAGTTCATTAACAAGATATTAACAAGATCAAAATTATTACTCCTTACTGAAAAAGGCAGCTCTATATACAAGGACATAGTCAAGACAGTAGCAAAAAGGGTCTGTGTGTGTGCGCGCGTGCATGTACATGTGTGTGCCTGCGTGTGTATGATTCTTTAAGGTAATGTTAGAGACAACAAACGGTAATAGACGGAGTAAAAATAAAATATGTACCAGGCCAATGAAAGTTAGAAAAACTTCACCTATCTATTGCAATATACGTTGCTCTTCTGTTCTGGCTCAAACAGGTATGTGTTCCAGAAAGTTGCAAAACTCCTCAAAGACTCTTCAGTTCAATAGGGTATCCATCATCGGACCCATACAGTTGAGATTGAAAATAGATTCAGTCTGGCAGAAAAATGTCCACAGAAGGCTTTTCTCTTTTTTTTTTCTTTTTAGAGAAAAACAAGATAAAGCAAAACAAAATAAATTATTAACATGCTGCTTTGGATATGTTAGATGTGTTTCCCAAGGGACACTGTGGTATCTTCGTGGCTGGATATTTTCAGAACATCTCAGTGTATTTTCTTATTTACTGCCCTTGGTTCTCCTAGACTTTTGAACATTGAGTAGTCACATGAACGTTGTTTAGCAAAAGGAGGTGAACCAAGTAAATCATTCTCTGAGATAAAGAAGTCCATGGGAATTGGCCTTACCTCACAGAAACAAACCAAAATGAATTGTAATATTAATCTTAGTGCATTCAGGCTGCTATAACTAAAATAGCATATACTGGATAGCTTATAAACAACATAAATTTATATTTAACAGTTCTAGAGGCTGGGTAGTTTAAGATCAGGGTGCTGGCTGATTTAGTGTCCGGTGAGGGCCCCTTTCCTGCTTCGTAGGTCACACCTTTTGGCTGTGTCCTGTGTTCTCACATGGTGAAAGGGACCAAGGAGCTCAACTCCCTTGGGCCTATATTATAAGGGCACTAATCCTATTTATGAATGCTCCACCCTCATGACTAATCAGCTCCTAAAAGACCCTACCTCCAAATACCATCACCACAGGGGTTAGTTTTCAACATACAAGTTTGGGGGAAAAGCAAACATTTAGATCATGGCAATATTCAATATCAGAAGCAGAAGATGATTCATGCTAGAGGGTCCTCGACAACTGTGTTTGGGAAAGTCATGCATGGCTCTGCACGGAGTCTCTGCCTGGCCCTCATTTAACACTCATGACCCTTGGAATGCACACGCTCTGTGACCTTGCCCAAATCCTGAAGCTTTCATTCCATAATTTAAGGGGAAGATATAAAAGTGTATAGAATTCAGCTGTCATAGAAGCTTCACTATTCTCATCCTCTCTCTTCTCATTTCTTATATCTTAACTATGATTGCTAACCCCAGTGAGCTCTTTGTCAACACTATGTTATGGAGTTCCCCTAAACCTTTTTGTTTCACCTCTCCTCTTCGGTCCTGTGTTCTGAAAATTAAAGATAAAAATTTTAGATGATTTAAGAATCCTTATGAAAAAATGAGCTAACTCTGGAAATTTAAAATACTAAAACACTTAAAAGAGAATATCATATTGCAAGAATAATCAGAAACAACCTAAAGAAAAATATCTGGCTGGGCATGTTAGCTCACACCTGTAATCCCAGCACTTTGGAGGCTGTAATGGGAGGATCACTCAAGCTCAGGAGTTCGAGACCTGCTTGGACAACATAGCAAGACCCTGTCTGTATCATAATAATAATAATAATAATAATAATAATAAATTGCCAGACATGGTTGCACGTGCATGTAAGAGGCGGAGGTGGGAAGACTGGATGAGCTCAGGAGTTCAAGATTGCAGTGAGCTATAATTGTGCCATTGAATTCCAGCCTGGATGACAGAACGAGAACCTCTCAAAAGGAAGGAAGGAAAGAAGGAAAAAAGATGGGGAAGGAAGAAGAGAGAGAGGGAGGGGGGAAAAGAAAAAAATCCAAACACCTCAAGTGTGGTTAACTGCAGTTGGGAATTCACTTTATATTTGAGCTTTCTGAAATCTGAGATACTAGAGAAATATATATTTAAAAAATAACATGCATAATAACTTTATTACATTTATTTGTAAAGACTCATATGTTTATTATAGAATGGGGGATTAATCTTTCATTAAACTGGTCTTGTCGAAGTCACTACAACATTCAGTTCCCAGCCATGTCTGTATAATGACTTCTTATCAGTTTATGTTGCTTCAGCATCCATTTTGAATACTAGTATTGCTTTCTCATACTAGAAGCAGGGCTCAGTCACCCTTTACACAGTTTTTCATCCTACAGCATACCCAAAGGGCTGAAACTGGTGGTCATATATAAAAATTTAGAGGCATCTCTTCTGCCTAGCAGACTGAACACTGCTTTCTTGCCCCTTTCTTTAAAGGGACCATTCAGTCATTTGCTCTGAACTTTGAAGGCCCACACCCTAATCTTTATACAGTGTGCTAGTTGCCACCCGTTTCTCTCTCTTTGTCTGACTCTTCATTTCTGCCTGCCATGACTCCAGGATAAAGAACTGCCCTCCAGACTCATTATACCCTCCCACACACCCTTACTTGGATCCTGGAGTCTGCAAGGAAAAGTCCTTGAACTTGTTCCTTATTTTGGTGTTACATTAAATTTGCACTTTCCATCTGAAGAATCAGGAGCTGCCTCAGGTTGGGTTTTCCCTGGAACACTGGGGAGAATAAAAGGTCAAGCTCCCAATGCCAAAGTGTTGACCAGGCAGGCATAAACCAGACACAGGTCAGACAAGAATCACAGGTGGCTTGCCAGTGTAAGTTTTCCCTGGTCGCAGGTATGATGTGTTTATTTTTAAAAATAACATCATGCATATATTAAGTTTATTTGTAATAAACTTACAAATAAAGTTTGTATACACCCACATCCAACTCCTCATCATTTGCCCTTAGTGCAGGTTTGTCAGCTGCTCTAGTACTGGACCCATAATTTAGCTGGGGCTCTGACATCATGGAATATTTTATTTTCCCTTACCTAGCTCTCAATACACCCTATAATGCAGGCTATTCCTCCGCAGTCTCTTTTGTTGGTTCTTCCTCTTCCCTCTGACTTTTTTTTTTTTTGAGACAGAGTCTCGCTCTTTCGCCCAGGCAGGACTGCAGTGGCGCGATCTCTGCTCACTGCAAGCTCCGCCTCCCGGGTTCATGCCATTCTCCTGCCTCAGCCTCCTGAGTAGCTGGGACTACAGGCGCCCCCCACCGCTCCCGGCTAATTTTTTGTATTTTTAGTAGAGACGGGGTTTCACCATCTCCATCTCCTGACCTCGTGATCCGCCCACCTCGGCCTCTCGAAGTGCTGGGATTACAGGCGTGAGCCACCGCGCCCGGCCCCCACTGACGTTTTAATGTTGCATCTCAAGGTTCAGTCTTCGGCCCTCGTTTATCCTGTTTATATACATTTGGTTGGACTTCTCGTCCAATGTCAGGACTTTCGATATCCTCAATATGATGACAACTTCCAAATACATATTTCCAGCCCAGACTCCCTCCATTCCTGTATATTGCATGGACATAACACAAAGAATCATGTATCAATATTTACCACTTGGATGTCTAAAATGCATCTCAAACTTGGCATGCACAAAACTGCACCTTCAATCCATGAACTCACACACACCCATCTATTTGTAGTCTTACCCACTTCAGTTGACATTCACAACCATTCAGACCAAAATTTTTTAAGTTGTTCTTGAATTTTCTTTTTATTTTACATGCTACACCCATGCCATGGGTAGAATACTGCCCCAAATATTCATAATTTGAACATTTCCACCATCTTTGTTAGAATTATCCTGACATGAGACACCATTGTCTCTTGCCTGAAGTATTGCCATTTGTAACAACACCCAGGATCACACTGTCAATGAGATTCCCAAGAATTAGAAATTTGATCCAGTACTGAGCTTATTAATAATTTCAAGGGTACATATAAATGCATAATACAGGTGAAGCAGGAAGAATTCCATGACAACCAGTATGACTCCCTAGGTCATTTTTTCATCTCACCGTTATGTCTTTCAAGTAATAGATGAGACTTCTAATAAAGTACATGGTCACCTCACTTACAAAGAAAAAGCCATTTAGATTATAGAACATCACAATTTCATACTCATATAGTTACATAATTCACATTATGTTAATCAGGAAGTATGTCCCATGAATCTGTAGATTCCAGGTTTATTTACCAGAAGCAATTACAGAAGAAGCAAGTACATCCTGCCCAAAACTTTTCATAGTAAATACTCTCCTCCTAGTGTTACCAGGGGTCCTTGCTCCCAGAGCTCCCAAGATGGTGGTGGGCCACTTCCAAAATGGCGGCAGGCCACTTCCAAGATGGTGGCAAGCCTCATGTTCTCTGACTTGGGGTTCTTGGCCTCAAGATTCCAAGGAATGGAATCTTGGGCCATGCAGTGAGTGTTATAGCTCTATTAGAAGTCGTGGGTCACAGAAGAGAACTGTGGAACCCAGTGACTAGTGTTCAGCTCAATTAGGACGAACCCAAGCACTTAGCTGTGCAGGAACAATGGCAAGACTTTAACCCGATGGGGAGCGACAGTGGGCGCCTCGCTGAATCAGGAGCACAGCAGGCACCCTGCTGGATCCTGAGGGATGGAAGTCAGCGGAGGGTCCCTAACGGCGGCAAAACAGCAGTGGTGGACAGCGAGTGAAAGCTCAGCTCAAGCCGTAACAAACACGGACCAGAAGAGTGCAGTTGCAAGATTTAATAGAGTGAAATAGAGTGAAAACAGAGCTCCTATACAAGGAGGGGACCCCAAGGGGGTTGCCTTTGCCTGCTCAAATGCCTGGGTTTATATCCCGATCCTTGTCCCTCCCACTGTGCTCTCAGGCAATAGATGATTGGCTATTTCTTTACCTCCTGTTTTTGCCAAATTAGCATTTAGTGAGCTCTCTGATTGGACAGCTGTGAGCTCAGTTGCAAGCCCCGTGTTTAAAGGTGGATGTGGTCACCTTCCCAGCTAGGCTTAGGGATTCTTAGTCAGCCTAGGAAATCCAGCTAGTCTTGTCTCTCACTAGCACAAACCATGTAGTTTAATTGCCAGGAGGTCTGTCATTAAACATGACAATGTTTAATAGGAGATTAGACTTCTCACTGAATGTGTTTGTTTCCCAGGAGCACTGCCTTGCGAAAGGGAATTAATTCATCATTTCATCGCAGACCTGCTGTGTAAACATTTTCATCTCACCGCATAACAATGTCTCTGCTTTCACTTTGGCCCCGACATTCTATTCTGAACACAGCAGCCAAAGGGGCTGGTTAAAATGTTGGTCTGATCATGTCATTCCTTTGCTCATCACCGTGCAACTAATCCACATTTCATTCAGGCTAAGAGTCAAACTCCTGACAATGGCCCCGAAAGCCCCACGTGATCAGTTCTTGTTACTTCTCTGAGTTCATCCTCTGTTAATCTCCCTTCACTTTCTCCATGACAGGCACACTAGCCTCGTAGATGTTCTGTGGATTTGTTAGGTGTGTTCCTGCTGTGCTTTTCATAGATACACACAGTGACAATTCCTTTACCTCTTCTAAATCTTTTCTGAACTCTTACTTTTTCAGTGGGTGAATGTTTGATGACCCTATTTAAAATTGCAAATATCCAGCCTCCCAACACACATACACATACACATACACATACACATACACACACACGCACACACACACACACGCACACACACACACACATTCCAAGCATTTGTGGTCAACACTCTGTGTTTCACTTGTTTTTTCCTTATGTCAGAGGCCTTTGAACCACAGCAACTCCATCTTGAGTAGGGGCTGGGTAAAATAAGGCCGAGACCTACTGGGCTGCATCCCCAGATAGTTAGGCATTCTAAGTCACAGGATGAGATAGGAGGTCAGCACAAGATACAGGTCATAAAGACCTTGCTGATAAAACAGACTGCAGTAAAGAAGTCAGCCAAAACCCACCAAAACCAAGATGGCGAGGAGAGTGACCTCTGGTTGTCCTCACTGCTACACTTCCACCAGCACCAGGACAGTTTACAAATGCCATGGCAAGATCAGGAAGTTACCCTATATGGTCTGTAAAGGGGAGGCATGAATAATCTGAATAATCTACCCCTTGTTTAGTATATAATCAAGAAAATAATATAAAAACAAGCAACCATCAGCCCTCAGGGCTGCTCTACTTATGGAGTAGCCATTCTTTTATTCCTTTACTTTCTTAGTAAACTTGCTTTCACTTTACTCTGTGGACTCACCACGAATTCTTTCTTGTGTGAAATCCAAGAACCCTCTGTTGGGGTCGGATCAGGGCCCCTTTTCAGTAACACTTATCAATTATCACTTTTTTAAAAAAAATACATAATGGCTAGTTCCTATCTTACACTGTTAGAATGCAAGTTTCAGATATGCAAGGATATTTATCTCTCTTGTTCGTTGATGTATCCCAAATCCCTGGAAGAGGACCTAGTTAGATAGTAGCTTCTAAGTATTTTTTAATGAATATCTGACTGCACTGGGAATTATATAGCTGTTCATTTATATTGGACATCTGGTCATCCCTTGAATAGAAGTCAATGGGTTTTTTTGCTTATGCCCATACCATATTGTCTGGTAGTTGATTAAGATGATTTTCCCTGGAATATATTTCTCTTAAAAATATTTTCTCCTTCTAAATTACCAGCAACCAAATTAAGATGCTTCAAGTATTTTGCTAAAAAGATTTTAAAAGTAGGTCAATTAGAATAAATCCAAAGAATAGCATTTTTACTATCATGCACTGCCAATTTCTTATATGGCACAAGTTTGCCAAATTATGCAAAAATATGTACACATGCTTTTAAAATATTTTGACAGATTAAAAACTACATAGTAAAACAACTGTAAAATGATTACCAAGAAAAGCTTCATTTCATAAAAATGCTGTTTCTCTAATATATCAAATTTGAGATACACTGTTAATTCAATGCTCATAATTGAAAAAATTCTTACTTTTAGAAATGATCGCTCCCTAGCGAGAAAGAATATATCTTACATTTTTTTAAAAAAAGCAAAAAATGATGGCAAAAGTCAATTTGAACCCAGTTGAAGTAATCATTTAACTGATAAGTAATACTCTGTAAATATCTGTTTCTTCAGTTTCAGAAGAAACTTCAGTTGTTGATCTTCAATTCCTATGTTTTATATGAAAATATTTTGAAAAGAAAATAAGTGTTTTCCAACTGAGCATAATAAAGGAGGCTAAACATGATTATTCACACTTTGCAGTAATATACCTTTGACAGGCATGAAACATACATATGGATGAGAAAAGAGAGACCTCAATTTGTTTAGATTAGACCCATTTCAATCAGCAGGAGAAAACACATGTAAGAATGGATGTGGTTTGTGAAACACTGTGTTAGAATCTCTCTGTTTATATTCTGAAGGATGCTAGTCATGTGAATGATTTTAAGCAGCAGAATATATAAATGCCAATCAAGTAAATCACTCACGAAGAGCCAAAGCATCGCTGAAAGAAAGATACCCCAGGGAATTGGAATGACCTTACGCTGCCAAACCAAAGCAGATTGAAAAGTTTAATGCCATGGACAGATTTTGACAGTGGTAATGGTATTGGTGTCCTTGGCTCGTTCCTACTCTGGGGAGTTATAACTTTAAAAGCTTTGATTTTTGTTTATCATGACAAGTTCTTCAAATATATAGCTCTTTGGACTCAATGGCTCTGCCATGCCCCATTTCTCTTCTGTAGGCCTGGAATCAACTATGAGAAAAGAAAGCATAGCCATATATATTTTTCAAAGACATAATTTAAAACTATAATTCTACTTTGATACTTACAGATACTATAAATTTATAGTGCTATAAATAGTTAATAACATCATGATGAGTATTAAATACTCTTATTTTACATAGATTTGGCTATTTTCTTTTACGATGTATTATGTCTGTGACTCCCTTAGGTCTGCTTTGTTCATGACATTAAAGTTAAGCTTTGAAAATCCATATTCCATTTCTAATAGCTTTCCTCTGGCACATGAGTACACCTGATCTAAAGGGTGACATCATCCTTTACTTTCTCAATCATCTTGATTTTCCTCAAACTCTGGTCAAAACACCACCATTAGATGGACACATTTTCCATCATTTTTATAAGGTTCTTTTTCCTCTCAATACATGTAACTGCCACATATAGCAACCGAAGGATGATAAGAGAATTTTCATGGCACCCAAGGTGAGAAGCTGAGGATTGTCAGAGAAAGGTGGAGTGTTTATTTTTCTTTCTTTTCTCTTTTGATTCACTGTAGTTCTGTACCAATATCATCTTTGTCCTAGCTGAGCATGCCTCCTGACTTTGTGGAATAATGTGCTATATGTTCATGTGCATAAAGATAATATGTATATTTATAGTATGCATTAATTTGAATGAATCGAAATTAAAATTATGTGACTTTTTTCTCTCATGTCCCCTCTTCCGTTATTACACTACTAGTCCTCTCTAAACCCACTGACACTGTCCATTGTTCTGAATTTGATTCCAGAGTTAGAGCTCAATTCTCTGCCTAATATAGTATTTTCTGTTTACATAGTGATTGCTCATATATTTTGCTCTTGTCAGAAATCTTTGACGGACTTATGCTGCATAAAAGTGCTGAAGGAAGAAGTCATTTAATTTTAAAATAATTTGTTTACTATGCATTAGAGTCTAACAAAGACAGATGGATACACATTTATGGTAATAATGCTTATTTCTCTCATTTCCTTCTCATTGTATTAAAACTAAGAGCAAATAAGCACAATTCGGCTTCTGTTTGTGTGATTTTTACTTTTCAAGTTCTTTCCATCCTGACTCTCCTTGCAGCTTTCACATATGGACACATATTATTTGTGTTGAACATGATTCAAATACTGTTTTGAGTTATGTTGTACAATGTCTGATATATGTCATATATAAAAATAAAGGGTCTAATATATTCCTTCAAAGAATAATCAAGGTAAGTAATGTGCGCATGGGGCACACACTGTTCAAATAAATACTACAAAGAGACAGCAGTCTTTGCTGTGAGGCACACATCTTCCCTAGTGACCTCCCCTTGACAATAACTACGCTCCACTAAGGATGAATAAGGATCATTTCTTTTTCTCTCAGATGAGAAAACAGTACAACTACACTAGATGCATTTATCTTTTGTCTTTGCAACTGTCTTTCTGCTTCTTTGTCCATCCAATCTCTGTTTCTCTAGTCTAATTCAGACCTGCTCATTTCCCTCTCCTCCTGTCCATGTCTGTCTTCCTGTCTCCCTCTCTCTCTGCCTTTCTGTCCTATTTTTGCCTCTCAATTTCTCTCTACTTTTGTTTTCTTTTGGTTTGTCTTTCTGTCTTTTTTTCACTTTATCCTCTTCTACTCATATTTATATATGCATATAAAGAGATACAGAATTTACACTTTATAAGTTGAACTCATTTCTGTTCTGCTCTCTTGCATAGTAAAATATCAATCACACTAACCTGCTTACTGAGCCGAAGTTCTTCCTTACAGTTGAGAAACCTTCTATGCGTCTAAAAATGAACAGTCGTATCCATAACAGTGACAGCATGCATTTGATTTGCATAGTGCCTTTTCAGTCAAACTGTTATGCAGCCTAGTTAGACCTCTGACTTTGAGGATGCAGACAGAATTGTTTAACACAATGACCTTGACGAGCCTCACAGTAAAGTCTCATTCTGAGAAAATCACACTTGAAAGATAAAATAATTTACACCTAGCATTCTAGAGTATAATTACACCCATGATAGACATTACTTTTCAGGGCTGAATCTATGGCTACATTTTATAATGCAAGGGGAAAGAGAGAGATAGAAATGATTGTTTGTTGAGTGCATATCACTGACTAAGCACAATGCTAATTGATATATAATATCTCATTGTATTCTCTATGTCACATGCTTATCCTTCTGAGTTACCTCTGTTTTATACACGAGAAAACCAGAGTTCTAAAATAGTACATTAACTTGTTTAAGGTCACAGATTTAGGAAGTGGTATTTTTGAGATTCCATCCTGAGCCATGTGTACTGAAAATATAGGTTCTATACTTGTTAATATATGTCTTCCATATATTCCTATGAGGGTCCTATTTCTTAAAGTTATATAACTTTACTGCTTATTTAAAATATGCCCTAATTGAAATAAACCACTACAATTTTATTTGCCATTACAATCTTTGGATTAATTTTCCAAAAAGCTGACACCTAGCAAATTGTGAAAGGGTGAAATGTGTAGTTGAATAACACACCTACAAAGGCAGAAAGCTGAATGTCCCTCAGAATAGTAGAAACAATTACTGGGGCTGTGGAGGGGGAATGATAATAGCCAGACCTGCTTCTCTTGAATACATTTTATTGAAGATATCAATATTCAAAGGCAAAAGATAATAATAATGATCAAAAACTTTAAGTTGTTCTGATTTTCTCGATGTATTTTCTAGGTGTGTTAGTTTGAGGGAATTGAATGTATTGAATAATTCAATTGACTTTTCACATTTCACATACTAACATTTCCTGAATACTTTTAAGGCAATTGTACTTCTTTGACATTTTTAAGGCTAACAACAATCCTAAATTGTAGATATAATTTACTGTAGTTAAATAAATGATTACCTGAAGCTGGGAGGGTTTGTTTTACGTTCACTTAGAGAAATGGCAATTCAAATGATGAGTTAACTTATATATAAGCTTCTTATATATAACTTATATATAAGCTTCTTTTTTAAATTTTCAAACTCAGTGCTTTCCTCTAATTATCGTTCTTCCCAGTCTACTTCTGAACTCACTTTTCTATGTCAAAGTAATATGTCTCAGTTAACATTGTACAATCTAACCTCTGGCAGCAGAACCACGAATTCACTGAATTTGGGAGCTGGTGCCACATTTTTTGTGATAATTATGATCTTAATAGTATGACTTTTTTCTAACTTCCAATTAGATTGAACTTTAAAATTAACATTTATCTTATTTTACTTATTTTGTCCATAGCTACTGTTAAGTAGAATTTTAATTAAGCAGCAGTTGGTAGCAGTTAGTTTTAAGTTGTTAGAATTCGTGATCATCTAAAACCCAAATGTTAGTAGACACATGCTTAAAAATAGGTGCTGTCAGAGGTCCACAAATACTTGGGTCTTTTTGCCAGTTTTAACAGTTAAAATTAGATATGCTTCCATGTTATTTGGAAAGAAACAATCCAAGAATATCTAGTCCAAGAACTTGCGTGGTCCACTGAACAGCATCATTGACAAGGAATCAGGCCTTTGCTTCTATTCCTGGCCACATGCTGCGAAAGTCATTCAGATTTATCATGCAGATGACTGGCTTTGCATATCCCTATCATTATCACTAACGCTGAGATAGCAATTCCGACTTACCACACAGGAATCTCTAATGATTAATTGGATAATGTTCGTTAAGTGCTCCCAGCTACTTAGAATAAATGTACTAGATGGCTATTAAGCATTGTTATTATAAGATGTTGCTTAGATGTAATACCAGTGACTGACTGCTCCATAGTTATGAGGAAAATTACTTCCTCTGATAATATGAGTGTAACACATATTGACTTAAAATATACATTCTTTGGCATACATTTAGACTTTCCAAATGAGCTAAGCAAAGGGCGGCCTTCTATATGGTTTGTTAGTTGCTTATTTAAGAGTGCATACTATCTGTGTGGCACTTTTATAAGCACTTCATCCTTACGATAATACTGAATGCCAATGATATATCCTCACTTTTTATAGGAAGGACACAGAAACATAAATGCCTTGCCTGAGGCCACACAGCTAGTAAGTGGTAGGGTCAGAACTTAATCCTTTTAAAATTGGCTTCAAACCACTCATGCTTAACCACTCCCTTAGACTGCATAGCTCCTATATTTACATTTGTATTGTGTTTATCCCTTTGCTCAAGAAAGTGGAAGTGTTTGGTTATATATCACCTGGAAAACTTGCTGATCTATCTTTTTAAAGACAAATTGTGCAAGGTTAATCCAGGAAGATCCCCTAGGGAAAATCAGTTAAGGAGAATTGAGAGATAAAGAAAGCAGGTGTAGGAGTGAGAAAGGTAACCTGAGTTCCTTGTCTATGTACAGGTGTCATCACTTCCTATTAATTGGGGAAGACATTTTAAGTTCATTGTGATTTTGAATTTAGATGCCTCCAATTTTTTGAAAATGCAGAAAACAAATTATAGAAATGCTATGTGAAGTTATAGCATCTGGGAAAAAGAACAAGTATTTTCTTCTCTAATGTTTCATCAAGTGAAATGATTTGGGCTGTAAATAAAGTGCTAGTACAATATATTTTCAATGATAAAAGAAATTATCATCTCTCCAAACAAGACATCCAAGGCAAACTAACTTAATTTTAAATTCAGCACCTCAACAGCATCATCAAGGATCCACACTTTTTCCCTCTTTATTCACTAGACTCCTCAGCATGTTACCTGAGCCTCTTATCTGCTCCTTGAAGATGACTGAAGCAGCTCCATCTACCAATTGACACACATCAGGATCTGCAAGAACAAGAACTCAATCTTCCTTGTTTCTCTCTTAAAGCCCCACAAGAAATCATTTCCCTTGTATCTCATTGGCTGAAACTTTGCAGCATGTTTGTTCCTAAAACAAATAGCAAGAGGGCTAAAAGGTTCACAGTTAGCTAAATTAGTCAAGATTCACTTCTTTCATCAGGAACTGGGAGGTCTCTTTCCTTAAATTCCGTTGCTTTGTGAATGAATGTGGTTTTCGGAACATAAGTCATAGTCTCTAAACAGGGAAGAGGGATGTCTATTGGGTAGATGACTGTATACTGTCTACTGTTACTCTTATACTTTATTGAATGCATTTCCTTTTTTCTCTATTTTTTAATATTTGCATGGTGAGAGTGAATTCATTCAATTGATTTTAATTTTAAATATATATTAATGCAAATTTTACATAGCAAAATGAAAGAAATTTTTAGTTCATTAGATGCTGTGTCATTGTATTGTACTGAATTTTCTCCTAATTTTGTAATTCTGAGGATGACCCACAACCCATCTTTTCTCAAACTCAAATACAGACATTACCCAAGACTCATTAATCAGAACCAATGACATTTTTGTCTGGTTTGTGTTTTCTTCTAGATGTCAAATTGACATGTAAGGATTAACATATCCACAAAACAAACTTTATCAAACTAGGCTGCCCATTTCTATGTTCTGTCCTCTGTAATACATCATTTACATTTTGCTTTATTGATTTTTATTTAGCATAATACTTTTGGCAGTGGTGGTGGCCTGTGTGTACATGTATGTACATACATGTGCTAAATGTACACATTTAATTACATATATGTGATTTATGTTATATAATTATATAATTTATATAATTTAAATTTTATAATTATATAATTTATGTAATTATATAATATAATTTACATTTTATAAATCTAATATAATTTATATAATTTATATAATATAATATAATTTATGAAATTTATATAATTATAATACATACACTTTTATATAATATAAATATTAATAACTATTAATATTTATTAATAGTTATTAATAAATATTAAATAAATACTAATAACTATTTCAAATGCTTTAAAATATTTGAAATAACCTGTATATAGAATTAGACTTAGATATCTAACCCTTATATAGGATTAGGCTTGGATATCCCAGACATCCAAATAGAATCCTATATACAGATTAGATATTCAAATATTTTGAAGAATTACTTCGATTTTTACAACCTTGGTTAACTCTTCCTTCCTATGAGATGGTATGATGTAATTTTTACTACTTTTATTATACTGTTTGCCTGCTGTGTGCTGTAGCTATTCATATACTAAAATTGTTACTCCTACCACATACACTGTGATAGTAAAAGCACAGCTAACACTTACATAATGTGTAATTTCCTTAGTATTTTCGATGTTACCATAATTTTTTGCAATGCTAATTAGTATTTTATGATAAAGTACGCTTAAAGAAATGTGGAGAATCCTAGTCTAGAAAAAATAGTTGAGCCTGTAAAAGCTGATATGCCACATGCCACTCCAAGTGGAATGGAGATAGTATGCTGCATTTCCCAAACATGTTTGGCCAGGAATCACTTGTGGTTATACTCATAGAATTACTAGTATTCTGTGAAACACATTAGGTGAATATAAGTATTGTGATTTGTAATGCATGCAATGCTTTAGGAATAAATATCATTTCATTTTCACAAAACATTTGAAGTAAGTAGATCAATAATTGTTAGTATTCTCATTCTATAGATGACAAGGTTGATGTAAAAAATGTGGCACAAGATTCATTGGAAATTCAAAATAAAATGTCCTCAACTTTGACTAAATCCTGTGTTGTCTTCATTACACTAAACACATGCTTAAAGCTCTACTTCTCTTGTATTTCTTTCAGTACCTTGCGCAGTACCTTGAACTTTGTAAATACTTCAAAAATAAAACTTGCTTCAAATTTCGTCTAATTTAATAGTAAGTTAAAATTAAAGCAAAAACAAGAAGTATGACTATGTCCCTAATAGTTTGTCAACACATTGATATAACAAAATGGTTTGTTTAATCAGTTCAAGATCCAATGGCATTTCTAAAAGCTTTTCAAAACTGTAATTAAGTTTTGTTTTTTAACTAAACTACAAGCCTAGAATTTAGTGAAAAATCAGGCAGAAATCATGAATTGGAAAATATGTCCTGACATAGCTTTAGGTAAGAAATGGAATGATTAATATAGACCGACCATAATGAATACAAATGGAGTTCTACCTGTTCTATTAAGTGAACCATGGGAATCAGTCAATACCATTTATCTTGAGGACAAGTAAAGACTGAGTCAAAATACACTAAAAAGAGGGTATATTAATGTGGATTTCTAATTAACCGAATCCACCACACTCTGGTCATCAATGGTAAAAAGTTGCAAATATGCTTTATATATGCACAACCATACAGATAACTAATGTCAACTCAATTTGCAAAGCTATACATTTTAATGAACTGTCTTTAAATTGTATTAATTTTGAAAGAAATTTTGCTGTGCCAGGAATATAAGACACTAGCAACCATCTCAAGGCTCTAATGACTCTATTTATATCATTTATTAGTCTTCCACATTGTTATTATTATAAATGTCCTATACCTACTTACCTAGAGTTAAATTAATATTTTAAAATAAATACTAATGAATTAAACGCCTAATTATTTAGCACATACAAAAACCCTCATTCTCAATCACATTTCAGATTTAAAGAAATGCTTTTACTTTGTGAATTGTCTCGTAAATAAATTTAGTTCTCTCTTTTAGGTTTAATAGGGTTTCTAAACATGCCTGGTTTAACAGATTATCAGTATTTGTTACACATTGTGTGTAATAGCATTAATTTAGAAAATTTAATGTACAGACACATTTTTCTTCTTCACAAATAGTAAACCATCTATCCATGTCAGATGTAGAAAAAATTGTTTAAAGCAAAATATGGTAGCTTCTTCTGTGTCTATCAGGTTATTCTGTTAAATGCCAGAAGGACTCAGAAGTTCAGGATCAAACAGAAAGCTAATATAAATCTATTTGGAAAACTTGAGAATGAAAAAAAAATATGTATATATATATATATAAATGCATTTCTTTGCGGATTTCCCAGGCTTGAGTTTTCCTAAGTATCAGAAGGAAATGTAAATTTTTTATAACCAAAATTAAGAAATATATGGCGTTAATTAAAAAGAATAGAAAATAAAATAATGCAGCTAAAGATTTATAGGTTGAATGGGACATGCCTGTAAAAGGAATCTGTATAGGTGGTATCTATGTAGGTCAACCTACAACAGAGAGCGTGAATGCTGATGGCAGAATGAAGTCTAATCAGGGTAAGGAGAGAAAATTCTAGATATCCCTGATGGCTCATCTCCTCCACCCTTTCAGTGACTTAGCAAGAAACTGGATCAGCTCACCTGAACTAGCGCAATAAATAGGACCAGAGGCTGAGCTCAGGAGCTTTCTCCTTTTAACTCGGCCACTTCCTAAACCAAGAAGCACCAATCATCACAGGGTTACTAGATGTTTATTTTCTTCCTTTCTCCACTCCTAAAAATGTGTAGATCATTAGAGGGCTGGTATCTCCTTCCCGGAACCCTTTCTGTGCTGAATCCAGTCCAGCTCAATCTGCTTTAACACGTCTCTATGGATTATTGAGCAACTGGGGCTCATTTGAGTCGTCCTAGTTCTCAGTGTATACATTATCTTCAAACAAACTCTATCACATATATACACTTCGGGGTATTAGGGTGTGAATGCCCATATCATCCTTATAATCCAGGACAAACTTTGTATATCTGAATGCAGTGGCAAGATTTTCACTTTTCATATTTGAATGAAAGATTCAAAACCATGTAAACATGTAAATCCCTTCATTGTTTTGTTGTTTTGTTTCTTTTTTTGAAAGTCTGTCTCCAGATTAAGTTTAACTGATCAATATATAGTATCTTAATCCATGTGTTTTAGGAAACAGTCTTTCTGATACTTTAAATAGCTGTGTTCAGATGATCACGTTTGTTATATAACATTCTCTGCTCAATTATCTTCTATTTTGCTTTCTTCCTGCCTTCCTCACCTAAATAAGCCAGCAGCTTTGTTTCTCATACCAAATGCTAGGTGTCATCTTTTTATTCCTTCCTTATCTATTCCAATAGCAGAGTCTGGTTAGTTCTACCCCAAGTGTCTTTTCAATCCTTGCACTTGGTATCTCTCCATTATGAATACCGTATTCCAAGCTACTGTCACTTTCTGCCTAACTGCCACCCTATCTTGTCTCTCTGCTTCTGCTCTCCTACCAGTCAAACCAGATCTCTTCCACAGGGGAGTGGGAGTGATCATTTAATCAGATCATATCACTCTTCTGCTAGGAGCATGTCCAAACTCAGAGCCCTCATAGAGTTGGGGCACTTTCTACCTCTTTCACTTCCTCCTGTATCACCTCTGACTTCCCTCACTATCCTGCAGCCCCATTTGCCTGCAATGCCTTTCCCTCGATATCTTCATGCTTTGCCTCTTTGCTCATGCCTCAACCAAGCTGCCATATGATCAGACAAGCTACCCACACTACTGATTCACACACAGGCATATGCTCATATCTGCTACCCTCCAACCCTGCCTTTTATTGTAATCAATAGTATTTATGATAACCTGACATAATACATATTTGTTTCTTGCTTCACTGAATGTAAATGGTATTATAAATGGCATGAAACAGGGATTTTGACTTCCTAGGTGGTTACTCTACCCTCAGTACTTAGCACGTTGCAGGTTCTGCAGAAATCCTGATTAATGGAAATGCTGACACAAATCACATGATTATTTTATGGTGAAATCACAAATTTCCCTACCTATTTTTTTCACACAGAAGTAGCTTTGCTTTTTTCTCATTAGTTGTATTTATCTTCTAAATGAAATGAAAATATATTGCCGAAACAGGAGTAAGTTTCCTGTAATTTGGGTGTGGGAATCCCTCTGTAGAACTTAGTGCCTGAAAACCTTGCTTCACAGGGGAAGGAATAATGAATCTCATGTTTAAATTATGTAGCACAAGTAGATATAGTATCAACCTAAAAAATTTCACAAATTCTTTGAAAATCCAACTATTCAAAGAAAATCCATATTCAAGCACAGACTTTAATCTGGAGTTACTCTTCTATTGGATCTCTATATAGCTTTGAAACTGATTAAAGCTGGCTTTGATTTCCACATTTAGAAATTAATCACACATGGCTGGATCACGGCCATGGGGGCTGCTATTCTAGAGCAACCTCTCTCTGTGAGACTTGGAAAAATATGAGGAGAGCCACCCACCTATCACACCATCAAACACTTATATAGACACACAACTGAGAGAGGGGTTGCTTCATGTGTTCTTTTCTCTAAAAACATCCTCTGGACATTTCTCTTTTAGCTTCAACGACTCTGTTGGTTTTTAAGTAGATAGAGAGATGGTTTGACAAATTAAAAGGTAGCTAGCTTACTAAACATAGCACGGTGAACACTTAATTCCAATCATAAAATAACATTTTACTATGTTCAAATTGTGAAAAACAGACGATAGTAAATGAAGATATCACTACTGATGGTGAAAGAAAGAGAAAGTAACACGATTGCTGTTGACTTCTCCAGCTGCATCTTCCCTCACTGGCATGTATCCACACCGTGTTTCAGGAATACCAAGATATTTATTATTTCCTAAATAGTCAAGGCTACTTCTCATCCCTTAGATCTAATTGGTCATGCCTCTCTGCCCAGCAGAATTTTAACACCTATCCTTTCTCATGCTAACTTCTATTTAGATTTCAGATTAGATCTCAAAGTTAAACTCCTTCAGATGTGGACTCAGCTCAAATACCATGGATACCAGAGATATCATTGACTTAATTATTCTTATGCTGATTAAAGCCTTCCTTGGGTTGTTGTGATAGATTATTGTGATAGGGGATATCAGATATCCTCAAAATTATAAATACCTATGGTATTAATAGTAATTTTTTTGCAGAAAATTTACTTTTGAATATCTATGTATTTCTAATTTGTAAAATCACTTTTCTGTTATAAACAATGAACATCTCTTTATGCAACAGATAGTTTATTCATCAATCTTTGTGTCTTTTTCTGATTGTTTCTATTAATTAAACTCTTAGAAGCTGAAACTGCTAGATAAATGCTGTTAACATTTAACACATATTGGCAAGTTGCCATTCTGAAGAGTAACACCAATTCATACTCTTACCAATAGTCCTCAGGGTACCCTTTTCCTCACATACTGTGAACTCTAGGTATTATCAATCTTTTTAACTTTGTAAAACTGAGAGTCAAATAAACTTGTTGTTTTGTGGTTCTACTATACCAAGAAAAGATATAATAGACATGAAAATGTTGGCATCTTTATGAGTCTGGAATTAAAGGAACTTTCCCTTTCTGCTTTCTAATTTGATTTAAGGAATATATTGCACTTTAATAAAAAATGCACTAAAATGATTTGCATTTGAAAATCTCTTTAATATTTTAACTCTGAAAAGACAGACTTGCACAATGGTTAAGACTGTGAGGTGAGGACTCAAGTGGGTCTGAGTTCAAATTGAAGCGTATGCACTTAAAATGCAGTTTTATCATCTGGAATACAAGGGTGATAATCCTTGCTCTTCTAGGATTAAAATGATCTCATAAATGTTGAGTACTGAAAGAAGTATTGGCACATAATAGGCAGTTAATAAATAGTAGCAGTGAGGAGACTCCTGGTAAACATAGCATTTCAAACTTACGCATTCTTCCAAACAAAACAGAATTCATCTATGTACATGGACATGTATTTCTTACGAGGTTTTCTTCCATAGATAATGAATGTAAGAAAGCAAAATTAATTTGCTTGTGATTATTTGTGTTGTTATCAAGTATGGGTTTATGACATACTATAGAGTATTCTTTGGAGGCAGGTTATTGCTTTCATCCAATAAGAGGAGATTTAGTACTATAAATAGAAAATGCTTAAAGCTTTTCAGAATTTGTCTTAAAAGTAATTAAATTTCAGTTTAAACTATGATATTTTGCTCATTATCGTAAAGTTGGAAGATAAATTAAAAGTTTCAGAAGTTATTTTAATACAAATCTAAAATTCAATCATTATTCTTCTAAAATGCAATAAATTAAAAGATTATAACGGCTTGAAGTTTACCTTAATAACAACTTTTTAGTTGATGGTACATAGCTCCTGTGGGTCAGAATATGTTTTTAAAGTTTCTCAATTTGATCACATTAGCATTTGCACTGGATAAAAATGAATGGTACCACAGAATTAAGCAACGATTTCAGAAACAAATTCAAAATAAACTCACACTTAAGTGACTAAACAAATTGGCCTTCCATCTATTAATTTAGCACCTATAGAGTTCTAAAGTTTAGAGATTTAGGAAGGTACTAAGAGTGGCAAATGTGTGTCATCTGCATCTTAAAAAATAAGAAACATTAATTCACCAAACAGAGTGGTATTACCAAGTAGAGGAAGCCACTAACACATGCAAACAGAGTGGGTAAATTCACGGTGACTTCAGAGTACTTGTGGTTGTTGTGTGGGAAGCCTAACATGGAAGACCATGAATCCAAGTCAGAAAGATAATTAAGGATGAATTATGTTAAGGAGATTATATCTCATTAATTTCCCTCATTTATGAAGGAACTTGGACATTCTTAGAAATTTTCTCTCTCCAATAACATCTACTGCAAACATGGATCACATCATGAATGCCACAGGAAATAACCTAGATCATAAACCATTCCACTGGCTAATTTTGCTTTTTTCCCTACCTAACTCACCCTACAGCCACTCACTTTCCTCAGTCCTTTTACATTTCAGCTCCAGTTTCAGGAAATGACTTTGTTATCTACTTAGAGAAAACTGGACCTATTGATAGAGAACCAATTAATCTTTTCTTCCCGCAACCTACAACAAACTCACCTAAGTCTACAGTGACTTAATTTTTTTTCCTTTTACAGTACATCAATCATCTATTTGTGTCTGTAAGACTATCCTTTTGCCAAAGTTTTCAATACTCAATACAAAAATCACAGTTTTTAATTTTTTTAATTTTTTTTATTTTTTATTTTTTATTTTTTGAGACGGAGTTTCACTTTGTCGCCCAAGCTGGAGTGCAGTGGGGCGATATCAACTCACTGCAACCTCTGCCTCCCGGGTTTCAAGCGATTTTCCTGACTTAGCCTCCGAGTAGCTGGGATTATAGGCATGCACCACGATGCCTGGCTAACTTTAGAGACGGGGTTTTGCCATGTTGGCCAGGCTGGTCTCGAACTCCTGACCTCAAGTGATCTGTCTGTCTCAGCCTCCCAAAGTGCTGGGATTATGGGCATGAGCCACCGTGCCCAGCCAGTTTTTGAATTTGAATGCCCATAGAGAATACACTGCAGTTACCCACAGAATCTATAATTGTTTATGACTTTATATCTAGTTGTCTTGCTTGTATTGAGTCAGATTATTTGTTAGACATCAAAAGGCACATAATTTGGGGTACCTTGAATTACGTTATCTCTTTGATGTATCTGACATTGACTACTTAACTAAATCCTTCCCCTGTGTATGTAAACCCCTTCAGATTACTTACAAAAATAGACACACAGACCCTCTGTTGGACAGCAGATCATCCTCTCCTCCCTCACAAGCAAAATTATCATGAAGCATTGCATATCGTCTGAATCTCTGTTCATTTCTTTCTCTCCCACTAACATTTGCAGTTGGCTGTAATTTCCCTTCAAATTCCTATTAACTTATGAAAGTTGTTGATAGGGTCACGTATAAAGTTCCATGTGAACAAATCTAATAAACATTAATAAGCTTTTTTTTTGCATTCATATTCCTAGAGATACTTGATGACCCCCTTCACCTAGAAAGTCTTCCCTCTCCTTTATCACATAGAAGTCCCCTATTCTCCTCAGCATTCTTCCCCATCCTCCTTTACAGTCTCCTTAGACATCTCATCTTCTATGGAAACATAAAATAGTGAAATTCTGAAAGACTCATCTTTGCCTTTTTTTCTTAGAGATCTATATTCTCTCCCCACATAAGCACATTTATGTCTAGAGTTCTATTTGCTATTTTGTGCCAATGTTCCCAATATTTATATTTCAATCTCGGGCTTATTTATATTTTTTATTTTGAGATTCTTTTTAGTTTTATTCGCATGCACTTAACAATTTCCAAATACTCTTTGGTGTTATGTTTTATGGCACATTTAATATAATGTACACAAAAGCAGACACTATCATCTTGCCCTGTTTCTTCCATCAATATCTGTCTTTTTTCTTGGCTCCTAATTTCAGGGAATGGTAATTTCCCTTTCTGCAAATTAGACATCTGGGAGTCATCCTTGATCTCTCTCTCTCTCTTTGATTCCTCTGTGCCCCATGCCATCCATATATGAGTACTTAAAATTTTTAATCACATATTAAGAAACTACTCCCAAATCATCCCGGAAGTCTTGCCACATCTCTCCATACTCACTACAATCTTTATATCCCAAGCTATCTTGATCTCTTTCTGGCAATATCTTCTATTCTGCTGCACTCCATGCACTCTGACTTTTTCAATCTGTTTTCTAAGTATATCACTCCCCCGCTCCATCTTTAAACCCTATAATTAGTTTTCTTTGAATTTAGAATAAAGACTAGGTTTATAGTTTTTACGACCTGAACAATTAGTCACATTCTCTTATTTCTTCTCTCTGTTCAAATATACTGATCTTTCATTTCTTAAATTTTCCGAGCCTCTTCCTACTTAAGGAATTGTATTCACTTTGTTTCCCTTGTTTAGATTCCTTTTTTTCTAACCTAGCTTTTATCATTTTTCAGTTTGCAACTTAAAGTCTCCCTCTCTGACTTCCCAGGTTTCTCAAGTCACCTCAATATATGCATTCCACATGTTGGTGTTGTAATTGTACCTTTGTTTGCTAAGTGATTTGATTACAGTCCCTTTTACCTACCATAAGAGGATTGCATCAGCGTTACCACTGTTTCTTCAGTACCTAGTTTGGTAGATGTTTGTTTCTCCATAAATGCTCAGCTAAAAGAATATTTTGCCTGTTAGAATGAGCTGTATTGAGATAACTATGCAGGGTGGGAGCACAGTTAATTTTTGTTTTTAGAAATTTTACACAATAGGAAAATAAAAGGAACAGATGGAGTGCGGGTGTTCTAAAAATAGGGAAATATTTTTGGAGGCTATATTAATAGCCCAAGATCCTGCCTGGACTGAAGATATTGATGAAGGCACAGCAGTTGGGTTATAGATGAGAAAGTGCAACTGAGAGATACTTAGATTAATGTAGTGATTGTTTCTGACTGGCTGGGCTGGACCCAAGGTAAGAGAGGCCTCATGAGCAAATGATCAACACTATAAGTTCTAATGAGTTGTAGAACTTTCTCTACAACTGATTAGAGCTTATAGTGCCAATAAGAAGATAGCGATGAAGCATTTTATGGTGAATTCTCAGTTACATTTTCCAAAGGCGGAACTTTAGTTGTTTAGCATGGAGAAGTTTAGAAGAATAATAGAGATAAGTACTACATGGTGCTCAAAGAGAGAAGTGGACTGATGAAACAAATTTGACAGTCATTGGTACAAGTTGCAGATAAAGTTATGAATGTGGCTGGGAACACATAGAGACTGGCTTTGGCTCAACCACAGGAATAATCTTAGAAGGAGAATGAAAGAATTTGAGCCAAAGAAAATTAAAAAGAAATGGCTACATGGGTAGAAATAAAACAGCAAGAAATTTGGGAATAAAAACCAAGCGAAGTGAGAGACATTCAAGGAGAGAGTGGTGAATCAAGATGAGGACTAAATAAAATATTGCTTATAATATTTGGTGATCAGAATTTGTTTTTAGGATTATCAAGTGTGTTGTTATTGGAGCTAGACAGGCACCTATAAAGCCTGTTGTAAAGTGCATGGGACAGAAAAGAATCAGAAGTTATAGCACAGACTACTTTTAAAATATTTTTTTCTTATAAAGAAGAAAGAATTATATGGTGGTAACCAGATAAGAAAGCACATGGAAACGGGTGATTTCTTCTCGTGAAATTTAATGAAACCAAACATTTTACCCTTAAAATACAGCATTTACTCTATTTCATGCAAGTCACTAAGAATTCTCCCTGACCTTGCCGTAAGAAGGAAGGGGCACCTGTAGGTACTACTGCTAAGGATCAGCAGGGACAATCTCACTCAAACCCACAGGACACAAGAAATCTTACGAGCTAAACAGAATTGACTGAAAGTCAAGTGCAATGTTAAAAAATCCCAGAAAGCCATAAGGCATTCTGCGAAGTCATCAAACTGAAAGGATAAAGAAAGCAGTGATACAGTCAGAAATATCCCCCAAAAGCAAGAGACTTGACAGTTAGAAAGGGTCCTTTCTACACGAAAATAACTAGAGTAGAGTCATTAATGGCCTATTTTTATTTTCTGTCCTAATATATGAAGAATGGCTAGTTTGCAAAGGAAGAATAAATACCCTAGTGATAAAAAAAATTACAAAGTATGGAATTAGAGAAACCTGGGTGTGACCTTCCAGTTGTGTGGTTAAGGGTATGATTTTAGATAAGGCATGAAATGTTTCTTAACTCGGTTTTTTTTTGTTACTTTATTAAATGGGCAACAATGGCTACTCTTAAGACTGTAGAGAGGACTAAGACAATAAATCCAAAGTTTTTGGCATGTAACACACGCCTAAGAGATAATAAAGTTATTCTTGATAGAGTCCTAGATTAGAAGTAGTGAGATGGGTTCATAAAATTGACCCTTGGTTTTTGAAACTAAAAATAGTTTTCCATTTCCAAAAAATATATATCATGTAAATATCACTAGTAACACGTATAACAACATTTTTTTCCCCTGAGGCAAAGTTAAGGCAAAAGATAATTTCAGAGCCTTAAATATCTCTTGCCTAGAGCTCCTTCTTCAACCATTCCTCAACAACTATAGCGAGATCTGTCCTCTGTGTCTAAAATTTTCATAACTAGTAATTGTGAAACTAGTGGTCCAAAGCAAATGAAGAATAACTGCCTTGATATATGTATATGCACGACAATGAACACAGCAAATCCTGAGAAAGAAAGAATGGATTGGAACAGAGAAAAATAAATCCTCCTGAGAACTACATCTTCTTCTTATTTAGAACTCCTGTCCTTACTTCACATGTGCAGAACCAGCTCAAAGTCCGGATGTAAGCCAGCCATGCCCCTTACTCTGCTGTGAATATCATTCCCCCCAACAGTAGTCTCAGACTCTTCATTTCTCCATGTGGAAAATGTTGCCAAGTCACACAATACCTAGTACACAGCACTAAAGTCATTTTTTAAAAAGCTTTTAAGTTCAAGGGTGAAAGTGCAGGTTTGTTACATAGGTAAACTTCTGTCATGGGGGTTTGTTGTACAGATGATTTCATTGCCCAGGTATTAAACCTAGTACACATTAGTTAATTTTCCTGATCCCCTCCCCTCTCCCACCCTACCCTCTCTGAAAGGCCCCAGTGTGTGTTGTTCCTCTCTATCCATCCATGTGTTCTCATCATTTAGCTCCCACAGTTTATCTAAAGATGTGTGCTTATAAATCTTCCTTCTCCCTTCTACTTCTGGCAAATAAAATATTCTTTTTGTTCATCTGCAGAAAGAAACAGAGTCCTCCTTCTCTCTCTCTCTTTTGTTTTTTTTTTCTTTTTTTTGAGAAGGAGTTTCACTTTTGTCGCTCAGGCTGGCGTGCAATGGTGCAATCTTGGCTCACTGCAATCTCTGCCTCCCAGGTTCAAGCGATTCTCCTGCCTCAGCCTCCCAAGTAGCTGGGATTACAGGTGTGCACCTCCATGCCTGGCTAATTTTTTTATTTATAGTAGAGGCAGGTTTCACCATGTTGGCCAGGTTGGTCTTTGATTCACATATCAAGGCATGTTACAAAACTATTTATGCAGAAATGGCACACGTGAGCTGCTGGCATGTAACCTGAATCCTAAATTGGTTGGGAGAAATAGAAATTGTGTACCATAGAATCAAAGACTTTTACCTTGACATTCACAGTGTGTCCCTTTTCATGTAGATGACATTATTTACTATTCATTGTCTCAAACACATTTCCGTGTATAAGTGAGAAGGTCCTAGTGCTTATTTGTCATAAGGTAAGTGAAGATGCTTCATGGGACAAAAGAAATCTGACAATGCAGCAAGATTTTTAAATTTTCTATTGTGGTAGGAGTTTTACTGATTATCACTAAAATAGGGAATGAAGTGGGTTTTGGGAAATCAGTTCCATTTACATTTATTCCACAAAAAAGATTTATATCTATATGCCACTCTTTCTTTGTGTATGCTAAGGTGTATGAAAGGAAGAAAATCCTCTGTGATTTGCATTAAGAACAGTAAAAAACAATATTGAAGGACTTCATCATAACCAGTAGGAGAACCTGGTCAAATTAAGCACATTTGTGATTCCCAGAACATTCTGAAGAGAAATACTTGAGTCATTCATTTGGTTCTAAGTACACCTGACAGAATTGCATCTGGGCATCTTCTCAGGGGAATCTTCTCTCCTTAAGTGCCCTTGAGTAAGATCTCTCTACAGTTAAGTGCCTGACATTATTAAGAATCTTAATTTTGTACTGACTTCTTGTATGCGCGGCATAAGATTTAGGCAAAAGTAACACTGCCTCTTTCAAAGTCAATTTGAAACACACATATATGAAGAATTTTTTAAAAAGTCAATAACTATTGTCATTCAGTAAAATCCTCAAAAGAAATGTAATAATACCAAGTCCTTCACCCACTTCATTTTGATTTGAATTTATCAGAAAAAGTTCTGAAATTAATATCTAACCATATAGTCAAGCTGTGCCAAATGATTGTAGATTAACCAGTGAAAATCTATTCACATTTTTTCAGTAGTGTGAGAGATACAGCAGCCAAAATCTACGGATTTGTGTTTGGTTTTTTGTTTGTTTGTTTGTTTTTTGAGACAGAGTCTCCGTCTTTTGCCCAGGCTGGAGTGCAGTGATGTGATCTCAGCTCACTGCAACCTCTGCCTTCCGGGTTCAAGTGATGCTCCTGCTTCAGACTCCTGAGAAGTTGGGATTACAGGTGCGCACCACCATGCCCAGCTAATTTTTGTATTTTTATTAGAGGCAGCTTTTCACCACGTTAGGCAGGCTGGTCTTGAACTCCTGACCTCAAGTGATGCCCCTGCCTTGGCCTCCCAAAGTGCTGGGATTACAAGTGTGAGTCACTGAGCCCGGCCAGCATTTTTATATACCTGCAAAAGACACTTTGAAATAACAAATAAGTTGTAATGACACAGTTGATAGAAACTGGAAAATGTATCCTTCCAATGTGGAGTAAAATAGCAAAACATGCTCGTAAAAGCACTAAATAAATAAGAAATATTAATGAAAAATATCTAACTGTAAATATCTTGAAGAAAATACTTAAAGTACAGTTTTAGGGATTGAACCTAAACTTCAAGTTTAAATGTTCCATAATATTTAAATTTATTTACAATATAAATTTATAAAACAAAATAGATATTCAGCGTGGAAATTCAGAACGGAAACATATACAAAGTTACTGGTGTTACTAATAAGTGCACGTGGTTTGCAACTGATTGCTCTTATGCAAACACTCACACGAACACATGTGAGGTCCCCTAGGAGTAATAGACCAGTCTCTGGCATCTGGGCAGATGGTGCTTATATTGCTGGCAGGTGATGAAGCTGAGGGAAGACACTTATCATCTTAAATCCCAGAGACCAACGCTTTCAACTTAAAAATGAAAATGTCCCAATTATAAATCCCTGAGGTGGAAAAGGCTGCAACACGAAAGCATTCTAAGCCATGCCTTTGTGTTGTATTGCAGTCAAGAGGAAATAAAGAGGTCCCCTTTGTTTAATAAGCAACTGAAAGTTTTTCTTTCATGCCTCTCATATTTCTTGGCATCACCATAACTGTTGCCATTTAATCAAGATTCCCTTTAAACTGGTGAATGCTAGCAGAATGTCTCAAGAGAGCTGATTTCCTTCACTTTCAAGTTCATTGTGACCACGAATGCATTAACCTGGGCTGCCTACATTTCTTCCTGTGCTGTCACATAAGATATACTCCACATAAAAATAAAGAACATCAACCTTGAAAGAGGAAAAAAAAAAAAAGAAAGAAAGAAAAAACTACATTTAGCAACCCAGACTAGAATCTAAGCTCTGTCAAAGTGATTTCTTATTCCATTTTACTGAAGCAGTGCCAAGCTTTATCACTTCTGAGTTCATGTCTTACAGCTGAGGCAACCCACTTGAATTGGTAAGTTGCTTAAAGTATACACGCGCTGTTCACGTTGTCACTGATTTAAAATGAGAGAGGAGTTCTGCAGGTGGAATACAACTGAAATAGAGGAAATGGGAACTAGAAACATTAAACCATGCGTAATTAATGGTTCTTTGTCTTGCTGGTCCTCTGGAACTCTTTTTATGAGTGTTATGCAGATGCCCTATAGCAGGAAGGGCAGTGCTGTCATTTGAATAGGGTTGGTTGTTCTCCACCAAAGTGCATTTTGAAATTTGATTCCCAGCATGTAGGTGTTGGGAGGTGGGGTCTAGTTGGGAGGTGTTTGGGTTGTGGGGGTGGATCCCTGATGGATGGCTTGGTGCTGTGATCCTAGTAGTGAGTTCCCACTCTCACAAGACTGGATTACTTCCCTTGGGAATGGATTTGTTCTTGTGAGAGTGGATTGTAATAGAGCCAGGGTGCCCCTCAGGTTTCCCTCTCTTCACATGAGTTCATTTCCCCTTTGGCCTTCACCATGTTGTGACACAGCACGAAAGCCCTTGCAAGAAACCAGGGCTATGGCCTTGAACTTCTCAGCCTGCAGAACCATGAGCTAAACTAATCTCTATTCTTTACTAATTACCCAGTCAAAGGTATTCCTTTAGAGCAACACAAAACAGACAGAGAGAGAGAGGCAGGATGCTTAGTGCTGAGGGTCCAACTTTGTATCATCCTACATTTTTCGTTCACATTGGCATCACAAATAGAAATGGAGAAAATAAGTATGATTGCTGCAGCTAAATCTGACAAACTGTCACCTACGTACACCATTTCTACACCATGTAATCTCACATAACGTCCACAAGTGTCCTGTGCCTATTAGCATTTTAAAGGGCTTTGTGGCCATCATACTCTCGCTTTGGAGCTAGGGATGTTTCATTATCCTCAATTAAAACTCTCTCAGAAGCAAGACTGGCAAGCATTTATTTATATATTTTCCTTAGAGGCAACATGGGAGGCATGGATTCTGTAAAGGAGGCAGGGTGCTCTTCTGTGCTGCATCAAGAAGCGATGCTGGTTTGGAATAATTCTCCTAATGTGAAGCTATCTCCATTAAAACATAAACCATAATTGTGGAAAGCAATTTGCTCAGGAGAACTAACAGGGTTTCTTATTGTGATTCAATAACAAGGGAGCATGGAGATGCAATGCTGAAAATGCTCCCCAAACTCTTTTAATTTTCTTGAAGTGTAATTTTCTTCTGTGAAACCAATGTGAAAAGCTGAAATCATTTCTATTATACTCAGAAGCAAGATGTATATACATTTCCTGTAAATTAACATTTTCCAACTTCAGTGAACTTAAACACTCTTCCATTTGTTTGTTTCAAAATGTGGATTAATAAAAACTTGAAACCATGACACTGCCGATAAACAGTGAAAGCAAATCCACAGCTAGGTCAAAAGCTGATGTACTTAAATTTCTAATCAGTTTTGTCATGCTTTATACAGCTGCTTCTCTTTCACTAACAATTGATTATAGTTCAATAATGATTATATACCAACATGAGAGGTTGATAAATATTAATAATATTTTAAAAATCAATAACATTATTAAGAGAATCTTTCCTATAGAATATGGTCAAAATCAATAATAGCATATAAATATATCAGATGCTGAGATATTGCATACTGTATGCTACTAAAGTCAAAATCAATAGTAACAATCAGGAGATCTATTATTTTATTACTTATACTTAACATAAGTAGATATTCGATCTGTACAATTCTATTTCTTTTATTAGGCATAACATGGATCAAGGAAACGAAAGGAGCCATAAATGGTTCTAATAAATTTATAAAAACATTTATTTGTTAAAAATTTGTAGCTAGCCCGTTTCTTTTTATAGCATTATCCACTAGTGAAGGACAAGAAATAGAAATATCTTTTTAAAAAAAATTTCTATTTTTAATCATAGTGCTCAATAGTGGCACATGCAATGGCTTGAGATCTGTGGTGCATCCAGGGGATAACAGATGCCTCAGAAGCATTACCACATCTTCCCCTCCCCTACCCCCAGCCCCGTGGGCTGCATTTTGTTGTGACTCCTGTGTGCTTTTCTAAGACGTGTTTGCTTCACAGCTGGTGAATGGACACTTTCCATCACTTCACCTCTTGGCAACAGATGCCTCTCAGTTAGGCACAGATGCTGAGTGTCCACCCATCCCTAACATTAGCCTTGCGTTCTGGACTAATTGGGCCAACAGAGTTGCAATTAAGATTTGAATAATTAGATAACGGACATGATTACTTTTGTAATTAATCCTCATACTGAGTCATCATGATCATGTCTGGGGTGATGACCACTGGCTTATACTTAATTCAAATAGAGGTAGTGAGTATTAAAAGCAAAGCATTAGCAAAAATACTCCCTCACTTCTCCTCTAGAAAAAATAAATATGACACTACATATAGACACACAATTTTCATTTTTCAAGTACATTTTACAGTGATCTGTTGGATGATGAGAACTCATTTCAATTTAATTCATGCCTCCATCTGTCTGTCTGTCTGTCTATCTATCTATCTATCTATCTATCTATCTATCTATCATCTATCTATCAATCGTCTATCCATCTTTTTTTCCCAAAGACTTCCACTTTGGCTTCTGCACTGTTTTGGAACTGTGACCTATATTTTAAAATGAGTGTTTTCTTTCCTTTTTCAAAAATTTACCATATCATAAAAACAAATACATATAAACAAACTGAAGTTGACCCCTCTCCCTTCTCTTGTCTACAAAAAAGCCACAGATGTTAGAATTTCTTATGGTTTGGCTGTGAGTTCCTCCTCTTGTCTCTACTCTTTCCACATACTGTCCATATCTGTGACTCCTAGAATGTCATCTGGTAGGAGTGTGTTGCGAAAAGACATCCAAAGCCAACAGTGCCAAGCAGACCTGCCAGAGCTCTTGTCTCTGCAGATCCCTCTCAGAAGCCTGTTGTCTTCAATTAATCTTCTCAATGAAAGGATCAATCAGCTCCGTAAATCAGGGTCTCAGACTCATCCCTGACTGCACACTCCCACAACTGGCGCATGCCAATCTGTTGCCAAATGAAGTTCACTTTTCTCTTTAAATGTTACTCAACTCCCACCACTATGTATTTCGCTCCATTGCCTCAATGTGGGAATATCGTGATATCTTTCTGAAGTAATGTAATAGTTTTCCTTTCCTATTCCTGTCCCATTCCAAACTTCCTTCTAAATTGGCACAGGCTTCTCTGTATGACTGTGTTCCTCCATCGCTGCATTTTAGCTGCTGTAGCTTCTCTCAATCCTAGGAATAAACCAACATCCCAAGTGTTACTACATGGACGCTTCCCTTTGCCTAGAACAGTCTTTCTTCCCTCTTCATCTAGTAAACTGCACATCCTCAGATCTCTGGCCATCAATTTTCCCAAGAGGTGTTTCTTGTCCCTCTAGACCAAGCCAAGCCCTTCCTTTATACTCTCTTACAGCCTCCTTCTCATTTCACTCTTAGCGCTTTCCTCACTTTGTAGTTATATGAGCTTTTTTGTTAATCATTTCAGCTCACAGATACACTGGATCGACCCAGTTTCTGACACACAAGAGACTCTATGCTCTTAAATTAATGAATGATAAATGGTGTCATATTGAAAATGGGTTAAACTGTGTGATTCAGCAACTAAGGATAAAAAGGTTTCAGAAGTAATTACTCAATATTTATTTATAAGTTGTCTATATACACCAATGGTCTTTAAAGAACAGATTCTTTCATATATGTGTTCATGTATGGCAAAATTAATACTCATGTTTTTTGTTTGTCTGTTTGCTTGAGACAGAGGCTTGGTCTGTCTCCCAGGCTGGAGCGCAGTGGCCTGATCTTGGCTCACAGCAACCTCTGCCTCCAGGATTCAAGTGATTCTCCTGACTCAGACTCCCCAGTAGCTAGGATTATAGGAGGGCCACCATGCCCAGCTAATTTTCGTTTTTTTGGTAGAGACAAGGCTTCACCATATTGGCCAGGGTGGTCTCAAACTCCTGGCCTCAAGTGATCTGCCTGCCTCAGCCTCCCAAAGTGCTAGGATTACAGGCATGAGTCACCATGCCTGGCAGTCAAATATTAATATGTGACTGACACAATACAGGTCTTTGAAGATATACACATAATTAATATGTAGTCTGGGCCTGCAAGGAACTTATAATCTCTCAAGTAATACAAATCTCTAAAGACAAAATTAGGAGCCATGACAAACTAATAAAATAATGAGTTAACGAGGCTGGTGGCTGGAAATGAGAGAGCATTTTCTGGTGAATGTAATGTCACGTTTGGGTTTCAAAGAGAGTAGGAATTAGCCAGACAAGTTACACAGATGTAGAAGAATAAGAAGGAGAAGAGCAGACACATTTAAGGCCCTATGGACAGCATGGATAAAAGTCACAGAGGTCCACAAGCACCATTAGGGGTGTGTGTGTGTACATTTGTGCACACAGGCTTATGCATGTGCCTACAAATTATTCACAGTGACTGAAAAGAAAAGAATGGTGAGAGGTAAGGAGGGGTGGGATAAGCTGGGGGGATGTCAGAGTAGGCCTCTTATCCCAGAATAGACTGTGGCTCACTTTGTAGATAACAGAGAGCCATTTGAGATTTCATGTAGGTAAGTGGTAAGGTTATATTTGTATTTGAAACAGAACACAGCTGGGGAGGCTACACTTGAAAGGGAAGAGACTGGAGGCCAGAATATTGAAGAAGAGGCTGAGTCCAGGCAAGAATTTGCTATACTTGCCTGCATAGGCAAGAGTGAAGGCCTGTACTTAAGAGAGATGCAGTAGGTATGCAGACATGGCTACATAGTTAAGGAAGTCGGAAAAAAACTGAGATTTGTGATACTGGAATGGAGTGTGGAAAAAAAAAATCATAGTTTAGTAAGACACTCAGGTTACAAACATACATGCTGGAGAAAATTGCAATTTTAACAAATGTATTTTAGCTTCTCTGACTCATGAATCTGAGCCCTACATATGTCTTTTTGTTTGTTTTTGTTTGTTTGTTTGTTTTTGAATACTAAATGTTTTGAACACCAATTTGGATGGCTATAAAGTTTAATGTGAACTAAAGATATCATAACTTCTCAAATTCAGGCTTAATGCTTCTAGGAGTAAACATGTTCAGAATTCTAACCAAGAGCATAAGGAAATGTAATGACATAACTTTGTTAAAACTAGATTTCGATGTCATGTTTTTTGAAGCTATGAATGTTAGACGATGGGGAAACTCCCAGGTCTTTTCTGCTTTACATAACATGTAAGTATTTTTGTCTCTTTTTGCTGGTTACTTTCCTAGGCATTGAGGAGTACAGGTGAATTCATATATTACCTTTGGGGTAGGTTTTCACTTAGTGCTGAATGTCAACCTGTTCCTTGAATGGGCATAATTCAGAAAAAAAGCTAATTTGTGTGTTATTATCAGAGATTATAGTTCATTTTTTATTCTGGCTGTTGTCTTCTTTGAAACTTTTTTCTTTGTAGGTATACAAATTTGGATAAGCAGCCAGATGTATCAGGCAAATTCTTGGGGAGATCCATGTTTGCACAATTGTTGATGTAGTTGTTTTATAGAAGAAAAACCCACGAGGGTTGCTGAGTCATCAGACTCCACTGTACTCTTTCACTGCAGTAGAGAATATAGTAAGAACTTGGTTTGGCTCAGTACAACATACTAGCTCAGTGGTAGCCTACACAAGGTATTATTTAAGACTTACTAATACAATTGAATTTGTGTAGGATTATCTTCCTTTAATTTTCCTATTAAGAATAACTTAGGGACTGCAAGGGAGAAAGGAATGTTTTATTGAAATAAGTGGACATTATCATAGCCAATACTTACAAATGTTAGAATTTGGAAATGAAAATGAGGCTTCTATGATCAAAACCCAGGATGGAGTCTAGGGCTTTGTCTCTGACACCTCATTGGAGATGAGTCCTGTCCTCTGTGCTAGAAGATCTATTTTAGTGCAGTCCTGGTAGGAAAAGAAAGCTGGCCCCTAGCCAATGGTAAATAGGGGTTAACAGAGATGAGACATTCAGGTACCAGGCTTGTGAGCTAGAGAGGTGACACACTGCTTACTTAATGGTGTCTTATGTAACCTACCTCCCCCACTATTCTTTCTTTTCTTTTCTTTTTCTTTCTTCTTTTTTGTTTTTTTTTTTTTGTTTTTTTTTGTTTTTTGTTTTTGAGACCGAGTCTCACTCTGTCTCCCAGGCTAGAGTTCAGTGGCACAATTTCAGGTCACTGCAAGCTCTGCCTCCTGGGTTCAAGCGATTCTCCTGCCTCAGCCTCTCGAGTAGCTGGGATTACAAGCGTCCGCCCCCATGCCCGGCTAATTTTTGTATTTTTAGTAGAGACAGGGTTTCACCATGTTGGCCAGGCTGGTCTCGGACTCCTGACCTCAAGGGATCCGCCCAGCTCAGCCTCCTAAAATGCTGGGATTACAGGTGTGAGGCACCGTGACTGGCCTCCCCACTATTATTTCTTTACTTTATGAAAAAAACTTGCCACTTGGTCTGTCGGTGCAGTGTGGTCTTAATGAAAAGGCCAGGTTCAAGTTGTGAGTAAAAAAGAAATAAAAGGCAATATGTTATTCTTTCCCTGTAGCTACAATTTTGTGAGTAATGGGGACCACGGGCATGGGACAGTTTCACCCAGAGGAGCTGTGATCTCCCAAGAGACATCAGCAGTTGTGGTCTTGCCTGGCAGATGGCAGGAGGTCAGACAGGGAAATACAAGACTTTTTTTCTAAGAGTATAAGCGAGCACCTTGGGAGTTTCACAAACAGCCAGGAGAGAAATCAAGTGACTCAGGGGCAGCAATCAAGGCAGTGATCCTGAGCTATCGTAAAGGTGTCAGTTGATGAAAATAGGACCTGATGATATTATCCCAAGCCTAGAAATATGGGTTGCCATAGGTTCTTGATAAAAGTTAGTTTTCTGTCCTCTAGGTAAACAGAGGCTTTTTAAACTTGAAATTATTAGGGAGATTTGAGACCAAGATTGTAGCTAGAATCAGTGACAGGGCAATGTCAGTGAAATATTGGGACATGGGCTATCCAGTTGCTGAAATAATAATAACCTCCTCAGCAGTAGTGTGCTTGCTGTAAGCCAGGTGCTTCACTAAGCACATTTATTATAGTATCTCATTATATAACTACCTGTTAATATTGTCTGTGTTATGCTATGAAAGGAAATCAGAGCATTAAAGAGTGACAAAAATTGTCTAAAGCTACATAGGTAGTAAGTGGTAGACTCAGATTGAAATGTCAATGTGTTGAATTGTGAATGCCATTCTTTTAACCATTATGCCTTTCCAATTCTACTTTACAAACTTGGATGTGCTACCTGGTAACACTGTTAACGCTGGGAAAGCCAAAGGAAAAACAATTATTATTTTTCCTTTGAAAAATTGTTATTTGTCATTCATTAAGATGGGTGCTTTCTCATACTTTACCTCATTTAATTCTCAATACAATGAATAAGAAAATATAAAATGTGTATTTATACCTTTTAAACACACAGAAGCAAAGGATTCTCCAACTCTCACTCTATTGCCACCAAATTTATTTCTTATGGGGATTTCTCTTTCTCTACAATCTTCTGCAAAAGAGAGCATGTTTTGCCATTTTCTCTCCTTTATTTCTTGTTCCTAAATTTAGCTCAATATGAGGGAATAAAAGCCTGGTGTGAAAAACTCTTTTTTCCTAGGTGGCATCTCTCCTCCCTCTCTTTCTTTCTGTCTTTCATTTTCTCAGTTTCAACCTATTAGTAGTAATAATTTTTAAAAAGAGTCATATATACATATTAATCACAGAATTTAACCTAGATGTTTACATAGATTTAAATAAGAACGTTCTACACGTCTTCATTTCTCTATCCTATATTACAGAAGTTTTGGTAGAAATAGTGTGTGTATATTACAGCGTGTATGTATGTGGGTGTGTGTGCATATGTATGTATATCTCTGTCTATTCTATCTGCATGTAATTTTTTTTTTTTTGACAGAGTCTTGCTCTGTCGCCAGGCTTGAGTGTAGTGGCATGATCTCAGCTCACTGCAACCTCCGAATCCCGGGTTTAGGCGATTCTCTTGCCTCAGTCTCCCGAGTGGCTGGGAATACACGCACTACCCCGCCCAGCTAATGTTTGTATATTTAGTGGAGATGGGGTTTCACCATGTTGGCCAGGATGGTCTCGATCTCTCGACCTCATTATCTGCCCACCACGGCCTCCCAAAGTGCTGGGATTACAGGCATGAGCCACTTTGCCTGGCCTGTATGTAATCGTTTATTCATTTTACAGAGATCATTAGAATTTTCTCTCCTGCTTTCTCATGCACTCCATTCCAGGTGACATCCTATACACAAGCCACATATACAGTGAGAAACTGCCTACGCTGAGTTGACCTCAAGTAGGTAGAAGGCTTTACGCAGCTTCAAAAGTCCCTCATTTGCTCTCATCAAAAAAGGATATCTGCAAGGGGACTAGAGACATTTATTCTAACATGTGCATCAGGACTCAAACAACTTCTGAGGTGTCCTCAGGCACCCAGAGGGCTCTATTGTCCCACTTCTCCTTGTTGCCTGTGTTCTCCTTTCAATCTCAGCCTAAAGTTCTTGTGGCTTTGGGACATCACTGTAGCTCCTTGTTGGGTATTCTCTCCCTTTAATTATTTCATGTGATAGATCTTGCTTCTTTTCCCCAAGGAAAGGGATTCAGAGTGGGTCAGTCGAATTTCTTAATCCTCAATCAGACAAAAAAGTAGATCATGAAAAATAATTGATGGGTGTTAGGCTTAATATCTGGGTGATGAAACAATCTGTACAGCAAACTCTCATGATACAAGTTTACCTACATAAACCTGCACTTCTACTCCTGAACTTAAAATAAGAGTTAAAAAATAGATTATGGTAAGATTTTCATTAATAAGAAACTGTTTGTTGCATTTCTAACACAGGGGCCTTCAATACCTCAACTTAAAGAATGGAAAGAATAGGCCGGGTGCAGCGGCTCATGCCTGTAATCCCAGCACTTTGGGAGGCCGAAGGGGGAGGATCATGAGGTCAGGAGATCGAGTCCATCCTGGCTAACACAGTGAAACCCCGTCTCTACTAAAAATACAAAAAAAATTAGCTGGGCGTGGTGGCAGGTGCCTGTAGTCCCAGCTACTTGGGAGGCTGAGGCAGGAGAATGGTGTGAACCTGGGAGGCGAGCTTGCAGTGAGCCAAGAGTGCACCACTGCACTCCAGCCTGGGCAACAGAGCGAGACACCATCTCAAAATAAATAAATAAATACATAAATAAACAAAAAAGAATGGAAAGAATATTGGCAAGGTAGATTTTGCCAGAGAGTATCAGTGAGATGCTTTTAAAGAGAAGCAGCTTTAAGCAGCATTGTTTCTTTTCTGATTAGTCAGCTCTTCTGTTTTATTCTAAATTAGCTTTCATTGCTTTTTGTGAAGATCAGGTATTGGTAAGGACTCCTTATTGCATTTTCCTAATCTGAAACTATGATGTTATTATCACTTGTTCCTAAAATACATCTATACCATAAAAAGTTTGGGGCAATTACTTTATTTCTGGCTCAATGTCTCCCAAGATGATCTCAAACACAAAATCATTACTGTTAATATTTATAAAGTCTCTCAAAAAGTATGGATTTTTCTAATTTATAAATTTGTATGCTTCTTGCAGAAAATCCTTAAACCTTTCTTATTTTTTTCTTTTCTTATGTATCAGTGTGAAATCAATTTGAAAGTTATTAAAAGGCTTTACATGGTGCTCTTCACTTGCAAATTGGTGGGACAACATTCATTATGATAAAAATAACAGTAAAATAAGTATGATTTTATTCACAACAATATTATTCTTAATCATATTTAAAAGAATAAAAAGATAATTTACTTATAATTACAACAAAGTTCTTAGCAAACCATGCAGAATAACTTTTTTCATTACTAAAATATCATAGTGTGTGTGTCTGGGTGAGTGTCTCTATGTAATTACCATCTGTGTCGGGGTGTTCATTTCTAGCACTTCAGTAGTCTCTCTTTTGTACTTCTGTCAGTCACCCCAAAAACGTACTGATAGTGTTGGCTAAATGAATAATGCAATAACACTTTTATTCTACTTGCATTTTATGTAATAACTAATAATGTTAAAAAAATGCTTCAGATTTATTTTACACACCAAATAAGCATATTGTATAAACATGTTACATACATGATAGTTATGTTATCTGACAATGTTAGAAACAGGCATTTCTGACACTCTTCAATATTTTTATTTTTATGTAGGAATCATAACAAATGCCTAAGGAACTTAATGTCTACAAAACTATTTCTGCTGTTTAAAAGATACCTAGCAACTGGAATGTTAAATTTGCTCTATTTGTATAAGTAGTTATGCTGTTGTCAGATTGAGATGAGTAACTCCAGGACCTATGAAAACTCTACTTTCTATTCCTATATGACTTCAACAATTCTGCTCTATCTAGTAAGTGATTTATGCACAAAACTCAAGGCAAGTATTTGAATACATCTTACACTTTCATTGGTAATGGCTTTATGTGGACAAAAATGCTATCAATTCTGAATTTTCCTTTCGGAATGCAAAACCTATGAAACATTTCAATAAATATAACACAAGCAGAATCACCCTCTTTACCAATCCTCAAGATTTTGAAATGTTTAACAAACCTGACATTTTTTATTTTTATTTATTTATTTAGTAAAAAAAGCAGATAGGAAAATTCGGCCTATTTTTTGTACTTAGTATGGGTCACTAGAGAGATAGAGAGAGTGAATGGTCTTTCAATAACCTCAAACTACAATGTGTTCAAAAGGGGAAATTGGAGAGGCACATGAACTTGAATTATGATTATAGAGAAAGTGCCAGAGCACCCAGCTCTGCACCTGGGAGTACAGAATTCTTAAAACGAGGAAATGCTTACTCAGATTCCTCCAAATATGGAACAAACCACTTGGGGAAGCAACACATTTTAACTTTACTGGTTCTTTTCAAAATAAGATCACCAAACTTCTTGAATAGGACACTAATACAACAGACACACAAACAAAACCAAAGACAATGAAGAGACTCTATGTTGATACATGTGTGGCTACTTAGTCATGAGGGTTAGATAACTCAGGAGTCTGTAAAAACTAGACTAGAAAAGACCAGGAGAGGCGTGAGGGTGGGAGATGGCCGGTAGCTTCCTAAGTTCATATGTTGTTTAAGACCAAGGGTAATATAAACACTATCACACAACAAGCTTTACTTTGTTAAAAGAATCAGTGTGAAGCATTCATAGCTTTAACTAAACTTTTGTGTTAACTGTTTTCATTCCCCGCTGCTTACCTCTGGGCTGAGTTCCTCTTTTCATGCCTGCAGATCAGAGCATAATTGGACCTGCTCTTTTTCCCTAAAATATTTTCAAGAACAAAATGGCTTAGCATCCCATAGAGAAAAACATTCCTGATGTTTAATTATACTTCTCAGTAGATGTAGAATTGTGGGATATTAAACCTGTTTACTTTTTGTTTGACAAGAGATATGTCTCTATTATTTTTCTATTATGTTCCCCCTTGGACACTAGTCACAACATTTTTCTTTGCATTCTTTTTCTCTCTGCCTTTTAGATGTTTGCCTTTAGGGGCGCTGACAAAAAACATTTTATTTGGTGGATCTGCATTAGAAATCACTTCTTTTCCTGACAAGCTATTTAAAATGTCACTTGTGCCTTGTGAAGGCTTTTAGAAAAACACAGAGACCTGGACCCAGATGACCCAAACTGTGTTTCTGCAAGGATTGCAATTTCCTTTTGAGGATTATGGTTCCAGGGAAGATTGCTTCTAAATATCTGTGAGAGAAATACTTTCCAGAATTATTGCTGTTGTTTACTCTATATTGATTTTTAGAGTATTTTACCTCACTTCATATAAAGGACAAATAATAAAATATCATTTAATTATTGTAATATTAAATATAACAGTGTAATTATTTCTCAAACACAAGAGATCAAAGTGTATCTCTTCAGGATGTGCTTTTTGACTACTGATTATCAAGTACAATATAGCCAATTTCAGTTGTTTGTTCTACCAATTACACTTCTCTGAAGATCAAAAAGCTGGAGAATAGGAATTAGTGTAGCTCCCCTATACTAATTATCATCCAGTTATGAAATACAAAGCTATAAGAGTGGTGCTTTTGAAGAAAATTGACGTGTGAGTTAAAATATGCATGTTCATTGATCACAAATGGATGAGAAATGTCACCCAGTTATTACACAGAAAAGAGCTGATTGAAAATAGGTGACTTTTACCAAACGTGTGTGAACAATTTCCACTGTTCATTAAAGTACAAGATATCTACATCATCCATAAGGTGGATATGATGTTGGAAATGCATTAAACAGATTTCAGTGGTTACTACCATGATAAGTGTTTTGAATTAATCTAATTGTTACTATACTTTGTGTTCTCTGACATTTCATCAAGGGGACATAGGGAAGCAAAATTCTTTTCAGAATGTCAGGAATTTAATTGCCCAAGTAGAAGGAAGAAGCATTGGCTTATGAATAAATAACTATGTTTTTAATTTGAAGAAGATCACCAACTATTCTTTTTACAAAGGATTTGGGCACATAAGTGCCTGTCACTGGGAATATAGTAGTGAATGACACAGGCATAGAACCTGCCATCAAAGAGTTTGAAGTGTGGCATTATTCAATGAAGTAATGAGTTCTGTGATTGGATTATAAGGGACATAGAGTGTGCTATGGAAACTGATAGAAAAAACATTTGAACTCCACTTGTAGGGGCCAAAAAACACTTGTATGAAATGTATCTTGAGTTCTGAAGGTCAATAGATCTAGTCAGACAAAAAGTCAACTTACTGTGACAGACAGCAAACATGAAATCTCAGACATAGGAACCAAATGATAGCAACCATGGCTGGGTCATAGACTGCTTGAGATTAAGAAAAAGCAGATATGATGCAGCATCCAAACCTCACGTTGAAATGGATGCAGCCATATTCACCATATAAAGATATGGAATCAACCTAAGTTTCCATATCTTAAGATATCTAAGATACAGAATCAATCCATCACAAAATGACTGGATAAAGAAATGTGGTGTATATACAAAATGGAATACTATTCACACATAAACAAGAATTAAATCATGTCTTTTGTGGCAACATGGATAGAACTGGAGGCCATTATCTTACGTGAAATAACTCAGAAACAGACAAATACCGCATGTTCTCACTTATAAGTAGCACTAAATAATGTGTACAAATGAACATAGAGTATGAAATGATACACACTGGAGACTCAGAGCTTGGGGGATGGAAAAGTGTGAGGGAGGATAAATAACTTAATGGGTACAATGTATATTATTTGAGTGATGGATACCCTAAAATGCCAGACTTCACCCTATGCAATATATATTGCATATAACAAAATTGTACTTGTACCCCTTAAATATATACAAAAAAATGGGTGTCCAGTGGGGGTTTTAATTATGTCTTTAAAAAGCAGGGAAACTACAAGAGAAGCCTTAACATGGGGGTAATAGGGCAAGCTTGTATTCAGAGATATCAATTTTCTGTCAGTATATGGCATTATCTTGTGTAGAAAAGGAATACGGTAATGCAGCCATAAGGCAAGTGACAGATGAAGGTGATAAGAACTGTGGGGAAACAACGAGGGAAAGCCAGGGGAGAGAAAGTTAGAAGGCAGGATTGAAAGGACCACATGTTAATTGGATCTGTGGGAAGTGACAAGTGGGAAGGCAAAGATGTTTGCTGGATTCCTAACTTGACACATTGGGTGGATTAGAGTGCCACTTACTGAGATGGTAAAGAGAGAAGACATAGAAAAGGTTTTGAGGCGAGATTAGGGAATGCACTGATATCTCCCTCCCTCTGCCCCTCCCTCCCTCTCTTTTCCTCCCTCCCTCCCTCCCTACTTTCCTTCCTTCCTTCCTTCCTTCCTTCCTTCCTTCCTTCCTTCCTTCCTTCCTTCCTTCTTTCAACATATAGTTACTACCTCTGTGACAGACACTGATCTAGGTGATGAGCCTGCAGCAGTAAACAAAGCAAGGTTCTCATCTTCACAGAGCTTACAGTCCCATTGGAGCAACCATCAGCAGGTAAGACAGTAAATCTGAGATGAACAATAAGGAGAAAGAGATAGGGTGGGTGATATTTTAGGTAGAATGGTAAGGGAAAACTGAAAAATTAGTTTCAGCTAATATTAGCGACAACAAGCTCTGCACAAAAGGGTCAGAGATTTTGCCAGAGTTAACCCTTAGTGTTCTATCTCTGAAATAAAAAGCTCAGAAGTTCTCCTTCTAAGAATGTCAATGGTGTTAAATTTAAATAGCTCAGTTTGACTTTGATTATCCAGCAAGAGTAGAGGCAAAAAAGTGGCCTTTTCTGTTAGGTCGCAGTCAGGAGGTGGGAGGATGTGAACACTTCTCCACGTCAGTACTAGCAGATATGGCCATCCATATTCTTCACTTTTCCTGAACTCTGAAACTGAAATACATTCATTCATCTAATCCTGCAATACAGAACCCCTGAAAATCACCTATGGATTTATAACTTTGCCAAATTTATGCTCATTCAACTTTATTTGGTTCAAAGCTCTACACGCGAACTTTCATATATTCTTGGCACAGCATTTAGGTAAGTGACTTTCTCTCCCTTCAACTCCACTAAAACTTATTTTCTCCTATAGTATACATATTTTTGTTTTTCATGTGCCTTTTTAAATTTTTTAAAATTTATTTTTTAATTGACACATAATAATTGTGCATAATTATGGGAAACAGTGTGATGTTTCAACATAGGTATACGATGTGTAATAATCAAGTTAGGGCAATTAGCATATCCATCATTTCAGAAATTTATCATTTGTTTGTGGTGAGAGCATTCAAAATTTTCTCTTGTAGCTATTTTGAAATATATGTTATATTAACTATAGTCACCATGCTGTGCAATGGAATACTAAAACTTATTTCTCCTATCTAACTGTAACTTTGACCAATTTGTTTCTATACATCTTTTTCCCTCCCCCCGCCACAGCCTCTGCTAACCTCTAATCTACTCTCTACTTCTATGGGATCATCTTTTTCAGATACCGCATATGAGTGCAATCATGAGGTATTTGTCATTCTGTGCCTGGCTTATTTCACTTAACATACTGTCCTCCAGGCTCATCCAAGTTGCTACAAATTACAGAATCTCATTCTATTTTATGGCTGAATAGTATTCTACTGTGTATATATACCACACTTTCCTTGTCCACTCATCTGCTGATGGACACTTAGGTTGATGCCATATCTTGGCTGTTGTACATAGTGCTGCAATAAATGTGGGAGTGCAGACATCTCTTTGACATACTGATGTTATTTCCTTTGGATACAGACCCAGCAATGGCATTTTGGGATCATATGGTAGTTCTATTTTTAATATTTTGAGAAACCTTCCTACTCTTGCCTATAATGACTGTACGAGTTTACATTCTCACCAACAGCAATATGAATTCCCTTTTCTCCACATCCTTGCCAGCACTTGTTACTTTTTGCTTTTTTGATAATAGCCATTCTAACTGAGGTGAGATGATATCTCACTGTGTTTGTAATTTACATTTCCCTGAAGATTAGTGATGTTGAGCATTTTTTCATGTGCCTGTTGGCCATTGTATGTCCCCCTTTTGAGAAATTCTATTCGGATTGTGGGATAAGAACTCAAACACACAGATTTAGAAGCAAAAATAGATAAATGGGATTACATCAAAATAAAAAGCTTCTTCATAGCAAAGGAAACAATCCACAGCGCAAAGAGACAACTGACAGAATGGGAGAACATATCTATAAACTATGCATCTGACAAGGGGTTAATATCCAGAATCTATAAGGAACTCAAACAACTCAATGAAATAGAAACATAGAATTCACGTGTTTTTGTTTTGTTTTGTTTTGTTTTTTGTTTTTTGAGACGGAGTCTCCCTCTGTCGCCCAGGCTGGCGTGCAGTGGCGCGATCTCAGCTCACTGCAAGCTCCGCCTCACGGGTTCACGCCGTTCTCCCGCCTCAGCCTTTGCAAGCTCCACCTCACGGGTTCACGCCATTCTCCTGCCTTAGCCTCCCGAGTAGCTGGGACTACAGGCACCCGTCACCACGCTCGGCTAGTTTTTTGTATTTTTAGTAGAGACGGGGGTTTCACTGTGTTAGCCAGGATGGTCTTGATCTCCTGACCTCATGATCCACCCGCCTCGGCCTCCCGAAGTGCTGGGATTACAGGCGTGAGCCACCGCGCCCAGCCCAATTCACGTGTATTTTTTTAAGTAGCTAATAACATGTATTTCTATTTGAAGTAGTAAAAAATAAAATGTAAAATTCAGACTAGAGCAGCAATAAATCTAGCTTGCCCTTCTGAAAATTCTTTAATGAGTTCTCATTATTCCTGGGTTAAAGTTCGCACCTCTTACACAGGCATCAATGAAGCTGCTCTTTTTTACATATTCACCACTCCATTGTCATGTTCTATCAAACTAATGTGGTGCTGGAGGGTGTCAGGAATGCACCCAACATATCTCTGTGCTTTTAGCACATAGTGTGATTTCCATTAGGAGCTAATGGTCTCTCTTTTCCTGTCTGTCTAAATTCAAGCTATTCTTTAATTTACAGATAAGGGAATTCCTCTTGGCCTCTCTGTTTAAGTCAGGAGCTATTTTTTGTGCATTGACAGCAGTCTGTACATATGTTCCATGATGGCAGACCACAAGCATTGTGACTACTCGTTCTTTAGTTCCCCTCTCCCACCATCAGGCTGAGCATATTATGCATAGGAACTAGGCCTTGTCAACATGTATCCCTAGCACCTAGCACAGCACCTAACACTTAAGAGGTACACAATAGTTACTGAGTAAATTCAATGGATGAATGTCAATGAACAAATATGGTTGAATCTTACACATTAAGATTTTATAATGTGTTAAAACGTTAACAACAAAAGCAAAAGCAATTGCCTCAATTCTAATACAACAGCCACAGAAATTAATTTGGAATATTCACTCAATCTTGGTCAACAATATTTTCTGAGGATAAACTCTGTAACAGACACTATCTTAGGTACTGAGTTGCAGCTTTGAATAAAAGAAACAAAAAGCCTGCCTTCATAGAGCTCACATTCTAATAATGGGGAGTGGGGAGAAAAACAATAATCAAATAAATTTAAAAGAATACGGTTGATAAGATTTTAAACATTACACAAGAAAATAATAGAGAAGAGTAATAGGAAATTATGGGGGCAGGTTTGTAATTTTTAATTTATATTACCATAATGATGGTAATATAAATTATCCAAAATTTATATCTATATTAATGAAATATATTTCCCTCTATTGTTTATAGATTTTGGCAATAAGAAAGAAATATGGCAGTTGAGATTAGAAAGGGAGAAAAGTTTAAATAAAGAAGAGAGATGAAATCAATATCCTTGTAATTCAGTTTTGGGAGAGAAGAAAGTTGAACTGACAAAGAAGAAAGTCTTAAGGCTACATTGCTAGAATACAGAGAACTGAGATGTTACCAGAGAAGTCAGCATTTTCTGATAAGTTTTGAACTTCAGTATGGAGTTATCTTGGGCAATGCTATAGCCAAAAACTTCTAGATATTGGGAAGGGAGACTGGAGAAGCAATGAACACCCTGTCCCTCTTAATTGCAAGGAATTAAATATGTCAGCGATACTTACCTAAATATTTTGCTTTCTAAGACATCCAACTATTCTATGTCCAAAATAGTTATGTAGAAATCAACAATAGATTAAATATACACACAAAATTTTATATTATATATTAAATATAATATACATATTTCTCAATTTTGACCTGGTTCAGAATTTTTCATCACCTTCCTGAGATGGGAAAAGCTTCTCAAGAAGGTTGATCAACATCTGATTCAGGTGAGCTAGGCAGTGAGTCTCATCCTGTGAAACGTCCTCCAGTAGACACTCGTCCACCCATGGCAGCCATGGGGCAGAGTAGGGGGCAGTGGTGATATGAGAGCAGCATTTCTCATCACCAGTAGCATCAACCTCTCTGGCAGGTTGTTAGAAATGCAGAATCTTGAGGCACACTCTAAAACCTCTAAAAAAGATCCCCAGGTAACTTGCGTGCCTGTTCTTAAGGTTTGAGAGTTGCTGGTCGACAGCAGCAGTGTCCAACTGGGGCTACATAATAGAGTTACCTGGGAAATTTTTTTTTTAAATCCCAATAATTAGGCCACATTCTTATATATTCTGTTTTTGTCAGAATCAACTGTATATGTCTCAAACTGTGGTTCCTGGTTTCTTTTCTACAACTGAAAGAAATCTACCAAAGTTTTGACCTACTAAACCCACTAAGGTTTGACTTGTGAAATCAGCACTCCAGGAATGAGACCCAGGAATCTGCTTCTTTATTTAAGTCACATAGCAGTTGATTCCTATATGTACCAAAATATAAGGTGTGGCTTGGAGGATGAAAAATAATGGATTCCACTGTAAAAAAAAAAAAAAAAAGAGTTTCTCTATGTTTATTATTTGAATCAATATGCAAAGTATGCAATGGAATACTTTTGCATATATACACTGGTAGTTGATAACTTTGTCAAAATTTATAATTAGAGGTTTTAAATACCATAGAAAAATATGGATGAATTAGTGAGTGTGAGGAAATAAAAATACTGAGTCTCTCCAGAGACAGACATTTAGATAGTTATCTTCAAGACATTTAAAAATATTCTACCACGGTCCGGCGTGTTGGCTCACACCTGTAATCCCAGCACTTTGGGAGGCGGAGGTGGATGGATCACGAGGTCAGGAGATCCAGACCATCCTGGCTAACACGGTGAAACCCTGTCTCTACTAAAAATACAAAAAAAAAAAAAAAAAATTAGCCGGTCATGGTTGCAGGCGCCTGTAGTCCCAGCTACGCGGGAGGCTGAGGCAGGAGAATGGCGTGAACCCGGCAGGCGGAGCTTGCAGTGAGCCGAGATCGCGCCACTGCACTCCAGCCTGGGCGACAGAGCGAGACTCCGTCTCAAAAAAAAAAAAAAAAAAGACTGCCTCAAAAAAAAAAAAAGAAAAAGAAAAAAAATTCTACCAAATATTCATTATGCTGATAATAAAAAAATCATGCAAGATGAATGTTTCTCTTCTAAAGAAGCAGTCAGCAAACTTTTTCTGTGAAAGACAAAATGGCCAATATTTTTAGCTTTTCAGGCTCTACAATCTTTTTCTGCTCTACTATTCAACTCTGGCTTTGTGGCTTGCAATCAGCCATTGACAAGATGGAAATGAATAGCTGTGGCTGTATTCCAACCAAACTCTATTTACAAAAACAAATCATGGGCTATTTTTCTGGCCCCTGTAATACCAAGTTAGATTGTTGACTACCAGTGGTCAAATGGAACTTCTTTTTCAAGACTTGTTCAATTCCTTTCAATGTACGTAAGAAAGAGTCAAAGAATTCAGTTGCTAATTTAGTCCTCATGACAAATAGGATGGTTTCTCTAAAATGGCTCCTAAGTTACATTCTTTTAAGAAACATCCACTTCATCTGTGTAAATCCAACAGGACCCCCAAAAAAGAGTATGCCCCAAAATTCAAAATGTACTTATATAAACACAGTGTTATGAAATTGTTCCTGGAAGTTTTGCAAGATCCACGTGTTCATTGTTGCTTAGGAGAGAAAAGATCTCTAATTTTTGCTACTTTACAGGTAAGGTGACAGCTAATAATAAGGTTCTCTATTTATAATAACAACTATCATTTTCTGAGGACCTGAGCAATTGTGGATATATCAATTCCCTCCTTTATTTCTCAGAACACTACAATAGGATAGGTACTGTGATTGGCTCAATTTTAAATAACATAAAAACAAAGTTTAGACACCTTAACTGACTTGTCCAAGGCCACAGAGCTAGAAAATGCCCTCAGCTGGATTTGAACCAGGTAGTTGAACCTAGAACACGTACAGCCACTAAACATTACTGCCCTATCCATTGTCTACCAGAACTATGAACATGTAAGATACTGAGTTAGTTGTAATATTTTCATTTGTAAGGGAAATAGATGTGCTCAATTTGAATGGATTAACAGGACTAAAACTACAGAGAAAAATGTGAATGTGAAAAATGGGGAAGTCTCACCACTGCATGGTATGCCTGGAATACGATACGGGATATCAACCCAGGATAACACAGTACTTCCTCTGAGAAGCACTCTTTTCTTCTTGCGCTTAGCTATTAGGGTAAGTTAGAAAATGTGTCTGTTCTTACTGACCTAATGCAATTAACCTCTTTTCTTTCTTTTCTACTGGCCTCATTACTGCAGCTTATTCATGATTTCCACAGACTGTCCTTTCTATGTTTCTCAACTTCTTTTCCTGGCCACTAACTGCTGAGGCTCCACATGGTATTTCAAATTTAAGATAACCAAGTCAAATATTTGTTATTTCACACAGAACATTTTTATTGGCATGGTTCTCCTGGAAGGCCACATGGTGGCCATTGGCCAGTCTAGAGAGGGCTCTCTTAGACCTTGGCACATTCATTTCTCATCAAATCTACTGCGGCCAGTAGAGCCTAGACACATGGTCATATTTTCTTGGTGGAAACACCTATGCATTGTGAACTGTTACCATTACAAGCTCTTCTACAATATTGTTCTTTATAGATAATATTCATTCTTTTGGAATAGTAATACAGGAGGTAATGTGTACATATACTTTGTTTTTTCTGTTATTCTTATACACAATTAGGATAAGCCAACCATTTTCCAACAACCTAGAGAATTGAAAGTACGCTGGTTGGTTGTTGGAGATTATACACATATATGCCTTGAACATATTTCTAGTCATTGTGGAACCTGTTATTTACAGTATCTGGTACAACGTCATCTCTTTCCAGATTTGGGAACATGTTGGAACACAATAAATTATCATATTTTATAACCATACAACCTAACTTCTAGTTACCATCTTAGCACATCATTGGATATGACAGCTAATCATATTAAATTTTCCAGGTCACCTCTAATCTTATAACATCCCTCCCTTCTTGTCACAGGATTAGATCAAATATTAATTGAAAAATATTACCACAATATCAACACGATTAGCTACACCAAACCTCTGTGGACATATGGGAAAGTTTATGTAAAGTCAGCATAGCAAATAGGCTGCTGAATATGTAAGTCTGTTTTTTCTGAAGTCCACTTCCAACATTCAATTCCAACAGTTAGTTTCTCTACCTTTTCTAATATTGTGAATATCTTTCACTATTAACCTGAGTTCCCTTAACTTCCTTTTAATCGCATTTCAATACAATTAACACTGAATTTATATCTCTACATTTTATTTTATTTTATCCTGAGAGTGTGTCAACCTCTCTTGGAAAGATGTATATGTTACAAATACTAAATTTCAGTAGAGACTTTGCTTACAGTAGAGTGCTTTTTCTGTCAGTAGTAATCAGAATTAGCTGGAAGCAAAGACTTGCACACTAACCTCTTTCAGAAACTAAAAGAACAAAGTACATGCTGGTTTCCAATACTGGTGGTGATGGAATTTACAAAATCATTTATTTTGTGTAAACAAGAGTTAACCTGTTCTAAAGGTAATATGATTACTCTGTACTATCTTAAAAATAGTCTTACAATATTCATGAGTATCATGTCAAGTGCTGGAAACAGTCACCATATATGAGGTAACAAAAAGGTATGGTATAGAGTGTATGAGTTTTAAACACAGCCAGATCTGAATTTTAGTTATAGGTTCATTACTGTGTGCCCTTGGCCCAGTTACATATGCTCTCTCAGATTCCAGCTTTCCTTCTGGAAAATGAGGGCAAATAACATCCATGTTAACATTTCAACTTTCATATGTTTTTATATTTATCATTTATTCATATATAAAAAGTTTATAACTCAGCTATCTGAGTTGAGGAAGCATGTGAGCTAGATTAGATACTGCCTATCTCTAGTGTCTTTTATTGAACATATTACTTATTGAGGAGCAAGTTATAGAAGAACTTGAAGCAAGTTTTGTAAAGTTTTAAAAGATTATTTTATTTAAATTTTGAGACTTCCTACTCTAAGTGAGGTTATCCTATGAGATGTTTTCCCATCTTACAGAAGAAATAAACTACCCTCAATCAAATGAAAAATGGAATTCAATATAGATTAAGGAGGCAGATGCTAAGTAAAATAAACTGTTACTAATTCTCAGTTGAACCCAAGATTTTCTTCATCCTCTTATCAGTATATTGCAAATTCAGACAACTATGACAATGGTAAGACTCCTTTAAGCAATTGCATTTTTAATTTTTTAAATTAAATTTGTATTTTAAGTTCAGGGGTACATATGGTGGTTTGTTATATAAGTAAACATGTGTATTGGGGATTTGTTGTTTTTTGAATGAGAACTACAATTCCCTCAATTTTTAAACATAGATATTTCATTAGACAGTAAACACAACCTTCAATGGACGTACTCTGGTCAGACACTTCAGTGGTCAATACATCCAACAAAAAAGTTCATTGGGTCTGATGCCACCATCAATTCTGAAGTTGGCACAAGGATAGAGATGTTTTCAGCGACATGCAAGTTCGCTAGTAGCAAGTGTGTGTCCCTGTTTGGTTAATGTTGCCTCTTTCTGTTTATCAAGTTTGCTTAAAAAAAAAAAAAAAAAGAAGCCAAAGACCCAGGGACAATCACTGTAGTCAACACATTCTTCTCTCAATTATCTTTAATTCTATTGAGAAATCATCTCCCCAGGGAAAAGAGATAGACGTCTCAGAACAAGAGAAGTAGATAAAAGTCTTCAGGCTTTAGCTACAAACATACTGGTAGCCAAGTACACATCAGCCTTTGGGAACCTTGAAAATAGTTTACTCCTCTGGAAGAAGCAGTAACATCGACATCAGCCTGAAAAGCTCTCCAGAGAATTTCAGAATGATAGCCAATTATTAGAAAGTGTTCTGACATCTTTATAAAATGTCCCATCTCAAGAGATCCATAGAAGAAAAGGGAAGTCAGCACTTCAGGAAATACGAGTGCTCACTCTGAAAAGCACACTTGAGATACCATTATAAATCTTTATACAAAAGCAGCTAGATATTTACATTTTGCTTTAACAATAGAAATTAATTGTTAAAAATCAACCTGTTTCAGTATTATATGTGATATTTTAAATAATGTTTATTTCATTATTTGAAAACTTTTATGTCATACAGTATCAAGGTAAGTGATTGCTATTCTTCAGTATTTAGAGTGCAGACTAATAGATCACATAATTATAGTGATATAATTATTTAATTACTCTTAATTACATAAAAATTTATCATAATATGGAGTAAAACCATCAGGCATGTATGCGCTTAGTAAGGTAGAAAAGAAAAAGTTCAGGTAATTAAACTTTGGAAAAAAGTTGCTTACAATACCTTTCTAGATATTTTTAACAAGCTTACAAGAAAATGGGTAAAAAAGAATTAATATGGAATGGTTTAATCTGAATTACCTGGATAATTGCCCTAAGTGATATAGGAAATGTAAGCTTCACTTCGATTCATTATATCTTAATAATAAAAATGAAATAAAACATAAAAAAGATTTTTTTACAAACACATAATCTCTTATTGAAGAATTCTTTCAAAAACAAGCATTTTAGAAAGCACTTAATTTTCCTTTGCTTTCTTTTTTTATTCATGTCATAAAAGAAATCCACTTCTGTTGAATAAGGACTATAAATTATATGAATGGTATAATAAGTCTTCTAGTTTCATTTTTCTTAATACTTGCATCAGAAACTATAACATTTAAGTTTTAAGTTCCAAATGGATACTATTAAAATATTCAGGGATTTAGTCCTAAATCCTTAAACCAAAAGGGAGCTCAGGAATATTGCTAAAGTAGAAAGCTGCACAAAATCTCAACTCGCATTTGCAAATTTTCTTTCCATCTGATTTAACTTTGAAGCTTTCAGACTCAGATTTTACTATATGACATCAACAAATCACTTCAATCAAAATCAATTTACCTTGGCAATGCACAACCCTTCCAGATAGATTATTAAAAAGGTAAAATGAGAAATTAACTATCTTTTCATGTTCCCTTTTATTTTCTCTGGATACAAGGCAGAATGAATGTATTTCAAAAGAAATTGCCCTGAGATATCATTATCTCCAACGCCGTTTTTACTCCAGGAAACTTGCTTATAAATTAAGCTTTTCCTGACACAGTCACTTGCTGCAGTGCAGAATGTCAGTTTAGTCAGTTAGAACTTTCAATGCAGAAATTCAGTGCCATGCAGTCACCCGGATAAAGCAGCACTTACCTTAATTGAAATTTTCTCTGTGAACGAGGTGAGAAATCCGTCAAATCAACCGTGATGGGGTGGGGAGATCGAAGTTTTCAATCAACACCCTCTAAGTAGCTGCATCCTGTGCTCCTTTTCCCTGTTATGTTGAGCTCCTCACTGTCTAAGGAGAGAAAAACATCAGCTGAAATCCTCCGAGGTTCCCAGTGAGTAAATGAGGACTAAGCGATGTTTCTGAACGGGAGATTCTCCGTGAGCGTGCTCCGTTTGGAGGCTCCCTAACACTCTTGGCAGGTCCCTGGAGCCAGGCGCTAATCATTGACCTGATTAGCAAGAACGCTCCGGGTGCGCAGGCAACACACGCCGAGGGTTGGTGGGTCTCCCGGGAACTGGAAAAGGCACCAAGGCCACTTGGGAATCTTGTCTTTTCCAGCCTAATGGATGAACTACAACTATGATTATAATTTGCAAGGAGATTAGCTGCCGTGCTAGCCATCGCAGGACTTAAACAAATGTGCTTTCTCCTGCTGTTTTTCAAGGTGCCTTCGTGTAAGATATTAGGTACAGTGAAACAATTAATAGACTGATAGAGCTGACTTGTAAGACAAGCTTAAAGCTGAAAAATGTTTAAAGCGATGTGATCAAAGAGATAGCTGCACTTGTCCCTGACGCTCGCCTGCTACATACTTCAACCTTTGTCGAAGTAAAATGAATTTAAAGGTTTATTACAGCCCTCCAGAGTGCAACTCTCTGAATTTATAAAAAGGAAGTATTCATACTAAATAAGCATATTTGGCAGATTGCTACAGACACAAGCACTCAAACCACGGCATGAACACAGCCTTGCTTGTGTAGTTTTCCAAACGGCATTTTCAATTAGCATTAAACTTGCAAAAAATGTTTGCATTGTACCATTAACCAGAGTAACGTAGGAGAATACAGCACTACACCTAACCGAATCATCTCTTTGATTATCTGTTGAAACACTGATTTACTAAAACAAAAACAAACAAGCATATGAGAGGATCGAAAATATCTAACAACTTTTTAAACGTAGTTATGTGCCGTTACCAACCTGCTGGTCCCCATCCGTCATCCGCTCTTTCTGCCACTGATCACCTTCTCAGCACTTCCTCATCAAGTTCCTAGTTCCCTGAAGAGATCTAACTCTCTGGAAAAGGTCACATAACTGAATGCCAAAGCCCCAAATGGTTAATTTTTGACAGCTCTCACTTTTGCAGGAGAAAATTATGCAAATAACATAAAAAGAACAGATGAAAAAAGTAATTTGCATGTCTTGAGGGTGAGAAAATTCTCATTGCCAGAGAGAAAGCTGACGACTGTCCTCTCACAATGATCCTGAGTGATATGTTCAGCACTTTTGTTTTTTTCCAGTGGGCCTCACTTGGGACATATGGCATTTCCTTGATGTGTGTGTGCGTGTGTGGGTGGGTGCGTGTGCTTGCGTGTGTGTGTGAGAAAGAGAGAGAGGAAGAGCGAGAAGCTATATTTACATTGTGATATTTATATATATCTTAGAAAACCCTCAAATTTCAGTAGGCGAATGCACTAAGTATAAATAATAGAGAATCCGTTTGCCTTATACATTCCCAAATATATTTTTAAAGTATCTCATTAAAATACAAGCTCTTGGTGAAACTTTTTGGACAAAGTAAAACTTCAGGGTAACTGAATTGCTGTTACTAAGGCAGGTACTCATCCTACTCTGAAAACGGAGACGGCCCTGCAGGAGACCCAGGAGGTGGGGCTGTAGCCTCCCATGCAGAGGTCTCTTGCTCCCTCAGCTGGTGGAGGGTGACAGCCGAATGTGAAGAAACCCAGTCAACCACTTCAGGAGAGGGAGAACAATTTTTGCTGCTGTAAAGCAGGAAACCCATTGTCCAATTTTAGATTGGCATGAGAGTGTTATAGTAGAAAAGAGGCTGCTTACATCGAAGTAAATGCACCTTGAGCATAAATTGTAAAAATAAGAAAATGTAACTGCTAATTTCTCCTGAGAGGGTTCCAACTAGTCTTTAACACAATACTTGTAAATAACAGTGGGATAGATTCCAGGGCTCTAATGTGTAGTTGGTCATGCAATTAAAGCACTCCGTTTCTCATATTGGTCTAAGTCCCATTCTGAGGATCTTAAATTGTGAACTATTTTTAAAACTTATTAAAACATTAAGACACGGCTTATTTTCCTGAACCCTGCCAGCCAACCTGCAATCATCATCACCAACTAAAACAGGTGCACACGAAACTCTGTGCCATAGTAGATGGGTTCTATCTGGAAACTCCAACTCCATGAGACTGCCCTGATGACATTTCCAAATAATCAGCCTTTCTGTTCTCATAAAATCCAGAGGTCTTTCAAAACCCTGAATGGTTTCTACAGAGAGTATGATGACTCTTCAGTAGTTTTTTTAACCTGTGTTGGAACACTAATTGATTTTATGTGAAACTACACACATGAAGAACAAAGCAAAATAAGACCATTTTGTTGGAGGAGTGAGGGGAGACCGTAGTCACATGAAAATAACAGGTACTGTCTATTACATGCTTGCTATGTAGTAAGTGACTGGCATGCACTTCAGCTATAGCTATCCATGAACCCCTTAGTCCAATTCTATTAAGCAGACATTATAATATTTTATTTTTTTAATTAATTAAGTTAGGGCTCTGAGAAGTTAAGCAAATTTGCCAATGTTGCATAGTCAGTACAGAAGAAACCCACCACTAAAAGTCAGGTTACTGTAACTATAAAATTAACAAATATTTGGAAGTTCCCAAATGTTAAAACTGATCAAAATCCCTACTTCCAACAGAATGGGAACATTTTCTAGATTTTATGATTAACAAAAATCATTTTCACATCTTTAAAAACCATTTTATAACTGATAAACTATTGTAACAGTTCTGCTATTAAAAGTTATGTATGATTTAGCAGAAAAAAATTCACAAAAAAAACTTTAGGCTAAAAAATAGATTCCATCCAGAGCTTCCAAATATATAATTCCATTAGCACAAATTACTCAATTTCAAATTTTTAAAAATCCCTTCTGCAATTCATTTGCTCTCCCACTCAAATATAATAATTATTGCTTTTTTAAAACAAGAAAATAGCTCCACTCTAAGTAAATGAATATCTCAAGAACAGTCATAAAAATATATTAGGCCAAAATTATGATGATTTTTACTATCCTAGTTCTCCAAGTGGCATAATGTAACAGCAAAGCTCAAATGTACTAGGGAGCTAAAGTTTATCTCTGATTTGTTCATGCTTTATCTACAGGTTTCTTAAAAGTCACATGAATCCTATCATTTCATATGGCTCTTTGAAATTCTCAGACACATCCATAACTTTACACAGAAGCATTGTGACCACACTCTTTCAAGATGTTTAATAAAATAAATGATGATAATGCAAACTAATGCAACATTTAAACTTTGCCAAGAACTTATTCTCTCATTTGATTCTTACGGGAATCCTGTGAAATAGGTTACCATAAGTATTTTTCTCATATGTTAGTGATGAGGAATAAAAAGAGCAAGTGATTGTCCTTTGGTGTTCGATAGCGGAAAACCTAATGTCTTCCTTTTTACATAAGTCCTATTGCTCCCCACTATGTCAAATAAATATGTTTATCTGAGTCATCTTTTTGTCAAAAAGGATCTTAAGTGGCTATATAAACAGAAGCCAGTCTTTCTTCATTTACTTAGGTTTGTTCCAAACAGTGTAAATTGTGATTATGATTTATTGAAGAAAAAATTACTCTGAGCTGACAGGGAACTTGTGATTTATGTATACTGGAATAACAACCCTTAGATTTCCTACAGACTTTTCCTGATCTTGGCTATTATTATTTAAATTGGGGATATATGAAGATATTTCCCAAATATTAGTCTTATGATTCTTACACAAATAGAATCTTGCTTCTGTATACCAATGTAGATTCAGCTATTACCTCCCTACCACTGTTTGTGGTGGTTTATCTGAACAGACCTTGAAAAATTACCGTTAATTATTTTAAATGGATCTATAAATACATATACATAAACAAGCCACCTAACTAATAACAAATTGATCTTGCAGCAGCAGCATCAAGCTAATACTATCACACAGAGGTTTGCTGAATGCTAACAGATTCTCATGTATTATACATATTTCTGCTTATGTCTAAATCATGGAGGCTGAATGACTAAACTCACCAGCCTTCAAGAGAAATTTTTATTTTTGATTCCGGTTTCACACACATATACTCATGAGTTTAAGATAAGATGAAATTTTAGATAAAAAAGAAAGCTAAACTGGATATCAGAAAACTTAGACTATAGTCAAAATTCTAGCAGTGAGTAGTTTTCTAACCCGAAGCCATTTAAAAAGCTTCTATTTAATAATTTCATTGGAAAATTTGAGGAAATTAAACTATATTATCTCTAGGATTTCAGTCAGTTATGAAAATACATCTATTTGACTAATAATTTGTGATGTTCTTTCTACCTAATTCAGAAATAATCAAGCAATTAAGAAGGAATTATTGTCTGCAAATACATGTTTTCTCCCTTCTCACACCCTTCGGTGCCCCAAACAACTTACTTTATACTATAAATAACATTATAGCAAGGATGTGTTGATTTCATAGTTCGAGTAATTAAAAAATCAGCCAGAAATTATTGATTTGAAATTGTAAATGGAGTAGATAAAAAAACTGCTAAGGTCAAGAATATTCTTTAAATGTTTTAAAATAATTATAACACGTTTCTTATAACGAGAACCGAAGCCCGTGGAGACTTGGCGGCGCCGGGAGCCCTGCTGCTACACACGCCTGGGAGAGCCCAGCGAGAGCCCAGAAAGCGGGTTCTGTTCTGCCGGAGGGATAGGCGTGTGTGGATTTTCCCCACTGTGCGCCAGGCACAGGGGCTCCACCAGCTCCCCACTTTTTTTTTAATAGGAAATCACAATAAACACTACAATATCTTACTTTTTGGCAAAGCACATTAGCTTTCATTCATCCCCTTGCGGAGGCGGAGAGGGGCGGATGGAGACTGAACAGATTGAGGGTAACTGCAAAAGGCACTGTCCTTTACATATTTTCCTTCCTTATTCTAAACACAACTCTGCAAGTTAGGCTTCATTGTTTTCATTTTGCATAAGAGACAGACTTAACTGCGTAGGAATTGATATGAGAATAAAATTTAAGACGGACTCTAAAGCATATTTATTTTCCAGTTTATTCCAGTGCCCTTGTCACGATCCACAGTGCTTCAGGAGTTTTAGGCTACTGACTGTGCTTAGGTTGTTCGGTGGGGAGAGAATGGCAGGGAGTGCAGTCTTAACCACAATTCAGAATAGCCCAGAATAACCTCGGAACCTAGTAAAAGCTGTGGACCATCTGCCATTGGTAGAAACACGTGTAGAGATGCTTCTGTGGCTCATGTAGCGTATAATTACTTCATCTCTTTCATTGTTATACACACACACACACACACACACACACACACACACACACACACACACACACACAAAAGAATAAAAACAAAAAGAGGCCGGGCGCGGTGGCTCACGCCTGTAATCCCAGCACTTTGGGAGACCGAGGCGGGTGGATCACGAGGTCAGGAGATCGAGACCATCCTTGCTAACACGGTGAAACCCTGCCTCTGCTAAAAAAAAAAAAAAAATACAAAAATACAAAAAATTAGCTGGGCGTGGTGGCCGGCGCCTGTAGTCCCAGCTGCTGGGGAGGATGAGTGAGGCAGGAGAATGGTGTGAACCCGGGAGGCGGAGCTTGCAGTGAACCGAGATCGCGCCACTGCACTCCAGCCTGGGCGACAGAGTGAGACTCTATCTCAAAAAAAATAAATAAATAAAAATAAAAACAAAACGATAACATTGTTACAAACTGAGATGATTTGGATACCCCACATTGCCCTATATTTTAAAAACTTTTATTTTGGAAGATCTGAAATTTATACAGTACAAAAGCATTAGTAACAAGGATAACGAATCCTCAAGGAGATGCGACCAAACTTCAATTATTACCTCATAAAATCGTCTATTTTAGAGAAGGTGGAGAAAGTGAAGACTGAGGAGCTCTGGAGATGAACTGTCTGGGTTGAAAGTCCATCTCTACTAATTAGTAGCTGTGTCAACTTGGACAGTATTTCATTATGTTAAAGCGTTCTTACCTGTAAAATGGGGAGGTATGTACCTTCTTCATTAACTGAATTAACGTATGTGAAGTACTAGGTCCCCAGCATATGGTAGAACTCAATATGTTAGCTCTTACTGTCATTATTCTTTCAAATTCAGAGAGCCTCGCACACATCACTATCCTATCCCCACACCCCACCTCTCTTCCTTAATACTGCTAGCCTCTGCTTCCACTTAGTGAAGTAACTTGAAGGGAAAAGATTGACTTTCTGGCACCGTGTTTTGTTTTGGAGACAGTATCTAACTCTGTTGCCCAGACTGGAGTACACTGGCGCAATCTCCGCACACTGCAGCCTCAGCCTCCCAGGTTCAAGCGATTCTTGTGCCTCAGTCTCCCAGTAGCTGGGATTACAGGCGGCTGCCACCCTGCCCCGGCTAATTTTTGTATTTTTCGTAGAGACGGTTTTTTGCCTTGTTGGCCTGGCTGATCTTGAACTCCTGGCCTCGTGTGATCTGTCTGCCTCGGCCTCCCAAAGTGCTGGGATTTCAAGCATGAGATTTCAACCATTCCAACCTCTGGCACAGTTCTTTATAGAGATAAGGTCATCTAAAGAGGGAATGGGGTGGGATTGGAAGGTAAGTGGTAGAGTTTTTTTGTTTGTTTTGTTTTGTTTTTTAGACGGAGTCTCCCTATGTCGTCCAGGCTGGAGTGCAGTGGTGCGATCTCAGCTCACTGCAAGCTCTGCCTCCTGGGTTCACGCCATTCTCCTGCCTCAGCCTCCCAAGTAGCTGGGACTACAGGTACCCGCCACCACGCCCAGCTAGTTTTTTGTATTTTTTTTCGTAGAGATGAGGTTTCACCGTGTTAGCCAGGATGGTCTCGATCTCCTGACTTCATGATCCGCCTGTCTCGGCCTCCCAAAGTGCTGGGATTACTGGCGCAAGCCACCGCGCCCGGCCGGTGAGTAGCAGAGTTGTTTTTGTACGTGCTCTCAATTTAATCTAATTGAACATTTTTCTTTGCAGCTGAAATTTTGCAGTTCTTAAGTTGTAGGGCTACACATGATATACCCCATGTACACAAAATGTGTTGTGTGTGTCTCTCAGAGAAAAGTAGAGATTTAAAAAATTCGTATGATGCCACTAAGAATTTACTCCACAAACTTGTGTAACAAATGTCTTATGACTTTATATTTAATAATAAAATTTAATCTGATTCTGTTCCCATCCCTTTACTGGTGGGAAATTAAATCTTAGTCACTATTTACTTTCTGACCTGTAAAAACTTGGGACAATGCCCTAGTCTCTTAAGTGGAACAGAAGACCATCTGGGGAAAGGCCCTGTGTCTTCAGTTGGTATCAGAATATGCTGTTCAAAGCTGTGTAGACCTGGCAGTGGCTCCAAGATTCCTGAGACATCTTTAGCAGGGTATTCTCTCGAATTCTTGAGCTTCTTTAAATAAAGAAGATAAAACTGAGATACTGTTCCTTTTCCAGAGTATTGCAGGGAGCCCACGGAATCCACAGACCTCCTCTTTTCTCTTCCTTCCTTCCTTCCTTTCTTTCTCTCTCTCTTTTTTTTTTTTTTTTTGAGACAGGGTCTCACTTTGTCACCCAGGCTGTAGTGCTGTGGTGTGATCTTGGCTCACTGCAACTTCCGCCTCCTGGGCTCAAGCAATCCTCCAACCTCAGCCTCCTGAGTAGCTGGGATTACAGGCAGAAGCCACCATGCTCAGCTAATTTTTGTAATTTTGGTAGAGATGAGGTTTCACCATGTTGGCTAGGCTGGTCTTAAACTCCTAGGCTCAAGTGATTCGCCTGCCTCAACCTCCCAAAGTGCTGGGATTACAGGCACGAGCTGTGCCTGGCCTCCAGACCTTCATTTTCTTCATAGTCTTAGAGATATATGTTTTCTCTTCTCTGCTTTCAGTCTTGCCTTCCTACTCTCAAAAGCACTTGCCTCTTTTTTGTTCTCCCTTTAGGTGATCAATTTCTTCAGTCAGTTCAGAATTTTATTCCTTTGACCTTTTGTTATTAATGTATCACCATATTCTTGTAGGATTTTCTTTTCCTTCTAAGAAGAAAGTCAGGCCTTTGTGTTCCCATGAGTCAGGGGATTTGTATCACTGGTTCAAACATTGGCCCAATACCTCCAAGGCCAACCTCAGCTCTGGCTATTTTTCCTCTCATCATAGAGGACTTCCCTAGCCACTCTACTGCCAGCCTCCCTCCCATTACTTTCTATCACATCATCCTGTACATTTCTCTCTTTTTTTTCTTCTTATTATTAAATTTTTGTTTTAAGGACAAGGTTTCACTTTGTCACCCATGCTGGAGGGCAGTGGCACTATCATAGCTCACTGCAGCCTGGACCTCCTGCCTCAGCCTTCCAGGTAGCTGGAGCTAGAGGTGGGAGCCATCACAGCCACCGCATGTAGGTAATTTGTTTTAGGGGTCTCAATATTTTGAGCAGGTTGGTCTGGAAGTCTTGGGCTCAAGAGATCCTCCCACTTCAGTCTCCACAGTAGCTGGGATTATAGGCGTGCCTCGCCATACCCGGCATTCAACCCTTAAATTTATTTCATGACATTTGATATACTTTATTTTATTGCAATTAATTAATTAATTCATTTATTTTAAGACAGAGTCTCACTCATTCTGTTGCCTAGGCTAGAGTGCAGTGGTGCCATCTTGGCTCCCGGCAGCCTCCACCTCCAGGGTTCAAGCCATTCTCCTGTCTCAGCCTCCCATAGCTGGGATTACAGGCTTGCACCACCAGGCCTGGCTCATTTTTGTATTTTTAGTAGAGATGGAGTTTAACCATGTTGGCCAGGCTGGTCTCGAACTCCTGACCTCAAGCAATCTGCCTTGCCTTAGCCTCCTAAAATGCTGGGATTACAGGCATGAGGCACCCACGCCGGGCCTGATACATTTTAAAAATATCTTGTTCATTTCTTTTTTGTATTTTCTCCTCCCAAATCCAGAACGTCTTGTTTACTGCTACCTCCTGAAGCAGATTAAGAACACTCACAATAATTTACAAGGTTTCAACTATAATAATTTTTAAACAGGCTGGAGTGTAGTGGTACGATCTCGGGTGATACATTCATATTAAAAAGTACACAAGGAGGTTGGGCGTGGTGGCTCACGTCTGTAATCCCAGCACTTTGGGAGGCCAAATGGGTGGCTCGCTTGAGCCTAGGAGTTCAAGATCAGCCTAAGCAACATGATGAACCCCGTCTCTACTAAATATACGAGAAAAAAAAAATTAGCCGGGTGTCGTGGCGCGTGCCTGTGGTCCCAGCAACTTGGGAGGCTGTGACGGGAGGATCGCCTGAGCCCGAGAGGTGGAGGCTGCAGTGAGCCAAGATCGCGCAACTGCACACTCCAGCCTAGGCGACAGAGCAAGACCCTGTCTCAAAGGACAAAAACAAAAAAGTACACAAAGGCGTACGGTAAATGGTCTTCCTACCACGACGTGTTTTCCAGAAACACATTCCTCTCCTGGGAGGTAACTATTATCAGTTTCTTCACACCAGCATTTTTAATCTATGTCTACTCAATTTAGAATTTCTAAACCCTTCAGGATCTTCAAAAGACAAAATCGGCCAGCGATTTTAATAGTTCCAGTAAAGGTTTGAGCAGAGAAGTGGACTTTCTTCTGTTCCTCTTTTCAACTACTCCTAAGGACTCCTGGAGAAGAAAGAGCAAATATCTCTGCATCTCAATTTCTGGTCCGCAGGTAACCCAGTCTCAGTAGCTTGGTAGTTACCATGGCTCCCAGTGCTGTGCGTCTGACGTCATTCTGCGGCGCTGGCTGATGGCGCAATCAGTTGCGGCGTCCTGTGAGCGCGGGGATGCTGGGAGGAGGGTGAAATTTAGCCATCGGTGTGTGGCAGGGTCATGAAAAAGCGGCGGCGGCGGGAGAGAGGAGGAGGCGGCGGCGGGGCAGTGAAACTACGGTAGCTGCCCCCTGAGCTGGTGGTGTGGCTTTGTGGGGAGGGCGTAGTTCCTAATCCCCTTTCCGGGCAGCCGCCGGGGCTCGGGGCTGTGAGCGGCCGTGAGGCTGCCTCCCCGGGCCCCCTGCCTCCGCCATGTTCCGCAGGGCACGCCTTAGCGTGAAGCCGAATGTCAGGCCTGGTGTAGGCGCCAGGGGCTCCACAGCTTCCAATCCCCAGCGTGGACGGGAGTCTCCCAGGCCGCCGGATCCTGCCACGGACTCTGCTTCCAAGCCCGCGGAGCCCACAGATGTGCCCACAGTCGATTTCGGTGGAGCGGAGCCCCAAGAAAAGGCTCCTAGGAGCAGGTAAGAGGTTGCAGAGGGAAGAATTTTCATTTGTCCCGCCTCTCCGGGCATGTCACCTGGAAGCTGAGCAAATGAATTTTATCACAGGAGTCCGCTCTCGTTTGCAGTAAGCCTTTCAGTTGAGGCTTGATGAAACCACTCCAAACTGCAGTTTAGTTGTCTGACCTGCAGGGTGTGGCTTGTGTGGATTTTGTCACGGTCTATAGATTCTCCGAGAGGAGACCATGTCTTCAAGTGGTGGTAGGGAGAATCGGGGTATGGCAGTCCTGAAGTGAAGAATATCCACACTATTCATTTGAGAATTTAGGTCACTATAGTTTTCATCCTTCTGGAGTGCTTTGCAGGGAAGTGTTTTTGTCTTTCAATTTATAAAATATTTATTTTTTAAAGGAGAAGATAAGTATTGCTTTGGCTTTACCGATTTATGTCAGTGAGTAAGAGTTCTGGTCACTTAATTGAAGTGTGCCTCTTTAACTATGGTGACCGTGTTTCCTGAATAGAGAAGCATGGCTTTAGCGTCATGTATCATATTTGGATTCAGGACTCTTTTAGTCTACAGGTAAACTTTTCTCAGGCAGAATTTGCTCATCTGCAAAATGGGAATAATATTGCCTACTTGGAGCGTTTTGGTGCAGATTGGAGATAATTCATATTAACTACCTTGCAGGGGATATAGCAGAATAGTTGCCCGCAAAAAGTTACTAGTTTTTTAGAAAGGTGATGGAGTAAATTTAAGACATGTTAGGCTAAGATGGTCTCTGTTTCTATATATATGAGGAAATCAGTAAACAGCCTTGTTAAGTGAAGTGAGATAGTACAAATTCTGTTTATGCTGTGATAGGAAGGTGAAACATTTATTTATTTTTGGAACATCTTCCTCTATTGGCCTGAACTGGTGCTGAGTGTATGGTGTTACGTTGATAGTTCAGTGATGGTTAGTAATTTCCAAGTTTATTACATGAATCTGTTTCAAAATTTCTACACAGAAAGGAGATACCGATACTAGTCGCTGTTACATTAATAAAGTTCTCAGAGATTTCGTTAATTATGTGTGAGTGCGTGATGGTTGATAATTTAATAAATTGCCCAAAGATTGTAGTTTTGAGATATTTATGGTCAAGGATATTTAATTTTTTTTTTTGAGTTGACATTTACGTTTGGGGAATATAATTTGTTTTTTAGTCACTTTTTTTGCCATTACTGACTCTGGGAAAGTGGTTTTTTTTTTTTTTTTTAATTAGTTTTTTTTTTAGATGGAGTCTTGCTCTGTCGCCCAGGCTGAAGTGCAGTGGTACGGCTCACTGCAACCTCCACCTCCCGGGTTCTTGCAATTCTCCTGTCTCAGGCTCCCAAGTATCTGGGACTACAGGCGTGCCCCACCACGCCCAACTAATTTTTGTATTTTCAGTAGAGACAGGGTTTCACCATGTTGGCCAGGCTGGACTCGAACTCCTGACCTCAAGTGATCCACCTGCCTCAGCCCAAAGTGCTGGGGTTACAGGTGTGAGCCACCGTGCCCAGCCTCTTTTTATTTTTTTGTGGGTCTTTGCTAGTTGTAAAACTCTATAGGATATATATTCTGTCATTATGCATTCAACATAATTGGGTGAAATGCAGATAATGCATGTATCCATAACAGCTAAGATACGAATTTAAATTGAAGTCTTCCTGGAAAGGTTATTCTATAAGTTAAGGCATTTTCTAATTTTTTATAAGTAATTATAAAATAGGAAAAAAGTAGACTGTTTTTAATTATTGACTTATACCACCTCTTTTCTTGACTTAAGTTGCATTTATAGACCATTCCTGAAATACTTATATCTGAGGTATACCATACCTAATATGCAATTTGGGGTGACTGAGTACTTTTTTTGACTGAAGTTTATTCTGATGGCTGTATAAGTAGAGTTGTACCTGACAAAAGATAAATGATTTCTGCCTCAAAGGGAATTGGGTTTGGCTACTGTAACTAAATGTTTTTCTTCAAATACTGCAATACAGATATTTCAGAGGTTTGGAGTTTTGCATATTTGATTTGACTGACCTCGGGTTGATAAGTAAAGTAAAATGCCGGTAGTTTAGACCAGTTTAAAATGTCAGAGTGAATTAAAATTTTTTTAAATTTTATATAGAAATTAATTATAAATTATTACTTTGTTACTTAGTAATTCAAATTAGGTTGACTAAGCTTTGTTCTGTAAGTTGGTTATTTGTTTTGAGGGGGGTAAGCCTATAATTATGTGCTGTAATGTGCCTAGGGACTTTATGTTTGAAAAAGATTAAGAGTCTATTAGAATTTACGTATATTTAAAAGATTTACTAAACAAATTTTTTTGTAACCTGTCATAATTATCATAAATCTCAAGTTACTAATTTTTTTTTTTTAATTACGAGATTGCAGTTTTGGATTTTCACCAGACTAGGTTTTAAAACTAGCATGTGTAACAGAAGATTCATGTGCCCTCTTTTTTCTTTTTTAATTTCAACAGTACTGAAAAGACTGGTGGTGACAATGATGTTGAAGAATCCAGTAGATCTTCCTCTACTGTTTCACAGAGAAGAAAGCGAATATCAAGTACTTCTAGCCTGGTTAAGTCTAGTGTCAGTGTTCCTTCAGAATCTCATCCCTTATCTACAATTAATCAAGAGGCTCCACAGCCAACTGCCACTTCAACAAAAGAGAAACAGCCATGCTCAGACAGATACCGAATATACAAAGCCCAGAAACTGAGGGAAATGTTAAAAGAAGAATTGAGAAAAGAGAAGGTAAGGGAGGAGAATCAGGATTTTGATGTTGCCTTCTATTTATGTTAGTAAGGAATCATTGGGAAGAAAAGCATTTGTAGCATTTTGATGGGGGAACAAAACCACATAACATCCCTTAGTCAATAGAACATCCCTTCTTGTTAATGGATTGATTGATACACCGTGGACTTAAATTACATTTTTCACTGATAGTAATTTTTACATTATTTATTTATGTTTTCACTGTTTTTGGTGAAGACCACAAATAAGTTTCATACGCATACACATAGATGCACATACACAAACATATTTATAAAATAAACCTTCAGTCTGATTTTTCACATAAAGATGTCCAAGTGATAAGTGATATATTTATTTGAATTAAGACAAGTATAGGCCGGGCGTGGTGGCTCATGCCTGTAATCCCAGCACTTTGGGAGGACTAGGGGGGCAGATCACTTGAGGTCAGGAGTTCAAGACCAGCCTGGCCAACATGGCAAAACCCTGTCTCTACTAAAAATACAAAAATTAGCTGGGCCTGGTGACGTGCATCTGTAATCCCAACTACTGGGGAGGCTGAGGCATGAGAATTGCTTGAACCTGGGAGGTGGAAGTTGCAGTGAGCCGAGATTGTGCCTCTGCATTCCAGCCTGGGTGATAGAGTGAAACTGTCTCCAAAAAAAAGACGAATATAGTTGAGCAGAATGAATTGGTAATGTTTTCTAAATTGACTATGGAAAATTACAAGTGGGAAAAATTTGTGTTATGCATATATTAGAGTCCATGTTCTTTTTAATCTTGAGGATTGATTTCTTTTCTAGAAGGGCAGGTAACAGCAGTAGAGCATGCTGGCCCTGGAGTTAAATACTTAGGGATTGAATCTCAGCTTCATTTCTTTACTAGCTTTGTGACCTTGGGTAATTTAATTAATCTATTTCCTCATCTGTAAAATAGACCAATAATAGTTCAGGTTGAGCATCCCTGAAATTGAAAATGCTCCAAAGTCTAAAATGTTTTGAGTGCCAAAGTGATGCTCCAGGGAAATGCTCATTGGAGCATATTGGATTTCAAATTTTCAGGTTAGAGATGCTCAGCCAGCATGTATTCTGCAAGTATTCAAAAATGTGAAAAAATCCAAAATGTGAATCATTTCTGGTCTCAAGTATTTCAGATAAGAGATGCTCAACCTCTATCTAGCTCATTAGAGGGTTGTGAAGATTAAATGAGTCAATACATGTAAAACACACTTAAACTGGTGTCTTGGGCCTTGTGCAGTGGCTCACGCCTGTAATCCCAGCACTTTGGGAGGCCGAGGTGGGCGGATCACCTGAGGTCAGGAGTTCGAGACCAGCCTGGCCAACATGGTGAAACCCCGTCTCTACTAAAAATACAAACATTATCTGGTTGTGGTGGTGCACGCCTGTAATCCCAGCTACTCAGGAGGCTGAGACAGGAGAATCGCTTGAACCTGGGAGGCAGAGGTTGCGGTGAGCCAAAATCGTGCCATTGCACTCCAGCATGAGTGACAGAGCGAGACTCCGTCTCAAAAAAAACCAACCAAACAAAAAAACTAGTGTCATGAAAATAGTAAGTGTCCAACCAGTGTCAGCTTCTGTTATGAATTATAAAATGCCTCTTAGTTTTTTTTAAATTAAGGGAAGGCATTTTGCTTGGTGCTTTATATCTGTTATCTTATGTAATTATATCAACTATGTGAAGTAGATATCACTGTTTCACACAGGAGAAAACAAGCTTTCAATTTATGTCTTCTAAAATGTAAGCCTCACAACAATTGCTTGAACCTGGAAGGCGGAGGTTGCAGTGAGCTGAAATTGTGCTACTGCATTCCAGCCTGGGCGACAGATCAAAGCCTCTAAAAATGTTTTATGGGTTGGGAATTGGGGGTGGGGGGATTAAAAAAAAGTTCTGTATTTTACAGAAACTGCTTATTTGCTTATTTAATTTATTTTGGGGAATTAAAGATTAAACATTTGCTTCAAGAATTTTACAAAATACACAGAATTTCAAGTCACTACAGGGTAAAAAAAAAGCTGTGTAAGCATAAATTCTCAGTGAGCTATTAAGATGTTTAGTTAGAAGGCATCAGTAAGCATTTTATACATTGAGCTTTATTAGTTTTATTCTTTGGTTATTTATTTAGTTTTGAGACAAGGTCTCACTGTCACCCAGGATGGAGTGCGCTAGTATAATTGCAGTTCACTGCAGCCTCAACCTCCCAGGCTCAAGTGATCCTCCCACCTCAGCCTCCCAAGTAGCTGTGGCTATAGGCATATGCCACCACATCCAGCTAATTTTTTTGTATTTTTTTGTAGAGATAGGGTCTCATTTATGTTGCCCAGGCTGGTAACTCCTGAGCTCAAGCGATCCTCCTGCCTCAGCCTCCCAAAGTGCTGGGATTAGAGAAATAAGCCACTGTGCCTGGCCACATTGAGCTTTTATCTAGTCCTAGTCACTTTAATTGTTAAAATCTAAATACTGCCTGGGTGTGTGGTTCACTCCAGTGCTTTAGGAGTGTGAGGCAGGAGGATCACTTGAGCCCAGGAATTTGAGAGCAGCCTTGGCAACGTAGGGAGACTCCATCTCTACCAAAAAAAAAAAAACCCCACAAAATTAGCCAGGTGTTAGGCAAGCATCTGTAGTCCCAGCTACTTGGGAGGCTGAGGTGGGAGGACTGCTTGAGCTCAGGAGTTCAAGGCTGCAGTGAGCTATGATTGCGCCACTGCACTTTAGCCTGGATGACAGAGCAAAACCCCATCTCAAAAGTAGATAAATAAAAACTAAAAGCTATTGAGGGTAATGTGCTACAACTTTTTAATATTCCATCTACAAAATTACATAATTGGGGTGAGAATAATATTAAAGCACTTACAGTGAACGCAACAGTGGACTGTATATTTGCATATAGTACATCTGAAATTCTTTAATATTTATAAAAGTGGATCTGTGTGTTTATGTATACAGAAACAATGGAAAAACAAATATGCTATAAATGAAAGTCAGAGGCCACCAGATCGTTCAAAAATGACTATGAGAGACTTCATATATTATCTACCAGATAATAATCCAATGACGTAAGTAAAATTTATTTCTGCTTTACTATCTCTTTTTTTTTTTTTTTTTTTTTGGAGGTGGAGTCTCGCTCTGTCACCCGGGCTGGAGTGCAGTGGTGCAATCTTGGCTCACTGCAACCTCTGCCTCCCAGGTTCAAGCGATTCTCCTGCCTCAGATTCGCGGGTAGCTGGGATTACAGATGCTCGCCACCACACCCGGCTAATTTTTGTATTTTTAGTAGAGACTGGGTTTCGCCATGTTGGCTTGCCTGGTTTTAAACTCCTTACCTCGGGTGATCCACCCGCTTCGGCTTTCCAAAGTGCTGAGATTACAGGCGTGAGCCACTGCACCTGGCCTTCTGTTTTACTTTATTTGGGTATGTAGTTATATAAATAGCACTTTTATAGTAAATTTTTTAGTTTTCCAAAAACATGTTGACAAAATTTGGAACACATATGTCCTTTTAAATAGAATTTCATAACAAAAAGTAGCAGTATTTCAAGTAACTGCTTTCTGGGGATGGTAGATTATGCCCTTTATTTCTGAGATTAAAAATAAATTTCCTGGCTGGGCACAGTGGCTCATGCCTGTAATCCCAGCACTTTAGGAGACCAAGGTGTGTGGGCCGCCTGAGTCCAGGAGTTTGAGACCAGCCCGGGCAACATGGTGAAACCCTGTCTCTACAAAAAGTACAAAAATTAGCCAGGCATGGTGGCATGTGCCTGTAGTTCCAGCTATTTGGGAGGCTGAGGCAGGAGGACTGCTTGAACCCTGGCATTTGAGGCTGCAGTGAACCATGTTCATGCCACTGCATTCTGGGTGCACTCAGGGTGACAGAGCGAGATCCTGTCTCAAAAAAAAAAATGTTTTTTCTTTGTTATATTAGTTACCAAGGCATAGTGAAACCAACTAAGCCACTTTTCTGTAATCAAGATTGCAATTTTGGCCAGGCGAGGTGGCTCATCCCTGTAATCACAGCATTTTAGGAGGCCAAGGCGAGAGAATTGCTTGAGCCCAGGAGTTTGAGACCAGCCTGGGCAATGTAGTGAGACCCCATCTCTACAAAAAATACAAAAATTACCTGGGCATTGTGGCGCACAGGAGGCTGAGGTGGGAGGATCACTTGAGCCTGGGAGTTCAAGGCAGCAGTGAGCCAAGATTGCACCACTGCACTCCAGCCTGGGAGACAGCGAGACTCTGTCTCATTTAAAAAAAAAATGTTTGAAAGGATTGGAATTTCTATTTTTAACATACTATAAACTGATCTAAAGGAGTGATCCAAGTTTTATGCCCTGCCTTCTAATAAAGACAGTAGTAGTGTGATTAATAAATCCTCCAAGAACAAAGCTTCTTTATTAAAGTTAGCCTGGGGTTTCTGAGGCAGGTTTATAATAAATCTCATTGTTGTATTGTTGATGGTTTAGCAGGTAGAGGTAGGAGTTGGGACAGTTCCTCAGCATAGCCCTTTTTCAGATTCACCAGGTCTTTGGCCCTGTTGAAGAAAGGGCCAGAAACCTAGGTTTTGAGTTGTTTAACATCCAGGAGTTGGAGACAAGTCACCTAAGTAAGCTGCTTCATGCCTTGGGATTGGGAGCCTCCTTTCACTGAGAAGTTAGAGGATAAGAACATTCTCTGTTGGGCGTGGTGGCTCATGCCTGTAATCTCAGTGTTTTGGGAAGCTAAGGTGGGAGGATTGCATGATCCCAGGAGTTTGAGACCAGCCTGGGCGATATGGTGAGACCTCGTCTCTACAAAAAATTAAAAGACAAAAATTAGCCTGGTGTGGTGGCATGCACCTGTAGTCCCAGCTACGTGGGAGGCTGAGGTGGGAGGATTGCTTGAGCTCAAGAAGTAGAGGTTACATGGAGCTGAGATCACAGCACTGCACTTCAGTCTGACACAGCAAGACCCTGTTGTTGTATTAAAAAAAAAAAAAAAAAGTATTCTTTACTTAGGACCTAACAAATTATTTGTATGTGATGACAAGCTTTTGACTGAAAAGTTGATTGTTGGATTGTACTGTCATTAACGAAATGCTGTGATATATCATTAAAAATTAGAAGTTAGAATAATTTTCTTCTTGCCTACAGATAGAATTGGGAAGATATAAATTAATAATTTATTAAAGATATTGTTATTTATGTTCAATAGTTCTTCACTGGAACAAGAAAAGAAAACTGAAAAGCCATCGACTCCAGTCCAGACAAGAGAGTAAGTATTTTATTTTTGAATATATTCTATTCCTACATTTTTTAAGAAATGAGATCAAATGGTGCTTCCTGTTATAGTTGAATTACATTTGATTGGGGTTGGGCACAGTGGTTCACTCCTGTAATCTCAGCACTTTGCGAAGCCAAGATGGGAGGATTGCCAGAAGCCAGGAGTTGAGACCAGCCTGGGCATCATAGTGACATTTTGTCTCTACAAAAAATGTAAAAATAAGCTGTGCATGGTGGTGTGTACATGTAGTCCTAGTTATTCAGGAGGCTGAGGTGGGAGGATCGCTCGAGCCCACATGTTCAAGGCTGTAGTGAACTATGATCACGCCACTGCATTCCAGCCTGGGTGACAGAGCAAGACTTTGTCTCTTAAAAAAAAATTACATTTGGTTGGGCTATTGTTTTTGTAATTTTAAAATTTTAATTTAATTTTTGAGACAGGATGTTGCTGTGTCACCTAGGCTGGAGTGCAGTGGTGTGAACATAGCTCACTGCAGCCTTGACCTCCTGGGCTCGTGATCCTCCTGCCTCAGCCTCCTGAGTAGCTGGGAGTACAGGTGTGTGCCACCACGGTTGGCTAAATTTTTTAGTTTTTTTTTTTTTTTTTTTTTTGAGATGGAGTCTTGCTCTGTCACCAGGCGGGAGTGCAGTGGTGCGATCTCGGCTCACTGCAGCCTCTGCCTCCCGGGTTCAAGCGATTCTGCTGCCTCAGCCTCCCGAGCAGCTGGGACTACGGGTGTGCGCCACCATGCCCAGCTAATTTTTGTATTTTTAGTAGAGACGGGGTTTTACCACGTTGGTCAGGATGGTCTCCATCTCTTGACCTCGTGATCGGCCCGCCTCGGCCTCCCAAAGTGCTGGGATTACAGGTGTAAGCCACCATGCCCAGCCTAAAGTTTTTAGTTTTTGAAGAGTTTTTTTTCATAGAGATAAGGTTTCACTATGTCGCCCAGGCTGGTGGTCTTGAACTTCTAAGCTCAAGTAATCCTCTCGCCTCAGCCTCCAAAAGTACTAGGATTACAGGCATGAGCTGCTGCATTTGGCCATTTTCCTTAAGGCTCAAATGAGCATGAAAATACTAACCCTGAAGGATTGTACTGAAAAGTTAATCAAATAATCTAGAAACTAATGCTATATAACTATAAGCATTATTATTATTATTATTATTTTTACAGATAGGGTCTTGCACTGTCACCTAGGCTGGGGTGCAGTGGTGTGATTAAACTCTTGGCCTCAAGAGATACTCCTGCCTCAGTCTCCTGAGTAGCTGGGACTATAGGCACGCATCACCATGCTGGGCTAATTTTTAAATTTTTTTTGTAGTGGTAAGGTCTTGCTATGTTGCCCAGGCTGATCTCAACTCCTGGCCTCGAGTGATTTTCCTGCCTTGGCCTCTGAAATTGCTAGGATTACAGGCCTGAACCACCATGTCCTGTCTGTTTCTCTTTATTTTAAAAGAGAGTAAAGACTGCTTGGGCCAGGCACGGTGGCTCACGCCTGTAATCCCGGCACTTTGGGAGGCTGAGGCGGGTGGATCACGAGGTCAGGAGTTTGAGACCAGCCTGGCCAACATCGTGAAAACCCGTCTCTACTAAAAATACAAAAATTAGCTAGGTGTGGAGGTGCGCGCCTGTAATCCCAGCTACTGGGGAGGCTGAGGCAGTAGAATGGTGTGAACCCAGGAGGCGGAGGTTGCAGTAAGTCGAGATCATGCCACTGCACTCCAGCCTGGGTGACAGGGCGAAACTCCATCTAAAAAAAAAAATAAGACTTCTTACTAAATGTCTCGAGATAAAACTTGAGAAAATCCTCTAATTGCGTCCTTAATAACACATACTGTTTTCATTTGGATTATAGGGAAAGTTGGAAATAGCTAGAAGGTTGAGTTTGTAATCATTTATTTTAAGTTTTATACTATTTAGGCACACTTTTCATGCCTTTGTGAATTAACTTATCTTTATATGTGGTAGGCAAGAAGGTAAGAGTACTCCTAATGCTGAAGATAATGAAATGGAAGAAGAGACAGATGATGGGCCATTACTGGTTCCTCGAGTAAAAGTGGCAGAAGATGGTTCCATTATTTTGGATGAAGAAAGGTATTTAGAAAAGAGAAAAAGTGAGATTGTGGTTACATGAGAACAAACATGCTTTGTCTAGTGAAAGAGGTCCTCTTTCTGTATTGGCCTTTGTCACTTAGACCTTGACGTTCTTATTTGCATAATGAATATTGTAAATAGAAAAGTGGGTTAGATTAATTTGTAAATTTTAGTAATTTTTATAACTATTTTGTATGAGAAGATGCCCTATCATCTATTAACCTAACACCATTGTTTTATTATCTTTACTGGTCATTGAGTCAGGCTGTTGAACTAATCATATGCTGTCTTCCACTGAGGATAAATTTCTAAGATTGACACAGTCTTGAAGTCAATATTCAAGTTCTCATATTATTAAGAGCATATCCTGGTGTGTGGTGATAACTAATGGATATACAATGAAATGTAGGTTTAACATATTTTATGATTTTTGTTATGGTGAGGTATAATTCATCTTTTGGTTTAATTTCTCAGTTATAACATTAAATTTTGCACATTGGGCATTGTGGAATTTAGTTGTCTTAAGGGTTTTTTTTTAAAAGATGATAAATTAGTAAGTAAATAAATAAAGCAATGGAAGGTCTTTGAAAGTTTAGCCAGTGAAAAATAATTTTATAGCATTCACATTCTATAATTAAACATAAATGTAATACTGCTAATAATAGTTGTTTTTGTGTGCTATTTTCCATTAGTTTGTGATGATGATTTTACTGGTCATTAAATAGTTAGAGCATATTTAACTGCTTTCTCTGCAGGAATGTAAAATATAAAGTGCTTGTGTTTTTCAAAATTTCCATGGAGTCCAGCACAGTAATACATATTGAATATCAAAGACATGTGCAAGTCAATAATACAAATACCGTTTTATAATACGTAGCCCAAAGATGTTTTGTAAATATTATATTGCTGTTATGGATTTTGAAAATGAGTTGACATTTCTTTCTACCCTCTTGGAATCACATTGTAGGTAAAACTTAGCAGATGCTTGGAAAATACCCATATTTCACATAGGTATTATTATGCCTTTGATATGATTGCCATGCTAAACCTCAAAATATAACTATTTACATCTCATTTGCTATTTGTTTCCTTGTTTTTAGTATACATCTATTTAAAAATGTGTTTATTTCAGTTTAACTGTAGAAGTTTTAAGAACAAAAGGCCCTTGTGTTGTTGAAGAAAATGACCCCATATTTGAGCGCGGTTCTACAACTACATACTCCAGCTTTAGGAAAAACTATTACTCTAAACCATGGTCAAATAAAGGTAACTAATTTTCATTTAAAAATGTGTAAGTTCTCTATTTGAAATGAATTGACTGTTTCTGAATTAAATCAGTTCTCCCCTAAGTACATAAAATGCAAACTACCATTTTATTCCAGCTAATTTTATTGACACCTCTATCTTATGCCCTCCATGGAATGGTATCTCTGACTTTGTCTTACAAATCTTCAAAAAAATTTTATTTTTTATAGCAACTGGGTCTCAGCCAGGTGCAGTGGCTTACACCTGTAATCCCTGCACTTTGGGAGGTTGAGGCAGGAGGATCACTTGAGGCCAGGAGTTTGAGACCAACTTGGGCAACAAAGCAAGACCTCATCTCTACAAAAAAATTAAGAAAAAAAATTAGAAAGTAGAGATAGGGTCTTGATTGATTGCCGAGGCTGGAGTGCAGTGAAACTATCTTAGCTTACTGCAGCCTTGAACTCTTGGGCTCATGTGATCTTCCTGCCTCAGCCTCCCAGAGTAGCTGGCACTACAGGCGTGTGCCACCAAACCCAGCTAATTTTTTGAAAAAAATTTTTTTATTTTTTGAGACGGAGTTTCCCTCTTGTTGCCCAGGCTGAAGTACAATGGCACGATCTCGGCTCACTGCAACCTCTGCCTCCTGGGTTCAAGCGATTCTCCTGCCTCAGCTTCCCAAGTAGCTGGGATTACAGGCATCTGCCACCACCCCCAGCTAATTTTTGTATTTTTAGTAGAGATGGGGTTTTATCATGTTGGCCAGGCTGCTCTCAAACTCCTGACCTCAGGTGGTCTGCTCACCTTGGCCTCCCAAAGTGCTGGGATTACAGGCATGAGCCACCGCACCTGGCCTGTGTTTTGGATTTTTTGAAGAAATAAGGTCTCAGTATGTTGCCCAGGCTGGTCTCCAATGCCTAGGCTCAAGCGATCCTTTGCCTCCCGAAGTGTTGAGATTATAGGCGTGAGTCGTTGTGCCCAGCCCAGAAATTTTTTTTTTTTTTTAATTTCTTTCAGTCACTGTTCTGCTGAAAGAAATATTTTTTAAGAATTACCTTTATAGTCGTTTTGGCTGGAATGTTCCTCTCTGTCAAATCTCTACAGTAAATACCATTTAAATAAAAATTAACAATACAATATTTCCTTTTTTTTTTTTTTTTGAGATGGAGTTTCGCTCTTGTCGCCTAGGCTGGAGTGCGGTGGCGCGATCTCGGCTCACTGCAACCTCTGCTTCCTGGGTTCAAGCGATTCTCCTGCCTCAGCCTCCCGAGCAGCTGGGATTACAGGCGCCTGCCACCATGCCCAGCTAATTTTTGTGTTTTTGGTAGAGATGGGGTTTCACCATGTTGGCCAGGCTGGTCTCGAACTCCTGACCTCAGGTGATCCGCCTGCCTCAGCCTCCCAAAGTGCTGGGATTACACGCGTGAGCCACTGTGCCCAGCCAACAATACAATATTTCTAATGCGAATAATGTTCTACCTCAGATAATATTGTATAATAAAGCTTCTATAGATAAATATGCTGTTAAAAATCTGTTGCATGTTGGTGCTTATTGTTTTTATTTTAAAAACAGTAGTTTTGAGGAAAAATTCAAACAGCAGGATATAGAGTAAAAAGATTCTATACTTCCCTTCTTTCACTTCCCTATTCCTATTCTCCTGAAGTGTAACTTCTGTTAGTAGTTTCTTTTTTTGAGACCGAGTCTCACTCTGTCACCCAGGCTGGAGTGCAGTGGTGCGATCTTGGCTCACTGCAGCCGCCACCTCCTAGGTTCAGGTGATTCTCCTTCCTCAGTCTCCCGAGTAGCTGGGATTACAGGCATATGTCACCATGCCCAGCTAATTTTTGTGTTTTTAGTAGAGACGGGGTTTCACCATGTTGGCCAGGATGGTCTGGAACTCCTGACCTCAAGTGATCTGCCCGCCTCGGCCTCCCAAAGTGCTGGTATTTACAAGCGTGAGCCACCGTGCGTGGCCTCTTGTGTATTTTTCTAGCTACTTTCTTTATATACTACTTAGCACATCTTAGTTGCCTATGTAGTGTAACCCTATCCTGAGTATGACTCATAGCTTTCTTCAGAGCACTTTGAATAAGATCAGCTAGGCAGAATGAATGTTTTAAAAAAAAAATTCCAGATGCTTTTGTATGATTTCTTTTTCTTTTTTTTTGAGGTGGAGTCTCGCTCTTTCGCCCAGGCTGGAGTGCAGTGGCGCCATCTCAGCTCACTGTAACCTCCGCCTCCCGGGTTCAAGCTATTCTTCTGCCTCAGCCTCCCCAGTAGCTGGGATTACAGGTGCACGCCACCACGCCCAGCTCATTTTTTTTTTATTTTTAGCAGAGACAGGGTTTCACCATGTTGGCCCGGCTGGTCTCAAACTCTTTTTTTTTTTTTTTTGAGATGGAATTTCACTTTTGTTGCCCAGGTTGGAGTGCAATGGCACGATCTCGGCTCACTGCAACCTCCGCTTCCCGGGTTCAAGCGATTCTCCTGCCTCAGCCTCCCACATAGCTGGGATTACAGGCATGTGCCACCATGCCCAGCTAATTTTGTATTTTTAGTAGAGACGGGGTTTCTCCATGTTGGTCAGGCTGGTCTCAAACTCCTGACCTTAGGTGACCCACCCGCCTCAGCCTCCCAAAGTGCTGGGATTACAGGCGTGAACCACCGCGACCGGCCCTGGTCTCTAACTCTTGTCCTCAAATGATCTGCCTGCCTTGGCCTCCCAAAGTTCTGGGATTATAGGTGTGAGCCACCATGCCCAGCCTACGATTTCTTATACTGAAAAGTTTTTATTTATAATAAGGTGTTTTTAGGTATTGCATGGGGATCTTTCTAGTAAAATTAAGTACTGTCAAATTCTGTAAGATTTCTTTTCTCTGAAATATTGATATAATTAATTTTCAATCATTCTAAATCTTTTATTTTCACAGAAACAGATATGTTTTTTTTAGCCATCAGCATGGTAGGAACTGACTTTTCTATGATCGGACAACTTTTTCCTCACAGAGCAAGGATAGAAATTAAGGTAAAGTAAACCCATCACATTTGTTGATTGGAAAGAGACCAAACATTACAAATGTTAGTAGTATTATTCGCTTACCTTTGGTTTAAATCTTAGTTCATCTTTTTTTTTTTTTTCATTGAGACAGAGTTTCACTTTGTTGCCCAGGCTGGAGTGCAGTGGCACAGTCTCGGCTCACTGCAACCTCTGCCTCCGGGTTCAAGCAATTCTCATGCCTCAGCATGTCACATAGCTGGTATTACAGGCACCTGCCACCACGCCCGGCTGATTTTTTTACTGTTTTAGTAGAGACGGGGTTTTACCATGTTGCCCAGGCTGCTGTCGAACTCTTGAGCTCAGGTTAATCCCCCCATCTTGGCCTCCCAAAGTGTTAGAATTACAGGCTAGAGCCACCGTGCCCAGCCCTTTTTTTTTTTTTAAACTGTTATGATGGTTTTGTTACATTTATCCCTCTTTATTGAAAAGTAATATTTATCAGTTCTGATATGGGTATAATCTTCTTTATGTTAGTTTCATATTTTCTTATATCTTCTTCATTTCTAAAATGAATTTGAGGCAGTACCAATAAAAATGCACTGCAACTAAGATATAAGAAGAGTTACATAATGAAAAGAGAAGATAAATGTACCAGAGTACTTTGGTTAAGGGTAGCTTTTTTTTTTTTTTTTTTTTTTGAGATGGAGTCTCGCTCTGTTGCCCAGGCTGGAGTGCAGTGGTGCGATATCGGCTCACTGCAACCTCTGCCTCCTAAATTCAAGTGATTCTCCTGCCTCAGCCTCCCTAGTAGCTAGGATTACAGGCGCACACCACCACGCCCAGCTAATTTTTTATTTTTCGTAGAGAGGGGGTTTTACCATGTTCGTCAGCCTGGTCTTGAACTCTTGACCTCTGGTGATTCACCCACCTTGGCCTCCCACCAAGTGCTGGAATTACAGGCGTGAGCCATCATGCCCGGTTGAGGGTAGCTTTTTCAATGCAAAATGTATTTCAGAATTTCCTAGGAAAGCTTAAAGAGAAGAAATCTGAGTTTACACAGTTCTCATTTTCTGATCCGTTGCTTTCCTAGGCCCCCTTAACTTTGGGACAACCAGTGGCACTAATAACAACAGTGATGTCAGTTACAGCTATTATATGCCCAAGAGGATGAGCTTTCTCTGTTTTTTAGTTTCTTTGCTTGAGAAACTTTATACAAGTTTTCTGGGTTTAAGTGCATTTGAGTGTCATCACACTATGTTGCCATAATGCATTCTCAATTGATAGTGAGATCTTTACTCAACCATGGGCTTTTTACTTCATTTCTCATCCCTATCATGTTCATTACATTAATAAAAGGAACCATTAGGAAGGTATGTTTTTTCCACTAGAACTAAATTAGGCATGGATTGTCTGGGGACATTACATAAGGGGCATTGTACAGTGTAATGAAATAGTCTTGTTATTTCTGCAAGAGATGAGGAACTTTATATTCTTCATGTTCATTTTCTAATGTTGATCTTTGATAAAAGAACAAAATGTTAAAATTCTGTGAAGGCTAGAAATTGATTTTCTGGAATTGGAGTGCTCTGCTGATCTGTGTAATTAATTATAAATTTGTCACTGGGCTATTTGTCTCAAAAATCATGTATATTCTTTTCCTGAAAGGTTACTATGGCTCTAGCAGGTCGTTGGGTAAAGTGTAGAAAAGTGAGAGTAGGCTGGGCATGGTGGCTCACGCCTGTAATCCCAGCACTTTGGGAGGCCAAGGCAGGTGGATCACCTGAGGTCAGGAGTTCAAGACCAGCCAGGCCAACATGGTGAAACCCCGTCTCTACTAAAAATACAAAAATTAGCCGGACGTGGTGGCGCATGCCTGTAATCCCAGCTACTCGGGAGGCTGAGGAAGGAGAATCGCCTGAACCCGGGAGGTGGAGGTTGCAGTGAGCTGAGATTGTACCACTGCACTCCAGTCTGTGCAATGGGAGTGAGACTCCATCTCAAAAATGAGAATAGACTGTATTTAAAGCTACTGAATTACATTACCTTGATTTTCAAATATTGGACTAATGTATTCCTGTATAACTTCCATTTGGTCATAGTGTATTCTTTTTCTGTGTTGCTCTATTTTGCTACATTTTCTTGAGGATTTTTTTGCTACTTTGTTCATAAGGGATACTGATTTGTAATTTTCTTTTACAAAGTCTGTCCTATTTTGATATGAGGCTTATACTGGTTACAGAAATTGAGCTGAAAAGTGTTCCCTCTTCTATTTTCTGAAATAATTTGTTGAAGATCAGTATTATTCTGTCTTTAATATTTGATAGAATTTACCTGTGAAACTATATGATCCTGTAGTTTTCTTTGGAGGAAGAGTTTATTTTATAAATATACTCTTTCATTGATAATTTGTATTTTCTCTCTCTCTCTTTTTTTTTTTTTTTTTTTTTTTGGAGACAGGGTCTCACTCTGTCACCCAAGCTGGAGTGCAGTGGTGCTATCATGGCTCACCTCCTGGGCTTGAGTGATCCTCCCACCTCAGCCTCCTGAGTAGTTGGGACTACGGGCACGTGCCACAATGCCCGGCTAATTTTTCGTATTTTTTTGTAGAGACTGGCTTTTGCCATGTTGCTCAGGCTGGTCTGGGACTCCTGTGCCCAAGTGATCTGCCTGCTTTGGCCTCCCAAAGTTCTGGAATGACAGGTGTGAGCCACTTGTCCTAGCCTCTTTTTTTCTTAATTCATCTTGCTAAGTGTTTATTAATCTAAACATCTTTTTAATGAACCAACTTTTCTTAATGTAATTTTTTTTTTTTTTTTTTTTTTTTTTTTTTGAGATGGAGTCTTGTTCTGTAGCCCAGGCTGGAGTGCAGTGGTGACATCTGGGCTCACTGCAAGCTCCGCCTCCTGGGTTCATGCCCTTCTCCTGCCTCAGCCTCCCGAGTAGCTGGGACTACAGGCACCCGCCACCACGCCCAGCTAATTTTTTGTATTTTTAGTTGAGACGGAGTTTCACTGTGTTAGCCAGGATGATCCTATCTCCTGACCTTGTGATCCGCCTGCCTCGGCCTCCCAAAGTGCTGGAATTATGGGCGTGAGCCACTGCGCCTGGCTTCTTAATGTAAGTTTTAGGTTTCCAATTGTTGGTGTGTTTTTATTGATTTTTTTTTGTTACTGTTTAGCACTTCCTTCCATTTACTTTGTGTTTGTTTTTCTAGCTTCTTTATTTATTTATTATACTTTAAGTTTTAGGGTACATGTGCACAACGTGCAGATTTGTTACATATATGTACATGTGCCATGTTGGTGTGCTGCACCCATTGACTCGTCATTTAACATTAGGTATATCTCCTAATGCTATCCCTCCGCCCTCCCCCCACCCCACAACAGGCCCCGGTGTGTGATGTTCCCCTTCCTGTGTCCATGTGTTCTCATTGTTCAATTCCCTTTTCTAGCTTCTTAAGATGAAAACTTAGAGCACTGATTTTAAAGCCTTCTTTTTTAAAGTAGACATTTAAAGCTATACATTTCGTTTTTTTTGACACAGAGTCTTGCTCTGTCGCCCAGGCTGGAGTGCAGTGGCGGATCTCGGCTCACTGCAAGCTCCGCCTCCCGGGTTCATGCCATTCTCCTGCCTCAGCCTCCCGAGTAGCTGGGACTACAGGCGCCCACCACCATGCCCAGCTAATTTTTTTGTATTTTTAGTAGAGATGGGGTTTCACCATGTTAGCCAGGGTGGTCTCGATCTCCTGACCTCGTGATCCTCCTGCCTCAGCCTCCCAAAGTGCTAAGATTACAGGCATGAGCCACCGTGCCTGGCCTGTACATTTCCTTTTAAGCATCACTAGAGCTGTGTCCCACAAATTTTGATTTTTTTTTTTTTTGAGACAGTCTTGCTCTGTTGTCCAGGCTGGAGTGCAATGGCATGATCTTGGCTGACTGCAAACTCCACCTCCCAGGCTCAAGCAATCCCCTGCCTTAGCCTCCCAAGAAGTTGGGACTATAGGTGCACACCACTAACACCACTATGCCCAGCTAATTTTTGTATTTTTTTGTACAGATGAGTTTTCATCAGGTTGCTCAGGTGGGTCTCTGACTCCTGAGGTTGGCCAGGCGTGGTGACTCACGCCTGTAATCCTAGCACTTTAGGAGGCTGAGGGGGGTGGGTCACTTGAGGTGTGGAGTCCAAGACCAGCCTGGCCAACATGATGAAACCCCGATCCTATTAAAATACAAAAATTAGCCAGGTGTGGTGGCAGGCACTTGTAGTCCTAGCTACTCGGGAGGCTAAGGCAAGAGAATTGCTTGAACCCGGGAGGGAGAGGTTGCAGTGAACCGAAATTGCATCACTGCACTCCAGCGTAGGCAACAGAGCAAGACTCTGTCTGAAAAAAAAAAAAATATATGATCCACCCTCCTTGGCCTCCCAAAGTGCTGGGATTACAGGCGTGAGCCACCATGCCTGGCCCCCAGTATAAAATTTTAAGAATTATTAATTATTACTGATTAAGGTTATTAAATGCATAACACTAATTACTTGCCAGCTATTGGTAGTCTTTTTCTTCTCTAGTTCATCCAGGGAACTCTTAAATTACATCTTCAGCAGAATAATCCTTAAATGTACTTTATTTTAATTTTTTTTTTGAGACAGAGCCTCGCTCTGTTACACAGTGTGGAGTACATGGGCATGATTACGGCTCACTGCAGCCTCTGTCCTGGCTCACTGCAGCCTCTTACCTGCTGGGCTCAAATGATCCTCCCACCTCGGCTTCCTAGGTAGCTGGGACTACAGGCACATGCCACTATGCCCAGCTAATTAAAAAAATTTTTTTGTAGAGACTAAGTCTCACTGTGTTGCCCAGGTTGGTTTCGAACTCCTTGACTCAAGTGATCCTCTTGCCTTGCCCTCCCAAAGTGTTGGGATTACAGGCATGAGCCACTGTGCCTGGCCCTTCAGTGCACTTCATAAGCAAAATGGGAGCTTTTGTTTATGTACTTTTTTTGTATTTTGCTGTTCCTAATTTTATTCTGAAACTCAGTTTTACTCCAGGCCATAAATAACGTATTAACTTTGTAATGCACAGTTGTTTCCAGTTCAGCAAAGCAGTAGTTCATTATCAGGCTGTATTCACCCAGAGGTTAGGAAAACCAGGATTGGTCACACCTTTTAAAACAAATCTATCTCATGTTATTTTTCAATGTGTAGTTTCAGCCTAAATTCTGACAATGAAATTGTATGAATTCCTATCTGTGAGATGAGATATCTTGATTTTCAAAAGTAGCCAAAGGGAGTTCCTCGCAGCTTACCTTTGCTCGGCTGAAGCTGAAAACTTTGTAACTTCATATTGCCAGTGATTTTCCCTTTGCCTTGAAAGAAGGAGAACTGAGGATTCATTTTACCACTTCAATCACTAAAGCCAGTAAATCCTAGTCAGTCTTTGTGATTGTGTGGTCAGCTTTCTCATCTGAGTTAGAGTTAGAAAGCACTGATCCTTTGTGTTCTTTACCTCCACCACTAGGTGGCTTCTTTACCCCCTAGGCCATTCATTCTTCACCTTAAAGGCAAAAATACCACGGATTTTCTTCACAATCTGTCCACTTTCCTCTTCAGGCTTCCTCTAAATCTCTTTAAACACAAGATTTGCCTTAAATCCATTCCCTGTAAAGCTGGTTGGAGCAGCCTAATTTGATGAGTTCTAAAAGAACTGGCAGCTTTGAGAAAACACATCTTGTGAAGTGTTAAAACCCCAGCTTCTCTAAGGCCTAAATTATGCTGCACGCCAACCTTTGCATCAGGAGCTTGCCTCTTTCTAGCTTCCTTTCTCAGCTGCTAGCAAAGTTCAGCACACTGAACCAGCTGTTTATTGGTTTATTATAAAGGATATTATAAGGGATACAGATGAAGAGATTCATAGAGTACGGTCTGGAAGGGTCTTGAATGCAGGCACTTCTGCTGGAGGAGTTGGGGTGCACTGACCTCCCAGCACGTGGTTGCATTCACCAACCACGAAGCTCCTGAAAATCTCAGCCTTTTATTTGTTTGTTTTTTCCATAGCCCCAAATAACATGGCCAGCTTTGACTTTTTTTTCCCTTTTTTTTTAGACAGAGTCTCGCTCTGTCATCCAGGCTGGAGTGCAGTGGCACGATCTCAGTTCACTGCATCCTCTGCTTTCCAGGTTCAAGCCCTTCTCCTGCTTCAGCCTCCTGAGTAGCTTGGAATTACAGGCGCGTGCCACCACGCCCAGCTAATTTTCTTTTTTTTGAGATGGAGTCTCGCTCTGTCACCCAGGCTGGAGTGCAGTGGCGCGGTCTAGGCTCACTGCAAGCTCCGCCTCCCGGGTTCACACCATTCTCCTGCCTCAGCCTTCCGAGTAGCTGGGACTACAGGCGCCCGCCACCACGCCTGGCTAATTTTTCGTATTTTTAGTAGAGACGGGGTTTCACCCTGTTAGCCAGGATGGTCTTGATCTCTTGACCTCGTGATCTGCCCACCTCGGCCTCCCAAAGTGCTGGGAATTACAGGCGTGAGCCATCGTGCCCGGCCCCCCCACCTTTTTTTTTTTTTAAGTAGAGATGGGGTTTTGCTATGTTGGCCAGGCTCGTCTCAAACTTCCTTACTTCAAGTGGTCTGCCTACCTCAGCCTCCCAAAGTGCGGGGATTATAGGCATGAGCCACCGAGCCCAGCCTCTTTTTCCTTTCCTTTTCTTTTTTTTTCTTTCGAGACAGGGTCTTTGTTGCTCGGGCTGGAGTGCAGCGGTGCAACCATAGCTCACTGCCGCCATGACCTCCTGGGCTCAAGCAATCCTCCTGCCTCAGCCTCCTGGACCACAGGTGTGCGCTACTGTGCTTGACTAAATTTTTTATTTTTTGTAGAGAAGAGGTCTTACTGTGTTGCCTAGGTTTGTCTCAAATTCCTAGGCTCAAGCAATCCTCCTGCTTCAGCCTCTCAAAGTGCTGGCGTTACAGGCATGAGACACTGCACTTAGCCCTATATATTTTTAAATTCACCTTACAGTGAACTTATTTTATAATAGTTTAATGAGGCAGCTGGTCCAAGTGCACTGGTGTTTACAACTAAATGATCACAACTGATTACAGATTTCTTTTTTAATATTAAAAATTTTTTTTAAACACCAGCTGACCCATGTTCAGACAAATTTTTTCTTTTTTTTTTTTGATATAGGGTCTCACTCTCTGTTGCCCAGGCTGGAGTGCAGTAGTGTGATTGTGGCTACCTGCAGCTTCAGCCTCTTGAGCTCAAGTAATCCTTCCATCTCAGCATCCCAAGTGCCCAACTACAGGCATGTGTCACTATGCCCACCTAATTTTTCTATTTTTTTGTAGAGATGGGGTTTTGCCATGTCGCCCAGGCTGGTCTCAAACTCCTGGGCTCAAGCAATCTGCCGCCTCAGCCTCCCAGAGTGCAGGGATTGCAGGCTGAGCCACCATACCTGGCCCAGATAAATTTCTTTTATCCTACTCTACTGGCCTTAAAAACAAAAATAAACAGCCGGGTGCGGTGATTCACGCCTGTAATCCGAGCACTTTGGGAGGCCGAGGCAGGCGGATCACCTGAGGTTGGGAGTTCGAGACCAGGCTGACCAACATGGAGGAACCCTGTCTCTACTAAAAATACAAAATTAGCCAGGCGTGGTGGCACATGCCTGTAATCCCAGCTACTCGGGAGGCTGAGGCAGGAGAGTCGCTTGAACCCGGGAGGTGGAGGTTGCGATGGCCGAAATCATGCCATTGGACTCTAGCCTGGGTAACAAGAGCAAAACTCTGTCTCAAAAACAAAAACAAAAACAAGCAAACAAAAAAACAGCTCTCTCTCTCTACATATAGATATATATGAGTCTTTTGTCTTTTAAGGAAATCAAGTAGAAAAAAGCTAGTTTTTAGCATTTAACTATTTATTTACCATTTTTGGTGTTTTCATTTCTTCCTGTAGGTCCAAATGACAGGTCTACTGTTGAAAAATTTTCTGAGCTTTCATTTATCTGAATGTTTTTATTTCAGCCTTTCAGCCTTGTTTTTGAATGATATATTTTGCCAGTTTGACAGTTTTTTCTTTTTGGTCTTTTAAAGATGTCATTGTATCGTCTCCTGGCTTTCAGTGTTGCTGATGAAAAGTCGACAGTAATCATATCGTTCTTGCCTCATATATGATTAATTATATTTCTCTGGCTGTTTTCAGGATTTTTTTTTTTTAATTTTAGTATTCAGCTGTATGACGATGATATGCCTAGCTTTAGTTTTGAGTTTGCTCAGCTTCTTGCATCTTTTACTGTATTAGGGAAATTTTAAATTACTTTTAATAGTTTCTCTGTTTAATCCTCTCGTTCTGGAACTCCACCAACATAGTTTACCCCATGTGACGTTCTACAGGTTACCAAAGCTCTGACCACCTTTTTCCAATCTTTTTTCCTCCATTTCAGTTTTGATAGTTTCTATTGTCATAGCGTCAAGTTCACTGACTCTGTCTTTTGTCTTCAATCTGCTGTTAAACCCATTTAGTGAATATTTTATTTCTGATACTGTATTTCTTATTTCTGTAATTTTCACCTGGTTTTTATTTTATTTTATTTTATTTTATTTTTGAGATGGAGTCTCGCTCTGTTGCCCAGGCTGGAGTGCAGTGGTGCGATCTCGGCTCACTGCAAGCTCTGCCTCCCAGGTTTACGCCATTCTCCTGCCTCAGCCTCCCGAGTAGCTGGGACCACAGGTGCCCGTCATGCGCCCGGCTAATTTTTTGTATTTTTAGTAGAGACGGGGTTTCACTATGTTAGCCAGGATGGTCTTGATCTCCTGACCTAGTGATCCGCCTGCCTCAGCCTCCCAAAGTGCTGGGATTACAGGTGTGAGCCACTGCACCTGGCCTCCTCCTGGTTATTTTTTATAGTTTCCATTTCTCTGCTGAGATTTCCCCATCTCTTCACTATACTTTCCTCTGAATCGTGAAACATCTCTATAATGAATGGCTCCTTTAACTTTTTTGTTTGTTTATTCTAATATCTAGATCATATTGGAATCTGTTTCTTTTTTTCTTTTTTTTCTGAGTCTGCTTGCCAGGGAATGGGATCTTTTTCTTTTTCTTTTTTTTTGAGGCGGAGTCTCGCTCTTTTGCCCAGGCCAGAGTGCAGTGGCGCAATCTTGGCTCACTGCAAGCTCCGCCTCCCGGGTTCACGCCATTCTCCTGCCTCAGCCTCCCAAGTAGCTGGGACAACAGGCGCCCACCACCACGCCCGGCTAATTTTTTGTATTTTTAGTAGAGACGGGGTTTCACTGTGTTAGCCAGGATGGTCTCGATCTCCTGACCTCGTGATCTGCCTGCCTCGGCCTCCCAAAGTACTGGGATTACAGGCGTGAGCCACCGTGCCCAGCCTTGACTTTTTCTTTTCTTTTCCTATCACATTTTCCTATCTTTTCTCATGTCATGTGGGTTTTAAAAAATAATTAATTTTTTGGTCTCCGTCACGGGTTTTTTTGTTTGTTTTTGTTTGAGACAGAGTCTCGCTATGTCACCCAGTCTAGAGTATAGTGGCGTGATCTTGGCTCACTGCAACCTCCGCCTCCCAGGTTCAATCGATTCTCCTTCCTCAGCCTCCTGAGTAGCTGGGACTACAGGTGCGCACCACCATGCCTGGCTAATTTTTTTTTTTTTATTTTGAGACGGAGTCTCACTCTGTCGCCAGGCTGGAGTGCAGTGGTGCTGTCTCAACTCACTGCAACCTCTGTCTCCTGGGTTCAGGTGATTCTCCTGCCTCAGCTTCCCAAGTAGCTGGGACTACAGGCGCGCACCACCATGCCCAGCTAATTTTTTTTTTTTTTTTTTTTTTTTTTTTTTGTATTTTTAGTAGAGACAGGGTTTCACCATGTTGGCCAGGATGGTCTCAATCTCTTGACCTTGTGATCCACCCGCCTTGGCCTCCCAAAGTGCTGGGATTACAGACGTGAGCCACCGTGCCCAGCCTAATTTTTATATTTTTAGTAGAGGTGGGGTTTCATCACGTTGGCCAGGCTGGTCTCGAACTCCTGACCTCAAGTGATCCACCTATCTTGGCCTCCCAAAGGGCTGGGATTATAGGCGTGAGCCACTGTGCCCGGCCATTTTTTTTTTTTTTGAGATGGAATCTCACTCTGTTGCCCAGGCTGGAGTTCAGTAGCATGATCTCAGCTCACTGCAACCTCTGCTTCCTGGGTTCAGGTGATTCTTCTGCCTCAGCCTCCCAAGTTGGGATTACAGGTGCATGCCACCATGCCTGGCTAATTTTTGTATTTTTAGCAGAGATGTGGTTTCACCATGTTGGCTAGGCTGGTCTCGAACTCCTGACCTCAAGTGATCCACTCACCTCAGCCTCCCACAGTGCTAGGATTATAAGAAGTGAACCACCATGCCCGGCCAACCGTGAGTTTTTTTGAAATTGCATACTAGGCCAGGCGTAGTGGCTCATGCCTGTAGTCCCAACACTTTGGGAGGCCAAGGCGGGTGGATCACGAGGTCAGGAGATAAAGACCATCCTGGCTAACACAGAAACCCTGTCTCTACTAAAAATGTGAAAAATTAGCCAGGCGTGGTGGCGTGCGCCTGTAGTCCCAGCTACTTGGGAGGCTGAGGCAGGAGAATGGCATGAACCCGGGATGCAGAGGTTGCAGTGAGCTGAGATCGCGCCACTGCGCTCCAGCCTGTGAGACAGAGCAAGATTCCGTCTCAAAAAAAAAAAATGAAATCACATACCAGACATTGTGAATGATGTGTTGTAGAGTGTCTGGATTATGTTTTTTCTTTTTTTTTTTAAAGCGCAGTGGGCCAGGCGCGGTGGTTCACACCTCTAATCCTAGTATTTTGGGAGGCTGAGACGGGAGGATTGCTTGAGCCCAGAAGTTCAAACCCAGACTGAGCAACATGGCAAGATCCCATCTCTACAAAGAAAAAAAAAAAAAAAAAAAAAAAAGCCAGGCTTGGTGGCACACGTCCCCTAGCAATTCAGGAGGCTGAGGCAGGAGGATTGCTTGAGCCTGGGAGATCAAGGCTGCAGTGAGCTGTGATCACAGCACTGCATTCCAGTCTGGAAGACATCAAGACTCTGTTTCAATAAACAAAACAGAATAAAAAATAGTGTTGACTTTTGTTCTGGAAAACTGTTAATGTACTGCCAACTTCTTTGTTCCTGTTAAGGCTTGTCTTAAAGCTTTGTTGAGGCAGATCTAGACTGGTCTTTAATCTAGGACATCCTTTCTCCAATGGGATTTCTCATCTGATTTACAGAAAATAATTTGAATTACTATTATATTTTATTATTTTCTTCTTTTCCCAGAACAGTCTCATGGTAGGCATGAGTTATTATTTTCTAAGTTCTCTAAGGATGGTTATACTAATACTATACTATTAATAGATAAGTGAGAGAAGGGAATGCATTGCATACAGTGGCTGCTTTAATGCATTAGTACTTAATTCTCATGCTACATCCCTGGTAGAGAAAGGCTACTCTAGGGTATCGTTTTTATCTCTAATGGTGATCTTTCTGGTGTCTGAGGTGAATGTATTTGGGTATTAATGAGGTCTTTCCATTAGGATGCACCTGAACTCTATTGTCATATGGTGTTTTATGACTTTTAGCATCTTCCTTCTGCCTTCATGGCTTTAGCAGCTGTTCTCTTTTAAGCCTTATATTCTGGACATATGCAACCCATACTTAGGCCAAGGTATCATGGGGTATTTCCACCAGGCCTGTGAGGTACCCCTCTACACAGTTCCTTTTTAGAACTATGCTCCTAAAGATTCCCTACCTCTGCAGCCTAGTTGGATTGCTGTACCCTGTTTGGCCTTCACCTCCCTTTCCTTGGTTAGGAAATTGAGCCCAGGCAGAGAGCCAAGGTAAACATGGGCACATCTTGTCTGTTTTCCTTCTCTCCGTGATTGTAGTCTTGCTCTCACTATTGTCCTTTGCTTGAAAATAATTGATGCATATATTTTGTCAGTGTTAAAAGTCATTCGTGGTGGAGTTGGATATGTAGGACCTGTCCATAATGAGTTACTTTGCCAAGGCCAGAAGTGGAAATTATGGGATTTATTTTGTGATCATGGAATTTGGCCTGTTACTGGTTCTTACCTATGAAATCATTGACTAGTTTCAATATATTTCTTTGAGAAAGTTTTAAATTGTTCTGAATTATATTACCAATTAAGTAAAATATGAGGTAGCACTGTTTTAGAATTAAATGCCTGAAGCCTATTGATATTTCTTTTAGGACATTTAATTTAGTGTTTATAGCCAATCATTTTTTGTGGAGGTAACATTTGTTAACTTTTGAGGAAATGTTTAAATAACAGTATGATCTTTTAAGGCAGAAATAAGATTATCTTTGAAAACTTCTGTATTGATAATAAGTTTTGTGAAGAAAAACAAAAGAATGGGAAAGAAGGGCAACCTGTACATTAAAAGATGTTAATGTCATATCAGGTTTTAAAAATATGGGCAAGGCTAAACTGTATCATCTAAGAATACACACTTGGGTCATAAACAATAAGGAAATACAAGAAAGTGATTGCTTTACAAGTCATATTAGTGGTTAAGTTCTTTTGAAGGGAGGAAGGGGGCATGAAGTACTTCCTTTGTTTTATGTGATATTCTCTCTCTCTTTTTTGCAATTAAAAAGCTTTATTTTTGTGCTTTTAATAAAAACTTGTAGATCACTGACGTGTAGATGGGAAACATTGGCTGTTTGTTTCCTCTCCTACGATGTGTTTGCGTGATCAGACGTCTTCAGACACAAACTTATGCCCTCAGTCTTCCTAATGACTTTAGGATGGATTGAGCCTTAAGCCTTAAACATCTCCCTCTTAATGGAAGTAATCTGGTAGTAAACTGAGGACAGGGATTTTTGGGGCTGAGAAAAATGTGAGGAAATGTGCCTTAATATATAGAAGTTTGTCAGGATAAACTTGGCCTGCTTCAAAATTTCACTTAGTTGTTTCTCTATAGTCTTCTCTCCATGCTACTTGAAATATATTAGAACAATGATGTCAGAGGTTTAACCTGTTACGAATACTTAATTTTTTAAAAGTTAATACCAGTGAGCTTAGTCATAGGTTTGATCTGCTTTCATGTTTGTTGACTTTATTTTTTTCTGTCCTCTGTAAATCCAGCTTCCATTGCTGATTCATGCTATTGGTAATGAGAATCAAGAAGCTCAGTAAAAATCTTTCATCCTTATTTTTAAAAAGCCGAAGGTTTAAGTAACTTGCCTATTGGCAAAGACATATTAAGTAGAGAGCAGTATGTTATTCCTAAGAGTTTCATTTTAATGCTTACTGCATTTAAAAAAAAATGCTTGTTTTATGAGAGAAAATTACCATAGGGTTTTTTGTTGTTAACAGAATAAATTTAAACGGGAAGAGAAAACAAATGGATGGAGAATAGACAAAGCATTCCGTAAGTATTAAGACCTCTTTTACAAAGTATTACTTGAAGAGCCTAAAAAATGACCAGTCTTTTGTCTTTGGCTTTAGTGTGTTTTAGATTTGTTTTGTTCCTGTATTGGCATTAAGAGGAAGCAGTCTGAAATTTTTCTGTTTAGCAGTATGGGTCTGGCACTTGCTACAAATATATTGGCAGGAGATTATCCAGAACATCTAGGTGCAGGTAAACAGTTCTAAGTCCAAGAAGTTATGGAGGGATTGATGCTACCACTTCTAAGTGTTATTTATTCTGAAGGAACTGTATGGGAGGAGATCATTGTTTCTGGAAGACAGTACTATTAGTTATATAGATGGTTCTTTCTGGTTCTGAATGACTAATCAGTCATTCAGTCAATAACACTGACCACCTACTATATGGTAGTCATTGTTCTAGGTATTGAGCATGTAATGGTGGAAGATAAATGGCAGATGAGAATCCTGCATTTAGAACCTTAAGTCTGATTGGATGGCGGAAGAAATATAGTTGATAAGCATAATTTTAGGTAGTGATTCATTTCCAAAAAGAAGAAAAAAGAGAGGGTGGATGTTTAGGTCTCTTTTTTCCTAATGATCATTGGATCATTAGGGAAGTTCTGTCTGAAGAGATACACTAGCATTTGAATTTAGATCTCATCTGAAGGAATGATAGATATCTTGCAATTTCTAACTAAAATCCTCATTAAAATTAACATATTTTTCTTCAAGTCTAGAGAAAGATATCAAAGGATCTATAAAGAAAAATACATTTACTGTTAAAAATAGTTCTTGTATTTTTTGATTACAAGATAGGTCTTTTTTTCACCACAGCTGTGGACAGGAATATATTTTTTGTGGATTTACAATTATCAGTATTTTATGATTAATAAATGTATTCAATGTCCATTTAGTCGTAAGATTAGCCATAGTGCTAATTTTAGAAAAAAAAAATCCAAATGTAGAGAGTACCTACATTATGTAGCATGTATATTTATTTTATGAGTAGACACTAAGGTAGGTGGGTGGATCCTACACCCAGTGTTTTATCGGGTCTTTAGGGAAACTGCTTTGAGGAATGGCTCTTAGAAGATCTGGAATATTGTGCTCCTCAGCCCATTCCATATTAGAGAAGTGGTCCTGAAACTTCATTAAGTGTAACACATTATAGTCAGAAAATAATTCGTAAATCTATAAACAGTCTATTTGGATTGTGAAGCATTTTTATAGACTATTATAATAGATATTTTTAAAATTTATTGATCTTAAACAGGATACAGTGTTGTATGCCTATAGGCCCAGCTACTCTCAGGAGTCGCTGAGGCAGGAGGATCTTTTCAGCCGAAGAATTCGAGGCCAGCCTGGGCAACACAGCAAGATCCTATCTCAAAACTAGAAACAACTCATTGATTTGGAGGCTTTCTATTGGAAATTTTTTTTTTAAATTAAAACCTATATAAGTTTTTTGAGAGAACTTATGTTTTGAATTTCTCTGAGAACCATGTGGAGATCCTTTATGATTCTTTGAGTGCTATGTCTTTCAGAATCATTGTGGAGAGTCAGAACAAATGAAGTCTGGGTCAACAGTGAAATAGGGTCTTCAGGAATCCCAGATTTGGGTTTAGTTTCCAGAGATTCTTTTTATTTTAGTATATACCTTCTTTTCTGAGGCTATCTTGTAATCAAACCAGTCTTTGGCTTATGTGCATAGAGCACCATTTTCTCTACATTGACTTTAAGTTCAAGCAAGGATTTGCCTCCTGGTCTGGATTCATTCCTGGAGTGTTCACTGATTACTTTCAGATATAATGCTGTTGATAGGTATTTAGTGGGCATGTTCCTGATTAAATTCATTTACTTCCCACTTTGCTGATACTTATAAGAGTAAATGGTGAAATGGTTGTGATAAAGGTAGGGCATATGGTGGTGAACAGGCATTTCAAGGACTTCTCAGTCCATAAAAAAATTGATTTATATTTATACACAGCTCAAAGTGTAGTTCAAGTTTTGACAAAGAATATGCCTGTGTAATCACTACCCCAAACAATAGAGGAAATGTTTTCATCACTTCACAAGGTCTATTATGTCCCTTTCTGAACAATCAAATGCTGTCCTCCTGGCCCAAGGCAACCACTATTTTCATTTTAATCACCATAGATAGCTTAGTGTGTTCTAGAATATCTTATACATGGTATCATATAGTATGTACCCTAGTATCTGTTTTCTTCCACTCAGTATGTTTTTGAGATTCCCTCATATTATTGCATGTATCAGTAGTTTGTTCCTTTTGTTTTGTTTAAAACTAGTTTATTTGCAATAAACAAATTATTACAAATTTGTAATAAATTATTATTTGTAATAAACTAGTTTATTTGTTTCGTTGCTGAGTGGTGTTCTGATGTGAACTAATCTATTTCCCTGCTAAGACCAACCTATTCTGTTGCTGAGTGGTGTTCTGTTGTGTATTTGTTTTTCTGTTCTCCTACTGATAAACAAACCCATTTGCTTTTGATGTTATGATACTTTAAAAGCTAGAAGTAGCTTTTAAAAATAAAAACTTGAAAGTTCTTTTCCTTTTCTTTAAACAGAGGAAAAGCGCCCTTTTGACTTCGATTTTTTTGCTCATTTGCTTCAGAAAGTTCTTGCTGAAGAAGAGAAAAGAAAACAAAAATCTGTTAAAAATCACAGTTTAAAGGAGAAGAAATCCACCAAACCACGGAAAAATGTAAAAGGTATTGATTTTAAAAGGAAGTGTGATAGTTTACTTAGTAGTAATAAACTTGCAATATTGTCCCTCAGGCCTTTGAGAGTTCATGTGTAGCTCAGGTAGTTAAGATCATCAAAGCATCCAGTTGGAGGGAGTATATGTTTTTTCAATCAACTAGTTATCTGGTCCAAAACAATAGCTTTCTTTTAAAATTTTTAACTGGCGTGATTGGGTTATTTGATATCTCTCTAGCATAGAGGATAGTTGTAGCCAGTCAAAGAGCATCAGAATTTGGAGTGTTGTATTTCATGTTTGATTATTTATTATCATTTTCCTCTGTAAAACAAATCTGGTATAAAATTCTAGGATTAAAAAAAGGAACTCTAATCTTCTGGGGTTGTGACTAGACTGTATTGGTTGAGCGTAACTTATTTCTGAAGGCTAATGTTGAGTTGTAACAGGTAGAAATTGTATATATGTAGGTATTTTTATTTTTAGGCTTATGTTTTCTTAACTATTTGAACTCTGGTCTATAAGGACAATGTTTAGCTATAATCACATAAAGAAGACGCTCGGAACTATAGGGAACCTTATATGTTAGCTAGCTTACATTTTAGCCCCCTTTGTGTTGTTTTTTTCTTTTTTTCTGTTTTTTTTGAGACAGAGTTTCGCTCTGTTGCCCAGGCTGGAGTGCAGTGGCACGATCTCGACTCACTGCAAGCTCCGCCTTCCGGGTTCACGCCATTCTCCTGCCTCAGCCTCCCGAGTAGCTGGGATTACAGGTGCCCGTCACCACACCCGGCTAATTTTTTTTGTATTTTTAGTAGAGACGGGGTTTCACCATGTTAGCCAGGATGGTCTTGATCTCTTGACCTCATGATATGCCTGCCTCGGCCTCCCAAAGTGCTGGGATTACAGGCGTGAGCCACCGTGCCCGGCCCTTTGTATTGGTTTTAATCACCAAGAAACAGCCCCAGAGATCGTAAGACACTTTTTCCTAAGGACTCACAGTGTGTGTAGTGGCAGAGGCAGAACTGAAACCTGGGATGGTGAGAGCCTGTGTTGGGGGTCCCCACGACCACCACCGGGGTTCGATTATCCACTAGGAAGACTAAGGATTCAGCATCCTCTGCCTGGAACATACAAAAATTTCGGATTTTCAAAAGAAAAGCAGTTCAGCATAAACCACATTGTACAGCTAAGGCACAGTGAGCCACTCTTATCAGTTAGGGTGGTAGGAACCCTTCCCAGAACCAAATTCTGAGACATGGCCCAAGGGCCAACCTTATAAGAAGGATTTTCAAAGGATAGCAGTCAAGCCTGCAAAATTAACTCTTTACTGTTCAAAGCTAGGCTAGAATTTCTTCTTCTGGGGCATATCTTTTAAAAAGTAGTATTGATAACTACAAAATACCTTTATTCTTAGTAGTCTTTTTTTTTTACTTACACATAATCGTAGAAGATTATGTATCTTCTTGTATGTTACAGGTGATAACATGAGTAACTCACTGTATCTTACTTAATGTAAGAACTTTTTTTTTGAGACAGGGTCTCACTTTGTTGCCCAGGCTGGAGTGCAGTGGCCTGATCTCGGCTCACTGAATCCTTCACTGCTCGAGTTCAAGCAGTTCTTTCACCTCAGCCTCCTGAGTAGCTGGAATTACAGGCATGTGCCACCATGCCCAGCTAATTTTTGTAATTTTTTTGTAGAGATGGGATTTTATCATATTGGCCAGACTGGTCTTAAACCCCTGACCTCAAATGATCGCCCACCTTGGCCTCCCAAAGTACTGGGATTGCAGGTGTGAGCCACCACGCCCAGCCAGAACTTTTTTTTTTTTTTGAGACGGAGTTTTGCTCTTGTTGCCCAGGCTGGAGTGCCATGGTGCCATCTCAGCTCACTGCAGCCTCCACCTCTCCAGTTGAAGCGATTCTCCTGCCTCAGCTTCCCAAGTAGCTGGGATTACAGGCAAGTACCACCACACCCAGCTAATTTTTGTATTTTTAGTAGAGACGGGGTTTCACCATGTTGGCCAGCCTGGTCTTGAGCTCCTGACCTCAAGTGATCTGCCTGTGTCAGCCTCCCAAAGTGCTAGGATTACAGGCGTGAGCCACCATGCCCAGCCCAGAGTTTTGCTCTTGTTGCCCAGGCTGGAGTGCAATGGTGCGATCTTGGCTCACTGCAACCTCCGCCTCCCGTGTTCAAGTGATTCTCCTGCCTCAGCCTCCCGAGCAGCTGGGATTACAGGCGCCTGCCACCATGTCCAGCTAATTTCTGTATTTTTGGTAGAGATGGGGTTTCACCATGTTGGCCAGGCTGGTCTCGAACTGCTGACCTCAGATGATCCACCCTCCTCAGCCTCCCAAAGTGCTGGGATTACAGGTGTGAGCCACCATGCCCAGCCTGTATTAAATGCATTTTCAATTTACAGTATACTCAACTTATGATGGGTTTATTGGGATGAAACCCAGTGTAAGTCAAGGAGCATCTCTATATGTAACTGTTTTTGTTTAATAAAAATGAGATTTTATGTGTATCTTGTTCTGCTTGGTTTTTTAAATGCAACAATATGCTTTGAAATTTTTCACATGACTACATATAATCTTACCTCATTATTATTATTGGCTCCGTGGATTTTTATATATTATTTAGTCATTTCCCATTAGACATTTTAGGTTGTCTTTAGGTTTTTTGTTCATACAAATAAATAATACAGAGGACATCTTTGAGTCTCTTTCCCACCTTTACAAATTTTTCTTTAGGTTGTTTAAATATTTATAGTAATTTCTCTTGTTTTCAGTGAAAAAAGTTGCCTGTGAAGGAGTGAATAATGATCCAGATGAGTCTATGAGTTCTAGAATTTCAGACACGGAAAGATCTCAGAAGGATGCTCAGACAGTTGAAGAAGAGTCTCTGACCTTATCAAGGGAGGATGCAGAGCAGGTTGCATTAGAAGTAGACCTAAATCAAAAGAAAAGAAGGAGGAAGAAGCAAGATGGAGCTAATGAACTGGGAGTAAACAATCTTTTAGAAAATGCCACTGTTCAGGCGGGTCCTTCTAAAGGAGAAAAACACAAGAGTAAGTTTCTTACATATTTAAAAAGCCTCTATATTACTTGAGAAGACATGTACAGTAATATGGTATGTAACTTAATTTTCTGTCTAGATAGCAATTAATGATGCTTATTAATTGGTTCTGTACTAATGGTACTGTGCTAACGCTGTTTATTTTTAATTAAAAAAGTTTATGTAAAAAAATTAAACAAATTAAAGTGGGGAGATTGTTCTCTAAAGTTTGTTTCTAAGATGTATCACCTCCTGTGCATTCCCATTAACTATGATTAGAAATCACATCTATATAGAGTTAAAAGTATGTTGCTATGTCTGTCAATAAAGCACAGATTTTCATGTTGTACCTCTACAGAGCACCTCTGTGAACCCACAAGGGGTTAGTTCCTATAAAAGAACTAGTGGAATATGTATTCCTTCCCTTTTTCTTTTTTACTCTTTGAATGCAAACATATTGCCACTTATGAGTTGCTTGGGGATGAGGGCTAAGAGTTTGAGGGGGAGTCTTGGTCCCTTTCCTTAAGAGTTCATATGTAGATTATTTAAAGCTGATAACCAAGGAAAAGGTAGGAGCAGACCAGAACAACCTTTCTATAAAATTTATGTTTTCTGTAGTTCAGATTTACCCATCTGATTTTAATAAAAGAGTACTGGTAGCTAACATAGTATGCTTTGTAGGCATCTCAATATTATGCTCTTTTTTGGCTTATTGGAGTCATTACGTATAATGCAGAACAGCTTAATGATTCACAACCAGGTTTTAGAAATCAAACAGACCTTGCTTTAAATTCCAGCTTTTTTACTTGCTTAAGTATTGCATTGGGAAAGTTACTTAAGATCTCTGAACTCAGGGGGTTCTCTATGAGGTTAATGTTAATATATTTTAATAGGATTGTTTCAAGTATTAAATGAGATAATGCATCTGATGGACTTAAGGGTTCCTGCCGCTTAGTAAGTACTTAATAAATGATAGCTATTACTGTGTTACTAATTAGTATACTTCTGAAGGAGCAAAAGAATAGTTAAGTCAACTTTTAGTTTCCCTACTTGACATATAAAATAAGCCACTTTAAATACTTAGAATTTAAGATAAAAGGAAGATGCTACAAATTGCCCAAGAAGCTTGAGCTGATCCTCATATATGTTAAGTTTTTATTATGGTCTAAAAATAAGATGTGTGCCTTGCAAATAGGGACTTGAATGTTGCTTAAGGTTTTGTAGGAAAAGAGTGTTATAGGTAAATTCCTTTGTGCTCTAAAAAAGATGTTTTTGCTGTCATTTTTTAGAATAACATGCATTTTGTATTTGTAGATAAATGTCAGGCTATAAGGCCTGAGCTAAAGGAAGGTGAATGCAGTAAGGAGCAGATGCTTTCCTGCACACAAAACATAGATGGCATTGTGGGTTTTGCCTCCACTGAAAAAGTTGAGAAAAGAACTGACCCCATCCTTTCATTAAGGTATTTTCTGTGTCTTTTCTGGTTTTATCCACATCTGTTGATTACTGAGAAAGGAGTGTTGAAGTCTCCATCTGTAACTGTGGATTTGCCTGTTTCTTTTTTTCAGTTCTATTTGTTTTTGCTCCATATATTTTGAAGCTCTGTTGTTAGGTGTGTACATATCTAGGATTGTTTTGTCTTGGTGAAATTCCCTTTATCATTATGTACTATCCTTCTGGTATTGCTCTTTTTTTCTGATGTTTACTTTGCTATTGTAGCTTTCTTTTGGTTGGCGTTTGCATGGGTTTATCATTTTCTGTAATGATTTTCTCTATTTTTGGTTTTCGTTAGTTTGAATGTGATGTGTCTTGCTGTGTGTGTGTGTGTTTTTAAATTTTATTTTGTAATATAAAATCATGAGATTTACCCTCAATAGATTTTTTATGTGTACTATACAGTGTTGTTAACTATAAGCACAGTGTTGTATTGCTGATCTCTGGAATTTTTTTTTACCTTGCATAACTGCACCTCTATACCTATTGAACAGCAACTCCTATTTCCTCCGCCTCCCAGCCCTTGGCAATCATGATTCTTTCTTTGTTTTGTTTTGTTTTGTTTTGTTTTTGAGATGGGGTCGGTCTCTGTCACGCAGGCTGGAGTGCAGTGGCACGATCTCAGCTCACTGCAACTTCCACCTCCCAGGCTCAAGCAATCCTCCCATCTCAGCCTCCTGAGAAGCTGGGACCACAGGCATGTACCACCATACCTGGATAATTTCTTGTATTTTTGGTAGAGACAGGGTTTCACCATTTTGCTCAGGCTGGTCTTGAACTGAGCTCAGGTGATCCACCTGCCCTGGCCTCCCAAAGTGCTGGGATTACAGGTGTGAGTCACAGCGCCCAGCCTCATGCAGTATTTTTCTTTCTGTGACTGGCTTATTTCACTTAATGTAATGTCCTCAAGGTTCATCCATGGTGTAGCATATGAGAAGATTTCCTTTTTTATGAGCAAATAATATTCTAGTACATGTATAGACCACATTTTCTTTATGGACATTTAGGTTGTTTTTGTCTGTTGGCATCACTGAACATGGGAGTGCAAATATCTCTTTGAGATCCTGATTTCAGTTCTTGTGGATAAATACCCAGAAGTGGGGTTGCTAGATCATATGGTAGTTCTACTTTTAATTTTTTGAGGACCCTCCATACTGTTTCCAATAGCGGGTACACCATTTTACATAACCACCAACAATGTACAGGGTTCCAGTTTTTTTCACATCTTCTTCAATACTTGTTATCTTTTATTTTATTAATAATGTCCTTCTGAACAGGTAGAAGGTGGTTTCTTATGGTTGTTTTGATTTGCATTTCCCGGATAATTATTGAGTTGAGCATCTTTCATAGCTGTTAGCCATTTGTATATCTTCTTTGGAGACATGTCTATTCAGGTCCTGTGCCCAATTTTTTAATTAGGTTATTTTCTTTTTTGCTATTGAGTTTTGAGAATTATTTATATAGTTTGGATTTTAGGACCTTATCAGAAATATGATTTACACATTTTCTCCCATTCCATAGGTTGCCTTTTCACTCTGCTGTTTCCTTTGGCGTACAGAAGTTTTTTAGTTCAATGTAGTCCCATTTGTCTAATTTTGCTTTTGTTGCCTATACTTTTGGTGTCATATCTAAGAAACTGTTGCCAAAAACAAACTTAAAGCTGTTTACTATTTTTAAGCATACAATTTAGTGGCATTATTTACATTTACATTGTTGTGCAGCCATCAGCACTATTTCTAAAGCTATTTTATCACTGGAAACAGAAAACCTGTACCCATTATGCAGTAATTCCTCATTCTCCCCTCCCTGCAACCACTGATAATCTCTAATCTGCTTTCTGTTTCTCATCCAAGTATTAATCAGGACCAGACTTGCTTAGTTTGAGATCAAATTAGGCTCATTGAGAGCGGTAAGGATGTAGACAACTTTCTGTCTCTATGACTCTGTCTAATCTAGATATTCACATAAGTGGAATCATATGCTATTTCTCATAGTTGTTTGTTCCTAGGTGACAGATAATCTAAAGTGTGAGTTCAGAGATACACCTAATTTCATAAACTACACAAAACTGTACTCGTGACTTTTTCTAATTTTTAAAATAATTAAAAAATGTTGTGACAGGGTCTTACTCTGTTGCTCAGGCTAGAGTGTAGTAGCGTGATCACAGCTCACCACAACCTTGAACTCTTGGGCTCAAATGATTCTATCACCTCAGCATCTCGAGTAGCTGGGACTACAGTCATGGGACACCATGACTGGCTAATTTTAAAAACATTTTTTAGTAGAGATGTTTTCCAGGCTGGTCTCAAACTCCTGGGCTCAAGCAATCCTCGCACCTCAGCATGAGCCACTGTGTCTGGCCCTAGCTTTTTCTAATTTAGGGGAAAAACAACCTTGTAATGACTGTTAAAGTCCCAGTTGGTTTTGGAAAACAAAGAGTTGATTCTAAAATTGTCATGTACACAAGAACAAAGGCTCAAGAATGGTAAAGACAGTTTTAAAAAACACCAACTTTGCAGAGGGACTGTGCTAGTAGACTAATTTTCGAGCTAGAGTAACTAAAGCAGCATGGTATTGGTGTAGGGTTAGATGAATTGACTCAGTGGAACTGAATATAGAGTTTAGGAAGAGACATTTAGGAATCTGTTATATGGCAGAGGTAGCTTTAGAAATTAGCGGGCAAAGATAGAACTAACTTCATTAGATTGAGCTGAGATTTGAAAAACATAATATTTGATCCTTGTGTTACCATATCCGCTAACTTCCTGATGGATTGAAGACTACATGTATAAAACAAATCTTTACAACTTTTAGAAGAAATGTAGAAAAATATCTTTGTAATGTGAAGGCCTCAGGTAAGACATTTCTATTAAGACGTAGAAAACACAGACTTTAAAAGATAAGATTGATAAGTTTGATGGTAGTAAAATTAAATACTTCTGTTAACAAATCCTCCATAAAGAAAATAAAAGGCAAGTTACTGATCGGGAGATTTTATGTGTAATATCTAGACAATAAAAATATATAGAGAACTCTTGCTGATAAGTCAGGAAAACATAAACACCTAGTAGAAAAAATGAACAAGAAAAAAAGAAAAAGGTATGGCTAAATGTGAATATGTGTTGAAATGGTCAGTGCGTGGCTATCAGTTATATTATTGTTAGTTGAAATTTATTTTGTGACAGAGTCTTGCTCTGTCGCCCAGGCTGGAATGCAGTGGTGCAATCTCAGCTCACTGCAGCCTTGACTTCCTGGGCTTAAGCAATCCTCTCACCTCAGCCTTCTGAGTAGCTAGGACTACAGGCACGTGCTACCACACCTGGCTGATATTTGAAATATTTTTTAATATAGTAGTTCTCACTTTGCGTAGGACTATGTTAACTCAACTTGAGCTTATTGGAGCTGTATCTTTGCTTTATTTGACTTTTGGTTACACAGTACCCTGCATAGCAAGGATTGCCTATATAAATTTTAATGAAAGCTAATTCCTAAATATTAGTATTATTTTACGCATGTTTGATTTGTGAACCACATTTAATAATTTCTCATTTTGAAGCCTTTTCTTTTTTTGAAACAGAGCTTTGCTCTGTCACCCAGTCTGGAGTGCAGTGGTGTGATTCCACCTCCCGGGTTCAAGTGATTCTTTTGCCTCAGCCTCCTGAGTAGGTGGGATTATAGGCCTGCACCACCATGCCCAGCTAGTTTTTGTATTTTTAGTAGAGATGGGATTTAACCATGTTGGCCAGGATGTTCCAAACTCCTGGCCTCAAGTGATCTGCCCGCCCTGGCTTCCCAAAGTGCTGGGATTACAGGCGTGAGCCACCTTGTCCGGCCTTCATTTTGAAACTTCTTGAGCATGTTCCTAAGCGTGTAAATTTGTGGCTGCTGCTTTCTCTGGAGGTACAGTTTTTATAACATGATGCAAGATGGATCATAGAAAAGCTAATGTAGCAGTTTGTATTACTCTATAATGTGAAGCAGCATCTTGCAAAATGGTGATTTTGTGTGTTTAACATTTTTAAAAATAATTATAAAATATATATCATTAGGAATTCTTTTCTCTCTGAAATATTTTCTTTTTTTTAGTAATCAACAAGATGCCACATCAGTAGCAACTGAGTCTTCAGAATCAAGCACTTCAGATTTGCCTTCATTCGAAGTTGGAATTAGAGCATTGTGTGAGGTGAATAATGCTGAGGGTAGTTGTATAGAAGAAAGAAATGTTGACCTAAAAAATAATTCACTGTAAGTATTTTATACGATAGGATTTATTTATAAAATTTTGATAAGGTTCTTAAATGATAATAATGTTGCTTCATTTAGGGATTCGAGGGGATTATTAATACATACTTTATTAATAGTAGAGGGAATCATTTAATATGTAATTATACTGTAGTCTGTTCAGAGTGTAACATCAGGTGTTTTACTTTATATTTCTTTGCAGAAAGATTCTCTTTCATATCTGTTATATAATAATGATATGAATTTTAGGAAGGTGGTAACTTACGAAATTCTAAAACAATTTGGAAGCCTAAATATTTGCCATGAGATTTTACTTTTACTTGGTTTGAGTTATTTTTTATGCCTGGTGTCAAAATAATATTTTGATATTGGTGATTTCAAGGAAGTATATCTTCCAGTATGCAGATACTGGTTAAATTAGTATCTTCCCAAGAAACGATTAAAAACATCATAAAAATCTCCCTTTGAAGAGGTATCTGAAAGTTTTATACTTCCTTTTAGTCTTCCTTGTAATTCCTCATCTCATATGGGCTTAAAAGCTATTAATAGTTTATGGGCTGGGCGCAGTGGCTCACACCTGTAATCCCAGCACTTTGGGAGGCCGAGGCGGGCGGATCAGGAGGTCAGGAGATTGAGACCATCCTGGCTAACACAGTGAAACGCTGTCTCTGCTAAAAATACAAAAAATTAGCCGGGTGTGGTGGCATGCACCTGTAGTCCCAGCTACTTGGGAGGCTGAGGCAGGAGAATGGCGTGAACCTGGGAGGTAGAACCTGCAGTGAGCTGAGATCATGCCACTGCACTCCAGCCTGGGCGACAGAGCGAGACTCCATTTCAAAAAAAAAAAAAAAAGAAAGCTATTCAGTTCATAAATTCTTATTTTTCAGTAAAGTACTGTCACAATGGAAATCAAACTTAAAAATGTCAGTCTTTGAAATAGACAATACATTCATAGGGTTCAAACATCGAAAAGTATAAAAAGGTATGATTGAGCTCTCCCTCACACACACATACACATTTAAACATTTATGAATTTTTTTTTTTTTTTTTGAGACAGGGTTGCACTCTGTTGCCCAGGCAGGAGTGCAGTGGTGTGATCATAGCTCATTGCAACCTCAACCTCCCAGGCTTAGGTGATCCTCCCACCTTAGTCTCCCAGGTAGCTGGGACTATAGGTGCTCGCCACCACATCCAGAGACGGAGTCTTGCTCTTGTCACCCAGGCTGGAGTGCAGTGGCACCATCTTGGCTCACTGCAACCCCCGCCTCCCGGGTTCAAGGGATTCACCTGCCTCAGCCTCCCAAGTAGCTGGGACTACAGGCACGTGCCGCCATGCATGGCTAATTATTGTATTTTTAGTAGAAACGGGGTTTCACCATGTTTGCCAGGCTGGTCTCGAACTCCTGACCTCAGGTGATCCACCTGCCTCAGCCTCCCAAAGTGCTGGGATTATAGGCGTGAGCCACTGCGCCCGGCCTTCCCATCATCATTTAATCTTACTTAATATTTCTTACGTTTTATCCTCACTGTATTGTATTGCATTTCATCTTATCCTCCCTATTATGAGTTGCTACCTTCAATATATACCAAAATCATGTCTATTTTGAAGTTATTTTCTGGATTTTAAATTTGTTTCATTTATCTGTTTATTCATATGTTAGTACCACACTGTTTTAATTACTGATGATGAATGGTGTATTTTTAATATCAGATAGAACAAGTTAGTCTCTTTAAGTTTTCTTTGCTACTCTTGTTCTAAGTAAGCTCTTAAAGGAGTTCTTCCTAATTCTCAGTAGGTTATTTTAGAAGTTCATTTGGACATGACTGCATGTTTGATGCTATTTAAATAATGTTAATTTTTCAGGGAAATTGATCAAACAGAAAATGTTAAACCAATGTTGAGAGGTCGCTTCCAAAGACCTAAACCCAATTTGTCAAGGGCTGGGAAGAAATCAGTTCTTTCACAAGGCAAAACAGAGTCAGAGAGCAAGAATTCACATTCAAAAACTTCAGTTGAAAAGGTATGGGGTAAGAGATTTCATGGAAATTAAAATTATAAAAATTTTCTTTAGATAGTTGGGAATAAAAGTTGTTGACTTGAAATTACAAAGTACTGTTACTGATATTAAAACAGATACAAGAACTTACATTAACATTAGATTTGTTCGTATCTTATTAGTCTCCTGTTTACACATTTTCTTTAACCTGGGATGTAATCATTTCAGATATCCTCAGTGGTGATAAATCTGTCTTCTGTTTACTTCTATAAAATTTTTATTTAAAATATTTCATAAACCAGCTATATATTAAATTCTGCCCACAACATTCTCATCTACACACAGGCAGTCTCATTTCTGTTTGTCTTTTACAAACTTTCTGTTTGTTTTTTCTGAGACAGGGTCTTGCTCTATTGCCCAGGCAACAGAGTCCAGGAGTGCAATGGCAGTATTATGGCTCTCTGCAGCCTCGAAATCCTGAGCTCAAGTGATTCTCCCACATCACCCTCCCCAGTAGCTGGGACTACAGGTGTGTGCCACCAAACCCAGATAATTTTTTTTTTTTTTTGAGACGGAGTCTCACTGTCTCCCAGGCTGGAGTGCAGTGGCGTGATCTTGGCTCACTACAAGCTCTGCCTCCCAGGTTCACGCCATTCTCCTGCCTCAGCCTCCTGAGTAGCTGGGACTGCAGGTGCCCACCACCATGCCCGGCTAATTTTTTGTATTTTTAGTAGAGATGGGGTTTCACCGCGTTAGCCAGGATGGTCTCTGTCTCCTGACCTCGTGATCTGCCTGCTTTGGCCTCCCAAAGTGCTGGGATTACAGGCGTGAGCCACCGCACCCGGCCTGATTTTCTGTTTTAAGTTAGCAAAAATTTGGAATGGAGTTTCACTGTGTTCACCAGGCTGGTTTCTAACTCCTGGCCTCAAGTGATTCTCCTGCCTCAGCTTCCCAGTGTGCTGGGGTTATAGGCATGAGCCAGCTCACCTGGTCAATAAATTTCTTTATTCTTTTTCTTTCTTTATTTCTTTTTTTTTTTGAGATGGAGTCTTGCTCTGTTGCCCAGGCTGGAGTGCAGTGGCACGATCTTGGCTCACTGCAGCCTCTGCCTCCCAGGTTCAAGCAATTCTTCTGCCTCAGTCTCCCAAGTAGCTGGGATTACAGGCATCTGCCACCATGCCTGGCTAATTTTTGTATTTTTAGTAGAGACAGGGTTTCACCTTGTTGGCCAGGCTGGTCTCGAACTCCTGACCTCATGTGATCCACCTGCCTCAGCCTCCCAAAGTGCTGGGATTACAGGCGTGAGCCACCACGCCTGCCGTCTTTTTTTTTTTTTTTTGACATAGGATCTCGCCCAGTCGCCCAGGCTGGAGTGCAATGGCATGATCCTGGCTCACTGCAGCCTCTGTCTCCCAGGTTCAAGCTATTCTTGTGCCTCAGCCTCCTAAGTAGCTGGGATTGCAGGCATGCACCACCACGCCCAGCTAATTTTTGTATTTTCAGTTGAGACGAGGTTTTGTCATGTTGGCCAAGCTTGTCTTGAATTCCTGACCTCAAGTGATCCGTGTGCGTTGGCCTCTCAGAATGCTGGGATTACAGGCATGAGGGCACCATGCCTGGCCAATAACTTTATCTATGTATGCACACATTTCTATAATTTTTAACCATAATGTGTATAATGTTTAAAACCTTTTTCTTTTCTTTGTTTTGTTTTTGAGACGGAGTCTCGCCCTGTCGCCCAGGCTGTGGTGCGATGGCGTGATCTCGGCTCACCGCAACCTCTGCCTCCTGGGTTCAAGAGATTCTCCTGCCTCAGCCTTCCAAGTAGCTGAGATTACAGGCGCGCGCCTCTATGCCCAGCCAATTTTTGTATTTTTAGTAGAGACTAGGTTTCACCATATTGAGCCACCGTGCCCTGCCAAAACCTTTTTCAGCTGACCACGGTGGCACACACCTGTAATCCCAGCACTTTGTGAGGCCAAGGCTGGTGGCTTACTTTAGGCCAGGAGTTTGAAACCAGCCTGGCCAACATGGCGAAATCCCATCTCTACTAAAAATACAAAAAAATTAGCTGGGCATTGTGACACATGCTTGTAATCCCAACTACTCGGGAGTTTGAGGCAAAAGAACCACTTGTACCCGGAAGGGAAGAGGTTGCATTGAGCCAAGATTGCACCACTGCACTCCAGCCTGGGCAACAGAGCGAAACTCTGTCTCAAAAAAATAAAAAATTAAAAAAAAACCCTTTTCCTCTGAAACTATTAATTTACATTTTTTTGGGTCCAATTGATCTTTTTAATAGCTGTGTCATGTTAACATGTTATTGATTTACCTAATCAGTTCTCTACTAATGGATGTTCAGATTGTTTCTATTTTTGTTTGTTTTTTTAACTCTTGTACATTAGAAGCAAACAATTTTGTAAGTAAGGCTTTCTCAAGGAAACAAAGTATAAATTTCTAGAGACGGGTGGGATCGTTGGGTCAAATAATGTTTTAAATATTTTTGTGATTCTTGTTATGCATTGTCTTTTGTTATTTGTTATTTTTATTACTTTAAAAAATTTTCTGGTATGTCTGAGTCTCCTGAATTGTTATGCATTGTGAAACTGACAGTCATAAATAATCTATTTACATTGCTAAATGAATCTTTCTGTTTCCTTATAACTTTTCCAGAATTCTATTGTTACCATTTTTTTTAAACTAAAACACTTTTTAAGATGTTGGTTTGCTTCTTTTCCTGTTTTGTGAAATATCTTTTATCATAATCTTTATAGTACAGTTACATTATTCTAATCTTATGTTTATTGAATTGTAGAAAATTTGGAAAATACAGATTCATGTAAAAGTTAAAACAAAAATTACTTGTAATTTTTTTCTTTACCTTTTTTTCTTTGAAGTGTTGTAATCTTGTTTCTTTTTTTTTTTTTTTTTTTTTTTTTTGAGGTTTAGTTTCACTCTTGTTGCCCCAGCTGGAGTGCATGGTGTGATTTCGGCTCACAGCAACCTCCGCCTCCTGGGTTCAGGCGATTCCCCTGCCCTCAGCCTCCTGAGTGGCTGGGATTACAGGCATGCGCCACCATGCCCGGCTAATTTTTTGTATATTTAATAGAAACGGGGTTTCACCATGTTAGCCAGGCTGCTCTCGAACTTCTGACCTCAGGTGGTCCACCTGCCTCAGCCTCCGAAAGTGCTGGGATTACAGGCGTGAGCCACCATGCCCAGCCATTCCTTCTAATACTTGTAATTTCATTATTCCCTTGCAACCAATCTTTTCACATATCTCCTTACAGATTTTCTTTTACACAACTGAATCATGGTTTCAATACAGTTTTGTATCCTTTGGTAATTAACATTTCAGAAATATTTTTCTGAAATATTTAGTGTGATTCCATTTTTCTTAAAAAAAAAAAATGTACATCAGGTGTGGTGGCTCACACCTGTAAGCCCAGCCCTTTGGGAGGCTGAGGCGGGCTAATCACCTGAGCCCAGGAATTTGAAACAAGCCTGGGCAACATGGCAAGATCTGGTCTCTACAAAAAATGAAAAAATTAGCTGGGCATAGTGTGCACCTGTAGTCCCAGCTACTCAGGAGGCTGAGGTGGGAGGATCACCTGAGCCTTGGGGGTCAAGGCTGCAGTGAGCTATGATCATGTCACTGTACTCTAGCCTGGGCGACAGAGCATGACCCTGTCTCAAAAAAAAAAAAAAAATTCTCATCTGCATTTAGGATTTTTAGAAAATCTCCTCTAGTTAGAAGTACAAAAAATGAAGTTCTTATTTATTCATTTATTGAGATGGAGTCTCACTCTGTCACCCAGGCTGGAGTATAGTGGTGTGACCTCGGCTCACTGCAACCTCTACCTTTTGCGTTCAAAGAATTCTCCTGCCTTAGCCTCCCAAGTAACTGGGACTACAGGCACACGCTGCCATGCCTGGCTAATTTTTTGTATTTTAGTAGAGACAGTTTCACCATGTTCCCCAGGCTGGTCTTGAACTCCTGAGCTCAGGCAATCCGCCTGCCTTGGCCTCCCAAAGTGCTAGGATTACAGGCTTGAGCCACCGTGCCCGGCCAGTTCTGTTGTTTTAATTTCCATTTGTTTATTACAAAGTTTGAACTGTTTATTGTAAGTAGATAAATTGTAGCAAATTAAATTCACAGAACCACGTGGAAAAAGATAAAATGAATACATTGGACATTTTGAGAATGGAGACTACAGAGAGAGAGAATCCAGAAGCTGAAACTGTATCTGTGTGAGTATTCAGGAAGTAGTAAAAAAAAAAAAAAAAAAAAGTAACTCTTAGGAATGATGGTAATAATTTGTTTTCTACTTAATAAGGTCTGAATTTAATTTTCAAGCAGCATACTTTAAGTTCGTTTTCAACCATAGGTGGTTTTGAAACATTCATAATACTCTCTCTGCTTGATATTGCTTATATAAATTTTATGAGTCTATTGAGTTAGCCATTACATTTGAATGTTTACAGTATATGCCCCTGGATAATTTTATTTATACTAAGAGATTTTAAAAGGGAATATTTAACTTGAAATAGAAATCTAAAATAGAATGTGAATCTGACTGGTGGATTCTGGGCTCTTCCAGGGGTTACCATTTATACTATGATTTGGGACTAATCCCCTGGAGTTCTACATTATTCTATAGTATCCTTAGTCAGGAGTAGTATTCTATGCTTGGCAGATGTAGATTTTTCCAATTTTGTAATAAAATTCTATTTAAAAGTGCTTTTTCAAGAGGGCTTCCAGGATTATGTCTTTTTTTTTCTCTCTCTTTTTTTTTTTTTTTGAGATGGAATCTCGCTCTGTCACGTAGTGGTGCAGTCTCTGCTCACTGCAACCTCTGCCTCCCGGTTTCAAGCGATTCTTCTGCCTCAGCCTCCCAAGTAGCTGATATTGCAGGCGCCCACCACCACACCTGGCTAATTTTTGTATTTTTAGTAGAGACAGGTTTAACCATGTCGGCCAGGCTGGTCTCGAACTTCTGACCTCAAATGATTCGCCCGCCTCGGCCTCCCAAAGTGCTGGGATTACAGGTGCGAGCCACTGCGCCCGGGCGGATTATGTCTTTTCAGGAAACTTGTGAATTATTTCATATTCCAAATGGTTTACTTATTCATGCCAGGGAGAAGGAAATTGGTGACTTCAAAATAAACATTAATTTTATTTCTTTGTGGTTCTAGTTTGGGTGAAAAAAATTGTCTGCAGGAAGGGAGTCAACTAAAGGCTTTAAGACCTGTACAAGTGAGGGGCCGATTGCAAAAGCCAAAGCCAAATGCAGGTAAAGCTGCTGAAAGAAAAGAAATTCTCATATCACAGGAAGAAATTGGGGCCAATGTAGAGAAGAATGAAAATGAATCCTGTGCTGATAGAGATGTAAGTACTCTGATTCCTCCTCACATTTTTGGTAAGCAAGTACATGAGCCTTAATATAAGCTTCCCTTCACCCACATACTTACATACATACATACATACATTTATTTATTTATTTATGACGGAGTCTTGCTCTGTCGCCCAGGCTGGAATGCAGTGTCGCGATCTTGCCTCACTGCAACCTCTGCCACCCAGGTTCAAGTGATTCTCCTGCCTCAGCCACCTGAGATCGTGCCACCGCACTCCAGCCTAGGCGACAGAGCAAGACTCTGTCTCAAAAAAAAAAAAAAAAAATTCACATGATCTATAATGTTTTTGTATTTTTAGTTGTGCGACTGCAGGCTCACACCACCACGCCTGGCTAATTTTTGTATTTTTAGTAGAGACAGTGTTTTGCCATATTGGCCAGGCTGGTCTCAAACTCCTGACCTCAGGTGATCCACCCGCCTTGGCCTCCCAAAGTGCTAGGATTACAGGCATGAGCCACTGTGCCCAACCCCTTTACCCCCTTTTCAAAACAGTACTGCACAATTTGTGTGCATCATTTATTACATTTTTGGTCAAAATCTCATAGCCAGCAGCTTTGCTAGTTGTAAAGCCATTTTAGATTTTGGGCATTTACATGATAGATAATCTGTTTCACCTGACCTCATATTTGGAGTTGCTTTTCCGTATCACTTAGTGGATGTTTGAATTAATCTTTTGTTTTGAAGAAATAAGTACATATGTGAGTTTTAACATTGGCTTAAACAGCATAAAGTGTTAAAAGCTCCCTAGTAAGATACAATTCCAAGAACAAAGACTGTGAATTTTAGATTATTTACATAGCCTTTGTGATAAAGATAAAAGTTGTCATGTTTTGAGATTTCAATTTCTTATAATTCCCATGGTCTCTAGGCCAGGCATGGTGACTCATGCCTGAAATCCCAGCATTTTGGGAGGCCGAGGTGAGAGGATTGCTTGAGGCCAGGTGTCTGAGACCAGTCTGGGCAACATAGTGACACTCTGTCTCTACAAACAAAAATTTTTTTAATTAGCTGGGCTTGGTGGTGTGCTCCTATAGTCCCAGCTACTTGGGAGGCTGAGGCAGGAGGATCAATTGAGCCCAGGAGTTCAAGCCTCCAGTGAGCTATCTATAATTATGCCGTTGCACTCTAGCGTGGGTGACAGAGTGAGACCCTGTCTTAAAAAAAAAAAATTCTGACCAGGCGCAGTGGCTCATGCCTGTAATCCTAGCACTCTGGGAGGCCGAGGTGGGCGGATCACGAGGTCAGGAGATTGAGACCATCCTGGCTAACACGGTGAAACCCCTTCTCTACTAAAAATACAAAAACGTTAGCTGGGTGTGGTGGTGGACGCCTGTAGTCCTAGCTACTCGGGAGGCTGAGGCAGGAGAATGGCATGAACCTGGGAGGCAGAGCTTGCAGTGAGCCGAGATCATACCACTGCACTCCAGCCTGGGCGACCGAGCAAGACTCCGTCTCAAAAAAAAAAAAAAAGAAAAAAAAATTCCCGTGATCTATAATGCATTTATAGTAATCAAAAGAATTCAGAAAGATAGACCCCACAGGGGTATTTCTAACAGATGAAACCAAGGCAGTTACTTGTTTTTTGATTGGGAGGAAAAGAATGGGGCTTTGAGATATCCTAAAAGGAGTAACTCATGAAATTTTCTAAGATAGCTAAAGAAAAAACATTAAAAGTATTTTAAAGTCTCCATTTTATAATGTTGAATTTTTTACCATTTTATACTTAAATTGGACATTTTCAATGAAATCTGTTATGCCTCATTGTGAAACCTAAAACATTAGAAAAATTTGTTTGTTTTTAAGACTCCTCAACACATGGAAGATCAATCGCGTAAAGATTTTGAAGAGGAAGATGTCATATTACAGCCTGAGAAAAATGATTCTTTTCAAAATGTGCAGCCAGATGAGCCCAAGGTTCTTAATGAATGTCTAAGGTAAGCATCATTTTGTTGATATATAATCTTTGGATTTTGTAAAAAGTTTTAGAACTCAATCAGTTTTTTAAAGCAGAAGCAATTTAGATGGATTTGTTGTCTGCGTGTCTAGTTATGTAGTGTTTAAAAATATAACTTCACCTTTCAAGAAAGTTTATGTTGTAGCCTTTATGTGAATTTCTCAGATGGTTTGAAGAAAGCTACTCATCGTAAATTAGTACTTGAGTTAACATGAATAGCCTTATCACTTTATTTTATTTTATTTTACTTTTTATTTTTTGAGACGGAGTTTCACTCTTCTTGCCTGGGCTGGAGTATAATCTCAGCTCACTGCAACCACTGCTTCCCAGGTTCAAACAATTCTCCTGCCTCAGCCTCCCGAGTAGCTGGGATTACAGGTGCCTGCCACCAAGCCCAGCTAATTTTTGTATTTTTAGTAGAAACAGGGTTTTACCATGTTGGCCAGGCTGGTCTCGAACTCCTGACCTCAAGTGATCCACCTGTCTCGGCCTCCTAAAGTGGTGGGATTACAGGTGTGAGCCATCACACCCAGCCAGCTTTATCACTTAACATGCATATTGAAATATATGTTTATGTTCAAATGTAAAATGCTACTTATTTTTAAAATATTTGTTTCTTTGGAATTAGATTGAGCACATATTGCCTTTATTTAAGATTTATAAATTTTATTTAAAACTTATGTATAGAAACCCATACTGCTTATAGTCAAAGTCTTTTCTATTTTTTATTTCTTCCTTGGAGGGTACCAAGCCAGACTGATGGAATTACTGGTATACTATTTCAACTTTTCAACTTGGAAATGTTTAATGTGCGCAAAAGTGCAGTAGTGGACTCCCATATACCTGCTGTCCAGTTTCAGTAATTAATATTTACCAGTCTTTACGTTTAAAGGCTAGCCTATGCTATACTTTCTTACAGCTGTATTAGCCTATTTAAATAGTACCTAGCTGGGCATGGTGGCTCATGCCTATCTAGCTACATGGAAGGCTGAAGGAAGAGGATTGCTTGAGCCCAGGAATTAGAAGCTGCAGGGAGCTATGAATGGGCCACTTTACTCCAGCCAGGGCAACAAAGTGAGACAGACTCCTGTCCCTCCAAAAAAGAAAAGTACCTAACCTGAGAGTGAAAGCTAGGTTTCCTGAACTACTTTAAAGATCTTCATTGGAAGACAAAAAAATTTCTCTATTTCTTGTTGCCTTCACTATTCCTTTGCTTCTTATTCCTCCCCACTGCCCGGATTATTTTACTAATGTGCACACAGTCTCTAGGTAGAAGTTTGTATGACTACATTGCTTGCTGCATATCTCTGATATGGATTTTAATTACAGTTAGCTAACAAATTATTCTTTTTATTTATATTTTTTCAGTTTAAACTAGAGTCTATTAATAGATACTGTGGCTTGGTAGAAAATTAAACTTTTCTGAATGGCCTCTGGGTTTTAGAACACTGGTGGACACTGTAACTAATACTCAATCTGATCTCAACAACTTTCCTCTCCATGGGCAGTGTCATTTTTGCTTTGTCATGTGACCTTTCTAGCCTTTGAATCTCCAGAATCCTCAAAAGCAATTCTAAGATTCTGTGTTTTATCAAATTATACACCTATGTCTAACAGAAAGTTTTCCCCCTCTCCTACTCCACATATGTTGGCCTGTTCAAGATGCTATGTAAGAGAGATAGTAGGAAAATAGTCTCTCAAAGAATGCATTAAAAATTCTTTAGGCTGGGCATGGTGACTCACACCTATAATCCCAGCACTTTGGGAGGCTGAGACAGGAGGATCACTTGAGGCCAGGAACTCAAGACAAGCCTGGACAACATAGCAAGACCCATCTCTATTAAAGAAAAGGTACTTTATTAGATAAACTAGTGAGTATTTCTTTGAAATTTAATCTTCTAGGTTAATTTTGCATCTTACCTACTTCATATAAATATTTTAAGTTTTTTGTCATGATTGGTGATTTGGTGATGTTTGTTTGGAGGTTTATATATATATATATATATATATTTGAAACACACACACACACACACACACACACACACACACACACCCATATTTTTTTAAAGACAAGGGTCTTGCTCTGTCACCCAGGCTGGAGTGCAGTGGTGTGATCATGGCTTACTGCAGCATTCACCTTTTGGGCTCAATTGATCCTCTTGCCTCAGCCTCCCAAGTAGCTGGGACTACAGGTGCATGCCACCACATCTGGCTAATTTTTAAATTTTTTTGTAGAGACAGGGTTTCGCCATGTTGCCCAGGCTGGTCTTGAACTCCTGGGCTGAAGGGATCCTCCTTCCTTGGCCTCCCAAAGTGCTGGGATTATAGGTGTGAGCCACCACGCCTGGCCATGAATATTTTATAGATTCTTAAACTCCGTGTTTTAGAAAAACACATATGCAGACCTTAAAGCACATTTATAGTTTTGTGCTCATTCCATACCTTATTTTCTCCATTCATGATCCTCTTGTTTTGCCTTTCTTCTCAAATTTGTGATCTGAGGAAAGTTCGTAGATCCACTGTATATTTTAAGTTGAGAAATAATCTAGTTCAATTTTATATCTGATATCCAGTCTCAGATACTGCCCTTCAGTTAATTCTGTACTTCTTTTGTTACTTAGAAACAATCAATCTATTGCTTTGGTGGAATGGCAGTTTAAAAAATCTAAGCACATAGAATATAATTATAACATTGCATATCTGTATCTTACAATCTGAACTGTTATGGAAATAATGAAATTATTAATAAAGCCTTTGCTTCAAGCATTTATATGTTTAAATAATACGCCTGTTTTCAAAATGTGACTTTATAAAGATAGTTTATTTTATCTCTTCCCATGGTACCCAAACCAAGATTGCTAGCACAGTAATCTCACTAAAAGCTAGATGTTTCTGGATGGAGATGAAAAGTATCATAAATCAAAAAATGGAATGCGGTCCATTCAGGACTAATCAAATTAAATTTCCTTTATTGATTGCTGTTAATTTTACATTTAACGTTGTCAATTGCTAAAGTTAATGATGGATATAAACACTTCAGTTATGTAAACAAGTACAATTTGAAAAGCAATCTTATTCCTAAGGACCTGTCTTACAGTATCAAAAATTGCATTATTGAAAACAGTTATTTCAGTGAGGAAGGATAGTATAGGACCTAAAGAAGTTGAAACAAGCAATAGCATACTTTTGTTGTTTTGTTTTTGTTTCTGTTTGAGACAGAGTCTTACTCTGTTGCCCAGGTGGAGTGCAGTGGCATGATCTTGGCTCACTGCAACCTCCGCCCCCTGGGTTCCAGCTATTTTCCTGCTTTAGCCTCCCATGTAGCTGAGATTACAGGCGCGTGCCACCACGCCCTGCTAATTTTTGTATTTTGAGTAGAGACAGGGTTTCATCATGTTGGCCAGGCTGGTCTCAAACTCTTGACCTTAAGTGATCCACCTGTCTCAGCCTTCCAAAATGCTGGGATTACAGGCTGAGCCACCATGCCCAGCCTAGCATACTTTTAAGTAAATCTTTTGCTTATTTGTTTTGTTTTTTGTTTGTTTGTTTTGAGATGGGATCTTGCTCTCTTGCCCAATCTGGAGTGCAGTGGCATGATCATGGCTTACTGCAGCCTCATCCTTCCTGGGCTCAGGTGATCCTCCCACCTCAGCCTCCTGAATAGCTGGGACTACAGGTGCACGCCACCTCACTTGACTAATTTTTTTTTTTTTTGTAGAGATGGGATTTCTACCAAAAACTCATGGGCTCAAGCCATCTGCTTCAGCCTCCTGAAGTGCTAGGAGTACAGGCATGAAGCATCATGCCCAGCTCAATACGTCTTTTTTTAAGCTGTTGAATGTATAGTTATATACCTGTTCAGTCCGACATGGCCGAATACAATCTAGTGTTTCATTTGATCTAGCTTTTGCCCAATATTAATAACTTTTCCTAACCAGTCATTTAAAAGCCCTTTCATTCATTTATATGTTTATTGATTTTACCATCTATTATAATAAACAGAAAGCAAAACAAAAAGTGCTGCTGCTTTTCTGGAGAGCAAGGTGCTTGCTTTGGATAGTGGTTGTGTGCCCAGTAGCATTCAGCAAAGTATTATTGTGTATTTGGTCTGTCCTTTGATTCTTTACTTATGTTATGAAATAACAAGCCTTTAGAGAACTATCTGTATAGGAAATCTCATATAAAATTGGTTTTAAAAGGTGAGGAGGGCAGACCTCATTTGTAGTCCTAAGATTTAATCTTGGTCAAGTCATACTTGTATCCAGGTATTTGAGGTGGTCAGGTCTATTATGGCAAACCATTTGTCTGTATAAAAGATAGAAGGGATGAAGAGGTAGAAATAGCAGACATACATCAATCTAGCTCCAATGCAGAGAACTGGAGAGTCTTTCCCAGTCAGTATTTATAAATGGTAGTGTGAATGACAATTGGAAAGACACTGTTAGGATCAAATAGCTTCTATACTGATTGACCTTACTAGATATATATATATATTTAAACTTATTGCTGTGATTTCAAAAGGTGGGATTTTTTTTCTTTTAATTTTTAAATTTTACCCAGCGATTCCTAGGCCTTCCTTAATTTTTTTGAATTTGAGAGTTTCTGGTGTTTCTGTAGTGATTTCTCAAACATCATCTCTTCAGCAGGCAGTCTGGTTTAAAACTTGATTGTGTGCCCCCTTTTTTTTTTATAGCGTTCAAGAGAATAATAAGGCAAATAAACTTAACCAAGTCCCAATTCTAAGGACTCGATTTCAGAAACCAAAGCCAAATATAGGAAGAGGAACTGGAAGGAGAGAAATTTCCTCAAAGGAAGAGGTACTAGAGAAGATTCTTGTCTCTGGGGAAATGGCGGCAGCATTGAGAGAAACTGTAAGACTAGACACCTCACCAAAGGAGATGGTACCAGCAGAGATTAATACTAAAGAAATGCAGTCAGATTTAAAAGAAACTGGAAGAAGAGCCATTTCTCCCAGGGAGAAGATTCTAGATGTGATTGATGACACCATAGAAATGGAGACAGGTCTGAAAGCAATGGGAAGAGAGATTTGTCTAAGGGAGAAGACGCCAGAGGTGATTGATGCCACTGAGGAAATAGACAAAGATTTGGAAGAAGCTGGAAGAAGAGAAATATCCCCACAGAAAAATGGCCCAGAGGAGGTTAAGCCTCTAGGTGAAGTGGAGACAGATTTGAAAGCAACTGGAAATGAGAGTTCCCCAAGGGAGAAGACACCAGAGGTGACTGATGCCACTGAGGAAATAGACAAAAATTTGGAAGAAACTGGAAGAAGAAAAATATCCCCAAGGGAAAATGGCCCAGAGGAGGTCAAGCCTGTAGATGAAATGGAGACAGATTTGAACGCAACTGGAAGAGAGAGTTCTCCAAGGGAGAAGACACCAGAGGTGATTGATGCTACTGAGGAAATAGATTTGGAAGAAACTGAAAGAGAAGTATCCCCACAGGAAAATGGACTAGAGGAGGTCAAGCCTCTAGGTGAAATGGAGACGGATTTGAAAGCAACTGGAAGAGACAGTTTCCCAAGGGGGAAGACACCAGAGGTGATTGATGCCATTGAGGAAATAGAGATAGATTTGGAAGAAACTGAAAGAGAAATATCCCCACAGGAAAATGGCCTAGAGGAGGTTAAGCCTCTAGGTGAAATGCAAACAGATTTGAAAGCAACCGGAAGGGAGATTTCCCCAAGGGAGAAGACACCAGAGGTGATTGATGCCACTGAGGAAATAGACAAAGATCTGGAAGAAACTGGAAGAAGAGAAATATCCCCAGAGGAAAATGGCCCAGAGGAGGTCAAGCCTGTAGATGAAATGGAGACAGACTTGAAAACAACTGGAAGAGAGGGTTCCTCAAGGGAGAAGACACGAGAGGTGATTGATGCTGCTGAGGTAATAGAGACAGATTTGGAAGAAACTGAAAGAGAAATATCGCCACAGGAAAATGGCCCAGAGGAGGTCAAGCCTGTAGGTAAAATGGAGACAGATTTGAAAGAAATTAGAGAAGAAATTTCCCAAAGGGAAAAGGTGCTAGCAGAGTTCAGTGCTATAAGGGAAAAGGAGATTGATTTGAAAGAAACTGGAAAAAGAGACATTCCCATCATGGAGAAAGTATCAGGAAAGATGGCTGTTGTTGAAGAAATGGAGGCAGATTTGAAAGAAACTGGAAAAGAAAATTTTAGAGAGAGAGGATCTGAAGAGATCTGTGTTACTGAGGAAAAGGTGGCAGAATTGAAACAAACTGGAAAAACAGACATTTCTCCAAGGGAAAACGAGCTAGAGGAGACCAGTACCTCAAGACAAACTGACACACATTTAATGCAGAGCGGTAGCAATGACTTCAGTGCTGTGCCTTCACTAGATATTCAGGTATGTATTTTTCTGTCCTTTAAAAGTTTTTTGAATGCTTTTTTCAGAGGAAATAAATAATTCCATGATTATTTTGTCCTTAAGTCCAACAACACTTAAAAATCTCTAAAAGTCTAAAGTCTTTTGTAGCCCTAAGTTTCTATGTTTCAGTGCCTTGAAGAAACTGTATGTTCTTTTTTAAAAAGATAACTTTAGGCTGGGCACACCTTTAAACCCAACACTTTGGGAGGCCAAGGTGGAAGGATTACTTGAGCCCAGGAGTTTGAGACCAGCCTGGGCAACATAGAGAGACCTTGTCTCTACAAAAAATAAGATAAAATAAAAATAAATAAAATAAATAAAAAATAAAATACAATAACAAGGTGTAAGCCTGTAGTCCCAGCTACTTGGGAGGCTGAGGTGAGAGGATCACTTGAACCCTGGAGGTTGAGGCTGCAGTGAGCTGTGATTGTGCCATTGTACTCCACCCTGGGTGACAGAGTGAGACCCTGTCTCAAAAAGAAATAAAAATAATTTCCAACTGTGAAAAAGTCACTGTTATTATTATTATTTTTTTTCTTTAAGTCAGATGGGCAAGGATCAAACTTTTCTTTTGGCTTAGGTTTGAGATCTCAAAAATGTCACTGTTCTTAATATCATTTGAAGTTACTCTTTTAGGTAAAAGAAGAATAGGAAATTAGACTGAATTTGTACTAACCCTAGCGTGAACACACATTATTTCTTTTGGCCACATCTGTATCTGCTTTTGTTTCTTGCCCCACCTGACTTACTTCACTTCTAAAAGTTCTTTTTGTTTTTTCAAGTTACTTTGAAGTTCATGATCTTCTAACATTTTCAAGGACTTTTTTTTTTTTCTAACTTTTAAAAATAGATAATGACATTTGTGGTTTGGGAAAGTAATAATATGCAACATAAAAGGGTTTCCTGAATTCCAAGTTTTAACATTTGGAAATTAAATTTTATTCAAAAATTAAAAACTTCTAAAGTTTTAAAGGAAAGTGTTTAGAATTTAGTAGACTTTTGTTTTAAATATATAAGATGTTTAAATACTCTTTTATTTGTGCTGATTTACTATGACTGTTCCTCTAGAACATTAGCAGTGAAGTACTGTCGATGATGCATACACCTGTAGAAGAAAAAAGAAATTCTGAAAAAGAAGTATCAAGTCACTTCAGTCATTTCAAGATTTCTTCACAGACTCATGAATCTGATAAAACAGAAGTCCAGGGGATTCAATCTCCAGATGTTCCAGAGCAGTTTTCAGATATTAATTTAAGGTACAAGTGTGTTTTTAAAGAAAAAGATATTAAGTTATAGTTGCAGATTACGTTAAACTAAGTGAGGTTTCAAGATATAACATATACAGGATAGTGTTAGAGCTTTTAAGATAGTTTTGGGAAGACTGGGAGAGAGGATTGAGGTCACTCTGACAGTCAATTGTGAAAGTTACTGACATACAAAATTGTATGTAACAGTCTTAAATCAATACAGGTTTGATAGACTCATATTTTCTTTGTGCAGAGATGGTGTAATTCCTAGGCTCATACCTGGATTGTACCACTCATGGTTTTCAGGATCTGCCAGATAGTTCGATTTGTTTTCCTGTTAAGAATTAGAATTAGGCCAAGTATGGTGGCTCACACCTGTAATCCTAGCAATTTGGGAGGCTGAGGTGGGTGGATCCTTTGAGCCTAGGAGTTTGAGACCAGCCTGGGCAACACGCTGTAGAAACCCCATCTCTATAAAATAAAAAAACAAAAACTAGCTGGGTGTGGTGGCACATGCCTGTAGTCCCAGCTACTTGGGAGGCTCAGATGGGAAGATCACTTGAGCCCGCGGAGGTCAAGGCTGCAGTGAGCTATGATTGTGTCATTGCACTCCAGCCTGGGGGATAGAACAAGACCCTGTCTCCAAAAAAAAAAAAAAAAAAAAAAAAATTAAATGTTTACCGCCAGTCTCTAAGGTTGTACTGAGACTCCGTTTCCACTGCCCCTTCAGTTCATTCTAAAGCTTGATAATCCTTGTTCCAAAAGCAAATCTCTTCCTCAAGAACAGAAGCCACTTGAAATTAAACCAGCACCTTTTGTGAGGAGCCGATTCAAAAGACCAAAACCAAACTTAGCAAGAGCAGCTTTGAAGAGAGAGACTACAGAATCAGAAAAATATATATATGAGAAGAAATCAGAAACCAAGAAAATGGAGACTATTGTGATGCAAGAAAATAATGAACAAACTGATACTCTCCCTTCTCAACATGTGAGTGTATTTGAGATGGAAGTTCTGTGTGGGTGTTTTTTTTTTTTTTTAAGTTATTAGGACTACTAAAAGCACCTGGCATTAAAATTCTACAAATATTTCTGTGTAATTTTTGCTGCATGTGATATTGCTCCCATGCTTAATGTGCCTCATTGTTCCACATAATTTGTGTAAGAATCTCAGATATCTGATAATGGGCAAACGTGTTGTGGGAAAGCGTTCAGGTCTGGGCTCTGGTTCCAGTTCCAGCTATGTGACCATTGATTAAACAATTTTCTTCATAGAAAAAATGACAATAATAGTTTTTTATTTTTTTTATTTTTATTTTTTTGAGATGAAGTCTCACTCTGTTCCCAGGCTGGAGTGCAGTGGCGCGATCTCGGCTCACTGCAACTTCCACCTCCCAGGTTCAAGCGATTCTCCTGCCTCAGCCTCCTGAATGCTGGGACTACAGGCGCGTGCTGCCATGTCCGGCTAATTTTTTTTTTTGTATTTTTAGTAGAGATGGGGTTTCACTATGTTAGCCAGGCTGATCTCGAACTCCTAACCTCGTGATCTGCCTGCTTTGGCCTCCCAAAGTGCTGGGATTACGCTGAGCCGTGGCGCCCAGCGAGAATAATCGTTTTTTATTTCACTCTCTTGTGAAGGTGAAATGAAGAGTTAAAAGCTTGATTTGAGTTAAAGGTGATATTTTATTTACTTTATTAACTTGGTCCATAACAGATTAAGATTGTGTGACATACCATCAAAAAAACATTGAAACGAAATGAATAATTATAAACTGAATGTTTTCCACATTCAGTGGAAGTCCTTCTTAGAATTAAAATTCTTATTTGATGTCTTAAAATAGCTCAGTACTTTACTGTGCATCAACATTTGTACTATTTCTCCTAAGCTTATATTCATAAAAGATAAGTTACATTTGTATTATACTTTCTGATTATAGAAATTTTAATTTGGAAAAATATATGTATTCTAAAAAGTGAGAGTCTTTTATAATGTCACGTCCCTTTCCCCCAAGTTAATCATACAGCAATTTTGAATATATCCACTTACACTTTTTCGTCTTACAGTTATAAAATGATAAAATGGGAAGGTATTTTTATTGTTTTCCAAAATGACATTAATTCTTGCTTTCTGATTTTTCCACTTACAGTATTGTGAGCTTCTTTTTAGATCAGTACAAAGAGATATATCTTCTTTTAAATGATTAGGTACTATTGCATTGTAAAGAAATTAAAATTTATTTATTCCATCCCCTAATGATATATCTGTTTTATTTCTGATTTTTTTGTTTGTCTTTTCCGGTGAGGGAGGTGGTGCTTAAATTGTTACAATAAATATTTTTGTGTGTATATTTCTACTTGTTGAGTATTTATAAGATACATTTCTAGAAGTGGAATTGCTGGGAATTTAGAATTTTGGTATAGACTACCCTATTATTCTTCACGAAGATGATATCAGTTTATACTTGTAAAGTTCTTATTTCCTTATACTTTTAGCAACTGTGAATGAAATTTTTTTTCTGTCTTCTAGGATGAAGCTTCCCTAATGATATCAAGAGAAAAAGACACATTAGGTCACAGGAATGAGGAGGCTGTGATATTGCCATGTACACAGACTGAAAGGAACCTTTCACCTTCAAATTCTTGTGAACCTAAAGAGGAGTCTCAGTCAGCACCAGTCCAGAAAAATGACTCAGTTGTTTCTGTGGGGTAAACAGTGATTTTCTTTGACAATATAAAATAAGAGAGATACTTCTTTTAAATATTTCTAATTTTTATTGAGATATGTTAATGCATTTAAAAAGTGAACATAAAGAATATTGGTTTAATTTTATTGATACAGCAGACTGCCTAAAATATAATATCAGATTGAATTCAACACCTTCTAATGGTTGCCTGCTTATCTGCATTGTCAGCTGCGTAAGAGTGTATACAAAGCAATGCATTTAAAAACTACAAGTTGAGCATCCCTAATAAAAAATTCTGAAATGTGCCACAATTTAAAACTTTTTGAGAGCTGACATGATGCTCAAGAAATGCTCAGTGGAGCATTTTGGATTTTCAAAGTAGGGATGCTCAACTGATAAGTATAATGCAAATATTTCCAAATCTAAAAAAATCTGAAATCTGAAACATTTCTGGTCCTAAGCATTTTGGATAGGGCTACTCAGCTTATATGTATATAAGCTATATATATTCATTAACTTTTAAAAATTAGTATACACATAAGATAAAATTTACCATTTTAACTATTTTTTAATATACAGTGGCATTAAGTGTATTCACATTGTTGTCCCGTTGCCACCACCATTCATCTCTAGACTTTCTTTTTCATCTTCATAAAATGAAACTCTCTACCCATTAAATACTAACTCATTCTCCTCCTCTTCCAGCTCCTGGCAACCACCATTCTATCTGTATATTTAGCTACTTTAGGCATATTATATAAGTTTATTACCTTTTAAGAATTGACATAACTGTTTTCTTTTGTAAAATAAGATGTTTATAATCAGAAAGCAATTTCCCTTTAATGGTACAAAGTATTTTTTAGAGTGTTTATTAGAGGAGATCCAAATTTTACATTTTTACATTAGTTTTCAGCTTTTTACAGTCAAGCGCCCTGCCTTTCTCCCTGTCCCCTTGTTTAGGACTAATAATGTAAACACTTTCCAGCAAGAAATGAAGGAAAGTGTTATCCAAACTGCTCGACAAGTAAGGGGCCGACTTCAGAGACCGAGACCAAATATAAGAAAGACAGGACAGAGGCAAATAGTAGACAAAGGTGAAGCCAAAGGCATAATTAAGGAAGGAAGAACGATATTACCAAAAGATGAAACTGAAAAGAAAGTCTTAACTGTGGTGAGTTATTGTTATGTAATTAAATTTAGCCTTTTAATGCATTTAAAATGTCAAGTTATAGCTCAGACATAGCTTAGAAATACAGGCATCTGACACTTATTCTACTCAATGAATACAGTTTCCAGTTTTGTTTCAGATTTGCTCTTCTGGATTTTTTTTTTAAGTGAAAATAGATTTATTTCTTTTCTAATTAATGAAGCTATTCATCGTAAAATGTTCCATTAGGACAAAATAATATAAATACCGCAAATCTTACTCTGAGATAACCACTGAAAACCTTTTGACATATCTTACTGGATTTATTTCCATGCACACATTATGTGCACACTTATGCAAATTTAAACAATAAAGTCATTACGTACTATAACTTTCTGTTATTCACTGAATACTATGTTAAGTGGCTTTCTGGATCAAGAAATATGTTAGTTACATCATTTTTGCTGTATAACATGCTGTTTTGAGTAACAGTTTAATCTCTTATTAATGGGTCTTTTGGTATTAGGGAAAAAGTCTAAGTAGTGTAATGTCTAAAAATGTTCATTTTAGGTAGTTCTTATTTTTCTGTTAAACAATGCAAAGTCTAGATTTAAAATAATCTTTATTTGAACCAAAAAGCTCTTTCTTAAAAAAAAAAATTAAACTTTGTTTATTTTTAATTTCATAGCAGGTGACTATTATAGTTTTCAAAGTATTATGTAAACATATTACTGCAATAATCTTTGAAACTTTTCTCTGAACTAGGCATCCTTGTTTTTGGCAACAGAATGTGAACATTACATATCCAGTTTGAATCTAATTTTAAAGAATTAACCACCCATGGTGGTATCTGCCTGTAATCCCAGTTACTCAGGAGGCTGAGGAAGGAGGATCGTTTGAGCCTAGGACTTTGAGACTAGCCTGGGCAGTATGATGAGACTATCTCAAAATGCATAAATAAAAATTTAAAAAAGAAAAGGGATTTTAAAAAACTAAATATCTTAATGGTGGAAATATTTTAAGAGGTATATTCTGCTATAAAAATAACATACTAATATGATTTTGTCTTTTCAGTCAAATTCTCAAATTGAAACTGAAATTGAAGTTCCATCGTCCGCAGTTCCAGAACACAGAATGTATGAAAATCAAAGTCAGGTGGTTCTTGTAGAAAACCTTCATGTTAACAAAACAAATGAAACAATCAGGTGAGTTTGCTTTTAATGAGAAAAAATAAGACTTTTCAAAGATAAAAGTTATATTTTTGCATAGTTGACTTTATATATTAATAACTTCACATCCTGAAAATGTTAAAAGGATAAAGTAATAAATACTTGTGATACTAGAGTCTTTTAAATCTGCTTCTCGAATACTGTATGAATTGCATGGCTGATATTCTCTTAAGTATATGATATTCCCTTAAGTATATGTAATTTCTCTGAAAAGTTTGACAAGCATCCTACTTTTTGGTACCAAAACTAAATTTTTAATAGTAGACAAAGATTCTTAAGTTCTCTGTATCTTTTTTAGAAATTTAGGCCAGGCGCAGTGGTTCACGCCTGTAATCTCCCAGCACTTTGGGAAGCCAAGACGAGAGGATCGCTTGAGTCCAGGAGTTCAAGACCAGCCTGGGCAACATAGTGAGACCTCGTCTCTATAAAAATAACAAATAAAAAAAAGAAAAGAAGTTTATAACCTACTGACTAAAATTCATTAATAGGTAGTGCTATAAAGTATACTTAACAGTATACTATATTTAGAGGTAACTACATCGAAGCCAAATGGTAAGAATGATATCTTTTAATTGAGATGAGCTAGTAGGGTGAAGAAGTTTTAACATTACCACTTTTATTTATTACTTGCTATCTGCCTTCTTATTATTAAAGCAAGATGTGTTCTTTTCTTTAGTAAAAACGCCTTTCCTTTCTGTATATAGTTCTTGGTCCATCTAACTTACTGTCTTAGTAACTAGAACATGTTTTAGTGAAGTATTTATTAATTTTCCTCCAGGATGTTTTCAGCACTTATGAATATACTTTAAATATTTCAGCTTCCTTTAATTAGGTAGAGTGACTTTGGCTTTCTGGGAAATGCAGAGGAGATGTTATTGTATCCTTTTTTAACCCTCTCTAGTTAGGTGAAGCTAGAATTTGGGCATGTTAGGTCATCTGTCAAAACAGGTGCTATTGATTTATATTTTCTTTTTATTATATTTACTTTTTGAGACAAGGTGTCTCACTGTGTCGCCCAGGATGGAGTGCAGTGGCGCAGTCACAGCTCACTGCAGCCTCAACTTCCTGGGCTCAAGCAATTCTCCCACCTCAACCTCTCGAGTAGCTGGGACCACAGGTGCACACCATCATGCCTGGCTAATATTTTTGTATCTTTTTGTAGAGATGGGGTTTCACCATGTTGCCCAGGCTGGTCCTGAACTCCTGAGCTCAAGTGAACCGCCCATCTCGGCCTCCCAAAATCTTGGGATTACATGGTGAGCCACCGTGCCCGACCTCTGTTAATTTTAGATGCTTGAAGCAGTTTGCTTTCATTTAGACGAGTTTCTAATGTGAAGTTTTTATTTTAGTATGGATTACTTTTTTTTTTTTTTTTTTGGAGACAGAGTCTCAGAGTGCAGTGGCTTGATCGTGGCTCATTGCAACCTTCGCCTCCTGGATTCAAGTGATTCTTGTGCTTCAGCCTCCCGAGTAGTTGGGATTGCAGGCACCCACCACCACACCCTACTAATTTTTGTATTTTTAGTAGAGATGGGGTTTCACCATGTTGGCCAACCTGGTCTCGAACTCCTGACCTCAGGTGATCCACCCACCTCAGCCTCCCAAAGTGCTGGGATTACAGGCATGAGCCACTGCGCCCAACCTGGATTACTTTTGTTTTCAATATTACAGCCCCTCCCCCTGCTTTTTGTCTTAAAAAGCCTTAAATTTTTTTTTGATATATAATAGTTATACATATTTTTGGACTACATGTGATATTTTGATACATTATACACAATATATAATTACCAGATCAGAGTAACTGGGATATCCATCACTTCATACTTTTATCTTTATATTGGCAACATAATTTTCTAGCTATTTTGAAATAATACAATAAATGATTGTTAACTATAATTTTTCCTACTGTACTACTGAATACCAGAACTTATTCCTTCTATCTAACTGTATTTTTATACACACTAACCAGCTTCTCATTACTCCCTTCCCTCTTGCCTTCCTAGCCTCTGGTGAGCACCATTCTAATCCCTACCTCCATGAGATCCACTTTTTAAGCTGCTACATATGAGTGAGAACCAGCAATATTTGTCTTTCTGTGCCTGGCTTATTTCACCTAACATAATGACCTCTAGTTCCATCTATGTCACTGTGAATGACAGGATTTCATTCTTTTTTATGGTTAAATAATATTCCATTGTGTATATATACCACACTTTCTCACTTTCTTTATTCATTTGTTGCTGGACACTTAGGTTGATATTATGTGTTGGCTATTGTGAATACCACTGCAGTAAACATGAGAGTTCAGATATCTCTTTGATACAGTGATTTCCTTTCTTTTGGACATACACCTGGCAGTAGGATGGCTCAATCAAATGGTAGTTCTATTTTTAGTTTTTTGAGGAACTTTCATACTTTTTTCCATAATGGCATTCCTACTTTATATTCCCACGAACAGCCTATGAGTTTTCCCATTTCTCCACATCCTGACCAGTATTTGTAATTTTTTGTCTTTTTAACAGTAGCCATTTTAACGGCAGTAGGATATCTCAGTGCAGTTTTGATTTGCGTTTCCGTGATGATTAATGATGTTGAACATTTTGTCAGACACCTGTTGGCCATTTGTATGTCTTTTGAGAACTGTCTGTTCTCTTTTGCCTATTCTTTAATCAGATTATTTGTTTTTTTGCTATTGAGTTGTTTTTGTTCCTTATATATTCTGGTTATTAACTTTTGTGAGATGGATAGTTGGGAATTTTTTCTCCCATTCTGTAGGTTGTCTCTTCACTTTGTTGATTGTTCCCTGTGCTATGCATTGAAAAGTCTTTCCATATTGCTTTTATTTTAAGATTAAGGCCAATTTTTACTTCACATTAATTTTAGGTTCCCTTAGCCATTTTTTCAGTTTTTAAAACTGGATATTTTATTGAAATGTTTTTTACTAAAATGCATTAGACTTATATTACAAATGCTATATTGGATTAGGTTGATGATTGATCTCAGAGCAATTTAACTCTGATAATGTCTAGGAAACATTACAGATGAATTTGTTTACATCATTCACTTCTCCTAATTACTAATTATGGGATTATTTTCTATGTATAATCCCTTTTTGATCTCAAAGAATTATAGAATTTTACCACTGAAAATAACCTTATATACTCATTTATTCCACAAACATTTTAGTGTCTGCTGTGTGCCAGGCATTGTTCTAAGTGCTGATGATGTAGGAATAAATGAAGAAAAAAATGCTGTCACTGTGGAGTTTATATTCTAATTGAGAAACAGATTATAAATGAGAAATAAGTTGAATAAATAAGTGATAAATCAGTAGAGAAAAATAAAGTTTTGAGTAGGGAGTGTTGTGACTGGGGATTCACTTTTTAATCAGCAGTGACCAGAGAAAGCTTCATTGAAAGGGTGCATTGAAGGCCGGGCATGGTGGCTCACACCTGTAATCCCAGCGCTCTGGGAAACCAAGGCGGGCGAATCACCTGAGTTCGGGAGTTTGAGACCAGCCTGACCAACATAGAGAAACCCCATCTCTACTAAAAATACAAAATTAGCCAGCCGTGGTGGCGCATGCCTGTAATCCCAGCTACTTGAGAGACTGAGGCAGGAGAATCGCTTGAACCTGGAGGCGGAGGTTACAGTGAGCCGAGATCGCACCATTGCACTCCAGCCTGGGTGACAAGAGCGAAACTCCGTCTCAAAAAAAAAAAAAAAGATTAGTTTTTAATGCAGATCTTTCAGAGAACTCAAGATAGGTACTTATATATCCAGTTATTCTTTATAAATATTCAGGTTTATATTAGTTTTTTTTTTTTTTTTTGGAGACAGAGTTTTGCTCTTGTTGCCCAGGCTGGAGTGCAGTGGTGCAACTTCGCCTCACTGTAACCTCCACCTCCCAGGTTCAAGTGATTCTCTTGCCTCAGCCTCCCGAGTAGCTGGGACTTCAGGCATGCACGACCATGCCCAGCTAATTTTTTATTTTTGGTAGAGATGGGGTTTTTCCATGTTGGTTAGGCTGGTCTCAAACTCCCGACCTCAGGTGATCCGCCCACCTCGGCGTCCCAAAGTGCTGGGATTACAGGCGTGAGCCACCGTGCCTGGTCTCTATTAGTTTTTAAGCTTCCTAATTCAGATCTTTGCCAGTTGCTAAAATATTGTCCAGGAAACCATTAGATAGCTATTCAGGTTACCTTGGGAGCTCTGGCTACTCTCTTGAATGCTAAAACGTCTTTTTGTTATTTGGCAGATACAGACGGATTATATTGAGAACCTTATGACATTGGTTGTCAGTAAACCCTTTTTAGTGAGAGTTCAGGCATCTGTTAGGAGAATAGACTCTACCCTTCAAGTCTACTTTAGAACTAGAAGTATCGAGTTGGTTATAACTGTCATATATTTGTTCATGCTTTGGGGGCCCAGTTGAAGGCATGTGTTTAAAGTGCCATTATGAAATCCATCTTCAGCTACTTGCCTTTTTTTTTTTGGTATCCTGTGATTTCTCTGAAAATTAAAGTAGCATGAAATCATATAATAGAATGAATAAATGAAAGTTTAAAAAGATTAATATTATTGTAAAACTTTTTCAGGCTCTATAGAAAATGGAAGCTATAAATGCTTTATAAGTTCTTTTCATATCAGCAATGTGTGGTTTCATTTTACATGCTTGATTTTATTGCCAATTTATATATAGTCCTTTGAACATAGAATTGATTTGTATCCAAAATTGTTTGATGTAACAGCTGTTATATCAACAAGAAATTCTGATTTTTGTTCTTCAACATGATTCATACTTCATTCTAGACATGAAAATAAACCGTATGTTCCTAGTTCAGCACAAATGACAAGAAGGAAATTCCAAAAGGCTAAGCCAAATTTGGGAAGAGCACACAGTAAGAAAGAGGAACCAGTTTTAGAAAAAGTCACAACAGATCAGAGCAAGGAAGGCAAGCCAGAAGATCATTTGCTGCAGAAAGGAGCTTCCAACACCCAGCTCCTTCTAAAAGTAAGTTTGGGCAAAAAAAAAAAAAAAATTTTTTTTCTCAATGAGGTCTGTTTTGTCAAGATCATGAAGAGCATGAGTAAAATACAGTTTTGACTTCTGTACTGTAACCATTTTCATGAAAAGTGACTTTCTAGTGTTGTAAAAGATGAGCAACCAACTGCTTGTAGATATGTGTAAACTTAGAGGTTTAGGCCAAACTACCAAACCAAATTAACATAGAGATTGTTTCTGTAGTAATACTAGCTAATTTCTTCTTAAATTTAAGGAAAAAGCTGAGCTTCTGACATCTCTGGAGGTTTCAGCAAGAAAAGATTGTGTAGGTTCCAAAGAGTCTGCTTTGGCAAAAATAGATGCGGAATTAGAAGAAGTTGGACCATCAAGAAGGGTTGGAGAGGAAACTGTAGGAGATAATTCACCATCTTCAGTTGTTGAAGAGCAATATCTCAATAAACTAACAAGGTAACATTTTATTTAACAAAATGTTTCACAATAAGAAATAAAAATCACTTAACTTTTACCTTAACTTACTGGTAGAACAAAATTTTTGGGTGTTGAGTCCATTAGACATGGGTAGAAACTTGACCAAAGAGGAGTATGTATGTATTAGCTAAGTAATTAAGGTGCTCATTCAAATGGAGTCACAAACACAAATAAAGAATACCCTACTTCTATAGTTTTCAAAGAAAATGGAAAGAAACTTAAGTTCTAGAAACCAGCACTGCTCTAGTGGATTTCTGCTGCCTCCTTTTTCTTTTAACCTATCTGTTTACCCAGTAGGATAAACTAATACCACATTTGATCTCATATTCTGTATTTATTGGTCCTGTGTCTTTTTTTGTTTTTGAGACAGTTTCACTCTTCTCGCGCAGGCTGGAGTACAATTGCGTGACTCGGCTCACTGCAACCTCCACCTCCCAGGTACAAGTGATTCTCCTGCCTCATCCTCCCGAGTAGCTGGGATTACAGGCGTGCACCACCGTGCCCAGCTAATTTTTGTATTTTTAGTGGAGATCAGGTTTCACCATGTTGGCCAGGCTGGTCTTGAACTCCTGACCTCAAGTGATCTGCCTGCCTCGTCCTCCCAAAGTGCTGGGAGTAGAGGCGTGAGCTACTGCGCCCAGCCGGTTCTGTGTCTTTTATCCCTTTTTCTTCTAATAATTTTCAGTTTTGTGTTTATTTTATCTTCACTTTCATATTACAGGAAAGAATGGTCCAGAATTAAAAACTTACTATGAAAAATTTGTAGGTAGATAACTAAGAATTAACTCTGAGTGAGAAACTAGTAGTTAATTCCTTTTTTATTTTCACAGCATAAGATTTTAAAAGAATGGGTGGTGGGAATTTTCATTTTAATGACTGGAACTGGAATTTCACTCTAAAAGTTTGGTTTTCATTAAAATTATCCTTGCATGCATATGACCTTATTGTTGTTTTGATTAAATATCTAGCTGTCCACAACCGTTAAACGAAACAAGTTACTCTAAAATTGCCCTGGATGGGAAAACAACTATCTCTTCTACATCTGAGTATGAGAGAAATCGTGGTGAAAGGAGAAGTCATAAAAAGTTCAAACCAAATGTCACCAGAGGTCGTGGATCAAAACGAGTTCGGGGTAAGACCTCTAAGAAGGAACCTAGAGCTTCCAAGGCCATGCTGGTGACTCTTCGGGCTTCCCAGGAAGAAGATGATGATGCTGACGATTTTGAGTCTGACTATGAGGAAGAAAGCTATCATCTTGCTCCCGAAGAAGTAAACAAAGCTCCAGTATTTGTACCTGTTGGTCTCAGATCTCCTGAACCTGTTTCTGCTCAGATTGAGGAAACAATGGAAGAGGTTCGGTTTTTTTTTAAAACCTTGGTACTTTATCTTACTTGGTTTTCACCTCTTGTTTCTTTTAGGGGATCATTATTTCTTCTCGTAGTGATTATTAGGATTTGAAGAGTTCATTCTCTAAATAACCTCTACCAAATATAATTTGGGGCCTTGTATAACCTTTTGTGATTGCTCAGTCCCTATGGCCCAGGCCCAGCAAGGGAGTCAGTGTAACAACGAGAGAAATCTGCTTACACTTGTACCTGGAAGCTGTTTAGTCTACTTTCTGATAATCTTTCTTTTTTTTTATTTTTTATTTTTTATTTATTTATTTTTTATTTATTTTTTTTTATTGATCATTCTTGGGTGTTTCTCGCAGAGGGGGATTTGGCAGGGTCATAGGACAATAGTGGAGGGAAGGTCAGCAGATAAACAAGTGAACAAAGGTCTCTGGTTTTCCTAGGCAGAGGACCCTGCGGCCTTCCGCAGTGTTTGTGTCCCTGGGTACTTGAGATTAGGGAGTGGCGATGACTCTTAACGAGCATGCTGCCTTCAAGCATCTGTTTAACAAAGCACATCTTGCACCACCCTTAATCCATTCAACCCTGAGTGGACACAGCACATGTTTCAGAGAGCACAGGGTTGGGGGTAAGGTCACAGATCAACAGGATCCCAAGGCAGAAGAATTTTTCTTAGTACAGAACAAAATGAAAAGTCTCCCATGTCTACCTCTTTCTACACAGACACGGCAACCATCCGATTTCTCAATCTTTTCCCCACTGTTCCCCCCTTTCTATTCCACAAAACCGCCATTGTCATCATGGCCTGTTCTCAATGAGCTGTTGAGTACACCTCGCAGACGGGGTGGTGGCCGGGCAGAGGGGCTACTCACTTCCCAGCAGGGGCGGCCGGGCAGAGGCGCCCCTCACCTCCCGGATGGGGTGGCTGGCCAGGCGGGGGGCTGACCCCCCCCACCTCCCTCCCGGACGGGGCGGCTGGCCGGGCAGAGGGGCTCCTCACTTCCCAGTAGGGGCGGCCGGGCAGAGGCACCCCTCACCTCCCGGATGGGGCGGCTGGCCGGGCGGGGGGCTGACCCCCCCACCTCCCTCCCGGACGGGGCGGCTGGCCGGGCGGGGGGCTGACACCCCCCACCTCCCTCCCGGACGGGGCGGCTGGCCGGGCGGGGGGCTGACACCCCTACCTCCCTCCCGGACGGGGCGGCTGGCCGGGCGGGGGGCTGACCTCCCCACCTCCCTCCCGGATGGGGCGGCTGGCCGGGCGGGGGGCTGACCCCCCAACCTCCTTCCCGGACGGGGCGGCTGGCCGGGCGGGGGGCTGACCCCCCCACCTCCCTTCCGGACGGGGTGGCTGGCCGGGCGGGGGGCTGACCCCCCACCTCCCTTCCGGACGGGGCGGCTGGCCAGGCGGGGGGCTGACCCCCACCTCCCTCCCGGACGGGGTGGCTGTTGGGCAGAGACGCTCCTCACTTCCCAGACGGGGTGGCTGCTGGGCGGAGGGGCTCCTCACTTCTCAGACGGTGTGGCTGCCGGGCGGAGGGGCTGCTCACTTCTCAGATGGGGCGGTTGCCAGGCAGAGGGTCTCCTCACTTCTCAGACGGGGCGGCCGGGCAGAGACACTCCTCACTTTCCAGACTGGGCAGCCAGGCTGAGAGGCTCCTCACATCCCAGACGATGGGCGGCCAGGCAGAGACGCTCCTCACTTCCCAGACGGGGTGGCGGCCGGGCAGAGGCTGCAATCTCGGCACTTTGGGGGGCCAAGGCAGGCAGCTGGGAGGTGGGGGTTGTAGCGAGCCGAGATCACGCCACTGCACTCCAGCCTGGGCACCATTGAGCACTGAGTGAACGCAACTCCGTCTGCCATCCCGGCACCTCGGGAGGCCGAGGCTGGCGGATCACTCGCGGTTAGGAGCTGGAGACCAGCCCAGCCAACCTCTGATTAATCTTTCAAACATTTTGGTGTTTTCTGGTTGATAGAGAAGCTAGAAGGGACATACTTTTTTTTTTTTGATTTGGACCAGGCATGGTGGCTCACGCCTATAATCCCAGCACTTTGGGAGGCCGAGGTGGGTGGATCATCTGAGGTCAGGAGTTTGAGACTAGCCTGACCAACAAGGTGAAACCCTGTCTCTACTAAAATACAAAAATTAGCTGGGCGTGGTGTCAGGTGCCTGTAGTCCCAGCTACTGGGGAAGCTGAGACAGGAGAATTGCTTGAACCCGGGAAGCGGAGGTTGCAGTGAGCTGAGATCGTGCCACTGCACTCCAGCCTGGGAGACAGAGCGAGACTCTATCTCAAAAAAAAAAAAAAAAAAAAAGAAGAGTGCTAAAATACATGTAACATAAAATTTACTATCTCTCTCTCTGTTTTTTTTTTTTTTTTTTTAAAGACGGGGTCTCAGTCTGTCACCCAGTCTGGAGTGCAGTGGTGGGATCTTGGCTCATTGCAACCTCCACCTCCCAGGTTTAAGTGATTATCCTGCCTCAGCCTCCTGTAGCTGGGACTACAGGTGTGCACCACCAAGCCTGATTAATTTTTGTATTTTTGGTAGAGGCAGGGTTTTACCATGTTGGCCAGGGTGGTTTTGAACTCTTGACCTCAAGCAATCCACCTGCCTCGGCCTCCCAAAGTGCTGGGATTACAGGCGTGAGCCACCATGCCCAGCCATCTTACTCATTTTTAAGTGTACACTTCAGTGGCATTAAGAACATTCACATGTACGTGTTGTCATGCTACCATCACTACCATCCATCCACAGAACTCTTTTTTAAAATTAATTAATTTAGAGATGGGGTTTCGCTATGTTGCACAGTCTGGTCTCAAACTCCTGAGCTCAGGCAATCCTCCTGCCTCGGCCTCCCAAAGTGCGGGGATTACAGGCACGAGCTACTGCGTTCTTTTTTAAGATGATTAAGACATCCCGCAATGAGTGGTTGTCCCCTAGCCTGGCAAAAAACCAAGATACAAGATACAAACACCCAACACCTGTCCCTTGAGCCCCATCTCTATGCCGTCTGGCCTGGTCACTCTCAGGTCTGCCTTGCACCCCTGGCGAACTCTTTTTATTTTGTTAAAACTGAAATTCTATACCCATTAAACAGTAACTCTCCATTCCTCCCACCCCCTAACCTTTTGGCAACCACTTTTCTACATCTTGTCTCTTTAATTTGACTCCTCATGTAAGTGGAATCATACAGTATTTTTTTGTGTGACCATTTTATTTCATTTAGCATAATGTTTTCACAGTTCATCTATGTTGTAGCTTATGTCAGAGTGTTCTTCATTTTCGAGGTTCAATAATATTCCATTGTGTGTGTGTATCATGTTTTGTTTATTCCTTTATCATCAATGGACACTTGGGTTGCTTCCACCTTTTGGCTGTTAGAAATAATGCTGGTATGAACATAGTTGTATAAATACCTCTTTGAATCTCTGCTTTTACTTTTTGCGGGATATACCCAGAAGTGGAATTGCTGGATCGTATGGTAATTCTTTTAATTCTTTTTTTTTTTTTTTGAGATGGAGTCTCTGTTGCCTAGGCTGGAGTAGAGTACAGTGGCGCAATCTTGGCTCACTGTAACCTCCATCTCCCAGGTTCAAGCAATTCTTCTGCCTCAGCCTCCCAAGAAGCTGGGATTACAGGCACCTGCCACCACACCCAGCTAATTTTTTTGTATTTTTAGTAGAGGTGGGGTTTCACCATGTTGGCCAGGCTGGTCTCAAACTCCTGACCTCAAATGATCCATCTGCCTGGGCCTCCCAAAGTGCTGGGATTACAGGTGTGAGCCACTGCACCCGGCCTCGATCTTATGTTAATTCTATACTTAACTTTTCAAGCAACCTTTATACTGTTTTTCATAGGGCTGTTATCATTTTACATCCCTATCAACAGTGTACAAGCATTGCAGTTTCGCTACATCCTCACCAGTCGTAGCTATGTTGTAACTTTGGCTAGTAATCATCCTAAGGGTTGTGAACTAGAGAAACGTGTTGAACATATTTAGCTTCCTTACACTTTTGCCTGTTAGTCTGCCATTCCAACTTTGTAACTTCAAAGTTTTCTGTTCTGCCTTAATTTTCAGTCACTTCTTTGGCTTACTGAGGAGCATATCTGAGTCAGTTTTGTGTAAGCATTCATGATAGTTTCTGAGTAATTTGAAATGAATCAGAGTTAACTAAGATAGTGGCAACAATAAAAGAAGCAGTAAGAAACAGTAAACAATTCAAGTAATGTTTAAGATAATTAAGGTAAACTTTACATGTTAATGTAATTCCATTAAGAATTAACGGATTATCTGAATCTGTAAAGTCACATTTATGAAGGGAAGTCAAAATCTACTTTTATTCAGTGTTAATAATAACCTGGTAAATGTTTTAGAGTAAATGAACTAATAAAATGGTTGAAGCTAATTTAAATGATGCAAAATGAGGTTGTTTCTTACAATTCAAAGTAAAGATAGTAAATGTAAGCATTATGTGAAACCAAGAAAATGCAGAAGGAAGAGTAATTTTGTGGAAAGATATCTGGTTAATGCTGCATGAGAGTTCATTTAGCTATATATTTTGTATTTTTCTTTAAGTGAAGGCAAATTGCTAGTGAAACTATCAGTAATTAATTTCTGAAAATTAGATTCCAGACTGTATCCCTGAATTAATACAGGCTATCTTTTTTAATAGCATTAATCATAGTAATTGACAAGGCTTTCCTTAGATTCTATTCCTTATGGCCAGCCTACTAAACAGGGAAATTCATATATATGTTAGAAAAAATGTTCTTTAAAAAGCATTGAGGCCAGGCACGGTGGCTCACACCTGTAATCCTAGCACTTTGGGAGGTTGAGGTGGGCGAATCACGAGGTCAGGAGTTCGAGACCAGCCTGGCCAACATGGTGAAACCCCATCTCTACTAAAAATACAAAAATTTGCTGGGCGTGGTGGTGGGCGCCTGTAATCCCAGCTACTTGGGAGGCTGAGGCAGGATAATCGCTTGAAACCAGAAGGCAATGGTTGTGGTGAGCCAAGATCACACCACTGCACTCCAGCCTGGGCGAAAGAGCGAAGCTCTGTCTCAAAAAACAAAAGCATTGAAAGGCCAGGCATGGTGGCTCATGTCTGTAATCCCAGTGCTTTGGGAGGTTGAGGCGGAGGATCAGTTGAGGGCAGGAGTTCAAGACCAGCCTATACAACATAGCAAGACCCTGTCTCTACATTCAGTCAATAAATTAGCAAGGTGTGTTGGTGCGTATCTATAATCCCAGCTACTCAGAAGGCTGAGTGGGGAGGGTTGCTTGAACCCAGGAGTTTGAGGTTACAGTAAGCTACAATCATGCCACTGCATTGTAGCCTGGACAACAGGAGGAGACAAAAGCTTTGAAGCACAATGGAATGTTTTTCAGCCCTAAAGGGATATAAAGTGTTGATATGTGTCACAACATGGATGAATTTTGGAAACCTTAGGCCAAGTGAAAGAAGCTAGTTACAAAGTATCGCATACTGTGTGATTCCATTCATATGAAATGTCCAAAATAAGGAAGTCCACAGAGACAGAAAGTAGATTAATGGTTGCCTAGGTTTTGGCAGATGGGGAAGAGAGGGGTTAAGGGAGAGATAGCTAATGGGTATAAGGTTTATTTTTGAAGTGACAAAAATGTTCCACATTTGAATGTGGTGATGATTGCACATATCTGTGAATATCCCAAAATACATTGAATTGTACACCTTAAGTGGGTTAACTGTATGTTATGTGAATTGCAAGTCTTTTTTAAAATAAACTGTATGATGCTTAAAAAACCAACTTTTACTTTATAGAATATTCCCTTTTCCCATCCAGTCCCAACTCTTCAAGAAGTATTTTTTCTTCTCAAATCATCTGAACTTTAAAATTTTTTTTTGTTACATTTATTTATTTTTCTTTTCTTTATTTTTATTTTTTTGAGATAGGGTCTTACTCCATTGCCCAGGCTGGAGTGCAGTGGCATGATTTCAGCTTGCTGCAACCCCCGCCTCCCAGGCTCAAGCAATCCTCCCACCTCAGCCTCCTGAGTAGCTGGGACTACAGGTGCACAACCACCACACCCGGCTAATTTTTTTTTTATTTTATTTTCAATAGAGATGGGGTTTTACCATGTTGTCCAGGCTGGTCTCAAACTCCTGAGCTCAAACAATCTGCCAACCTCAGCCTCCCAAAGTGCTGGGATTACAGGCATGAGCTACCGTGCCTGGCCTATTGTTTTTAAATTCATTTTTTTGGAGACAAGATCTTGCTGTGTTGTCCAGGCTGGCCTCAAACTCCTAGGCTCAAGCGACCCTCACACCTCAGCCTCCGAGTAGCTAGAACTACAGGCATGTGCCCCCGTGCTCACTTGAATTTTTTGGTTCATCCCAGTCCTGTCAGATATTACCAAAGATTTTTCTCTAAATTTTGTATCTGAGGAAACAGATGTGGTACATACAAATGTAATTATAACAAATATGTTGGCTGGGCACAGGGTCTCATGCCCATAGTCCCAGCACTTTGGGAAGCCAAGGTGGGCAGATCGCTTGAGTGCAGGAGTTCGAGACCAGACTAGGCAACATGGCGAAACCTCATCTTTACAAAAAATACAAAAATTAGGCATGGTGGCACATGCCTGTAGTCCCAGCTACTTGGAGGGCTGAGGCGGGAGGATTGCTTGAGCCTGAGAGGTTGAGGCTGTAGTGAACCCTGATAGTGCCACTGCACCGCAGCTTGGGCGATAGAGTGAGGCTTTGTCTCAAAAAAAAAATAACGTATGTCTTGAAGGCAGATTCTCAGACTTGACTCTTTACTCACAGTTTCTACTCAGCCATACAACGTTTTATACTGTTTTTTTCTGTTAATAAGAGAATAGGCCCAGGTGTTGTGGCCATCATCGCACCACCGCAGCTGGGGTGACATGAGTGAGACCCTGCCTCAGAATAACAAAAGAAAAACAAAAAAATAAGATAATAAGAACCAGACTATATTGTATGTATTCTAGTAGGTAAATACCTTTTTAGTGCTCAGATTACACGGCTCTTTAAGTAATAGGACTCACAAATGAAGAGTAAATATGAGTGAACTTCTTATTTTACATGGCTGTTGCCCTGGGTATCAAGAATCGTGCAGGCTTTGGGGTTTTGGGAGAAGGGAGTTGGTGTGGGGGCAGTGGTATGATAAATATTTTATTTATTTATTTATTTATTTTTGAGAACAACTTGTCACTCTGTTGCCCAAGCTAGAGTGCAGTGGCATAATCTCGGCTCAATGCAACCTCCACCTCCTGGGTTCAAGCGATTCTCCTGCCTCAGCCTCCCCAGTAGCTGGGACTACAGGCAGGCACCACCATGCCCGGCTAATTTTTGTATTTTTAGTAGAGATGGGGCTTCGCTGTGTTGGCCAGGCTGGTCTTGAACTCCTGACCTCAGGTGATCCACCTGCCTCGGCCTCCCAAAGTGCTGGGATTACAGGCGTGAGCCACTGCGCCTGGCCCGATAAATACTTCTAAGGGCTTTCAACTCATTATAGATAGCATTTATGACCGTATATAATTAGTTGATTACATGTCTGCTTTTCTGTTAGATTGTGAATTCATTGAGGATAGGGACTACACTTATCTTATTTGACTTTATATCCCTGTACACCTAGCCTTCTATAAATGTTAACAGACTGAACAGAGAAATTAGGGGGAAAGTGAGGACAAAGTGAAGAAAATGGAAAATGAAATGCCAGGCACTAAGAAGATGAGTCTTAGAAAATTTGCTTACTGGTTTTAATAGTCACAGCCACCTCAAAAATTTTAAATGTTTTACTTTTGCCAAGTTGCTGTCAGTCAATAAAAGAATTACTCCATTCCATTTTTTAAGTTATGTATGAATGTGGATTATTTCTTCATTTTAGCGTTTCATCTTACTTATTCATGTTGAAGATGAGGCTTTGTTTTGCTGTTTATAATATGCCAAAATGAAATGATAAAACTTTATTTTGACAGCTTGAAATAACTGTGAATGTCCCAGATGTAGGATGCATAGCTGTTGTTGAACATGAGCTACCAAACACAGATGTGACTACTGAAGAAATGAAACAAGAAGAAAATTTGAGTGTACCGTTTGTAAGCATCCATTTTAATATGTTTTGGCCTTTTATTCTTTGTTTACTTTGAAAAGACTGGAGGTTCCTTTTGATAGCTTTAGGTTTATAAACACTTTACTTAGCTAATTTCTCTTTGTAAGGAGCTGTTAGTCTGAGTAGTAAAAACTAGTGAAAGCAATGATTTTGTTTGTTTGTGGGCAGAGCTCTTAATATCCTCATAGACTTTTACATTAAAATTCAGTTGCATTAAATTTATACTAAGTATAAACAAGTTAAAATATATTCTGTTGCGTTTTATTTGCACTCTTCCATTATTGGTATTTATTTGCCTTTGCAAGCGGAGGCTTGAAATTGTAACTTTTTAAAAACAGCTTTATTGACATATAATTTACACACCATATGATTTTCTCATTATTTAAAGTGCACAATTAAGTGACTTCTAGTATCGTGCAAACATTATCACAGTCAATTTTAGGACATTTTCATCACCTCAAAAAGAAACCTTATTAGCAGTCACTACTCCTTTCCTCCCAACCCTCACTGGCCTGGGGAACCAATAATTTGCCTTCTGTCTTTATAGATTTGCCTGTTCTAGATGTTTCCTAGACATGAAATTATAAAATCTGATCATTTGTGTCTGGCTTTTTTCACTTAATGTAACATTTTTTACTGTTCATCTATGTTGCAGCATGTAGTGGTACTTCCTTACTTTTTGTAGCCTAATAATATTCCATATGGATATGGTACATTTTGTATATCCATTCATCCATTCATGAACATTTGGATTATTTTCATTTTTTGTGTGTTATACATAATGCTGCTGTAAACATTCATGTAGAAGTGTTTGTGTACAATATGTTTTTATTTCTCTTGGGTACATTTCTAAAAATGTAATTGCTGAGTCATATGGTAACTCTATGTTTCATCAGTTGAGGAACTGCCAAACTGTTTTCCAAAGTAGCTATACCCTTTTACATTCCCACCAGCAGTTTATGAGGGTTCCTGTTCTTCCATGTCCTTGCCGGCACTTGTTATTTCACTTTTTTTTTTGTTCGGTGGATTTTTTTTTTTTTTTTTGAGACGGCCTTGCATTGTCACCCAAACTAGAGTGCAGTAACACAATTGTAGCACACTACAGCTTTGACCTCCTGAGTGTAAATGATCCTCTCCACTCAGCATCCCAAGTAGCTGGGACTGCAGGTGTGTGCCACCATGCCCAGCTAATTTTTTTTTTTTGTAGAGGTGGGGTCTTGCTGTGTTGTTCAGGCTGGTCTCGTACTCCTGTCCTCAAGTGATACTTTTACCTCAGCCTTCCAAAGTGTTGGGATTACAGGCATGAGCCACTGTGTCTGGCTTGACTTTTTGGATCTAGCTGTCCTAGTGAGTGTGAAGTGGTGTCACATTGTGGTTTTGATTTGTATTTCCTTGGTGACTAATGATGTCAGGCACATTTTATGTTCCTATTGGCCATTTGTATATCATCTTTGAGAAATGTCTATTCAAATCTTTTGTCTGTTTTTCTTTTATTGTGCTATTTGTCTTTTTATTATTGAGTTGTAAGGAGTCTTTATATAATCTAGATAAAAGTTGCTTAGCAGGTATATGATTTGCAAATATTTCCTCCCTTTCTGTGGGGTTGTCTTTTCACTTTCTTGATTTCCTTTAAAGCAAAAAGTTTTAAATTTTGATGAAGTTCAGTTAATCTGTTTTTTCATTTGTTGCTCATGCTTCTGTTGTCAGATCTGAGTCCTTTGTCAAACCCAAGGTCATGAAGATTTACCCATTTTTCTTCTAAAAGATGATTTTTGCTTTTACGTTTAAGTCTTTGATCCATTTTGAGTTTATTTTTATACATGGATAACCTCATTATCCAACTTATGTCTTTTGCATGTTGCTATCCATTTGTCCTATCACCATTTATTCGAAAAGACTATTCTTTCCCCATTGAATAGTCTTGGCACCCTTATCAAAAATCAGCTGACCATAGATGTATGGGTTTATTTCTGAATTCTCAATTCTGTTGCATAGATCTATATGTCTGTTCTCATGCTGGTGATGCTATATTGATTACTGTTACTTTGTAGTAAGTTTTTTTTTTGTTGTTGTTGTTGAGATGGAGTCTCGTCTGTCGCCCAGGATGGAGTGCAGTGGCATGATCTCAGCTCACTGCAAGCTCCGCCTCCTGGGTTCACACCATTCTCCTGCCTCAGCTTCCCAAGTAGCTGGGACTACAGGCGCCCACCACATTTTGAGACGGAGTTTTCCTCTTGTTGCCCAGGCTGGAGTGCAATGGCGCGATCTTGGCTCACCACAACCTCTGTCTCCCTGGTTCAAGCAATTCTCCTGTCTCAGCTTCCCGAGTAGCTGGGATTACAGGCATATGCCACCACGCCCTGCTAATTTTGTATTTTTCGTAGACACGGGGTTTCTCCATGTTGGTCAGGCTGGTCTCGAACTCCTGATCTCAGGTGATCCACCCGCCTCTGCCTCCCACAGTGCTGGGATTACAGGCATGAGCCACCGTGCCCGGCCTGGGATTGTTTTCTTAATTTCATTTTTGGATTGTTCGTTGCAAGTGTGTAGAAATAAAAATGATTTTTGTATATTAGCTTTATATCCTGCAACTTCTTTGGTGGATTCCTTAGGATTTTCTATTTGTCAAATCATGTCATCTGCAAATAAAGATAGTTTTACTTCTTTCTGTATTAGTTTCCTAGGATCACTGTAACAAAGTACAGATGCTCCTCGACTTATGAGGAGATTATGTCCTGATAAACCCATCATAAAATAACAATTTTTTTTTTTTTTTTAAAGACAGAGTCTCACTCTGTTGCCCAGGCTGGAGTGCAATGGCGCAATCTTGGAGGCTCACTGCACCCTCCGCCTCCCAGTTTCAAGTGATTCTCCTGCCTCAGCCTCCAGAGTAGCTGGGATTACAAGCGCCCGCCACCACATCCAACTAATTTTTGTATTTTTAGTAGAGATGGGGTTTCACCATGTTGGTCAGGCTGGTCTCGAACTTCTGACCTCAGGTGATCTGCCCACCTTGGCCTCCCAAAATGCTGGGATTACAGGTGTGAGCCACCGTGCCCGGCCTAAAATAAAAAAATTTTAAGTCGGGTACTCTTTGCACCACAAACTTGATAGCTTATAACCACAGAGAATTCTCCAGGCACTTATGGAGATGAGAAAAACAAAACAAAACAAATTTATTCTCTCACAGCTTTAGAGTCTAGAAGTCTAAAATCAAGGTGTCACCAATGTTGGTTCCTTCTGGAGGCTCTGAGGAAGAACCATCCCATGCCTTTCTCCTGCCTTCTGGTGGTAGCCGGCAGTCCTTACCATTTCTCAGCATGCAGCAGCATACTTCCACCCTCTGCCTCCATTACCACATGGCATTTTCCCCTTGTGTATGTGTAACCTCTCATCTTATAAGGAAAGGACACCAGTCATATTGGATTAGCACCAACTCTAATCCAATATGACCTCATCTAAATTTGATTATATCTACAAATACCCTATTTTTAAATAATGTCATATTCACATTATTTGGGTTTAAGACTTTGACATATCTTTCTAGGGGACACAATTCAACCTTTGATACTTTCTGACCTGAATGCCTTTTATTTCTTTTTCTTGCCTAACTGCCCTGGCTAGAACCTATAGTTCAAAGTTTAATAGAAGCGAGAGTGGGCATTTTGGTCTTATTCCTGATCTTAGGGGTAAAGTATCCAGTCTTTCATCATTTATTTTTTTCATAATTGAGATTTTATTGGTTGTGTTGAGGATCAGTACACAATTCTTCACATTTATACCGAAAATCTAAAAAGCCATGTATTGTAATTATTTTTAAGTTACTCTGGTGACTTTCCAGCTTAAAATTTGGAGGCAAGTTTTCATTAAAAGGCTATCAAGTACCAGTATCCTTACATGTTGATAAACTGTTACATACTTCCACAATTTGCAGTTAAATAGCATATATACTGCATACTCAAATTTTCAGTCTTTCACAGCACATTAACAAAATTATTAGGAAAACAGGACTACCACAACCAAAGATTTATAGAGTGCATACAATTCTGACAGGGAGAGCCATGATCAAGGAGTGGTTTTCTTTAGGAAGCAATTCTGCTAAAAAACAACATGGGCCCAGGCGCGGTGGCTCATGCCTATAATCTCAGTAATTTGGGAGGTGGGAGGATCACATGGTAGTTCAAGGCCAGCCTGGGCAACAGAGGGAGACTCTGTCTCTACAAATATGTTTTTTAAAAGTTGGCCAGTCATGGTGGCATGCGCCTGTGGTCCCAGCTACTGTGGAGGCTGAGGCAGGAGGATCGCCTGGGCCCAGGAGGTTGAGGTTGCAGTAAGCTGTCATCGCCGTCACTGCACCCCAGTCTGGGCATCAGAGCAAGACTCTGTCTCAAACAAACCTGAACCAGGTCGAGCGCGTTGGCTCACGCCTATAATCCCAGCACTTTGGGAGGCCGAGGCAGGCAGATCACAAGGTCAGGAGTTTGAGACCAGCCTGGCCAACATGGTGAAACCCCGTCTCTACTAAAAATACAAAAAATCAGCCGGGCATGGTGGCACATGTCTGTAATCCCAGTTACTTGGGAGGCTAAGGCAGGAGAATTGCTTGAACCCAGGAGGCGAAGACTGCAGTGAGTGGAGATTGCACCATTGCACTCCAGCCTAGGCAACAGAGCAAGACTCTGTCTCAAAGCCAAAAAACCAAAAAACCAAAAAAAAAAAAAAAAAAAAAAAGAACCAGAACCAAACCATGGGAATAAAAGTAACTTAAAAATTTCAAGACATCAGATACAGGACTGTGACTCCATATTGCCAGTTAATATAGTGGAATGTTAAGATGATACCCAAGACAGTCAAAGCCTCCCATAATTCAATATCGCACACTGTTTTCTGGTTGTACCAAAAAATAAACAACTGGAAAATGATTTTTACCCTTAAAAGCATGTACACTTAAAAAATGGGATGAGGTGGGATTTCCTTCTTCTTAAAAATGTTTCTAGAGTTACTAAAAAACTTGCATTTGTGAAATAGTTGAGAAAAATATTCCTCTGGAATGTACAAGAAGGGAGACAGGTACTATTGGTAAGACATAGTATATGATATTAATCAGACTTGGCTTTTTTTCTCTCTGGGCTTCATCAGAGGCTGGACTTTCCTTGGTTTTTGTTTCTCTGTTTTCTGTAGGTAAATCTGATTTCTTGGTTAGCCACTTTGGTTTGTTTTCCCTTTGTTCCCCGTTTTTCTCTTGTTTGCACTTTTTTTGTCTGGAGATTTATCCTTTCCTGCTGCCTTTTTTGGCTTTGTTTCCACTTTTGCAGGAGCAGGTTTAGCTGACAGTCATACTAATCTCATCTTGGGCTCTTTCCTTCACCGCCCTTCTGCTGAGCTGATCTTCCTCTTGGGCATCTTGTGGTCAGGAGTGTGCATGCTGGGTGCCTGTGAGCCGCACCATGCTGAGAGCCTTCTCAAAGCTGGGCTGCCTGGCTGCTACCACTCCTCCCATCCTGTCTTATCATTAAGTATGATGTTACCATGGATTTTTCATAAACGTCCTTTACCAGGCTAAAGAAGTTACTTTCTATTCCTAGTTTGTTGAATGTTTCTTTCATTAAAGGGTGTTGGAATTTGTCATATGCTTTTTCTGCATTTATGGAGATGATCATGTGAATTTTGTTTTTCATTGTATTTTTTGGACGTTAAACCAACCTTGCTTCCCCAGGATAAATTCTAGGATCATAATGTCTAATTTTTATTCATTGTTGGATTCAGCTTGCTAGTATTTTATTGGTGATTTTTATGTCCATATTCATAATAGATATTGGTCTGTACTTTTCTTGTGATGTCAGGAGATGAAGTCCTACTCCCCTAGGGAAAAATGCTCTCCAGGTGGGACCTTGGGGACTGGGGGCCTTGTATTTTTGGGTGCAGCAGTTTGAGGTGGAGTCTCTGCCATGCTGAGCTGGGAGGAAGGAGAGAGAAAGAGCAGTGTTAGTTCACATAGACTCTCACCTTTGTTAGCAAATTTTCAGATTTTCTTGAACAGATATTTCTTCATTTGCTTTTTGTCGTTAGGATCAGTTTCAGAGGCTTTTAAATGTTTTGTTTTTAAAATCAGTTTCACTGAGGAGTGGGTCAGTGAAGCTTCTCAAGCTGTCGCTCTGGACATTGGTTCTGTAACTTCTTAATTTATTAAAATGCATTTAAGTTTTAAGCTACGTAGTAGTATAAAAATTTTGCAATACCCTTTAGGCCTTGGTTTCCATTGGGTAAAAATTGGCAGCAGATATGACTAGAGTTGAAGGATTATGAAAATGAAGAAGTAAAGTAAGAATGGTAGACGTACATAACAAAATGATAAGAGTTAAAATTTGCACATAATACAAGAAAAAGATAAAGTCAGGAGCAAGAGACACAAGAATTTTGCCTTTAAATTGTTTATGTTCTTGCTGGTGAAATTTTGTGAATAATTATAAATTAAGACAAACCAGTTTACACTATTGTAGCTAAAAGTATGGAAAGACCTCTGAAAATGTAGTGCATGCTGAGAAACAGAACATGTTTGGGGAAGTATTTTAAGATGTTACTTATTTTTTTCCTTTTTAGGAAATGACCACAAGTGAACATATCCAAGATGAACCAGGTAACTGTTATCAAGGAAACTGCTAAGACTACCTTGATTAACACTAGTACAGTGATTTAATAGTGGGGATAATAAATGAATCAGTTTGCTGGAGAGTTTAACAAAAAGATTCAGCTATTGAATGTGTTGTCTCTGTGAGAAATGTGGATTCTTGGAATGTTATTTTAGAAGGTGAATTAAAAAAATGTTTAAGAAGTATTTGAGCATTTCCTCTGGATCTTCACAAATGGGAGAGCATTTTCCTTGAAGATATTATTTAATGGGAGGGAGGCATGGTCAGTGAGTCAAAACCAACAGTGATGATTTATTTATTTGTAGCATATAACCTGAACAAAAGACTACCTTAGTAAGGGATTAATGGCTCAGAGGATATTGGAATCTGCTCCTAGGAGATAAACACCTTAATTAAAAATCTTTTTTAAGTGAACAGATTTCCGGATTCATTCTTTTTTTTAATGTTGATATATTTCCTCACAAGGTACCAATGATGGAAGCACCGAAGCTGCAATAACTTTACTTACAATGGGAGATCTAGTATTGCAGTCAGAGATCAGTAGTGAACAGGGTGATGGTAAGAATGAAAGCTAAGTCCTATCAAAAATAGAAACTTTTAAAACCTAACTTAAGAAATTATACCCACATTTGAGTAATAACCCTTTTACCTTTGAAGTTGTCTCCATTTTGTTGTTCTTCCATAAAATATGATATGTATGTATTGATCCATCCACTATTTTACTACTGTTTAGGTGTAGTGACAGCTAATTCAAGATCATGCTCTTGGTTTATTAAGAATAATTTGTATTCATGGAATAGTTGTATGCATGGAATAGTTGTATGCATGGTAAAGGTAGTGAATACTACCTTTACCATCATAAATGTCATTGGTTAACTGAGCTCATTGATCACTGATATAGTTTATACATGTGTCTTTTGCAAAGGAGTTGCTGCTTGGGATGGTATTCACAATTAGATGACAAATAGAGCACAAAGAGACAATAGCACTCATTGAAATAATTTAGTTTAAACTGTTCTCAGTTTGGACAGAGCCAAAAGATATATCAACCAAGATTTTTAACTTATTAGATGGAAATCACAGACAAGTGATAAATCTTTACTATCTCAATATCTTTTAATTGCATGAAATGAATAATTATACTATTCCTGGTAATTATTTTGCCTGGTTACCATTCATTTTATTTACTTATTTATTTATTTGAGACGGAGTTTGGTTATGAGTAGCCTACCATTCATCTTATTTATTTATTTGAAGCAGAGTTTCGCTCTTGTCACCCAGGCTGGAGTGCAATGGTGCGATCTTGGCTCACTGCAACCTCTGCCTCCCAGGCTCAAGCAATTCTCCTGCCTTAGCCTCTCAAGTAGTTGGGATTACAATCGCATGCCACCATGCCCAGCTAATTTTTGTATTTTTAGTAGAGTTGGGGTTTCACCATCTTGGCCAGGCTGGTCTCGAACTGCTGACCTCAGGTGATCCACCCGTCTTGGCCTCCCAAAGTGCTGGGATTACAGGCATGAGCCACCGCACCCAGCTTCCATTCATTTTAAGTATTAGACTTTTGGGCCAGATGCAGCAGCTCATGCCAATAATACCAGCACTTTGGGAGGCTGAGGCTGGTGAATGCTTGACTTCAGGAGTTCAAGACCAGCCTGGGCAACATGGTGGAACCCCGTCTCTACAAAAAATACAAAAAATTAGGCAGGCATGGTGGTGTACACTTGTAGTCCTAGCTGCTTGGGAAGCTGAGGTGGGAGGATCGCTTGAGCTCAGGAGGTCAAGGCTGCAGTGAGCTGAGATCGCACCACTGCACTCCAGCCTGGGTGACAAAGTGAGACACTGTCTCAAAAATAGATAAATAAAGACATATTAGACTTTTAGGCTTGGAACCATGTATTTATCAGGAAAGTCTCTGATTTGTGTTCTGTATAGGGCTCCTTTCTTAGTGGCAGAGTATTGCAGTACAGCCTGTCAAAAACATATAGAACATAAAGTACATATAGAACATAAAGGTTTTAAAAATCTTAAATGCTGACAGTGCTGTCTTGAAATCCATCTGAGATTATATAATTACTGAAAGTAACAAAAGAACTCATTTTTACTAATAATCGGATAAAATTCCAGTCTGTAAGGATTATTAAGCTCACAACAGGTCAAATCCCTGGCATGAAATAGGGAGATCATAAATTTACAGCCAACAAGGGCAAAATTTATTTATTTCTAAAATCTTTTTCTATTGCTGCCACACAAATGAAGCAAACTTTAATAATACAGAATTTTACAATTACTAAATGTTGAGGAATTTATTTTGAGCATCTATAATTTGGTCCATTTTAATTTTGTTTTTTTTTTTTTTCTTCAGTAGGAGTATGTATAATTCCTCATGTTCATTCAAAGGATAAAAGCCATATTCCTTCTAGCCTAGATAATGTAAATCACAAAATTGTTCATGAATGTCAGGAACTTTCTTCACCTGTCATTACTACATCTCCTGCATCATTTGAAGAAAACAAGATTGTATTGGAGGAACAAAGTTCCAGAGAAGAAATAAGTTTAATGGAGAAAGTAAAGGAGAATGCTACACCAACCAGGTTTATTTTAGTATTCAATTAATAAATATTACTAAAACCACCATCAAATTAGTTAATAGCTTTGAGTAATGCTTTAAATGTAAAGTAGGCAATGCTAATTTCTTACCCTTTAAAGATAGACTGATTTTGATTTTAGGTTAGTGGTTTGCATGTTTAAATTATAGTAGTAAATGTTGTGTATCTTTGAAGCTTTAATGAAATAGATTTATGTAAATGTCTCTGTTTTACAAATACAGACTAAATTCTCTTCTTAAGACCTCTAGTAAAGTTACTACTTTGTAATTTTAGTATTAAGAAATGAACACTTGTAGACAGTGTGGCACCTAACAGGTCATTCACTCTATCAGTGCTAGACAGACTGTATTAATGTGAGAGAGCAAGATCTAACATGATTCATGAATTTCTCTATCTTCTGTTTTTAGGAATACAATTTCTAAAGTGACCAGTAATTTGAGAATAAGAAGTAGGCTTGCTAAGCCTAAACCAAATCTTGAGAAGACTTTAGGGACCAACAGGCTTGATGATTATCAGGAAGTTTCCAGTTTGTGTGTAACCAAAGGGGCAGAAATGGAAACTCAAAGAGGTAAATTTTATTCTCTTAATATGTTGCAAAATCATTTTGACACAAGAAATTACATTAACATTTCAAAGAAATATTTGGTCATTAAATTGTTTTAACTTACAATAAAATAGTTTCAAATTAAAAAGTAAGACGAGCTATAAAATAAATACCCATAAATCTACCAATTGGTTTTAGTAATTAATACCATTTTGCTACATTTGTTTGATCAATTTTTTGTCCTTTTATTCTCTCTCTGTCTCTCTCTTTCTCTCATTCTCTCTCTCTCATAGTTGACCCTTGAACTAGGGGCACTGACCTCCCCATTCAGTCAGAAATTTGTGTATAGGCTGGGTGCAGTGACTCACACCTGTAATTCCAGCACTTTGGGAGGCTTGAGCCCAAGAGTTCGAGGCCAGCCTGGACAATAGTGACACCCTGTCTCTTATGAATTGAAAACATATATATATATATATTCATGTATAACTTTTGACTCCCCAAAAACTTACCTACTAATGGCTTACTGTTGATCAGAAGCCTTATTGATAAGATAGTTAATTAACACATATTTTGTATTTTATTTGTGTTATATACTGTATTCTTATGATAAAATGGGCTGGAGAAAATTAAAAAAAAATTGTTTTTTCTGTTTTTTCAACTCATGTCCTTGAGCCGTAGAGAAGTGAAAATGTTATGAGCCATAGAGAAATGAAAATGTTATGAGCCATAGAGAAATGAAAATGTTACTAAGAAAGTCAGACTGGGGCTGGGCACAGTGGCTCATGCCTGTAATCCCAGCACTTTGGGAAGCCAAGGTGGGTGGCTCATTTGATGAAACCAGACTGGGCTGGGCCACAAGGCAAAATCCCATCTCTACAAAAGTACAAAAATTAGCCAGGCATGGTGGTGCATGTCTGTAGTCCTAGCTACTCAGGAGGCTGAGGTGGGAGTATCACCTGAGCCTGGGGAGGTTGAGGTCGCAGTGAACTGTGATCATGCCACTGTACTCCGGCCTGGGCAGCAGAGTGAGACTTCATCTCAAAAAAAGAAAAAAGAAAAAAGAAAATCAGGCTGGGCACGGTGGTGGTGCACACCTGAAATCCTAGCCCTTTGGGAGGCAGAGGCAGGAAGATCACGTGAGCCCAGGAGTTTTGAGACCAGCTTGGGCAATATAGGGAGACCTTGTCTCTACAAAATAATTTTTAACAGTTAGCCAGACGTGGTGGCACACACCTGTGGTCCCAGCTACTCAGAGGTTTGAGCTCGCCAGATCAAGGCTGTCGTAAATTGTGATATTGCCACTGCACTCTAGCCTGGGTGACAGAGCAAGACCCTGTCTCAAAGAAAAATAAAAGGAAGAAAATTATAAGGAAGAGAAAATACATTTTCAGTACTGCATTGTATTTATTAGTACCAAAAGTTTATGTCATCTGTTTACAAGATGAAACATCTGTCTGAAATGGTGGGCAACCCCAACTACAGGTGTCAACCTGTAATACATATCAAGCAATTCAGCTTTTTCTTACAATGTTATGACTCTCTCTGCTTCTTGGGAGTGCTTCCAACATCATTAATGATACTTTGTATGGGTCCCATGGGGTTATTCACAATATTGCACTAAACATGATGAAAAATACATGAGAACCATGAGAGGTCACCTTTTCTAAAACCTCTCTCAACGTGCAGTCTCAAATTACCTCTTCTATATAGAAGTCTTTTTTTCCCCGTTTGTGATATTATTCTTTGCAGTGCAGCTCCTTTTCCAAGACTTCCTCTAAAGTGGAACTAGCCCAACCTCGGTGTACCCACCTCGAAGTCTCTTTTATATGTTGAGTTTCTAATTATTGATGCTAGTACCATAAAATGAGGATACAATTATCATGGCAGCCATGAGTGAAATTTTTGTAGAACAGGATTTATTAATCATGTGTTTTACTGTTCAAAAATCTATTAGCTAGGACTTTCTGCCATGTGTATAAGCCTGATTTGTGGAATAAGAGAAGTTTGGAAGAGTCACTATATAGGAATCTTCCTTTTAAGAGGGCATATGTTTCTAATACAGGGATTTTAGCTGTATTATTTTGGTCTATATCGTAAGTGTGCTTTTTGTTTAAGAAACAGAGAAAAATGCTTCCAAAGCAACAGAATTGGAAAATAAAAACCTCGGACCAGTTACAACAGCAGAGAATAAGGATCAGAGCAAATTGGCATGTGTACATGGTATCAAAGGGACCAGTATTTCTTCAGAAGTAAACCTAACTGAAAGGTAAAAGAGTGAAGAGGTTCTGAGATTCAGTTTATATTGTTTCAGCTATAGCCTTAAGTTGTGGCTGTAAGAATTTGAAAAAGAAGTTCTGGCCGGGCACGGTGGCTCACGCCTGTAATCCCGGCACTTTGGGAGGCCAAGACGGGAGGATCACGAGGTCAGGAGATCGAGACCATCCTGGCTAACACGGTGAAACCCCGTCTCTACTAAAAAATACAAAAAATTAGCCGGGCGTGGTGGCGGGCGTCTGTAGTTGTAGCTACTTGGGAGGCCGAGGCAGGAGAATCGTGTGAACCTGGGAGACGGAGCTTGCAGTGAGCCAAGATCGCGCCACTGCACTCCAGCCTGGGCGACAGAGTGAGACTCTGTCTCAAAAAAAAAAAAAAAAAAAAAAAAAAAGTCCTATTGCATTAAATATGTTTTAAAAGTTTGAAAACCATTGAATTAGATGATCTTTTACACACCTAGCTCTAAAAATAATTCCATGATTTGCCTGATTTCAAATGACATGCATGCTAAACTCTCTTTCAGAAACGAAAATCAAGAAGAGAGCTCTCAGGAGGTTCACATGTTGTCAGTTGCTCCAGTTGCTTCCTCTGAGACAGGGCCCTGCACACTTGGTTTGGATAGGGGTCTTGGTGAAAATTCTGTTGAAGAGCCCCAGATAAAGGACTCTAAAGGAGACAGTGTGCTTACACTTCCTGTGCCAGAGGTAAAAGAATGTACAGTATAATAAGGGATAGCAAGGTGTTTTCCTCCATTTAAAAAAAAAAAGGTATAATTTACATACAATAAACTTCACCTCTTTTATCTTCATTTTTCTTTATTTCTTCTTTTTTTTTTGGAGACAGTCTTGTTCTGTTGCCCAGGCAAGAGTGCAGTGGTATGATCTCAGCTCACTGCAACCTCTGCCACCCAGATTCAACAGATTCTCCTGCCTCAGCCTGCCAAGTAGCTGGGACTACAGGCATGTGTCACCACAGCCAGCTAGGTTTTGTATTTTTAGTAGAGACGGGATTCGCCATATTGGCCAGGCTGGTCTTGAACGCCTGGCTTCAAGTGATCCACCTGCGTTGGCCTCCAAAAGTGTTGGGATTACAGGCATGAGCCACTGTGCCTGGCTAACTTCACCCTTTTTAGTGTACAGTTCTTCAGGTTTTTATAACTATGCAGTCATGTAACCAATACATGAACAGTTCCATAAAAAGTTCCCCAAGTGAGAGAAGCCTTGGACTTGAAGAACATGTATACATTATCCAGTTAAAGGGAGAGGAACGTGTGTGTAAAGAACAGGTGTGGACCGGTTGCAGTGGCTCACACTTTTAATGCCATTAAAAAAAAAAAAAGCCAGGCATGGTGGCATTTGCCTGTAGTCCCAGCTACTCAGGAGGCTGAAGTGGGAGGATCGTTTCAGCCTGGGAGGTAGAGGCTGCAGTGAGCTGTGGTCGCCATGCACTCCAGCCTGGGAGACAGAGTGAGACCCTGTTTCCAAGAACAAACCAGTATGAAACAGCATGTAAGCAGTATGAGTGGAATATTAATGAAGAAAGTGATTAGAGATGAACTTAGAAAGATAGCCTGCAGACAGATCATAAAAGGATTTTTATGACTTGCTAAGGAGTTTGGTTACATTTAAAGTTACGAGATTCCTTACCCCACCCTGACTTTTTAATTTTTACTTTTTATTTTGAAAAATTTTAAACTTAGAAGTTACAAAAATCTTACAAAGAATTATCCCATACACTTCACTTTGATTCATTAATTGTCAATATTTTGCCTCATTTGTTTTTTTACTCTGTCTTGCTCTCCATCTGTATAGATAAATACTTGGCTGGGTGGGGTAGCTCACGCCTGTAATCCCAGTACTTTGGGAGGCCGAGGTGGGCAGATCACCTGAGGTCAGGAGTTCAAGAACAGCCTGGCAAACAAGGTGAAACCCCATCACTACAAAAATACAAAAATTAGCCAGTCGTGGTGGCATGCACCTGTAATCCCAGCTACTTGGGAGGCTGAGGTGTGAGAATTGCTTGAACCCAGGAGACAGAGGTTGCAGTGGCCAAAGATCGTGCCATTGTACTCCAGCCTGGGCGACAGAACAAGACTCTGTCTCAAAAAAAAAAAAAAAAAAAAAAAAAAAACCAAAAAACTGAATCATTTGAAAGTAGGTTGAGTCCATAAATACCTCATCTTGTATCTAATAAGGACAAGGAAGTTCTCTTACAGAGAAAGGACAGTACTGTTGTCACACTCAGTATTACTACACTATTTAACATTGTCTCAACAATATGTAATATACAGTTTCATTCCAGTTTCCCTAGTTGTCCCAATCATGTCCATTATAGCTTTTTTTCTTTTTGAGACAGAGTCTTACTCTGTCACCCAGGCTGGAGTGCAGTGGCACGATCTCAGCTCACTGCAACCTCTGCCTCCCAGGCTCAAGTGATTCTTGTGCCTCAGCCTCCCAAGTAGCTGGGATTAAAGGTGTGTCCCACCACACCTGACTAATTTTTTCGTATAATATTTTTAGTAGAGATGGGGTTTCACTATGTTGGCCAGGCTGGTCTTGAGCTCCTGGCCTCAAATGATCTGCCCACCTCAGCCTCCCAAAGTGCTGGGATTACAGGTGTGAGCCACCACGCCTGGCCAGCTTTTTTTTTATTTTTCTTAAATTCAAGATCCAATCAGGGCTCTCACATTGCATTTGATTATCCTTTCTCCTTATTTTCCTTTAATCTAGAGTATTTTTCTTGTCTTTTTGTTCACAAAAGAGAAAAAGCAAGAGAAGTTTAGACCAGTCTAGGCTGGCCTACAGTCTGGATTTCTTTTTTTTAATTGCTTCCTCATTACTAGATTCAACTTACATATTTTAGGGCAAGATTACTATATAGGTAATAATGTGTTCTTCCTTTTATATCACATCGGGAGACACATAATGTCAGTTTGTCCCATTATTGGTGATGCTGACTGATCACTTGGCTAGAATGGTACCTACCAGATTTCTTCATTATAATGGCATCTTTTCCATTCTGTATTAGTAACTTGTCAAATGAGACCAACGCAGCAAGCTGTTACCCTGTAGTTTTAATATCCACTGATGATTCCTGCCTTAATCAGTTACTGACATTGTTGGTTACAAAATGAAAGTTTTAAGATTTTAAGCAGGCCAGGCGCAGTGGCTCACACCTGTATTCCAGCTCTTTGGGAGGCTGAGGCGGGTGGATCATGAGGTCAAGAAATTGAGATCATCCTGGCCAACATGGTGAAACTCTGTCTCTACTAAAAATACAAAAATTAGCTGGGCATGGTGGTGTGTGCCTGTAGTCCCAGCTACTCAGGAGACTGAGGCAGGAGAATTGCTCGGACCCAGGAGGCAGAGGGGCGGAGGTTGCAGTGAGCCGAGATTGTGCCACTGCACTCCAGCCTGGCGACAGAGCGAGACTGTCTCAAAAAAATAAATAAATAAATAAAATAATAAAAGATTTTAAGCAGTAGAAGCCCGGCATAGTGTCTTACACCTATAATCCCAGCACTTTGGGAGGCCTAGGTGGGTGGATCACTTGAGCCCAGGAGTTTGAGACCAGCCTGGGCAACATGGCAAAACCCCATCTCTACCCTTGAAAAATACAAAAAAATTAGCCAGGTGTGGTGGCGTGCATCTGTACTCCCAGCTACTCAGGAGGTTGAGGTGGGAGGATCGCTTGAGCCCAGGAGGCGGAGGTTGTGGTGAGCTGAGAGATTTTAAGCAGTAGAGAATTACAGTCAGGATTGCATTTTAGAAAAACCATGTTTGTGGTTTTTTGGAAAACAGGAGGGAACCATACTGCATGCAGGGAAAGCAGTTTGCCTTCATTCAGATGTCACCTACTAATAGTACAATGGCTGGTGTGATGGGAGTAGAGAAAAAGTTGTGGGGTTTGGGTCTCCCTATCCTGTCACTTCAAAAATCATTTCATAAAATGCACATATTTAACAATGTAGTCAGGATTCTTTGTATTAATATTTATTTAAATGAATCAAAAGTTTATTGGAACAGCCTAAAGCTTCAAACACTTGAAAACTGTATATGGTTAGATGTTGTTGAGTTAATCTCTTCACTATATCATATTGACAGGAATAACTTTTTAAATGTAAGATTTGGCCAACCTGACTCTTTCATTTTAATTTTTTATGGCAGTATACACCAACAAGTATTCCAGAAGTCCAACAAGAGAATATAATCAATCCTCAAGACCTAACAGGTATGATAATATGCTTCAGTGACATGTCATAGAACTTAGTTGTATGATTTTTACCCCTTATTTAACTATGGAAAAACATAAAACAGTTGTATTTTAGTCTATGCTGGCCTTAAATTTAAAACGTTTTATAGAAACACCTTGAAGTATTTTGTGTATCAGTTTTGTTTTTCAGAGTCATAAATCTTCTCCCTAGTATATCACCTTTATCCTTTATGAAATTACTTCTTGGGCCAGTCATGGTGGCTCACTTTGGGAGGCGGAGGTGGGTAGATCACTTGAGGCCAGGAGTTCGAGACCAGCCTGGCCAACATGGTGAAACACCATCTCTACTAAAAATACAAAACTAGCCAGGCACGGTGGCATGCACCTGTAATCCCATCTACTTGGGAGACTGAGGCACAAGAATCGCTTGAACCCAGGAGGCGGAGGTTGCAGTGAGCCGAGATTGTGCCACTGTATTTCAGCCCGGGCGACAGAGCGAGACTCTGTCTCCCCCCCGCAAAAAAGGAGGGAACTTACTTCCTCAGGCTGGGGGGTTGTTGGGGGGAGCATTTATTTATTTAGTCTTGATGATAAGTTGTCCTGAGACTGTCTTTTTAGAAATGAAATAAATTAATGATACTCTGTTATTTCATAGTTGAGCTTTTTTATTACTAACTTTTAAACTTTGATAGTGAATCTAGTTGCTAATGTACCTCAAGATGGAGAAGATGAACAAGCCTTTATTTTAACTCTGGTGGAAATCCCAGCCAATGCAGTAGAAGAATTTACTGATGCCACTGCACAGTTCATGCCAAACCCTTTACTGCCAGCTCCCATATTGGTCAAATCAGTGAATACCGAAGAAAGGGGTGACATGAGGTAACGAATGAGTGAAACTGTTTTTGCTAGGAGGAAAAGTGATTTATGAACTAAGTAGCATTGATTGAACAAACCATTCACCAATGTTAGTTGTTATTGTTGTGGAGATCTTATTTATCATTTATGTGGTAAGTTAGAGAAGAAATGTAATGTGGTAGATTTTATATCTGATAAAGATGCCACTTAAATGTTTCATGTATTAGTTTTGTATGAAACTTGTTTATTAAGTTATTTTGAAAGCTAAAAAAATTAACAGTCTAGATCATAAAATGATACCTGTTAAAAGTGTGGTTACTTTGTATAAACATACACATATGAAACTGTGAAATATGCATTCACAGAAAGTTGTGAAAATAGTACAGTGGTAATAAATACAGTTTTTTTTCTTAAGAGACAGGGACTTGCTTTGGTGCCCAGGCTAGAGTGCCAGGCTGAAGTGTAGTGGTGCCATCATAGTTCACTGCATCCTCGAACTCCTGGGCGCAAGAGATCCTCCTGGCCAGGCGTGGTGGCTTGCGCCTTTAATCCCAGGGCTTTGGGAGGCCAAGGTGGGCAGATCACCTGAGGTCAGGAGTTGAAGACCAGCTTGGCCAACATGGCGAAACTCCATCACTACTACAAATACAAAAATTAGCTGGTCATGGTGGCCTGCGCCTGTAATCCCAGCTACTCAGGAGACGGAGGCAGGAGAACCACTTGAACCCGGGAGGTGGAAGTTGCAGTGAGCTGAGATTGCACCACTGCACTCTAGCCTGGGTGATAGAGTGAGGAAAAAAAAAAAAAGATCCTCATGCCTCAGCCTTTCAAGTAGCTTCTCAGCTACAGGTGCGCACCACTGTGGTTAGCTAATTAAAAAAAAATTTTTTTTTTCTTTTTTCAGAGGTAGAGTCTTGCTCTGGTACCCAGGCTTGTCTTGAACTCCTGGCCTCATGCATTCCTCCCACCTTGGCCTCCCAAAGTGCTGAGATTACAGGCATGAGCCACTGTGCCCAGCTGTTCTTGATACTCTTATTTTAATTCTTTATTTTGGAAGTAAGTTATATCTTAACTACCATTAATTAAGATAATTGTCCATCGTGTAGCATTAGAAATTGAAGACTTTAATATTTTTATTTTTGGAGACAGAATCTTGCTCTGTTGCCCAGGTGGAGTGTAGTGGCGTGATCTCAGCTCACTGCAACCTCCACCTCCCGGGTTCAAGTGATTCTCGTGCCTAAGCCTCCCAAGTAGCTGGGACTATAGGTGCGTGCCACCACACTGGCTAATTTTTTGTATTTTTAGTAGAGATGGGGTTTTACCATGTTGACCAGGCTGGTCTCAAACTCCTGGCCTCAGGTAATACACCTGCCTCGGTCTCCCAAAGTGTTGGGATTACAGACGTGAGCCACTGCGCCTGGACTAGAAGGGACATTTTAGGTTAAACGTTTAACTTTACAATTAGGGAAAATACTATTAAATATTCAGATTTATTTTATTATTATTTTTTAGTTGTTTATTTATTTATTTATTTATTTATTTATTTTTAATTGATCATTCTTGGGTGTTTCTCGCAGAGGGGGATTTGGCAGGGTCATAGGACAATAGTGGAGGGAAGGTCAGCAGATAAACAAGTGAACAAAGGTCTCTGGTTTTCCTAGGCAGAGGACCCTGCGGCCTTCCGCTGTTTTTGTGTCCCTGGGTACTTGAGATTAGGGACTGGTGATGACTCTTAACGAGCATACTGCGTTCAAGCATCTGTTTAACAAGCACATCTTGCACCGCCCTTAATCCATTCAACCCTGAGTGGACACAGCACATGTTTCAGAGAGCACAGGGTTGGGGGTAAGGTCACAGATCAACAGGATCCCAAGGCAGAAGAATTTTTCTTAGTACAGAACCAAATGAAAAGTCTCCCATGTCTACTTCTTTCTACACAGACACGGCAACCATCCGATTTCTCAATCTTTTCCTCACCTTTCCCCCTTTCTATTCCACAAAACCGCCACGTCATCATGGCCCATTCTCAATGAGCCGCTGGGCACACCTCCCAGACGGGGTGGTGGCCGGGCAGAGGGGCTCTTCACTTCCCAGCAGGGGCGGCCGGGCAGAGGCGCCCCTCACTTCCCAGCAGGGGCGGCCGGGCAGAGGTGCCCCTCACCTCCCGGACGGGGCGGCTGGCCGGGAGGGGGGCTGACCCCCCCACCTCCCTCCCAGACGGGGTGGCTGGCCGGGCAGAGGGGCTCCCCACTTCCCAGTAGGGGCAGCCAGACAGAGGCGCCCCTCACCTCCCGGACGGGGCAGCTGGCCAGGCGGGGGGCTGACCCCCCCACCTCCCTCCCGGACGGGGCGGCTGGCCGGGCGGGGGGCTGACCCCCCCACCTCCCTCCCGGACGGGGCGGCTGGCCTGGCGAGGGCTGACCCCCACCTCCCTCCCGGACGGGGTGGCTGCCGGGCGGAGACGCTCCTCACTTCCCAGACGGGGTGGCTGCCGGTAGGAGGGGCTCCTCACTTCTCAGACGGGGCGGCTGCCGGGCGGAGGGGCTCCTCACTTCTCAGATGGGGCAGCCGGGCAGAGACGCTCCTCACCTCCCAGACAGGGTCGCGGCCGGGCAGAGGCGCTCCTCACATCCCAGACGGGGCGGCGGGGCAGAGGCGCCCCCCACATCTCAGATGATGGGCGGCCGGGCAGAGACGCTCCTCACTTCCTAGATGGGATGGTGGCCGGGAAGAGGCGCTCCTCACTTCCTAGATGGGATGGCCGCCGGGCAGAGACGCTCCTCACTTTCCAGACTGGGCAGCCAGGCAGAGGGGCTCCTCACATCCCAGACGATGGGCGGCCAGGCAGAGGCTGCAATCTCGGCACTTTGGGAGGCCAAGGCAGGCGGCTGGGAGGTGGAGGCTGTAGCGAGCCGAGATCACGCCACCGCACTCCAGCCTGGGCACCATTGAGCACTGAGTGAACAAGACTCCGTCTGCAATCCCGGCACGTCGGGAGGCCGAGGCCGGCGGATCACTCGCGGTTAGGAGCTGGAGACCAGCCCCGCCAACACAGCGAAACCCCGTCTCCACCAAAAAAATACGAAAACCAGTCAGGTGTGGTGTCGCGCGCCTGCAATCGCAGGCACTCGGCAGGCTGAGGCAGGAGAACCAGGCAGGGAGGCTGCAGTGAGCCGAGATGGCAGCAGTACAGTCCAGCTTCGGCTCGGCATCAGAGGGAGACCGTGGAAAGAGAGGGAGAGGGAGACCATGGGGAGAGGGAGAGGGAGAGGGTAATATTCAGATTTAATTCAATACTATGGAATTTAAGTTATAAGCCCTGAAGTATGAATGGAGCTCAAAACTATTAATAGCATTTTTGGGGCCATGGCCGTGTATCTCTTAGTTTGGAGTTTTTTGGTTTTATTGGAATTTTCATTGGAATACCTCAGCCTTTAACTTTATTATTGGAAGGATTTCTAGGATCCTTTAAAAAAAAAAGTGTTAAATAACTTCTAATTCAGTAATTTAGTATGTATTTCTTTTCTATGCAGTATTTGTTTACCAGCAACTTCAGTTGGTCAAGATGCCATGGGTTTATCTATTTCTGGAAGAGATAATTCTAAAAAGCCGCCTGATAATTTGGATCTTGTATCTAGGAAGAGATTTCAATGCAGGCTTGATAAAAATGACCACATTCCTCCTGCCAAAAAACGTTCACTCACTTTAAGAGATGACTGTCAAGAATATACCACTGAGGTAAGTGGTATATTAAGTACCACTCAATATGGCCATTAAGTAAGATGGCCATATTGCAACAGATCTGTTCCTATTTTTTCCTTTATTCTCTTTAAACTTTTAGATATATATAAAGATAGTTCTGACATTTATCATCATAAGTTATTCAAGTAAAACTGGTTTTGGATTATCACTTTTAACCAATGGTAAATGAAAATTGATGGAGAGTAATCAAGAAACTTATTCCCAGCTCTGTATTGGTGGCTAAAAATAAGACCAAAAGCATTATATATGTCTGGATCTTGGCTCTACCACCTAGTAGCTGTAACACCTTAGGCAAGATACTTCACCTCTCTCTCTGATCAGGTTTCCTAATATGTAAAATGATAATACTAGTATCATCATCATCATCATCATGCCTAAAGCTACCCATTGCTTTTAGGAGTAAAACCACAGCCTTTAGTGCCCCACATTGTCTTGCTGATTTTTGTCTCTAGTCTCATTTTGTGCCAGCTTCTGCCTCACTTTCTGGCCACACTGGCCATCTTTCAATTCCTTAAATGTCCCAGGACACTTCATTTGATGTACCTTCTGTGTGAAACATTCCCTTGAAAAACATACAGACTTCTTTAGTTCAGTCATCAGTGCCTCAGGGAAGTCCGGCCAGACCATGCGAATTCAGTCACCAACCACTATGTTGTAGGTTTCCTAGTACCCTCTTGTTTTTATACTCATCTAGTACTCATCATAATTTGTAACTACACTATGGAAAAGTCCTTTTAAAACCCGTGTTCTCAAAGAGAAAGTTAAAGACCAATAGTTCTTGAGTAATAGTTGACAAAGAGCAAGTGTGCTTTTATATATTTGGTGAGTAAAAAAATGGCATATCCCAGAACTGTTTTATTTTCTCTTGTTATGGGTAAGATTGAACATCTTTTCATATGCTTAAGAGCCATGTGTATTTCCTTTTCTATGAACTGACTTTTCCTTTACCCACTTTTCAATTAGATTATTGATCTTTTTCTTAGAGAACTGGAAGAACTCTTATATATGTCTGTGGTAATGAGTTGCAAATCTTTTTTCCCAGTTTGTCATTGTCTCTTGACTCTGCTTTCTTTGTTGTTGTTTTCTCATGCAGAACTTTTGGATTAACTTTTTATATGAACATTTCCAGACATATTAAAAGATAGACTAGGTATAATGTGCCCCCATGTACCAGTCACCCAGTTTCAATAATTTATCAGCATTCCATGCAGACATTATTTTGTTTTGTTTTAAAAATATCTTTAATGACATGGACAAAAGACCATAGTACTTTACTAAGTACAAAACTAGGTCACCAGACTATGATACGCCATTTAAAAAATGGTAGTTATACAGTGGTGTGAATATGTAAGAAAAGTATAATGTCCATTTGGCTTATTTGTGATTTTTATTTTCTAAACTTTGTTTTTAGCATTTTAACAATTTTTTAAAAATTGCTTTTACTAGTTGAGTATCCTTTATTCGAAATGCTTAGGACCGGAAGTGTTTCAAATTTCAGATTTTTTTGAATTTTAGAATAATTGCATTATACTTACATTTGTATTATACTTAACAGTTCCACATCCCAAACCTGAAAAGCCAAAATCTGAAATGCTTCAATGAGCATTTCCTTTGAGTGTCATGTCAGCACTCAAAAAGTTTAGAATTTTGGAGCATTTCGGATTTTCAGCTTTGGGATGCTCAGCCTGTACAAAATTGTAGGATACACATACACTGTATTCAGATAGAAGACATTTTTTATTTTCCATAATCAGATTTATCAGTCTTTTTGTGTATGGCTTCTGGAGATTATGTTATACATTGAAAGTCCTTTGAGACTTAAATTTCCTAGTTAATGTTAATATTACTGATTTGTTGCGAATTTGATTTGGTGTAAGGAATAGGGCCAAGTTAATTTTCCTCATATGACTTTTACCGTTTACTGAATAATTCATCTTATTTCCACTGATAGGAAATTCTGCTTTTATCAGTAAGACAGTAAATCTTCATATTTGTTTGGATATATTCCTAAAACTTCCTTTTCTTTTATGTTGATTCACCTATTTGTTCTGGGGCCAGTATCATCATACTGTTTGAATTTTTGTAGTTTTCTTTATTCTTTTTTTTTTTTTTGAGATGGAGTTTCTCTCCTATTGCCCAGGCTGGAGTGCAATAGCGTGATCTCAGCTCACTGCAACCTCCACCTCCCAGATTCAAGTGATTCTCCTGCCTCAGCCTCCCGAGTAGCTGGGATTACAGGCAGCCGCCACCACGCCCAGCTAATTTTGTAATTTTAGTAGAGACGGGGTTTCTCCATGTTGGTTAGGCTGGTCTCGAACTCCGGACCTCAGATGATCCGCCTGCCTCGGCCTTGCAAAGTGATGGGATATTACAGGTGTGGGCCACCACGCCCGGCCGAATTTTTGTAGCTTTATGATGCACTTTGGTATCTTATAGGGACAGTATCTCTCCCAAACCCATACAATTTTCTTCTTTTTTCAAGTTTCTCCTCATTACTTATATGTTCTCAAATTAATATGAATTTTAGAATTAACTTGTTTAGCTCTTTAAAAAAGAGTTCTATTGGTATTTGTATTTGAATCATATTAACTTAGATTAACTTAGGGGAAATTGACAGCATAATTATAATATTGAATCTTCCTATTCAAAAACATGGTATGTCTTTCCATTTGTTTAAGTCTTGTTTTGTGTCTTTCTATTTTGTGTTAAACTCTTCTTCATATAAATCTTACACATTTCTTATAGGTTACCCCTATGAGTTTTATCTTTTTTGTTGCTGTTATCATTAAGTTCTTTTCTATTTAGAGAGCTTACTGAGTTCCCTCATTGTATGCAGTAATTTTTCAGTTGGTTCTCTTGGGTTTTGTAGGTAAACAGACATACCATCTGCAAATATAATTTTAATTCTTCTACTTTTTGTAGTTCTAATTTTTTTGTAATTATAGTGGCTAATATAACTAAAAAATAATATTAAAAAGTGATCCAAATAGTGCACATCTTTTTTTTTAATTTCCGATTTTAATAGGAGAACTTCCAGTGTTTATTATGTGGGATGCTAGCTTCTAGATTGCAATAGTTATATTTTATAGTGTTAAGAAAATATCTGTTCCATTTTATAAGTTTTTTTCAAGAATGAATATCATTGGGTACCTTTTCTATAAATACAGATGATTTTTCTCCTCAGGTCTGTTGGTTTATATTAGATTTCATAGTGTCAGATCATCTTTGCATTCCTGAAACGAGCTCTACTTGATTGTGATGTAGTAGTCTTTTGATGTGCTGCTTGTACTATTTCTTTGATACTTTTGCACTGATATTGAGACTGATTATAAAAGGCAGTTAGCAGCTTTCTCTCTTCCAGTGGGCTCTGGAACATTTTAAAATAGTAGCAATATTTTTGCCATAAATGTTTAGTAGAATTCCTCTAAGAGCTTTTTGGGAGATAACATAGTTTCTTTACTTAAAGAAAAAAAGGAAATAAAATTAATTTCAGTTTTACTTGATAAATTTCTAAATTTTTTTTTAAATTTTCTTAAAATAGGTGCACTCAAAGGAATTAACAAATGTTTTTGAGGAAACAGGTAAGTGAAATACATTTTAACATGATTGCATTTTGCTAAATACTCCTGATTATTTGGGATATACCTTGTTCAAATATGAGATTGAAACTGAGTATTCCTTTTCTCCAAGAGTAATACTTGTATTATCAGCACTTCTTTCCTGCAAAGGCCTTGGATTTGGCAGTTTGGTAGGCAAAAGAAGGTCTTTTCATCCTGTCATCAGTTGAAGACTATGTGGCTACAAGGATTTTCTATGTAAGCTCAATAACTACACTTTAGGAGTTAGCTGAATGTAATGGCTTTTTTTCTCCCCCGCCCCGCCAAGACAGGTTCTCACTCTGTTACCTAGGCTGGAGTGCAGTGGCACAATCACAGCTCACTGCAGCCTCCACCTCCCAGGCTCAAGCAATCCTCCCACCTCAGCCTCCTAACTAGCTGGGACTACAGGCATGCGCCACTATGCCAAGCTAATTTTTTTTTTTTTTTTTTTTTTTTTTTGAGACGGTGTCTCGCTCTGTCACCCAGGCTGGAGTGCAGTGGTGCGATCTCGGCTCACTGCAAGTTCTGCCTCCTGGGCTCACACCATTCTCCTGCCTCAGCCTCCCTAGTAGCTGGGACTACAGGCACCTGCCACCACGCCCAGCTAATTTTTTGTATTTTTAGTAGAGACAGGATTTCACCGTATTAGCCAGGATGGTCTTGATCTCCTGACCTCGTGATCTGCCGGCCTCGAAATTTTTGTGTTTTTTGTAGAGACAGAGTTTGTATTTTTTGTAGAGACCATGTTGTCCAGCCTGGTCTTGAATGTATTTTTGTAGAGATGGGGTTTCGCCATGTTGCCCATGCTGGTCTTGAACTCCTGGCTTCAAGCAGTCTGCCCACCCCAGCCTCCAAAAGTACTGGGATTATAAGCATGAGCCACCACCTGTGGCCTATAATGGCATTCATAATAGGTTCTTTACCCTGAAAATTAGTTTAGTTCTAGAGATTTTTTCAGGCTTAAGCCACCTATGGAAGCTGAAAAGATCTTAGAGTCTTCTATTTTTATAGGAATCTAAAATTTCTGTGGGACATTAAACCACTTAGGATCTATTTCCCTCATGACTAAAGCTGCCAGTCACATTTATCCTGTGTTTATACAACTCTGTTTTTCATTTCTTTTATGACATTATTTCTCTTTTCTCTCAAAGTTAGGCTTATCATTCACACCTATAGCCATTGCTTTACCATGGCAATGGCACTCAAGAATAAAAATGTTGCTGATGGCATCTTACAGAGTTAGAGTTACAAGATAGAGAAGGGTTTGATAACCTATGATGGTTCTGGTTCTTTAAAAACACTTATAATGGGCCAGGCGCAGTGGCTCATGGCCTGTAATCTCAGCACTTTGGGAGGCCGAGGTGAGTGGATCACCTGAGGTCAGCCTGGCCAACATGGCGAAACCCCATCTCTACTAAAAATACAAAAAATTAGCCAGGCGTGGTGGTGGGCGCCTGTAATCCTAGCTATTTGGGAGGCTGAGGCAGGAGATTGCTTGAACCTGGGAGACGGAGGTTGCAGCCAGCTGAGATCACGCCATTGCACGCCAGCCTGGGTGACAGAGCAAATCTCTGTCTCAAAAAACAAACAAAAAATACTTGACTGGGCGTGGTGGCTCACGCCTGTAATCCCAGCACTTTGGGAGGCCAAGGCAGGTGGATCACCTGAGGTCAGGAGTTCGAGACCAGCCTGGCCAACATGGCGAAGCCTCATCTCTACTAAAAATACAAAAATAAGCTGGGCGTGGTGGCGGGCACCTGTAATCCCAGTTACTCGGCAGGCTGAGGCAGGAGAATCACTTGAACCTGGGAGGCAGAGGTTGCGGTGAGCCGAGATTGCGCCATTGCACTCCAGCCTGGGCAACAAGAGCGAAACTCTGTCTCAAAAACAAAAAAAAAAAACAACAAAAAAACCCCACACATATAATGGGCTGAGCACAGTGGCTCACACCTATAATCCCAGCACTTTGGGTTGCCAAAGTTGGTGGGTCACTTGAGGTCAGGAGTTCGGGAGCAGCCTGGACAACATGGTGAAACACTGTCTCTGCTAAAAATACAAAAATTAGTTAGGTGTGGTGGTGCATGCCTGTAATCCCAGCTACTCGGGAGGCTGAGGTGAGTGAATTGCTTGAACCCGGGAGGCAGAGGTTGCAGTGAGCCGAGATCGCGCCTCTGCACTCCAGCCTGGACGACAGAGCGAGACTCTGTCTCAAAAAAACAAAAACAAAAAAACTCTTATAATGTTAATACAGTCTTAGACTTAATTGTCCCAACTTTGACTGTGAAACTGTAATATGGTTACAGTTTACAGCCTCTAGAGATGTTCTAAGATTGCTCCCATCCATCTGCTCTCCAATAAAAGCATTAAGCAAACCACAATACAGTGAAGTGTTAGTGAATTTGTTCTATGCTATCTTTAATTAGGTTGTTTCTTTTAGCAGGTTTACTTATCAACTTCATTCTCCCTTCACAGAGCTAAAACACTCTCTCTGAGAACAAGGCCTTAGCTATACTAAGGGAAAACAGGTTTTTTATTGAGCAAGAAAGCTTTAGTTATTTTGTCCTAATCTTTGGCTACTTTGGCTTTTGTCTACTATTTAGTTAAGGAAAGAGAATTCTTTAGCTAAACTTGAGTATTTGAGAGTCTGTAGGTTTTACTTTTCAGGAGACCACAGGTACTTGAGTTACCACCTATATTTTGGATTGGTTTGGTTTCTAAATTTTAACAAACCTTAGCTTTTTTAGAAAGTAATCACTCTCCCATTTTGATTGCTCAGGAAATATTTCTGGGAAAATATTTTCTAGGCCAAAATATATTGATATAACTATTTTGTTTCTGAATGCAGAAGCTGTTAGCATACCTTATTAACCAATTATAATATTCTTAATAATCCAAGTAACTCCACTAATGATAATTTAGCTTACTCTTATTAGGGTAGGTTTATTATAGAATACCATGGGTTTCTTTTCAAATGCTGGGATTACATGGAGTGTATTAACTTCAGTATCCTTGCTTTCCATTTGCTCTTTTTTTTGAAGGGGAGTCTCACAAGGGACAAGATATTTTTCTTACCTCAGGAAGCACACTGACAACTCCAGAACCTCAAAGACAGCAAGTTGAAGCAGCTTTTCAGAGTAGAGGATCTAGATCTCCTGATGCATGCATGGACAAGAATGTGCCTCAGTTACCTCAGGATGAAATGATTGTGTCTGATAAGGAAGAAAGAACTGATGCTGCTCCTAAGTCTCAGCAAATGGATAGCAGAACATCGTCTTCTAAAGCCTCACTATCCAGGTATCATGAACAAATCTTTAATAAGTGTTTTGCTCTCTGTCTTAATAAATATAACCTATACAGAACAGATTAGATCCAGTACTAAGGATGGTGTTTAATAAACATATTCCTCCATCAGTAATGTAAAGGAAAAAGTTTCAGCCAAGGAAATACAGTAATATTGCAGATACACATTCTGTACAATAAGAGCTTAAGTGCTAAAACTTTTTTAGATAGAAAATCTTTAGAATATTTTGTACACTTATTTTTTTAGATTATCCATGGTTATTTTGATCATTACATAATCTACCATGTTCAGTAGCTACTAATGCACATATGTATGGATGCTGACATCAGAAGTTGTTTTACTGAAGTCCCAAATAATGTGTCATTTTTCTCCCTTGTGACAAACCAAAGAGGTAAACCATGGCTTTCTCCCCATAAGAATAAGTGTTGGAATTTAAGCAAGAGCCAACTTCTCTCACAATTTCCTCATATTCTAGAAGCAATGATTATCAATAATTATTGGCTTGTCAGCAGCATCCAGAAGATTAATGTGGTGTTGCTGAACTGAAAGAGGTGGGGGAACATGCACTAGTCTCCACTAAGGGGAAGGGGTTGGGGAAAGGACACATGTAGCTTAAAAGACATATTTAATAGATCTATTGTTTTTGTTATCTAAATTATAGAAGGTAAAGCTCAGTGGTATCTCTTCTGGCCTTAGATATGTGCTGAAAATAGAATGAGGCCCAGGTACAGTGGCACATGCCTATAATCCCAGCTACTCAGGAGGCTGAGGCCGGAGTTTGAGATTGCAGTGAGCTATGATTGTGCCTGTGAATAGCCACTGCACTCCAGCCTGGGCAACATAGCCAGACCCGTCTCTGAAAAAAGAAAAAAAAAGGCTGGGTGCGGTGGCTCATGCCTGTAATCCCAGCACTTTGGGAGGCTGAGGTGGGTGGATCACCTGAGGTTGGGAGTTCCAGACCAGCCTAACCAACATGGAGAAGCCCCATCTCTACTAAAAATATAAAATTAGCTGGGCATGTTGGCACATGCCTGTAATCCCAGTGACTCAGGAGGCTGAGGCAGGAGAATCGCTTGAACCCAGGAGGCGGAGGGTGCGGTGAGCCGAGATTGTGCCATTGCACTCCAGCCTGGGCAACAAGAGCGAAACTGTCTCAAAAAATAAATTAAAATAAAATAATAACATCATGAGAGTTTGGATTAAAACAGGTTGAGAAGCAGTGTTCTAGAACGGAAGTCAGCATTTTTTGTAAAATGGCATTTGTATATATTTTAGGCTTTGTAAGCCATGTGGTCTCTGTTAACAGCTATTCAGCTCTGCAGTTACAGCACAAAAGCAACCATAGACCATATGTAAACAGATGAACATAGCTGTGTTCCAGTAAAACATACTCACAGAATTGGGTGCGGGGCTGCATGTGGCCTGTAGAGCATACTGTGCTGACCACTGTTCCACAGCTTTGCTACTCAGAGTGTAGTCCTGACAACAGCAGTATGGACATCATTTGAGAACTTGATAAAATGCAGAACTCAGGCCATGCCCGCTACCAACTGTGCGAATCTTCATTTTAATAAGATCCCCAAGTGATTTGAATGCTAGAGATGTTCTAGAGACCGGGGTCCTGCTAATTTTGCCCAGGCTGTTTTTGAGCTCCTGGCCTTAAGTGGTCTTCCCACCTTAGCCTCCCAAAGCAGAAGCAGGTATTAAGGTTGTGTCTTGGCTGGGTGCGGTGGCTCACGCCTGTAATTCCAGCACTTTGGGAGGCTGAGGCAGGCAGATGACGACGTCAGGAGTTCGAGACCAGCCTGACCAACATGGTGAAACCCCGTCTCTACTACAGCTACTTGGGAGGCTGAAGCAGGAGAATCTCTTGAACCTGGGAGGTGGAGGTTGCAGTGAGCCGAGATTGCGCCACTGCACTCCAGCCTGGGTGAGAGTGAGACTGCGTCTCAAAAAAAAAAAAAAAAAAAAAAAAAAAAGAATGTGTCTTCCTGGGTATTCTTGAATATCGTTACATTTGTATTTCTAGACCTGGCAGAAGACCCCTGGGATTTTTATCTTTAATATGCTCAAAGAATAGTTTGGAGTCTGATGAACCTATGCAAGTCCATAGTAAGAAACGCCTAAAACCTCTTATACCTGGATTAAGAAAGAAATTGAAAAGATCTAATCCATTCAATGAAAGCCAGGAAAAAAATCGAGAGTCCTCTGATCTGCTTCCATCTCCAAGTGTTATTACTACTCAATCTGAGAATATTAGCAGCTCAGCAACTCAGGTATGTGATAACTACTGTATTTTATAGTTTGTATGAGATGGGTTGGATATGAGATTCAACTAGGGAAAACATAGTAATTTGTTATTTTTATTTGATGTCAGAAATTATTTTAGAGCAACTCCCATCCTTCTCTCCATCGTGTTCCTCCATAATGGAAGAAGAAAAGGTGTTGAGTCAGGAAGTTACAGTTAGATTAGTACAGAGCCATTGAACTAACCATAAATGGACACTTAATAGCCATTCCTTTAATCTAGAGACCCTTCTGACTTGTGGAAGCAAAAGGAAGCAGTGCTGACACCCACAAGAATTTAAGGAACTGTAAAACTAGAATTTGTTCACATGTTTCATTTCTATGTCTCCTGAAGCTGTCCAATGGCAAGTATTGGGATGGAAAACTCTGTAAACCTGTATCAAAGACTTTGTAAAAATATTGGGGTGACTTAAGATCTTGACAAAGAGAAGGCTGGTGAGCATCTGTTGAACAGCATGAGCCTTTGGAAGGGGTACTTTTGTAAAGAACATCTTTAAACTTTTTAAAAACATTTTGTATTATTTGTTAGAATTATTTTCTGAGATCAAGATATCAGTCTAGCTTATCATTGCCAAAGTCGTGGGTTTTGTTTTTTTTGTGTGTTTGTTTTGAGACAGAGTCTCACTCACTCTGTCACCCAGGCTGTAGTGCAGTGGCGTGATCTTGGTTCACTGCAACCTCCATCCCCTGGGTTCAAGTGATTCTCCTGTCTCAGCTTCTCGATTAGCTGAGCTTACAGATGCATGCCACAACACCCAGCTAATTTTTGTATCTTTAGTAGAGGCGGGATTTCGCCATGTGGGCCATGCTGTTCTCAAATGCCTGGCCTCAAGCCTTGGCCTCCCAAAGTGTTGGAATTACAGGCATGAGCCACTGTGCCTGGCCTGTAGTGTTCTTATTATATTCAGGGAAAAAGGCCCTTTGTGATAAAGATTGCAATTTTTTTTTTCTCTGTATGTCATTTGTCTTTTGATTTTATTTATGGTGGTTTTTGTCAAGCAGACATTTTTTATTTCTGTTTAATTTGTCAATCTTTTATAGCTTTCTGCTTTCAGATAGTTTAAAAAGGTACTCTTCCCAGCTGGGTGCGGTGGCTCACGCCTGTAATCCCAGCACTTTGGGAGGCCAAGGCGGGCAGATCACCTGAGGTGAGGAGTTTGAGACCAGCCTGGCCAACATGGCAAAACCCCATCTCTACCAAAATACAAAATTTAATCAGGCACGGTGGTGTGTGCCTGTAGTCCCAGCTACTTGGGAGGCTGAGATAAGAGAATTGCTTGAACCCGGGAGGTGGAGGTTGCAGTGGGCTGAGATCATGCCATTGCATTCCAGCCTGGCTTTGTCTTAAAATAAATAAATAAATAAAAAGGTACCCTTCCCCACCTACCTCCGTCCAGAATTATAAAAGTGTTTTTCCATGGCATTTTTATAGTAGAGTTTTTTAAAAAATACTTTTACATTTAAATCTTTTGATCCATCTAGAATTTGTTTTGGTAAGGTATTGGTCTGACTTTTTTCCCCCTGAGATGGTTATATAGTTGTCCAACATCATTTATTTAATAATACAATAACTGTTTTTGATATGGCACTTTTATCAGATGCTAAATTTCTATATATATTGGGGTTATTTCTAGTCTTCTGTTTCATTGATATATCTGTCATTCGTGTGCCAATACCATGCTGTCTTAATTTGTTTATAGATTTGTAAGTATGCTAATTTCTGATAAGGTATCTTTGATATGTTTTCTTTAGGTGCTGTTTTGTCATGGGTCTGTCTATTATGCAAATAATTAAAGTATTTTTACTTTATTTAGTGACAGATTTAACCATATTATATTTTTCTTTATTAAAATTTTTCATGGAAATTAGGATGAAGTAATGGATTATGGGTACACTGTAATTTACCTAATTATATCTAGTGTGGTATATTTAGTTGCTTCCTATTTTATTATTATAACTAATGCTACAAAGGTTATCTTAGTCATAAAACTCCTACTATGTTTAGGATTATTTACTTAATGTAACAGCATAGAAGTGAAATTTTTGGGTCAGTGATTGTGAACATATTTAAAGCTCAATATTTATTGCCACGTTGCTTTTCAAACAGATCATATTGGTTTAGACTGCTATATATACACACACATATATATATAAATGTTGTATTACAGTTTTATTTTTACTTTATTTTTATTACCTTTTTAGGTTTCTTGTGATCAGCCCTTACTGAAAGAAGGATATAAAAGTGCCCAAAAGCGGGCCCCTCAAGGGGAGGCAACCACAGTCTCTGAATATTTCTTCAATGATATCTTCATTGAAGTGGATGAAACAGAATAAAACAATCTTTTCTCTTTTTCTTTTTTAAATTAGGTCTAGGATTTCCAGAGTCAATTACATCAACAAAACAGTATTTAGAGCAAAATATCACTGTCTTATTTTTCTTTAGGTTGATTTTGAATACTTAATGAGCTTGATTTGAAGCTTTTATAATCAGTGGAAAACATTTCTGAGGTTCCTTTCATTCTGACTGATTCAGCATTTTGCAAATAGCAAGCAATTAAGACTGCTTTCTCAGACAGAAATAACAACTCTTGTTTACATTTTGACTCTTCCTGTGCTAAGCACACATGGACATTTGGGAATGTTGTGGATATATGTCTCTGTATGAATTGCAGTGCAGACAGATTTGGGGGTTAATTGTATCATATTTAACATTTAGCAACTTCTTTTGTGAAGATTTTTTATTTTTAGGGGGAGATGATGAAGGATGAAGGCTTTTTCATTTGCTTCTAAGTACAGTCATGTATCACATAATGAAGTTTAAGTCAATGATGGACCACATATATTACAGTGGTCCCATGCAATTAAAATGGAGATAAATTCCTATCAACTAGTGACATTATAGCCATCATAACACAGTGCATTGCTTTTTTATGTTTAGATATGTTTAGATACACAAATACTTACTATTGTGTTACAACTGCCTACAGTATTCAGCATAGTAACACATTGTAGAGGTTTGTAGCCGAGGAGCAATAGGCTATACCACATAGCCTCAGTCTGTACGGTGTGTAGCAGCCTGTACCATCTCAGTGTTTGTAAGTACACTCTGCGTTGTTTCACACAAGATCACCTAACAAGGCAATTCTTAGAACATGTAGTTAAGGGACACGTGACTATATGTGAAAACAAATTGTCAAACTTCACTTTAGTATGGCAAATGTTAAAGAACTTTTCTATTATCAGCTGTTTGTCTGACTGAAAAATACATATTTTTCTAATTCATGGTGATGTAACATTAGTCCTAATTGAAAAACTAGTATTTAAACATAATTATTTATAAAGATGACACATCAAAGGGCTTATTTATTTTTAAATTTTTTATTTAAAAGGATATTCAGTTTTAGCTATTTTTACCCCTCAGATTGTAGATAAAGAAGGCATTAAATTTATGTTTGTCTCCTTTTTCTGTTTAATTTTAAAGATATTTAAAATGATATAACTAAAAATGTTTAGCTGGTGTATATGTTTTGAATACCTTTTTCCCCTCAGTTTAGTATATTGACTTTGTACTGTAAATTTTTCTGCTTTTCTTGGATAATCTCAGGATTTTCATGAGGATAGGGGGAACTCAACTTTATTTATGAGACAAAATTTCCATACAAAGCTCAATCTCCTTTATACACCCACAGACATAATATTAGTTTTTAAAAAGCCAATTTCTTCATAGTTTTTTCCCATTAAATTCTCAAGGAACACTTGGATCTTTAAGCACGGAACATAATCATGATGTTAAAAACAGAGAAAATAAGGCTTTATAAAGTTAATGATTATCATCAGTATGAATTTAAGGTTTGTTTTAATTTCAAGATTTGATTTTTTATACGTGTAATTCTATTATCTACCCAAGCAGATCTGTAGTGGTTCCAATTAGACTTCTCAAACAGCAAATTTATCCTGATTTTATTTGAAAAGCCTCTTGGATTGATAGTATAGTAGCTCAGGCATTGGAAACTTTCTGCAAACTGTTTTGGGTTTGCAGGCCAGATGGTCTCTGTGGCAGCTACTCAGCTCTGCAATTTCAGTGTGAAAGAAGCCATAGACAGTACTTGAATGAAGGACTGTGGCTGGATTGGCCTTTTAGTTTGACCCCCTACATTAGGCCCCAAATTTTCTTACCCTGAGGTGCTGATATCTGTATGGATGAGTTATTTGTCACTAAAGTTATGAGTTGTGCCTAAAAGTTAAAACTGTTGACTGTATTATGTAATGATCAGTATTTCAGTTGGGAAGATATTTTAGAGTCTAGATAATTATGTTTGTATATTGAAAAAATGGTGGCCAGTTTTTAAGTTCCTTAATAGAAGAGAATTATGTCTCAGCACATATAACAGTAATGCTAATTTATTGAAACTACTGCTGTTAGAGCACTTCTTATTCATTGTCTTTTAGTGAAATTTATGGCGTAACACTTTGTCAGAGAGGAGGCTATATAATTCGGAGCGGAAATTGTCTATAAGTAGGCATTTATTTCATGATTGATATGTCACAGAAATCATGGTAGTAAATCACATTGCTATTTGAATACCCTGTTTTTGTAAGTTTTTAAAACTCATATTCTGAAAAGATTTCATTCTCTTAGTGTTAGCTTGGGAGTTAGATTGCCATGATTAAACTATTATTTATCCTTGTGTAATATTAGTTTTTAACTTTAACATCTGTTTCTTTTTAATCTATAATGAGCTAGTTTTATGGAAAATGGAATTTCTTACTATATAAAGAATACAGAGACTCATTGTATTAGAGAATCAAGTCAGCCAGCTAAAGTATCCTACTGTTAAATCCTTAAACCTAATTTTGGAAAAGAGAAAGTTAATCAATGTATTTACCTTACATGTTGGAAAGAACTATGTTAGGTCTGATTCATGTGAAGAAGATGTTGCAAAGGATTTATTTCACAAATTTTAAAGGAGATATGAGTAAAAGTTTTTATCTTTTCTTGACTTTTTCTCCTGAACACTTATGTCTTAGCAAGTGGTCAACATGAGGATTTGAACGCCTAATTGTTGGTAAATGGTTGAGGCATGACAAAAATATTAATATCCACTGTTTACCATCATGTTATTTGAAACAAAAGTGACCATGTATACTATCTTGCTTGAAGAAGTCTTTGACAGAAAAAGCAATATCATGTCATTTATAAATTTTCTTGTTCTAAAGAAAGCAGTTATATATATATATAAATTATGTAAATAAAAGTTATTTTATATCATTTCTGTTGTGTCCTTTTAAGATGACTAAATAAAGAATTGGCTGGGTATCGTGGCTTACACCTGTAATCCCAGCACTTTCGGAGGCCGAGGTGGGAGGATTGCTTGAGCCCAGGAGTTCAAGACCAGCCTGGGCAACATAATGAGACCTCATCTCTACAAAAAAATTAAAAATCAGCCAACTGTGGTGGTGTGTGCTTTTGGTCCCAGTTACTCAGGAGGCTGGGATGAGAGGTTCGCTTGAGCCCAGGAGGAGGTTGAGGCTGCAGTGAGCTGTGATTGCCCCACCACACTCCAGCCTGGATGACAGAAGAAGACCCTGTCTTTGTGGGGAGGAGACAAATTTTTGACAGGTGTGCATGTCGTTATTTCAAAGCTGTAGGAGTCTGCAATGTGATTGTCCTAATAGTATTTGGAAGAGACTCCACACAGCATCTCTGTTTGCTGCAGCATCGCATCCTGAATCTGCTGGAGAGCCCTGTCTTACATTGGGTTTCACTAAAAATCGGCAGTCTTACGGGCTACCCAGTAAGTAGGTTGGGGTAGTATTCCCAAATATATTTTATCTCAAACTCAAAGGGCGACTTCAAACATTGTTGCTTCTGTCTTCATGGTGACCAGTGCAAGGTGCAGAATCTTGTCTCCCTCTCCCCACTGCCTTTGTTTAAGAGATGGGGTTTCGCTTTGTTGCCCAGGCTGGAGTGTGGTGGCGTGATCATAGCTCACTGCAGCCTCGAACTTCTGGGTGCGAGCAATCCTCCCAGGTAGGTGAGCCGTCATGCCTGGGTAGCTTGTTTCTTCCCTTCAAAAATAGATCCCATGTCCTCAGACCACTAGACCCTTAGGAGATTCACCTATGTGGCAGGCTCCTGAACTTTAACAGTATTTACCTCCCAACCTCTTATATATGTATGTCTTCCTAAGACATCTAGCTGCTTGCTAATTCGTGCTTTCCAGCTCCAGTTAGCATAATGTTATACATGTCACATTTCATTTTTTTGTCAAAAATCAAGAAAATAAAAGTCTCTCCAGACTATATAATGAAAGAAAATGAGGGTATTCATATCACTCTGAAGTAAGACAGTAAAATCAGTTGTCCCTGCCACAATAATTCAAGTTCTTTTAATTTTTCTTACTGGAATGGAAAATGTTGCATTTTTTTCATGGCACTAGCTTTATTCCAGGTATTAGGAGTTGTGTTGATTTGGTCTAATAAAGGTACCAATCGCCAACTGCAGCTGTGATTGACATCATTTGTTAAATCTGTGATAACTTATTGTCATTCCCCAAGACCAGTGGTTCCCAAACTTTATTGCACATCAGACTCACCTGGGAAGCTTTAAAAAGTTTCTGTGTCCAAGTGGTATCCCTTATTGTTAAATCAGTGTCTGGGTGCAGTGGCTCATGCCTGTAATCCCAGCATTTTGGGAGGCTGAGGCGAGACATAGCGAGACCTTATCTCTACAAACAAAACAAAGCAAAAACTAGCAGAACATGGTGGTGTGTGCCTGTGGTCCCAGCTACTTGAGAGGCTGAGGCAGGAAGATTGCTTGAGCCCAGGAGTTCAGGGTTGCAGTGAGGTATGATCGTGCCAGCCTGGGTCACAGAGTGAGACCCTGTTGCTAAAAAACATTAAAAAATAATAGGGCCAGGCACAGTGGCTCACGCCTGTAATCCTAGCACTTTGGGAGGCCGAGATGGGAGGATCGCTTGAGCCCAGGAGTTTGAGACTAGCCTGGGCAACATGGCAAAACCCCTTGTCTACTAAAATGCAAAAATTAGCCAGGTGTGCTAGCACGCGCCTGTGGTCCCAGCTACTGGAGAGGCTGAGGTGGGAGGATCACTTGAGCCCAGAGGTGGAGGTTGCAGTACGCTGATATTGTGCCACTGTACTCCAGCGTGGGTGAAAGAGGGAGACCCTGTCTCAAAATAATTAGAAAACACACACACTCGCAGTGCCTGGGGGTGGGCGTCAGACATCTCCATTTAAAAAAAAAATCTGCAGGTGATCCTAAGGTGTAACACCAACACCAACACACAAAACAAAAAAATGTGAAACATTGTTCATTCGGACCTGTCTGACTTGAACAGCTGGCCAAGCTGGTGAATCAAATGGAAATGTAGTAGGAATCAACAGATCCCACTCACTATGTGGGTCAGAGAATGGGGGTGGTTTAAACCTTCTACTTGGCCTTTCCTTAATGCCTTATCTCATGGGTTAAGGAAACTGTGTGATGATTCTGCTATATCCTACTTCTGTGTATTCTGGGACTGAGGAAATAATTACAGGATGGGCTCCTGTGAGAAGTCAGACCAAGAATCCATCTTTCACGCAACCTCCATTAGCCTTCACTCTGAAAACTGGATCACAGAGGCTTTTAAGGTCTCTGGAAATCAGTATAATTTCAGAGTCACTATCTTAATAACCGTGAAATAGCTGAGTATTTTTGTTTCCCCAGTGCAAAGACCCTGATGAATAACCATAGTTCTCTCTGCAGAAGGCTTGGGGGAAGATTTATGGTATACCCATGAAGCCACAATTACAAAATCCTTCCTCAGAGGCTCCCATCTGCCCCCTCAGTCAAGGGACTTTGGGTCTATAACCTGATTTATTTAGTCTGGAAACTGGATATGAGGCTCTCTCCACTATGGAGACTTGAGTTTGGTTCTTGCACAACAGACCTAGAATTGTTTTGTCTATAGGTGTCATGCAACACTTTAGAAGGCTGTCAGTCTAACAGGAACCTTGGGATCAATTAGCCATCATCACAGATCCCCACATGTAAAAATACACTATGTCAATCCTTTGCTATGGCTTATTACAGTAATTGTGCCTACCTGGTCTAAAACAGTTCGGCATTGCTGCCTGGCTTCTTCCAGTATTCCCAATGAGGTCAAGGGGCCTAATTCCTTGGCAGTACCTCTCACCATCATCTCCAGTCTGCAAAGGACAACCATCATAGTGGCTGCATCAGCTCTTTAAAGAGGCTGATGCTTCTGTTACCAAGACTTTAAAGAAAAGAGTGTCCTCCAGGCCCTCTTGGGAGTTATGGTTAGGGGGTGTCTGAATAAGATGCACATAAATACAGCCAGTCCCCCTTTATCAGCAGGTTCCATATCCTGAGATTGAGCCCATCAAGGATCAGAAATATTTGAAAAATAAAACATAAAAATAACAATACAACTATAACAAATAATACAAATAAAAAATAAGTATGACAACTATTTATATAGCATTCATATTGTATTAAGTATTATGAGTAACCTAGAGATGATTTAAAGTATATAGAAGAATAGTGCTATGTTATATGCAAATACTATCCCATTTTATTTTATTACTTTTTGAGACAAAGTCTGGCCCTGTTACCTAGGCTGGAGGGCAGTGGCACGATCTCAGCTCACTGCAGCTTCCACATCCTGGGCTCAAGGGATCCTCCCGCCTTTGCCTCCCAAGTAGCTGGGACTATAGGTGCATGCCACCGTGCCTGGCTAATACTTATATTTTTTGTAAAGATGGGTTTTTGCCATATTGCCCAGCTGGTTTTGAATTCCTGAGCTCAAGTGAACCAACCACCCGCCTCGGCCTCCCAAAGTTCTGGGGTTACAGGCCTGTGCCACCGCACCTGGCCCCTGGAACCAGTTTTTCTCAGATACCCAGGGACAACTGTGAATCCATTCCAACATCCTCATTTTCCTGAGTCTTCAGATGGCTTCCTGTACATGGCTTCCTCTGTATAGTAGTGAGCATCAGAATCACCTTGGAGGGCTTATTAAACACGGATTGCTGGGCCCCAATCCTGAAGTTTATTTTAATTAATTATTTATTTATTTTTGAGATGGAGTTTTGCTCTTGTTGCCCAGGCTGGAGGCAATGGCAAGATCTCAACTCACTCCAACCTCCACCTCCTAGGTTCAAGAAATTCTCCTGCCTCAGCCTCCCGAGTAGCTGGAACTACAGGCATGCCCCACTATTTTGTATTTTTAGTAGAGGTGGGGTTTCACCATGTCGGCCAGGTTGGTCTCGAACTCCTGACCTCAGCAGGTCCACCTGCCTCACCCTCCCAAAATGCTGGGAATATGTTGGGAGCCGAAAAGGCCAAAGGGATTGTGACCAACTCAGCATTCCACTGGAGGCTACATGATCAAAGAGCAAACTGTTTATCATGAATACAGAATGTGGGCAAACTCACTTCTGTGCCTGCCCCAGAAAGTTTGCTGAGGGCCATCGCTCCCTGGCCCCGGCTCCTTGAGGTTATCTACTGGGACGTCTAGAGCCTATTGTTCGAGGAATGCAGTCTTGCAAGCCTACTCTGGACTGAGCAGCTGACCTCTTCTTCCACACCCCTTCTCACTATCTCTTTTGCCTAATAAATACAGAGGGCTGTGTAAAGCTCAGGGCCCTTGTTCACTAGAGACAAGGTGTCCCCTGACCCTTCTTCCAAACATATTCTTTTGTCTCTTGTCTTTATTCCCGCATTCATCCCCCTTTGTTCAGTCCACCAGGGATCCTGGCAGGCTGCAAGTGGTGCCTCGAACAGCAACAGAATCTGGTGCTTTACAAGTGGCGTCCAAACACAGGGGCTTCGAGGATGTGAATGAAGAATGTCTGCTAGAGCAGAGGAACTGAAATTGACAAGGCGAATGGGGACCCCGGGATGAGTCTGCTGGCAGCGGATATAAGGTCAGTGCCCTAAAAAGGTACTAGGAGCAGTGCTTTAAAGAAGTACTGGGAATGGGAAGTTTTCTGAATCAGGGTAACATGGAGCAGAATTTGTCTATTGAAGGAAAACATTATGTGCAGTTGCTTAAAGTTTCGTTGAAACAAACTGGTGCTCGGGTTCTCAGACATTCATTAAGATGCTACAGGAGGTTATTACGCATAACCCATGGTTTCCACGGCTTATTAAAACTCTTGATGTGGAAGATTGGGACAGAGCAGGAGAACGATTAAAACAGCCTCATGAAAAAAGGTCTTAAAGTTGATTCTTCTGTTTTTTCCACTTGGAGTTTAATTTGTACTGTACTTCTACCATTAGCTCCTTATTATTCTGTGGGACAGCAGGCTGAGTCTAAAAATCTGAAAGAATCTGTTGTCCCACCCACAGCTCCAGCTGAAAATAAAAAACAGGGCCAGGCATGGTGGCTCACGCCTGTAATCCCAGCACTTTGAGAGGCCAAGGCGGGTGGATCATTTGAGGTTAGGAGTTCAAAACCAGCCTGGGCAACATGGTGAAACCCTGTCTCTACTAAAAATACAAAAATTAGCCGGGCGTGGTGGCATGTGCCTGTAGTCCCAGCTACTCAGGAGGCGGAGGCAGGAGAATGCTTGAACCCGGGAGGCAGAGGTTGCAGTGAGTCAAGATCGTGCCACCGCACTCCAGCCTGGGTGACAGAACGAGACTCTGTTTCAAAAAAAAAAAAAAGAAAGAAAAGAAAAGAAAAAACAGGAGAGGGAGGATGAAAATTGGCCTATACCACCTGCTCCAGTTGCAGAACCATCTGCACCACCTCCTTAGGTAGCAGAAATAGAGACCCCAATACAAATAATTTTACGCTCTGCTGCCATAGCTGGAGAGTCCTTAGGACCTTGTGCTTTTCCTATTTCCATAAGACCTGATCCAAATAATGCACAGCAGCTCATTCATGAACACACTCGACTAGAGTTTAAGTTGTTGAAGGAATTAAAAGTGAGTGTGGTAAGTAAGGGCGTACAGAGCCCATTCACCTTAGGATTACTAGAATCTGTGTTTGGTGCTATGCGTCTTTTACCCTTTGATGTAAAACAATTGGCGTGAACTTGCTTGTCTGCTAGTGCATATCTGACGTGGAATTTAAATTGGCAAGAACTGTGTGCAGACCAGGCTAGACAGAACCGTGTTGCTGGACCCGGAGACATTACAGAGGATTTGCTATTGGGTAAAGGCCCTTATTCAGACCTGGAATGTCAAATGGCACTCCCAGATACTGCTTATCAGCAGTGTGTACAGGCCACTAAACGTTCCTGGGCCACAATTCCTGAAGAGGGAGTCCCAGTACAGTCCTTTTCACATATCATGCAAGGGTTGCAGGAACCCTATGTACAATTTCTTGCAAGATTGCAAGAGGCAGTGAAGCGTCAGATTCCTCATACCGTGGCTGCAGAAATGCTAACTTTAACTCTAGCTTTTGAGAATGTAAATGCGGATTGTAAATGTGCCCTGGCACCAGTGAGGTGTACAAAAACTTGGGAAATTTCCTCAGAGCTTGTCAAGATGTAGGAACTGAGCTTCATCGATCTACAATGTCAGTGCAAGCAATGGCTAATTTAGCTGTTGACAAATCTAAAAGGAGCCAAGGGTCAGACCCTAAAATGGGAAAATATTATAATTGTGGAAAAACTGGACATTTAAAAAAGGAATGCCGCCAGATCTCAGGACAGAAAGGATCTTACAATGCAGTTCCTCCCCCAGCAGAAAAAAATGCCAGGACTTTGTCCTCGCTGTAACAAAGGAAATCACTGGGCTAATCAGTGCCGCTCAAAATTTCATCAGAATGGCACCCCCCTGTCAGGAAACGAGACGGGGCCTGGCCCTGGGCCTCTCAAACAATGAGGGCATTCCCAGTTCAGACCACAACCCCATTTCAGGGATGGGTTCCCGGAGGCACATTGGTTCCTTCACCCCAGGAACACCAGGAAATATAGGATTAGATCTACCCGCTAGAGAAAGAATCATGTTAGTTGGGGGAGACAAACCCATCAAAGTTCCCACTGGTATTTGTGGTCCTTTACCCACAGGATACATGGGACTAATTTTAGGCAAAAGCTGTCTTAACTTACAGGGCATTACTGTAGTCCCAGGAGTGATTGACTCTGATTATGAAGGAGAAATTCAAGTAGTTTTAATGTCACAAGATCTTTGGGTTTTTGAACTGGGAGAATATATTGCTCAATTATTGCTTATTCCCTGCAAATTACACCCTTCTCCACGAAAGGAGAAATGAGGAAATAAAGGGTTTGGGAGCACAACTACATGGGAAGTCTGTCCCAACCAGTAGCCTCTAATAGACCCACCTGTGTAATACAAATTAAAGGAAAGAAATTTTATGGGCTTATGGATATGGGAGCTGATGTGTCAGTAATATCTAAAGACAATTGGCCCCCATCCTGGCCCTTGCAATTAACTTCTGCATACTTACTGGGAGTAGAAACAGCTCAAAGTGTTCAACAAAGTGCTGAGATTTTACCTTGTCTTGGTCCGGATGGACAGTCTTGTACTTTTCAGCCTTATGTCGCAAATACAGCTATCAATTTATGGGGTCGAGACTTACAGCATGGGATATGAAACTTACAAATGAAAACTTTGATAACCCAGGATTTAAAATGTTGAAGAACATGGGATATCACAGTGGAAAAGGTCTGGGGAGGTTCCTACAATGAAACCCTAATCCAATATCAATAACTGGAAAAACAAATAGAAAAGGGCTAGGACCTCAGGATTTCTGATGGAGGTCATTGATATTTCTTCTCCACGCTCTGCCTTACCATTAGAATGGCTCAGTGACAAACCCATATGGGTGGATCAATGGCCGCTATCTTGGGAGAAGCTGACGCAACTTCAGCAGCTAGTAAAAGAACAATTGGATGCAGGACACATAGAGGAGTCAGTTAGCCCCTGGAATTCTCCAGTGTTTGTTATTCCAAAAAAGTCCAGAAGTTGGTGACTGCTGCATGATTTAAGAGCTAGTAATGCAAAAATTCAACTGATGGGCACCTTACAGAAAGGTTTACCATCTCCAGCGGCTATTCCAAGAGACTGGCCTCTTGTAGTAATAGATCTTAAGGACTGTTTCTTTACTATACCCATACATGAGAAGGATAAGCCTCAATTTGCCTTCTCTGTGCCTTCTATTAATCAAAGAGAACCTGTTTCTCATTATCAATGGAGAGTTTTACCCCAAGGCATGCTTAACAGTCCTACGCTATGTCAGCATTTTGTAGGACAGGCATTAAAGGAGCCTCGGAATATGTTTCCTACTGCTTACATCATTCATTTTATGGCTGATACTCTTTTGGCCGCTCCTACAGATCAAATATTGCATCAATTATTCAGAGAAGTAAAGTAAGCTCTTGTTAATTGGAATCTCAACATTGCTCCAGAGAAGGTACAAACAACTTCCCCATACCAATACTTAGGAACTATTGTTACAGAGAGAAGATCGACCAGAGTCACGACGACATCAACCCCCATAACCTGGGACAACTCAAGAAAACTACGCAGGAAGCTGAGAAACTACTGGAGTGTCAAGGCCAGACAAAAACCCCTGATTCCGTGTTCTTGGCCATGTTAGCCATAATATCCTGTGCAGTATGTTTTTCCTGTGCAGAGGCAAAAACATATTGGGCATATGTTCCCAAGTCCCCAGCAGTATGACCCATACTTTGGAGTGACACTCCTCCTAAGATTTATCATGATTAAGGAGCATGGGCTCCAGGACCCCTAACTCCACCTGACATAGAACAGTTAGACTCTCAGAATAATGTCATTAATTATACCGCTCCATTGGAAGGACTTCCTTTGTGTGTCACCACAAAGACATCACTCAGCCATAGCTGTCTTACAGTTCAAGCTCACACATGGTTGAGTCACTATGGGAAAATCATGTACTTATTAAGTCTTGGTTATATTAATGTAACCGGTGTGCTAACCAACCATTCCTGGCCCAATCGCCTTCATTGTGCTGACTATACAGAATGGATTCCCTTCAATAGTTCCTACCCCCCTCCATAGACCCAGTGTCTTGGCCCACTGGCTAGAAAACAATCTATGTTAACTGGAGACATTGTGGATTGGGGACCTAAAGGCCAATTAGATGGAAAAGAAGAAAATCAGAAATCGTGGCACAAACTTTGCTGGCATTGGTGGCAAGCTTTTAATGCTTCTTCTTTATATAACACTGGGATCCAATCCCAGTCGGCCGCCCAGATTGCTTGGCATGGAGCAGGCTTTAGCCCGCCTCTTCCTCAGTGGCATTATCTAGGGAGGAAAGGACCAATTCAAAAGATGATATGGAAGGCAGCATTCCCATTTATGAATGGCAACATCTGGGTTGCCATAATACTATCCAATAATAGCAATAGTAAGCAACACAGTCTTAATGTTACATTTGTAAAGAATATCACCACTCAATTTACAGTTTGTGTTTTTAATCCTTATGTGTTTTTGGCAGCTAAGAAGGACCAGCTCCAGGTAAACAATACCCAATTGACCTGTAAATCTTGCCAGTTATATCACTGCATTAATCATAGCACATTGCAAACACATAATATCTCTACTTTGATGATTTTAGGTTGCATCCCTGGGCTATGGATTCCTGTTAATCTGTCTGAGCCATGGGCTGCCACAATTGCTTTACATTTTGTGAAACTTCTTCTAACTCAGTTTACTCATTGTGTCCGTAGAGGCTTAGGCATGATAATTTTTGCTATTGTTTACTTGGTCACACTAATAATTTCTGTTGTGATGTCCTCTGTAGCTTTGCATAGTTCTATTCAAACAGCTCAGTATGTGGAGAACTGGACACGCACAGTCAACCAAGGGTGGCTACTTGAGAATAAAATTAACACTGAGTTACAAACTGAAGTGGCAGTGTTATAATCCACGATTCTATGGTTAGGGGAACAAGTACAAAGCTTGCAATTGCAGCAGTAATTGTGTTGTCATTTTAATCACACTCATATTTGTGTAACCAACTTAGAATATAACCAAAGTGAGTATCCATGGGATCTTGTGAAAGCCCATTTGCAGGGAGCTTTCACATCCGACATCACCTTTGATATTGGTGAATTACAAAACAAAATTCTTGATTTAAATAAACAAATTCCAGAGTTTCAGCCTTCTTTAGAAGACTGGACTGAATTCCAGCAAGGCCTGGAGAGCGTCAACCCTTGGACCTATCTAAAGCACCACATTAACATCTTATATATAGTTCTTGGAATAATGTTGTTTTGTCTCTGTCTTCTGTTCATAGTCTGTAAAATCGGATGGACTGCCAATCGGAGAATGAAAGCTACCCAGCCTGGCCTTACATTCTTTCACTTAATACATAAACAAGAAGGGGGAAATGTTGGGAGCCAAAAAGGCCAAAGGGATGGTGACCAACTCAGCATTCCACTGGAGGCTACATGATCAAACAGCAAACTGTTTATCATGAATACAGAATGTGGGCAAACTCGCTTCTGTGCCTGCCCAGAAGGTTTGCTGAGGGCCATCGCTCCCTGGCCCCGGCTCCTTGAGGTTATCTACTGGGACATCTAGAGCCTATTGTTCGAGGAATGCAGTCTTGCAAGCCTACTCTGGACCGAGCAGCTGACCTCTTCTTCCACACCCCTTCTCACTATCTCTTTTGCCTAATAAATATGGAGGGCTGTGTAAAGCTCAGGGCCCTTGTCCACTAGAGGCAAGGTGTCCCCTGACCCTTCTTCCAAACATACTCTTTTGTCTCTTGTCTTTATTCCCGCATTCATCCCCCTTTGTTCAGTCCACCATGGATCCTGGCAGACTACAAGTGGCGCCTCGAACAGCGACAGAATTAGGTGCTCTACAGGATTACAGGCATGAGCCACCACTATGGGCCCCAATCCTGAAGTTTATGATTCAGCAGATCAGCCTGGGGCCTAAGAATGAGCATTTCTAACAAGTTCCTGGGTGAGGCTGATGCCACTGGCCTGTGAGCACGATTTGAGAATCACTGTTTTATAGCAGATTCTCAAACTTGGCTGCCTACTGGAATCACCTGAGATGTTTAAAAGAATACTCATTCCTAGGTTCCAACATCAGAAATGATCATTTAACTGGTATGGAGTGCTTGGCTTGGGATTCCTTTAAATAGCTTTATTGGCTATATTTGACACACAAACTGCATATATTTAGAATACAATTAAATTTTAATATATGTGTACACCCATAAACCATCACCACAATAATAATAATATATCCATCATTTCCAAAGTTGCCTCTTCTACCCTGGCCTCCTGCTCCTCCCTCTCTCCTGAACACCTCCCAGATCCCAAGGTAACAATCTGCTTTTGGTCACGATGGATAGCCTGCATTTTCTAGAATTTTATATAAATGAAATCATATATACCCTTTTTCCTTTTTGGTTTCACTTCTTCCCTTTAGCATGATTTTTTGTTTGTTTGTTTGTTTTTGAGACACAGTTTCACTCTTTTTGCCCCGGCTGGAGTGCAGTGGTGCAATATTGGCTCACTGCAGCCTCTGCCTCCTGAGTTCAAGTGATTCTCCTGCCTCAGCCTCCCAAGTAGCTGGGATCACAGGCGCCCGCCATCACGCCCGGCTAATTTTTGTATTTTTAGTAGAGACGGGGTTTTGCCATGTTGGCCAGGCTGTTCTCGAACTCCTGATCTCAGGTGATCCATCTGCCTCGGCCTCCCAAAGTGTTGGGATTACAGGCGTGAGCCACCGCATCCAGCCTTAGCATGATTATTTTGAGATTCATCTACCTTGTTGAATATATTAATAATTTATTCTTTTTTAAAAATATGGTTTAATCTTTATATTTTGTATGGCTTTTCTCATAAAGTGGATATATTGTATTTTTTAAAGGTTAGCCATATAGCATAAGTATATACCAAGTACTCCTTATTTCTAGTCTCTTTGTTTCTTTCCCAATCTCCTCTTCTCCTCTCAACATGTTTCAATTTGACTATAATTCTTTTTTTTTTTTTTTTTTTTTTTTTTTGGAGATGGAGTCTCACTATTTGCCCAGGCTGGCCTCAAACCCTTGGGCTCAAGTGATCCTCTCACTTTGGCCTCCCAAGTAGCTGGGACAATAGGCACAAGCCACTGCACATAGCTTCTTTGAAATAATTTTAGACTCACATAGAAGTTGCAAAAATAATACAAAAAGTTCCCCTTGTATCCTTCACTTTTCCCCCATGATTATGTAAGTGTAAATAAAAATCTAAAAACAATTAAAAATTGAATTTTCCTAGAAAAGAAAGAATCCCCCAGTCTGTCTTCAGAGCGTTTACTTTAGAAAACTTGTAATTGTGAATTCCTTCTCTGCCCTTTGAAGATGTATTTACATCTTCTTTTATGAGGCTCGCTCTTTCGCCAGCCTAGAGTGCAATGGCACAATCTCGGCTCACTGCAACCTCCGACTCCCTGGTTCAAGCTATTCTCCTGTCTCAGCCTCCCAAGTAGCTGAGATTACAGGCACGGGCCACCATGCCCAGCTAATTTTTGTATTTTTAGTAGAGACGGGGTTTCACCATGTTGGCCAGGATGGTCTCAATCTCCTGAGCTCGTGATCCGCCTGCCTCCACCTCCCAAAGTGCTGGGATTACAGGTGTGAGCCACCATGCCCGGCCTACATCTTTTTTTAAATAAGCTTAATAACCCATGAGAAAGGTGTTAGTTTAAAAAAAAAAAGATAAATAAATCTCTTGTCAGTTTTTTTTTTCCCCAACCCCATAATCTTATCCTTAAGGACCTGGAAGCCTTCTCTTTGAAATGAAATCATCGAGGGAAATAGCATTCCTATTTCCTAGTCCTATGGAAGGGTAGGAACCTAACTTCAGCTGGCACCTGTTAAGTTACAAACCTACCATAAAGACATAAGAAATTTAATTTTCCTTTGGATAAAGACAATTAACAAACACAGGTGACTACTCCGATTCGCAGGTGACAGGTGGTGCTGTGAAGTCATCTTATTTGAGGACTAGTTGTTTATCTTGAAAACATGTATGACATGGGTTGCATCTGCCTGGTTATATAAAGGGGTGAGTGTTTTTTATTTTTTTGAGACAGAGTCTCACTCCGTCACCCAAGCTGGAGTGCAGTAGCGCAATCTCGGCTCACTGCAACCTCTGCCTTCCAGGGGTGAGGGTTAGGTTGTCTTTGCAATCTCTTTAGCAGATTGCCTGTAATGCACATCACATTCTGGTTTGATAGGTTTTCAAATACTAAAATTGTTTTTTTCTCTTCTACTTTAATGGAGAGGTTTTTTGTTGTGGCAGGAATTTTTGTCTTAAATTATATTTCCCCAAGAACATCTTATATAATCCTAGTACAATGATGAAAACCAGGAAATTGACATGTGCGCAATACTATTAACTAAAGATTTTATTCAAATTACAGCCAATTCTCAATATCCTCAAGGATTGGTTCCACAACTCTCCTCCTCCACCAAAACCCCAGGATGCTCAAGTCCTTTATATAAAATGGTATGAGCATATGTCTTATGCACGTCCTCCCATGTACTTTAAATTTTCTCTGGATTATTTCTAATAACTAATACAAATGCGAATGCTATGCAAATAGTCATTATACTGCATTTTAAATTTGTATTTTTTTATTGTATTGTTGCGTGGTTTTTTTTTTTTTAAGACAGGGTCTCAACTATTGCCCAGGCTGCAGTACAGTGGTGAGATCGTAGCTCACTATGGCCTCGACCTCCCATGGCTTAGGTGATCCTCCTGCCTCAGCCCCCGAGTAGCTAGAATTACAGGCTCCACCACTCCCAGCTAATTTTTGTATTTTTAATAGAGATGGGTTTTTCGCCATGTTGCCCAGGCTGGTCTCAGACTCCTAGGCTCAAGTGATCCGCCCACCTTGGCCTTCCAAAGTGCTGGGATTATAGGTGTGAGCCACTGCGCCTGGCCTGTATTGTTATTTTTTTATTGTCTCTTCCCACCCAATATTTTCCATCTGTGGTTGGTTGAATTTGCCGATGTGAGATCTGGGGATACAGAAAGCTGGCTACATATCATGCTTACAGGCAGTGCATGTGTATATACAATTCCATGAAATTTTATCCCATGTATAGGTTTATGTAACATCACCACAGTCAGGGTACAGAGCTGTTCCATCACCCCGAAAGTCACTCTCATGCTGTCAATTATAGTCATTCCCTCCTCCAGCTCTAACCCTTGACAACCACTTATCTGTTCTCCACTACAACTTTTTTTTTTTTTTTTTGGTCACCTAGGCTGGAGTGCACAGCTCATGGCAGCCTTGACCTCCCATGCTCAAGCAATCCTCCCATCTCAGCCTCCCAAGCAGCTGGGACCACAGGTGCATGCCACCACGCTCAGCTGTTTTTTTGAAAAAAGTTTCTGTAGAGACTGGGTTTTGCTATGTTGCCCAGGTTAGTCTCCAACTCCTGGGCTCAGGCGATCCCCCACCCCTGCCTTGGCCTCCCAGAGCGCTGAGATTACAGGCATGAGCCACCATGCTGGGCCCACAACTTTTCATTTCATTAAAATGGGATCATACAGTATGTAACTGTGCAATAAAGGGTTAATTCAGCAGGTTTGGGTTGTACACATTCCAAAGAAGGAACTGACACTTGACCAGTTCCTTAACCTATAAGCCCTTGAAATAAATGTCCTGCCTTTTAAGAGTTTTTGTATACCTGGGGCCTTCAGCCATGACAGATAGTTTATGCTAATTTTATGCTGATTTAAAACTGTATCCTTTCACTGTAATAAGCCATAACTGAACATAGCTTTTCTGAGTTCTGTGAGTCTTTCTAGTTAATCATTAAGCTTAAAAGTGGTCTTGGATAACCTTTAGAGATTGTGCTTTACATAAAATCTAACTTTTTTTGTTTTTGTTTTTGTTTTTTAAGAGTTGGGGCCTCGTTCTGTTGCCCAGGCTGGAGTGCAGTGGTGCAATCATAGCTCACTGCAGCCTTGACTTCCTAGGCTCAAGTGATCCTCCCACCTTGGCTTCCGAAGTAGCTGGAACTACAGGTACGCGCCACTATACCAGGCTAATTTTTTAAGAGTGGGGCCTTGCTGTGTTGCCCAGGCTGGTCTTGAACTCCTGGGCTGAAGGGCCTCAGCCTCCCAAGTAGCTGGGATTGTAGGTGTGAGCTACCGTGCCCTACATCATTTTTATTGCAGGCAGTATTGTGTCATATGGATTTACCATAATTTGCTTATTCATTCATCTGTTAATGGACATTTGGGTTGTTTAGAGATTTTGTGTATTACAAATAAAGCTGTTATAAATATTTTTGTTCAAGTTTTTGTATGCACACGTAATTTTATTTACCTTGAGTAGATTCTTATAATAGTGAAAAGTAAAAAAGCCTTTATCACAGCTTGGAGTCTATTATCTTCTGTAGATGCAGGGCAGTTTGGCCGAGAATCAAGCCAGGATTTGACAAGAAGGGAGTTGAAGGGTCAATGAAAGGTACAGTATGATATAAGGACACTACACAGGAAGGAATGGAAAGCTGAGAAATAGGATGGACACATTTGGGCAGATGTGGTCAAGACCCAGACTCTCAAATGCCCAAATCCCCTTGAGCTTTTCTCAGAGTGGAGGCAACCTACCCTCATATCCACTCCCCATTCCTGACCAGCCTTTCCCTGTGTAAAAGGCACTTAGTCGCTTCATCTGGGGCAGTTGCCTTATGAGCTGATGCTAGTTCTTGTAAGGGACTGATCCTACCCTGCCTCCTTGCCTCTGGATCTTAACAGAAGTTAGTTATTCCAGTGCAAACCAAAAAGTACTGAACGTGGCCCAGAAAGAGATAGTTTCTTGCCAGTGTGTATTGGCAAGAGTTAGGGAATATGGAAATGGATTGTTACGCCAAGGAAAACAAATATAAGGTTGGATTGGGATAAATGTATAAACATGAGTGCATGTGCTGGCATGTCAGTCATGTTTTCCAAAGATAGTCACACAATGTCTCTCATCTTTTCTGCCAGTGGCCTTGACACTCCTTCCATTGAGTGGTGGGGTCTATGTCCCCTCCCCTTGAATCCAATAGAGTACAACCAAAGTAATACCATGTGATATCCCAGGTAAGGTCATTAAGTTTCTACAGAAGAGACTTGATAGCAAAGGAGAGCCTGCCAGGTCTAACTGCTCATCCTGACCTCCCAGCTTCTTGCCTGGCCTTTAAATAACCCTCCCTTAGGTGTCCTGGAATGTCTCCTTGCTCTGATTCCAGAGCAGTTATTTTTTATGTATTCATTCAACAAATTTAGCGTCTGTAATATGCCCAGCATAGGCCATAAATGATGACACTGACAAGACCCCAAGTTGGAGAAACTAAATGAGCCCTAACAACAAGTGCTGACCCGAGCCACAATAGAGGCCTGTTGAAGGGAGAAAGAGGTAATGAGGTGGGGTCAGGGAGGGCTTCTGGAGTAGGAGATTCCTGAGCCAAGTCCTAAAGGATGTGTATGGGCTCACCAGGTGGAGAAGATGGAACGGACAAGTCTGGTCGTGGAAAGATGCCCTGGGCAGAGGGAACGGTGCGGATAAAGGAAGGAGAGCAAGTGGAAGATGGCAGCCAATGGGAATGAGCAATGCATGGGAAGGAACTGAGGGTGAGATGAAAGGCAGCGCACCAGGCTGCAGAGATCAGCCCTGGCGGTTACATTTTTCAATTAATTCTCTTATTTTTATTATATAAAACATTATTTTGGCCAGGCGCGGTGGCTCACGCCTGTAATCCCAGCACTTTGGGAGGCCGAGGTGGGTGGATCACGAGGTCAGGAGATCGAGACCATCCTGGCTAACACGGTGAAACCCGGTTTCTACTAAAAATATGAAAAATTAGCCAGGTGTGGTGGCGGGCACCTGTAGTCCCAGCTACTCGGGAGGCTGAGGCAGGAGAATGGCATGAACCCGGGAGGCGGAGCTTGCAGTGAGCCGAGATCGTGCCACTGCACTCCAGCCTGGGCGACAGAGCGAGACTCCCTCTCAGAAAAATAAATAAATAAATAAATAAAATAAAAACATTATTTTACTTTATTTTTATTTTATTTTTATTGTTTTTTTTAGAGACAGGGTCTAGCTCTTGTCACTCAGGCTGAAGTGCTTGGCAAGATCATGGCCCACTGCAGCCTCAAACTCCTGGACTCAAGTGATTCTCTCACCTCACCCTCCAAGTAGCTAGGACTACAAGCACATGCCACTGTGCATGGCTATTTTTATTTTTCAGAGACATGGGCTCACTATGTTGCCTAGGCTAGTTTCAAGTTCCTGGCCTCAATAAAACATTATTTTAAAAAATCAGAGATGGCAAAGATTATGTTCCTTGTAATCTCAATAGTGGGGTAGAGAGACACTGGACACTAACAGATGCTAGGTGACTGCTTTTGGCCTTCTGTGCATTTGCACTTCACCTTTTGCATTTTTCTACTTAGCTGTTCTGGGAACATTATACATTTCCAAAGAGCTTCTTGTAACAAAAGTTACAAGAAATAAGAAACATGTATGACTTTTTTTTTTTTTTTTTTTGAGACAGAGTCTTGCTCTGTCACCCAGGCTGGAGTGCAGTGGTGCCATGTCGGCTCACTGCAGACTCTGCCTCTCGGGTTCCAGCGATTCTCCTGCCTCAGCCTCCCAGGTAGCTGGGATTACAGGCACGTGATACTATGCCTGGCTAATTTTTGTATTCTTAGTAGAGATGAGGTTCCACCATGTTGGCCAGGCTGCTCTCAAACTTCTGACCTCAGATAATCCACCTGCCTTGGCCTTCCAAAGTGCTAGGATGATAGGCATGAGCCACTGCACCCGGCCAAAACAGGTATGACTTTTAAAGAAAGCAAGGAATCATATCCTATTGTGTCTTTTCTGTCTTCGGGTGGTGATTTTAAGTACTTTGCATCATTGAAGAACTATTTAGAGAAAAATAAAGTGTGGCAATTAAAATATCAAACCCTCTCTTCTGATACCCTGATACATATGAAAAGTCAGTTTTTACTGGCCTTTTTTTCTGTTGACCATGGGAGGCAAGCACAGTGTAAATCATACCTTTGCAGTTTAGCTCATGCTCTCCTCCATTTGCACAAAGCCTGGCCATGTTCATTGCTCAGTCCACTCTCAACGCTTCTGCAAGGCTCAGCTGCAACCCTTTCCCAATTGCATTCTGTTCCTTTAATGTCTGTCCTACACAGTTCAGTAAGAAATCATGTGGCCATTTGTATTATTTTCTTATAAGTACCTTGAAGTCTGAACCTAAGTTTACCTCCAGGTGTAGACGCACCCTTTCTCTACCCCATCCTCCCCCTTTACTCTGCCCCACTAAGCAACCAATGGAGTAGAAGTAGTAAGTGCTCAATAAATATGTGAATGAAAAACCTTAAGTTCAAGGCATTTTGTATAGAATGTTTTAATTTTTATGGGTATATTTGGAGTCCTTTATTTAAGACCACAGTGCTGATGTCCACAATCTGTCACTACATAGTGCCTGGTGTGGTGGCTCATGTCTGTAATCCCAGCACTTTGGGAGGCTGTGGCGGGCAGATCGCTTGAGTCCAGGAGTTCAAGACCAGCATAGCCAACATGGTGAAACCCCTACAAAAATAAAAAATTAGCCGGGCTTGGTGGCACAAACCTGTAGTCTCAGCTACTGGAAAGGCTGAGGTGGGAGGTCAAGGATTCAGCGAGCTGTGATCGTGCCACTGCATTGCAGCCTGGGCGACAGAGTGAGGCCCTGTCTCAAAAAATGAAATAAAGTAAAAAATAAAAATAACTACATAGCGAAAATAATCAGAAGAATGTTTAAGGTCTCCAGTGAAAGGACAACAGGCTTGTTGTGCTGTTCGCAAGCACGTGTTAGATGCGATTCACTCATGTTGTTGGTGTGTCACTGGGGGTTGTGACTGCAAGTTGTCCAGGTTCTTGGCATTGTGAACAAAGAATTGGACAAAACGCCCAGCAAAGCAAAGAAAGAACAAGGCAACGAAAGAACGAAAGCAGGGATTTACCGAAAACGAAAGTGCACTCCACAATGTGGGAGCGGACCGAGCAGAGCTCAAGGGCCCGGATATAGAATCTTCTTGGGTCCAAATACCCACTAGAAGTTTCCTATTGGCCATTTTATGCTCACCTCAAACCCGATTGGTTGCAAGAAGCAAGCAGTCAGAGGCTAGGGTGAAATTACAAAGTTATACTTCTATGCAAACGAAGACTGGACCCCCAATCAGTCTGATTGGTTGTGGACAGCAACCATTCAGAGGCTGGAGTTAAGGTTCAAACTTGGCAAAGCAAGCCTCCACCAGCAGTAAGTCTGATTTGTCGGGGACAGCCAATTTCCTATCTGCCCTGCGGAAAAGGTGGGGGGGTTTGCAAAGGGAGTAGCCTTTGGTCCTTTTGTTACTTAGGCATGGAAAGTTAGGGTTTTCCTTTCAGTTTAGCTCTAGGAAGTCAGCGTGAGACAGCCTTAGGTTCCCTGCTTCCAGACTTATTCTCCTGCCTTAGGTACAGTCACTATCGTGATATTATCTATCGCTGTGTCAACACAACACCAATCCAAGCCCAACCGCAGCTCTCTCACTGCCGCACCGCTTCGTGAGGGTCGATCCGCCGGGGAGACCTGCTCTCCTGCGCTCGGGACTAGACGCGACCTCGCGGGGCTGAGGCTCTGTCCCTTATTGGCTGGGTCAGGGGGCGTGGCGCGGCTTGACCAATCGCGGGCGGCGCGCTTAGGCACGTGTGTGGACAGGCCTGAGAATCAGAGAAACCTTCTCTGGGGCTGCAAGGACCTGAGCTCAGCTTCCGCCCCAGCCAGGGAAGCGGCAGGGGAAAGCACCGGCTCCAGGCCAGCGTGGGCCGCTCTCTCGCTCGGTGCCCGCCGCCATGTGGGCCGTCCTGAGGTTAGCCCTGCGGCCGTGTGCCCGCGCCTCTCCCGCCGGGCCGCGCGCCTATCACGGGGACTCGGTGGCCTCGCTGGGCACCCAGCCGGACTTGGGCTCTGCCCTCTACCAGGTAGGCTGAGCGCCCCGGTGGCCTGGCCGCCGGTGCCAGGCTAGGAAGCAAGTGGAGGAGGGGCACGCTTCAACAACTGCTGCTCTCTTGTCCGGAGCCCCAGTTGATTCTGTGACGCACGTGAAGTTTGAAGAAGAAAAGCCTAACAGATACAAGAAAGTTTAGTTCACTTTTAGAGCTGGCACTGTACTTTGTGTCTTTGAAATCAGTGGTTCTTAAAGCCTGGTTTAGAATTGCCACCTGGGGAGCTAGCTGAATAGCTGCCTGAGCCCTACTCTGGACCTTGTGGGTCTCAGGTGGAGTCGCTGTGTTTATATTGTTAGTGAACTCATTAGGGGACTTTTGGCAGCCAGCTTTGGGAACCACTGGCCTAGAGCAGCCCAACGAGGGGCGCTGTGCTTAGGAAATTTGAGTTTAAAAGTTGATTATGATGGCCGAGCCCAGTGGCTCACGCCTGTAATCCCAGCGCTTTGGGAGGCCCTGGCGGGTGGATTACCTGAGATCAGGAGTTCGAGAACAGCCTGGCCAACGTGGTGAAACCCCATCTCTACTAAGAATACAAAAATTAGCCGGGCATGGTGGCGCGCGCCTGTAATCCCAGCTACCTGGGAGGCTGAGGCAGGGGAATCGCTTGAACTTGGGAGGCGGAGGTTGCAGTGAGCTGAGATCGTGCCATTGCACTCCAGCCTTGGCAACAAGAGCGAACTCTGTCTCAAAAAAAAAAAAAAAAAAAAGTTGGTTATGTTAATAGAAAATATCCCACAGTATCTTTGAGTGGCTTTTCTTGGAATTAGGAGGCATCATAAGGCCAAAAAACTCAAAACTTGCGAAATATCAGAGCTGGAAAATTTCACTGTGTTCCCACGATTTCTAAGCCTATACAGATAACATCTAAATAGTGCAAACAACACACAATTGTTTGTCAGTCCAGAATGTTTAATTCAGAATTATTAAGTGGTTATTGTGGTCTAGGCACTATTTTAGATATTTGGCATGGATGCGTAGGAATGGAACTAATAATTTTGTAGGGAAGATGGACAAGAAAGCAGGTAACTGTGGTACAGTGTAAGAAGGGTTGTCTAAAGCTTGAGAAGGTGGTTACAGAAAGCTACCGATAGGAAGTAATGGGTGAGATGAATCTTGGGTAAGAGCTGGCCAAGTTCAGGGTGCAGGATGGAAGGTAAGACTGTATAAACCAAGAGAGTTACAAGAACATAGGTACTGAGTTATGAAAGTGTATATCTGGTGTGAGGACTTGAATTCCATGTCTAGGACATGGAATTCATTGAATAGTGTCTGGTGATGGGATTGATTGATTATGGGGCCAGATAGAGGAGGATCTTCCATGCAAAAGCCACATTTAGATTCCATTTGGCAGGTTGTCCATTAAAATATTTAAGTAGATAAGTGGCATGATCCTATGGATATGGTAGAATCATCAGTGTGGTGGCAATGTGGAGGATGGATTGATATAGGGAAAAGACTAGACCTAGGTGACAGTGGAGAGTTGAGTCTTGAGATGAAGGAGTCAAAGTTAGAGTTGTATGTAGGAGGGGGGCATAAATACCTGAGGAGCAAAGATTATAGAGTTAATAACTGAGTGGAAGGGGAAAATGGATGACTTTGGAGTTTCCAACTGGGCAGAATATTTAGTTAGGTGGAACTGCCATTAATACAAAGAAGGCTTTGGTGATGGGTTTTGTATGAATCACCTTTTGCTAGGTTGCGCTTTGTGTAACAAATAATCAAAAAATCTCAGTAACTCACAACAGTAAATATTAGTCTCTCACTTGATTTTGTTTTGTTTCTTAATCTCTCACTCGTGTTGGTGGCCTTTGGTTAGCTGCTGCTGTGACTGTTCCACTGCAGGGTAGGTTCAGGTCTGCTCCATGTGTCTTCCCATTCCTGGACTGAGGCTGAAGAGCAGCCCTGAATTAAACATGCCCTTCTCATGGCCGAAGGCACAGGAGCAAGAGGCTGAACACAAATTGGATTTAAAATCCTTGCTGGCATGTGATGAAATTAATGTGTGCTCACATTAGACAAAGCAAGTCCATGAGGGTGGGGGAGAATGGGATGAATGATCCAGTTTAGCTGTGTTTCCTGATTACAAATAAAAGCAACTATAATAAGTAATAATAATGGCAGGAATTTTATAGTGTACCCACCATTTTTCTAAAGGCTTTATGTGGTTTTACTCATGTATTTATCATAATGATCCTGTGCAGTAGGTACAATTGTTATTTCTGTTTTATAGATGGGAAAACTGTGGTATATAGGGTCCAAGAAATTTGTCTGAGATAACACAGAGCCTGAATTTGAAGCCAGGTGGTCTGGCTCATAACTCTTGAGTCCAGGGTCTTAACTGTTGCTCTATAATGCTTCTCACTCACCCAGCTCTACCTAGGTGGGTTCTATGGTTGAAAAGATGGGGTGGGAAACTTGTCAGTGGCTCAGCTCCAATTCATTATGACTGTCAGGCACTAACCTCTGTGGTTGCTCAGCTTCACAAGAAAATTACTAGGTTGTAGAATGTTGTTTCGCAGGTGATTAAAACACACACACACACACACACAAACACAAACACCTGGCGTCCTGAGAGATCAAGATTTGCCAAATGCAGTATCAGTAAGTAGGGAAACTGAAAGTTGAACTTGGTTTTGCCACTAAACTACACTGCCTCTTGGTTAGTGAGTCTCATCCTAAGGAGGCTAGGTTGGTTGATAAAGGATTGCCTGGGAGGTGAACTGTAGCCAGTACTGGCTCTTCTGTGATTTAAGTCTGATGGGCTGAGCTTGGCACAGATGTTGCCCAGTCTGTAGAGGCAAATGTCAGCTTCAGTGGGTCAGTGCTTTTCTTCTTTGACCCACTGGTTGCTTAAAAGTACGTTGTTTAATTTCCATATATTTGTGAATTTTCCAGTCATCCTTCTGCCATTGATTTCTAGTTTCATTCCATTGTGATTGAAAGGATACTTTTGGGCCAGGCATGGTGGCTCAGGCCTGTAATCCTAGCGCTTTGGGAGGCCGAGGCTGGTGGATCACCTGAGGTCAGGAGTTCTAGACCAGCCTGGCCAACATGGTGAAACCCTGTCTCCACTAAAAATAAAAAAATTACCTGGGCATGGTGGCGCACGCCTGTAATCCCAGCTACTTGGGAGTGTGAGGCAGGAGAGTCGCTTGAACCCGGGAGGCGGAGGTTGCAGTGAGCTGAGACTGTGCTACTGCACTCCAGCCTGGGCGACACGGCCAGACTCCGTCTCAAAAAAAAAAAAAAGGATACTTTGTATGATTTCAGTCTTTTAAAATTTATTAAGATTTGTTTTGTGGCCTGACATGTAGTCTATCTTGGAGAATGTTGCCTGTGCACTTGAGAAAAGTTACATACTTTTTTCTGCTGTTGTAGGGTGACAAGTTCTGTATATTGTGTTAGCTCCAACTGGTTCTTTCCCTAATACCATGCTGCTTCCTTGTTTTTTATTTTCTGGATTTTGCAGAGCAAGAGAATGTAGCAGAAATCATGACCCTCAGAGCTCTTGGAGCTGTAGAAAATAGGAAATAATGGAGATATACTGTAGACTGAATATTCATCTAAGTTTGAACAGTTAGGAAGTTGCTTAGTGTTCTGTCAAACAGAAGGAACTAAATAACTAGAGATGCTAATCACATGGGGAGCAAAATGTATTAGTGGGCCAAGTCTGAATTTCAAAGATAATTAGCTAGTTAAGTATTGTTCTAAAGTAATATGCTGACCAAACAAAATTTAAAAATACAGAAGGGTGAAAAGTTAGTCCCTCTACCTCTTTTCTACTTCTCACTGTCAATATTTCCTTGTGTATTACTTAATTTGTGTATATATGCCAGCATAGAGTTTTGTTCTGTTTTTTTTTTTTTTTTTTTGAGATGGAGTTTTGCTCTTGTTGCCCAGGCTGGAGTGCAATGATGCAATCTTGGCTCACTGCAACCTCCGCCTCCCGGGTTCGAGGGATTCTCCTGCCTCAGCCTCCCGAGTAGCTGGGATTACAGGCAAGCACCACCTTGCCTGGCTAATTTTGTATTTTTTAGTAGAGACGAGTTTTCTCCATGTTGGTCAGGCTGGTCTCGAACTCCCGACCGTAGGTGATCTGCCCGCCTCGGCCTCCCAAAGTGCTGAGATTACAGGCGTGAGCCACCACGGCTGGCCGAGTTTTGTTCTTTTTACTAATTTATTTATTTATTTGAAACAGTCTTGCTCTGTCACCCAGGCTGGAGTACAATGGCACGATCCTAGTTCACTGCAGCTTCAAACTCCTGGGCTCAAGAGATCCTTCCACCTTAGTTGGTCAAGTCGCTGGGACACACCACCATGCCCAGATAATTTTTAAATTTTTATTCTTTTTATTTTTATTCTTTTTGTAAAGATGGAAGTCTCCCTATGTTACTCAGGCTGGTCTCAAACTCCTGGGCTTAAGCGATGCTCCTGCCTCCGCCTTCCAAAGCTCTGGGATAACAGACATAAGCCACCACACTCAGCCTGTTCTTTTTAAAACATAAAATAGGATCCTTGGCCAGGTGCGGTGGCTCATGCCTGTAATCCCAGCACTTTGGGAGGCCGAGATGGGCAAATCACTTGAGGTAAGGAGTTTGAGATCAGCCTGGCCAACATGGCGAAACCCGGTCTCTATTAAAAATACAATAATTAGCTGGGCATGGTGGCACACACCTGTAGTCCCAGCTACTTAGGAGGCTGAGGCAGGAGAATCGCTTGATCTCGGGAGGCGGAGGTTGCAGTGAGCCGAGATTGCACCATTGCACTCCAGCCGGGGCAACAAAGGGAGACTCTGTCCCAAAAAATAAAAATACAAAATTAAAAATAAAAATAAGATCCTTTTTCTCCCTCTGGGATTTGTTTTTAAGTGTACTTTGTCAGTAAGCAAGCATTGGTTGGAATCTCAGATAGTGACTGATGGGACAGGAAAAATAAGATGGTATTCTAACCTTCAAAAAGCTTATATTCCTTAAAATAGGAAAACAAATAGAGATCAGTTTAAGTTCAGAAGGTGTTTAAGGAAGAAAGATGTTAAATTGAGTAGGAGTGGCCAGAAGTAGAGTTGAAGATGAGATAAAACATGAATTAGGCTTACAGAGGAGTAAGATATGGAGAGATGGACAAGTGGGGTGGTGAAGAAGAGCTTGAACAAGACAGGCAGGGGTGAATCTTTTCCATACGATCCAGTGGCCCAGCGTGGCTGCCACAGATGGGGTGGCCCAGTGTGGCGGCCACACAGAGTTGGCACAGACCACTGTTTTTTTTTTTTTTTTGACCTTTATTTTGGTAAAAAGGAATTGCTTTCTAATATTTCTCTCCCCTGTCTCCTCTATTTCTGTTTTAGGAGAACTACAAGCAGATGAAAGCACTAGTAAATCAGCTCCATGAACGAGTGGAGCATATAAAACTAGGTAAACACAGCATTTATTCCACAGCTTATGCCTTTACTTAAGATGTCCTAAAATAGTTATTGCTTTTAGGAAAAATACTGGAATTAAGCTTTTGATATTTTTTTTTTTTTTTTGAGATGGAGTCTTGCTCTCTTGCCCAGGCTGGAGTGCAGTGGCGCCATCTCAGCTCACTGCAACCTCCGCCTCCTGGGTTCAAGCCATTCTCCTGCCTCAGCCTCCCAAGTTGTTGGGATTACAGGTGCCTGCCTCCATGCCTGTCTAATTTTTGTATTTTTTAAATAGAGACAAGGTTTCACCATGTTGGCCAGGCTGGTCTTGAACTACTGATGTCAAGTGATCCATCTGCCTTGGCCTCCCAAAGTGCTGCAATTATAGGCGTGAGCCACTACTCCTGGCTGAGCTTTTGACTCTTAAGACTATGCATTTGTTGGTATGCAGGCATTTAATTTTATTTTTCCTATTACTTGGCCAGTTTTTCTCTTCATAGAGTACTACCACTTTTGGGGGGAAAAGTAAAGATTCAAATTCATAAATTTTATGAATAAATAATTTATTTTTAATTTTTATTAATTTTTTTTTTAAGAGATGGGTTCTTGCTCTATTGCCAGGCTGGACTGAACCCCTGGCTCAAGCGATCCTCTCATCTTGGCCTCCCAAAGTGCTGGGATTACAGGTATGAGCCACCACACCTGGCCAGTGATTTCTTAGTAGGCATTTAATATTTCCTCCCTAAGTGCTGAATCTCAGATGGAAAGCATTCTTCATATTTGATAGACTGTTTCAGATAACTTTTATCAACAAGTATATAATACTTAAAATTGTATATAATACTTTTAATGTAAAATTTTACATTTAGGTTAGAGTAGTTTAAATACTGGATCTCAGGAGTATAAAAATAGTGAAGAAGACTGGATTTGGAAAGTATGGTCTAGAATTGCTTATTTACTAGTTTATTTAGAGACAGGGTCTCCTCACTCTGTTGCTCGGGCTGGACTCGAAGTCGGGAGCTCAAGTGATCTTCTTGCCTCAGCCTCCCAAGTAGCTGAGACTGTACCTGTGCCCCTGTACGCAGCTATGGAATTCATACTTTTGAAGCCATTTTAGATCAAGGTGTTGTCTCCAGAAAAAGAATTCAAACTCTTGCTGAAATGAAAGTGTTTTGTTAGGGGTGATAACTCAATTGTTATGCCCATTTTGAGAGTTTGATTTGGTGAACTCACTGTCCCCCTTAGACATTAAGATGGTGGGTTTTGGGGCCAGGCACAGTGGCTCACGCCTGTAATCCCAGCACTTTGGGAGGCCGAGGTGGGCGGATCACATGAAGTCAGGAGTTCGAGACCAGACTGAGCAACATGGTGAAACCCTGTCTCTACTAAAAATACAAAATTAGCTGGGTGTGGTGGCGCATGCTTGTAATCCCACCTACTCGGGAGGCTGAGGCAGGAGAATTGTTTGAACCTGGGAGGCGGAGGTTGCAGTGAGCCAAGATGGTGCCATTGCACTCTAGCCTGGGTAACAGAGCGAAATTCCGTCTCAAAAAAAAAAAAAAAAGAGGTGGGTTTGACTCAATGGAGGGTTGAGGAGTCCTGTGGCATCAGGTGCCTGCTGGGGATGGTGGATGCTGAGGAACCGTGGTGCAGGCTGGTGGCCACAGGAGGGTAGAGGACTGAGCCGGACTCCCTGGGGAAGGAGGTAGGGAGAAGGGGGAAAGGACAAACTTGGCTGTCACAGCTTTGCCAAGAATTAAATGTCAGGGGAGCTTAATTATGTGCTCTGTGAGCCTGCATCAAGGATAACCCTCTTTCTGGTTCTTCCTAATAAAACCAGAATTCACCAGCTGCTCCAAATTGTAAGGCCCCACTCTAGACAGAATTGCTAAAGAGTGATGTTGTCTTAAGTCTCTCTCTTTTTTTTTTTTTTTACTGAGACGGAGTCTTGCTCTGTCACTCAGGCTGGGGTGTAGTGGCGCGATCTCAGTTCACTACAACCTTGGCCCCCCGGGTTCAAGCGATTCTCCCGCCTCAGCCTCCCGAATAGCTGGGACTACAGGCATGCACCACCACACCCAGCTAATTTTTCATATTTTTAGTAGAGATGGGGTTTCACCATGTTGTCCAGGCTGGTCTCAAACTCCTGGCCTCAAGTGATCCACCCACCTCAGCCTCCCAAAGTGCTGGGATTACAGGCATGACCCACCTGTCACTTTGGGAGGTCAAGGCAGGAGAATTGCATGAAGCCAGGTGTTTGAAACCAGCCTGGGCAACAGAGTGAGACCTCATCACAAAAATTTAGCTGGAGTGGTGGCACATGCCTGTAGTCCCAGCTGCTGGGAAGCCTGAGGTGAGAGGATCACTTGAATTTAGGAGTTCAAGGCTGTAGTGAGCCATGCTGGCACCACTGCACTCCAGCCTGGGTGACAGAGTAAGATCTTGTCTCAAAAAAAAAAAAAAAAAAGGTCCTACTTGGAAGATCGTTTGAGATTATTTTCTTGCCTAAATAAACAAAGAAATAGCTTTCTGAAATAGCTGAACATTTCATTAGACAAAGACTATATTAAGATGAAATTCTTGGACACCAATAAAAATAAACTAATGTTTTAATTATTAAAGGTACAATTTGATACTTCTGTTCTTGCTCCATTACCTTGGTTTGCCGAGAGTGGGTTATAGATATTCCCAAGAATACTCCAGTGGGCTCTTCAGTTATAATTTTCTTTGTCTGTCATGATGTGAGCAATGTTGAGAAGCACTGAAGACAATCTCTGAGTCAAGGAAGGGGACTTTTAAATTGCTAAAGTGTTCAACTCACCCAGTTGCAAGCCTAAAAAGTTACGGATCACTAATGTCATCTTTAGGTAAATTTACTGCACTTATCATGGAAGTAATTTCTAAAATTTTATTTTTACCTGGTACAAATGAAGATAGGAATTTTCCAGATCTATCATAGCATGTATTTAATAAATGTGGTGGAGATGAGGCATTATTTGCAATATGTGAGCTGCAGAGAAAATACTCTGTAATTTATGTAACTACTAGTGAATTCAGAACATAGACTCTAGGATATACTCTAAAATCAGGGATAGATTGATTTTTTTTTAATACCAGTTTTTACATTTACTTCAGAAAATTGGCAACTTGTAAGTTGAGTGAATGATTATTAGCCTTTTCTCAGAGGATATGTTGAACTTTTAAAAAGTGCTATATTTTGGATTAAGTATTATGTTTTTCTGGCATTGAGACCTTTTTATCGTGTCAATCTAATCTAATCTAATCACATTTCTATCATAGGAGGTGGTGAGAAAGCCCGAGCACTTCACATATCAAGAGGAAAACTATTGCCCAGAGAAAGAATTGACAATCTCATAGACCCAGGGTGCGTACATAGCCAAGTACTGACTCAGAGTGTTCTCTGTTCCATAGTACTTTATTAGACAGTCTTGTAAATCAGTTATTTTGAATTCTAGTTCTCATCGTAAGATTCAGGAACATGTGTTTATTGAGAGCCTACTATGTGTCAAGCACTATGTGTTGACATGTTTATTGAGAGCCTACTATTGGTCAGGTACTAGTGATATATCAGTGACCAAAACAGACACAGATCTTTGCTCTACTAGAGTTTACATCATAGCAAAGGGAGACAGAAAGCAACAGTAAAGACTGTAACTTCTGGCTGGGTGTGGTGGCTCACTCCTGTAATCCCAGCACTTTGGGAGGCCGAGGTGGGCGGATCATGAAGTCAGGAGATTGAGACCATCTGGCTAACATGGTGAAAACCCGTCTCTACTAAAAATACAAAAAATTAGCTGGGCATGGTGGCATGTGCTTGTAGTCCCAGCTACTCGGGAGGCTGAGGCAGGAGAGTCGCTCGAACCCCAGAGGCAGAGGTTGCAGTGAGACGAGATTGTGCCACTGCACTCCAGCCTGGGTGACAGAGCGAGACTCTGTCTCAAAAAAAAAAAAGATTGTAAATTCTGTAGTGTGTTAGTAAGTGACAAATGTCATGAGAAAAAGAAAAGGTGGCCCAGGGTAAAGGAGAGGAAGATATAGGGCAAGTTGCAGTTTTAAGAGGTGGTGCCAAGGTAGGCCGCATTGAGAAGGTGATGTCTGAGCAAAGATTTAAAGGAGGAGAGAGAGAGAGAGAGCCTTGTAACTCTCTGGGGAAAGAGTGTTTCAGGCAGAGGGAATGGCCAGTGCAAAGGCCCTGAGGTGGGAGTGTGCCAGGTAATGCTGGTATGCTCAAGGGGCAGCCAGGAGGCTGGGGTGGTTGTGGTGGAGGGAGTGAGGGGAGAGGAGTAGGAGATGGGTCAGATCCTGTATGGCCTTGTGGGTTATCATAAAGGTTTTGGTTTTCACCATGGGAGAAATGGGGAGCTATTGTAGGGTTTTGAACAGGAGATGATTATGATCTGACATAGCTTAAAAGAGTGCTTCTGGCTGCTGTGTTGTGAGTAGATGGAGCAGCAAGGGTGGAAGCCCTGTGACCAGGTAGAGGGCGATTGCAAGGATTTGAGGGAGACATGATGGGGACTCGGCATAGGGTAGTAGTAGTGGTGGTGGCAGGAGTGCAGGGTTCTGGATGTATTGTGAAGACAGAGCCAACCCAACAGGATTTCCTGAAGGATTGGATATGGAGTGTAAGGGGGAGAAGAGGGGTAAGTGAAAACTCCCAAAGTATTTTTTCTCCTGACACGTGCACACACATCCAACCTGGAGACAGCACTGTTAACACCTAGTATATTATCCTTCTAGGCCATTTGTATGCATATATATATACCAGACACCTACATTTTTTAAAAATGCAAATGAAATCGTACTAAATTTGCTGTTTTGTAGCCAGCTCTCTTTTTTCCCTCCTAATGTATCTTGACCATGTAAGTAAGTGAGAGGCGGACTAGTGGTTAAGAGCCTGGCCCCTGGGGCAAGATTGCTTATGAAGCTCCCGGCTCTGCCCCTTACTTACTGTGTAACCTTAGACAAGTGACTTGATCTCTGTGTGTTTCAGTTTCCTCATCAGTAAATGAGGGTCACAATAAGATCCACCTCAGAAGGTGGTTCTAAGGAGGACATGAGTGAGTGTTTCTTTTTTTTTTTTTTTTTTTTGAGACGGAGTCTCACTCTGTCACCAGGCTGGAGTGCAGTGGCGCGATCTCCGTTCACTTAACCTCCGCCTCCTGGGTTCAAGCGATTCTCCTGCCTCAGCCTCCCGAGTAGCTGGATTACAGGTGTGCACCACCATGCCCAGCTAATTTTTGTATTTTTAGTAGAGACGGGGTTTCACCATGTTGCCCAGGATGGTCTCAATCTCTTGACCTCGTGATCTGCCCACCTTGGCCTCCCAAAGTGCCGGGATTACAGGCATGAGCCACCACACCAGCCGATAAGTGAGTGTTTCTAAAGCCTTTAGAAGAGAGCCTGGTATTTGGAAAGGATTTTTATTTTAATTAATTAATTAATTATTTATTTTTTGAGATGGAGTTTTGCCCTGTTGCCCAGGCTGGGGTGCAGTGGCATGATCTCAGCTCACTGAAACCTCTGCCTTCCGGATTCAGGTGATTCTCCTGCCTCAGCCTCCCGAGTAGCTGGGATTACAGGCACGTGCCTCCACGCCTGGCTAATTTTTTTTTTTTTTTTTTTTTGTATTTTTAGTAGAGATGGGGTTTCACCATGTTATCCAGGCTGGTCTCAAACTCCTGACCTCACGTGATCTACCTGTCTCAGCCTCCCAAAGTGCTGAGATTACAGGCATGAGCCACCGTGCCTGGCCATTAGTTGTTTTTTGAGACAGGGTCTCATTCCATTGCCCAGGCTGGAGTGCAGTGGCACAGTCACAGTTCTCTGCAGCCTTGGCCTCCTGGGCTCAAGTGATTCTTCCACCTCAGCCTCCCAAGTAGCTGGGACCACAGGCATGTGCCATCATGCCCAGCTGTGTTGAAAATTTTTTTTTTTTTGTAAAGATGGGGTTTCCCCGTGTTGCTCAGGCTGGCCTCAAACTCCTGGGCTCAAGCAGTCCACCCACTTGAGCCCCACAAAGTGCTAGGACTACAGGCATGAGCCACCCCACCTACCTCCAAAAGTTTTTAAGAGATGGGGTCTTGGCTGGGCGTGGTGGCTCATGCCTGTAATCCCAGCACTTTGTGAGGCCGAGGTGGGCAGATAACCTTCAGGTAAGGAGTTTGAGACCAGCCTGGCCAACATGGTGAAACCCCGTCTCTACTAAAAATACAAAAAATTAGCTGGTTGTGGTGGCGCATGCCTGTAATCCCAGTTACTCGGGAGGCTGAGGCAGGAGAATCGCTTGAACTCAGGAGGTGGAGGTTGCAGTGAGCTGAGATCGCGCCACTGCACTCCAGCCTGGGTGACAGGGCAAGACTCCATCTCAAAAAACAACAACAACAACAAAAAAGAGATGGGGTCTCACTATGTTGTCCTGGCTGGCCTCCAACTCTTGGGCTCAAACAGTCCTCTTGTCTCAGCCTCCTGAATAACTGGGATTACAGACTTGAGCCACCACACCCATTTTAGATTTTTAAAAATAGATTTTATATACAACATGTGTATTTGAAATATTGTCCCATTGAGGAAAAATCTTTTCCTTTTCCATGTGTAACTGTTTAAATGTGTAGTTTTTAATGACATTAATTCAAACAACATCCTTTCTTCGCTTTAGGTCTCCATTTCTGGAATTATCCCAGTTTGCAGGTTACCAGTTATATGACAATGAGGAGGTGCCAGGAGGTGGCATTATTACAGGCATTGGAAGAGTATCAGGGTGAGTATTCTACTTGTGCTTCATAATGTGGGTTGAGAAGAAGACTTTGATGAGGCACAGGCATCCAGCACTCACTTTGCATATTAGCATGCGATTTGTATGCTATTTATATTATGTAGGACTGGCTGGGTGTGGTGGCTCACGCCTGTAATCCCAGCACTTTGGGAGGCTGAGGTGGGTGGATCACCTGAGGTCAGGAGTTTGAGATCAGGCTGGCCAATGTGGTGAAACCCTGTCTCTACTAAAAATAAAAAAATAAGCCGGCATGGTGGCACACGCCTGTAGTCCCAGCTACTTGGGAGGCTGAGGCAGGAGAATCGCTTGAACCTGGGAGGCAGAAGTTGCAGTGAGCTGAGATGGAGCCACTGCACTCCATCCTGGTGACAGAGCAAGACTCCGTCTCAAAAAAAAAACAAAAAGATGTCTTTCCATGGAGACAAGGGCAAGGAAGGAGACCAGTCTTTATCTTTTAACTAGAGATGCTCTAGTACTGGATATTATGGCTGAAAAAAATTCAGTCATTTAATAGGTATAAAGTAGTACTTAATTATAAATTCTTTCTTTTTTCCTTTTTTGTTTTTTTTAGAGATGGTGTCTCGCTCTGTTGCCTAGGCTAATCTCGAACTTCTGGGCTCAAACGATGTTGAATATAGGCTAGCACATCATTATAATTTTTTTTTTTTGAGTTGGGGTCTTACTCTGTTGCCCAGGCTGGAGTGCAGTGACATGATCATAGCTTACTGTAGCCTCAAACTCCTGGCATCAAATGATCTTCCTGCCTTGGCCTCCCAAAGTGCTGGGATCACAAGCATGAGCCATTGCTCTGGCCTTTATTATAATTCAAATTGACCTTTCTTACATAAAAATTGTTGAATGGTTTATATCATCACTACTCTTTCTCTGACAAATGACAGATGAGCTGAATTTGCTCAAATTAAGCAAAAAAGAGGATATATTGATTCTCTTATCTGGTGAGTCTGGGCATGGCTGTATCTGGGAGCTCAAATGGTCTTAGGTATTACTAGGTCCCAGGCTGTTTTCTACTCCTGGCCCTGACTTGCTGTGTGTCAGCTTTGTTTCTAGGCAGCCTCTCTAAATCCAGAGGCAGTGATGGTCATAGGCAGTTCCTGGTTTATATTCTATAAGTTTAGCAGCTGCAGTGGAAGGCAAGATCTGCTTAGGCTTAGAGCCTGTCCCATTGCCGAGCCTCAGTGGGAACTCTGGGTAGAAAGACCTGGTCCCTGTGCCCCCCTTTAAGGCAGGCTCTGGGGTCAGTCCTACTTGAGCCACCTGGATTAAAGATAAGAGGCAGTTTCTGAAAGAAGGTTTAGTTTTGTTGCCAAAATAATAGATGCTGGGTAGGCAAAACCAATAGAAATGCAATCTAGTATTTTTGTGGGCCAATTTGATTTCTCATTCTGTAACAAGTCTGTGACCTTTAATAGACAAGCAGATATGGCTATGTCCCTTGTCCATGGTCACATAACTAACAAGTTGGCAGAGCCAGAATTTCAGTCTAACTTTGTCTGACTTCACAGCCTGGCCTCTTTCCAGTACCAGAGCTTCTTAAACTTTCTAGCGTAGCACCCCCAGTGGTAGGAAGTATGAGCACACACTCTGGAGTGTGAGGTTATGGCCCAGCAACCTATGAGAAGCCTACATTTCCTTTGAAGTCTAGTTCGTTTAATGTTAAATCATTAAAAGTTTGCATTCTACTCTATAAAATGTTCATTGCAGTGCAGAAAAAGGTTTTATATGACCTAGGGAATAAAATTGATGCTCAAAGAAGAGTCCTGTTTGTCTTGTGGCGAGCCCTGCTGGCCACATATCCTAGTATGAGAAGCTCAACACTACCCTGTGCTGGGTGTTCAGTTGCCGTTCTCTATTTTCAGCAGGGATTTAATGACTCACTCTTTAGAGTTGTAGGCAGCATAAAGTGAGGTAACACAAACATCAGAAACATAAAGAAAATTGAATTTTGTAAAGAGCACACTGTTGTCATCTCAGATTTCAAGGGTACCTCTGACCTTAAGGTTTCCTGCCAGTGCTGTACAGTTTCCCCAACCAGCTGTGGTTGTTGGCCGCCCTGCTCTTTGTGACTCATACCCAATAAACTGGTTTTGGTGAGAAAGGGCACTGTTGATGACTCAGGATACCTTTCATGTGTTTTTAGTATATTAAAGTTTGCATTCATTCTGACTTCAGTTAAGATGAACGTTATATTTTAGACTACATTTAGTTTTGTAGAAAACCATGGGGCTGTAATGTTGAAGAACAAGAATACAAAAAATAAATCTTAGTACTAAAGGTCAGTTTTCATTTTTGCAAAATACCCTCCTAAAAGGAGACTTTGAAGGTTTATTATGAGGGAATTCTTTTCCCTTGAGACTTGGATTTTTTTTTTCATTATTATTTTCATCTTATTAGGACCTTTTCATTCAAAGAACCATTATGACACAAGGCTTAGGTTGTTAGTTTTTTATTACTAATCTAGGACTGATGACTTTTCAAAAACCAAGTGTGAGTTTATAAACTTGTTAGAAGTAATTGTTTTGTATTATATAAATTAATATGTGAACTGTGATTAAAGTTTGCATTTATATCCTAAGACTGCTGTCTGCTAATGGATGTTAATAGTGATACGTACTAGAAGTTGAAGGTTGTATTGGGGTATCTTGTAATGAGTGTAATTAGTTTTGAAGAAATCTCTTAAATTCTCTCTCCAATGAAATTTCTGCCTTTCAGAGTAGAATGCATGATTATTGCCAATGATGCCACCGTCAAAGGAGGTGCCTACTACCCAGTGACTGTGAAAAAACAATTACGGGCCCAAGAAATTGCCATGCAAAACAGGCTCCCCTGCATCTACTTAGGCAAGTCACCAGAGTGGTAAAATAAACTATTATTAGCTGGTAAAATGCAAGATAGTTTGGAAGGCTGTATGTATTACATTTGGGATGGGTATTTTATAAACCTGTTGATTTCTCCTGTAATTATAAAGGAAACACAGGTTCTTTGCTGAAAACTCTGGGGGAAAGTAAACAAGAACTGTTCATAGTACTAGTGCATAATACTCATACATTTTGACGCATGCCAGTTTTTTTCTCTATGTGTTGTGTGGTTTTTTTTTTTTGTTCTCTAGATCCTGTTTTTCTTTTAACTTTATGGATCATACTATGAAAAAAATAGTAGCAAGTATTTATAGATCTCTTGAGTGCCAGGTACTGAGTTAAATGTGCAAGTATTATATAATTTGAGCAGATGTAATTTAAAGTAAATTTAATTTCCAGTGAAAGTAAACTTATATTTGAAATTAAAACACATTTAAATCAAAGAACCTGAAAGCAAAGCAGTTTAAAATGGGCCTTTCCTCCGGGCGCGGTGGCTCACGCCTGTAATCCCAGCACTTTGGGAGGCCGAGGCAGGCGGATCATGAGGTCAGGAGATGGAGACCATCCTGGCTAACACACTGAAACCTCGTCTCTACTAAAAAAAAATACAAAAAATTAGCCGAGCGTGGTGGCAGGCAGCTGTAGTCCCAGCTACTTGGGAGGCTGAGGCAGGAGAATGGTGTGAACCTGGGAGGCGGAGCTTGCAGTGAGCTGAAATCGTGCCACTGTACTCCAGCCTGGGCGACAGAGAGAGAGACTGTCTCAAAAAAAAAAAAAAAAAAAAAAAATGGGCCTTTCCTGATACTGGGTTAGTCTGATAAAATTCCAACATACGTTGTTCATGTATGCAGGTATTTGAACGGGTACTGATGTAGAGGTATTTTTTGTTTTGTGTTTTTCTGTGAAGTTGAATTTACCTGATTAACTCACAATACGAACTGCTCTGCACGTAGAGAAAACAGCAAATGAGGCCCAGCTGCTTGTAGGTGCTGTGCTGGTCTTTATAGGGGATACAGTGAGGAGGATTTTGTTGTCTCTGTCTTCAGCGAGCTCATAATGAATTGGACACAGCATATAATGTGCAACCAACAAAAGACTTAATGGTTGCAGATTCTGAACTAAGTGCTTTCTATACATTTTTCAAGTCATCCTAATATATGATATGGCTCCTTTTTTTATCTTCATTTCGTGGGTAAGGAAACCGGGGCATAGGATGGCTAGGAAACACACCTATAATCACACAGCTGTGAAGTCATGAGCTCTGCTTTGAACGCAACTGACCTGTGTACCCACCACTCCAATCTGCAATGAAAACAGTATCAGAAGGCAATATGTATAAATTATTATATGAATTCTGTGGATGGCTTTTGTATTGGTTTAGAAGAAGGAAAGATACTTTTCCACCTTAACTCTTTAAGAATTTATGATGTTTCTGGGGCTTTAGCTGGTCCTCAAAGGAGAGAAGGTTCTAACCATTTCGAGAAGAATTTTGCACAGAGGTGGGAAAGCCTGATGGGTTTGGGGCAATGAATCCTTTTGGCTGCATTGGGGGTTTGGAGAACGAGGCTCTATAACAGTTTAGAAAGACAGGGCAAGTTTTTTGTGAATGTGATTAAGAACTGATGCTGTCATTGATACAAGTTTCCCTCTGCGTAGCACATTTAGTTCATAGAGATGCTTATGTTTCTCATTTCTTGTCTTCAGTTGATTCGGGAGGAGCATACTTACCTCGACAAGCAGATGTGTTTCCAGATCGAGACCACTTTGGCCGTACATTCTATAATCAGGCAATTATGTCTTCTAAAAATATTGCACAGGTAATTTTTCATGAATAAAGTGTACAGTGGTGCTTTTTACTCTTAAGTATCTTTACGAATTAGGTACTCTGGGATGGCTTGAAAGTAAAACAGAATTTAACACAAAATCTAATCTTTTTTTTTTTTTTATACTTTAGGTTTTAGGGTACATGTGCACATTGTGCAGGTTAGTTACATACGTACACATGTGCCATGCTGGTGCGCTGCACCCACTAAATCGTCATCTAGCATTAGGTATATCTCCCAATGCTATCCCTCCCCGCTCCCCCCACCCCACCACAGTCCCCAGAGTGTGATATTCCCCTTCCTGTGTCCATGTGATCTCATTGTTCAATTCCCACCTATGAGTGAGAATATGCGGTGTTTGGTTTTTTGTTCTTGCGATAGTTTACTGAGAATGATGATTTCCAATTTCATCCATGTCCCTACAAAGGACATGAACTCATCATTTTTTATGGCTGCATAGTATTCCATGGTGTATATGTGCCACATTTTCTTAATCCAGTCTATCATTTTTGGACATTTGGGTTGGTTCCAAGTCTTTGCTATTGTGAATAATGCCGCAATAAACATACGTGTGCATGTGTCTTTATAGCAGCATGATTTATAGTCCTTTGGGTATATACCCAGTAATGGGATGGCTAGGTCAAATGGTATTTCTAGTTCTAGATCCCTGAGGAATCGCCACACTGACTTCGACAATGGTTGAACTAGTTTACAGTCCCACCAACAGTGTAAAAGTGTTCCTATTTCTCCATATCCTCTCCAGCCCCTGTTGTTTCCTGACTTTTTAATGATTGCCATTCTAACTGGTGTGAGATGGTATCTCATTGTGGTTTTGATTTGCATTTCTCTGATGGCCAGTGATGACGAGCATTTTTTCATGTGTTTTTTGGCTGCATAAATGTCTTCTTCTGAGAAGTGTCTGTTCATGTCCTTCACCCACTTTTTGATGGGGTTGTTTGTTTTTTTCTTGTAAATTTGAGTTCATTGTAGATTCTGGATATTAGCCCTTTGTCAGATGAGTAGGTTGTGAAAATTTTCTCCCATTTTGTAGGTTGCCTGTTCACTCTGATGGTAGTTTCTTTTGCTGTGCAGAAGCTCTTTAGTTTAATTAGATCCCATTTGTCAATTTTGGCTTTTGTTGCCATTGCTTTTGGTGTTTCGGACATGAAGTCCTTGCCCATGCCTATGTCCTGAATGGTAATGCCTAGGTTTTCTTCTAGGGTTTTTATGGTTTTTGGTCTAATGTTTAAGTCTTTAATCCATCTTGAATTGATTTTTGTATAAGGTGTAAGGAAGGGATCCAGTTTCAGCTTTCTACATATGGCTAGCCAGTTTTCCCAACACCATTTATTAAATAGGGAATCCTTTCCCCATTGCTTGTTTTTCTCAGGTTTGTCAAAGATAAGATGTAGGTATGCGGCGTTATTTCTGAGGGCTCTGTTCTGTTCCATTGATCTATATCTCTGTTTTGGTACCAATACCATGCTGTTTTGGTTACTGTAGCCTTGTAGTACAGTTTGAAGTCAGGTAGTGTGATGCCTCCAGCTTTGTTCTTTTGGCTTAGGATTGCCTTGGCGATGTGGGCTCTTTTTTGGTTCCATGTGAACTTTAAAGTAGTTTTTTCCAATTCTGTGAAGAAAGTCTTTGGTAGCTTGATGGGGATGGCATTGAATCTGTAAATTACCTTGGGCAGTATGGCCATTTTCACGATATTGATTCTTCCTACCCATGAGCATGGAATGTTCTTCCATTTGTTTGTATCCTCTTTTATTTCCTTGAGCAGTGGTTTGTAGTTCTCCTTGAAGAGGTCCTTCACATCCCTTGTAAGTTGGATTCCTAGGTATTTTATTCTCTTTGAAGCAATTGTGAATGAGAGTTCACTCATGATTTGGCTCTCTGTTTGTCTGTTGTTGGTATTTAAGAATGCTTGTGATTTTTGTACATTGATTTTGTATCCTGAGACTTTGCTGAAGTTGCTTATCAGCTTGAGGAGATTTTGGGCTGAGACAATGGGGTTTTCTAGATATACAATCATGTCGTCTGCAAACAGGGACAATTTGACTTCCTCTTTTCCTAATTGAATACCCTTTATTTCCTTCTCCTGCCTAATTGCCCTGGCCAGAACTTCCAACACTATGTTGAATAGGAGTGGTGAGAGAGGGCATCCCTGTCTTGTGCCAGTTTTCAAAGGGAATGCTTCCAGTTTTTGCCCATTCAGTATGATATTGGCTGTGGGTTTGTCATAGATAGCTCTTATTATTTTGAAATACGTCCCATCAATACCTAATTTATTGAGAGTTTTTAGCATGAAGGGTTGTTGAATTTTGTCAAAGGCTTTTTCTGCATCTATTGAGATAATCATGTGGTTTTTGTCTTTGGCTCTGTTTATATGCTGGATTACATTTACTGATTTGCATATATTGAACCAGCCTTGCATCCCAGGGATGAAGCCCACTTGATCATGGTGGATAAGCTTTTTGATGTGCTGCTGGATGCGTTTTGCCAGTATTTTATTGAGGATTTTTGCATCAATGTTCATCAAGGATATTGGTCTAAAATTCTCTTTTTTGGTTGTGTCTCTGCCCGGCTTTGGTATCAGAATGATGCTGGCCTCATAAAATGAGTTAGGGAGGATTCCCTCTTTTTCTACTGATTGGAATAGTTTCAGAAGGAATGGTACCAGTTCCTTCTTGTACCTCTGGTAGAATTCGGCTGTGAATCCATCTGGTCCTGGACTCTTTTTGGTTGGTAAACTATTGATTATTGCCACAATTTCAGCTCCTGTTATTGGTCTATTCAGAGATTCAACTTCTTCCTGGTTTAGTCTTGGGAGAGTTTGTGTGTCGAGGAATTTATCCATTTCTTCTAGATTTTCTAGTTTATTTGCGTAGAGGTGTTTGTAGTATTCTCTGATGGTAGTTTGTATTTCTGTGGGATCGGTGGTGATATCCCCTTTATCATTTTTTATTGCGTCTATTTGATTCTTCTCTCTTTTTTTCTTTATTAGTCTTGCTAGCGGTCTATCAATTTTGTTGATCCTTTCAAAAAACCAGCTCCTGGATTCATTAATTTTTTGAAGGGTTTTTTGTGTCTCTATTTCCTTCAGTTCTGCTCTGATTTTAGTTATTTCTTGCCTTCTGCTAGCTTTTGAACGTGTTTGCTCTTGCTTTTCTAGTTCTTTTAATTGTGATGTTAGGGTGTCAATTTTGGATCTTTCCTGCTTTCTCTTGTGGGCATTTAGTGCTATAAATTTCCCTCTACACACTGTTTGAATGCGTCCCAGAGATTCTGGTATGTTGTGTCTTTGTTCTTGTTGGTTTCAAAGAACATCTTTATTTCTGCCTTCATTTCGTTATGTACCCAGTGGTCATTCAGGAGCAGGTTGTTCAGTTTCCATGTAGTTGAGCAGTTTTGAGTGAGATTCTTAATCCTGAGTTCTAGTTTGATTGCACTGTGGTCTGAGAGATAGTTTATTATAATCTCTGTTCTTTTACATTTGCTGAGGAGAGCTTTACTTCCAAGTATGTGGTCAATTTTGGAATAGGTGTGGTGTGGTGCTGAAAAAAATGTATATTCTGTTGATTTGGGGTGGAGAGTTCTGTAGATGTCTATTAGGTCCGCTTGGTGCAGAGCTGAGTTCAATTCCTGGGTATCCTTGTTGACTTTCTGTCTCGTTGATCTGTCTAATGTTGACAGTGGGGTGTTAAAGTCTCCCATTATTAATGTGTGGGAGTCTAAGTCTCTTTGTAGGTCACTCAGGACTTGCTTTATGACTCTGGGTGCTCCTGTATTGGGTGCATATATATTTAGGATAGTTAGCTCTTCTTGTTGAATTGATCCCTTTACCATTATGTAATGGCCTTCTTTGTCTCTTTTGATCTTTGTTGGTTTAAAGTCTGTTTTATCAGAGACTAGGATTGCAACCCCTGCCTTTTTTTGTTTTCCATTTGCTTGGTAGATCTTCCTCCATCCTTTTATTTTGAGCCTATGTGTGTCTCTGCACGTGAGATGGGTTTCCTGAATACAGCACACTGATGGGTCTTGACTCTTTATCCAGTTTGCCAGTCTGTGTCTTTTAATTGGAGCATTTAGTCCATTTACATTTAAAGTTAATATTGTTATGTGTGAATTTGATCCTGTCATTATGATGTTAGCTGGTGATTTTGCTTGCTAGTTGATGCAGTTTCTTCCTAGTCTTGAAGGTCTTTACATTTTGGCTTGATTTTTGCAGTGGCTGGTACCGGTTGTTCCTTTCCATGTTTAGCGCTTCCTTTTTTAGGGCAGGCCTGGTGGTGACAGAATCTCTCAGCATTTGCTTGTCTGTAAAGGATTTTATTTCTCCTTCACTTATGAAGCTTAGTTTGGCTGGATATGAAATTCTGGGTTGCAAATTCTTTTCTTTAAGAATGTTGAATATTGGCCCCTAGTCTCTTCTGGCTTGTAGGTTTCTGCCGAGAGATCCGCTGTTAGTCTGATGGGCTTCCCTTTGAGGGTAACCCGACCTTTCTCTCTGGCTGCCCTTAACATTTTTTCCTTCATTTCAACTTTGGTGAATCTGACAATTATGTGTCTTGGAGTTGCTCTTCTCGAGGAGTATCTTTGTGGTGTTCTGTGTATTTCCTGAATCTGAACGTTGGCCTGCCTTGCTAGATTGTGGAAGTTCTCCTGGATAATATCCTGCAGAGTGTTTTCCAACTTGGTTCCATTCTCCCCATCACTTTCAGGTACACCAATCAGACGTAGATTTGGTCTTTTCACATAGTCCCATATTTCTTGGAGGCTTTGCTCATTTCTTTTTATTCTTTTTTCTCTAAACTTCCCTTCTCGCTTCATTTCATTCATTTCATCTTCCATTGCTGATACCCTTTCTTACAGTTGATCGCTTCAGCTCCTGAGGCTTCTGCATTCTTCACGTAGTTCTCGAGCCTTGGTTTTCAGCTCCATCAGCTCCTTTAAGCACTTCTCTGTATTGGTTATTCTAGTTATACATTCTTCTAAATTTTTTTCAAAGTTTTCAACTTCTTTGCCTTTAGTTTGAATGTCCTCCCGTAGCTCAGAGTAATTTGATCGTCTGAAGCCTTCTTCTCTCAGCTCATCAAAGTCATTCCCCATCCAGCTTTGTTCCGTTGCTGGTGAGGAACTGCGTTCCTTTGGAGGAGGAGAGGTGCTCTGCGTTTTAGAGTTTCCAGTTTTTCTGTTCTGTTTTTTCCCCATCTTTGTGGTTTTATCTACTTTTGGTCTTTGATGATAGTGATGTACAGATGGGTTTTTGGTGTGGATGTCCTTTCTGTTTGTTAGTTTTCCTTCTAACAGACAGGACCCTCAGCTGCAGGTCTGTTGGAATACCCTGCCGTGTGAGATGTCAGTGTGCCCCTGCTGGGGGGTGCCTCCCAGTTAGGCTGCTCGGGGGTCAGGGGTCAGGGACCCACTTGAGGAGGCAGTCTGCCCGTTCTCAGATCTCCAGCTGTGTGCTGGGAGAACCACTGCTCTCTTCAAAGCTGTCAGACAGGGACATTTAAGTCTGCAGAGGTTACTGCTGTCTTTTTGTTTGTCTGTGCCCTGCCCCCAGAGGGGAGCCTACAGAGGCAGGCAGGCCTCCTTGAGCTGTGGTGGGCTCCACCCAGTTCGAGCTTCCTGGCTGCTTTGTTTACCTTAAGCAAGCCTGGGCAATGGCGAGCGCCCCTCCCCCAGCCTCGCTGCCGCCTTGCAGTTTGATCTCAGACTGCTGTGCTAGCAATCAGCGAGACTCCGTGGGCGTAGGACCCTCCGAGCCAGGTGCGGGATATAATCTCCTGGTGCGCCGTTTTTTAAGCTGGTCCGAAAAGCGCAATATTCGGGTGGGAGTGACCCGATTTTCCAGGTGCGTCCGTCACCCCTTTCTTTGACTCGGAAAGGGAACTCCCTGACCCCTTGCGCTTCCCAAGTGAGGCAATGCCTCGCCCTGCTTCGGCTCGCACACGGTGCGCGCACCCACTGACCTGCGCCCACTGTCTGGCACTCCTTAGTGAGATGAACCCAGTACCTCAGATGGAAATGCAGAAATCACCCGTCTTCTGCGTCGCTCACGCTGAGAGCTGTAGACCGGAGCTGTTCCTATTCGGCCATCTTGGCTCCTCCCCAAAATCTAATCTTTTTCCACAGAGAGTATCTAAAGGTTGTCTCCAATTAGAGCTTTTTATTAACTATAGGAATACTCCTATACTGTAATAAGATTATTAAAACAGGTTTTAGGCCAGGCGCGGTGGCTCACGCCTGGAATCCCAGCACTTTGGGAGGCCGAGGTGGGGGGATCACGAGGTCAGGAGATCGAGACTATCCTGGCTAACGCGGTGAAACCCCGTCTCTATTAAAAATACAAAAAATTAGCTGGGCGTGGTGGCACATGCCTGTAGTCCCAGCAACTTGGGAGACTGAGGCAGGAGAAATGCTTGAACCTGGGAGGCAGAGGTTGCAGTGAGCTGAGATCATGCCACTGCACTCCAGCCTGGCGACGAAGTGAGACTCCGTCTCAAACAAACAAAGAACAGGTTTTTAAAAGGAAAACAGGGTTTAAAAAGAAAGGGCTCCAGTAATTCCTTTTTTAGGGCTATACCCTAGGGAAACTCTGATATATGTATGAAGAGATACTTAGAAGAATAATTCATGGCCAGGCACTGTGACTTGTGCCTGAAATCCCAGCACTTTGGGAGGCTGAAGTGAGAGGATCACTTGAGTCCAGGAGTGAGAGACCAGCCTGGGCAACATAGGGAGACCCTGTCTCTACAAAAAAATAAAAAATTAGCCGAGTGTGGTGTGGCACATGCCTATGGTTCCAGCTTTCAGGAGGCTGAGGTAGGAGGATCACTTGAGCCTTGGAGTTTGAGGCTACAGCGAGCTGTGGTTGCACCACTGCACTCCAGCCTGAGAAACAGAATGAGACCCTGTCTCACAAAAGAAAAAGAAAAGAAAAGTTCATTATAGCATTGTTTGTTAGAGCAAAAGTTAGAGAATAACCTAACTGTTCATTCATGGGAGATTAATAATACAGTTTTTGTCTGTTAAAAGGAATGAACTAAAATTGCATCTGTCAATATAAGTCTCAAAAAGTAGATTGAGTAAAAAACATAGTAGAATCAATATATGGCTATTTACTATGTATGTAAAGGTTAAATACATCGAATCCTACTGTATATTATTTGTGTATAAACATGCACGTGGGAGCGATACACTCAGCTTTAGAACAGTGGTTGCCTCTGAGGTGGGAAGGAAGAGACAGGGATGAGGTAGGAGGTAGATAGGCGCTTCAACTATATCTCAAATACTTTATTCCTTTTTTTTTCTTTTTTTTTTTTTGAGATGGAGTCTTGCTCTGTTGCCCAGGCTGGAGTGCAGTGGTGCTACCTCGGCTCACTGCAAACTTTGCCTCCCGGGTTCACGCTATTCTCCTGCCTCAGCCTCCTGAGTAGCTGGGACTACAGGCGCCCACCACCATGCCCGGCTAATTTTTTGTATTTTTAGTAGAGACAGGGTTTCACCACATTAGCCAGGATGGTCTCGATCTCCTGACCTCGTGATCTGCCGACCTCGTGATCCGCCCGCCTCGGCCTCCCAAAGTGCTGGGATAACAGGCATGAGCCACCGCGCCTGGTCAAATACTTTATTCCTTAAAAAAATGATCTGAAGTAAATTTTGCTTAATGTCAAGGTTTATTAAGATTAGGTATTAGGCTAATGGATGTTTGTTATTCTGTAATTTTTTTTGCATGGTTGGAATATTTATAATACAGATGCTGCTATTGTGTTTTCATTTCTTTATTGGATTTAAGTTTGTCATATTTTTATTAATATTCTGATTAATCTATACTTGCAATTATTATATATCTTTTTGATTTTTCTATCAACATAGTTGGTTGTAATTGTTTATGGTATATTTTACTGTTACACAGTGACCATGCCTACCTATATGCTTTATTTATCTAAATAGAAACTTCGGCTTTGCTTACTTTTGCACAGATGGCCGTTGCATTATCTATATGAAATTCGTATTGTGGTCTCCATTTAATCTGGTATTATATTTTTTTCTTTTAGAGAAACAGGATCTTGCTATGTTGGCCAGGCTGGTCTCAAATTCTTGGCCTCAAGGATCCTTCTGCCTTAGCCTCCCAATGTGCTGGGATTACAGGCCTGAGCCAACATGCTGGGCCTGGTGTTACAATTTTTATAGCTTACCTTTTATTAGTTTCCTAGGGCTGTTGTAACAAATTATCACAAATTGAGTGGCTTAAAGCAACAGCAATTTATGTATTTATTTAGAGATGAATGTCTTGGTATGTTGCTCCAGCTGGTCTTGAACTCCTGGCCTCAGATCATCCTCCTACCTTTGCCTTGTGGGTAGCTGGGATTATAGGTGTGAGCCACAATGCTTGGCTAACAGAAATTTATTCTGTGAAGTTCTGGAAGCCATAACTCTGCAGTCAAGGCAGCAGCGGGGCTGTGCTTCCAGGGGACATTCTGTTCCTTTCCTAGCCTCTTCCAGCTCCTGGTGGCTCCAGGTATTCCCCTGGCTTATGGCTACCTCCCTCCCATGTCTGCCTCCATCTTCACGTGACCTTCTCTGGGTATCTGGGTCTTCTCCTTCTCTATCTTATAAGAACACTTGTCACTGGATTTAGGGACCACCCAGGTAATCCACAAGATTCTTAATTATATCTGCAAAGATTCCTTTTTCAAATGAGACCATCTTTACAGATTCTGGTGATTAGGATATGGCTATATCTTTTTATCTTTTGTTGGGGGAGGCTACTATTTAAGCACTATAGCCCTCTATCATCTAACATGTTCTTTGCTGTGTCTTTCTGCTGCCAGGTGGAGTCTCTATTCCTGTGGAACTTTGAAGTTTAAAGTGCTTTAAAATCAGATCTTTTAAAAATCAAAAGTGTACTTACTTCTTGGAATAAGCAATACCTGCTTATGATAAAAAACTCAAAATGTCTGAAGGGCATTTGACTGAATGACTGTCTTCCTTTTACTTATTTTATTTTTGTTTTTTAAAAAATATTAGGGCTGGGCGTGGTGGCTCATGCCTGTAATCCCAGTACTTTGAGAGGCCAAGGCAGGAGGATTGCCTGAGCCCAGGTGAGACCAGCCTGGGCACACACCTGTGGTCCTAGCTGTTTGGGAGGCTGAAGCAGAAGGATTACTTGAGCCCAGGAGGTTGAAGCTTCAGTGAGCCATGATTGTACCACTGCACTTCAGCCTGAGTGACAGAATGAGACACTGTCTCAAGAAAATATACATATATTTATAATATATAATATATCAGAGAAGGAAGGTGGAGTAAGTACTAGTGTTTTCAGTATGAAGAAAAGTGCTCACACATAGCCGGACATCTTCAGTGCAGATTTCAGGTTTAGGGCTCATATATTCAGGAAGGGGTCAGAAAAGATACTATGGAGACTCAATATATGATAACAGAAATTTCTTTTTAAATTCCAAGAGGTTCATATTATATATCTAATTCATATTATATAGTTCATATTATATATATATGGTTCATATTATGTATAACGTATATAATACACACACACACACACACACATATATCAGTATTTCTTTGAGCTACTTCTCTTAGCCTTTATTTTTTTCTATTTCCCTTAAATAGGAAAGGAGGTTTAGGGTTAAGGTTTGCCTTCTCATATTTTAATGAACCGTATTTTTAAGTTTCCATAGTATCTGTTCTGAGCCTTTCCTGAATATATGAGCCTAAACCTGATATCTGCACTGAAGATGTCAGGCTATGTTTCTCCTCTTCTCAAAACCTAAACCCGTCATTTATGATTTTAATACTAACCTCTCCTTTTTGCTTCATCATTTATTCCCTTTCTCTTACTCTAATTAATTTTCTTGGGCAAGGCACGGTGGTCCACACCTCTAATCCTAGCACTTTGGGAGGCTAAGGTGGGAGATTGCTTGAGGCCAGGAGTTTAAGATCTAACGTGGCCAGCATAGTGAGACCCCATCTCTCTCTCTCTCTTTTTTTTTTTTTTTGAGATGGAGTCCTGCTCTTGTCCCCAGGCTGGAGTGCAGTGGCGTGCAATATTGGCTTACTGCAACCTCCGCCTTCCAGGCTCAAGGGATTCTTCTGCCTCAGCCTCCCGAGTAGCTGGGACTATAGGCACATGCCATCATGCCCAGCTAATTTTTGTATTTTTAGTAGAGACGGGGTTTTACTATGTTGCCCAGGCTGGTCTCGAACTCCTGAGGTCAAGTGATCTGCCCGCATTGGTCTCCCAAAGTGCTGGGATTACAGGTATGAGCCACTGTGCCCAGCCCAGACCCCATCTTTTAAAAATGAAAAAATTTTTTATCTGCTTATTTTTCTTCTCACACCCCAAAATCACGTTGATACCTTTTCTTTAAAGGAAACAAAAAAAGAACACTAAAATGATGCCAAAAGATAAAGACCTTTTCTAGCTTCTGCTGTTTTTGAAGCTTTTCTCCCTACCTGGGTGGCTACATTTTTTTCCCCCTTTGAGATGGAGTCTCACTGTGTCATCCAGGTTGGAGTGCAGTGGCACGATCTCGGCTCACTGCAACCTCCACCTCCTGGGTTCAAGCAATTCTCCTGCCTCAGCCTCCCTAGTAGCAGGGACTACAGGCATGCACCACCATGCCTGACTAACTTTTTTGTATTTTTAATAGAGATGAGGTTTCCATATGTTGGCCAGGCTGGCCTTGAACTCCTGACCTAAGGTGACCCACCCACCTCGACCTCCCAGAGTGCTAGGATTATAGGCGTGAGCCACCGCGCCCAGCCAACATTCTTAAGGATTGGCACATTGTCTTCATTCTAACTGCTCACTCCTTCAAACCTCCATGCCCTACGAGAGTTTCACCAGCCTAGAGACCAGATTCCCACTCTGCACAGCCTCTTGGTATCATCATTTTTTTCCTTTTCGTGAAATTCTCCTTATGCTTCATGCCACTGGGGTGCCCTTATTTATTTATTTATTTTAACGATTTAGCCAGATCTCATTACCTGTCATCTCCCTGATCTTTATCTAGTCTTGACCACCTCTACATCTCTACTTTTGAACCTCGGGGGTTCTGCTTTCTCAGTCAATTTCCTGCTGGTACCTTAGTATGAAATAATAAGAAATATACACATTGATCTCTGTCCCCAGTTCCAGGAACAGAGCTCCTAAAATCCTCATAAGTTTCTGAGCAGTAGGGGCACTAGGAGGCTCTTTTGTTCCAATATTTGGTGTCTGCCCCAGTTCCTCCGACAGAGTTCCTAATACCCTTGTAGATAGGGGTACTAGAAGAATCTTTTGTTCTATGATTTGGTCTTTGACCCCCATTCTTGTCACAGAGCTCCAAAATCCCTTGGAATTTCCTGGGTGATAGGAGCATCTTTTATTCTGATGAGGCGACTCTTAGTGGGCTCCTGGATGGTGCTGGTCACCAGAAAGACCAAGCCATGACCATAAACTTGGAGCTTTCAGTCCCAGCCCTATCCTTCAGGGAGGGAGAGGGGCTGGGGATTGAGTTAATAATTGACCATGCCTCTGTGATGAAGCCTCCATAAAAATCCCTAAATGGTGTTCAGAGAGCATCTGTGCTGGCAAACTCATCCAAGTGCTAGGAAGGTGGTGCATTCCCACTCCGCGGGGACAGAAGCTCCAGCCCTCAGGACCTTTGCAGACTCGCCTTATGTATCTTTTCATCTGGCTGTTCATCTGTATCCTTTATGATATCCTTCCTAACCAGTAAATGTAAGTAAAGTGTTTCCCTGAGTTCTGTGGGCCACTCTTGTAAATTAGTCAAACCCAAGGATGGGTAGTGGCAGCCCTGATTTACAGTCAATCAGAAATATAGGTGACAACCTGCTCCTTGTGGATTGGCATCTGAAGTGAGGGCCATCTTGTAGGACTGAGCCCTTAGTCTGTGGGATCTGATGCTGTCTCTAGGTAGACTGTAAGAACTGAATTGGATTAGAGGACAGCTGGTGTCTGCTGGAGAACTGCTTGGTGTGTGGAGAAATACCCCCACATATCTGGTGTCAGAGGTATTGAGTGACTGTGTCAGACAGTAGGAAAAACACTTTTTCCTCTGTCTTTTCAGACTTAGGTTCAAACTAGACATTGAACACATTAACTTCCCCTACTCATTTGTTCCCTCACCTGAGTTCCCATCTACTGCTAGCACTACCTTGCTCTTTCCCTAGGACTTGATGTCATCCTTGGCTCTTTTCTCTGCATTTTCCCTTACTTAATCCTTTTAGGTCAAAAATATACATCTTTGACATTTTTGTATCCCTGGCAGTTGCTCTGATGCCGGGCACAAAGTGAACACATCCTAAGCCTTTGCCTAATATATTGATGAGTCCTGTTGGTTTCACCCTTGGGCAGTTCCTCTCCACTCTGTTCCTACTATCACCCCCAGAGGCAGCTCAGGCCTTTGTTACCACTAGACTGTGGCTCTAGCCTCACCTGCCTGGTGTCCCTGTCTGCCTAGTCTATCCTTTCCCATACAGTGGACACATGCTGCAAGGTTATTCTTTATGTGGCCCTCCTGTTACTATTTGCTACAAAACAAAGCTCATACTTCTTAGCCCGATACTTAAGCCCCCGTGTGATCGGATTTCAACCTAACTTTCTAGCCTTATTGCTCCTGGACCCTAAACTGCAGTCAACCTGATGCAGTCACTGGTCTCCATATATACCATAGCCTTTTTTGACCATCTGCTCAGGCCCATGCTGGTCCTCTTTCCCCTCATCCTCCTGGGTCGGAGTCTCCAACCCATCTTCCAAGACACATCTCAAATGCCACCCTTTTAAGGAAATCCCGGAATCCTTTACTGGAAGTAATATTTTCTTCCTCCTAGCTCCCATAGTTCTTGTACTGTGCCTTACTAATAGCATTTATCCCTTTAATCTAGATATATCTGGACTAATTTCCTCTACTAGTCTGTTAGCTACTTGAGAATAGGGACAATTTAGATGAATTTTTATATCCTCACACATTTCCCTGAGATGGTACTTACTTAATATTTATTAAAAGATAAATCTCCTTATAACTATTAAAGTTGTAATATGATAGATATTGAGTGGTTCTGTTTCCTAAGTTTAATGTTTGTTTTGTTGTTTATTTAAGACTTTGGTTTAGACAGACTGATAAAACAATTCCTTATGTTTATTATATAAGTTAATCACTTCTAACTTCAATTATGTTATGTATTTATTTCGATAGTAAGCACCAGCTTCCTTACTCAAATTTAGTTGTTTTTCTCTCCAAGGTTGGTTTTTATTTAATGTTACTAGCCTTGCCCATTGTAAATTCATTTACCTAGTTATTTCAAAGAGTATGTCTATTGGCAATCATACCCGTATCGTTTTCTGTATCTTTGCTGCTATAAAAATGTGGACAGATTACTATAGACCTTCCAGGTTTCAACATTTTCTTTTGCTCTCAAGGAGAAAAGATAGTTAAACTAGGTACTTACTTTTATGTTCTCTTCTGTTTCATCTTTCCTTCATGGCAGATTTTAAGACCCCTTAATCGTTTCTGGAGTTTAAAGAGTTGATGTGTGGGTGTCTGGTGGTCTTTCTTTGAGTCTCATGTCATGAGAATGCCTTCTCTGGGCCTTCTCCATATCTGAGGCCTGATGACATGATGATCTTTGCAATGTTCTTCTTTTATTTTCCCAGTGGTGCAGTTTAAATGTGTCCCCCAAAAGTTTATGTGTTGGAAATGTGATTGCCATTGTGGTGATGTTAAATGGTGGCACCTTTGGGAGGTAATTAGGTCATGAGAGCTCTGCCCTCATGGATGGATTAATGCTATCATTGTGGGAGTTTGGCCTTCGTTTGCTCTCTGTCTCACACACACTTGCCCTCTCTTGCCCTCCCACCTTCTGCTGTTCCACCATGGGATGACTGTCAGATGCCAGTGCCATGCTCTTGGATTTCCCAGCTTCCAGAACCGTGAAAAGTAAATTTCTTTTTTAAATTCTTTCTTTCTTTCCTTCTTTCCTTCTTCCTTCCTTCCTTCCTTCCTTCCTTCCTTCCTTCCTTCCTTCCTTCCTTCCTTCCTTCCTTTCTTTCTTTCTCTTTCTTTTTGTAGAGGTGAAGTCTTGCTGCTCAGGCTGGTCTTGAACTCCTGGCTTAAGTTATCCTCCCACCTCAGCTTCCCAAAGCATTGGGATTATAAGCATGAGCCACTATGCCAGGCCAAATTTCTTTTCTTTATAAATTACTCAGTCTTGGGTATTCTGTTATAGCAGCAGCAAACAGTCTAAGACACCAATTATGGTTTCCATGTCTGGCTTTTTAAGTGTGAGACTTAGAATCCTCCTCAGAAGTGGGATCTTCATGTGTGTTTTCTTTAGGTCTCACATTACTTTTGATTTTTATAATTGAGTGATAGTCTAGTTTGCTGTAGATTGATCTTTGCTCTGGTGCATTGGTTCTCTTTCTTGTTTTAGTATAAGCAACAAGGTTTTTGTTTGAATGAACAGTTTGTTTCTTCTGAAATAGGCATCATTCATCTAGCCATGCTTAGTTGCAGTTCCTCAGGCCTTTCTCTTTTCCTTTGTGTTGTATTCTGCCTATTTTCACTTCTTTTTGGAGACATATTTAAAATTATTCTCAGGTTTCCCTTTCTCCCCCCTACCTTACCTCCCTCCTCCTCCCCGCTTGCCTTAGCTTATTATTTTTGAAATGTATCTTGTTGGTTTTCACTGTTTTGACCTTGGTAATTGTTTTGAGGAGCTTAGTTAGGATAGGTACTGCATCCTTTTTCTTTTTTTCTTTTTTTTAAAGACAGGGTCTCACTCTGTTGCCCAGGCTTGAGTGCAGTGGCACAATCACAGCTCACTGCAGCCTTGACCTCTCAGGTTCAAGTGATCCACCTGCCTCAGCCTCCCAAGTGGTTGGGACTTCAGGTGCACACCACCTTGCCTGGCTAATTTTTATTTTTATTTTTGTAGAGATGGAATCTCACTATGTTGCCCAGGCTGGTCTCATACTTCTGGGCTCAGGGAATCTTTCTGCCTTGGCCTCCCAAAGTGCTGGGATTACAGGCATGAGCCAATGTGGCCTCTCGTTGTTTTATTTGTTTATTTATTTTTCGGGACAGGTCTCTTTATGTTGCCCAGGCTGGTCTTGAACTCCTGGGTTCAAGCAATCCTCTTGCCTCAGCCTCCTGAGTAGCTGGGATTACAGGCGTGTGCTACCCTGCTTGGCTTGTTTTAAAAATGCATTTCAAAGCAGGCACGGTGGCTCACACCTGTAATCTCAGAGGCTGAGGTGGGCAGATCACGAGGTCAGGAGATCGAGACCATCCTGGCTAACATGGTGAAATCCCGTCTCTACTAAAAATACAAAAAATTAGCCGGGCATGGTGGTGGGTGCCTGTAGTCCCAGCTACTCGGGAGGCTGAGGCAGTAGAATCGCTTGGACCCGGGAGGTGGAGGTCGCAGTGAGCCAAGATCACGCCACTGCACTCCAGCCTGGGCGACAGAGTGAGACTCTGTCTCAAAAAAAAAAAAATGAATTTCAACCTGTGATGGAGATGGATAGGGCCTAGGAGAAACAAAATCACTGTTTGATTTCTTTGAGGCTCTCTGACAAAAAGATTGAGGAGGAAACAGAACATACTGGATAAGACTGACTTTTTGGATTCTTTGTGCATTTCAATCTATCCAGTTGGCATAGGTAAGCATGACTACTATCAAATCAGTGGTATTGATCAGTCAGTATAGTTGATAACGTTCTTAAATTCTTGACAGCTATTGAATTGAGATGTATATTTTGTGGCTTTTATTTTTTAATGGTGGCTCTTCAGGTAGGGGCAGGAAAAATGGGATGTGGGCAGTAATATCTGCTTTCTACTTTGAATTGAAAAAGAAGTAAGGTGACAGATTTAAAAAATTATTATATTTTTAATGGCTTTTCTATCAAGCAGTTGGACCTTTTTTCTCCCTCCAAGTTATATTACATTTATCACAGCATTTCTATGAATTGGATAGTATTCTACAATTTTGCAGGGAGGAACTGAGGTCTAGAGTTCACCTAGCTTTTCAGAATTAGATAAAAAATCTCTTAGCTCTCTGTCAGAGACCCTTTCCATGGGGCAGGCTGTTGACCTACAATATGTAATTTGCTTTTGGTGCAAGGAGACCCAGTCTCTATTTGTTTAGGCAAGACCTAGAGGGTAATGAAATTCAATCTAAAGCTTTTCTGGATGATTACCTCTGTTTTGTAGCATCTCATTTGCTTTTGCTTGGAAATGTTGCCTGTGCCTTCTGTGGAGGGGATGACAAGTATTGTTACTGTCAGGTATGTCTCATCCTCATCCTTCTTGCACGTTCTTACTCTTGATTCAAGTCTTAGAATCACCTCACCTTGCAAGAGTGATCTCTGTTTGTTCCTGTCACAGAGCAGGCCCATCTCACTGGTGACTGGGTGGACGGTAGTCTCTCAGTGGAGTTCTTTGGAGTTCACCTCTGTCCTGATGCAGATGCAGGTCCCTGTGATGTCTGTCCTGGTACAATGCCTATGTTGTGCCACATCACAAGCCAAATCTCTGCCTCTGAGTCTGGTCAGAAAAGTTTCTGGTCATGCATCTTATGTCTTTTCAGTGTCCTTAGGTAACGTCTTTGTGGTACCACCAGTGAATGCTTTGGGACATGGCAAGTTGTTAATGCTGTTTGGCCCTGGGATCCCTGTGCTTTGTGAGAGAAAGAAGCAGATACAGGAAGAAGCAGATACAGCTGGGCACGGTGGCTCATGCCTGTACTCTCAGCTTCTTAGGATGCTGAGAGGTAGGAGGATTGCTTGAGCCAGGAGTGCTACCTGGGCAATATTGGGAGGCCTCATCTAAAAAAAATAAAAATAAAAAAGAAAGCAGACACAGTGGCAGAACTCTTGTTCCATTCACTTTGTCACCTTTTGGGAGTAAGTGAATGACTCAGAACTAAATGACAAGGATTATTAGTTGGGCGTGGTGGTGCACCTGTAGTCGCAGCTACTCAGAAGGCTGAGGTGGGAGGATCTCTTGAGCCCGGGAAGTCAAGGCTGCAGTGAGCTGTGTTTGTGCCACTGCACTCTAGCCTGGGCAACAGAGTCTCAAAACAAAAAGAGAGAAGAGATTGTATGACATTGAGTGACAGTGACTAATCATTAATTAGTGAGCTCTTTTATCTCTGTTTTTTAATTTAATTTTTATTTCTGTCATCAGAATTTGCTTTTAGCAATATTAAGATTTTGCCTGTTGATTACCAGAGGCTGGGAATGGGAGTAGAGGTTGGGGGAATGTGAGGATGGTTAATGGATACAAAAAAAAAAAGAAAGAATGAGTAAGACCTATTATCTGATAGCACAACTGGATGACTGTAGTCAATAATAATAACAACTGCACATTTAAAGTAACTTAAAGTATGTAATTGGATTGTTTACAACTCAATGGATAAATGCTTGAGGGGATAGATACCCATTCTTCATGATGTGCTTATCTCACATTGCATGCCTGTATCAAAACATCTCTCGCTGGGTGTGGTGCCTCATGCCTGTAATCCCAGCACTTTGGGAGGTCAAGGTGGGAGGATCGCTTGAGCACAGGAGTTCAGGACCTGCCTGGGCCAAGTTTCTGGTCATTCATCTTACATCCTTTCAGTGTCCTCTTAGTGGAGAATGCCATAGAATTTTCTTTCTAGGGTTTCAGATCACTTGTCCAGTGAGCTTTGTCCAGTGTAGGCTCATGTAACGTCTTTGTTGTACCACAGATGAATGCAACATGGCAAAACGCCATCTCTACTAAAAAAAAAACAAAACAAAACTCAGGTACCCCATAAATATATAGACCTACTATGTACCCCCAAAAATTAAAAATAAAAACAAGATTTTGCCTGTTAGATACTTGTTTGAGAATTTTGACTCCTTTGTACTTATTTTTTTGACTCATTAAAAAAATTTTTTTACAGCTTCGTTGAGATATAATTCAAATATCATATAACTTACCCATTTGATGTGTACAATTCAATGGCTTTTAGGATATTCACAGAGTTGAATGAATCAATTTTAGAATATTTTCATTCCCCCAATAGCAGTCACTCCCCATTTCTACCCAGTCCCCTGCAGCCCTAGGCCACCACTAAGCTACTTTCTGTCTATAGATTTGCTTGTTCTGGACATTTCATGTAAAGGGAATCATATGATAAGTAGTCTTTTGTGACTGGCTTCTTTCACTTAACATAATGGTTTCCTGGTCTTGAACTCCTGGCTTCAAGCAGTCTTCCTGCCTTAGCCTCCTGAGTAGCTGGGATTACAGGCATGTGCTACCCTGCTTGGCTTGTTTTAAAAATGCATTTCAAGGCAGACGCGGTGGCTCACGCCTGTAATCCCAGCACTTTGGGAGGCGGAGGCGGGCGGATCATGAGGTCAGGAGATCGAGACCATCCTGGCTAACATGGTTTCCATGTCTTGCTCCTGGTTTTCCTTCGCTCTCTGGGATGGCACAGAAAGTTGTACATATTTCTGCAGTACGTTTCATAAACTGTTCATGAAAAAAGAAAAAAAAAGTTCTACATATTGTCTGCCATCTCTGGAATAGTTGAACAGGTTAGATAGGTTCTTTGAAGAACAACAATAGAAAAGTACTTCCAAACAAAGTCTGTCTCAAGTCTTCAGATGCACTTCAATTGTAGTCACTTAAGACAGATGTTTTTTGATCTCTGTATTAATTGTCCTATTGTAGCAGAACAAATTGTCCCAAAACTTGTGCAGTGTAAAACAAGACACATTGATTATCTCGCAGTTTCTGTGCGTTGGGAGTCTGGGCGCAGTGTAGCTCTGGGTCTCTCACGTGGCTGCAGTCATCTCGGAGCTTGACTAGGAAGGACCCACTTCCTGGCTCACTCCCATGGCTGTTGGCAGGGTCCAGCGCTTTGGAGGCCTGTTTCTTACGAGCTGCTGGCCAGCGGCCTTCCTCAGTTGCTTGCCATACAGCCTCTTCCTAGAGCAGCTCACACCATGTCACGTGACTTCATCAAAGTGAGAGAGTGAGAAGACAAGAAAAGAAAGAGGGCCAGCAAGAGCAAGAGGGCCAGCAGGATGGTAGACAGTTTCTCATGGCCTGACCACAGAGGTGACAATCCATCACTTGCCATATTCTCTTTATTACAAGTGAGTCACTGGACCCACCACATATTCAAGAGGAAGGAACTGCACAGAATGTGAATACCAAGTCACGGGTTTGGGGGGACCATTTTAAAAGCCTGGTTACCAGAATCTCCTGTCCTTTTCTGAGCTTGTGTAGCTAGTGTCAGAGAGGTGGATTGCTGGTTTCCTTGGTTGTTGAGGAACTGTGGAGAAATGTGTCGGAAGTGCCCTTAGCCATATGGTAAAATTCCCGGAAGTAGATATGCTAATAATTTGTCAGCTATTCCCTTGTGAGACTTTTCTAGATCTCTCTTCCATCCTTCTTCCCCTACTCAAATGGTGTCTTAGTCATTTCCAGCTGCTATACCAAATTATCATAGACTACTGGGTGTCTTAAAAAACAGACATTTATTTCTCATAACTCTGGAGGCTGGAAGTCCCCAGAGATAAGGGTACGAGCATGGCCTGGTTCTTGATCAGGGCCCTGTTCTTGACTATGTTCTCACATGGTGACCAAAGAGATCTCCTGTCTCTTCCTTATAAGGGCACTAATCCCATGGGGAGGGGGGGCCCTACCTCATGACTTCATCCCACCAAATTACTCCCCAAAGGCCTCTGCCTCCGCATACCATCACTCTGGGGAGCAGGGCTTCAGCAGATGAGTTCGGAGGAGACACAAACATTCAGTCTGTAGTAGATGGTATGATGGCATTTAGTTTCATTTCTCTCACCTTTGTCTTACTACATTTCTTTCTTCCTTTCTTTTTCTTTTTCTTTTTTTTTGAGACGGAGTTTTGCTCTTGTTGCCCAGGTGGAGTGCAATGGTGTGATCTCGGCTTACCGCAACCTGTGCCTCCCGGGTTCAAGCCATTCTCCTGCCTCAGCCTCCCGAGTAGCTGCGATTACAGGCATGCACCACCGTGCCTGGCTAATCTTGTATTTTTAGTAGAGACGGGGTTTCTCCATGTTGGTCAGGCTGGTCTCAAACTCCCAACCTCAGGTGATCCGCCCACCTCAGCCTCCCAAAGTGCTGGGATTACAGGCGTGAGCTACCACACCCAGCCCCTGCTTTCTTTCTTTCTTTTTTTTTTTTTTTTTTTGAGATGGAGTCTTGCTTTGTCGCCCAGGCTGGAGTGCAGTGGCGTGATCTCGGCTCAGGGCAACCTCCGCCTCCCAGGTTAAGTGATTCTCCTGCTTCAGCCTCCTGAGTAGCTGGGTTTACAGGCATGCAGCACCACACCCAATTAATTTTTGTTTTTTTAGTAAATACTGGGTTTCACCATGTTGGCTAGGCTGGTCTTGAACTCCTGGCCTCAAGTGATACACCCACCCCCACCTCCCAAAGTGCTGGGATTACAGGCATGAGCCACTGTGCCCAGCCTGTCTAACTACATTTCAACACAATAATTCCTCTTCCTCTGTTTCCTCCCTGACCTGCCTCCCTCATCTTGGTCTTTGAATTCTTGCTGACAGTTGCTTTCTCCTCCTTTTGCTCTCTGGTTGTTTTCATGGGACTCTGCCATGCCTGCTTAGTTCTTTAGGTATTATTTTTGAAAACTGTTCCTTTTTAGATTTGACATCACTGTGACTCTTCTGTAAGTTCCTTGACTGTATTTCTTTTTGGATACTGAAATAGTTTGAGCTGAACTCAGTGTTCTGGTACAGAGAACAGGATGCTAAGGTAAAATTGTGTCCTTTGCTTCCCACAGAAATTTGAAAAAGAAAGCCCATAAAATGTTTCAAACATGCAGAAAGTATACAGAATAATAGAACTGAATGCTGGTGTGCTCACTCCCTGGGTGTATTAAGTGTTAACATGACATTTTGTTATCTTTGCCACAGATTTGAAAAGAATGTACTCATTTAAAAGTTTATTTATGTGTTCAAAATATATTGATGGACATGTTGGTTATTTACATATTTTTGCTATTGTAACAATGCTATGTGAGTGTTTCCCTGTGCTCATAGGCAAGTTTTTGTAGCCATAGATAATCTGTAACACAAACTTCTGGGTGATTGATAAGCAAAACTGTAAGTGATAATCACTTCTGTAATATGTTGACAAATAAATGTTGAAGCCACTTTCAATAACATACATGAAAGCTTTAGTTGAGGAAGAATGCTTTTTGTGTTGGCCATTTAGATGGAAAAATGCTAACTCATGTTACCTTTCATCTTTTGATTATACCAGTATGGCATGCTGTTTTTCAGAACATGCTGTTTGCATGCCTATAAGGAAAACTGATGGAATATTGGAATTAGTAGCAAAAATTGCTTTCATATGATAATTTAAAAAATATTCATTATATACTTTATTTTTCCTTGGTGGTATCGTTCAATCCTATTTAGGAGTCATCAGCCAAACCTATATTTATTATTCTTTGTACCATCCTAATTTCTGAGCAAGATTTTTTTAAAGCTTTTTATTATGGAAAATTTTAAACACACAAAACTAGAGAAGATAGTACTGTGAACCCTATGTACACATCACCCAACTTCAATACAATCGACTTTTCTTTTGAGGAAGGCTTTAAACTGCAATCTTAACATTAGTTTTATATTTAGAAAGTATTACATCCAGCGTAACACAAAATATTAATAACATCCATTTGAAGAGTTATTTTAGTATTCCTGTGAGGTAACTGGCAAATGTTTAGAGGACTTATTATTATTATTAGACATAAAAGTCATCCTTTTAATACAGTTTTGCAAAATTATAGGTATATTGTGGATTTCTTCTCTCCATTAGTTTTTCAGGCCAGTAGTCTATCAGGCCAGTCTTCTCTCTGACAGGGAGATTGTCCATAAGTTTTGTAAAAGTGAGACATAAGCCCTTCAAAATGTTTTGATACAAGAAGTCAGAAAACTATTTCAAACATTTAGAGGACTTTGTTTTTAAAATGATGTTCAGGGACCAACCAGTAATATCCCCTGGTCACTGCAGTGTTTGTGGGATTCTGGATCAAACACTATAGAAGTCACTGCATGAGCTGCATCTCATGTGTTTGTCGTGTGCTTGGATTCCAGATCGCAGTGGTCATGGGCTCCTGCACCGCAGGAGGAGCCTATGTGCCTGCCATGGCTGATGAAAACATCATTGTACGCAAGCAGGGTACCATTTTCTTGGCAGGACCCCCCTTGGTAAGAACATAAGAACGTTGGTCGATGGAAATTAAGTATGCAGAACATAAAATACACCATTTAAACTATTTTTTGATGTTTTAAAAAATATTGTGATAAAATATGCATAACATAAAACTTACTGTTGTAACCGTTTTTCAGTACAGCTTGGTGACGTTTAGTATGTTCATATTGTTGTGCAACCATCACTACCATCTATCTCGAGAACATTTTCATCCTCCCCAACTGAAATTCTCCCTATTTCCGTCACCTCTGCCACCTCGGCACCACCATTCTACTTTCTGTCCTTATGAATTTGACTATTCTAGGTATCTCACATGTCAGTGGAATCATATAATATCTGTCCTTTTGTGATAGACGTATTTCACTTAGCAAAACGTCTTCATGGTTCTTCTATATTGTAGCAGATGTCAGAGTGCCCTTCAGTGTTAAGGCTAAATAATGTTCCATTGTATGTATACACTGTATTTTGTTTATTCATTCATCCATCAATCGATATTTGGGTTGCTTCCACTCTCAGGCTATTATGAATAATGCTGCTATGAACATGGGTGTACAAATTTCTATTCAAGTTCCTGCTTTTATTTTTTTGGGTATATACCTGGAAGTGAAATTGTTGGATCATATGGAATTCTATGTTTACTTTTTGAGGAATCACTTCATTCCTTTTTATGGCTGAATAATATTCCATTGTATGGTTATGCTGTGTTCTAGCTATCCATTCATCAGTTGATGGGCATTTAGGTTGCTTCTGCTTTTGGGTATTATGAATAACGGCGCTTTGAATGTATAGGTTTTTGCATGGAAATGTTTTTATTTCTGTTGGATATGTACCTATGAGTAGAATTGCTGGATCATGTGGTAGCTGTGTTTAGCATTTTGAAAAACTTCTAATCTATCCAATACATGTTTTACATTTCTACCAGCAGCATGTGAGGGTTCTGATTGTTCCACATTCTTGTCAACACTTGTAATTGTATGTTTGTCTGATGACAGCCATCTTTGGGGGTGTGAGGTAGTACCTCATTTTGGTTTTGATTTGCATTTCCCTAGTGACTAGTGATGTTGAGGCTTTTTTTTTTTAACTTTTTAATTTTTATTTTTTATTGAGGCAGAGTCTCACACTGTTGCCCAGGCTGGAGTGCAGTGGTGTGATCTTGGCTCACTGCAACCTCCACCTCCCAGGTTCAAGTGATTCTCCTGCCTCAGCCTCCCAAGTAGCTGGGATTACAGGTGCACGCCACCACTCCCGGCTAATTTTTGTATTTTTAGTAGAGACAGGGTTTCACCATGTTGGCCAGGCTGGTTTTGAACTCCTGACCTCAGGTGGTATGCCTGCCTCAGCCTCCCAAAGTGCTGGGATTACAGGCATGAGCCACTGCACCTGGCCAAGGCATCTTTTCATGTGCCTGTTGGCCATTTGTATGTCTTCTTTGGAGACATGTCTATTCAGATTCTTTCTCATTTTTAAATTGGGCTATTTGTCTTTTTATTTAGTTGTAAGAATTCTATATGTGTTCTGAATACAAGTCCCTTATTAGATTTGCAAATATTTTTGCTCATTCTGTAGGTTGTCTTTTTTACTTTCTTAGTGATGTCTTCCTTTGAAGCACAAAAGTTTTAAATTTTGATCACATCCAGTTTATGCATTTTTTCCTTTGGTTTCTTGTGCTTTTGGTGTCTTATCCAAGAAGCCTTTGCCTAACCCAAGGTCATGAAGATTTACTCCTCTGTTTTCTTCTGAGAGTCTTATAATTTTAGCTCTTGCATTTGGGTCTGTGATCCATTTTGAGTTAGTTTTTGGGTGTGGGATAAGGAAGGGCTCCAGCATTGCTCTATATGTGGATATGCAGTTGTTCCAGCATCATTAGTTGAAAGGACTCTCCTTTCCCCATTGAATGGTCTTGGCAGAAAAAAACTTTTACTTATTTTTTCTTTTACCTCAGCTATACAATTGTTTGACTCAAGGTCAATAACAAGTTAATAAGCTGTTAAGAGAAAGCAGCAAGATTCCTACAGTGTATTAACTTTTGTGTAAAATGGAGAGAAATATACATTTGTATACTTCTATATGCATAAAGAAGTTCTAGAAAAGATACGAAAATACTGCTTAAAATGTAGAGGAGAGGAAACAGGGTAGAAGAAAGACCTTTGATTTTTTTGACCCTGAGACTGGGTACAGTGGCTAATGCCTGTAATCCCAGCGCTTTGGGAGGCCAAGGTGGGTGGATCACTTGAGATCAGGAACTCGAGACCAGCCTGGCCAACATAGTGAAACCCCATGTCTCCTGAAAATACAGAAATTAGCCAGGCATGGTGGTGTGCACCTGTAATCCCAGCTACTCTGGAGGCTGAGGCAGGGGAATTGCTTTACTGGGAGGCGGAGGTTGCAGTGGGTTGAGATTGCGCTACTGCACTCCAGCCTGGGCAACAGAGCGAGACTCCATCTCAAAAAAAAAAAAGAAAGAAAGAAACAGAAAAGGACAAATAAATGATTTTACTTCTATGAAATATTGAGAATAGGCAAATTCATGGAGGCAGAAAGTAGATTAGTTGTTGCCAGGGACTAGGAGGAGGGTGGAATGGGAGTGACCGCTAATGAGGATGGGGTTTCTTCTGGGAGTGATGAAATTTTCTGGAATTGGGTAGTGGTGATGGTTGCACACTTTGTGCACTTTGTGAATGTACTAAAAGCCACTGAATTGTATGCTTTAAAATAGTGAATTTTATGGTATGTGAATTCTATTCCAAAAAGTTTGTTGCTTCAAAAATTTGTCCAAGAATCATCTTTGGTTATGGAATACTAATACAAATTCATTAGAAAGAATATGTTAAATAGAGCTTATGTTTTGATGTAAAATAAGTATATTTCCCAAAAGAGGGTGTTAATTTTTAATAACTTTTACTGAAGATCAGGTAGGCCTGAAGGGCTGCCATTTCAAATGTAAAAGTCTTAAGGCATTATTTTAAAAGCCTGCAGCCATTATTATTATTATTATTATTATTATTACTATTATTATTTTAATTTATCTCTTGTATGTGATAGCTGTCATTTGTTAATGAGAGGAAAATGCACTCAAAATTTACCTTTGTATAGTAAAAGGTACAAACTTTCATGGGCCATTCTTGTTTATTTTTTGACTAGAAAATGAGTAAAGATATGACTACAATTTGAAAACATCTTTTTGGAAATACAGGCAGATCATAATAGTGGAATAATGCGAAGGGTTTTAGAGAGAAGATTTTGTCTAAGGGTCAGTAGTTACAATGTCCATTCAGTTAACTTGTACCTTATAAAGAAGCCACTTGGCAGCCAGGGAAGCCTGAAGTTCTGTTGGAGAACTGGACCCCATCCAGCAATCCACCTTTGAAAGACCATGTTCACAGGGAGAAAAAGGCAGTAGCAGCAGCCTCATCCTTTAGAGAATTCTAAATTCTGACGCACGCTTGACCGAATGTTGAGAAAGGGCTTTGAAGGGTTTGCACGTAGTGTGGGGTGTAGTGCTGTAGCTTTTAGTAGCTTAGAGTAGTTGAAAAAAACAGATAGTAAGACAAGTTTTTGAAGGCGCTTTTTGTTCTCCTGTCTTTTGTTTATCTTTTGAACTTGTCATTTAGTCAAATGAGCTGTTTTAATTTTCTCTTTGACTTCTATCATCTTTGCACCTATCACACTATCAAACGTTGTGGGTGTTCAATAAATATTAACTGATGACAAATTCTTATTTTTTTTTTTGGTTGATATTAGTCAGATCCCTGAAAATAAATATAATTTATCTGTTGTTTATTCCTTTTTGCAACTTTAAATATCCAGACACCTCTTATAATTTGTTATTGTCTGGACTGAATGTTATTTTACACTAAATGTTTTGGAAGGAAAAGAACCAAGAATTTAGTTCTGGGGGTGGAATAATTGGAGGTGAAAATTTTAACTAACTCTCTCTGCAGAAGGATATTTAAGACAAAGCTTTTGATGTAGAGAGTAATAAGTTGTTTCTATGCTGTATTTTCTTTTCTTTTTTCTTTTTGTTTCAGGGCTCCCCTCAAGAAAGACTTTTTCTTTACCTTCAACCTCTCTGTGCTATATTTTAGATTAATGTTCATTATTCTAATAAAAGCTTTTCTTATTTGAGTTGATTAATTTGTTTCTTTTTCTTCAAAGAAATAGGAATCAATAAATAATTCCTAAGGGGTTGGATTGGCATTTAGCCTTAAATTATTTTTCTTTCTTTTTCCTGGTAGAATTTCTCTGGCTATAATTAAGTTATTCTTAATTTATTACTGGAGTTTGTTTCTTTTTGGCCACATTCTGCTAGATCTTAGGTTTAGGTAATCTTGGAGATTTTTTTCCTACCTCTCTTTCCTATGCAGAGTTTGTGATAGTAAATGGAATTTTTCAGCATGTTATTGAGTATTCAAAGATGAATAAATCACAGTTCCTGCCACCAAGGAATTCACAGCATAGAGGAGATGACAGACATAACATGCACATTACTGAACTACATTCTGACACATGCCGTGTTGGAGGTGTAAGTGCAATGCCCTTGGACCGTGGATAGGCAGGCAGTCCTCTATTAATACCATGGAGAAGGCCTGGGCGGGTCAGGAAAGCTGTGTAGAGGAGGCAACTTGAGGTGGGACTTGAAGGGTAAGTGGGAATTCGTCAGGTAGGTGAGAAGAAGAGATCCCAGGCAGTGGGAGGAACACACACACAGACACAAAGTCTTGACCACATGTGTCAGGGCAGCATGACATAGGGAAAGAGGATGGCCTTTCAGGTCTTTCTTCTTTTTTTTTTTTTTTTTTTTGAGACGGAGTCTCGCTCTGTCGCCCAGGCCGGACTGCAGTGGCGCAATCTCGGCTCACTGCAAGCTCCGCTTCCCGGGTTCACGCCATTCTCCTGCCTCAGCCTCCCGAGTAGCTGGGACTACAGGCGCCCGCCACCGCGCCCAGCTAATTTTTTGTATTTTTAGTAGAGACGGGGTTTCACCTTGTTAGCCAGCATGGTCTCGATCTCCTGACCTCATGATCCACCCGCCTCGGCCTCCCAAAGTGCTGGGATTACAGGCGTGAGCCACCGCGCCCGGCCAGGTCTTTCAAGCTGGAAACGTGTGGGCTCAAATGAGACTCCATTGCTTGCTATGGACTGTAAGCAAGTTCTTTGTGACTCTGGGCTTAGATTTTTCACCTGTAAGAGTAAAGATAATAGTCTCCAGGTTTCCTAGGTGCATGAATGAGAAAGCACAGTGTTCTTTAGTTCTATGGAAGAAAAAGTACAGGTATAGTCAGGTGAGGAGTTGTGCATGTTGGGGAAGCATTTTTATATGTCTGATGGACCGATTTCACTGATGATTTTTATCCTTGTTGTAGGTTAAAGCGGCAACTGGGGAAGAAGTATCTGCTGAGGATCTTGGAGGTGCTGATCTTCATTGCAGGTGAAACAGAAATGGTTGTTTCTTTCCGGGATTGAGTGTCATTTTGTTTGTTTGTTTAAAAGAAGTTTTACGTATTTGTTTCCAGTGCTAAACTTGCCAGACCACACCACAGTTTATTTGTTCTTGATCTGCTGGTTTAATGTTCAATTCTTTGAACTGTAGAGTTGCATTTCCAAGCTAGAGCATCAGCCAAGAAGGACTGGAGAGACAGGTTTCTTATTTATTTGACAAACATTCATTGGGCACCTGTTATGTAGCAGGCACTGTTCTGGGTGCCTGAGGTAAGAGGTAGATACTATCTTTGACTTCGAGGACCTTATATTCTAGTCAGGGAGGTGGGCAATTGCAAGTAATTGCACAAAATTATGTAAATGTGGCTGATACGCGATAAGGCTTACAAAGGAGAAGAGGGAAGAGCATAGAGGAGGTGGGTCTGCCCTGGGGTGTACAGTTAAATGTTTAGTAACTGGTTCTCTGGGGAGGAAAAAATGCCCCGATCTGTGGCATTTGCCAATTTCTGTGGTATGAGTGATCCCACCATGGCTGATTTCAGGCTGCCAACATGATGCCTCTATGTGGAATCAGACACAGATGCACGTAGTTGGCTCTTGTGAGTTAGCTGTGAGCTGGCTTCGTCACATTGTTGGCCTGACCATGTTAGGTTAGAGTGCAGGGGTAAGAAGACCCTCTACCTCCTAGAATGTTGTCAGAAGTCAATGAGATACAATACATGTGGATTGCTTTAGAATGAAACTATACCTGCTTTTGATAAGTTAGCTATAAATGTTGGTTGCCATTATGATTATTTTCTTGTTTGTCATCATAGTTGCTCAATAAAGGTTTTAGACTTTTTTTTTTTAGGAGTAATTGGGAAACAATTGAGGAGGAGGGTTTTTTTTTCAGTTTTATATATATATATATATATATATATATATATATATATATATTTTTATTTTTTGTAGAAACAGGTGTCTCACTGTATTGCTCAGGTTGGTTTAAAACTCCTTGCCTCAAGCAGTCCTCCTGCCTTGCCCTTCCGAAGTGCTGGGATTACAGGAGTGAGCCACTGCACCTGGACTAAATTTTTAAGCAGTTTGACTATTTAAAAAAAGTAAAGCTGTAGGCAATATATTATGTTAAGGGTGTAGATTCTGGAATTTAACTTCCGTTTGCCTCCCCTATTCCCCTTGGGACTTAGACAAACTGCTTACCCTATCTGAGTCTCATTTCCTCATAGATAAAGTGAAAATTGTGAATAGTGCCTGCCTCATAACACAGCATCTACTACATATAACAGTAATAACTCTATTACTGTTATTCATAATAACCTGTTTAAAATTGTGAGGAAATGATTGGGGGTGATGAATTTTTTTTTTTGGAAAGTACCATGAAATTTATTAGTCACAAGTGGCTCTGTGTTCTCTCAAATGCATCTTTATACCTCTCTTAAGTCATCCTTAAGAGCTAATTTGACACAAAGACTTATATATACAGTGTATCATTGAAGGTTTTCCTTTCCTGCTGTTTTGGTAAATACTAGACAGTTTTCATAAAAAAGCATTTTATTTTAAATATTTACTGATTTAGAAGCTGTTCCTTCTGCTTCTATTTGACTTCTGACAGTGTAGTTATAAGTCAGCATTTATAACTGGTATTATGTATGAAGCATTTAAAATATATGGTCAGTCATAACATGATAAAATGTTGTATTAAATTAAAGAAACTGAAAAAGATCTACCATTTGTGAGGCATCTGTGGGCTATGAAAAAGAGTAAACGTGGTCTCTGCTTTTACTCAGGAACTCCCAGTCCTAAAGTAGAGTGTCATGAAATCACTGAGAGCCTAGCTCTAAGATATGTCTCCCAAGGAGTTTGGTGTTTTCCCAGGCAAGCCATAAAAATTTAGATTGCAGCAGCTTAGTCCTTACTCATAAAATGAACAAATTATTTTTTTCAGGTATGTATTTTTGACTGACTTTACAGAGTTTTAAATACTTTATTAGAAAGTCATAGTTTATCTACATTTATCTACTATTGAAATAACAGGCCATCTAATTGGGACAGGACTAATAACCAGAGCAAGCCCGTACTTCATTCACTGCACTTGAAATTGAACAGGAACTTCCATGGCCCCTGCCACAGAACCGTTTTACTAGTTCCGATTTTTACCCATAATCCAAGGGCCAATGTATTCAAGCCTTTTCATTTGTTGCCTGTGATGGCTTACTGTCAGTGTAACTTTGTAGGGAGGGGGCTCAGAGTTCTCTCAGAAATGAGAGGCCAGAATTGGCATCTCCATTAGGAGCTCAGTTACGTACACAGTTTATGCCGTAACCAACTACATCATGAAAGTGTGCCGTCTGTGGTTGGCCTTCATCACACGCAATTCTGCTTACGGTACAGGGGATGAGTACTTAATAGAAGCCTTTGTCAGCAAGGCCCCTTGGTCTAGCAGAGGAAGGTTAAGGTTAGAAAATAGAAGGCGGGGGTTCTTATGTAGCTACTTGTGGTCTTAGGTGAAGGTACTTAACTTATGCGTACTTCAGCTTTTCCTGTTTGTAAAACAAAGGGAATACAGTTTTGCCAGAGTTCTTAAAAGGACTACTTAAGATGACATTTATTAAAGATGACAAATTTTTTAAGTGTTTTAGAAGTAAAAGTGCTGTCATCTTTAGATGAGAGAAGATACTTGGGACCTGAGATATTTAATTATTTTCCTTTTCCCTGTTCTGACAAGTTTAGTTTGCTTATTCTGTAGAAAGTCTGGAGTAAGTGACCACTGGGCTTTGGATGATCATCATGCCCTTCACTTAACTAGGAAGGTTGTGAGGAATCTAAATTATCAGAAGAAATTGGATGTGAGTACGATATGTTCTTATATCTTTTATTTTCCTGAAATGCATTTTGACTCACTGCACCTTGAAATCATGTCTTTAAACAGGTTAACATGATCTATATTTCTGCAGGTCACCATTGAACCTTCTGAAGAGCCTTTATTTCCTGCTGATGAATTGTATGGAATAGTTGGTGCTAACCTTAAGAGGAGCTTTGATGTCCGAGAGGTATGTGAAAGTGGAACTGTGAGCTTTATGACCAGCTGTGAGTCTCTTTGTATGTGTATCTATTTGCAAAGCTAAAGTTTGTTAAGATATGTTCATGCCTAGAAATAGATGTGGATCTCAGTAAGGAGTGACATATGTGGCAATGATACCTTTCCATACTGTGGATATCATTGGCACAGAGTAAATACTGAAAGAGGGGAGTGGGGGACCTCAATGATTGGAAAGTTTTCATTGCGCAAAAAGTGTGATTTGGTCATAAGTAAGACTCCATGTCCTGTGCACATTATGAATGATGTAAGGCAACTTAACAATTGTCAGCTATTTCTTTTCATTGTTCTTATTTTGGGAAATGGGTGAAATGTCAGTAAGTTGTTGGAAGAAAAAACATACCCTTTTAGATCAATATGACATTTGCAATGATTAGACCTGATTACAGTTGAAAATGTTGCTATGGTTACACATTGTCGACATAGTGTTCTGTAATTTAGATGGACAACTTTTAGGGTTTAGAGCATATAGTCTTTTATTTTGTTCAGTATCCATAGTTGGCAGAGTAGTTTTTAAATTAGGAAATTATCTTAATATCAAATTCTGTACTGGAAGTTTTAATATTTCAAATTATATTTTCCCCTTGACTATAAAATATTATATATTAGTTGTGAAAAATATAGAAAATACAGAAAAGAAAAAAATTAAATTGCATATAATTCCACCCTCTAGAGAAGGTGGCTAATATTTGGATGTTTTAGGTTAATGTGTATATACGCACATTTTTATGTAGTTGAGATAGTCTATACGTATATTTTTTTGTTTTACTTTTTCTAGTTTAAATTATAAACATTTTCCCATGTCTTTAGAAATTCTTCATGAAATATTTTCTACGGCTAGATCTTAATTCCTATAATAGTACTTGGCAACATGGTAAGTAGTCAGTAACTATTTTCTGAATGCATTGATGGATATAATGTTCTGTTGTATGGATTTATTTAGGCAATACCCCAGCATTGCTAGTGGGTCTTAAATCCTGGATTTTATTGAGCTTCAAGTGATACTTCACTTTAGCAAACGTGACTTAGTTAATTGTAAATTTTTAAATGAGGTTTTTAGTTTAACTTTTAATTAATTATAAGCACAGGAAAAAATGGTACTTAAACTCTGACATACTTGAAAAATGTGTTGGGCCAGGCGCAGTGGTTCATGCCTGTAATCCCAGCACTTTGGGAAGTGGAGGCAGGCAGATCCCTTGAGTCTAGGAGATCAGCTGGCTAACATGGTGAAACCCCATCTCTACTAAACATACAAAAATTAGCCGGGCGTGGTAGCACATGCCTGTAATCCCAGCTACTCGGGAGGCCGAAACAAGAGAATCGCTTGAACCTGGGAGCAGAGGTTGCAGTGAACCGAGATTGCACTACTGCACTCCAGCCTGGGTGACAGAGTGAGACTCTGTCTCAAATAAATAAATAAATAAATAAAGATAAAAATAAACAAATAAATAAAAGAGAAAAATGAGTTGTTCCAGGTAGCCAAGTTCTCTGGTTGGCTGAGAATTCACCCTTTTTCGTGTAACCACTGCAACCACTGCTTCCCAGGTTCAAGCGATTCTCCTGCCTCAGCCTCCCGAGTAGCTGGGATTACAGGCACCCGCCACCATACCTGGCTAATTTTTGTATTTTTAGTAGAGGCGGGGTTTCACCATGTTGGTCTGGCTTTTCTCGAACTCCTGACCTTAGGTGATCCGCCCACCTCAGCCTTCCGAAGTGCTGGGATTACAGATGTGAGCCACCACACCTGGCCAATTAATACATTCTTTTAAAAAAAATGTATTAAAGTTATAGCTTTTAAGTTCAGCTTAAAGATACATTATTCTATGTATAAGTCTAGGAAATTTTAACATTTCCCCCCTTCTTCCTAAGAAATTTTCAAATATGCTGAGATGTTCAAAGAATAATACAATGATCACCTGTATATGAACCTCATAGAGTCAACAATTGTTAGAACTTGTGTCATTTGTGTGTGAAATACATTTTAAAGCACAGGCACACCTCAGATACATTGTGGGTTCAGTTCCAGATCACTGCAATAAAGTTAATATCACAATAAAGTGAGTCACATGAACTTTTTGGTTTTCCAGAGCATATAAAAGTTATATTTATACTATATTGTAGTCTGTTCAGTGTGCAGGAGCACCTTGCCTTTAAAAAGTACATACATTAATTTAAAAATACCTTATTGCTTTTAAAAATGCTAACAATCATCTGAACCTTCAGTGAATCATCTTTTGCTGGTGGAGGGTCTTGCCTTGATGCTAATGACAGCCAACTAATCAGGGTAGAGGTTGCTGAAGGTTGGGGTGGCTGTGGCAATTTCTTAAAAGAAGACAACAATGAAGTCTGCCACACTGACTGACTCTTGCTTTTATGAAATATTCTCTGTAGTATGCAATACTGTTTGCTAGCATTTGATCCAGGGTAGAACTTTGTTTTTTTTCAGACTGAGTCTCACTCTGTCACCCAGGCTGGAGTGCAGTGGCGCGATCTCAGCTCACTGCAAGCTCAGCCTCCTGGGTTCATGCCATTCTCCTGCCTCCTGAGTAGCAGGGACTACAGGTGCCCGCCACTGCGCCTGGCTAATTTTTTGTATTTTTAGTAGAGACGGGGTTTCACCGTATTAGCCAGGATAGTCTTGATCTCCGGACTTCATGATCTGCCCGCCTCGGCCTCCCAAAGTGCTGGGATTACAGGCATCACCCACCGCGCCTGGCCCAGGGTAGAACTTTCAAAATGAGTCAGTCCTCTCAAACCTGACTACTGCTTTATTAACTAAATTTATGTAATACTCTATATCCGTAATTGTCATTTCACAGTGTTTGTAGCATCTTCACCAGGAGTACATTCTATCTCAAGAAACTTCTTTTTTTGCTCATTCATAAGAAGCAGCTCCTCATCTGTTCAAGTTTGAACATGAAATTGCAGCAGTTCAGTTACATCTTCAGACTCCACTTCTAACTCTAGTTATCTCCACCACATCTGAAGTGACTTCATCCATTGAAATCTTGAACCCCTCAAAGTTACCCATGAGGGTTGGAATCAACTTCTTCCAGTATCTTTAATTTAATTAAATATCCTTAATGTTGATATTTTGACCTCCTCGCATGAATCGTGAATATTCTCAATGGCATCTAGAATGGTGAATCCTTTCCAAAAGGTTTTCGATTTACTTTGCCCAGATCTGTCAGAGGAATCACTATCTATGGCAGCTATAGCCTGAGGAAATGTATTTCTTTTTTTTTGAGACGGAGTCTCGCTCTGTCGCCCAGGCTGGAATGCAGTGGCGCAATCTTGGCTCACTGCAACCTCTATCTTCCAGGTTCAAGCAATTCTCCTGCCTCAGCCTCCCAAGTAGCTGGGATTACAGGTGCATGCCACCATTCCCAGCTAATTTTTGTATTTTTAGTAGAGACAGGGTTTTACCATATTGGTCAGGCTGGTCTTGAACTCCTGACCTCAGGTGATCCACCCGTCTTGGCCTCCCAAAGTGCTGAGAATACAGGTGTGAGCCACCACGCCCGGCCCAGGAAATGTATTTCTTAAATAATAAGACTTAAAAGTAAAAATGACTCCTTGCTCCGTGGGCTACAGAGTGGATGTTATAACAGCAGGCATGAAAAGAACACTCATCTCTTTGTGCATCTCTATCAGAGTCTTGAGTGACCAGGTATATTGTTAGTGAGCAGTAATATTTTGAAAGAAATCTTTTTTTCTGAGTAGTAGGTCTCAACAGTGGCCTTAAAAATTCATTAAACCATGCCACAAATACGTATGCTGTCATCCAGGGTTTGCTGTTACATTTATAGAGCACAGGCAGAGTAGATTTAGGATAATTCTGCAACTTAAAGTCACCAGCTGCATTAGCCTTTAACGAGAGAGTAAGCCTGTCCTCAGACGACGTGCACTAACCTCTCCCCAGCTATGAAAGTCCTAGGTGGCATCTTCTTCCACCAGAAGGCTGTTTCATCTACACTGAAAATCTGTTGTTTAATGTAGCCACCTTCATCAATGATCTTAGCTAGATCTTCTGGATAACTTGCTGTAGCTTCTATAATACATCAGCACTTGCTGCCTCACCTTATACTTTTGTGGTACAAATGGCTTTTTTTTTTTTAAACCTCATGAACCAATCTCTGCTAGCTTCAAATTTTTCTTCTGCGACTTCACCTATCCAAGCCTTCAGGGAACTGAAGAGAGTTAAGACCTTGCTCTGGATTAAAGGGAATGTTGTGCCTGGCTTGATTTTCTATCCAGACTACTCAAACCTTCTCCATATCAGCAACAAGGCTGTTTTTGCTTTCTCGACATTATGGATTTTTTGTGAAGATAAGTGAATGTATTTTATGTGGCCTGGTGGTGTTAATTGTAATGCAAATACAACATAGTTTTTCACTAAATGGTCCTAAATTGCTGTGCCCTTTGAGCAGCCGTATCTCTGTGTGGAAGAATGATAGTTGTTACGTGTTGATTGCTTGTTAAAGGTACAATTTTTACAGGTATATAGCACCCAAAACAGATAACTGTTACATTCCCATTGTATTATTGGATTTTTTAGGAAAAGAAGTAAAAAATAATTCAGAGTAAACTTTTACTTGATGGTGAGAAAGATGTTGGGAAGCATTCACTCAGTTTTCAGCCTTTGCATCATACAAAACAAGATTTTGATTGATGTGGCAGACAGAAAAAGCGAAGTGCAAACTATGTAGAAAAATAGTATGTATCATCTAAAATAGTTTCTGAAATTGAAAATATGCTTCCTGTTTAGAACTCCTTACAGTAGTCCTGATATATAATGATAAGCCCCAGGGATAAACTATTTAGTAATTTCCACTCCTTTATACATATGTGGATGATCCTTCAAGTATACCAGATTCAGAATCAATGAGTCTTTATTAAGTGCTTAATAATAGTGATAGCTACACTTTAATGAGAGCCTGACAGTATGCTTTAGTTAGCACTTTATTTTTATTTTTTACTTTTTTATTTTTCTTTTTTCTACCCTGTTAACTGATAGTGCTGTTTATCCTTTTATTTTTTTTTCTAATTTATTATTTCTTGCTGAAAGGAATAGTTAGCACTTTTTACATTTTTTTTTTTTTTTTTTTTTAACAGATGAGGAAACTGAAGCTTAAAGAATTTTCTAGTTTCTCAGTCGGAGAGCTGGGAGTCAGAGCTGGCTTTTCATGTCAGCATGATTTTTGTAGGTTCCTACTTCCTTACAAGTAGATCATATCTTCACAGCTCTTCTGTTCCATCATTCCAGAAGTGAGAACTGAGACTCAGAGGGGTGAAGTGACTTACTCCAGGGCATACCAGTCATACTTGATACCTTAGATTGGAGCCTGTGTCTTTTGACTCTGAGCCCTGTCTCTACCCAGCTTTCTCATTGCATCCCTGAACCTCTGCCGGTACATTCGAACAGTCCTTGAAGCTCTAAGTCTAGCAACCAGCCCTTGGAGCCTTTCCTGCTTTTCTTGCATGCAGCATGGTGCTGTTGCTTGTATAGTGAAGTATAAAATCAGAACCCAGAATGACTTCAGGGCATTAACCAGGCATGTCAAATGAAATTCTAGTGAGATTTTCTGTGTAGTGTGAAATTTTGTGAAAGTGACAACTTCACTGTGAATTGTTTTCCTATAAGTAACTTTAATACAAAAATTCTTTTGCAATATAATTTCTCAAGGCCATTGTTGTTTTTCCTCTTAGGTCATTGCTAGAATCGTGGATGGAAGCAGATTCACTGAGTTCAAAGCCTTTTATGGAGACACATTAGTTACAGGTATAAAGGTGAAGAATTGAAAATACGAACATTTTCTGCTGCTTTGAAAATCAGGAATCTCTTGTTTCAAGACTTTGATACACTTGACATGGGCTTTGTTGTTGAGAGCACTACAAATGTGTGAGCCACTTTTAAAAGGAACTGCTTTATAAACATAATTTGTAGCTTAATGGCTTCATGGATCCAAATAGTTTAAAATGTTAATAGCTAGATGCTGTGGTGTGGGTCCCTATCTGTGACTTTGTGACATTAGTTGTATAAAAAGGTTCTTATAGTAAAATTAGTAGAAAATACTTGTAGTTCTTTTTGTTTTTCTGGATAACAATAATTATTTTGAAAGTTTCAGCACTGTTTCCTTTGTTCTTTACTGTCCAATTCAACGAGGAAGTTTTATATTGTGTTTAGCTTCCCAGAAGGATATAGAGTGAGTTAAACCTTCTCACAGCCTCTGTGTAGGTCTTAAGCTGATTCATGCAGACACTAGATTGAGAATTCAGTATATCACGTCAGGAAAAACAAAATAAGGATGTTTATAAAAGTTAATTTTTTAAATCTAAACTGTTTAGTTTATAGGCCTTTGAAGAAGAGTTTTTGAGATAGATGCTAGACCCATAATAATCTATTTGGGACAAATGGAAGAACAAATTTTGTGAATTTTACTTGTTCATAAAAAACTTGAAAATATAGTAGTTAGTCAAAGGTAATACCAGAGTAGGAAAAAAACTAGCTGCAGAAATCCAAATTGCAAATATACATTGAGGCTTAAGGATAAATCACAGTACTTTGTCCTAGTTTGATTTGTGAACAAAAGAAGGGTTCACACTGGGAGTAGAATTTATGTTTTTGTACTTAGGTGTTTAAGTGATTAAAAGCTTTTTGTTTGATATATAGACAGGATTTGTCACCAAATTGTTCAGAATGTAACAGTCATTGTGTAGCAGTTTAAAACAAGTCAAAGCCATTTCTGCTTTCTGTAAAGATGGATGGGCTGTCTTTGTCATCTGCTTTTATGGATTTGCCTCCTACTTGCTAAAAGCCCTGTGGCACTCTTATCCCCTAGAGTACACAACCTGGTTTCTTCCATCTCTTGACTGTACTGGAGTTCAAATACATTTAGGGACAGAGAAGGGGAGTGAGAAGGAGAAGAAGGGAATGAGAGGCTGGTGGTGGGAGTTGGGGGTGGGGGTGGCGGATAAGAAGGATGGGAGGAATGAGAAGGTGGGAGGCATAAAGGGTGAGGAGGTGAGAGGGAAGGACAGATTTTTCTGGTTCTCAAATGTCTCTGGAAGTTCCTCAGGGTTTCCTCCTGCCTCAGCACTTACCATGTGTAGCCTCTAGTCGTTTCTTGGACACTGTGCTTTCCCGTTTGTAACTCAGGTTTGATCAGGCAGTTGGTGAAGACCGTCCCTCTATGGGTGTCCCTAGTAGTGTGGGGACATGTTCCCTACTCAGCGCATCCTGTCTGTGCCTGGAGATCCCTAAGTGGGGCCTAGTGTGGGTTGAATCTAAGTAGTTAACAGGGTTGCGCATTTGCAGGGGCAGCATCTTTCCAGTGAGTGATGTGTTAAATTCCCATGTCTTTGTGCAGTGAAGCAGGACTAAGAATGGATTTCTGGACTTTTTGGAAGTTTACCCCTTTCTGAATTGCTTCTGTAAGTGGCAGTGCCATTTAGGATGTACTGCATAAGTTTTTGGCTGGGATTTTAGGACTGAAATACATGTAGGTGGCCATCAAATCAGGGTTTCATTGTATCACATTAAATAAACATGATAAGTTAGCCAGGTGTAGTGACTACTGGGGCCTATAGTCCCAGCTGCTTGGGAGGCCAAGGTGGGAGGATCACTTGAGCCCGGGAGGTTGAGGCTGCAGTGAGCCATGATCTCGCCATTGCATTCCAGCCTGGGCGACAGAAAAAGACCCTGTCTCATAAATAGATAAATAAGAACATGATGATTTTTAAAAAGTCATAAACCCAGACAAAGCCAGAGTAAAGAAGAAAAAAAAAACAAATCTTTAAAGATTCAGGCTGGGCGTGGTGGCTCATGCCTATAATCCCAGTACTTTGGGAGGCCAAGGTGGGAGGATCACTTGAGCCCAGGAGTTCCAGACCAGCCTGGCAACATAGCGAAACCCCATCTCTACAAAAAATACAAAAACTAGCTGGGTGTGGGGGTGAGTGTCTGTAGTCTCAGCTACTCAGGAGGCTGAGGTAAGAGGGAGGATCACTTGAAGCCTGAGAATTTGAGGCTGCAGTGAGCCATGACTGTGCTACTGTGTTCCAGCCTAGGCAACAGAGTGAGACCTTGTCTCAAAAAAAAATTCAGTTTTCTGGCTTATCAGTATGTTGATACTCTCTCTTATCTGTTAATTTTTCTTCAATAATTATTTTGATATTAAAAATGATATTTTTATAGTATCCCTAGTGTCTGGTACATACTAGACACTCAGATATATTAAATGAATAAATGGATAATACACTAAGCCAATTATTTAATCAAATCAATCAAGACAAATGGATAACTCTACATGTATCGTGACCCTTTCTAGAAGCAAAAGAAACCAGAGTCTAGGACCTTAGGAACAAGAAGATTGTGACATGAGCTGTTTTATACCATAGACAAAATCTCTTTGCATTTTAAACTTGGATCTGATATTAAAGAATGTGTAAATATGCCTCTTTCTTGTGAATTGAAGCCCTTGGAAAAGCACAAGACATAAATCTTCTTTGAACTTTCTTTTGAGGATTTGCTCGAATATTTGGGTACCCAGTAGGTATCGTTGGAAACAACGGAGTTCTCTTTTCTGAATCTGCAAAAAAGGCAAGTACTGTTAAAAATATTTCAAGATTTTCTGTTTTAATTTAACATAACGTTGAAGGTCAAATAATGAGTTAAAATTTATTGCATAAAAATGCTTAACTAGATGCCTCAGCAACCAGAACACTGTGTGCGCGGGCATGTGTGTGTGTGTGTGTGTGTGTGTGTGTGTGTGTGTGCGCGCGTGTGTATATATGTGCATGTATGTTAGTATTTGAAACAGTTTTTATGGTGGTTTACATTAACATGCTGTGACGAACCATCTGGAGCACTATTAAAAATGTACTCATTTTAGGAAAATTCTCCTAAGATACTTGAGTTATAATTGCTATAGAGGACATGTACATATTCTCAGTTGATAGAGAATACTTGTCCTGAAAGTGCTTCATGTCCTGGAGGGACTCAGAGGTCTCATGGTTCAAAGATTCAGGTGGTTCTGAGACATGATCTGTTTATTCTCTTCTATCCCATTATCGCTTTAACTTTATTGTATTTTTACTTTTTGGAAATGAGAATAGTGGGTCTTTGTTACTGGACCCGTGACTTTAAAAAAGGAAGTTCTTTTTATTTATTATTATTATTATTTAATTCAATCCTCCAAGACATCAGAAAAAAGAGGGAGTTCTTGAATATCTTTTGGCTTAGTTATTATTTGATTTCATATATCATCTCAGATTTACCTAAACTTGGATAAATGTAATTCATATACTTATTTGATAAAAATGTCTTTTAAAAAAATTTTAATTCACCAAACTACTTCAGGAAATAAAATGTTTCCTTAAGAAAAAATATGTTTAGTATTGCTTTTTCTCTTGAAATAACAGGGTAAAAGTTCTCTTTATTGATGCAGGTAATAGGCAGTTAAGCTCTTTCATACCCTAATTGAGGAAGAATTTGTCTTTGGTGAAATTTTTTATCAATAAAATTGGTTTCTGTATTCTGCTACTTATTATTACTCCTTCAACTTGATTATAAAATGAGAACAAGAAATTAAAAGTAACAAAAATAAAAAATCACTTATAATTATACCAGAAATAGCTTTTAGTAACATTTTATTATTTTTTCTTAATAGTTTCCTTTTTTTAAAAAATTGATATGCTATATATAGAGAGGTTTTGCATGTTTTCATTTAATAGTATATAGACAGTATTTCTCAAAATATTAGATATTCCTGAAATAATGACTTTTAATGAATATATAATATACTTATTTCAATAGAGGAAATGTCAGAGTGAGTCCAAACAAACTCTGCCTGGCTTTATTTGTCAGCTTGGTACAAATAAACCCCAGAGGAGTTATGTTTGGCCTCAGCCTGACGTTTCATTTGTTGAAATAAGCCCCAAAGGTCTATGTGATTTTCTCATTCTTGTAAACGTAGTCATATTGAAGTCGAGCAATTACTTTGCAATTTTGTACCTGACAAGGCATTTCCAGCAGAAGTAAAGAGAAATTCAGATAGACTAAAACATAAAGGAAATGGTTTATAAGAGTTTCCTAACTCATACAATCTTTAGGGAAGAAATAGTTGTATTTTTGTATCATTAAATAATTTCCTAAACTCAAGGTTAGAAGATTTCTATCACTCATCTAATCTAAAATCCCATTTATCTGGGGAATGTTGGCAAGGATGATATATTTACTATAATCCTGATGCATTAAAGAATTTCAGATGATCATCAAAATGGAAATGTCATCTTCATATCCCAGGAGGGTTTATATTCTGGCTTTTCTAAAGTGGAGAGCTAGAGAATTATCATATAGCAGAGTTCAGCAATTCTCATTCGCATCAGTTCTTTCTTTTCTGTTACTTAAGTTTCACTTGCTGTTTACAGTGTTAGTGATTGACCTCATCCTTGACGCAACAATAGTCTTAGAGCCATGTGCCAGTGATTATACAGGTGATTGTGCAAAACTAGTGTAGTACAAACCTACAGTTACATATCCTATTGATAATGGAGTAGCACTGTACTATTACTGTTACTCTTTCTATAAGGTAAGACTAGCCAAACAAAGGGTATTCTTAGCCAGGAGTGGTAGCACACACCTGTAGTTCCAGCTACTCAGGAGGCTGAGACAGGAGGATTGCTTGAGCCCAGGAGTTTGAGGCTGCAGTGAGCTATAATTGTGCCACTGTACTCCAGCCTGGGCAACAGAGTGAGACCATGTTTCTTTAAAAAAAAAAAATTAATAAGAAGAGAAAAAATTTTAAAGGGGAGTATTCTTTCTTGTCTTTGGCTGAAGTTGTGGTGTTTGTAGAATGCATGATGATAATAGAGTTAATTCCCTTTTAAAAAGATTTTTATGTTATTTGCTTATAGGGTACTCACTTTGTCCAGTTATGCTGCCAAAGAAATATTCCTCTGCTGTTCCTTCAAAACATTACTGGTAAGAAAATAGCTTAATCAGTTTGGTTGTATTGATTCCAGAGCTGTACCATCAGTGTGGCTCATGTATTGGACAGCACACATGTAGACCACTTCATCAGAGCAGGAAGTTCTACTGGACATGCTCTTTCTGGAGGCCCTTTAAGAGTTAGCACTTTTCTTCATGCATGTTAAATATTCTGAGGAGATTATCCATATTTTCTTTCCCCCAAGTAGCTGGGCCTACAGGCATGTGCCACCATGCCTGGTTAATTTTTGTATTTTTGTAAGACGTAGTTTCACCCAGACCATGTTGCCCAGACTGGCCTCAAACTCCTGAGCTCAAGCAATCTGCCCGCCTTGTTCTCCCAAAGTGCTGATACTACAGACATGAGCCACGAGCCACCACACCTTGCTGATTATCCATATTTTCTAAGTGAAGCTATTTCTGAGTTATGTACCTGATCAGCATTCACATGGCCACCCTTTACTCCTGTGTGTGCACAGCCACACACCCAGAAAGCAGCAGGAGCATGATCTGATCACTGCAGAGAGCATCATGCTTTTCCTAGGACCCTTTTCCTCCTCAAGATTTCAGGCACGTGCTACGGTCTTCCCTTTTATTGTACAGTTAATTCAACTTAAGTAACATCATTTTAAAATGTATGTGTATACCCTGAACCAAAGTCTGGGGATTTGAGTTTTGGCCCCAAAGAATGGTATGACCAAAGTGAGATATGTCACCTCTCTGGACTTTACTCCAGAGATGACCTTAACATGGTGGATAAATTGATTTTTAAGGTCTGTTACGGTTGAAGAGTGAATTCTCTGATTCTCTGGTATCCTTCATTATATGTTGCAGAGTGTCTGAGATATACAGGGCACTCAGATATGTTGGTTAGCAGAAAACAGCCTCCCCCATCCCAGGCTACCTCAGCTTCAAAGGAAGGAGAGGCTCTTAGTACTTGTTGGGATCATGCAAGCCTCTTTGAGAAGGAAGAGTCAGGCTCTTGGCAGTCAACAGGGCTTGAAATAGTACTGGTGCTAAAGCATCTTCATCCTGTGAGCTACTTAGGTTCATGATATTTGGTTAGATGAATGTTGAGAGAAGTTATATCCAAATGGCAGCCTAAGAGGGTCCTGCATGGTAACTTATGTAAAAGGGCAGATAGAAAGGATTCTGAAGCCTAACTATACCAGAGTTCTTGTTTTTAATAATGATTCCTGGATTGTTAACCACCAGGCAGTTAAAACTCTGTGGTTTGAAGATATCTACATTTTTGTTTTGTTTTGTTTTGGCCCTGTTGGGTTGAGTTTAGTTTTTCAGCATTGCATTTGAGGTTCCTGTGGGATATTCACCTGGAGGCATATAGTGGGCAGGTGAATAAGTCTCAGCACAGGAGAGGTGTTTTAGGTAGAGATGCAAATGTAGACATCATCAGAATATGGAGGTAATTTTAAAGCTGTGGGAATAGATAAGAACCCCCCTGAGAGAAGAGAAGAAGGTTCAGTGACAGTCTTCGAGTACCTCTGATTTTTTCCTTTTTCTTCAAGAGTAAAGGAAGATGGGGAGCATGATTATGCAGTTTTCTTAAGATTGGAAGAAGAAGGATTTGAGAAAGCGAAGTGAGATGCCTCACTCTTCTTTTTGAAGGCAGGATCCCCTCCAGAGAATAGAGGGATGGTGGGTCGGGTTGGGTGGGGTGAGAACTTGAAGACAGCTGATATTTGAAGTAGGTATGGTGGGAATGTTACAATGGAGTCAAGGCTGGGGAGATTGAGGAGTTTCTGAGCTTTTCTGAGGGTCCAGCTGAGTAGGATAGCTGCAGGAAGCAGATGGTGCCAAGTAAAGGGCTGTGCTGCCATTCCTGTGGTGACTGCAGAAGGCACACGTGCTCTGGAGGAACTGGTTGGGTTGAATTGGATGACCAGATACTGGAGTTTGGCAAACCAGGGATAGTGGCAGTCAATGAGGCAGGTGAGTCTGCAGGCCCACAGATGGAAGAAATGCCTTTGCTGGAGACTTGCGGGGTAAGGAGACAAGCGAAGCCCAACTCAGTGTTATAAGGCAGAGAAAGAGGAACCCAAGTTCTGGAAGGCAGTGAAGTTGCAGAGCAGCCTCCACAGAGCTAGGGGCTTGAAGAAATAGAAGGATCCTCTATTGAAATGGAAAAATAGTTTTTTTTTAACCTTGCTATTGAGTCACTGGCAGGGACTGTTAGCATCTCTATGAAACATTCATCTTTATGTCTTCAAAGTTTCAAAGCATCACTTTAGAAAGAACAGTCTGTTTTAAAACCAGGTCAGTGAAAGCTAAAGCCCTCATAGTTAGGCTCATCACAGCACTTTGTCCTTAACTAGCCATGTCACATTCTTTTCAGCATCAAGCTGCTTCTTTGACATCATCTCCTTTTTAAAATTTTTATTTATTTATTTTTAAATAGAGGTAGGGTCTCGCTTTGTTGCCCAGGCTGGTCTCAAACACCTGGCCTCAACTGATCCTCCCGCTTAGGCTTCCCAAATTGTTGGTATTATGGGGGTGAGTCACTGCACCCAGCCAAGATCATCTCTTGAAGATAGATTGCATCCTCATATTGTTTGAAGGTTTCTGTGTGCATCCAGATGAACTGCTTTAAGAAAATTTAGAAAGTGATTAGAGAAAATTTTATTTTATCCTTTTAAAGCAAACTTTTTAACGGTATGTTTCACATATAAACATTTTCTTAAGGCGAGAGGCATTTAGTAAGATGAGTTTAGTAAAACAAGATGTCCTTTTGGTGGAATTGCGTTCCGCATATTAATCCCATCACCCAGAGGCTCTCTTTCTGATCTTTCTCTCAGGATTTATGGTTGGTAGAGAGTATGAAGCTGAAGGAATTGCCAAGGATGGTGCCAAGATGGTGGCCGCTGTGGCCTGTGCCCAAGTGCCTAAGATAACCCTCATCATTGGGGGCTCCTATGGAGCCGGAAACTATGGGATGTGTGGCAGAGCATATAGGTAGGTGTCATGATTTTCTCTGAAACAAAGAAACATGCTTCAAGTATAAAATACATGGTCAGTTTATTTCAGGTGTATTTGAAATATAGAATGCCATTCCCAGATCTCAATCAATTATACCGTAATTTGTATCATTTGGAGGGGTGAAATGAAATTTAATGCCAAAGGTGTTATTTGGAAGAAATCTACAATGGGAGTCAAGAAATACTTGAAATGGCTGATAATGAAAATGCCACACATTAAGATTTGTGCAGTGCAGCTAAAGTCTGGCTCTGAGAAAGGTATGTAGCCTTAAAGGCATATACGGGAAAAGAAGCAAGACTGCAAGTCAGTGAGCTAAGCCTTCATCTGTGGGAAGTTCAAAGAACAGCACGTTAAACCCGTGACAAATAGAAAGGACATAATGAAGAGCAGACATCAGATAGAAGAATCAGTATAGCCCAAAGTTGTTTGGTTTGAAAGTTCAACAAACTTGATAATCTTATGCTTAAACTAAAAAATAAAGAGAGACAGCACATATAACCACTATCAGGAATGGAAAAAAGGACATGACTGTAGATCATGAGAGGATATTATGAACGCTTTTATACCCAGAATTACATGGAGAACTTAGAAGTCCCATCTGTGCTCAGGACCCTCCTCTGGAGTCTAGTCTGGGGTGTGTTCCAGGCATTTGTATATTTGTGAAAGCTCTACAGATGATTGTAATGTGCAGCCAGAATCAGGAACCACTAATTTAAAAGGCAAACATGGGCCTCTGAAAATCTATGTTGTATATTGACTTAATTTGTTTATTCTTCCTTTTCTTCCCCCAGCCCAAGATTTCTCTACATTTGGCCAAATGCTCGTATCTCAGTGATGGGAGGAGAGCAGGCAGCCAATGTGTTGGCCACGATAACAAAGGACCAAAGAGCCCGGGAAGGAAAGCAGGTCGGTGTCGTTTTCTCTTGTTTCTCTCTGGTTTTGCCTCTCACCATAAACACCCTGGAGCCAAGGAGCAGCGTGCCTGGAAGCCCTTGGTGTTCATGGCTGGGGACCTGGCGCACACTGCCTGGCCATATTTAGACTGTGCTGCCCTGGAAGTTGTTCCAGCAAATCACATGATTTCTGTCCTTTATCTTTTTAAAGCCATTTCATTTGGGGTACTTTCTTTGTGGCCATTTAAAATTGTTTCAGAATTTCCAAGAAAACACTTTTTTATTTTATTTTTATTTATTTTTAAAATTTTTGAGACAGAGTCTCGCTCTGTCACCCAGGCTGGAGTGGAGTGCCGCAATCTCGGTTCACTGCAGCCTCCACCTCCTGGGTTCAAGCAATTCTCATGCCTCAGCTTCCTGAGAAGCTGGGATTACAGGTGTGTGCCACCACGCCAGGCTAATTTTTGTATTTTTATTTATTTATTTATTTATTTTTGAGACAGAGTCTCGCTTTGTCGCCCAGGCTGGTGTGCAGTGGCACGATCTCGGCTCACTGCAAGCTCCGCCTCCCAGGTTCACGCCATTCTTCTGCCTCAGCCTCCCGAGTAGCTGGGACTACAGGTGCCCATTACCATGCCTGGCTAATTTTTTTGTATTTTTAGTAGAGATGGGGTTTCACTGTGTTAGCCAGGATGGTCTCGATCTCCTGCCCTTGTGATCCACTCGCCTTGGCCTCCCAAAGTGCTGGGATTATAGGCTTGAGCCACCGCGCCCGGCCTAATTTTTGTATTTTTAGTAGAGACAGGGTTTCACTATGTTGGCCAGGCTGCTCTCAAACTCCTGACCTCAAGTGATCTGCCCACCTCCCAAAGTGCTGGGATTACAGGTGTGTGCCACCATGCCCAGCCAAGAAAACACTTTAGAAACTGACAGTAAGTATCTGAGGCATAAAGATGTTTGATTCTTAGTCATTTGTACTTAGTGAGATTTAAATAAGTCTGATGTACTACTTTGATTTTATGACCAAAAGCAGCAGAATTTTGTTCTTTCTATTTTACTTTTAGATTGTTGTTAAGGATACCCTGAGTGGGAGGGCTCCGTCATCTATTGAGAATTGAATAACATTATCCTGTGTATAAATGAAGAAAAATGGAAAGGGCAGTGGAAACTTGATGAAAGGCAGATCAGCAAGCGGCTGCTTTTAAAATGAATTCTTTTGTTTGTGTCTCTGTTGGAGATTGTTTGAAATTTTGCATTAATTTTTATTAGTTACAACTTTTAACTCCTGTGTAAGCACCAAGTATGAAGATGATGGTTGTGTGTTCCTGAAGTTGCTTAGGTACACTGTTGTCTCATTATGGGAAGGGATGGAATGGAGGGAGCCCTGTCTGCTCTGTGCAGGAATCATCAGGTCTTCCACCTAGATTGTGGAGTGAGGTACTGCCTCCCTGAATGCATCCATCCATGCCTCACATCCCTAGTTGTCTTTTCCAAGCACTCGGAACTCTGGAGACTTACATTGAGGTTTCAGATTCACTTTAGTACCTACTAGTATCAAAGGAAACAGATAGCTTTGCTTTTGTGCGAGTGGTTGGGGTGTGGGTGTGTGGGTGGGGGAGGTGAGATATGAAATTCTACCTGATACTTCAAAGACATGTCTGAAACTCTATGAAGCCTAGCATGGTGATCTCTTATTAAGTAGTTGTTCTTTGATTACTTCAATATACAGATACTTGAATTCATTCATTTTTATACAGGAAAGGAAAGCACAGTGTGTTAATGGTTCTCCCTCAGAATTCGTGACCTAGAAAATGATATTAAGGTATTAGCATATTTACGTAAAAGAAGGTAGAGTTTATTTGAAATAAGTCTTTGTTTCTGCTGTCGAGTTGCTTTTTGAGTTGAAAGTATTTTTCAGGGTTTCAAATTAAGTTCTGAAGATTTTTACATCTGAATTAATTATCACTTGATCCTTGTAATACTGATGGGAAGGCTGTGAAATTCTTAATTAGGGGAAAATATCTCTCAGTTCTCTGGGAACTTGACTGAAAAGGTTATTCAAGATTTGGTTGGTATTTTACCCCTTTAAGCTTAAACATTTAAGCTTAAGTTTTAAATTTTGGCTATTTTAAATGAGAATCTCATACTTTTCCACATTCTTAACTGGAGGTTGCTAAGTGTAATGCAGCCCTTTTGTTGGGTTGTATAATTCACATCTATTATTGTACCTTGCTGTGATACACAGTACCCTGGGCTTTCACCTTACGTGAAATAGCCTCAGGATATTGTCTCTGTTAGGAGAGATGGGATGGGGCACTAACTTGATACTCATGTCTTAGCGTGTATGTTAATGATCACTTGTAATTTATACATCACTATGCACATGTTAGATGTAACATTATTATTCATGACATCTGTTGTTTCTTTTGAATTGAGATGATCTAAACAGGGCCAGTTGTTCACTGAAGCTGACTTACTCATGGCCTCTTTTCCTTTAGTTCTCCAGTGCTGATGAAGCGGCTTTAAAAGAGCCCATCATTAAGAAGTTTGAAGAGGAAGGAAACCCTTACTATTCCAGCGCAAGGTGGGGGCCAGAACATCACTAACTCTCTGATGGGTGCAGATGGCAGTCAGAGGAACAGCTTTACAGAGCTCTGTGTAGTTGAGATGGTCCAGCATTCATAGGAACTGGAAAATAACATTTGGACACACTTAATTTTGTACTGTTGTTTCTTTACAATCTGAATGGCTACTGCTGAAATGCCACCCCTCCTCCCAGCATCCCTGCACTGTGGACTCACCACCAGTGGTCTGATTCTCGCTTCCCTTGTCTTCCCCCTAGTTGAGGTGTCTGGGGCCTGGAGGGGTCCTGCAGCCCAAGGTGGGCCATGTTAGGAGCCGAGAATAAGTTATAAGCTTGGCTGTGTTACTTCAGAAGTTCTAATTTTTGCTTAAAAACCCCTCTCCTTGATCATTTTGTTTTTACCCCATTTTAAACATGAGATTGGTTGAACACTTACTGGCATTTGTTGACAAGTATGCTTGTACGTTTGAAAGGTGATTAGTCACTGCCAGGGTCTGTGTGTCGGCGCCAAATAATTACCTCACAGACCATTGCCGCTGTTGGCTCGGTTTTTTTCTTACACCACTTAATGAGGTAATAAATTATCATGCCTGTCCCAGCTGAAGACCTGCTGGTGCCTGCTTTCACATCTTTCTTCAACAACTTTAGTGTTCTGCATTCCGAAGACTAATCTAAGCTTCATGTCTTCCTTTCATCCCTTGGGCAGATGGAAAAAAGAAAGTAACTCTTTCTGCATCTTGTAAAATTAGCTTATGTTGTAATTTATGCTGGCGAAGGCAAACTGGAGAGGAGAGGGGAGAGAAAAGAAAATCAGGCCAGGCACAGTGGCTCACACTTATAATCCCAGCATTTTGAGAGGCCAGGGCGGGCAGATTGCTTGAGCCCAGGAGTTCGAAACTAGCGGGGCAACATGGTGAGACCCAGTCTCTACAAAAAATATACAAAAATTAGCCAGGCGTGATGGTGTGCACCTGTAGTCCCAGCTACTCAGAAGGCTGAGGCAAGCAGATCAGTTGAACCTGGGAGGTCAAGGCTGCAGTGAGCCGAGATCATGCCACTGTGCTCCAACCTGGGTGACAGAACAAGGCCCTATCTCAAAAAAAAAAAAAAAAAGCAAAAGTTAGAGTCCATTACAATCATTTGAATGGTTCCTTGGTGGATACAAAGACAAAACATACTGATTTTCAAGAACATAATTAGTTTGAGGAGATAAATAATACCATTTGGGTGTGTGTATGTGTTTTTGTTTTTGTTTTCTTTAAAGACAGAGTCTCACTCTGTTGCCCAGTTTGGAGTGCAGTGACGTGATCTCAGCTCACTGCAATCTCTGCCTCCCGGACTCAAGCAATCCTCTTGCGTCGGCCTCCAAAGCTGGGACTACAGACATGTGCCACCACACCTGGCTAATTTTTTTGTATTTTTTGTAGAGATGGGGTTTCACCATGTTGGCCAGGCTGGTCTTGAATGCCTGAGCTCAAGTGATCCTGCCTCGGCCTCCCAAAGTGCTTGGATTACAGGCGTGAGCCACCTGTAATCGTGGCTGGCCAATATTTGGGAATTTTTAAAGGTTTTTTGCTGAATATATATTTTTACAAACAAATTTACAGGTATATTTTATTGTGGTGGTTTGATTCATTTAATTAAGAACAAAATATTTTATAGTCTTTGAGAGCTAAACATGTTCCTGATTTTATCATCGTGTAAACAGACATATAGTAGCCAGTAAATGGAAAGAAGCAATAGAAAGCCGTATAAGAGGTTTGAGATGAAATATAAAATATATATTGTTAAGCTTTTCTATAGTTTTTTTTTTCCACATAAGATTTTGACTGAAATACACAGGGACAGCTGAAATATTAAAGTTTGAAAAATTGTGTATTTTGTGTGAGCTGTTAGCTTGTTTTTCAGCCCTGGCTAAGATAAATCATCTCTTGAGAAAGATTGCATCTTTTATTATTTTCATACTAACATTATTATTATTTTTTAATGGATTACATTCAAGGCAGAAGAGTAAATGGCCCAGAGAGACTTATCTTTGGAAATAAATGTTAACAGACAGTAAAGTTTTCTGTGGATCTGTAGATTTTTTTTTTTTTTTTTTGAGACAGAGTTTCTTGTTGCCCAGGCTGGAGTGCAATGGCATGATCTCGGCTCACTGCAACTTCCGCCTCCTGGGTTCAAGGGATTCTCCTGCCTCAGCCTCCCGAGTAGCTGGGATTACAGGCGTGTGCCACCACGCCTGGCTAATTTTGTATTTTTAATAGAGATGGGGTTTCTCCATGTTGGTCAGGCTTGTCTCGAACTCCCAACCTCAGGTGATCCACCCGCCTCGGCTTCCCAAAGTACTGGGATTACAGGCATGAGCCACTGCACCTGGCCAGATCTGTAGATGTTTAACCCTTCTGTTGAAACAGCTGGTGGCATGGAGACAGCAGCTTTCTTTCAAAGCTGAAAGGATTTCCAAGCCAGTTTATGGTACCTTCCTTGGGTTTAGTAAATCTCAGCTTCACAGTAAAATTCCCTGGCCTGCTTAGGTTTGAACATGGCTAGATCTGTCTTTTCAGAGACAGAGCTTGTTATTATCAGTTACTGAAACCTACAATGTTTTCCTTAATCCTAATAGGTTACATATGTAGCGTGCCAATTTGCTTCTGCTCAGTTGTTTTTATAATCAAACTTTTATCCGGCATTTCATTAGTGCCTCTTACCTGGGGCAGTCTTTTTAATGAACATTATTAAGCAGCCCCTTCATCACCATGCTTGCTGTGCTGCAGGCTTCAGAGGGAGTGTAATCAATTCACCTGGTTGCAGATGACAAGAGTGGCTTTCTTTTTATTGGGTGTTGATACTTTAGGGTCCCTATTATGAATGTTTTATGAGCAAAGGTTTGATTCATGTCTGTCAATGTAAGAATGGTTTAATAGTTGATGCCAGGTTCAGATACCGAAGGGAGTTTATATAAAAAAAGCAAACTGCCACCTACTAATAACCTTTAAAAAGTAATATTTCTCAGTCATTTTTCGTTATACATTTGAGGTTGTCAATGAGAAGGAAACTAAAATTTCTACTTAAAAGTTTCTTCTGCAAGCAGTTTAAAGTTATTGTTTTTCCTATTGTAGCAAAAAATAAAGACCTACATTTGAAGGTATCTATTTTATTAATAAAATGTACTGAAGCTGGCCGGGTGTGGTGGCTCACGCCTGTAATCGCAGCACTTTGGGAGGCTGAGGTGGGCGGATCACCTGAGGTCAGGAGTTCAAAACTGGCCTGGCCAACATGGCGAAACCCCGTCTCTTCTACAAATACAAAAATTAGCCAAGTGTGGTAGCGCACTCCTGTAATACCAGCTGCTAGGGAGGCTGAGGCAGGAGAATTGCTTGAACCCAGAGGGCGGAGATTGCAGTGAACTGAGATCGTGCCACTGCACTGCACTCCAGCCTGGGTGACAGAGCGAGACTCCATCTCAAAAATAATAATAATAATAAATAAGATAAAATGTACTGAAGCCTATTCAATAATTTTCATAGTTTCTTAAGAGTTTGGATGGGGGTTGGGGAATATACATTTTCCAGTAAAGTTTGAGGTTATTACCTGGGTATATGTGGTTCTGCATATTAATGACAGAATACACCAACTTGGCTTATATATTTGTGTGGGAAGAAAAGGAATAGGAAAATTTTTCCTGAAATAAGTAAACGTATTGTCAAATTAGGGGTTACTTTGAGATCTCTTATAAAAGTAGTTCCTTAAGCCTTAAGCCTGACATGACATTCTGTGGTGGCCTGGGATGAAGGTCATATCATTTTTTTCCACGTTTTCCCCCTCTGTCTTGAACGTAGTTTCTGTTGTGAGATTATGGTACATGGATGCTAATCAGTAGATCCATATATTACCTGAAGGAAAACTTCCTTGGCATTTCTGCACATGGAGAGTGTATAAATGGTAGTTTGGTGGTAAATTCATAACTCTTTTTTTGTTCTTTTGTCAGGGTATGGGATGATGGGATCATTGATCCAGCAGACACCAGACTGGTCTTGGGTCTCAGTTTTAGTGCAGCCCTCAACGCACCAATAGAGAAGACTGACTTCGGTATCTTCAGGATGTAACTGGAATAAAGGATGTTTTCTGTTGGACATGTACTGAAAATTAACACATGTAGTAGCCTTAAAATTTTAGACTTCTCGAACATGAGGCTGTTACAGTAATTTTTTTAACACTGTGCATTGTACTTTTCTACCTTAAAAAAATCAGTGAGGATATTTATTTAATGAACATCAATTCCTTTTAAATTTTCTTAGAGAAATTTCTCTGTGGCTCAGTTTTACCACCCATAAAGCGGAGACAGTAATTTACGGTTATCCTTTCTGACCCACAAAGTATGAAAAGTTCTGTAATCTGTAAACTCAGTTCTGTAATCTGTATTATTGAGATGATTAATATAAAGTTGTATTTTCACTGAAATGATTGTTTTGCTGGTTATGCTTGGTGATATTTTAGCGGGCTTATTTTTGAAAGGCATCTGTTACTTCAGTGGCATAAAGTGCCCTCACACTGCTGTGCAGCCATCACCACCATTCATCTCCAGAATTTGTTCTCAGTCCCAAACTGAAACTATACCATTCAAACAACAGCGCTCCCCATTTCCCCCTCCCCCGAGCCCATGACATCTCCTTATTATTATTTTTTTTTTGAGACAGGGTGTTTCTCTGTTGCCCAGGCTGGAGTGCGGTGGTGTGATCTCGGCTCACTGCAGCTTCCACCTCCCGGGTTCAAGCGATTCTTGTGCCTCAGCCTCCCAAGCAGCTGGGACTATAGGCACGCACCACCACACCCAGCTAAGTTCTGTATTTTTAGCAGAGACGGGATTTCACTAGGTTGCCCAGGCTGGTCTCAAACTACTGACCTCAAGTGATCCACCCGCCTCGGCCTCCCAAAGTGCTGGGATTACAGGTGTGAGCCACCGCGCCTGACCACATCTCCTTATTCTTAAATGTATGTGTTTCTCATGGTTTGATTTATTCTTGCTGGGCCATTTCAGCCCCTGTCATGGCTTCACTCGCCATCTAAATGCAGATGATTACTGCCTTGACGGTTCTTAACCCAGCTCTCCCCTGAGCTGCAGGCCTGCATATCCAGTAGGTCTACTGGACATCTGTACTGGTTGTTGTGGAGGAACCTCTGGCTTGCTCATTAAGTCCTACTGATTTTCACTATCCCCTGAATTTCCCCACTTATTTTTGTCTTTCACTATCGCAGGCCTTAGAAGAGGTCTACCTGCCTCCAGTCTTACCTAGTCCAGTCTACCCCCTGGAGTTAGAATGGCCATCCTGAAGTGAAAAGTAATGTCAGATTACTCCCTTCAGTGATTTCTTGTAGAAGTGCCAATCCCTGAATGCCACCAAGATCTTAATCTTCACATCTTTAATCTTATCTCTTTGACTCCTCTTTACACCGGAGAACGGCTCCAGCTGTTCTAGCTCTCTTTCAGTTCTTTGAACCTTCCCACCTTAGGGTCTATAAGGTTCCCTCTGCCCAAATTGTTCTACTCTCCCTTCTTCTTCAACACATCCTTCAGTTTAAGCACTTGCTTCTCTCAGTTTAAACTCCACTTCCTTAGGGATGTCTCTGTGACCTCCCTGTGCTGGATTAGCTTCCCTACTCTATGCTCTTGTAAAACACTATCTACTTCCTTTGTCATAAACTCATCATTTTCCTATAAACATTAATATTGTCCTCCTGCTAGAATGTAAGCTCCGTGAGAGCAAGGATCCTCCTGTTTACCCTGTACCTCCAATGTCTGGCACTTGTAGGTGCTCAAATATTCGTTGAATGAATGAAAAATCCATATTGTAATTGATGTCCTCTGGCCACATAGTTTTAAAATTAGGTGATTGATTATATGACCGAATAGAACTATCAAATGTTTTCCTAATAAAGTCAATATTTCAAACATTTGTGTGTGATATTTAGTATTTTAAACATTTGTGTGTGATGTTCAATGTGTACCAGGAAGTCAATTTAGTTTTTGTGGGGAGAATATAGATAGATGATCAAATTCAGTGGTAGGTTACATTTTCAGAAGCAATACATTAAGTATATTAAAATAGTAATATTAAAATTTTAATGAAAATGCACATCTATGTCAAAATGATTTTCTATATAAAGACTAGGTAATATTCCTTTGGTAGGAACCATTAACAAGTCAAGGATTCATGGATATTTTAGGACTGCTTTTGCTTTTCTGGGAAGAAACTGTCCATCAATAAAACCACATTTAAGTGAATTGGATTTTTTAAAACTTATTTTTCTAGAGGCAGGGTCTTGCTATGTTGCCCAGGCTGGACTCGAACTCCTAGGCTCAAGCAATCCTCCTGCTTCAGCCTCCCAAGTAGCTGGGACTACAAGCTTGCACCACTACGCCTTGCTCTATTTTGTATATTTTACCCAACAATAAACATTTATAATTGTCTTACCAAAATAGGTAATACTTTTTAAACATTTTGACTATCATAAATATGAATTCCAGCAAGGATAATATGAGCTACTTGGAATTTGAAGAAATATACAAGTTAGTCTCTAAATTTGCCCCTGTTGGTACTTAAAGAATGAAAAAGACAAGATTACTTCTATTTTTCAGTTTATAAGAAAAGTATTTTCAAATCGAATTTGTTAAAAAAAAAAAAACACTTCTGCACCAGCAGAAGGCACTATTGAGTGTTTGAGTGACACCATCATTTGCCAACATGCTTATGTGTATGTCTCTCCAGAGAGAGGCCATATGTTTCCTTCACAGGGATAAATCAAAGCAGGTTTTGGAATGATACATTAATAAGATTATTTTTGAGAGGCCACATTAGTTCTAAAATGCATTGAGTTTGGTTTTATGGAAGATTAAATCTCCACTAAGAGTCTTGGCGATTTTTTTTTTCTTAGTGATCTTCTAATGATTGGTTCTGAAGTTTCATATATGGAAAAATGGCAAGAAGATGAACTAGGTTATCATAGCCTAGTGTCATTCATAACATTTCCCTTAAAATGTTACAATTAAGTACAATTAATATTTAATGATGACATAGATTTTAATCATTTTCGACAAAACGTTTTGTGCCTTTCCACTAAACGCTTAAAAATAGTTTGTTTCAGCGGGGCACCCTGGCTTAACACCTGTAATCCCAGCACTTTAGGAGGGTGAGGCAGGAGGATTGCTTGAGCCCAGTGGTTGGAGAACAGCCTGGGCAACATAGCAAGACCCTGTCTCTACTTAATAAATAAATAAATAGGTAAATAAATAAATAGTGCTTTTATTTTATGTGCTTCAAATTCTCTTGTATCTGGAATCAGGATCCTGAGGACTAAGTTTTTCTTAGGGATGAATGAAATTTCTATGCCCCTTTTACCTTTCTAGGCAAATGTACATTCCATCAAGTTGACTGTGTAACTTACCATCCACATTGGGGCTTTTGAGAGTGAGAAAAAGGGGGTCTTAATAATAACTACACTGGGAAACAGGTCTGAACTGGGACCGACTCATCCCAGTTTGAACTGGGATGTGTGCTCGCTGCCTGTAACATCATCATGACTGAATACTTTGTTTGCATATCAGCTTTTGAAAATTCTTAGAAGCCTTCGCTCAAGATACCTGCTTCATGACTTTCAATATAGATTTCAGTATGATACCAGTCACATAATATGTGTGCATTAGCATTCTAGGGAGTCATTTAATTGACCCTAGAGGAGAGTTTACCATAGGGCAGGGATGATTTTGTTTCCCAGCTGTTAGTTTTCTGAGATCAGTGGTTCAATATGTCTGGCAGCTTTGTCTTTCACAAACCAAGTCACATGTTTGTGCTACTTTTTAGGGTAAGCAAGAGAAGTATTTTTCAGGGAGAATAAGGTCTTAGAAGGTGATGATTTCACAGAGAAGTTATCGCAAGGAAAATATACCCAGAACCAGATGTTAGAAGTAAGCTGGAGTAGAAAAAAAAATTTTTTTTTTTTGAGTCAGGGTCTCGCTCCAGTGCCCAGGCTGGAGTGCAGTGGCGTGATCTTGGCTCACTACAGCCTCTACCCCTTGGGCTCAAGTGATCCTCTCACCTCAGCCTCCTGAGTAGCTGGGACTCGGGCACATGCCATCACGTCCGGCTAATTTTTGTATTTTGTAATTTTTGTGTTAGCAGAGATGTGTTTTCGCCGTGTTGCCCAGGCTGGCTTCAAACTCCTGGACTCAAGTGACCCGTCTGCCTTGGCCTCCAAAAGTGCTGGAATTATAGGCATGAACCATTGTGCTCAACCAAGAAAAACAATTTTTTTAAGTGTAATTCAGTAAGTGTTGATTGTAAGAAGTGAACTCAGAAGAAAAACAGGTAGAATTTTAGAATACTCAGACTAATTTTAAACGTTCCTGTAGAAAATGTATTCAACATTTTTCAGCCACAGCACTGTTAATGACATTCCTTTATCTACCGGATAATTAGAAATAATTTTTGTCTTAAAGTTATTTGTAATCTAAAAATCTAACAATGTTACTTGCGGAAAATTTAGGAAGACAAAGTGAAGAAAATAAAGTGAAAAAAAAGCTTCATAATCTCACTACCTAGAGATAACTGCTATTAATATTTTTCGTGTACTAGTCTTTTTCTATCTTTACGAATTTTTTTTTTTTTGCAAAAATGCTGTGTGCTACATGTTATTCTGTAATCTGCATTTCACTTAATGTATTGTAAATATAATGACCTGTTTACATGAAATTTAATATTCTGCAAATTTTTTTCTTTTTTGAGATGGAATCTCACTCTGTTACCCAGGCTGGAGTGCAGTGGCATGATCTCGGCTCACTGCAACCTCCGCCTCCGGGGTTCAAGTGATTCTCCTGCCTCAGCTTCCTGAGTAGCTAGGACTACAGGCGCGCGTCACGACACCCAGCTAATTTTTGTATTTTTAGTAGAGACGGGGTTTCACCATGTTGGCCAGGCTGGTCTCGAACTCCTGACCTCAGGTGATCCACCCACTTTGGCCTCCCAAAGTGCTGGAATTACAGGTGTGAGTCACCGCACCCAGCCTAATATTCTGCAATAACTCTGATGTTGCACGATAATGCAGTGCATGAATCCTCCCTTTGATTTAACTACTCCCCTATTGTTGTACCTGTAGGTTTTTTCTGGTTTCCCACATTACAGATAATGCTGCAGTGAACATCTGTTTAGTTTCTTTACATATCTGTGATTATTAGGATACATTTTTAGCAATAGTGTTGTTGGATAAAAGTGTACAGGTTAAAGTATACACAGACCTTTAAGACTTGTTGGTAAGTTTTGCTCTATAAGTGTATATTATGGTATTTATTGCTGGATGTAATGGTTACCGTGGTGTTTTTAGATACAGAAATAGCTTCCCATAGAATTAAATTGTTTAGCAGAAACCAATGTTTTCTTTCATTGTTAAAAGTTGTGTCTAGGCTGGGGCATGGTGGTTCATGCCTGTAATCCCAGCACATTGGGAGGCCAAGGCAGGCAGATCGCGCGAGCCCAGGAGTTTGAGACCAACCTGGGCAACATGGTGAAACCCTGTCTCTACAAAAAAATAAAAATAAAAAATTAGCTAGGCATGCTAGTGTGTGCCTGTAGTCCCAGCTACTCAGAAGGCTGAGGTGGGAGGATCACTTGAGCCCGGGAGGCCAAGGCTGCAGTGAACTGTGATCGTGCCACTGCACCCCAGCCTGGGCAACAGAGCGAGACCCTGTCTCAAAAAAAAAAAAAAGCTGTGTCTAAGTGACCATGTCACATTAGCAACGAGTTGTGAAGACTGAGCATTAATGCATGGGAGGTCACGGTCGTGGAGAGAACACTGGGCGGGGTGTGGACCGGTTTCGCTCTAGTTCAGCTACTAACGCGCTGTATGAACCTGAGGAGGATGGGAGGGGATTAAAATCAGCCTTTCTGGCCCAGTGATTGTTTTCCTTCCCTCCTTCTACATGCCTAAGTCTTTTCTCCACCTCTCCAGATTCCCTCTTTCTCTGCTAGTGGATGGCTAGGGAAGGTGGGCCGAGGGGTGAGGACTGGAGGGAAGGGTAGATAGGGTATGCTGAGAGCCTTTTTTATTCCACAGGAAAGCATGTACCTCAGGGCTCGGTGGGACTCATGGTGGCAATCATTTACCAGGAAGACCCATTCTCCAGTTGGTCACAGCTTGTTTTGTTCAAATGAGCATACATTTACCGAGGGCTCACTATGTGTCGGGCTTCGGGATGGTACACAAAGATAAGAAGACGTGGCTCCTGGCCTGGTGCAGTATCTGGTCAGTGACTTGAGGGTTATCTTCAGCCTCTTGGTACCCCTCTGTCTTCTTTTGGTAACTGTACTTTCATTCTCTTTGGGAACTACCCCTCTCCTGTTCTGCACAGTCTTGGCCAGTGTGGCAAGCAAAGAGCCCTGGACACCAAGGGCTGGACACATGTTGAGGCTTGGCCAGGTGGACTCTCTCAAGTGCTTTGACTCATTAGCAGAGAGACAAAGATGGAAGACGAATGACACTGAGTTCAAGTAGACCTGAAGAAGCTGTTCGTTCACTCACCTCTGCTCCAGGGTCCCTGGCACAACCCTGATTACTGAGAATCTGTGAGTCAGAGGCATCTGTATCCTTCCAACAATCTTATTTATTGATTTATTTAGGAGAGTCATGTTTCAATGCTTGTAGCAACCAACCCTACCTGGCAACATGTTCTTCTGCAAGCCAGAGGTTACAGTAAGTCACTCTATGTTTTCAAACTTGGTGAAAGAACGATGGTATAGACAGAAGAGTAAACTGAGAATTTTGGTCCTCAAATACACAGAACATTCAAAGGAGGAGGGTTGTGGCTTCTCACCACCATCCCCAGTGAGGATGGATTGAATGTTTATTTTTTAAATGTAAATTAGTTAATGATTGATTGAGACAGGGGCTTGCTCTGTCATCCAGGCTGGAATGCAGTGACATGATCATAGCTCACTGCAGCCTTAAACTCCTGGGCTCCAGGGATCCTGCCATCCAGCCTCCTGAGTAGCTTACAGGCATGCGCCGCCATGTGGGGCTTCTGGATCAAGGGTTTAAATCGTCACAAGGGCAACTCAATTTATTGCAATGTTTTGATCACTGAAATATGTCACTGAGCAAGATGTTAGGTTACTTTTAATTGGAAATCTGGCTAAAAATCTGAAAGTCTACCACTGGGGATAGTTTAAAGACAATCATACCAGGAGACAGAATGTAGTGACTTCTTGGGTAGTCTTAAGTGGCTTTTGTATAGCCTTAAGGCCACAGTGATGGTCTTATGAATGATAAACGAATTGTTGCCCAGGCTGGTCTTGAACTCCTGAGGTCAAGTGATCCGCCAACCTCAGCCTCCCACAGTGCTAGAAGCGACTGCGTCCAGCCCAGAATGTGCATTGCTAACAAGTTTTCACCTGACACTGATGCTGCTGGTCTGGGGATCATGCTCTGAGAACCACCACTCTCAATGATCTCTAAATTCCTTCCTAGCTCCAAAATGTTAGGATCCTAAGATAAATTTCTGCTTTGTGATATTATCATTCTTGCATATTTGCTAGGTAATTGTACATTTCTCTCCCCCATTTTCAGGGAAGGGTGAGTTTGTATTAACTTCTCGGTAAGTAGGTGTTCTTTTAGATCAGTGATTCACAGCCCAGACTGCACATTAGAATCACTTGAGAAACTTTGAGTAAGAAAAATCCTGACCAGGTGCAGTGACTCACGCCTATAATCCCAGCACTTTGGGAGGCCGGATTGGGGGGCGCGGATCATGAGGTCAGGAGATTGAGACCATCCTGGCCAACATGGTGAAACCCCGTTTCTACTAAAAATATGAAAATCAGCTGGGTGTGGTGGCGCATGCCTGTAATCCCAGCTACTTGGGAGGCTGAGGCATGAGAATCGCTTGAACCCAGGAGGCGGAGGTTGCAGTGAGCTGAGATCATGTCACTGCACTCCAGCCTGGTGACAGAGCAAGAAATCTGCCTCAAAAAAAAAAAAAAAAGGAAGAAAAAGAAAAAATCCTGAGGCCCTGGCTGCATGCCAGGTGAACTAAACAGACCTGTTCAGGTTAGGACCCAGGTATCAGTAGTTTTTAAAACACTCTCAAGTGACTCTGATGTGCAGTCAAAGCTGAGAATCACTTCACAGAGGAAGGCTAGATCAGTAGATTTCAAAATGGGCACTGTTCATTTCAAGACACTTTCATGAATTTAAAATCTTAAATTTTACATTGTGTACAGTTTTTCCTGATAGAGCTCACAGCGCAGATAAAAGTTGGCCTTATTTTGGTTTCTTGACCTACCTCGTTTCAGGCAAACTGCTGGAAGTGGGTACCGATAGCTAAACATTTCTAAAGAGATCCCTGGTGATGGAAAGAAATGAGATCAGAGCAAAAACAAACAAGCAAAGACAAGGATTTTATATAATGGGCCATCACAGTAGCTGGCATTTTGCTTCCAAAGGATCATCTCCAGAGTCATTTCTGCTCTGGTGGCTTTGTTGTAACTTCTTAGTGGATTAAACAGAGGGTTTAGGTCTCTGAGGATTCTTGCCCATTCATTTCCAGCCGACCATGACTAGACTTTTAAAAAAGGGAGTATTAGGCCAGGTGCAGTGGCTCACACCTGTAATCCTAGCACTTTGGGAGGCCAAGGTGGATGTATGGCTTGAGCTCAGGAGTTCAAGACCAACCTGGCCAATGTGGTGAAGCCCCATCTTTACTAAAGATACAAAAATTAGCCAGGTGTGGTGGTGCTTGCCTGTAGTCCCAGCTACTTGGGAGGTTGGGGAGGGCAGATCACTTGAGCCTGGGAGAAAGAGGTTGCAGTGAGCTGAGATTATGCCACTGCACTCCAGCCTGGGTGACAGAGTGAGACCCCTGTCTGAAAAATAATAAAATAAAATAAAGTAAAATAAAATAAAATAAAATAAAATAAAATAAAATAAAATAAATAGGAAATATTCATCACCAACATGGATGACTGATAACTTGAGATTATTATCTTTTTTTTTGAGACGGAATCTTGATCTGTCACCCAGGCTGGAGTGCAGTGGCATGATCTTGGCTCACTGCAACCTCCACCTCCTGGGTTCATGCCATTCTCCTGCCTCAGCCTCCCGAGTAGCTGGGACTACAAGTGCCCGCCACCACGCCTGGCTATTTTTTTTGTATTTTTTAGTAGAGACGGGGTTTCACCGTGTTAGCCAGGATGGTCTTGATCTCCTGACCTCGTGATCCACCCGCCTCGGCCTCCCAAAGTGCTGGGATTACAGGCGTGAGCCACCGGGCCCTGCCATCTTTTTGTTTCTTATTGTGGTAAAATACATATAACATAAAATTTCCCCTCATAACCATTTTTAAGTGTACAACTCAGTGGCATTAAGTATTAATACATTCACATTGTTGTGCCACTGTCACCGCCATCCATCTCCAGAACTGTCTCCTCATCCCAAACTGGAACTCTGTACCTATTAAAAAGTCATTCCCCATTCTCTCCTTCTCTTCAGGCCCTGGTAACCACTATTGTACTCTCTATCGCTGTGGATTTGCCTATTCTACCTCATATGAGTGGAGTCATACAGTATTTGTTCTTTTGTGTCTGGCTTATTTCACTGAGTATAATGTCATCAAGGTTCACCTAGAGATTATTTTTTGATCAAATATATTCGTGTCACAATTAAATTGGGTCCATAAAGATGTCAGTCTCATTTCAGTTAAACAAACACACAAGTGATGAAAAGAGCAATTATTTCCCCTGAGCTTTTAGGAAGCCCCTGGGATGGGCTGGTGTGGTGTGCATTTAGTCCTGCTTCTGGCAACTGTATCCTCTTACTTGCTCAGTCCAGAAACGTGAGTGTCATTGTGATTCTTCCCTCTCTCTTACCCTGACATCCAGTTGCTCTATAAATCTCATTGATTCTGCCTCATCAAAAGCTAAGTCCTCTTCTGTTATCACTGAACTAGCCTCAGCGTAGGCCTTTATTCTCTCTTGGATCAGTGTAGAGCCCCCTAACCAGTTTCTCTGGTTATCGGCCATCAGCCATTATTTCATGAATTCACCCAACAAATATACTGCATGAACATTTCTCATCTGGCCTTGAGCCTGTCTCTTCAATTACCATCTTCTGCGTAACCCCTTGAGCCATCTGTCTCGAACAGATCTGATTTTACCCAAGTTTGTCTGACTCCAGAGCCACGCTTTCCCCAGTCCACTCACAGCCTCACAATAAAGGATGGAATAAAGATTCAAAACTCTTGACAGGTTAAATTAAGGGCTCAGAACAACGAGATGAAATTTAAGAGTAATAAATACAGAATCCTATCTCTAAACTTAGGAAAATAAAGAGCTTACATACACAACTGGGGAAATCTGGCTTTGCAATAGTTCATATGGAAAAAATAAAATGATCCTGGAGTTTTGTCAACGAGCTTGACGTGGGTTAATGCTGTGACGACATGCCTCATGATAGCTATTTCTTTTTCTCTTTCTCTTCCCTTCCTTTCCTTTCCCCTCCCCTCTCCTCCCCTTCCCTCCCCTTTCCTTCCTTCCTTCCTTCCTTCCTTCCTTCCTTCTTTCCTTCCTTCCTTCCTTTCTTTCTTTTCTTTCTTTCTTTCTCTTTCTTTCTTCTCCTTCCTTCCTTCTCTTTCTTTTTTCTTTCTTTCTTCTTCTTTTCTTTCTTTTCCTTCCTTCCTTCCTTTCTTTTCTTTTCTCTTTCTTTCTTTCTTTTCTTCTTTTCTTTCTTTCTTTCATCTCTCTCTCCTTTCATTTTTTTTTTTAATAGAGTCTCACTCTGTCGCCCAGGCTGGAGTGCAGTGGCACAATCTCAGCTCTCTGCAACCTCCACCTCCCGGGTTCAAGCGATTCTCATGCCTCAGCCTCTCCAAGAGCTGAGATTACAGGCACATGCCACGGCACCTGGCTAATTTTTATATTTTCAGTAGAGGCAGCATTTCACCATGTTGGCCAGGCTGGTCTCTAAATCCTGACTTCAGGTGATCTGCCTGCCTTGGCCTCCCAAAGTGCTGGGATTATAAGCATGAGACACCGCACCAGGCCTTTTAAAAAAATTTTCGAAATGGAATCTCACTATGTTGCCCAGGCTGGACTTGAACTTTTGGGCCTCAGTCTCCTGAGTAGCTGACAGGTGTGTGCCACCACACCCAGCTTAGCTATCCACATTTTAGACTGTACTAATTAAAAAAATGTATCCTGATCATGGGCCATAATAATCTCTATTCTTTGGGCTGATCATTGCCTTCAGCTCTGTAAGTCATATTCTTGGAAGAATATTAACCAACTAGAGGGCATGCGGGGCAGTGGTTCTGAAGCCTGAGTAATGCCCCACGGCTGTACTAGGAGAGTACATAAAATATAGAGATTCCTGGGACCTACCCCTGGATATTTTCAGGTGATTCTAATACATATCTTAGATTGGGTATCACTGATCTGGAGGACACCAACGACATGATGGTGAAGATACCGAAGGAAGTGGGTGTTTAGCCTAGAAGGAAAGGACATGGGGAGGTGAAAATAGGCATTTCTAATCTCTGAAGCTCTGTTATTTGTAAGTTAAGTGGCAGAATGAGGAGAAGGCGTGGTGTTCAGGGAAGTTTTCACAAGAATTTAGTAATACTGGCGGGCTCGGTGGCTCACGCCTGTAATCCCAGCACTTTGGGAGGCCGAGGTGGGCGGATCACGAGGTCAGGAGATCGAGACCATCCTGGCTAACACGGTGAAACCCTGTCTCTACTAAAAATACAAAAAATTAGCCAGGCGAGGTGGCGGGCACCTGAAGTCCCAGCTTCTCGGGAGGCTGAGGCAGGAGAATGGCGTGAACCCGGGAGGCGGAGCTTGCAGTGAGCCGAGATCACGCCATGGCACTCCAGCCTGGGGAACAGAGCGAGACTCTGTCTCAAAAAAATAAAAATTAAAAAAAGGAATTTATTAATACTGAGGACTGCATGGTTATGGACCAGACTATCTCAGGAAAGAGTAAAGAGGAGCCCAGATGTCAGGGATGCTGTAGAGAAGTACTTCAAACTTGAATGCTTGAATCCCCTAGGGATCTGATGCAAATGCAAATTCAGGCCAGGTGCGGTGGCTCACGCCTGTAATCCCAGCCCTTTGGGAGGCTGAGGCGGGCGGATCATGAGGTCAGGAGTTCGAGACCAGACTGGTCAACATGGTGAAACCCCATCTCTACTAAAAATACAAAAATTAGCTGGGTGTGATGGTGTGCACCTGTAATCCCAGCTACTTGGGAGGTTAAGGCAGGAGAATTGCTTGAACCTGGGAGGCAGAGGTTGCAGTGAGCCAAGATTGCACCACTACACTGCAACCTGGGAGACAGAGCAAGACGTTGTCTCAAAAAAAAAAAAAAAAAAAAAAGCAAATTCTAATTAGTACGTTTGGAGTAGGGCCTGAGATTCTGCATTTCCTGTGAGCTTTCAGTGACGTCAGTGCTGCCAGGCTGTGGATTGTGCTGTAGTAGAAGGCTGCAGTAGGCGATTCCAGTACCGGTCTAGGCCAGGTGAACTCAGTGATCTCTCAGGTTAGAGAGGGTATTCAGCAAAGTTAATTCAAGATAGAGAAAGCATCTAACAACACTACATTGGAATCCTTGAGAACTTTTGGTGTGGAATATGCTTTAATTAGGTTAGTTTAATTCTTTCATTTTCTAGAAACTAGGTATTAGAGATGAGTGATCAAGAGCATAAGAGCATAAGCTTTAGAATAAAATAAACTTGAGTTTATGCATTGCCCTCACCATTATTAGGATTATGAAGCTAGAAAGTAATGACCCATCTGAGCCTCATTTCTCCATCTGTAATAACCTCTCACTGGTTTTAATTTTTTTCTTTAAAGACTGGGTCTCAGTCGTTGCCCAGTCACAATCACTGTAACCTCAAACTCCTGGGCTCAAGCAATCCACCTGCTTCAGCCTCCCGAGTAGCTAGGACTATGTGTGCACCAGCAAACCTGGCTAAGTTTTAAAATTCTTTGTAGAGTTGGGGTCTCACTGTGTTGCCCAGGTGGGTCTTGAACTCCTAGACTAAAGCAATCCTCACAAAATGCTGGGATTGCAGATGTGAACCACCGTGTCTGGCTTTTTATATGAGTATTTATTGTGTTACTATATGTAAAGTACTTAGCATGTATATGTGCTCTTCATTATGATTTTTATTAAGTTATTAATTTAAACAAGCATCAGCTCTGCATTGCTACACTCCCTACTCCTCCTGTGCTCTTGGAGTATTCTTGAGAACTCTGTAAATGTCATGGAGCACGATGGTGAGTTCTCAGAGGCCAGGCACTCTCCCCATATTTCTGTAAGTTTACTGGAAATACCTTTTTATGTGTGTCTCATGTCTTGACGATTGGCATTTTCTTGCCTTCACCTTCACAAATTGAGAACTAAATATTTTCTCTACATATTTTGATCAAAAGTATCCGTGGATATAATTTGATTTCCTGGACTCATTGCCATTTTTTGGATTTAGTGTTATCATAGAGCGGGTGTCTGTTAGGTGTCTGCCCAGCATCTGTTCCTGTTTCTCTCCTGCAGAACTCCAGTTGTTTTTTCTTTTGTTATTCATACCTACAAATGAATCCACATGCCTTGGGAAGCCAGTGAACCCACAGCTCCAGATGGGCCTGACTGGTGAAAAACTTCCCATTCTCTTTTCCAGGGATTGGCATGAAGGGATGTCTGTTGAGCGGCGGTTGTAGGAGACATTTCTTTGCCCCAAGGAAAAGCTAGAAAATTTGATCTCTTTCTTCTCCGGGATCTGGTCATGTGGACATGTGACTCTGGGATCTGTGAAGCCTTGTTGCTGCCAGTTGGAGGATGAAGCCAACACTGAGGAGGCCGAGCAGGATGAGGGATCTATCTCCTTGATCCTGCCATTGAGCCATGGACCCACTGCCTTGAAGCTGCATCTCTGGACTTTACACTGCGTGAAATAATACATATCTTTAATGTTTAAGCCATTTTAGTTGTGTTTTCTATTACTTTAGCTAAAAGTACCATTACTAATACTGATGTCTCTGCTTTCAGCGATGCATCCCAAAAGCAGTGGGAGGATTAAAAAAATATTCTGTAATCGCAATGAATTGGGGAAGGAATTTTCTCCTCTTGTAAGAAAGAATTACTTCCTAAAAAGTTTCTCAGAAGCCATTTTTTGGAATGTAACTCTAAAACCTTTCTTAAAATAGAAACTATCTACATACCTGTATTATGCTTGATATGTTTGATCTATAGCTCTCGACTTTTTTTGAGACAGTGTCTTGCGATGTTGCCCAGGTTGGATTCAAACTCCTTGACTCAAGCAATTCTCCCACCTCAGCCTACTGAGTAGCTGGGACTACAGGTGTCCACTCCCATGCCTGGCCCTATCTATATTTTTTGGAGAGGCGACACATAAAGTTAGTAAGCATATCATAATTGGGGACATATCAACTCACAGAAAACAAACATTTCAGGATTGTGTTAGTCTGTTGGTGAATTCTTCTCTTTTTCCTCCTCTTTTCCTCCTCCTTCCTCTCTTTCTTTATCCATACTTTCTACATAAACATTTTGGGATAAAATTTGAGAAGGAATATTTTAAAATGTGATTTGCAAGCTGGATCAGTTTTAAGACCGAGTTTGCTAGCCCTTGATTATCTCCCTGTCCACATCTTTTCCATGCATGCCAGCAGGGAAGGGGCATGAAAGCAACGAAGGCCTTTTGAAGGGTGCTCCCATCCACACCTATTCTATCCACACCTTTATCTCATGGCCATTAAACCCCAGGCATCCATTCTGGACTCTGGTTCTTAGTGGAAGACGTTTCTTTCCTGCTAACCATACAGATTGGGCTTAGTGCAATCTGGGGCTATTTATGTCTCCATATCCCAAGGCAATGATGATAACTGATAGCATAGTGAATCAAAGAAGCCATGTTAGTGTGCTGTCCCACTGCTTGACAGCTGTCTGAGGGATTCACTTATATACTCTCACTGCTGGAGCTTCAGCAAAGGTGACTCTGAAATTGCATGGTGAAATTGATCCTGGGCCATTCAGTGAGGAGACTCACGCATGTGGGAGGCTCATCTCCCAACCAGTCTCCCACAGTCCTGTGTCCCACCCCTCCCCCCGCCCTCCAATGCTCTCTTCACATTGCAGACCCTCCTGGCACTCTTAAAAATGATTTTTGGTCATGCCACTCTCTTTCGCTTAAATACCTTTGTTAGCTCCCTGTCACTTAGGGATAAAATTTAAATGTCTTTCCTTGGCATCCCTGAGTGTTTTGAGCCTGGCTTACAATTTAAAAATTTTTTAGAAAATCAAATAATACCTACCATGGTTAAAAAATAAATAAAGAGGCTCAAAACAGTCCCTTGATCCACCTTTCTCATCATCCTTTATCCATAGAGACCCTCACTTTTTTATTTTTAATTTTCGTGGGTACATAGTAGGTATATATATTTATGGGTTACATGAGATATTTTGATACATGCATGCAATGTGTAATAATCACATCAGGGTAAATGGGGTATCCATCACCTCAAGCATTTATCCTTTATGTTACAAACAATCCAATTATGCTCTTTTAGTTATTTTAAAATGTACAGTTATTTTTGACTATAGTCACCCTATTGTGCTAGCAAATACTAGGTCTTATTCATTTTATTTTTGGTACCCATTAAGCATTCCGCCTGTACCCCCAAAACCCACTACCCTTCCCAGCCTCTGGTAAACATCCTTCACTCTTTATCTCCATGAGTTCACTTGTTTTACGTTTTAGCTCCCACAAATAGGTGAGAACATGTGAAGTTTGACTTTCTGTGCCTGACTTATTTCACTTAATATAATGACCTCCATTTCCATCTATGTTGTTGCAAATGACAAGATCTCATTCTTTTTATGGCTGAATAGTACTCCATTGTGTACCACATTTTCTTTATTCATTCATCTGTTCATGGATAGTTAGGTTGCTACCAAATCTTGCTATTGTGGATAGTGCTGCAATAAACATGGGAGTGAAGATATTGCTTTGACATACTGATTTCCTTTGTTTTGGGTATATACCTAGCAGTGGGATTCTAGACCATATGGTAGCTCTATTTTTAGTTTTTTGAGGAACCTCCAAACTGTCCTCCACAGTGCTTGTACCAATTCACATTCCCACCAACAGTGTATGAGGGTCCCCTCTTCTCCACACCCTCACCATTGTTGGTTATTGCCTGTCTTTTGGATAAAAGCCATTTTAACTTGGTGTGAGGTGATATCTCATTGTAGTTTTCATTTGGATTTCTCTGATAATCAATGATATTGAACACCTTTTCATATACCTGTTTACCATTTGTCTTCTTTTGAGAAATGTATATTCAGATCTTTTGCCCACTTTTAAATCTGATTAATAGATTTCTTCCTATATAGTTTAGCTCCTTATATATTCTAGTTATTAATTCTTTGTCAGAGGGACAGTTTGCAAATATTTTCTCCCATTCTGTGGGTTGTCTCTTCACTTTGTTGATTGTTTCCTTTGCTGGGCAGAAGGCTTTCGACTTGGTGTGATCTCATTTGTCCATTTTTGTTTGGTTGCCTGTGCTTGTGGTGTATTACTCGAGAAATCTTTGCCCAGTCCATTATCCTGGATAGTTCCTCCAGTGTTTTCTTTTAGTAGTTTCATAGTTTGAGGTCTTAAATCTAAGCCTTTAATCCATTTTGATTTGATTTTTATATATGGCAAGAAATAGGGGGTCTAGTTTCATTCTTCTGTATATGGATATCCAGTTTTGCCAGCATCATTTATTAAAGAGACTGTCTTCTCCCCAATGTGGGTTCTTGGTACCTTTGTCAAAAATGAGTTCTGTAGATGTGTGTGTTGTTTCTGGGTGGTCTATTTGGTTCCATTGGTCTATGTGCCTGTTTTTATGCCAGTACCATGCTGTTTTGGTTACTAAAGCTCTGTAGCATAATTTGAAGCCAGGTAATGTGATTCCTACAGTTTTGTTCTTTATGCTCAGGATAGCTTTGGTTATTCTGAGTCTTTTGTGGTTCCAAATAAATTTTAGCATTGTCTTTTCTATTTCTGTGAAGAATGTCATTGGTATTTTCATAGGGATTGCATTGAAACTGTAGATTGCTTTGGGTAGTATAGACATTTTAATAATATTGATTCTTCCAATCCATTAACATGGAATACTTTTCCATTTTTTGGTGTCCTCTTTACTCTCTTTCATCAATGTTTTGTAGTTTTCATTATAGAGACCTTTCACTTATTTGGTTAATTTCTAGATATTTAATTTTATTTGTAATGATTGTAAATGGGATTACTTTTTCAATTTCTTTTTCAGATTGTTCACTGTTGGCATATAGAAATGCTACTAATTTTTGTATGTTGATTTCATATCCTATGACTTTACTGAATTTGTTTAACAGTTCAAATAGTTTTTTGGTGACATTTTAGGTTTTTTTCAAATATTAAATTATATCATCTGCAAACAAGAATAATTTGACTTCTTTCCCAATTTGGATGCCCTTTATCTCTTTCTGTTGTCTGATTGCTCTAGCTAGGACTTCCAGTACTATGTTGAATAACAGTGGTGAAAGTGGACATCCTTACTGTATTCCAGATCTTTGTGGAAAGGCTTTTAGTTTTTCTTCATTCAGTATAATACCAGCTGTGAGTCTGTCATATATGGCTTTTATTATGTTGAGGTAAGTTTCTTCTATACCGAGTTTTTTGAGTGTATTTTTTTTTTTATCATGAAGGGATGTTTAACTTTATCAATTGCTTTTTTCAGCATCAATTGAAATGATCATATGGTTTTTGTCCTTTATTCTGTTGACATGATGTATTACCTTGATTGATATACATGTGTTGAACCATCTTGCATCCCAAGGATAAATCCTATTTGGTCATGATGAGTGATCTTTCTAATGTGTTGTTAAATTTGGTTTGTTAGTATTTTGTTGATGATTTTTGCATCAATATTCATCTGGGATTTTGGCCTGTAGTTTAGTTTTTGTTTGTTTGTTTGTTTGTTTGTTTTTAATATGGTCAGGATCTCCCTATGTTGCCCTGGGTGATCTTGAACTCCTGGCCTCAAGTGATCCTCCTACTTTGGCCTCCCCAAGTGCTAAGATTACAGGTGTGAACCATTGCACCTGGCTACTTTTCTTTCTTTCTTTCTCTCTCTTTCTTTTCTTTTCTTTCTTTTTCTTTCTTTCTTTCTTTCTTTCTTTCTTTCTTTCTTTCTTTCTTTCTTTCTTTCTTTCTTTCTTTCTGTTCTTTCTTTCTTTCTTCTTTCTTTTTCTTCTTCTTCTTTTTTTTTTTGATACGGAGTCTCTGTCTGTCACCCAGGCTGGAGTGCAGTGGCGCAATCTCGGCTCACGGCAAGCTCCGCCTCCCGGGTTCACGCCATTCTCCCGCCTCAGCCTCCTGAGTAGCTGGGACAACAGGCGCCCGCCACCGCGCCCGGCTAATTTTTTTTTTTTTTTTTTTTTTTGTATTTTTAGTAGGGACGCGGTTTCATCGTGTTAGCCAGGATGGTCTTGATCTCCTGACCTCGTGACCCGCCCGCCTTGGCCTCCCAAAGTGCTGGGATTACAGGCTTGAGCCACGGCGCCTGGCCTCTCTCTCTTTTTTTTTTCGGTGTGTCTTTGGCTAATTTTGGTATCAGGATAATACTGGGCTTGTAGAATCAGTGTGGAAGTATCCCCTAGTCCTCCATTTTGTGGAATAGTTTCAGTAGGATTGGTATTCACGCTTCTTTAAATGTTTGGTAAAATTCAGCAGTGAATATTGGGTCCCAGGCTTTTCTTTGCTAGGAGATTTTTGTTATTGCTGTGATCTCATTGCTTGTTACTGGTCTGTTCAGATTGTGTATTTCTTCATGGTTCAATATTGGTAGGTTGTATGTGTCCAGGAATTTATCAATTTCTTATAAGTTTTCTAATTAGTTGGCATACAGTTGCTCATAATAGCCTTTAATAATCCTTTGAATTTCTGTGGTATTGGTTGTAGTGTCCTCATTTTCCTCTATGATTTAATTTATTTGGGTCTTCTCTCCTTTTTTCTTAGTCTGGCTAAAGGTCTGTCAAATTTGTTTATCTTTTCAAAAAACCAAATTTTTGTTTAGTTGATTTTTTGTATTGTTTTCTCCATTTCAATTTCATTTATTTATGCTCTGATCTGTATTATTTCTTCTACCAATTTTGGGTTTGGTTTGCTTTTGACTTTTCTAGTTCATTAAGATACATCAAGTCAGGCACAGTGGCTCACTCCTGTAATCCCGTCACTTTGGGAGGTTGAGGTGGGAGGATCACTTGAGCTCAGGAGCTCAAGACAAGCCTGGGCCACACAGTGAGACCCTGTCTCAATAAAACATCAAAAAAATTATCTGGGCATGGTGGTGTGTGCCTGTAGTCCCAGCTACTTGGGAGGCTGAGGTGGGAGGAATATTTAATTTCCGTGTGTTTTTATAGTTTCCAAAATTCCTCTTGTTGTTTATTTCTAGTTTTATTCCATTTTGATCAGATAAGATACTTGATATTATTTCCATTTTTTGAATGTTTTAAGACTTGTTTTGTGGCCTAACATATGGTCTGTCCTTGAGAGTGATCCATGTACTGAGGAGGAGAATGTGTATTCTGAATATCCATTGGTTCCATTCAGTCTACAGTGCAGATAAAGTCTGATGTTTCTTTGTTGATTTTCTATCTGGATGATCCCTCCAATGCTGAAAGTGGGGTGTTGAAGTGTCCAGCTATTATTTTATTGAGGTCTATCTCTCTTTTGAGCTCTAATAATACTTGCTTTATATGTCTTGGTGCTCCAGTATTGGGTGCATATGTGTATACAATTGTTATATCCTCTTGCTGAATTAACCCTTTCATTATTATATAATGACCTTCTTGGTCTCTTTTTATAGTTTTTGTCTTGAAATCTATTTTCAGAGATACTTACTTTTAACCATTTCTATATTTTGTTCTTTGGTGATTACAATATCCCTATATGAATGTCTATATTACAATTTCATTGCTTTTCAACCTTAGAAATTTTCTATTTAATTTTTGCTGTGAAAAATCAACATTTGAGTTTAGTTACACAATCAACCCCCTCCATTCTCCCCTCAATATAGTTATAATACCACAGATTCATCATCTTTTATCCACAGTTTTATCATTGAAAGGCCACTAAGTCTAAAAGGTTTTCTTGGTGGTGGCAGAGTAAGTTTGGTGCCCAAACCAACTTCATGTCAAATTCAATCTCTAAACTATCTTACATGTACTTAGTTATGATAAAGTGTCTAGTGAAGCAAGTGCCTTTGGGGAAAAAGTGGCTACTGCCCCTGACCATTGTGTCAGTAATGATGACTACAAAGGACACTATCCTGGGGTGGATTCTTCTGGGTATTTTAGAGAAAGCAAATGGCAAGCTTAGATATTAAAATTCTCAGCTCTAGTAATAGAGAACAAGAGAACTGTCTCTCTCTCCCCACAAACACACACACACATACACATGCACACATGCACACACACACACACACAGAATTGTGACTGGGGGTTAACTCAGAGGTGGGCTGCAGGGATGTGGTGCCAGGCATAATCGTTTCCGCTAAATAATACATTCCTAAAATAATCTCTTATTTCTTTTAGCCACAGAATCAATCTTGCTGAGGACAAAATTTAAGTGACTTCGCAGCCTTGCCATGTCTCTGTTATGAGAGTTAGGACATTGATTGAGAAGAATGGGATATCTAGTAGGCTTAGATGAAGCTGAGAATCTTAAGTCCCCAAGTTTCTGTGAGCTTTCCTTGTTGGTGGAAGCAGGCTACCCTTCTGTAGACTAGCCTTTCTCAACTTTGAAGACTTTATAGTAATCTTACCTGGGGGAGTTTCCTTATAAGAGAATATCTGTTGTCCTTAAGATCCACTTCAATCTCCCCTTGTTTTCTCCCTAGATCAATAACTAGGGAGACAAGTATAAAGTTTGACATGGGAGGCAATAGCTAATCCTGCAGAAGAGTTGCAGAAACACAGTTGAAGACATAAAAGATGCAAGGTGCTAATACTTATCTCATCCCTGTTGAACTTGTCTTTTTGGCCTTTGCAGAAGGCAGAAGAATCTTGGAGAATGACCATGGGTGATGGTCACTCATACTTGACTTCCATTTTACCTGCTCTTGCAGGTATGGTATGCATACTGGAGCAAATTAATACAGCTCCTGGCACCTGGTATGCAGATATTGACCTGGAAAATGTTTTTTTTCTCTTTACCAATTTGCAAGTATCACCAGAAACCATTTGCTTTTAACTGGCAGGAACAACAGTACACTTTCATAGCCTTTTCTCAGGATAACACTTCTGAGAAGTGTAATCAGAAGCAGAGTCCTGCTTCTGTCATAATGTAGTTCACAAAAGCCTTCGTCATTTTGACATGCCATACAACATTATGATTTTGATGACTATGTTAATTAGACCTGATGAGAAGGAAGGAGAAAGTACTCATGATACCTAAATGAGACAATTGTGAAGCCATGAGAATTGAGGGGTCTGTCTCCTCAGTGAAGTCTTCTCAGGGAAGTCTCCTCAGTGAAGTTTCTGTTCAGTTCACACACCCTCCTGCAAGGTGAAAGGGTTGCTGTACATTTCAGCGTCTACCAAGAAGAGGAGGCATAACACTTGGTAGGCCTTTTTGGATTTTGGAGGAAACATATTTGAAAACGCTATTTCCACCTTTTTCCTTGTAAACTTTCAGTTTGCAATGAGTAACAGAGCAAGAATAGGGGAATCATTTGGCTGTATAAGGCTGTGGGAGAGCATTGCTTGGTGAACTGAATTTCAGCTGATTCCTGTTCTAGATCTCCTTGCTGCCCTTTACACATTCTGGTCACTGAGTTTGGAGCCTATTGTAGTGGAAAGGATTATGCCTGGCCCTACATCCCTGCAGCCCACCTCTGAGTTAACCCCCAGTCGCCATTCTGTGTGTATGTGTGCATGTGTGCATGTGTATGTGTGTGTGTGTTTGTGGGGAGAGAGAGACAGAAAGAGAAAAAGACAGGGTCTTGCTGTCTTGCTCAGGCTGGAGTGCAATGGTGCAATCATAGTTCACTGCAGCCTCGAACTCCTGGGCTCAGACAATCCTCCTGCCTTAGCCTCCAGAGTAGCTGTGACTACAGGTCACAAGACCCAGCTAATTTTCATACTTTTTGTAGAGATGAGGTCATTTCTCTCCATATTGACAGTTTCTTATCTGAAGTACCTGCCTCTCTCTGCTTCGAGTCTGCTTGGAGGCTTTCTCCTATGCTGTGAGAGCTTTTCTCAGTGTGCAGGGCAGCTTGGAGGTCTTGGGGACTTTTTTTTTTTTTTTTTGAGACAGAATCTCACTCTGTCACCTAGGCTGCAGTGCAGTGGCATGATCTCGGCTCACTGTAACCTCCACCCTTCAGGTTCAAGTGATTATCGTGTCTCAGCCTCCCAAATAGCTGGGATTACATTTATGCACCACCATGCCCAGCTAATTTTTGTATTTTTAGTAGAGACCGGGGTTTTGCCATGTTGGCCAGACTAGTCTTGAACTCCTGGCCTGCCTTGGCCTCCCAAAGTTCTGGGATTACAGGCATGTAATGTGATCTGCCCACCTCGACCTCCCAAAGTTCTGGGAGGCGTGTAATGCCTCCAGGGGCAACAATCAGCCTGCGAGAGATGGAAGTCATTGCATAAATCTTCTGGCTCCCTGGTATTGCTGTGAGATGACTCTGAGATGCGTTCTGTATCCTCCAGTGGACTTGAGCTCTCTAGTTGCCCACAGCAGTAATCCTCGTATTAACATGGACTCTTGGCTTTTTCTTTCTTTCTTTCCCATTTCACTTTGCCCATTCCCTCACTATGCTTTTTGGAGATCACCTGCCAAATAAACTACATGTATAGAAGTCTTTGTCTCTGAGTCTGCTTTGGGAAACCGTAAACTCTGGCATCTGTCAAGAGCTCCGTGTATAGACTGAGGCTTCCTCAGCTCTGCTTCGTGGGTCAACATCCTTTCCACTGCTTTCTAGCTTGATGAATTCTTCTGTACATAAACTGATGACCTCTCTCCTATGCTCTTTGTTTTCGTTAGCTTATTCCTTATATGCTCCTTTCTGTCGTTTTATTGGCATATAAAGAGGGTGAGGAACCATATAGCTGTGCTTATTTGGCCTTCAGTCAAAGCCTACCTTATCTCTTTAACCTAAGTTCCTATTCCTTCATCTTCTGTCCACAAGCTAACCATCATGGGACCCTCAAATCTATTTCCCTTTTTCAAGCCTTTGCATATGCTCTCCTCCTACCTGGGATTTCATTCTCCTTATCATGGCCAACAAACTTTCTGGCTTTTCCTCAAAATTCTGGTCAAAGGGTAACTCTTGTATTAAATTTTTCCTATTTTTCTCTCTCTCTTCAAACAGTTAATATTGATGAATTCCACATCTATGTCCTTTAGTTGCCTGCATGTTCTGCAAGAACAATGTCTCTACCTCTTTGTTTCCCACTGTATTCCCAGTCACTGGCACAGTGCCTGGCCTGGCTCAAATATTTGTTAAATGAGCAAATAAATCCATTCCTTAAGGGTAAGAAAGCCAATTTAGGTGGACATGTCAGCACCTGGAACTTAGCTGGTATGCAGATTGACCTCTGTGGGGTCATTGTAGGAGAGCTATCTATTTCCAACCACTCTTTAGGGGAAGTGCTTACAAGATGGACATTTGGAGTAGTCAGTGAGAGACTGAGACTGAGATGACAGCAGATGTGGTGGTAGAAATATGAGCAAGAAGTCAGGTTACTGTGCTCTGCCCCAGGTTTTGTCTATCGTCACCTTGGAATTGTTGCTAGGAGTGAGATGATTCTGTGATATCTCAATTTCCAATCATTTATTTACCAGAGGCCATCTGGTGTGCATGTTAAGAGGTGTAGTAAGGCTGGGTGTGGTGTCTCATGCCTGTAATCCCAGCACTTTGGGAGGCCAAGGTGAGAGGATTGCTTGAGCCCAGGAGTTCAAGATCACCCTGGGTAGCATAGCAAGATCCTGGTCTCTACAAAACAATAAAAAATTAGCTGGGTGTGGTGGTGCACGCCTGTAGTCCCAGCTACTTGGGAGGCTAAGGTGGGAGAATCACTTGAGCCCAGGAGGTCAAGGCTGCAGAGAGCCAAGAATACACCATTGCACTCCAGCCTGGGTGACAGAGCAAAATCTTGTTTCTTAAAAAAAAAAAAGAGGAGCCAGAGTGAATCTTGGGTTTGAATCCTCACCTCTGTCACTTGCTAGTTTTGTAATTTTGGGGCAAGTTACTCAAACTCTCTTTGTCCCAGTCTCCTTATCTGTTGTGAGGATCAGGTGAATACATATTACATATTATTATATTACATATTTGTTATGTATTACTTATTTTATATATGTATCATATACAATCATTTTTAACCCATGTAGGGCACATACTGAACCCTGTGTAATTTTGGCTATTGTTAATATAGTAATTGCTAGGTGAATCATGCAAGATTTTAGGAGAACAGGTGGCTTGCCTGAAGCCACCAAGGGAGTCTGGGCTGCGTCTTGGGTGGTAATCTGTATATTCTGGGATTCAAGGACCATTGAAAAAATCTTAGCTGCCAGAGGATGCAACAACTGGCTGCACCTCACTGAGCAAGAGGACTTGTCACAGAGTCAGACCTATGCCTGGATCCAAGTAACAGGATGAGATGATTCAGAAAGTCTGTCTGATTTCCGTCACTGGAGTTCTGCTGTGTATTTGGCATCAACAAGTCAGTGTTCCCTGAAGGGCTCGTTCAAGTCCAAGTCATTGTGTTTTTGTTACTATGGACACATGGATGCAAAAGGAACTGAGCCTTAAAAAAAGATCCCTTGATATTGAAAATGTCAGCATGTTTCCTTTGGTTATTGATATTTGAAACTATTAAAAAGTAAATCCAAAACTATTTCTTCACCAGTGAAAACATTAAATGAAAATAAAGGTGATTAGTGTCAAAGTTGTAGGACCCAAGCGTTTCTGGTTAGGTCGTGGGCTTATGATGAAGATGCTTGGATTTCACATAGCTCAATTCTCTCTTTGGACCTCTCTGGACTATTTGTCTATGTCCATTTTCTTTAGGAGTTTTCTCAGGTGGGTTTTGTTGCCCCCATATTTTGAGTTGAAGGGTGGGACCAAGGAATTAGACTAGAGTCAAATTGTTAGAGGATATTTCTATTCCTGGAATAGCAGCAGGTAAAAATACTGGAGAATTCTGGCAGCATCTCTCAATGACCCTTTCTTTAAATATTAGTTATTGCTTTGATTCATGTGTTCATTGTGTTATGCTATATTTTTGTTTTAATTGTTCAGTGGTTGCTCTAAGGTTTACAATGCACATCTTATCATATTCTCCTGCAAATAATATTACACTACTCCTTAATACTTTAAGAACCTTACAATAGTTTGCTTCCCTTCTATGCCATCTTTTGTGCTATTATTGTCGTATATGTTACATGTGTTATAAATCCCAAAACTCATTGTTATGATTATTTGCTTTAAATGATCTTATAAAGAAGTATACTTATTTTATAAAATAACAACAAAAAAGTATTTTATATTTACCCCCAAAGCTTCCATCTGATGCTCTTCATTCCTTTGTTTAGATCTGAGTTTCCATCTGGAATAATTTTTCTTCAGCCAAAAGAACTTCCTTTAACAGTTTTGTTTTTTGGTGATGTGGATCTGCTAGCAGCAAGTTCTCTCCACTTTCATTTTCCTGAAAATGTCACCTTCTTTTTTAGGTGGGGGCAATAATAGTTGGTTCAATATGTGTATCAATAGAATAAAATATATTTATATGTTATATATAATGTTTGTATATACATTTTATATTTATATATTTGCAACTGTTTATAATATTTCAGAAGTATATTTAAAGGCATTTACTGTACATCAAGTGGAAAACAGTAGTTTATGGAGCTGGATATATAGTATAACGCTATTTCTTCTACAGAAGTTATATATGTATATTTAATGACAGAAAAGCCTGGCCAAGTGCAGTGGCTCATGCCTATAATCCTAGCATTTTGGGAGATTGAGGCAGGAGGATCACTTGAGCCCAGAAGTTTGAAACCAGCCTGGGCAACATGGTGAAACCTTGTCTCTACAAAAATACAAAAAAATAGCTGAGTGTGGTGGCGTGCACCTGTGGTTCCAGCTACGTGGGGGGTGGTGGTGGGGGGGTGGGACTGAGGTAGGAGGATTGCTTGGGCCCAGAAGGTTGAGGCTGAAGTGAACTATGGTGGTGCCACTGGGCTCCAGCCTGGGTGACAGAGCAAGACCCTGTTTCAAAACAACAACAACAACAACAACAACAACAACAGAACAAACAAGCAACCGAACAAACAAAAAAACCAAGAAGGAAAGAAAGAAAAAGCTTGACACTATATACATGGGCATGTAAGCAGTGGCATATCAATGAAGTATCAATGAAGTACTTCTTTTTGCTTATTGGAATTTTCTGAAATTTCTGAAATGAATCTGTATCATTATTGTAATAAGAAGGCATAATTTGTTTGTTACAGGCTATTTGGTTTTTTTCTTCCAATCCTTTCACAGTATTAAAATGCATAGCTTAACAAAATTTGCTTAACAGTAAATGTTGAGGATCGCTTGAACCCAGGAGTTGCAGGCTGCAGTGAGCCAAGATTGCACTCCAGCCTGGGGAACAGAGTGAGACTCTGTGTCAAAAAAAAAAAATTTTTTTTTAGTATGGATTACATCATGGAGGACGGGAGGCAGGACTAGATTGCAGCTCGAACTTGGAGGGACAGAGCAGCATGTGGAGGCTTGCATTGTGAATTTTAGCTCCAGAACAACTGCAGGAATAAATCAGGAAACCTGAGAGGACCCACAGACCCACTGAAGGAAGCAGATTGCTCCTACAGGACCTGGGAGACACCCCAAATACAGTGAGTGCCCAAGCTGTGTAAGTGGGAAAGGGAGATCATCTGCCCCCAAACACACACCCTCACTGGGGAAACTGAAGGTCTAGTTTATGGGAGAAGATTTCGACCTCACAAAGAGCTGAGGAAATTTAGAGAGCTGAGCAAAATACAGGGATGGAGGAAGCAGTGGGAAAGGCCCTGTGAGCTCACTAGTCCTCAAGCAGGCCATTCCTGCCTGGCATCACAGGGATCCCTTGGGAGGGTGGTCAGAGGCATAGGGGAAATGCCACAAGGAGAAGGAAGTCTCCAGCTGAACTTTGTAACAATTTGAACTGGTCAAGAAGCCTCCTGGCCAGATCTCAGGGGAGGGCATGAATCCGGAGTGCAGACTCCACAGGCGGGGGAAGAACTGAAACCTACTTTCTTTCCCAGCTGGGAGGTGGGTAGCCTGGGGCAAGTTCTCAGCCCTGCTTGCCCACTGCCTGGAAATAAGCTCAGTGCTGTTAGAGAGGGCATGGTGGGAGTGAGACCAGCCCTTTGGATGGCATGGGAGCTGGGTGAGGCCTGTGACTGCCGGCTTTCTCCCACTTCCCTGACAACCTGCGTGACTCAGCAGAGGCATCCATAATCCTCCTAGGTATATAACTACATTGACCTGGGAACCTCACCCCAATCCCCCACAATAGTCACAGCAAGACCTGCCCAAGGAGAGTCTGAGCTCAGATATGCCTAGCCCTGCCTACACCTGGTGGCCCTTCACTATCCACCCTGGTGTCTGAACACAAAGGTCATGTACTCTTGGGAGTTCTAGGGCCCCACCCACCACCGGTTCCTCCCCATACTACCACAGCTGATGCTCTCTGCAAAGCACCACCTCTCCTCAGGAGGCCAACCAGCACAAAAATAGAACATTAAACCACCAAAGCTAAGAACTCTCACAGAGTCCATTTCACCCCACTGCCACCTTCACTGTAACAGGTGCTGGTATCCACAGCTGAGAGACCCATAGTAGGTTCACATCACAGGACTCTGTGCACACAACCCCCAGTACCAGCCTGGAGCCTGGTAGACTTGCTGGGTGGCTAGATCCAGAAGAAAGATAACAATCACTACAACTTGGCTCTCAGGAAGCCACATGGATAGGAAAAGGGAGAGAGTACCACATCACGTGAACATCCATGGGACAAAAGAATCTGAATTACAGGCTTCATCCCTAGACCTTCCCTCTGACAGAGCCTACCCAAATGAGAAGGAACCAGAAAACCAACTCTGGTAATATGACAAAACAAGGCTCTTTAATACTCCCCCAAAATCACACTAGCTCACCAGCAATGGATCCAAACCAAGAAGAAATTCCTGATTTCCCTGAAAAAGAATTCAGGGGTTAGTTATTAAGCTAATCATGGAGGCACCAGAGAAAGACGAAGCCCAATGCAAGGAAATCCAAAAAATGATATAAGAAGTGAAGGGAGAAATATTCAGGGAAATAGACAGCATAAAGAAAAAACAACAAAAACTTCAGGAAACATTGGAGACACTTATAGCAATGCAAAATACTCTGGAAAGTCTCAGCAATAGAATTGAACAATTAGAAGAAAGAAATCCAGAGCTTGAAGACAAGGTCTTCGAATTAACCCAATCCAACAAAGACAAAAAAGAAAGAATAAGAAAATATGAATACAGCCTTCAAGAAGTCTGGGATGTTAAATGACCAAACCTAAGAATAATTGGTGTTCCTGAGGAAGAAGAGAAATCTAAAAGTTTGGAAAACATATTTAGGGGAATAATTGAGGAAAACTTCCCCAGCCTTGCTAGAGACCTAGACATCCAAATACAAGAAGCACAAAGAACACACGGGAAATTCACTGCAAAAAGATCATTGCCTAGGCACATTGTCATCAGGTTATCCAAAGTTAAGATGAAGGAAAGAATCTTAAGAGCTGTGAGAAAAAAGCACAAGGTAACCTATAAAGGAAAACCTATCAGATTAACAGCAGATTTCTTAGCAGAAATCCTACAAGCTAGAAGGGATTGGGGCCCTATCTTCAGGCTCCTCAAGCAAAACAATTACCAGCAAAAAATTTTGTATCCAGCAAAACTAAGCATCTTATACGAGGGAAAGATACAGTCTTTTTCAGACAAATGCTGAGAGAATTCGCTACTACCAAGCCACCACTACAAGAACTGCTAAAAGAGCTCTAAATCTTGAAAGAAATCCTGGAAACACATCAAAACAGAACCTATTTAAAGCATAAATCTCACAGGACCTATAAAACAAAACTATGATTTGAAAAACAAAAACAAAAAACCAAGATACACAGGCAACAAATAACATGATGAATGGAATGGTGTCTCACATTTCAACACTAACTTTGAATGCGAATGGCCTAAATGCTCCACTTAAAAGATGCAGAACTGCAGAATGGATAAGAATTCACCAACCAACTATCTGCTGCTTTCAAGAGACTCACCTAACACATAAGGACTCACATAAACTTGAGGTGAAGGGGTGGAAAAAGGCATTTCATGCAATGGACACTGAAAGCGAGCAGGAGTAGCTATTCTTATATCAGACAAAACAAACTTTAAAGCAACAGCATTTAAAAAAGTCAAAGAGGGTCACTATATAATATTTCCAACAGCAAAATATCACAATCCTAAACATATATGCACCTAACACTGGAGCTCCCAAATTTATAAAACAATTACTAATAGACCTAAGAAATGAGATAGACAGCAACACGATAATAGTGGGGGACTTCAATACTCCACTGATAGCACTAGACAGGCCATCAAGACAGAAAGTCAACAAAGAAACAATGAATTTAAACTATACCTTTGAGCAAATGGACTTAACAGATATATACAGAACATTCCATCCAACAACCACAGAGTACACATTCTATTCAACAGTGCATGGAACTTTCTCCAAAATAGACCATATGATAGGCCATAAAATGAGCCTCAATAAATTTAAGAAATTGAAATGATATCAAGCACTCTCTCAGACTATAATGGAATAAAACTGGAAATCAACTCCAAAAGGAACCTTCAAAACCATGCAAATACATGGAAATTAAATAACTTGCTCTTGAATGATCACTGGGTCAAAACCGAAATCAAGATGGAAATTAAAAAATTGTTTGAACTGAATGACAATAGTGACACAGCCTATCCAAACCTCTGGGATACAGCAAAGGCGGTTCTAAGAGGAAAGTTCATAACCTTAAATGCCTACATCAAAAAGACTGAAGGAACACAAAGTGACAATTGGAGGTTATATCTCAAGGAACAAGAGAATCAAGAACAAACCAAACCCAAACCCAGCAGAAGAAAGGAAATAACCAAGATCGGAGCAGAACTAAATGAAATTGAAACAAGAAACAATACAAAGGATAAATGAAACAAAAACCTGGTTCTTTGAAAAGATAAATAAAATTATAGAACGTTAGCAAGATTAACCAAGAAAAGAAGAGAGAAAATCCAAAAAACCTCAAAAAGAAACAAAACGGGAGATATTACAACTGACACCACAGAAATACAAAAGATAATTCAAGGCTCCTATGAACACCTTTACACACATAAACTAGAAAACGTAGAAGAGATGTATACATTCCTGGAAATACACAACCCTCCTAGCTTAAATAGGAAGAATTAGATACCCTGAATGACCAATAACAAGCAGCGAGACTGAAATGATAATTTAAAAACTACCAACAAAAAAAGTCTGGAACCAGAAGGATTCACAGCAGAATTCTACCAGATATTCAAAGAATTGGTACCAATCCTATTGACACCATTCCACAAGACAGAGAAAGAGGGAACCCTCCCTAAATCATTCTATGAAGTCAGCATCACTCTAATACCAAAACAAGGAAAGAACATAGCCAAAAAAGAAAACTACAGATTGAATCCCTGATGAACATAGATTCTAAAGTCCTTAACAAAATGCTAGCTAACTGAATCCTACAACATATCAAAAAGATAATCCATCATGATCAAGTGGGTTTCACACCAGGGATGCAGGGGATGGTTTAACATACACAAGTCAATAAATGTGATACACTATATAAACAGAATTAAAAATCACATGATCATCTCAATAGATGCAGAAAAAGCATTCAACAAAATCCAGCATCCGTTTATGATTGAAACTCTCAGCAAAATTGGCATACAAGGGACATACCTCAATGTAATAAAAGCCATCCATGACAAACCCACAACCAACATAATACTGAATGGGGAGAAGTTGAAAGCATTCCCTCTGAGAACTGGAACAAGACAAGGATGCCCATTCTCACTGCATCTCTTCAACATAGTACTGGAAGTCCTAGCCAGAGCAATCAGACAAGAGAAAGAAGCAAGGGACATCCAAATTGGTAAAAAGGAAGTCAAACTGTCACTGTTTGCTGATGATATGATCATTTACCTCAAAAACCCTAAAGACTCCTCCAGAAAGCTCCTAGAACTGAAAGAAGAATTCAGCAAAGTTTCCAGATACAAAACTAATGTACACAGTTCAGTAGCTCTGCTATACACCAACAGTAACCAAGCAGAGAATCACATGAGGAAGTCAACCCCTTTTAGAATAGCTGCAAAAAATAAATCAATAAAATAGGAATATACCTAACCAAGGAGGTTGAAGACCTCCACAGGGAAAACTACAAAACACTGCTGAAAGAAATCACAGAAAAAAACAAACAAATGGAAACATATCCCACGTCATGGATGGGTAGAATCAATATTGTCAAAATGAGCACACTGCCAAAAGCATCTACAACTTCATTGCAATTCCCATCAAAATACCATCATTCTTCACAGAATTAGAAAAAAACAATTCTAAAATTCGTATGGAACAAAAAGAGAGTCCATATAGCCAAAGCAAGATTAAGCAAAAAGAACAAATCTGAAGGCATCACATTACCGATTTCGAATTATAGTATAAGGCCATAGTCACCAAAACAGCATGATACTGGTATAAAAATAGGCATATAGACCAATTGAACAGAATAGAGAACCCAGAAATAAACCCAAATACTTATAGCCAACAGATCTTCAACAAAGCAAACAAAAACATAAAGTTGGGGAAAGGACACCCTTTTTAACAAATGGTGCTGGGATAATTGGCTAGCCACATGTAGGAGAATCGAAACTGGATCCTCGTCTCTCACCTTGCACAAAAATCAACTCAAGATGGATTAAAGACTTAAATCTAAGACCTGAAACTATAAAAATTCTAGAAGATAACTTTGGAAAAACCCTTCTAGACATTGGCTTAGGCAAGGATTTCATGACCAAGAACCCAAAAGCAAATGCAATAAAAACAAGGATAAATAGTTGGGACTTAATTAAACAAAAGAGCTTTTGCACGGCAAAAGGAACAGTCAGTAGAGTAAACAGACAAGCCACAGAGTGGGAGAAAATCTTCACAATCATACATCTGACAAAGGACTAATATCCAAAATCTACAACTAACTCATATCAGCAAGAAAAAAACAATCCCATCAAAAAGTGGGCTAAGGACATGAATAGATACTTCTCAAAAGAAGATATGCAAATGGACAACAAATGTATGGAAAAATGCTCAACATCACTAATGATCAGGGAAATGCAAATCAAAACTGCAATACGATAGTGCCTTACTCCTGTAAGGATGACCATAGTCAAAAAAAAAAAAAAAAAAAGTAAAATAAAAAAACAATAGACGGTGGTGTGGATGTGGTGATCAGGGAACACTTCTACACTGCTGGTGGGAATGTAAACTAGCACAACCACTATGGAAAAGTGTGGAGATTCCTTAAACAACTGAAAGTAGAACTGCCATTTGAACTGCCATTTGATCCAGCAATCCCACTACTGGGTGTCTACCCAGAGGAAAAGAAGTTATTATACGAAAAAGATACTTGAACATGCATGTTTATAGCAGCACAATTCGCAATTGCAAAGTCGTGGAATCAACCCCAGAGCTCATCAATCAACAAGTGGATAAAGAAACTGTGGTAAAAGGAATGAATTAATGACATTCGCAGTGACCTGGATGAGATTGGAGACCAGTATTCTAAGTGAAGTAATTCAGGAATGGAAAAGCAAACATCGTATGTTCTCACTGATATGTGGGAGCTAAGCTACAAGGACCCAAAAGCATAAGAAAGATACAATGGACTACGGGGACTTGGGAGGAAAGAAGGGAAGGGAGCGAGGGATAAAAGACTACAAATAGGGTGTAGTGTATACTGCTCAGGTGATGGCTGCACTGAAATCTCAGAAATCACCACTAAAGAACTTACTCATGTAACCAAACACCACCTGTACCCCAATAACTTACGGGAAAAATTTTTATATTACACATATTAAAAGTGAATAACAATAAAAACAAAAACAAAAAGCGTAAATGTCATTTAGGCTTTCTCCTAATAATGCACATGTTAATTGGTAGGATTAAAATTAAAGCGTATTTCTGGATTCTGGTCTTTGAAAATAAAGATTACAGGGGAAAACTGGACAAACTATTTAAGACTACTGTGAAAACTGAAAAAACAGCGCCTTGACTTCATTTCCCCCTCAAAGTTGCAACATCAGCCCAGGAGTCAGAGCACTGAAAAGGCTTTAGTCTGTAGGATTAAAACCTAAAATATGTGCAACAATGAAATACATGATCTGCACACTTAGGTCAGTTTCCCTATGAGCAAACATTCCACATTGTTTCTAAAGCACTATCATCATTAATAAACTCTCATAGGCTCTTTTTATGTATAAGAATTGGTATTAGGAAGATAAATAGATACTTGCCTATTTCTACAGGAATTCTGCCATCAGAGTAGGGGATTATTTCCCATACATTCTTCATGTTTCAAGTTTTATTCACCTGCAATATTTAGGGATATTTTCATGAACATAGAATTCTATCTTGCTAATTTTACCCCGGTATTTTATAGATGGCATTTCTTTGTCTTCTGGCTTGCATTTTTTTAAATGTTACTGGTAATTCTTACCTTGTCTCTTGTATATAATGTGTCTTTTTTCATGGGTTGTTTGAATTTTTTAAAAATCATTGATGTGGCTTTCTTTATGCTTCTGATGTTTGAAGTTTGAGTTTCTTGGATCTATGGATTTATAATTTTCATAAATTTTGGAAACTTTTTGGCTGTTATTTCTTTGAGTATTTTTATGTCCCTCTGCCTTTTTTCCTGAAACTCAAATTCTATGTGTGTTAGCCCGCTTGGTATAATTCTATGAATGAAAGGCTGTTCATTTTTGCCAGACTTTTTTGGGTGTGTGTGTCTTCTGTGCTTCAGTTTGGATAGTTAAAATTGTCCTGTTTTTAGGTTCATTGATCTTTTTATTGGCAGTGTCCTAAAATCTTTTGTTAAGCTCCTCCAGTGAATTTTCATTTCAGATACTGTGTGTGTGTGTGTGTGTGTGTGTGTGTGTGTGTACCAACTGAATATATATATTCAGCTTTGAAAGTTCAGTTTAGGCTGGGCATGGTGGCTCATGCTTGCAATTCCAGCACTTTAGGAGGCCAAGGTGGGAGGGTCACTTGAGGACAGGAGTTAGAGACCAGCCTAGGCAACATGTTGAAACCCTGTCTCTACAAAAAATTAAAGAAAAAAAGAAAAGCCTGGTGTGGTGGCATGTGCCTGTAGTTCCAGCTACTCAGGAGGCTGAGACAGGAGGCATAATTGATCCAGGAGTTAGAAGCTTCAGTGAGCCATGATCCTGCCACTGCACAACAGCTTGGGTGACAGAGTGAGACAGGGTGAGAGACCCCATCTCTTAAAAACATAGTTCTCTCTCTCTTTTTATGTTAATATTTTTCTTTAATTCATATTTATAATAGTTGCTTTAAAGTTCTTGTCTGCCAAGTCTGTCAGTTTTAGACTTTTTTTTTTTTTTTTTTTTTTTTTTTTTGAGACGGAGTTTCGCTCTTGTCGCCCAGGCTGGAGTGCAGTGGCGTGATCTCGGCTCACTGCAACCTCCGCCTCCCTGGTTCAAGCAATTCTCCTGCCTCAGCCTCCTGAGTAGTTGGGATTACAGGCACCCGCCACCATGCCTGGTTAATTTTTTTGTATTTTTAGTAGAGACGAGGTTTCACCATGTTGGCCAGGCTGGTCTTGAACTCCTGACTTCAAGTGATCTGCCTGCCTTGGCTTCCCAAAGTGCTGGGGTTACAGGTGTAAACCATGGAGTCCGGCCTAGACTTTTTTATTGTGTACATTTTTTCCTCCTTATGGGTCACATTTTTCTGCTTGTTTTGCATGTGTAATAATTTTTGATTAAATGCTAGGTATTGTGAATGACACATTGGTGCTTACCTGGATTAAAAAAGTTTTTTTAGTAGAAAAGCAGAATGGCTTGGATCATTTATTGAAGTGGTGCCACTAATAAAGGAGAGGTGAGAGCCAGACTGGTTGGAGAAGAGCTGCCAAGAACTGGAACACTGGAGCACCTGCAGAATTTAGTCCTTTACCACAGTCAGTGCAGACAAGCTCCTGAAAGGAAATAATGCTGCTCATTGACTTGCACCTTCTTAAGACAGTCCTTTGGCTTATTAAATTAAAACTCCAAGAGGAAAAACTACTTACTCAGCACTCAGGTGATGGGTGCACCAAAATCTCAGAAATCACTACTAAAGAACTTAGTTGTGTAACCAAGCACCACCTGTACCCCAATAACCTATGGGAAAATTTTTATATTCCACATATTAAAAAGTGAATAATAATAATAATAAAATAACAATATAATAAAATAAAATAATAAATAAGGAAGATAAAAGGAAGACCACTGTTCCCTGAAGGTTAACTAGAACTGCTAGGGTCCTCCAAGGAGTGGATGAAGTATCCTAACAGGGCATATTGGGCAATGCCAGCTGCAAAGAAGAGGCCACCCATTGATCCATATTTAGGGAAAAGAGAACCGTCACTAGAAAAGCACCATTTCCAACCCCACGTCACAGAGCCAATACCCTGCTTGTGAGATGTCAGCTCTACCGTGGCAAGTGTAAAAGGCAGACCAGAAAAATAAAAAATCTACACAAAGTCAAACACCAGAGAATAAAAATATAACGAAGACCAGAAAATTAGTGGAAATGAAGGAAGGACAGATGAAAAATACAAACCATATGGGGACAAATGAATGTTAAGAGTTTGCCCAAATGCTTTCTGCATTGACTGTTCTACTGGCATCTGCCTGAACCTGTGGCTGAGGCTTGGAAATATTTTTGCCATGTTGGTGATAGGGTTTTTAGGTCATAAAATTATGTCAATCCTGGAACTTATTCTTTGTAATAGAGACTGTCCTTGACAAATTCTCCCAGCTCTCCCAGTTCTCCCTATTACCCTTCTTTACTTAATTTATCACCATAGGATATATGACATTTTGTATTTATTTGTTTTATGTATGTCTTTCCCAAGTAAAAAATAAGCTCCCTAAACCATGAATGTTTTTTTAACAGCACACTGATGACATATCAACCATGAAATTGTAAAGAATTTTATGCCTTTCAAAATAAATATTGAGATGAGTATTAAACCCATTGGCTTGCTCCCCACCCCCAAATTTTCTTTAGAGAATGTTGGGTTTTGATCAGCAGGCATTTAATTTGCTTGCTCATCACCTTTATCATTTTGAGTCTTTTTCTTTTAATTAAAAAAATTTTTTAAGAGATGGGATTTCCTTATGTTGCTCAGGCTAAAGTGCAGGCTATTCCCAAGTGTAATCATAGTGCACTACCACCTCAAACTCCTGGGCTCAAGTAATCCTCCTGCCTCAGCCTCCAGAGTAGCTGAGACTGCAGGTGTTCACCTCCATACCTGGCTTCAGCCTTGTTTTTAAGCATGATTAGGATGAGTCTAGAGTTACTCTAGGGCTACATTAGCCTATTTTTCCAGTGTCTTCTTTCTGGGGTCTTTGTTGATTACTCTGGGTTTTCAGCAAGTTCTTTCCACAAAGTTGGTTGAAATTCACATTTTCCCAATCCTGTGTAAGCTTTCCTAATTGTTTATTTTTTAAAAACAAAGTTATGGCAAAATATGCATAACATAAAATTTACCATTTAAATAATTTTAAAGTGTTCAGTTCAATAGCGTTAAGTATATTCACATTGCTGTGTGGCCAATCTCGAACTTTTTCATCTTGTAAAACTGAAACCCTATACCCATTAAACAACAGTCCTGCATTTTCACCTCCCCCTATCTCCTGGCAACCGCCATTCTAGTTCTGTTTATATGACTGTGACTGCTCTAGATATGTCATATCAGTGGAATCATACAGATTTGTCTTTTTGTGTATTTGTTCAGTTTTTTTTTTTCTTCTTGCTAGTGTTTGTTATTTCCCTAGTGATTGTTCTTTGCTGGGCTTTATGGAGTTTTACCCTACATATCCATCACATTCAGCCAGAGTCCCCAGGGGTCCCTTAGGCAGATTTCCGGAGCTCCCTCTCCGCCTAGCTCCCATACATTTCAGATGTTTCTCTTCCACACTCTGAGCTCTTTATCTGCAGCTCACAGTGACCTCTGTACTCTGTGTGGCTTCCCCTCCCCGTGCTGGGGTCTGGTTAGAGGACTCATCTGCTTGTTTTTCTCCTCTCTAGGATCGTAGCTCTGTACTGCCTGCTGTTCAGCATCTGAAAGTATGTTTTTGGCCAGTATTTTAGTTGTTTGCAGTAGGTACAGTCGCTATTAGTACCTTTCTTGTGACATAAATCCATATGGCATACAAAAAATCTTTTTCCTCTGGTTTCTTGAGGACAGGAACTATCGCTCTCCTCCTCCCTTTTTCTACTTCTCCTCCTTCACTGTCTTCTTTATTATCTTCATAGCTACCACCGAGGGAGCTCTTTCTGCAAGCTTGTCACTGTTCTATGCAGTATTTCATTTAGTTCTTATAACAATTCTACAAGGTTGAGTATTGTTTTACAGATAAGGGACCCAAGGCTCATATAGAAATAAAATGCTCAAGGTCTCATTGCAATATGTAGCAGAGATGAAATTCAAGCCTAAGACTTTCTCATTCCAAAGCCTTAACAGTTACACTAGTAGCTCTCATTCACTGATCACAAGATATTACATTTATGAGGATATACCCAGCAGGGTTCTTTTAAACAAAATAATTAATTAATGTTAAAAATTGACAAAATAGTATATCTTTATGGTGTACAATATGATGCTTGGATATATGTAAACATTGTAGAATGCCTAAATTATGTTAATTAACACATGCATTATCTCACATAGCTTTTTGCACTGAGAACATTTAAAACATACTCTTTTGGCAATTTTTAAGTAGACCGTATATTTTTAGTAGCCATAGTCACCATGCTGTACCATCAGAGTTCTTGATTGGAAATGATGAAAGCCAACTCGATCAGCGGGTATTGGGTTCATTCCTAGAATCAACAAGAGTAGGGAGAACCTGGCTTGAAAGACGGGCAGGAATGAAGCGGGGCCAGGTGGCAGGAAAGGCGCCAGGGCCCTGCTCCAGGACACCGCGCCCAGGCTGCTGCTGCCATTGCCCTTGCATGTTTGGCCAGTCCCTTGCACAGCGGGTGCTGCAGCTGCCACTGCCAGAGTGAACTCTGAACTGCTCTGCCTCTTTGCAATTGTTGGTCTAGAGTGAGGGCTCCAGTTGTCTGTGGCCCAGAGGTCATGTGTCCCAGAGAACAAGCACCTCACCTTAGGGCTTCTGTGGAGGGAACTGGGGCCCTGCCTTCTATCAAGACATCTACAGTGATGAATTTCCCAAGCACATGAAGGTGGTTTAGATGCTGGGAGGCCAAGAAGACAACAGTTGATGGTCACTCCAAGGATCATATACATATTTGTAGAATGACTGGTCAGCTTGAGGCTGGCTTCTCTTTTAGACTTACAAGGAAAAGAAAAAAAATTTTTTTTAGGTTTGCTTTCTTCTTTTCTGACAAAGCCAGCCCAGCACTTACCTCACTTTTTCTTCTCTTTTTAAAGTGCTTCTCATGTTGCAACATTGTAAGAAAGCAATCCCATAAAACCAAAGTCCTCACATTCTTTCAGCTACTTTTGTCTCTATTATGTTACAATAGTTAGATTTCAAAAATGGTAGCTACCATATCCTTGGCACTGAAACAAAGTACTTTACACACATGACCTTGTTTAGTCTTTGCAATAGCCCTAGGAGGTGTGGTGATTAATAGTCTTAGCAGCTCTCCTTTATACATCAGGACCCTGATACTCAGAGAGGATTCAAGATCCTAGCTACTAAACAGTGCAGCTGAATTTGTGACATGTTTTCCTTTTGTTTATTTTTTTTGCTTAATTTTTTTTGAGAAATTAAAAAAATTCAGAAAAGTCCAAGGAAAAATAGAATAGACACCTGTATTTCTATCAACAAGAATTAACTATGTTAATTTATATTTGTCTTCTAGCTTTCCTTTTTAAAGAGATAAAACATTAGAAAGACAGTTATGGTTTTTTTTCGTCATCTCTTTTCCTCTTCCGGTGCACTTTCAAATACTTTTGCATAATATATTTATACATTAGTAGCCAATGCATGGTATTATTTTTAACATACGTGTGCTCTTAAAGTTTTTGTAAATGATATGTGAAATTCTGCATCCTGCTTTTTTTCTGCTCATATTTTATTTTGACATCTCTCCATGTTAATTCATGTAGAGAAACAGACAACAAAGTGGTTAAGATCACAGGATCTAGAGCCAGACTGCCTGGCTGGGTTGAATCCAGCCCTACTATTACTAGTTGTGTGACTTCGGACACATTTCCTGTTTTCTCTATGCCTTAATTCCTTTATCTGTGAAATGTGGACTCTAATCGTGTCTTCTTTATTAGGTTGTTGAGCAGATTGAGTTAAAAACATGCAGAACACTTAGAACAGTGCCTGACACAGGAAACACTCAATAACTGATATTTGCTGTTGTTATTAAAGATGGCCCTGCATCCATCTGTAAGACAAATGTTGAATTGTTTATATTCATTTCCACCAAATTCCTCTTGTTTTCTTTAGCAAGCATCACCAACATTGGTGCATGAAGGTGAACTTGAAATCACTAGCCACTGAGCAGAATTTGTCCATTTATTCCATTGTGAGCTCTTGATAAGTATGGGCTATTGTCATTATCTTAGTCACTTCTTTTAACTCTTGCATAACCTTCCATCGTATCCATTCATTTCCTTAGGGATGGACATTTAGGTTGTTTCTTATGTTTTTCTATTAAAACCAATGCTGCAATCTTCATCCAGGTACATGTCTCCTTACACACACTTGGGCATGTAGAATTGCTGGGTAGGGATTGAACCCAGGCCTCCTTAATGCCAAAGACCTTATGTTGCTCCCACTTACAGAGTCATATGTAGAGACAGACAGTAAATTTCGAGGGTGATGATGATCCATGGCTAATGGAAAAATTCTTCAGAGATGCACATTATCTCTAAGAGATCACTCAGAGGGACCTTTGGCGGGGGAGATATTAAAGGTCTCCTTACCTCATAAATGAACCCACAATGAATATTTAGCTGAATGCAATACATATTAAGACAAACAAAAAACGTTGTACAGGGATATTATCAACATGAATCGTTTTTATTGCTCCCAAATTAAAGTTTATTAGAAAAAAATACTTTTTTTAATTTTTAGAAATTTTATTTATTTAATGGACATTTAATCATAGACATTTGTTGCAGAGTTGAAAGAGTGGTGATTTGTGCAGGCAAGATGCATTGAAACAGTATTTCTTTTTCAGTCTGACGTAGTAAGTCATATTACTGAGCCAAGAACTATTTAATTGTCTGTACATCAAATAGCTCAATAAAGTATTGGATGGTATGACCAGACAAGTGGAGGGATATTTCAAAATGTCAAATTAGTGAAGAATTGTAGAGAAGGAGAAAGAAAGGAGACAGACAGGAGAAAAGAAAGGAGGACTTCATTGGTGGCAGAGGTGGGGCAGTAGCAGGAAGTACTGGCTTGAAGGAAGGAAGTTCAACACCCGAGAGAGGAAGGAAGTTCAACACCCGAGAGAGGATGGTCTGTTCTCTTATCAAGTTCATCTCCAGGGACAAACTCTATAATTTCCCCCAAGCAGACCCTTCTCAGCTTTCAGCAGCATAAAAAAAAATGTGGAAATTCAGATTTAGTCCCATTGCTTCTTCTTTGGGTCTCTGAGGACTCAGATGGCAGCCTGAAGGCAGGTCTGGGAGCTGATATGTACCTTCCTGAGGCCCCGTGGGGAGAGGACCTGTTGCAGACTCTGAGCCCTTCCCTTGGTCCTCAGTCCCCCTCCCTTTCTTTTCCCAAGTCCTTGGCCTTCCGAGGTAGAATAATGCTCTCCATTATTCCACCCAGTGCCCCAAAACACCTGCGGTGGAGCTGAGGTACCCTGCGGTCAGAAGAGCGCCCCTGGTGGCGAGATCCGGAGCCAGCTTGCCTGATTTTGCCGTCCCAACCTGAGCTTCCTTTTCCACACCAGAGAAAGGGCGCAAATCAGAGCCCTCCTGGCCTAGAGCTGCTGAGTGGCGGGTGAAGGGCTCGGCGGTGTCTGGCGTATGCCAAGCCACATGCTTCCTGGAAAGCAGCAAGCGGAGAGTAGCCTCAGCCTGTGAAAATTCAGGGCATTGCTTTGGCTCGTCCCTGTCCCTGACCCTAACCTTAACCCTTATGTCTGAAGTAGTTTGAGAGGGAGACACAGGCCTTCCCAACAAATGGGCCCCTTTATTCTTTGAGTCGATGGGAGGCCAGGGCGGCCAGATCTCCCACTCCAGGCAGGTCAGTTCTCGTCAGGAGCAGCCTGCGTCTTTAAGGTCATAGCTGTTATTCTTGGAGTTATTTATTTATTTGTCAAAGTCTCGCTCTGTTGCCCAGGCTGGAGTGCAGTGGCGCGATCTTGGCTCACTGCAATCTCCGCCTCCCGGGTTCAAGTGATTCTCCTGCTTCAGCCTCTCGAGTAGCTAGGATTATGGGCGCCTGCCACTAGGCCCGACTAATTTTTTGTATTTTTTTTTTCAGTAGAAATGGGGTTTCACTATGTTGGCCAGCCTGGTCTCAAACTTCTGACCTCAAGAGATCGACCTGCCTCAGCCTCCCAAAGTGCTGGGATTACAGGCATGAGCCACCGTGCCCAGTCGGAGTTATCTTTAGTGACCTCAGGATTAGCCAGCCAGCTGGGGTAAAGGGGTGGGTTTAGAAGCTTGCTTTAAAGGTGTAGTCAAAGGCAAAGAAAAGCAAACTACGCTTTTAAGTAATGCATTTTGAGGCAGGGTGCGGTGGCTCATGCCTGTAATCCCAGCGTTTTGGGAGGCCAACGTGGGAGGATCACTTGAGCCCAGGAGTTCAAGATCAGCCTGGGCAACATAGCAAGACCTCCATCTCTATAAAAAATAAAATTAAAAATAAAAATTAGCTAGGCATGGTGACATGCACCTGTAGTCCCAGCTACTTGTGAGACTGAGGCATGAAGATTCCTTGAGCCCAGGAGTTGGAGGCTGCAGTGAGCTATGGTCACACCACTGTACTCCAGCCTGGGTGAGAGAGCGAGACCCCATCTCTTAAAAAACAACAACAACAAACAGACACATTTTGAGGAAAGCTCACAGCTTAGGCATTTTGTTCTGTCTGTGTGACCCAATTACAATGAGTTAAACATTTTCCTTCTCCTTTCCTTTCTCCCTTGGCCTATTCTTCAGACAATGTCTCATTCACAATTATCCTGTCAGTCACTGTTGTGATAAGGATCACGCTTTCTATGACTAACAATAGGCAATAAATTAATAACAATATCCACAGACATGTTTCCTGTGAAACTCCTTGGTTTCTGTTGCTACACATTTGAGTTAAAAATAAATCATTAGAAAAAGAAAGAAAGGAATAATTAGTCTACAAGAAACAAAAAAGAAATACTGCAAAATGTAAATCCCAAGCTTATAGCAAATTTCACACTAAAAAGCAATCAATTAAATAGATAACCTTTTTAATGATAATCAATATGATTTATGAAAGACCCTAAGCATACAAAATTCATGGAGGATAGAAAATGAATAGATGAAAGAACAGCGGATAAATTATACTTTATGAGTGTTAGGTCTGTTTATACCTTCTTGATAAATAGCTTTAGACATAAATTTAGAGTTTTTAAATGAAAACACAACTGAAATCCCTTCTCATTCTATTCTTTCAGGAAGGCAGGGTGGTGAGTAGATAGGACATGGGTTTTGGAGTTGATCTGCTTTAAATCCAGGCTCTAGCACACAGGTGACTGTGTGACAGGAAATGTATTATGTATTCTACCAACTCTGCTATTTCCCGTCCATAAACCTTGCAGGCTGCTGTATGTTAGACATGCACACACAGATGTGTCCATATACAAAGGCATATCCATGCACACATGTATTAATAAAGTATTTAGATATGCTTCCCAAGATTCATCTGTGTATGGGATTCAGCTGATCACCCCTGACTGCATGAACATCTGGTGAATACATTACAAACCATTCCTGCTGGTTTATAAATGGTGACAACAAATGACAATTAGAAAAGCTTATAAATACTACAAGCATTTCTAAGTCTTTACTTAATTCTAAAAAATTAGAATTTCTGTAATGTGTATAACATTAAATACTTACCATTTATTTTGATCTCAACAGTGTGTAAAGGTGTTTCTATGAATTATACATGATTCTGACTGTCACAGGATCAACTCTTGTCTGATCTGTTAATCCCTTTGTTGTTGTCTTTTTTTTTAATTGTATTATTTTTATGCACTTATTGTTTACTCTCTCAAGAGTTCAGCCATTGGGATCATTAAACATTTGATGTATCAGGGCATAGAGGTCCCAAGCATGGACGCTGAAATCAGAGTGCTAGGGTTCAAGGCTGTATTAGTCCATTTTCACACTGCTATGAAGAACTGCCAGAGACTGGGTAATTTATAAAGGAAAGAGGTTTAATTGACTCACAATTCAGGATTGCTGGGGAGGCCTCAGGAAACTTACAATTCTTGTGGAAGCCGAAGGGGAAACAAGGCACCTTGTTCACAAGGCAGCAGGAAGGAGGAGTGTCAGTGAAGGGGAAAGAGCCCCTTATGAAACCATCAGATCTTGTGAGAACTCACTCACTATCATGAGAATAGCATAGGGGAAACTGCTCCCATGAGTCAATTACTTCCACTTGTTCTCTCCTTTGACACCTAGGAATTATGGGAATCATGGGGATTACAATTCAAGATTAAATTTGGGTGTGGACACAAAGCCTCAGCCATATCAAAGGCTCAGCTCTGCTACCTTCAAACTGTGTGACCTTGGGCAAATTACTTAGCCTCTCTGGGCCTTAGTTTCTTCATCCACAAAAATGGCATAACATAGTCTTTTTAGGAGAACTAAATGAATTAATCTTCATAGTGCATGGCCCTGTTCTGAACTGTAATTGCTATAAAAGTCTGAAAGAATGAAATTGTTAATTTTGCTAATGATTAAAAATGGATAAAGAAAACACTTTATTATTATATTTGTAACTATTAAGATACTAGTAGTAACTATTAAGATACTAGTAATAACTATTAAATTAATAGCTATTAAAATATTAATATAGTGTACATTATTCCTGATACAGCTATTTAAGAGAAATATCTATGTAAAGTATCTGACACACAACAGATATTCAGTAAATAGACATTTTTTATTATTGTTATTCTCTCAGGAAAGAAACTTATGCTAGGTTATATTTAAAAGGCACTGATTAGATTCAGCTCTCTCTATGGAGCTTTGAATGGAAACTTTTTTTCTTTTAAAAGTAGTGTTTTCAGGTTCAGGAAAAACGTGATGACTAAACTGAGTCCTGTTAATGTGTCAAAGCCAAGTCATCACGTGTCCTGGGTGGCAGGAGGGCAGGAGGCCCTGTGTGGCAGATGGGTGATTGGAGTAGTATGAGTAGGTGACAGGGGCCTTTGAGGCTTTTGTCCTCCTGCTCTGGTTTTCTTATCACTCCTTCAGGTCCTATTTCAGAGTGGAGCAGCAGCCTTGAGAACTATCTGCCTAGGGTGGCTAGTGATGAGGCCGTCTAGATGGTGGCAGCATGGCAGTGGATGACAGTGGATGGCAGTGGATGGTGGCTTCCAAGCTGTTACCTACCCTGGCCTCCTTGCATAGAGATGGTCACAGGAAGCATTGCCGAGCTGTGTGACAAAGACCCAGGCTCTACCACTCAGAAGTTGTGTGGCTACCTAACTTTTCTGAGCCCTAATGTCCTCATCTGAAAATGGGAGAGTAATTCCTACTGCTTGATTTAAATGAGAAATGTCGGCTGGGTGCGGTGGCTCATGCCAGTAATCCTAGCACTGTGGGAGGCCAAGGCAGGAAGATCCCTCGAGCCCAGGAGTTTGAGACCAGCCTGTGAGCAACACTGGGAGACCCTGTCTCTATTAAAAAAAAATTACTTAAATGAGAAATGTTTGTGCTTTGCTCAGTGCCTGGGCCAGAGTAAGGGCTTTGTTAGTAGTAACACAGTGGTGTTCTGATGTAGTAGTGCACACAGTGGGGTTCTGATGGCAAAATCTATTGAATATCCCCAATGGTGCTAATGCATCTTTCCTTCAGAGTTACTGTTCAATAAGCTGCTCCAGGCTAGCCTAGAAATTAATTAAGTTTTTATCTCCTTTACCTTTTCACTATAAATTATAAAAGAATTTTCTTTTTTAAATTTCTCAAATGCTACATATTTTAGAACTAGCATTTCCCCGGTGGACACAGTTATAAAGGAATAAGCTCTCTGACAGTAAGACCCAGGCTTAGTTCAGGGAAATGGTCCTTGAGATGAAATCAGTAGGTATTACCAACACCCATTTCAGCTCAATCTGTCTGATCCCCAGGAAAAGAGATCTCCATCATTTCATTCTGGAGGTATCAAATCAGTATTTTCTGGACCTCAGGATGAAGCCCTTGCTGTATGGCGTTAAAGTCCAGCACTTAGGTCATGTCCGATGTCATCCAGCTGTCCACCATCACTCACTGCACTGTCAGTAGCTCTGGTCACACTTGATGTCCTGAGTGCCAGTGGAAAGTTTGTCCCCAAGGCTGACTTGCTGCAGGCTTATGCAGGATTCTCCGGGCAAAGGCTTAGGAGTAAGGGGCTGGGAGTTTAAGATCTTAGAACAAAGCCCAAATTGTACCTTACAGGAGATGCTCTTGGGCAGGTTTGTGTCTCCCTCTGCGGAACCCAAGATGTGTTCCTTCAATGAGCATGTGTGTGACAGGCTGCCCATGAGGGGTGTGGGATGTGGAGAGAGGGGAGAAAGGGGCTTCTACTTCCCTCTAGTCAGCTCTCAAAAGGCTTTCCTGGAGAGGGGAGGGAACCCAGGAGTGCAGCTGCAAAGGAACCCTGAGATACGCTGGATGTGCCAGGGTCTATGGGGCATCGGTCACCTGTTGTGCTGTGACCAGGTGAGGGGTGGTTGGCTGCAGACAGCGCAGTCCTGGCATACAGGGGAGGAGATGGACAGGGGTGCACATGCCCAGATGGCTGACCTCTCACTCATTCCCTCATTCAGAACTGTTCACTCCGTGGACGCTCTGTGCCTGTGCCTGGCACTTGTTGTCTTTACAGTCTAAGGAGGAAGATAAACATTTAACAATTAAACAAATACATCAGGCTGGGCATGGAGGCTCACTCCTGTAATCCCAGCAGTTTGGGAGGCCGAGGCGGGTGGATCACTTGAGGTCAGAAGTTTGAGACCAGCCTAGCCAACATGGTGAAACCGCTGTCTCTACTAAAAATACAAAAATTAGTTGGGCGTGGTGGCATGTGCTAGTAGTCCCAGGTACTCGGGAGGCTGAGGCAGGAGAATTGCTTGAACCCAGGAGACAGAGGCTGCGGTGAGCCGAGATCATGCCACTACGCTCCAGCCTGGCCGGCAAAGCAAGACTCCATCTCAAAAAAAAAAAAAAAAAAAAAAAACAACAAACAAACAAACAAAAAAAACCCAAAATGCATCAATCACAGACAGAAATAAGTCCTCTGAAGAAAATGGAGTTTTGTGATAAAAAATAACAAAAGGCAAATATTTTTGAGCAGCTGGAGAAGCCCTCTTTGAGGTGATATTAAGCAAAAAACTTAGAGAATGAGAAGAAATCGTCTAGGAGTAGGTGTGGGTCAAGGGGAATGGCATGAAATAAGATGAGCTGAGGCCCACAGCCTAAGAGATGCTCATAAATGAGTGAAGGTGGAGAGGTTGGCAAGGGCCGGATCACCCCCAACTTGCAGGCTGTGTAAGGAGTTATGAATTAGCACTGAAGGGATTTAAGCAAGGGAACCACAGGGCTCAATGTATGTCTAAAAAAGCCCCCTATGGCTGCTGTGTTGGAGACTGGGACTTGAAGGAAGCTAGACGCACAGCTTCTGAGTTGAGTTTTCCTCTTCTCATATTACACTGTCCTGTCGTTGTTTGGTTCCACCCCTCCCCTGCTGACCTCCCACCACACACCCAGCAGCCTCGCCAATGCTAAAGGACAGAGAAGTATTTGTAGCCCTCCATCAGCAGCCCTGACCCACAGGCAATAATTGCTTGCTAATTAGATCAGCTGTGACGGATCTTCCTAGGAAAGGGGTGTAGGTCCTGAGCCTTTGAGTCTAAGTATACTGTTCCGAAGGGGACCTATTTGGGCATCAAAATTCTTTGTTTAAAAAGAATCAGTTATATCAGTTCATAGTCTTACCCACTCCACACTGGCACCAGGGACTCTGGACCACAGATGGCTTGGTGAAGAGATACAGAGCAGAGAAGTATTACTGAAGAGCAGTCTAACTTGTGGTGAGATGTCATCCCCTCAAGCAAACTTGGTACACTATTTTAATACTGTGGGGAGCTTGGGCAAAAGGCTGTGTATTGTTCAGCTTTTCCTCCCCAGGGCCTTAGGAGGATGGTTGGAGAGAGAAATCTCTGCACATTTGAGGAATTAAACTGAATGTAGACAGATGTTGTGAAAGATGGGGAGCCCTGACTGCAGCTACTTTGTGGAATGCAAGGACCACCAAGATTAGATGGGAAATGTGATCTTGGAACTGGCATGGGTGCTGGAGGCAAGATGCGGTTTTGCATAAAGAGGCTGGTAGAAAGTGCTTTGGGTGACAGTTCATCTCCTGGGTGACATTTGTATATCTAAAGAGGATGGAAAGATGAACAACACAGTCTATTCTATGAGGATAATTATGTCAGGCGACCATATGCAGACTGCTAAGTTGTGGCGTTCCCATTCCAGTGGGCCAAGTGGCAGGCGATATAGTAATACTGTGATATGTTTGAGGTGTGTGGAAAGGAAGGCAGAATTCAGAGGGCAACAGGAATCATGACAGCCTTGGTACGACACTAGCAGGAAGAAAGAGCTATGACTGAAGAAGGCATTTGTCACCTTTGTTCCACACACATAGAATGACAGTGTAGTTGTCAGCTGTTGCAGATAAAGGGAAATTAGAATTACATTAGATATCTGGAAGAACTCTCCAGCTGTAAGAGTTTGGAGAGGCTGTGATTAGATTACCAAGCAGAAAAAAAAAATGGTTGCCTTATGTGACTGGGAATTTGTGAGTTGCATGCTATGTGCCAGGTATGGTAGTCATTGTATCTGTCATTGCAACTTCATGGAGCTGGTATTTTTATGCCCATTTTATGGATGTGAAATCTGAGGCCCATGATGGTTTGGTTTGCCCGGTGTCATACAGTGGGTAAGTGCCTGGTTTCAGTGCCTGTGTTTCTTCACCCACGCTCTTTAACTGGTGATTTTAACAAAAAGCTTCAACAATGATTTTTAGGGGCTTAATCATTCCCCTATTTATTTTTATTGGGTTTCCTCCAAGCCCTTATCCAGTGGCATATTCCTAAGAAGCCCTGGTAAAGCTTCTTAGGGCCAGGGCCACCCATCTTGGTTATGAGGACATTCCTGTGTCTTCCCTGAAACCACGGTCTTGCTAAATGTCGACTGAAAACATGTATGAATGAGACCTCCTCCGACTCCTGCCAATTGATGGGGCCCAACATTTAGCAGGTCATGCAATCAAGCTCTGCAGATGGACGTGCTCTTTCTTTCCTCAAGAAAGAGATATCCAGGCATCTGAGGACTTAGCATAGAAAAAGCTCTAGGTGGGAACGAAGGTGGCCACATTGTACATCTTCAAAGAGTTTAAATTAGTTGTGTAATTTTTAAAAAAATTTGGGAAACTTTCACATAAAAAAAGTCTTCATCTCCTTTTGAAAAACTAGAAGCTCCACCATTCTGTTTCCTGGTATCTGGCACTCTTCATTCCTTACCTTGCTTGTAGAAATCAGAGTTTGTAACCCTTAAGCTAGAACAAAGCTAACTGACCCAAATGCCCAGCTGATGTTCTGTGCATAAGCACCAAAAGAGCCATACTGATCATTGAAAGTACGAGATACTTCCTGCTCCCATCTGGGGAGCTTTTAAACTACCCTTACCTGGCAACTGCCCTGCACCAATTGAATCAGTACCCCTGAGGATGGAGTTCATACTAGTATTTTCCTTTTTTATAAGCTCCCCAAGTGGCTCTAATCTGCAGCCAAGTTAGGAAGCTCCGCTTTAGGGTTTCCCCATAAATAGCACTCCAGGCTTGGGTCTCTGTCAGAGAGATGAGCTCCTGAAATCTTGTATGCAAAGTGGCTGTTTAGTCTGCTCACAGCATCTCTTAGGTGACCCCATTCACCCTGTCCTGACAAGCAACTGGGTCTTTATGACTTTTACGTCTATGCTTCCAGAGTTAAGACATGTTTTTACAGAATTGTGGGTGGGGAAAGAGAATAGATGAGGAATGAACCGAGAATTATTTCCTTTTTCCTTTGAAATGCTTTGGACATTAAGACTATCATATGGCAAAGCTTAAACTTCCTAGGAAACAAGTAATGACATTTCGAAGCCACTTGCTCTTTAGGTGCATCCTTGCTTCAGAAGTAAGACACATAATAAAATATAAGACAAACGTGACAGGTTTCTTTGAAGTCTTTTTCATCTCCTGAGGAGAAATTTTCATCAGCAAGCATTGGGAGAGCTTGGTCTCTGTGGGTGTGTGACGGCCGCTGTAGGCGAAGCTACAATTATATCCATTCCAACCAACCCCCGCTGCAGGGTGCCGGGCAAAGGCCATGTCCATCAGTGATGTCTTCATCCAGGGCTACCCTGGTCAAGAGTGCAAATGGCAGAAAATGACATTTGCGTCTGGGCAAAAAGCATCATAAATGTTCACAGCTGTGGCTCCTCAGGGTCTTCCTTATCACTCAGGCATGGTGGGTTTTGTGTTCACTCAGGGTGAGACCTTTGCTCTTCCATCAGCCAGAAGGCTTCCAGGGCCTCCTCTGTCTACTCAGAGGGAAGATATTTGCTGGAGCACCAGACAGGTCTCAGTCCAAAGTTCAAGGTCTTTGTCATAAAGTGGCCAGTCCCGTTTCACATTTGGAAAGTCAACGCTTGCACTTGGAGACTCAGCCTGACATTTATTTCCAGCTTCCCATGGAAAACAACTTTGTTTTTCAGGAAACAAGGAGGATATTAAACACTAGAGAATCTCTTTTACAATATTTAAAGATTTTTTTTAGAATTCAAGTTTTATTTTCTCTTTTGCTCCTTTTTCTATCTCCTTTAAAAAAATGATAAAATTGGTAACAAAGTAGAAGGGCAATGTAAATTAAAAAACACTAGGTTTTCAGAGGATCTGGATTCAACCTCCTTCCCACTTACCTGGGGACCTGCATACAGTTACTTAAATAATCAGTTTTATCACCTGCAAAACTGGGAGCAGAATGTCTGCTCAAGGTGAGGATAAATAAGTCTTTCATCAAGGTTTGATGATTTACTATTTAGGGGGCTTATCTCTGCATGCCAGGAACTCTTGGGAAGCCCCTTGGAGTGTGTTCACGACCACTTAAATGAGAGGACAGTGGAAATCTCTGCTGAAATAAGAATGACTTGACTTTATCCATTTATACTGGCTTAGCTATGGAACTGTTCATGTTTTACAAGGGCTGGTCTTGAAATTTTGGGCTCAAGAGATCCTCTTGCCTCAGCATCCCAAAGTGCTAGGAATACAGGCATGGACCAAGAATGTCATCTGATGAATTTAGATTAAAGAGAGAAGAGGAGTAACATTGACACTCCTGTGTGGTGCCTGGGTAGCCCTGAATAAGCCTCATCTTGGCCAGTCCCTTGCCAAGAACATCTTTCCTTTCTTCTCTGCTCAAACGAACAATTCCACCCTTTGAAGCCTAGTTCATTTAATAACCTGCTTTTTCGATTGCCCCAGCCTAAAGAGCTTGCCTTTTCTGCACTTTTAATTCACTCATTGTCATTTATGATTGATGATTTATTTAACTATTTAATTAGTGATTGATGTCCTAGATTCCATTTTAATTGAATGCAATTTGTCTCATATTGCTGTTTAATTTTTTCATTTATCTCTGTCTAGTGGAAATGGCAGTGATCTGAATTTTACTTTTGGCTTTACTTCAAACTGTGTATCCTAAGAAAGATAGGTAACCTTTCTGGGCTTCAGAGCCCCAGTTATAAAACTCCATAATTCTGTTTCTTACCTTACCACTCAAGCTTAGTTTCTTACATGATTCTTGTTGAATTGTTTTATTTTGTTGTCAGAGTCATCGTAGTAGGCTGTTTCTAACATGGTCCCCCATGATCCCTGCTTCCTCCTATTCACACCCTTGTGTAATCCCCTGCCCTTAAGTGTGGGCTGGACTCAGTGAATTGAATATGGTAAAAGTGATGGGATGTCAAGTCTGTAATTAGTTTGGAAGAGACTGTGACTCCTGTTTTGTTAGTATCTTCTCACATGCTTGCTCCAATGGAGAGGGTGACTTAAAAAGGAATTGAGAGTGGCTTCTGGTCAAGAGTCAGCAAGTAACTTAGTTCAACAGCCTGTGAACAACTGAATCTTACTAACAACCACTGAGTTATCATGGAAGCGGATCTGGTCCCAATTGAACTTTGAGATAGCTGAGCTCTAGTTAACACCTTGTGATTGTAGTCTTGTGAGAGACCCTAGGCTAACACCTTAATTGTAGCCTCATGACAGATTTTAAAGCAGAGGAGCCCGCTAAGCCATGCCTGAATTTCTGCCCACAGCCATGCCCACAGCAATGGTGAGATACTAAATGTGTGTTGTTTGAAGCCACTAAGTTTTTGAGAAATTTGTTATGCAGCAGTAGATAACTAATACTATCTGTGAGATATCTACCTGTATTGATCAGATTAGGCTAAATTATGCTGCAGTAACAAATGACCAAAAATCTCAGTAGCTTACATCCACAAAAGTTTATTCCTTACTCACATTATATGTCCATTGAAGGTTGGCTGTAACTATGGTTAACATTTTCTTCCCTTCAGAACACTCCAGAACTCAGGCTGACAGACCTGCCTCTATCTGGAACATTGCAAATCATCCTGGAAGAGGAAAAAGAGAGCAGGGCAAAGTATGCGTTGGTTTTTACAGCTTCCGCATGGAAAGGTTATATCATACATCTACTTGTATTTCTTGGGCCAGTGCTAGTCACATGGTCACATATCAGTTCAACAGGGCCCCAAAGTATAATCCTCCTCCAAGAAGGGGCACTACATATTTGTGAACAGTGACACAGTGTAAATGGTACATGGTCAGAGGGAGTGGTAGCCTTGCCGTGCTATGATGTACAGAAAAGAGAAGGAACAGCTTACGTCCACAAATGGATGTGTATAGAAAGCCCAAGTCTTGTCTAAGAGACAAGGCTATGATTGAAGAGCTATCTTTCCTAGAGAAGAGTGAAAAATTAAGGGAATGTGAAACAGTAAGGGAAGTTGAGGGTTTTTACCAGCCCCATAGTCTCCATTGTCACTTCCCTAAGATCCCCCACAACCAGTGAACTCTCTGTGACAAATGCAGCTTCAAGACATGCCCCCTAGCACCCTTCTTCTGATTGGTTAGATTGCCTTCCCTAAATTCTCTAAGTTTTCTCTGTATAGAAATATAAGCACCTCCCTTGTCTTTATAACTTTATGAATAATCCTGTTCATAAAGTTAAACTGTGTTTTCATACAACTGTCTCGCAGCAGTCAATTAATGGGAGAGGAAACCTGAAACATGGTCCTGGGCAAGCCTGCCATCCTATGGGCTTCAGTCTTCTCAAAGTCCCACTCTAATCTCGCCTTCCTGAGTAATAAGCACAGTCCCTGTGGGCTTTCCGCAAATGTTGGAGGAGCTTAAGGAGTGATTGCTAGCTCATCTACCTCAGAGGCCTCACCAGGCTGGCTTTGGAGAAGCAGCTTCATGGGAAGTGCTGAGATCTGAATGGTAATACATCTAGCTTGCAGAGAAGCTTGCAGGAGAAGTCAGACCCTGACTTAGCTGGTAAGCCAAGCCAACGTGATGAATCTATTGCTAAAACCAGAATCAGATTAAACTTCTCCTGACACACAGCAGATAAACGTCAGGGCCAGAAATCCCCTAAAAAATAAAGGAGAGATTGGTTGATGATCCTTCCTCCCATAAAATATACTTTTGCCCCCAGGCCCTGCCTCTCTGGATCATGCCAGATGGTATTCTGTTTTTCCTGAGGTTATAATTTATGTCAAAAGAAATAGACCTCACTTAGATGAGTTCTGAAGGAAGCATAGAAGAGTCTCAGAATTGTGGTTTAAAAAGTGACCTTAGATGCCTTTAAAGACAAACTCCTGTCCTGCACAGGAATAATTTTCTCCAAGTCCATAATCTAGGCCATCAAAAACACACTGGAAATTGGTGATCAGGGACAAGATTTAAACTCCCCAGGATTCTTTAGGGTATGATCCTGCCCAAGTTTCTTCCCCCTCGTATTGCACCATGGAGTGTGAGGGGAAAGCACTGCAGTAGAAGTCTGTGGCAAAAGTGTGGAGACTATACCTCTTCCAGTGACACAGCAAGTTTTGCATTTAGAAAAATTGTTCCATCTTGCAATTGAAATGCACTTAGTTGTCAGAGGAACTGTTGAGAGAGGCCATAGTCTATACTTCAGATATCCTGCTTCTGAGACTGACTATCTGTTAAACAATTTATTCCTCTCTGGCACATTTTTTTTTCCTGGTATGAGGATGATAATGGTGTTTCTAGACAGTAAATTGTCAGTGCTTCTAAAGTGCTTGGTGCATCACAGATTATGTACTTTACTGAATGGTCATCTAGTTAGTGTCTACAGGTTATCTTTCATTTCATAGCAATTAACTTTCCCCTATACATCTGGTTATCAGGCACTATAATAAATACTGGGAATATAAGAGTGATTAGATACATTCCCTGCCCTCCAGGATCTCCTTGTCTAGCAAGTGAGATAGATATATGATCATATGATGGAACACATTAGACGTATCAATAAATATGTGTATAAAGATCTATAGAAACAAAGACAAGGCAGATCTCATGGTGTGATGGAGCCGTGATGAGGAAGACTTCAGATAGAATGTGTCTCAAAGTATGAGTTTTTTTTTTTTGAACAGATGGTTCACAAAAGAAGATATATTAATGGCCAATAAACATATGAAAAGATGTTCAACATCATTAGTCATCAGAAAATTGCAAAATAAAACCACAAAGACATATCATTTCACTCTCACTTGATTAGGTAAAATTATAGACCAATCGTACCAATGCTGGCAAAGACATAGAACTACCCTAGCCTACTGGTGGAAATATAAAATGATACAATGACTTTGGCAGTTTGTTAAAAAAATTACACATACATCTACCAAAAGAACTAGCCATTTCACTCCTAAGCACTTACTCAAGAGAAGTGAATACATATGTTCATAAAAAAACTTGCACATAAATGTTCATAGCAGCTTTGTTTGTTATATCAAAAACGGAAACAACTCCAATGTCCATCAACAGATGAATGGATAAACAACTGTGATATATTCACACGACGGAATGCTGCTTAGCTATGGAAAGAAATGAGTTATTGATACACACAATAACATGTTTGAGTCTCACAATAATTATGCTGAGTGAAAGAAGACAGACAAAAAAAGTACATATCGTATGACTTCAATTATACAAAATTCTAGAGAATGCAAACTAACCTGTGATGATAGAAAAATGAGTCAGTGGTTGCCTGGGGACAGGATGGAGGAAGGATGGATTGCCAAGGGGCAGAAGGAAACTTCTGAAGGTGATTGAAACTTTTATCTTTATTGTAGTGATGGTTTCACAGTGTATATATGTGGCAGACATAAACTAAGGTGACGCCAGTGATCTCTGCCTTTTGTATTCACCCCTTTGTGTGATCCCCTTTCCTTGAGTATGGATGGGAACTGTGAATTGCTTCTAACCAATACCATATAGCAAAAGTGATTAACTGTTACTTCTGCAACTACATTACATTATTTAAAGCTCCATCTTTTTTTTAAAAAAATTATACTTTAAGTTCTGGGACACATATGCAGAATGTGCAGGTTTGTTTCATAGGTATACATGTGCCATGGTGGTTTGCTGCACCCATCAACCCATCATCTACATTAGGTATTTCTCCTAATGCTATTCCTCCCCTACTTCCCCACCCCCCAACAGGCCCTGATGTCATGTTCCCCTCCCTGTGTCCATGTGTTCTCATTTTTCAACTCCCACTTATGAGTGAGAACATGCGGTGTTTGGTTTTCTATTCCTGTGTTAGCTTGCTGAGAATGATGGTTTCCAGCTTCATCCATGTCCCCGCCAAGGACATAAACTCATTCTTTTTTTTTTTTTTCTTTTTTGAGATGGAGTTTTGCTCTTGTTGCCCAGGCTGGAGTGCGATGGCACGATCTCTGCTCACCGCAACCTCCGCCTCCTGAGTTCAAGTGATTCTCCTGTCTCAGTCTCCCGAGTAGCTGGGATTGCAGGCACCCACTACTATGCCCAGCTAATTTTGGTATTTTAGTAGAGACAGGGTTTCACCATATTGGCCAGTCTGGTCTTGAACTCCTGACCTCAGGTGATCTGCCCACCTCAGCCTCCCAAAGTGCTGGGATTACAGGTGTGAGCCACCGCCCCTGGCCTGAACTCATCCTTTTTTATGGCTGCATAGTATTCCATGGTGTATATATGCCACATTTTCTTTATCCAGCCTATCATTGATGGGCATTTGGGTTGGTTCCAAGTCTTTGCTATTGTGAATAGTGCTGCAATAAACACACGTGTGCATGTGTCTTTACAGTAGAATAATACTTTGGGTATATACCCAGTAATGGAATTGCTGGGTCAAATGGTATTTCTGGTTCTAGATCCTTGAGGAATTGCCACACTGTCTTCCATAATGGTTGAACTAATTTACATAAAGCTCCATCTTAGCAGACTGCACTTAAACAGTCACCTTTTGTCCTTAATGAAGTGGCCATATTGAGGGAACTCAGGTGGTAAAGAATGAAGGGTGGCTTCTAAAAACTATGAGTTGCCTCTTTAAAACCTGAGGGTGGCCTGCAGCCAACAGCTAGCAAGAGGTGGGGGCCTTTAATCATACATCCACAAGGAAATAAATTCTGCCGATAGGAAGCATGAGGTTTTTAGATGTTCAAGGTATGGTAAAGACATTCGAGGACTAGGAAAGGGCATGAACAAAGGCAGACACATGTGTAGTCATTAGTGTTGTTCCATAATGTTTGCATTCTAGGTACTTGTTAACACTGTAATTCTTAGTCCTTTTGACTTTGGTGGAGCTGTGTGATTACTTCAGGCTAATGAGTTGGAAGGAAAAGTGAAGTATCACTTATGAGTCAAAGCTTTTAGTTGTTCATTAAAGACTGTCCAGAACTCTTTTTTCCATTTGGAACAAAATTAGCCACTTTAGAGATGGTGGATGATCTGTCAGTCTGGGTCCCTGAGTGACGATGAATAGAACAAACTCTTTTTTCCATTTGGAACAAAATTAGCCACTTTAGAGATGGTAGATGGTCTGTCAGTCTGGATCCCTGAGTGACGATGAATAGAACACTCCATCAATTCTTGATGCACATGGGACACGAGTGAGAAATATAACTGCATATTTTTTAAGTCACCAAGATTTGGGAGTTGTTTGTTGTAGCAGCATAACCTAGTAAATTCGGTGCAAAATTAAGAAATAAGGCTGATGTACCTACAAAGTAAAATATATCTGATGGAACTGGTTGGGAGCAGAGAAAAATGAGATTAGAAATATGGCCAGAGCCATATTATAAGAAACTTCAACACCATGCTGAGAAGTTGACTTGAACCTATAGACAATGAACAATCACTGAATGATTCAAAATTGCTCCCTATTAAGTCATATAGTTAATTTCTTGGGTATTCTAATCAGCTGCTTTAGTGCTAGTTTTACACTTTCTGTAAGCTTAGGAGATCTGGATCTGGAAAAGTTAGAGGAGAAGATGGTGTTAGCGGTGGCATGTAAAGTGTGGTTTTGGCATGCCACCCCTGCCGCACTCCAACAAGGTGTGCTGTGCTGGGATCCAGATAAATGTTTCCTTGTCCTAGGAAACAATCTATCTCTTGGTCAGTGCTATCTCCCTATATCTGAAAAGGACCACTTTTCTCAGGCTAGACCTTTAGGTTAAAAGCTTGTTTTTAGTATTTGAAAAATGAAATCTTTTGGGTTCATCTGTGCTCCTACCACCTGTTTATTGGATCCAAATTTGGAACTATCTATTGCCACTCTGGATTTTCTTTTTGTGCTCCAAAGTTCCTTTTCAGGCTTGTTTCCCATTATGCTTCCCCGTCTCTCACATTCCCATGCACCCTGCTCTCCAGCAACCCAGAGCACTCAGTGCTCCCCAGATCTCCTACCTTGATGACTTGACTTTGCTGCCTGCCCGCCCCCAAGGTCCCAGAGTGGGATGTTTGCTATTGTTGGAATTCTACCCATCCCCTAGGACTCAGTAGCTCATTCAAAGGATGCCCCTTTTTCACGAAGATTCCCTCTTGTGGCAATGAATCTCTGACTTCTCTGGGCTCCTCTTTCTCTAGTAGGACCCTCATCTCACTAAGTCATTGTATTTTAGGAGTTTGTGGACGTGGGCACAAATGACTAGACCCAAAGATCCTCAAGGCAAGAAGTGTCTGGATTATCTCAGCAGTCCTCAAAATACTTAGCAGAGTTGTGAGCATATAGGGCACCCAGATTTTAAAATTAAGTCTTGAAATGGAAAGCTTTTCAATTGGAAGCTTAAAAAATTGACTGAAAAGCTTTGTTTAATTTCGCCTGCTTTGCTCCTTCAGAAGCAGTCTGTAAAGCACATGTTCTTTGCTACTGCATCTCCACCCCTCCCAATTTAGAACCGACTCCAAGTGTCCTTTACTTACAGATTATTTTCTTTCAGATAGTGATAAAGATGTTTAGTTAGAACACAGTGAATAGCAGTTCCTTTGGAAGGCTATGGCTTGGAAGTAAACAGAACATAAATGTCAATGGGAATTAATCTCTCTTCTGCAGGGAGGAAGAGTGGAGAGCAAACAATGTAGAAATGAAAAAAAGTCACCCAAGAGATTGCATATGTGTACCAAAGAGAACAGAGTGATGTTTAACTTGGAGGAAAGTGCAACTAACACAAATAAGGAGAAACAGTCTTAAATATGAATATTTAGGAAGTCAATAAAACTGAGGACTTACCAAAATTTAAATTGAAATTTTAAATTTTTATTTTATTTTTGTCACAGGGGCTCACTTTGTCACCCAAGCTGGAGTGCAGTGGTGGTGTGATCATGGCTCATTGCAACCTCAACTTCTTGAGCCCAATTAATCCTCCTACCTCAGCCTCCTGAGTAGCTGGGACTACAGGCATGTGCCACCACTTCTGACTAATTTTTTTTTTCTTTTCTTTTTTTTTTTCTTTTGTAGATATGTGGTTTCACCATGTTGACCAGACTGTTTTTTTGTTTTGTTTTGTTTTGTTTTGTTTTTGAGACAGAGCCTCGCTTTGTCACCTAGGCTGGAGTGTAGTGGTGTGATCTCAGCTCACTGCAATCTCTGCCCTGCTGGGTTCAAGTAATTCTCCTGCCTCAGCCTCCCAAGTAGCTGGGATTACAGGTGCATGCCACCACACCTGGCTAATTTGTGTATTTTTAGTAGAGATGGGGTTTTGCCATGTTGGCCAGGCTGATCTCAAACTCCTGACCTCAGGTGATCCACCTGCCTTGGCCTCCCAAAGTGCTGGGATTACGGGCGTGAGCCATTGTGCCCAGCCAGACCAGACTGGTCTTGAACTTTTGAGCTCAAATAATCCTCTTGCCTCGGCCTTCCAAAGTGTTAGGATTACAGGTGTAAGCCACTGCACCTCGCTGAAATTGAGGATGTTTTACTGTTGAACAAGACTTGGTTGGGGTGAGGGATGGGAGAGGAGGGTTAATGGTTAACAAAGTAGTCTGATATTTGGGAAATACGACAACCTAAGAGGCCAGTGTTATTCTGAGTTACATAGGAACAGAAATTATTCACAACTGAAGGAGAAAGGAAGGGAGAGAGAAATACTAAAGCTTAGGAAAAAACATCACTGTGGTGTTAAATTCTGCCATGACCTTCTCATTACTTAAAATCTTAGGGCTCTAGGGTTCTAATTTAGTAATATTGAACACATATGTTTTAAGGGGTGTGTGTGTGTGTTTTCTTTTTTCCAAGAACAATACAGACATCGTTTTCTTGCCAAGTCACAAATCAATTGATGGGTTATTTTTATAGTGAAAAGTTCAGGACTCCAAGAGTTAGGCATGAGTAAGAAGAGGTTTTTAAAATGTTCTCAGATAGCAGTATGTTGTAAGTAGATCTTGCTGGCACTGGTTTCTTGGCTGTCTGCTTATGAGATTTCTTTACTTGAGCTATTTCAAAGAGCAGGACTGGAGGCCTACTCTATCTCAGAAAAGATGATTAAGAGAGATTTGTTCACATTAAATCTCCAAAGACCCATCCTGGCCATTGCTTCTCTTTCATGAGGTGACCTGCCTCCCTTTTCTATATCTGGGGTGAGAAGTAGTAGTTAAATTCCATATGATTTTAATTGCTTGGGGCATCAGTGATGGGCTTTTTTCCCCTAATGGAGTCATTACAAAGTAGTAAGAATATACAAATTCTCCTAACAGGGCATAATATGAAGACTGTGGAATGTCTCATGCTTTTGTTTCTTTTTGAGTTTTAACTTACATAAAAGTTGTCTTTGGGAAGAAGATAGCCTAGAATTTACTATACCATGCTAGCTAAAGACAGTTTATAAAGTCATTCTGTTCAAGATGAAGAAAAGCCTGTGGTATGTAAGTGACAAAGATGCCCCTGGCTTGTTTCACAGGATTTTCCAAGAGTCCTTTCCCTAACCCCTTAACTAAATGTGCCTTCCTTATAAGAAAATGATAGCACCAACTCAAGTTCAGCAAGATTTAAACTTTGGATTTTTTTCCAATAGAAGTAGCACAAAGGGAAAGTTATTACTTGTGTCTGGGTAGAACAAAATTGGAGAGAAAGTATTGCATTGACAATATCTACATCCTTCAGGAAGAATAGGCTAAAATCTTATTTGAGATTATTTTTCTTCTGAAGCTTAGAATAGTTTAAAGATCACTGGAGATGGTTTTTGCAGTGAGTGTCAATATGTCTCTGTAAGGTTTTAACAGTAAAACGTGCTGCCACTGAAGTTTTCTTGTGCAGAATCAAAAGGTATGTGTGGAAGGCAGAGCTGAGGGAGGTGTTAGATACATTTTCAAGTTGGGTTTACCCCACAGCAAAATATTTTGATGCTGTTAATATGTGTGCTATTCATTAGAAGAGATATCACTTCTTGAATTGCTTCCCAGTGAGTATTTGAGTACCAATTAAATACTTGATAGTTGAAGTAACCAGGCATATATTGTGTATTAAACTATCTTAATGACCCACATAATCTGCTATGCAATAAATTTGTGGGAGAAAAGTATTGATAGATGGTTTGGATTGAGTAGTCATAGATATTTACACTGAGATTTAAATAACAGAAGTAGTGAGCCTTTTGGAAATACAGGAAGACCTTTCAAGGAGGGGTAAGTGCAAAGACATCAAAGTATGAATGAGATTGGCCTGCTAGAGGACCAGAAAGAAGGCCATGTGAGGTTGGAGTGGAGGAGTCTGGGGCAGAGTGGTAGAACATGAGGTGGAGAGGGGTGAAGATCATATAATGCTTTGCAAGTCAGGATGAGGAATCTAGATTCAGTGCTTAGTAAGATTAGGAGTCATTAGTGTATTTTAAGGGGAAAAATACTCTGGTTGGTGGTGAACTATGGAGTAGAGGAAGGCAAGAGAAGATAGGGTGGGGATTAAGTGGTAGACATTAAGTTGACTGGGGCAGCTGTCTAGGACTGGGTTGTAGTAATGGGGATGGAGAAGAGTGGATGAATTTAGGAACAGTTGAGGGAAAGATGGTGTGGTGAAGGAAGCCAGGTGAGCAAGCAGGTCTAAGCGGGAAAGCATTGCTTTTCCTACAGGAATTTTCCTGTGCATTCAGGCTGTAAGGATCTCAACTTTTAAAAAAGCCACATTGTTCTCCCAAGTTGTTGGGGAGCTGGTTCACCATTGACTTCTGATCTCTGGAGATATTTTCATAATCATGGAGCTGTCTTTCTTTTCACTCTTTTACTCTCTTTCTAGACAGGCTTCTTGGATACCAAGGGTTGGTGGTGGGTGGGGGGAGGTTCTGGGGATGGTTAAATTTGCCTGGGCAGCCTCAAAGTTCAAAAAGGAGGGACAGGGAAGCTTAGCTAAGAACCAGGAGTTTGACATACTTAATCTCTCATTTCATCCTACTGATGACTTTGTGAGGTATATCTTTTTAATCCTAGATCTACAAAAGAGAAAGCTGAGGCTTGGAGAGGTTCTTCATTTTGTTCAAAGTCATACAACTTTTACGTGGTGTAGCCAGGATGGGAACCAGAGCCTGGCTCTCTGCACTTCCAACACCACTGCTGAATCCGGGTTTGTCTGTTTTCCCTCTCTTCTTTTAACTATTGTCACACAGATTCCATCATAGAACCCATCACGTGGAGGGCCACTATTTCTCTTTCTTTTGTATAGTATGTTTGCTTCCCCTACCCCACAGAGTAAGGTGCTCAGCAAATGTGGCTGTCTGGAGGCAACACCCCCTTCTCACCGCCACACTTGGGGTTGGGGTGCGAGGCAAGGCAGGGCTGGCGAGGTGGATGTTGCAGCTGTCACCACTGCTAGGTGTTGGGAAACGACTCTCCTGCCTGTGCATTGACCCGAAGGCATTTTCCATTTCCTAGGCCCCTCCCGCTTCCCGTCCCTCACCTCTAGCCCCTCGGCTTCAGCTCAGGCCCCTCGGGGAGCATCCCTTGCCGTGAGACTGACAGCCTTTGGGGGCGCAGGGTCCTGTTCTCTGCGCTCTAGCCCATCTGTGCGCAGAGCCTCGTTCCCAGGCGCCTGGAACCCGGCGGGCATTGACGTCAAGCGCCGGCGGAGCGCTGCCTACAGACGGTTGACCCGGGCCCTCCTCCACACCCCCTTCCTTCTTCGCCTCCTCCCTCTTTCCTGCACGGGGGCTCGGGCTCACTATAAAAGGTGGGAGCGCGTGGTGCCCCAGCAACGACGAGTTTCAGAACGATGGAGAGCTCCCGCGTGAGGCTGCTGCCCCTCCTGGGCGCCGCCCTGCTGCTGATGCTACCTCTGTTGGGTACCCGTGCCCAGGAGGACGCCGAGCTCCAGCCCCGAGCCCTGGACATCTACTCTGCCGTGGATGATGCCTCCCACGAGAAGGAGCTGGTCGGTATTCCCCTCGCTCTCGACCCCCTTGAGCTGTCGCCTTGTCTCTTCTCTTGCACGCCTCCCTCCTCCCCCCACCCCCACTCCTATTCCCAGAGTCAGGGCGCGGGGAGCTGAGCGCAACGCCCAGGCACCCACTGCCATCCGAAGAGCGTCTCGAGCTCACGGGCTCCTGGCAGTCTGTTGAGCGAATCCCTCATCCCGGCCCCTCTGAGCAACAGGGACCCCAGCGGCTCAGAGACCCGCGGTCAGTACCTGGGACAGCGTCCGCTAAGTTTCCACCCCTCGACCATTCCCTGTGTCCGCGGAGTCCCACCGCAGAGTGCGTGTGGGTCCGGGGCTCCTTATAACTAGGGCTGGAAGTGCGCACCTGGGCTGGGCTCGCAGCCAAGGCGGCAACTTCAGGCTCCGAAGCGGTGTGTTGCAGATCGAAGCGCTGCAAGAAGTCTTGAAGAAGCTCAAGAGTAAACGTGTTCCCATCTATGAGAAGAAGTATGGCCAAGTCCCCATGGTAAGGTTTGTGGTCACTCCCTTCCCGTGTTTTTCCAAGAGAAAGTACACCGCCTTGAATCGTACACACAGTCTTCTCCGTAGGATGTGGCTAAATAACTTAGGTAATGGGCTTGCAGGATTCTGTGGGCTCCTTCTTCCTTCCCGGGTGAGGAAATGGGAAAGCAGGAACAGGGGTTGTAAGAAAGTGTAAGTCTATTGTTTGTTGCTCAGGAAAAAGGTCTGATTTTTTTCCCCTCTGAGAGGGCAAGAAAAGGAGCCAGGAAATGTGATGCTCCCCTTCCCACGCCCCCCAACCCTCGCCACTTAAAGGTGGAAGAAACTAGGATAAAACTAATAATGTAAGTTTCTTTAAAAAATGTACTCTCACTGAGGTTATAAGCACAAGGCTCCCTGTTTCAGATCTGACTGTACGTAGACCTCTTGTGATGGTGATGGGGTCCAATTGCCCCTTTCAAGAGACAGAAATTGCGTTGACTGTGAGACTTGCCTGTTGGGAACCTGGGTTTGTTCATACTCGATGACCACACATTTTGTTGTTTCAGTGTGACGCCGGTGAGCAGTGTGCAGTGAGGAAAGGGGCAAGGATCGGGAAGCTGTGTGACTGTCCCCGAGGAACCTCCTGCAATTCCTTCCTCCTGAAGTGCTTATGAAGGGGCGTCCATTCTCCTCCATACATCCCCATCCCTCTACTTTCCCCAGAGGACCACACCTTCCTCCCTGGAGTTTGGCTTAAGCAACAGATAAAGTTTTTATTTTCCTCTGAAGGGAAAGGGCTCTTTTCCTGCTGTTTCAAAAATAAAAGAACACATTAGATGTTACTGTGTGAAGAATAATGCCTTGTATGGTGTTGATACGTGTGTGAAGTATTCTTATTTTATTTGTCTGACAAACTCTTGTGTACCTTTGTGTAAAGAAGGGAAGCTTTGTTTGAAAATTGTATTTTTGTATGTGGCATGGCAGAATGAAAATTAGATCTAGCTAATCTCGGTAGATGTCATTACAACCTGGAAAATAAATCACCCTAAGTGACACAAATTGAAGCATGTACAAATTATACATAATAAAGTGTTTTTAATAATTGCCCATAGTGCACTGCTGTTTTCATATAAGTAATTTAAGTGGAAATGGTGAGATTAATCATGCTGTTGTTTTCAAAGAAAAATATTTTAAAAATAGCAGCCTATTGGGAAAATGGCACCTTAGCTCCAAGGAGTTTTGATCGTTAATTAGAAGTTTGCCAAGCCAGTTTTAGTATACTCTATTTTTCTTTGATTGCAGCGATGTGGTGTGTGTATGTGTGTGTGTATGTGTGTGTGTGTGTGTGTGTGAGAGAGAGAGAGAGAAAGAGAGAGATGAATGAGATGGAGATGGTTGGAGTTGAGGTTATATAATTTTGTTTATTAAAACCTTTAGCCAGACCCTTTACTTTAAACAGTGAGACCAATAAACTATAAACAGTTTCATGTTTTAGTCACATTAAAAGCAATTTGAAAAATTAGAAATTTTGTTTTGACAACTCCCTTATTAGAAAATATACATTGATTTAAAGATATGGGCTGTTTAGGGTTGTTATTTGTCTAAAGACTCCAAGGTTATAAGACCCATTCATTCCCACAAGTAAATTCACACTCTTGGAAAAAATTCTCTATTCCAGGAGAAAGAGTCATTTCAGAAAATAGTTTTGAGGGGAACAAATAAAAATTGGAGGAGGTGAGAATTCAACTCAAGAAATTAAAACATATTAAATGTAAAGTTAAGTAGCTTTTAAATATTTCTGAGTGCTTATTTGAGGTCACATTTCCAAGGGTTTAAACCAGACTAAGTAACATCTAAGTAGCAGCATCATGAGAGAAATAAATGTTAACAGCTTCCTAATCCAAACTCAAGAGGCACTTGCATAATAGCAGAATTGAAAAATAAAGCCCCTCCACGGATTCATAGGGAGTTTTCTGATAGAAAATATTCTTATACACAGTTACCATTTTCAGTGTGATTATTATTATTAGCATGCCTAATCTTGCAAGATAGATATTATTACTATTTTTCAGAGTAGAAAACAGAGGGCAAGAGAATTATGGAATTTGCTTACACCATATAATCCTAAATAATAATTTTAGCTGTAATCCCTTTGACTCCAAAGATTTGTCCTTTTTCTCCATGTCACTTAGGCAATCAACAGACTGGGCTTTGAATTCCCCAGAAAGCACATCTTTCCTTAATAAAAATTGCTCACTGGGGGCCAAGGTGTATTTTTTGGGGCTGTGTTTCCGTTTGAATTCCCCTACACAAGCCTATATGTGATTAGAATGTGGTATTTTTGTTTGTTTCTTTTCTTTTCTTTTCTTTTTTTTTTTTTTTTTGAGACAGGGTCTCACTCTGTCACCCAGGCTGAAGTGCAGTGGCACAATTACGGCTCACTGCAGCTTCGATCTCCCAGGCTCAAGTGATCCTCCCACCTCAGGCTTCTAAGTAGCTTGGACCACAAGCATGCACCACCATGCCTGGCTAACTTTTGTATTTTTAGTAGAGACGGAGCTTCGCCATGTTGTCCAGGCTGATCTCAAACTCCTGGGCTTAAGCGATCTGCCCACCTTGGCCTCCCAAAGTGCTGGGATTACAGGCGCGACACACGTCGCCCAGGCAGAATGGGATATGTTTTAATTTTTAATAAGTGCAAGTAGTTATTTAATAGTTTCACAGTCTGCTACTTTTCCAGAAATCATTTCAGTTAGAATATTCTTGAGCCCCTTAACTATTCCTATCTATCACTCCTAAATAAGTCAGATCAGGAAATTGCTTTAGTGAACAGGCAGTACCGTCAGGGCTAACACACAGAACTGCTTTCTCTCCTTATTATTTTTTTTAGAGACAAGGTCTCACTCTGTTGCCTAGGCTGGAGTGCAGTGGTGCCATCCTGGCTCACTGCAGACTCAAATTCCTGGGCTTAAGGAAACCTCCCACCTCAGCCTCCCAAGTAGCTAGGACTATAGATGCACACAACCACACCTGGCTGATTTTTTAAAATTAATTTTTGGAGAGATGGGGTCTTGCTTTATTGCCCAGGCTAGGTCTTGACCTCCTGGGCTCAGGCAATCCTGCCTCTGCCTTCCAAAGCACTGAAATTACAGGTATGAGCCATCACACCTGGCCAGAACTGCTTTCCCTTTTAGCCTGGTGTGTTTCCCCAAAAGCAAGAGATGCTGGAGGAATCTGGAGTTCAAAGAAAAGAATATAAACTTGACTCTAAACCTTTTTAGCTTGTTCCCCTCACCCCTGCCTTTACTCTGTCATCCCTCCTTTCTTGTTTGATGAGACTAAGGGATATGGACAAGTGGCTATAGGAAATTGGTAATGGGGAATCTGTGGGCTCTGTATGAAGAGGCTTTTTTTTTTTTCCAAAAATTTTGTCTGGGGGCCCAGATTTTCAGTTAATGGTGTTAATATGTTCTGCACTAATGATAGCAGCACTTAATTTTTGATGGCTTGTTAAAAGTAACTTTGCCTTCCCATTTTATCAATACTGGAGTGATCAATCTTGGTGAGTATTGGGGTAGAAGATCAGAGCTGGAGTCCAAGTTTCTGCCCTGTCATACAGTCATAGCTGCTGATCCCATGGGGTGAGTGGCTCATACATCCCATAACCCAAGGGCCAGGTTCCTTTCTCAGAGGTTAACATCTAATCCTATATCCTGGACATTGCTCAGCATGCAAGAGGCAGTGGAAAGTCACAAACCTGCTCTTGCTCTTGTCCCCATCATGAGTCCCCCGGCCCCCTTAAATGATGTTGTAGACAGGCTATATGTGCTGTCTGGTCATTCACCTTGTCTGCTTGATAGTGGTACATTTTACTGATAGATTTTATAATGACGTTTTTCCTTGCATGGGATAAACTCCGCTTAGTTATGACAAATTTTATAACACATTATTGGCTTCTATTTGTTGGTATACATACTAGAACTTTTAAATCTATGCTTCTAAGAAAAATTGATTTGTAATTTTCTTTTCTTATACTGTCATTGCTTAGTTTCAGTGTTAGACTGTAATAGCTTCAAAAAATGAATTAGGAAGTTTGTTTTCCCCTTCCCTTTCCTTGTCTTTTGAAACAGTTTGTAAAGAGAGATTATCTGCGACTGTTTGGTTAAATTCTTTTGTGGGCGGAAGACTTTGATTACTGAGTCAATTTCTTCAATGATTTTTTAAATGACCTTGGAACTATGACTGGGGATAGATGAGACATGAGAGATTTGCACACTTCATTTGGACTTAATTTAAATCTAGTTAGGAAGGGTGTTAAAAAAGATCTAAGAATAGAATAAGGAAGAGCTAAGATTTTGAATTTATAAATTGAAGGATAACTTTAAAACCCAAGATGGCACTTGATTAATCTTTGCTGTGCATTAAAACTACTCTCAGAGATACAAAACCAACCAACCAAACCACTCACAGAGATAACTATTGGTTTATTCTGTTTTCTTGAGTCCATCTTAAAGGTTCTATATTTTTCTGGAAAATTGTCTTTTTCATTTAAGTTATGAAATTCACTGGCATTGGATTCAAATCTATTCTGTAAGTATAATTTTGTCCCACTTTCATTTCTAACATTGCTTAAATACTCTTTCTCTTTTTTGGGGGGGATTTGTATATTTATTGGTCATGTTTTTGTGTTATTAATCCTCTATAGTTGCTTTGTTTTCTAACTTACTGATTTCTGGTATTATCTTTGTTTCTTTCTATTTTCTTAGGTTTTACTTCCTAGTTCCTTGAAAATTAATTTATTCCCAATAGTTTGGTGTTTTAATATATATTTTTAAAGTTGTAAATTTGCTTTGAAGTAGCAATTCTTTAGTGTAGTGGTGTTATTATAGCTTACTGCAACCTCGAACTCCTGGACTCAAGTGATCCTCCTGCCTTAGCCTCCAGATTAGCTAGAACTACAGGTGCACATCACCATACCTGACTAATTTTTATTTTCATTTTTTGGTGGAGATTGGGTCTCGCTATGTTGCTCGGGCTGGTTTTGAAATCCTGGCCTCAAGAAATCCTCCTGCCTTGGCCTCCCAAAGTGCTGCGATTAGTGGTGTGAGACATTGCACCTGGCCCTGAAGTATCACTTCTGATGTGTATTAGGATAAGTGATACTAGCCATTGTAACCAATTACTCCAATACCAGACCCAAATCAGATTCTGACATTGGGGTGTGCGGCTTCCTTATGTGAATCTCCAACAACGACTGTGGGGGTCTAGATTTCTCATTTTGGGATGCATATATATATATATATATTTCTTTTTTTTTTGTTTTTTTTTTGTTTTTTTTTTGAGACGGAGTCTCATTCTGTTGTCCAGGCTGGAGTGCAGTGGTGCGACCTCGGCTCACTGCAACCTCCGCCTCCTGGGTTCAAGCAATTCCCCTGCCTCAGCCTCCTGAGTAGCTGGGACTACAGGCACACGCCACCACACCCGGCTAAGTTTTTTGTATTTTAGTGGATATGGGGCTTCATCCTGTTGGCCAGGATGGTCTCGATCTCCTGACCTCGTGATTCACCCACCTTACCCACCTTGGCCTCCCAAAGTGCTAGAATTACAGGTATGAGCCACTGCGCCTGGCCTCATGGCATCTTTATTTGGATGTGTAGTAGGAGTCTTTGAGTTGAGACTTCCTTTGCTTTCTAGCCTCTTTTAAAATAATCGGATATTTCATATCCAGATTTTTAATATTTAAATTTGTATATACTTCACTTTAGGAGTGATTTGTTAACATTTGCCTTAAGCTTTGCAACCACATAGCAACAATTTTCTTTCCCTAATTCTAAGTTTTATTATTCATCATTGATTCTTTTATAAAATCATCTCAATTCTTGAGTTCTTACTTTTAATTAATTGTAGTCTTCCTTTAAGTAACCTTTTGACGGTGGGTACTTGGGTATTATGTTTCTGAATCTTTGCATTCTTGAGATTGGTTTTACTTTGCTCTTGCAAGGAACTTTTTTTGTTTGTTTGTTTAAATAACAGAGGTATCGAAACTCCTTCCCATGCGATTAGTCCATTGTTTTCTGGTATTGGGGTAAGGGAAATCTTTCACTGTAGTTGCCTTTTTTTCCCCAGGTATCTTGTTTCTTTCAGTCTCTGAGTAGGTATTTTTTCCTATATTTGAGCTTCTTATATGTCACTCAGGGTATCTTGGTATAGGTCTGTCTCTGTATCTTGTCTGAATCTTGTTGAGCCCTTTCAATGGAAACATTCAAGATTTGCTTTGGGTAAGTGAAAGGTATTTCTCTCGTTTCTTTGCTTACTGTTTCTCTGCTGTGTGTTCAGTTTCTTTCCGGGATTCCTTTTACATAAGTGTAGGCTCTCTCATATCCATGTTTATGTGAATTGCATCTTTTCTTTTCTCCTTTTCATCTTGGTGTTTGTCCTCTGAGTCCTGGGGGACAAATCTTGAGACTGTTCTCTAATTAATAGATTTGGTTTTATTCAGTAAATAATCTACAGTCTACTGGATAATTCTCTACAATCATTTTCCCAGACCCCCTTTTCTCATAGTTCTGGTGTAAAAAGGAAATACTCCTGAAAGGCACAGACCACTCACTTATGCAGACTTCCCAGGGGGTGGGTTTTCCACAGCCTCTTTTTCGGTGACTGCAGAGAAGTTGAGCTATCAGGGCTCTGTAGGGAGATATTGGGACCAGATTTATCACATTTTGCTGATACCTGTCCCTGGCTGGAGATCTCAAAGGCTAGAATATGCTCTCAAAGAGAGAGAGGGTACCACGAGCTCTGAGATGGGATGTGGGAATGGTACCTCTTGTTCTTTAAATCACGTTATGATTATAAGAGCAGTGGATTTTTTTTTACATAAGCAGTAATAAAATCCTGTGTTCTGCATTGGGGAAGGGTTGAAGAAGAGAAGACATCCGGAGAAGGAATTTGGGGAAAAACATAAATATCTAACGAGCATTTATTAAGTGATTTGCTGTGTGATGTATATTGGAAACCTCTCTTCCTGTTCTCCAATGAGTTTTTCAGTAAATTATTTGTTACTTCAAGTAATAATTAATGTGGTTTTATTGAAAAAATTGCTAGGCCAGATGCAGTGGTTCATGCCTATAATCCCAACACTTTGGGAGGCCAAGGTGGGCAGATCGCTTGAGCCCAGGAGTTTGAGACAAGCCCGGGCAACATGGTGAAATCTCACTTCTACAAAAAATACAAAATTTAGTGAGGCATGGTGTCATGTGCCGGTAGTCCCAGCTACTCAGGAGGCTGAATGAGAGGACCTGAGCCTGAGAAGCTCTAGACTGAAGTGAGTTGAGGTTGTGCCACTGCATTCTAGCCTGGGTGACAGAGTTGTACTCTGTATCCAAAGTAAATAAATAAATAAATAAATAAAAAGTGGCTTATCAAATTTATTTCCTTTGACCAATATCCAGTATAGCAAGATAGATATATTCATTCATTCATTCGTTCACTAATTCATTCATTCACCCCTTTATTTGTTATTCAACAGACATTTTAAAGCACCTTTTCTGCGTCAGGCACTGTGGTAGGCTCCAGGGATACAGCAGAGAAGAAAACAGTAAAGACTGCCACCTTCAAGGAGCTTATGATGTTATGTAACAAGAAGGCTCTGTGTAGGAGGGACCCATAAAGGTGAACCTATGGAGGGAGAAAGATTCCTACTGTGGCATTGAATTCCTCTTCCCTGGGAATTTGTCCTGGTCCTCTCTTCTCTCGCCTGTTCCCACACAATACTCCTCACTTTCATTTCCCCAGGTTGTCTGGATCCCTTTGGTTTGTGTATCTTAGCTGCTGATATTGGTTTCCATCCCTTTGGTTCTGATATCCCATTTTGGATAGACCCTCCAGCTACTCTTCCGCATTGATCTAGTGCAGTTCTCAATTTTGCCCGCTGGTTTCCAGTTTCTGTGGTTGCTGTAAGAGACCACCCCCTACCCTTAACTTTCCAACAGGTATCTGGAACCAGTCCTAATTCCCACATAGCCATTCTGTAGGGAGAATCTGATTGTATCCACCATCTACAAGAGGGACCCACCCCCAGTTTTAATCCATGAACACTTCTGCGTGAAAACCCAGCCCATTTGGATGAGAACAGCCAAACCTATGTGTGCAGACTCCAGAAGGCAGAGCTACATACACATGGCCTTGCTTCTCTGCCCACCATCCCTGTTTCCCCAGAGCACTTCTATGCTGTCACCAAGGACAACTGCACCCAGGGCTGTCTGCTCTCTGGATGATTGAAACCATTAGTAATTTACCCAACTCCGGCTGCTGCCTTTCATTAATTATCACTATGCTAATGATGTCCCTCAGGAAAAGGAAAAAATAATAATTCTTCCTCCAATGTAGGCTGTGCAGAGACAGAACATCTTTCATAAATAAATCAGGGGTGGATGTTTTGCCTTGAATTCCTTTGAACTCTTCCCTCACAGAGACAGAGGATGTGGAAGTGGGCGTAATAGGATCAAATGAAGCAGGTGTTTAGCCTGTCTGTTCTTTCAGATAGGAGGTGGGGTCACCTTTACTTATATGCCTTTCTCAGTAAAGGCAGAGACTTTCTTAAAATGTAGCAAAAGGAACTGGATACAGCCCTCCAAAACAAAATTGTCTAGTAAAGCCATGGATGCGTAAAGCCACTGATACCGTGTTTAAATCACTACACTTGTGATTTAAGAAGACATTTCCCCCCATTTAATCTGACCTTGTAGACTCAAGGAGAACTAAATGAATTAACATATATGAACAGCACCTGAACACTATAAGAACTCCATAAGGGTTAGCTATTCCAAAGAATAAAGCAAAGTTCTGCAGCATTTTCTGGGCTCTCTGAGTTTATGAGTGGCGTCTATAGCGTTTGTTCCATGACATCTCTTGTAGACATGGTGGGACATAATAATGGGGTTTCCCTATTGAATCTGAGCAAGAGTTTGGTCACTCCTGTCCTGTTAGTAAGAAGGAGCAGGTAGACACAGAGTAGACTTTCAGGTGGGATGTCTAGATCAAGACAGACTTAGGGCGCTTGAAGCTAAATGCTCTAAAAGTTTTAGCAGCCCTTTGGCTGTAGTGGGTAGTTAGTTATTGTGGAATCCTAAGCTTGTTCTGGAATTCTGAAAATTTTATTGAGTAGTGAGAGGAGACCATGCATTCATCCAATAACTCTTTGAATAACAAGCATGTTACTCAATTCATGGTGAAAAATTTTCTTTTTTAGTTTTTTATTCCTAACTTTATTGCTATTTTCACAAAAATTGAATAAAAGAGAAAATAAGAAGAAAATCATCACTCCTGTTCATTTTTCAAGCCTTTGGGGGCTCTTTTCCTTCCTGAATCTTCCTTATGAGGCTGAATCTTGGTATTCTCTGTGAGTGTTCTTTTTTGGCCTTTTAAAAAATTATAGGCCAGGTGTGGTGGCTCACACCTGTAATCCCAGCACTTTGGGAGACTGAGCCCAGGAGTTCGAGAACAGCCTGGGCAACATGGCAAAACCCTGTCTCTACAAAAAAATACACAAAATTAGCTGACTGTGGTGACATGCACCTGTAGTTCCAGCTACTTGGGAGGCTGAGGTGGGAGGAACACCTGAAACTGGGAGGTGGAGGCTGCAGTGAGCTGAGACTGCACCACTGCACTCCAGCCTGGGTGACGGACTGAGACTCTGTCTCAAAAAAATTATAGCAAAATATACAAAACATAATGTTTATCATTTTAATCATTCATAATTGTACAATTCATTGGCATTAAATATATTCACAATGTTATGTAATCAACACCATTATCTATACTCAAAACTTTTTCATCACCCCCAACAAAAACTCTGTACCCATTAAACAATAACCATCTCTCTAGCTCCTGGTAACCTCTATTTTACTTTCTGTTTCTATAAATATGCCTATTCTAGGTAACTCATATAAGTGGAGTCATACAACATTTGTTCTCCTGTGTTTGGCTTAGTTCACTGAATGTGTTTCAAAGGTCCATCCATTTTGTAGTATATATTAAACTGTCATTTGTTTTTATGGAAGAATAATATTCCCTTGTATGTATACACCACATTTTGGTTATCCACTCATCTGTTTATAGGCACTGGGTTGTTTCCACCTCTTGGCTGTTGTGAATATGCTGCGAAGAATATTGTAATACAAATATCTTTTGGAATCCCCCGTGTGTGTTCTTGCTGGAGCTGGCCCCTTTGGAATGCTTCCCTTCCTCAATGCGATGAGATGGGTTGGGAGCCTTCTGTCCCCTGGGAGCCTTCCTCTTCCTCATGGCTCTTGGAAGACTTTAGGGGAGGTAACTTTAGGCTGACACTGAAGACCTTAGGGAGAAAGATTCCCCTTTTCTTTATTACGTTTCCCCACAGGTTTATCTTTCCTTTTTTCTCTTCTCACCACTGGTGAGATCGCAAGGAAATAAGACAGAGTATGAGCCTAGGGGCAGTGGAAATAGGAGGTCACTGAAATGGTTTTTGATTAGGTTACTCAAGTCAAATTAGACCAGCCAAAGCACAACCTTTTGAAATACAATTCAGTTTACCCATCCAGGCTTCTACAGAGAAGGTTGAAGGCAAGGTGATACTTGGTGATACTGCTCTGACTTTATTGTCTCTGTTCATTTCTCTTATAGGAAACTGGTTGGGGCTCTAAGGCCTGCTTAAGCCTTAGCAGGCAGGTGCTAGAGAGTTTAGGGGTCTCATTCACTTTTTTCTATTTCTTTCTTTCTTAGTCGCTTGACTTACATCTGGTGTATTCTGCAGAGTGACCTGGGTATATCCTCAGGGAAAGCCCTACACAAAGAGCGGGGCTCCTGCATTGGAAGAGACCTTTCAGGGACACTTCAAACCATGCCTGCAGCTGGAAGCTGTTGGGCAGTGCCCACTACGGAGCTGGTCATATTTGAGTTTTGAGAGGAGAGAAAGCCATTTCTGGGTGAGGGCAGGTTTCTTACTGATCTCAGATTGTCAGTGAAGGTGTGTTTCCTTGTAGGTGAAGGCTTAGGTAGATATCAGAGTTCTCTTGCACTAGGTAGAATCTAGAATCTGGTTTTTATGAAGCCAGAGATCCATTCTGGGGCCATAGTAGGCTTATCTAGAACTGTAACTGGCAGGGCAGTCTCACTTTCTTTTGCAAGGCCATTGCAAATGGTAGAGGATTCTGATGGCTGCCTCTAGTTAGTGGGATCCAGTGCTGCTGCTCATTTCTAGAACTGCAACAGGCTCCCCTCAAACTGGACTGGGCTTCTTGGCTTGATGCCAGATGTTTGATGGATTTTTTTTTTCTTTGCCCTGTTTCTCAACCTGTTTTCAGCAATCTTCTTTCTGGTCTGTCACTCTAGATAAAATAGATGTTTCTGCAAAAGAGAGATGCATCACAAAGGGAATACATATGTTCATAGTGTCACAAAGAGATAATACATTGAAAAAACTGATAAGGCCAGATACAGTGGCTCACACCTGTAATCCCAGCATTTTGGAAGACCAAGGTGGGAGGATCACTGGAGGCCAGGAGTTTGAGACCAGCCTGGGCAACATAGCAAGACCTCATCTTTAGAAAAAACAAAAAATTAGCCAGGCATAATGGTGCACACCTGCAGTCCCAGCTGCTCAAAAGGCTGAGGTGGGAGGATCACTTGAGCCCAGGAATTTGAGGCTACAGTGAGTTATAATCATGCCACACACTTCAGCCTGGGCAACAGAGCAAGACCTTGTCTCAACAAACAAACAAAATTATTGAAACCAAAAAAGACAGATAGCACAAAATTTGGACTCTGACAGTCTGGGTTTGAGTACTAGCTCCATTACTATTTAGATAGATAATCTTGGGCAAGTTATTTAACTCCTCTGAGCTTCATTTTCCTCATCTATAAAATGGGTATATAAATAATAACATTTAGGATTGTTGGGAAAATAAAATATTAATGCATGTTAAGTACTTAAAACAGTGCCTATTTAAGTATGTGGTTTTATTTTTTAGTGACGGGTTACCACTCTTTCCCTCAGTAACTTCCCAGGGATAAGGACCATGTCTATTTTGCTTACCACTGGATCCCTAGAGATAAGCACAATGTCTGGAACAAAATAGAAGTACAATAAATATTTGTTGTATGAGAGGATACTTTTTAATGGTTCAATGTTCTTAAAAGTCAGAAGAATAAAATAGTTGAGGAAGTGCAGGGTTTTGGAGTTAAGCACATGGCCAAGGTTATGTTGTGTTTCTGACTTCCTAAGAGACAGGCTTGTCACGTACCAACAGCTGCAGCAAGACCTTGTGTTCTGCTCTTTCTGGAGAAATAGAGAAACAGAAAAAGCACAGGAAATGGAATTGTGAGGGATGATTGTTATGAGGGTCTGTGTGCATGGCTTACAGGAGAATGCAAATTATGTTTCCAGGTGGAGTCTAACAATCAATTCAGAAAAATCAAGGTTAAAGGGGAAATGAAAATGATACTGGAGATTTTAAATAAATGAGATGGGCATAAAGGAAAGAAGTGGCCTTCAGGAATGGAGGCATTACCAGTATACTTATTTTTTTTTTGACAGGGTCTCACTCAGTTGCCCAGGCTGGAGTACAGTAGCATGATCACAGTTCACTGCAGCCTCAACATGCAAGGCTCAAGTGATCCTTCTACCTCAGCCTTCCAAGTAACTGGGACCACCGGTGTGTGCCACCATACCAGGCTAATTTTTAAAATTTTGTTTGTAGAGATGGGGGTCTCACTATATTGTCCAGGCTGGTCTCGAACTCCTGGGCTCAAGTGATCCTCCCACCTCGGCCTCCCCAAATGCTGGGATTACAGGTGTGAGCCACTGTGCCGTGCTGTACATTTCCAATGGGCTAGTTGGGATGCCTCTACAGAGGAGCAGATCTCTTCACCCCCAGGACATAGGAATCTTAGTGTCACAAACTTTTGTCAGCTATGTCTTCCAAGGGAGCTTTTTGATTGTACCCATTGGACTCTCCACAACAGATATGAATTAAGTGATATCCTAGTAATAATAAAAAATAATTATTTCTGATTCCCTACTCACCCCAGTCCTCACTTTATTTTTCTACAATCTTCCCCTAGATAACACTAAATCTCTATTCTGGCCCACAATAACAGCAATGTGAGTCTATCCTCTAGACAGCAGCATTAAATGATTGCTGGAAACATTATACTGGAAAACGGGTCCTTAGGTTTTAAGCTGAGTAGTGATTGAGTTGGTTCGTGAATTACCTCTTTTGCCAAATTCTGTATGTCAGGCTCAATCTGGTTGTTCTTGGAAACTAAGGAAAAATTAGATGTAAGAGAGGCTTAGGTTTGAAGCAACCTAGCTTCGGCAGAGCAAAGTGAGCTACATTTTGAAAGACATCCCAGGCCGTGGCTGCTACAGAAAGAACCAAGCTCCTGATGGCCATTTGGGCAGTGACTGGGCTGAATTAGCAGAAAGTGGGTGGGGAGAGAAACTTTTCTTAGCAGTTTAATTCGTGCCTTAGTTCATTTGTGTTGAGACTGGGTAATTTATAAACATTAGAAATTTATTTCTCACAGTTGCGGAAGCTGGGAAGTCCAAGATCAAGGCACCAGCAAGTTTGGGGTCTGGCGAGGACCTGGTCTCTGCTTCCAAGATGGTGCCTGGTTGCCGTGTCTTTTGGCGGGAATGATTGCTGTGTCCTCATATGGTGGAAGGGTGGAAACAAAAAAGGGCCTAGCTAGTGCCCTCCAGCCCTTTCAACAAGATTGCTAATCCCATTCATGAGGGCTGAGCTCTCGTGACAATCACCTCCTAAATGTCCCACCTCAGTACTATCACATTGGTGATTAAGTTTCAACATATGAATTTTGGGGGACACATTCAGACCATAGCATCATGCAATTCACACATTTAAAGTGTGAAATGGTTTTTAGTATATTCACAGAGTTGTGCAACTATCACTATGATCAAAGTTTGATCCCCCCTAAATAAATGTTTTTAAATCCCTAAAAGAAACCCTGTAGTCATTAGCAGTTACTTCCCATTCCCCACTCCCCCAGCCTTAGGCAACGATTAATCTCCTTTCTGCCTCTATAGATTTGCCTACTCTGAATATTTCATATATAAATGGAATCATACAACACGTGGCCCTTTGTGTCTGGTTTCTTTTACTTAATGTTTTCAAGGTTCATCCATGTTGTAGCATTTATCAGTACTTTATTCCTTTTAATTGCTGAATAATCCATCATATGGATAGGACACATATAATTCACCTGCTCATCAGTTGATAAACACTTCAGATCTTTCTATTTTTGCTACTGTGGAAAGTGCTGCTATGAACATTCACATGCAAGTTTTTCTGTGGACATGTGTTTGTATTTCTCTTGGATATATGCCCAGAGTGGAATTGCTGGATCATATGTATGTTTAACCTTTTTGAAGAACTGTCAAATAGTTTTCTAACATGGCAGCATCACTTTATAATCCCACCAGAAATGTGTGGGGTTTCCAATTTCTCCACATTCTTGCCAAAACTTATTATTGTCTTTTTTTTTTTTTTAATTATAGCTATCCTAGTGGTAGTGAAGTGGTATCTCATTGTGGTCTTGGTTTGTATTTCCTTAATTACTAATGATGCTGAGCATCTTTTTATATACTTATTGGCCATTTGTATATATACATTTTTTTGAGAAATGACTCTTAAGATCCTTTGCCCCCTTAAAAATTAGATTATTTGTCTTTTTATTGTTGAGTTGTAAGAGTTCTTTATGCATTCTGGATACTAGTCTCTTACACATATAATTTGCAAATATTTTTCTCCTCTTATCTGGGTTGTATTTTCACTTTCTTGAATGTGTCCTTTACAGCATCAAAGCTATACATTTTGATTTAATCCAATGTATCCATTTTTTCTTAATTGCTTCTGCTTTTGGTGTCATATTTATGAAACAATTGCCTAATCTATGGTCACAAATAATTACTCCTATGTTTTCTTCTAGGTGTTTCTATTTTTAACGCTTACATTCTGGTCTCTATGTTATCTATTGCTGCCGTAACAAACAAACAACCACAAACTTACTGACTTAATACAAATGTATTATCTTACAGTTCTGAACGTTAGAAGTCTGAAATGGGTCTCACTGGGCTAAAAGCAAGGTGTTGGCTGGTCTGTTTTTCTTCTAGAGGCTTTGGGAGAGAATGTGTTTCCTTACCTTTTCTAGCTTCTGGATGCCACTCACTCTGGCTCATGGTTCCTTCCTCCATTTTTAAAGTCAAAAACATCAGGCTAAATCTGTTTCATGCTGCCATTTCTCTAGCTCCCTCTTCCAACTTCCTCTTCCACTTTTAACAACCCTGGTAATTACATTGAGCCCACTTGGAAATCAAGGATACTTTCCCTATCTTAAGGTCAGCTGATTACCAACCTTAATTCCATCTGTAACCTTAATTCACTTTTGCCATGTGTTCCATGAAAGAGCCATATATGCAAAGCAGTCCCTAAATACAGAAAGAGCCAAGAAACCAAAGAACATGGCAGACAAATTCAGTGTGTCAGTAAACAATGTTTTATGGGGGGAACTTACAGATGGAAGTGTGGTCTTGGGTGGCTGCAAGACAGGTAGATCTTCACACCTGTTACTCCTCAGATCCAGGGAAGAAGTATACGACAGGGAAGGAGTGTGCATGCTCTATATGCAATTGGACAATTGAAAGCAGACCTCCAGAATAGGCAAGAATGCTACGTGTGCCGTAGCCTATAATTTGTGTGATAACATTAATGTTGTTTTGATCTGGAGTAGAATTGATAGTAAATACATTTTCTCACACTAATGACAATAAATTCACTAGGAATTCATGAAGCTAGGGTTAATCAGAAGTCAACATGGCAGATTAGCATCCAAGATGAAGTCACTTTTGTTTCCAGATATGTTGCTTAGTATTTTATAAGTTCTGGGGATTAGGACATCTTTTGGGGAAGGTATCGTTCTACCTACTATAGTCTATGATCTATCTTGAGTTAAATTTTATGTAAGGTGTGGGGTAGGGGTCCAACTTTATTCTTTACAAATGGGTATCTAAGTTGTCCCAGCACCATGACTATTCTTTACCCACAGAATTGTCTTGCTACCCTTGTTGAAAATCAATTGGCTGAAAATGTAAATATTTTCTTTCTTTCTCTCTCTTCCTTCCTTCCTTTCTCCTTTCTTTCTTTCCTTCTTTCTTTCTCTTTTCTTTTCTTTTCTTTTCTTTTCTTTCTTTCTTTCTTTCTTTCTTTCTTTCTTTCTTTCTTTCTTTCTTTCTTTCTTTCTTTCTTTCTTTCTTTCTTTCTTTCTTTCTTTCTTTCTTCTCCCTTCCCTTCCCTTCCTCTCTTTAATTTTTTGAGGCCGCTTCTTGCTCTGTCACCCAGGCCGGAGTGCAGTGGTATGATCTCAGCTCACCGCAACCTCCAGCTCCCAGGCTCAAGTGATCCTCCTACCTCAGCCTCCAGAGTAGCTGGTACTGCAGGCACACACCACCATGCCTAGCTAACTTTTGTATTTTTTGTAGAAATGAGGTCTTGCCATGTTGCCCAGGCTAGTGTCGAACTCCTGGGCTCAAGCAAGGCCTGCCTTGGCCTCCCAATGTGTTGGGATTACAGGCATAAGCCACTGCACCTGGCCAGTGAGTGTTTATTTCTGAGTTCTCAATTCTATTCAATTGATCTATATGTATATACTTATGCCAGTGTCACACTGTCTTCACTACTGTAGCTTTGCAGGACATTTTGAAATCAGGAAGTATGAGCCCTCCAACTATGTTCTTCTTTTCAAGATTGTTTTAGTCATTATGAACGCTTTGCATGTCCACATGAATTTTAGATCATCTTGTTAATTTCTGCAAAAAGAGCAGCTAGAATTTTGATAGCAACTGCACTGAATTTGTAGATAAATTTCAGGAGCATTACCATCTTAACAGTGTCTTCTGACCCATAAATGTAGATTGTTTTTCCACTTTTTGAGGGCTTCCTTAATTTATTTCAATAATATTGTGTAATTCTTAGAGTACAAGTTTTGCATCTCTTTAAATTTATTTCTAAATACTTTATTATTTTTGAAATTACTGCAAATGGCACAGTTTTCTCTTCTTTTTTTTTTTTTTGAGACAGAGTCTTGCTCTGTCACCCAGGCTGGAGTGCAGTGGCGTGATCTTGGCTCACTGCAACTTCTGCCTCCCGAGTTCAAGTGATTCTCCTGCCTCAGCCTCCTGAGTAGCTGGGATTACAGCTGTGCACCACCATGCCCAGCTATTTTTTGTATTTTTAATAGAGACAGGGTTTCACCATGTTGGCCAGGCTGGTCTCGAACTCCTGACATCAGGTGATCCGCCCGCCTCGGCCTCCCAGAGTGTTGGGATTAGAGGTGTGAGCCACCGTGCCTGGCCAAATGGCACAGTTAATTTCATATTTGGACTGTTTGCTGGTCTTTAGCGATATTTCTTTGGAAAATTTCAATGTTTCTCAGCTGTGCCATGGAAAAGGAAGAAAAAAATGTCTTTAATAGGCCAGCATTTTAAAGGAAAGTTGGTGGAGAATAGAGTATCTGTGAGGCTGAGGGTATCAGCAAAAGAATAAGAGCTCAGCTTTAGCTGTGGGGTTGCCATATTGCACAACTCCACGGAGTACTGTTCTCATTGAATTCTGTATGAATGGTGCTCTCTAAAGTTGTACAACACAGGAAGTCCTCATTCAGCTGACCCTTGCAACTACTACTTATAGAGTTCTTATGAACTAGGCACTTCATATGCATGGTCATATTTAATCATCCCAAAAAATGTATGGCATAGATCCTTTCTTCATATTTACAGATGAAGGAACTGGGGCTGAAAGAGTTCAGTGAGTGAACTTAAAGTCTCACACACCTGGTGAGTGTCCGAAGGGGATTTGAACCAAAACTTGTGACTATAACTACTGCGCTCTGCTGCTCCTTCCACCTGAAGATTTTTTTTTTTCTGAGTTCCTTTCTATTTAAATCCTGGCAGACTCTAGGCTTTACTTAGAGAGGAAACTGCTCTCTCAAACCAACTGTGAGGACTGTAGGTGATTCATCGTTCTAAGTTATAGATTTTCGTCTAATGAGAAGGATTGTTTGTGTGTTGGTTTCTCTGCCTAGACAAATCCCTTGTCCTTACCTACTGGACTGGGGTGTGGCTCTGCCCTTCCGGATAGCTGAGCCAAGCCGCCAGCTTGGTCTAACACAACTTTCAATGGCCTCCGTGGTCACTCTGAACCTGGTCAGACCCAAACCCCACTGCTCAGGCTGGCTCCCACAAATATACCCAAGTTTTCTGTCATTATGGATTTACGATTTTGTTTTTTGCAGGTGCTTACTTCCTTGACATGAAATTAAGTAGACTTTATTTATTTATTTATTTATTTATTTATTTATTTATTTGGAAGGAGTTGGGGCTTCTAAAGACTTGAAGTTATCACTAAGGCATAAGAAAGGTAGAAAGAGAGAAAAGAAGAGAGAAACATGAAGCTCCCAAAGGGCCTTGGTGCTGGCTTGGGTAGAGGAGACGATATATTTGAGGATTTTATTAAAATAAAAGTAGATAAATTGCTTGGTGATGACTCAGGCCACTTTTGATTGAAAAGCAAAACCTGTGAACTGAGGGGGCCTCAGTATCCCAGCATGATGCTGCTTAAAAAAAAAATCAACTTCTATTTCCCATTGTATTTTGCAACTTTGATGATTGATTATCTCAGCATCAAAGATGAAATATCTACGCACACAGAAAATGAGAGAAACAGTCACAGAACTTTCTCTAGCAGTTAATAACACAGTTAATGGATTTGGGGCTCTTTTCTTTAAAGGTGAACCAAATTGTAGGAGTCTCTGGGGCCTGAGGAAGCTGAAGGCTTTTTTGACCCTGACCGACCACTGCTGATGTCATCCAGGTTTCTGCTTGTCTTGATTAGGCTGAGAATAGCCAAACACTACTCATTGAGACAGATATTGATTTTGGTCAGGAAGTTCTGTCATTGGCAGTAATTACAATTGCTTGTTTTAATTTATCAGATCAGGAAATCTAATAAATTTTCCATGAGTCCTTTCCCCACGTTTGGTTGGTATGTAGAAAATATCTCCAAGTTATTTCTGAGAAAATGTGCCACAAAACAGGACTTAGTTATGAAATGAAAACTCTTGCTTTCCTCCTCACTGATACCATTGATGGGAAACCACCTTTTTAGTGGTATGGCTTGGGAGGAGCAACTTAATCAAGCTGCTTAAGTAAGCATCATACCTCCTTTTCTACACTTGTAAAATGAGAAGAATAATTGTACGTAGCTTTTTTTGTAAGAATTAACCAAGTTTATTCATTAAAAACTCAGAACACAAGAACACATAGTAGGCACTCAATAAAAGTCAGCTGTCTTTGTTGCTATTAACATTAATGAAAACACAAAAAGGCCTCTAAGACATATGTTGTAGATAATAGAAGTGGATTATTTTTGAGGTTTGGTACTGAGGTAGTACAGAAATGTACAGAGGGTTTGGGGAATAACTGAGAATAGCAAATTGAATTCCATATGTGGTGAAGATAAAAAGAAACAAACTTGTCTAATTATAAAGCACTGCATGTTTATTATAGAAAACATATTTTATAGAGAAAGAAAAAAACATATTCAAACTCTAAAACCCAGAAATAAGCACTGTTAACATTCTTCTATGTTTTCCAGATTTTTTCTTTGCATCTATAAATGCATGAATTTTTAAAATATATTTGAAATTCTGTGATATATAGTATAATTTTAATTTTTCTATTTTATTTTCTTTACCGTTATATATGATACTTCAGAATAACATGACATGTATATAATTTATAAAGCATAATAATAAAATGAACATCCGTGAATCTAGTTTAAACTTTATGTCTCCCCTCTATCCCTGGAGGCAACCACTATTCCCAATTTTGTGTTTTTTATTCCTTTGTTTTTTAAAATAAAAGAGTTTTTTAAAAAATTATGTCCACATAATATATCATTTGTTTCTGAGTTTTATAAAAAGAGCAACATACTGTCTGCAGTCTTCTTGAAATTACTTTACTAAAAACGTCAATATTATACTTCTAAGTTTTATCCCTATTGTTTTATTTGACAACACATCGTTTCCAGTTTTGTATAGTATTCTATTGTGTGTTTATACCATCCTTTACAAAAGTCCATTCTTCTGCTATTAGAGTCCATTCTTTCGCTATCACAGAGTCTGCAATAGACTTTCTCATACACATCATTTAGGGCAGTTTCGGTATCATGTGGGAAACGGTTAGAAATGCAAATTCTTAGACCTCATACCAGACGCATTGAATCAGAAACTCTGAGGTGGGATACAGAAATCTGTGTCTTAACCAGCCCTCCAGATATTTTGATGCTTGCAGACAACTACTGATATTGGGAATTTGTTTGGGAGTAGAATTAATGGGTCAAAAGGGTGTCTTAGTTCATTTTATGTTGGTATAACAGAGTACCACTGGCTGGGTAATTTATAAAGAAAATAAGTTTATTCAGCTCATGATTCTAGAGGCTGGGAAGTCAGAGAGCATGGCACTGGCATTTGGTGAGAACCTTTTTGCTGTGTCATAACATGGCGGAGGGCATCCTGTGGTGAGAGGGCAAGCACATGCCTGTTAGCTCAGGTCTTTCCTCTTCTTATAAGGCCATCAGTCCATCATGAGGTTCCCACCTTGATGAACTTACCTAATCCTAATTATCTCTCAAAGGCCCCACCTCCAATCGACTTATGAATTTGGGGACTAAGTTCCCCACACACAAAATTTGGGGGGCATATTCAAACCATAGCAAAGAGTATATAAATGTCCAACTTATAAGACTATGGCTGTTCAATACTGTGGCCACAGGTGGCTACTGAGTACTTGAAATGCAGCTACTATTAATGATGAACTGAATATTTAATTTAATTCTAATTAATTTTAATTTAAATACTGAAATGTAGTTATTGGAAAATTTTTAAGTATGCTTGGAACAATTTTAGTATGTCCATGACTTTTTCAGCTGTCAGTTTTATAAAATCTAAATAGAGATCAAAGATTTCCAGTGATAATTCAGCCTCTGAATGTGTAAAATGCATCCTGGATATTATGAAAAAAATCTCATTAATAATTATTTCAATATTGATTCCATGTTAATAATATTAATAATAATATTTTAATATATTACTAAAATAATATTATTTTAGATATAGTAAAGTATAATATATTATTGCAATTACTTTCATTTGTTTCTTTTTACCTGTTTAATGTGGTTACTCAAAAATTTAAATACTGACTTATAATGCTGACAAGTTTTTCAAATGGTTGCATCAATTTACACTTTCACCATCATTGCATGAGATTTCCTGTATACTGATAAACTTTATATTCTTCTCTTAACACTGAGAATTGTCGTATTTCCTAAGTTTTGCTAATCTAGTAGGTGTAAAACGCTACCTCATTGTGTTTTAATCTGCATTTTACTAGTTTTTAATTATCTTGAGCATTTAAAAATATTTCCAGTTATCACTTGTGTTTTCTCTTTTGTGAAATAGCTATTCATGTGATTTTTCCTTTTTTCTATTGGATTTTTTGTCTCTTTTATTGATTTGAAGAAGTAGTAAAACTATATTCTGGAAACTAATCCTTGGCTGGTAATATGTGTTGAAAATATGTTCTTCCAGGTTATGGCTTGTCTTTTCACTTTTCACTTTCTCTAATGGCATTGGAGCTTCCATAGAAAACAAATGATGACCCAAACAAGTGGATAGACCTGAGATCTCATATACCATTTCAACAAAGAAAAATAAATTGTGGAGTTGTGACAAGACAAAGGAAAAAGGAGTTTGGGCTAGGGATGATAACTTTTGGGAAAGTGACCAGGAAATATGTGGGTGAAACTAATGCAAGATAAGGGTTATTTCAGTAGGTTTCTTTGTACAGATTAAACTTGGTATCAATGCTCCATCTCTGGTGATAAGAATACAACTTGTTGGCGCAGGAAGGGTACCTTTCTCATGGGAAATCTTATGACCTGCTTTTAGGTAGAAAGGAGGTGGTCAGAGAGCCCTTCTTGAATCTGCTGTTTCTCAAGTGACTTCAGCTCAAAATACATCAAAGTGGCATATTTTGGAATAGCATGTTCTGATCCTTTACAGCATCAAAACTTGTAGAATGGAACAAAATCCCTGAGACAATCATGGCACACTCTTTTAAGAAATGTTGCATCACTCATTTTCTCAACAGCACAGAAGATAATATTATGTAAAAAAGCCACAGACACTGACAACTTGAAGTTGAAAAATAATTGAATGATACTATGCTGATAAAACTGTACCCAAACAAGCCTAAAATAAGTTTTAAAAATATTTACATTTTCCCTCTTCTGCTCTTGATATATAAAAAACAATGCATAAAATCAATAGTGTCTTCTATTAAATGAAATATACTTTCTTCTTTCTACTTGGGTTCATTTCACTATTCTTTTCTAATATCTTATGTTGAATACTTATAAGCTAGAGTAAATTCACAGTGCTGTTTTCCTAAGCCCTAATCCTATGGGGTGAAACGGTGAGGGTATCATGGTACCTGTAATGCAATGGGGAGCATTCAAAAGAACTTTGAAATTAAAAGACTCTAAACTTGTATGAAACTTCTGGGATCTGTCTATCCTCCCCTTCAGAGAGAGTGATTACTCAACCTGAAATGTAAGTAAATCTCCTCCAGGAAAGGAGAAAGAGGTCTTTATCTTTGTTACCTTGGGTTATTTCTAGGGAGTGAGATGTCTCTAAGCTTTACTACCCTGAAATGTCTCCTTATGCAAGCATTGGCTGTAAATGCCTTCACTCAGAGGACTCAGGCTGTGCAGGAACATGAGCTATTCATGGAGAATTCATGGCCATATGTTTCCATCTAAATATCGCTTTCGCTACATGACAGTTTTATTTTGTTTTGTTTTAAATATAGATTATAAATATATTTACAAATATACTTATATATTTGTAAAGCAATGAAAGAATATATTTATAACTTTATTTGCTTATCTTTCCTTTTTTTTTTTTTTTTGCATCCTAGTCTGTCTTCATGGAAAAAAGTCATTCTTTCCAAAGTTTGCTCTTTATAATTTTTTTAAAGTGAGTATTTGTTGTGTGGTAAACTTCCTCCATTATGAAACTTTAGGTCTTATTTAGATTTTAAGGACAACGTTGATTTATGTTAAAAGAGACAGCTGACCTTGTTAGGTTCAGGTCTCAAGTTTTGGCCTACTTTCTGTGCACTGTGTTTCCTGCGTCAGTTCTGTTTTCAAAGCCTCTGCAGTACTATTTGGATCTGTCCAGCATATACACTAGCCCATCTGGGACCGAGGAAGTGGTCTGCCTTACAGTGCAGATCTCAAAGCTTTTAATACACTGCTTAAGGTCAGATCCATGCACACACAGCTTGGAGTTGAGCCTGCAGTTTCATGCACACTTTCTGTTTACTCTCTCGAGTTCTTTCTTCTCCGTGATCTCTGTAACATTTTCCAGCTGACTGGGGCCTCCGTTCTTAGTCTTTGGGCTAGAAATAAGGGGTCTTCTTTTCTTTCTTCTGCTCTATACTTCCTTTTACTGCATCTCTGTCCAAGGATCCAAGGACAAGCAACAGGAAGGGGTGGGGGGGTAGAGAGAGAGAGAGAGAGAGAGGAACAGGAATTAATTCCATGCTCTTGGAATCACAAATACTCTGGTCAGAGAGAAGGATTCCTCTCTTTCAGACTGTAAGTAACTGCTACCACTGTTGCTGCTGCTATGGGTAAGAAAAAATGGAAAAAAGAGAGAAAGAACATGGATTTCTCTCCTACTTTCTCTGACCTTTAGAAATCTCCTTTCCCACTCCTTAGACCAGAAGGAGAGGGGTTCTCTTGGAGCTCTTCCTTTCCTCACCCAGTTTTGTGTTGCTTTTGAATCTAGGCCAGGAGATATTAGAAAGGAAAAAAAAAAAGGGGAACTCACTATCAGATCAATTCTTAAAATTTTGGCATCCTTCCTCAATCTTTCTGTTATCTCTTATTTACTTTTCATATTCCTGAGACAGCTGCTCATGAATTCTGCCCATTGTTTTAGTTGTGTTCAATGAGAGCAACAGAGTCAAATTGTTATAGTAGGTAGCTTGTCAGACATGAGCAGGGCAGGGCAGGGCTCCTGCCACCCCCAGCCAGGAATGTCAGGTGACCATCAGGTAATGGTCAGGCAGTTATTTCTCTAAGATAGTAATTGGCTGCAGCCTGTGCCAGGGAAAGGCAGTCTCCCAACAGATAGAAACACCTGAAACTGGTGATCAGCAGCTTCCTGAAAAGATCTCAGGAGTTAGGTGAGTGGGTTCAAGCATGCGCACTAAGAGGCAAAATGGCAGAGTTTAACTGGTACATGACCTTCTAGGAACATTCCACTGGTAAGGGAAGGATATGCCTCAAGTGAGCATGGGTACGACTCCAGTAAACACACTGTGCATGTGGCCCCTCCCAGGTACTGGAAGGCCACTGCAAATGCTTACAGACCACCCCAAGGGAAGAACAGCAGGGGAGAAGTCATGCAGAAAGAGAGCCAACATAAGAAACCCCAAGTCAAAGGTCGAACCGTGCACTGGCTCTCTCCAGTCGCCTGCTTGGCCCTCTTCCAAGTGTACTTTACTTCCTTTTGTTCCTGCTCTAAAGTTTTAAATAATATTTCGCTCCTGCTCTAAAACTTGCCTTGGCCTCTCACTCTGCATTATATCCTTCAGTTGAATTCTTTCTTCTGAGGAGTCAAGAATTGAGGTTGCCGCAGACACCTGTGGATTTGCTGCCAGTAACAAAATGTACTCACTCTAAATTGTCTGGAATCAGGATCAACTGGTATTCTTGAATGATAGTTGCTTTTGAGCACACAGCTCTAAGTTGATAGTTATTTCTCTTTCTTTTCTAAATACCCATTGTTGCTGTTGAGAAATTTTCTTTCAGTCAAACTGTCATTACTTTGAAAGTAATCTATCAATTTTCTCTGGCTACTTTTCAAAATCCTCTCCTGTCCTTTTGGTTTTCTTTCACCACAATATCTGTAGGTGTGGATTTCTTTTTTCTTTTTGGGATGTGTTGTGTTTCCTGGATTTTTGGATTCATGTTTATCATCAATTTTGGAATTTTTAATATTCTTTTTTTTTTGAGACAGGGTTTCACTCCTGTTGCCCAGGCTGGAGTGCAATGGTGTGATATTGGCTCACTGCAACCTTCGCTGCCTCCCGGGCTCAAGCAGTTCTCCTGCCTTAGCCTTCTAAGTAGCTGGGACTACAGGCACATGCCAAGGCACCCAGCTGATTTTTTGTATTTTTTGTAGAGATGGGGTTTCACCATTTTGCCCAGGCTGGTCTCGAACTCTTGAGCTCAAGCAATCCAGATTGCAATGATCTTTTTCCTGAATTACTTTAATAGCCTGGTAACAGGTATTATCTCCTCCAAGTCATTCTTCACAGTGTAGGAACAGTCATCCTCCAAAATGGCAAATCTGATTATTTCTTTTTCCTTAATGCAGATGTCAAGCATGGAGCTCAAGCAGCCATGATCACGAGATCGTGAGGCAGTAATTCCAGTAATGTGATGAAGTAGCAAGAGATAAGTAAGTCCAGGTCAGTGAAGACTTCGTGGGGCTGACATATGAACTGAGAAATGCCCACTTTTGGACTTTCAGTTAAGACAAAAATAAACTTACCTCTTTTTTTTTTCCCAGGTATCTGTTACTTTCCCTATTTTGCAATACTTAATGGATACATACAATCTGTCAACTCTTCTCTCTGGACCTGCGCATACACTGCTCCATCTGCCTGAAACAATCTTTCCCTGGTCAACCGCCTACCCACTGCCACCTTGGAGAACAGCTACTCATAGTCACCCTCAGATTATATCGTTTTCTCACCCATCTCATCCTCTTCCTTGCCGTTTCACCACCTCCCTTCAACCTTGGTGGGCTTTGCCCATCTGTCTGCTTGACAGGACACCCCTATTGTTACCTTTGACTGGACTATTAGATGACATCTCAGTTACTTACCTTTTATGTGCTAGAATTAATTTCCTAGCTGGAGTTGTCCCCATGACCTGAAGCTGAGTGCCTGCTCTACCATGCAAGAAGCTCTATTGCCGAGGCCTAGGCCTGTTTTGGGGGCTTCTCTAGCCAATGTCAATGTCCCATTCCTAGTTGCATTCTGAAATATAACATCTGAGTTCACAGTATTGTCTTAAGCTATAATCACTAGAGAGAGCTCTATTGGTGTTGTGGATGCCTTGCACCATGCCTATTACTTTGGAGAAGCACAGTAAATAAGTGATGGTTCCCTAGGATGACTGCATAGACACAGGAATGTTTGTTTTGGCTTAATGATAACACTAATGATGTTGCCAGTTGTAAAGGAAGGAACACTGCTCTTTCTTCATGCCACCTGTGAGTATATACCTCTATCTATCTCTCAAAAGGGAGATAACTTGTTAATCTGATGATGGAACAGAGTTCCAGACAATTACTGGGAGGTGGGGCAATGTGCCTTGAAGGGTGCCATCTTTGGTTCCACCACTCCTCTCTTGTTTACATTTTATTCTGTATGCATTTCTTTCTCTTTCATGCTGAGTCCAAGAAATTGGATGATAGCATGCTGGGTGGCCCTGAAAGTTCATCCATCTCTTTATAGCTCTCTGAAAGCACATCTGAGCTTGATAATCCCTAGATTTAGGTTTGGCAGGGAGGTAATAAGTCCTGCTAAGGTCTCAAGCAGAATCGACTTGTTCTAATTCACCATTTATTTATTTATTATCAGTTTTTTTTTTTTTTTTTTTTTTTTTTTGCAGAGATGGGGTCTTGCTGTGTTATCCAGGCTGGCCTCAAACTCCTGGCCTTAAGTAATTCTCCCTCCTCAGCCTCTCAAAGTACTGGGATTAGAAGTGTGAGCCATTGCACCGGGCCATAACTCAGTGTTTTGTTTTGTTTTTGTTTTAGTTTTCTTTTGAGACAGAGTCTCTCTCTTGTCACCCAGGCTGGAGTGCAAAGGCGTGATCTTGGCTCACTGCAACCTCCGACCCCCAGGTTCAATCAATTCTCCTCCCTCAGCCTCCCTAGTAGCTGGGATTACAGGTGCCCGCCACCATACCTGGCTTATTTTTGTGTTTATAGAGTTGGTGGCCAGGCTGGTCTTGAACTCCTGACCCCAGGTGATCCACCCACCTTGTTCTCCCAAAGTGATGGGATTACAGTTGTGAGCCACTGCGCCCGGCCAACTCAGTATTTTTAATGGAGCTCTTTTCAAAACATCAGGCATTTGAGAGCAATTAATAAAATGATTTTTTATTCTCATATTGCTGTTGCACCTTGCATATATCTTCCTGGAATCTTACTGTAGGAAACAAATGTGATGACAGGGCAGGATTTGTCATTCCTTGGTCTTTGATCATATGACCACAGATAGAGTTGAATGCAACCATGCTCTTCTTTCCAATAATCATGGTGACATAAGAACTCATGCAGTTATGGTTCGCAGCACTGACTGGCTGCTGCTGCTGCTTCTGAAGGAGAAGGAATAGAGAAGGAAAGAGGGAAAGATATTGTGAGCTGCCAAAGGTGAGGTCCTTGTAATTAGAATGTGGTTCATTACTGAATGCCGGATACTGGTTTGGTAGGTTACCTGCAGGAATATTTTTTGTGATCCAAAGATGGTCCAATTTCGCCCAAGAGAGGACCAACTTATTTTAAGTGACTCAAAGCTAGATGACAAATGGAGAGATGCAAGTTAAAAGACAGGCCTAGGCCAGGCACGGTGGCTCACGCCTGTAATCCCAGCACTTTGGGAGGCCAAGGTGGGTGGATCACCAGGTCAAGACACAGAGACCATCCTGGCCAACATGGTGAAACCCTGTCTCTAGTAAAAATACAAAAATTAGCCGGGCGTGGTGGCGTGCACCTGTAGTCCCAGCTACTCAGGAGGCTGAGGCAGGAGAATCGCTTGAACCTGGCAATCGGAGGTTGCAGTGAGCCAACATTGTGCCTTTGCACTCCAGCCTAGTGACAGAGCGAGACTGTCTCAAAAATAATAATGATAATAAAATAAAATAAAATAAAATAAAATAAAATAAAAGACTGGCCTAAAGCTGAATTTTCCCCATCATTTGGGTGGGCGATAGTCTTCACCAACCATTTCTGTTGGCCATGAGCCTCTCCATTGTCCCCTGCATCAAAAACAAACTCCATATAAAACCTCAGCAGTATTAATGGAATGAACACCACTGTGTTTGGTGGGCTGTCAATGAGGTGATGATGTCTGGCTCTTATTAAGCATCCTAAGTCAATTACTGATTGGCAGAAATAGAAGCACAGCATTATTTAGTTATGATCAGTGACGATACAACCGAACGACCTTCACACCCCCTGGAGGGCCACAGTGCTGACAGGCCTGTGGGTGTCTGCATCCTCTGAGCTGCCTGCGGGGAGCTGCTGATGTCTCCGAGGAGAGGCGGTGGATGTGGGCTAACGAGGACGTGCTGTTCCACACAGGGCACCCATAAAGTGCTGCCAGGTCTCTCATTAGGGACTCCTCAGCCCGGCCCTTTCTGGCAGGCAGCCAGTGTTCTCATCCACAAAGGAAGAAGGTGAGGCAGACAGAAAACAAAGTCCAGAGTGACCTTGGGACAAAATCAGGGTTGGGACTCAGTGTTCCCAAGGCCTGTGCCTGGCCCGTTCTGACGCTTGGCAGCTGTTTACCTGAGTGGGTGGCATGTTCTCCGCCCTCACTTGAATCACTCTTCCCAGTAATAGCCTCTGGCCCAAGTAACTCAGAAAAGTAATTGGTATGGCTTTGGTCCTGATGCTGGACTTGTTAAGATGGTAAGAGGAGATATTTGTGTTTATAACTAACTTAGCATGATTTAGTAAGGCAGACCACTTGGGCCATGTTATCTATATTTCTGTATAATATTTTATCTTTTGCCTGCCTGAGGATTATGGGACAGGCCAAGAAAATGGATATAGCAATAAAAGATCCATACCCAGGATCTGAAGAGGCAGATAGAATCTGATCATTGGGGGTACTTAGCAACATGCAGCTCTCGAGGAAGGAGGCCACCACCATTTCTTAGAGATACAGATATTTGGGTTCATGGGCTGACCAGTCCTGTCTATTCCCCTGGAATGGAGTGACTAAGGGCAGGAGAGAGAGGGCTGGGGAGTGAGCAAGGGCACATACCTATAGAGAATAGTATCCTTTGGTCCAAGCTGCATCCATCTTCAGTTCCAGTGGAGAAACTGAGGCAGTTTAGTAGCTTTGCCAGGGCCAAAGATGATCATAGCCTTTCTGTATATCCAGGTTCTCAGTAGGGGCTCTGGTTTGGTTTCATTTCTGCCTCATTTGTGGGGAAATGGTGACAACAGACTCGGGGCTCATCTAACTTTTCTTGAAGCTGCAAACAGGGCTGGAATACCTCCTGCTGCTTCCTCTGCATCCGCCAGGCTTGGTTCAACACCTATCAGACCTTAGGGGATTGTCCACAGGCTTACATTAATTACAGAGGACCGTTTCTTTCATCTGAGCACGTCAAAGACTTCTACAAAGCTCAAGGAGTGTGATGTTGTCTTGTGGAATTTTTTTTTTATTTTTCCAAGTCCTCTTGGAAAACACTTTTAAAAAGTTGACACCAGGAAATTGTTCCTTGGGTGATATATGACACACAGCATTTTCCAACATCCCCAATCATTCATTATAGATTGGGCCACAGGCAGCGTGGGTTTGGCTTGGTCCCGGAAACTTGCTTCAAGCCTATTGTCTAGTCATTGTTGGGATCATCTGAGTCTGAGGAGCTACAGGCAGGCTCTATGGGGAGGATGTGGAGGGAGGGAGGTGAGAGAAGGTTTGTCATGACTGCATTCCAGCAAGAAAATTATTGTGGCCTGGAGGCAGCTCTCATGTTTACCCTGGTAAATGTTTGAATTTTCTCTGTTGATTTGTAATTGAGACAAATGGATTGAGATGTCTGTTCACATTATTTTTAAAAAGTGATGGGCTCCCATATTGGCAGAGGCATTGAGGCACTCAGCAGGGTCAACTGGGACAGTGCTTCTGAGCAAAGTGTGAGTATGTGTTATTAGTGCTGTGGCCCCAACCTCTTGGCACGCTTGGGGCTCTCAAGGCAGAGGGGCAGAAGGCAGGGAACAGACTAAGCTGGCATAGGGCAGTGGTGGCATGGGGAAGGGGACCAGTAGGGACCAATGAGCTGGCAGCAGCAAGTTCCTAATGCAAGGTGGAGTACTGACATGTTTTGTTTTGCCATCACCCACGCCTGAGGTAGCCAGAAGTCAGGGCTTCCAGGAGATGGCTGCAGTTCTTGGTCATAGCTAAGTGTCCAAGGTACAAATCAGAGATTTGCCTAAGCTAATGTAAGGAAGCAGGGACCAGCCCCAAGAAAGCGAGCTGGCAGGGGGTAGCTGAGAGAGTCCAAGCCTCCAGTTCCTGAGGCTGGGGGGCAAGGGGCTGGGCCCTAGATTCAATGAGGTTACAGCTAGGAACTGGGGACATGAGGAAAAGGCCTATGAAGTAATCTGACTATGTATCCTGGGCATGAGGTAAGCACTGTTTGCTTTTTCTGTGGGCTCCAGACACAGGCAGCAACCATTCCTGGTGGACCAGCTGGTTTAGGAGGAGTTCCTCCTCTTCTTCTCCTCCCCCTCCCTCTCCCCCTCCCTCTCCCCCTCCCTCTCCCCCTCCCTCTCCCCCTCCCTCTCCCCCTCCCTCTCCCCCTCCCTCTCCCCCTCCCTCTCCCCTTCCCTCTCCCCCTCCCCCTCCCCCCTCTCTTCTTCTCCTTCTCCTTCTTCTTCTTCTTCTTCTTCTGAGATAGGATCTCATTCCATTGCCTAGGTTGGCACAGCCTAGAGGACAATGCGATCATAGCTCAACTGCAGCCTCGAACTCCTGGGCTCAAGTGATCCTCTTGTCTCAGCCCCCTGAGTAAACAGGATTACAGGCATGCACCACTACTCTTGGCTAATTTTTAAATATTTTGTAGAGACCGAGTCTTGCTACGTTGCCTAGGCTGTTCACGAACTCCTGGTCTCAAGCGATCCTCTCACTTTGGAGGAGGAGCTCTGAATGTTCTTTCCAGCCCAAAGCCTTATGGCCCACAGCTGGACTAACCAGGCCAGGCTGCAAGCCCTACCAGGGGGCAGAAGAAAAAGAACTCCTTCTCTGCAATGTGTTGCCTGCCTCTCTCCGTCAAGTGACATTGTCTCTCTAAGTCTGCCTCATTGCAGAGGATGTGAAAGGCTTCTCTCCCTTCCCTGCACTGTGCCCTTCTCTCCAGTTACTCTGCAGAGCACCCCTACCTTCTTCAAATCTCTTCTCTCTTGACACATTCCTAGTTTTAGTTTTATTTCTCTGGCTCTTTGTTTGCATCGTCTCTGGATCTCTTTGCTCTGCCTTGCCGTAAGTGTAGGGTCCCAGGGATCAGTTATAGGTGCGTGGTCTCACCCCACTCTCTGCCTCTCCTTGCGTAATCTGATCCCTTCCCGTGGCTCTTGTATTAGTCAGTTTAGGCTGACATAACCAAATATCATAAACTGGGTGGTTTAAACAACAGATACTTATTTTCTCACAGTTCTGGAGGCTGAAGTCTAAGAGTCAGTGAGGTGTCAGCACAGTCAATTTCTGGTCATGGCCCTCTTCCTGGCTTGTAGGCCACCTGCTGGCTGTGTCCTCACATGGTGGGGGCTTTGGGGGTTGGGGAGAGCCAGCAAGCTCTCTGGTGTCCCTTCGTATAAGGGCACTAATCCCATATGAGGACTCCACCCTCATAGGCTTATCTAAACCTAATTATCTCCTAAAGGCCCCATCTCCAAATACGATCCCATTGGGGGTTAGGGCTTCAACACAGGAATTTTTTGGGGTCACGATTCCTTAGGTAGCAGCTCTTTTTAGTGAGTTCCTAATGCATATCCTTAGCCCAGCATTCTGTCCTGAGTGATTCATCTATATTTCTAACTGGAACATTCTGACATGTAGTTGATCCATACACCCACAGGAGTCTCACACAAAACACATTATGTTCTGCTCAGACCAGCCACTTCTGCCATGTTTCCTAGATTAATTTATGGCACATAGTTTCTCTAGCATAAGCCTCTTCCCTGTGGCATGGTATGGCATAGTATTTGGGATTTATTGCCCTCTCAAGTTTGACTTTGGGCAGCCCAGAGTAGCTTTCCACCACGGCTGGGGGTAGTCATTCCGAGCACAGCAGTTACACACCTGCACAGGGCCGCAGCTGCACCTCTTCCATCTACTCCTGCTGATTTGACTCTTAAGGGCTATGGTTCTCAAGGGAGACTAACGTGGGAGGTTTTAGAAAATACTGATGCCTGGACTTCACCCTGGACCAAATGAATCCATTTCTCTGGGAGGGTCCCTGGCATCCAGAGGTTTCACAGTGAGAATGAAGAAACTGTGCTTTAAGCCACTCAGCCTGGGCACCCACATGCATGTGTCCTATGGCTGTTATCGCAGGTCGGGACCTCCCTCTCTGGAACAGCAAGCTCCCAGGGCTTGCCTTGCTTCACTCTCCACCTCTCTATCTTTCCAGATCTATCCATGACCTAAACTATAGGCTGCCTCCTGTCTTTGGTCCTGGCCCTGCCCTTTGAACTTGTCAGCTGATCCACATCACCTTGACTGATCATGACACACTCCAAAGGCTTCAACTTCCTCCCATCTCCAATCTTTCCCTGGCAAGCTGATCTGGTCTTGCTTAGCCCCTTTCCTCTGCAGGAGGATCTGGACATTTCTTTGCTATCTTCTAAAAAATTCACCATCATTACTGCACACCCAAGGATGTTTAATACTTGCTGTTGCTGTCAGAGCCCAAAACTGATTTTGACTATTATTGAGTCCCGCTGATAAAATCAGCAGCTATTTTTAACGACCAATTTCCTTCTTTGTTTGAACTGCTTATTTAGAGGAGGAAAGACAAGGTATGTGGCTTTTATCATTTGGCAATTTTCTGTGCTTTATTCTAGGTGTACAACACACACTAGGGGCAATATGCTAACCCCAGCACTGACTTGTACAAGAGTTTAATTTAGATTGTGGTATCAGATTGTGTTTGCTTTCTGAAAACTGACTGCACTTTGAGACCTGTAAACAATAGTAAATCCTACAAAATTAAATGTTAATAAGAAAAGCAACCCAGTAAAAAAAATTGGCAAAGGATATACATAGGGAATTCACAGAATATGAAATAAAAAATTACCAGTAAACATGAAAACATGCTTATTGTCACATATAAGCAGGAAACTACAAATTTAAAGGCATCATTTTTCACTAGATCAGTTGTTGGCAAGGATATGGGGAAATGGATAGATACAAGGATTTACATATATCTTTTTTTTTATTACTGGCGGGATTGTAATATAGGACAATTTAGGATTGTACTATATTCTGGAGGGCAATTTATCAATATATATTAAGATTTTTCTCAGTATATATTTAACTTTTTATCAATTTAAAATTTTATTTTGATTTGGAATCATTTTGGTAAATCCATTTTCTCCTGAGCATCTTGGGATCAACAACTGGTAAAACTGTCCGGTGTAAGATTCTAAATGACATCTCTTATTAACCCTCACCCAGAAATATTTTAAGCAGTATTTGACCAGAGCCATGAAATAGATCCACTTGCTTATTTTATGCATATAAAAAAGGAAAATAATTGGAACCCTTTGGTTTGTCAGTTTTACTTAAAGAGCCCACACAATGTTAGACTTTTTAGAGTAAAGTTAGAATTAGTGTTCTGCAATGGAACTTAGCAAACTTTTTCTGTAAAAGACCAGATTTCAAACATTTCAGCCTTGGTGGTCTATGCAGTTTCGGTTGCAGCTACTCACTTCCGCTGTAGAAACACGAAAGCAGTCCCAGATAATATGTCAGCTAATGAGCAAAGTGGTGTTCCAATATAACTTTATTTACAGATACTAGAAACTGAATTTCATATAATTTTCATATGTATGATATATCATTCTTCTTTTGATTTTTTGCTGAAATGTTAAAAAAATGTAAAAACTCTTCTTGCTTAGGGGCCATACAAAATCACGCAGTGGGCTGATTTGGCCTACAGGCCTTAGTTCACCAAGCCCTTATTATACTTCTTAAAAATTAGAAATTGCCGGTGCACTATTTATTGTAACTTAAATAACTAACCATTATTCCAAAGAAGACATTAAAGGGCCACTTCTGAGCAAGCAAAATGAGTTCCTTTACAAATATTTTACATTTATTATTTTGTTAAATAAAGATTCGGTTTTAAAAAATTTCATCTTATGACCCATTTTTGTACATTCTTTTCTTTGAATTAGTCCTCAAATCCATTTGTATTGTCACTCCTATGGATAATTTATAGGTCAGTATCAAACCAGGACAGCTGATGGTGGTCATCTGAGGCAGCCCATTCATAAGGCTCTAGGCATGTCCCAGATCTGGCAGCCAAATAGCTGGCCGGTCACCATCAGGATAAAGGTCATGATCTCTGTTCCACACAGGCCCATCCTCAAGGCATTCTGCCTCTATCCACAGCCAGGGTCATCCTGAAAATAACCAACGAAGTGTAAGACCAGTGGTCTCATTCTAAGCCACTGGCTCCATTCTGAAGAGAGAGCTAGTCAATTCATCTGAAAGGCAGTTTAACCTTATGCATTTGGAACAAAACTGTAGCCTCAAGCTGCCATTCTTATTTTTAGAGTGGAGGAATTGTGTCAAGAGTTATATCTCCTTAAATTTCAACAGCTTACACAGCTTCCTTGTCCAGAGCAAGTTCATAGAGAGGTTATTTTACTCAACCAAATAAATGTTACGTTCTTGGTTGTTATAGGAATTGTCCTCACTTTGGGAGGTGGAGGCAGAGGTGGGAGGATTGCCTGAGGCCAGGAGTATGAGGCCAGCTTGTGCAACATAGCAAGACCCTGTCTCTATTTAAAAAAATAAAAAATTAAAAAGTGGCTTCCTCTAGATTTTTTCTTATGTCAACCAGGAAGCACACTGATGATTCTGGCTAGAGATGGGCTCCAGATATATGTAAAGATACTGGGGTTCTACATTTTTAAGAAACTCAGCACAGCATAACCAGGCTGCTGAAGATGCTGTCTCATTCATTTAATAATAAGCTGACTATTATGAAAAGGATGGAATGCAAGCTCTAGGGTTTCACCTGAGAAATTCAAACCGATTGTTCTTTAGAACTATTTTGGAACTTGAAGCAATCTTTCAGGTGGTACAATTAAACAGGAAAGAATGGAAAGTCTTCACGGCACTAGTGTTCAGCTTCTAGGTTTACATGTGGTCAATCTGTGTAGGATGAATTCTTTCTAACCTTACTTGCAATAATTCAGCAATATGCAGGTATGCCCAGTAGATACAGAGGAGTTGAGAGTCATTTGTGTTTGCTGTCCTTCATGCTGGTGACTGTGGGGACATCCCTGAGCCCACACCTGTAGTCTTCATCATACAGGCGATGGCCTGGAATGCTCTTTCCCTTAATTATGGTCTCTTGGTCACGGTTAAATTACCACACTCACCAGCTCATTGATCTCTGGTGAAGACTACTGTTGCACTCATATGAAGCTGTGCCTTTTGCCCAGAAAATCGTGCATCTTTGTGTGAACAGTATGTCATTTCACAATTTGTCAATTCCAGTCAGTTTGCACTTGCCCACTGTCATTCTCCTGTGGGTGGAACACAGTGGTAGCTGCAGAGGCCATGCATATGGAAGAAATAATGATTGGTGAGTGGAGCCCTTTCCATCCTGGCTCAAGTGTGCAATGGAGTCAGGGACTCAGGCTATGGCTAAACAGGGTCTGCTTAAGGACCAACATCAGGACTAAACATCATTCCATTGTGTGTGCATCTTCATTCTTATGCCTCATCTTGGCAGTTTAATTAGTTTTACGGTGGCATGTTTTATCACCTATAATAGTTCAGCCAGACACTGGCCATTAATTGGAAGAGCTGCATCAAGCTGTGTAGATGGGACCCGTAGACTCCCATCATGTCTCAGCTTGTACTCACTGAGCTTGTGTCATTACATACTGCCCATCCACCAGCCACTTCTTGAGTGAACGACAGAAAATTTTTGATCCTATGTCTTCTGTAGGATCTGGATGGTATCACATCTACTTCCTCAGAATGTCCTGTATCACTCAGAGAAGGAGCAGTTATTGCAGCCCCACAGTGGATCCCTGTGTGGAGGTGGGTTTGTTGCTGCCTGTGACTAGCAGCTCCTTTTCTGATGAGCTCCTTGGCTATGTCCAATTCTACCAAAGCAGCGTGAGTAGACTTTTGTCCACTGAGGGTTTTTAAAAATCTGTTGTGGAGCCCACTTCAGAAACTCTCAAGGGAACAGGCTCTGCCCCCTGTGCAGGCGGAGGTGTCCTAGACATGTTGCTGCTGGGCTCTGTGGACCTTTTTCCATCTGCTCATCATGCCCAAGGTCAGGTGGAGAGAGGCTTAAAATCATATTGAAATTTTAAAGTTGTATATCTTATGTCCAGCAATTTTACTTCTTAGAACGTACTGTGGCAAAATATTTACAGATGTGCAGCTATTCAGTGCAATATTATTTATGATAATAAAAACTAGAAACAATCAGCTGGGCCTGGTGGCTCACACCTGTAATCCCAGCCCTTTGGGAGGCTAAGGTGGGCAGATCACTTGAGGCCAGGAGTTTGAGACCAGCCTGGCCAACATGGTGAAACCCTGTCTCTACTAAAAATACAAAAATTAGCCAGGTGTGGTGGTGCTCACCTGTAATCCCAGCTACTCAGGAGGCTGAGGCAGGAGAATTGCTTGAACCTGGGAGGCAGAGGTTGCGGTGAGCTGAGATCATGCCACTGCGCTCCAGCCTGGGTGACAGAGTGAGACTCTGTAAAACAAACAAACAAACAAACAAACAAAAAACCACAAGCCAGGCACAGAAAGACAAGCTTTGCATATTCTTATTTATTTGTGGGAGCTAAAAATTAAAACAATTGTACTCATGGAGCTAGGGAGTAGGATGGTTACCAGAGACTGGGAAGAGTAGTAGGGGGAGGTGGAGGAAGTGAGGAGGGTTAATGGGTACAAAAAATAGAAAGAATGAGTAAGACCTAGTATTTTCTAGCACAACAGAGTGACTATAGTAAAAAATAATTTAATTCTACATTAAAATAACTAAAAATGTGTAATTGGATTGTTTGTAACACAAAGGATAAATGTTTGAGGAGATGGATACCTTATTTACCATGATGTGATTATTACACATTGCATGCCTGTGTCAAAATATCTCATGTACCCCATAAATATATACACCCACTATGTACCTACAAAAATTAAAAATAAAAAACAACCCAGAATAGAAACAGCCCAAATATTCATTGGCAGGGGAGCACTTTAATGTGAGCACATAGGGAATGGGTACAACAGGTGCAGAGGATGAGGCAGATCCATAGGTTCGTAAAGCTGCATGAAAAGTATCTGCAACCCACTGCCGACTGAACAACAGGAAAGTCAAGATCCATAGGAGGGGTCTGATGCCATTTCTGCAAAGTATCAACTAGTAACAACAGCAAGAGGGTAGTTGCTGCTTGGATCCACAGCAGTGTCCAGAGCCGTTCTGGAGCCATGTGCCTGCTCTGGATGCAGGGCCACCAGTTCTCAGCTGGAAAGTGAGACGATAGTGAGGAATCTGTTTAGCATGAGAGGCATTATTCTAAGGAAAGCAGCTACGGTTAAAATCTTGTGTGTGTGGAAAGGAATAAAGGTGCCCCTCTTGGGTGTGAAGAAGGCTGTGCCACAGACAGGAAGAGGACTTACTTGTAGACGTATCCCCAGAACCCCCACCCCTAAGAAACGTCATATTCACCACTTCCAGAATCACAGACTTGGCAGGGCTTAATCATTTTTATTTTAGCAGCTCTTGCTTTTAATGTCTGATTCATATGGGAAGAGCAGGGAAACAGGCCCAGTCTCTGGGGTCATGGGTCTTTAACCTCACGATGAACCTGCCGTGGAAGAAAGAGTTGTCACGTTGAACGCTGGCCTTGACGCAGTTCTGAGTAGTCCTGCTCTAAAATGCTGAGGCCAGGCACCGAAGAGACTGGTCTTCCACTGCCCTCTGCAGCAGAAAGAGAACACCGCAGTCAGGGACAGGATCTACCCAAGCCATATAGGTGTTTCAGCTGTGATTTTTTATTTTCTAAATTGACAAATAAAACTTGTATATGCTTATGGTGTATAACATGATGTCTTGATATACGTAAACATTATGGTATAGCTGAATCAAGTAGATTAACGTATGCAGTACCTCACATGCTTAGCATTTTTTTTTGTGCTGAAAACTTAAACTCTACTCTCTTAGCAAACTTCAAATATGCAATATATTATTATTAACTATAGTCAACATGATGTGCAATAGATCTCTTGAGCTTATTCCTCTTATCTAACTGAAACTTTGTGTGTCCCCAGACAGACCCCCACTTCCCTGCCCTCCAGCCCCTGGCAACCACCATTCTACTCTCTACTTCCATGAGTTCTACTTTTTGAGATTCCACATATAAATGGAACCTCTCATGCAGTATTTGTCTTTCTGGGCCTGGCTTATTCCACTTAGCATAATGTCTTTCAGGTTGATCCATGTTGTTACAAATGACAAGATTTTCTTCTTTTCAAAGCAGAATCATGTTCTATTGTGTATATATACCACATTTTCTTCACCCATTCATCCACTGGTGAACACTGAGGTTGATTCCTTAACTTGGCTATTGTAAATAGTGCTGCAATGAACATGGAAATGCAGATGTCTCTGAGACATACTGATTTCACTTCCTTTGGATGTACACCCAGTAGTGGGATTGCTGGATCATGTGGTAGTTCTATTTTTAATATTTGAGGAAGCTCAATACGGTTTTCCATGATGGTTATACTAATTTACATTCTCACCAACAGTGTACAAGGGTTCCCTTTTCATCACATTCTTACCAACACTTGTTATATTTCATATATTTGATAATAAACATTCTAACAGATGTGAGATGGTATCTCACTGTGGGTTTGATTTGCCTTTCCCTGATGATTAGTGAGTGAAGTGAGCATTGTAAAATATACCTGCTGGCCATTTGTATGTCTTTTTTTTTTTTTTTTTTTGAGAAATGTCTTCTCAGGTCCTTTGCCCATCTTTTTTTTTTAAATTTTATTATTATTATACTTTAAGTTCTAGGGTACATGTGCACAACGTGCAGGTTTGTTACATATGTATACATGTGCCATGTTGGTGTGCTGCACCCATTAACTCGTCATTTAGCATTAGGTATATCTCCTAATGCTATCCCTCCCCTCTCACCCCACCCCATAACAGTCCCTGGTGTGTGATGTTCCCCTTCCTGTGTCCATGTGTTCTCATTGTTCAATTCCCACCTATGAGTGAGAACATGAGGTGTTTGGTTTTTTGTCCTTGCGATAGTTTGCTGAGAATGATGGTTTCCAGTTTCATCCATGTCCCTGCAAAGGACATGAACTCATCATTTTTTATGGCTGCATAGTATTCCATGGTGTATATGTGCCACATTTTCTTAATCCAGTCTATCGTTGTTGGACATTTAGGTTGGTTCCAAGTCTTTGCTATTGTGAATAGTGCCGCTATAAACATACGTGTGCATGTGTCTTTATAGCAGCATGATTTATAATCCTTTGGGTATATACCCACTAATGGGATGGCTGGGTCAAATGGTATTTCTAGTTCTAGATCCCTGAGGAATCGCCACACTGACTTCCACAATGGTTGAACTAGTTTACAGTCCCACCAACAGTGTAAAAGTGTTCCTATTTCTCCACATCCTCTCCAGCACCTGTTGTTTCCTGACTTTTTAATGATCGCCATTCTAACTGGTGTGAGATGTTATCTAATTGTGGTTTTGATTTGCATTTCTCTGATGGCCAGTGATGATGAGCATTTTTTCATGTGTTTTTTGGCTGCATAAACGTCTTCTTTTGAGAAGTGTCTGTTCATGTCCTTCGCCCACTTTTTGATGGGGTTGTTTGTTTTTTTCTTGTAAATTTGTTTTAGTTCATTGTAGATTCTGGATATTAGCCCTTTGTCAGATGAGTAGGTTGCAAAAATTTTCTCCCATTCTGTAGGTTGCCTGTTCACTCTGATGGTAGTTTCTTTTGCTGTGCAGAAGCTCTTTAGTTTAATTAGATCCCATTTGTCAATTTTGGCTTTTGTTGCCATTGCTTTTGGTGTTTTAGACATGAAGTCCTTGCCCATGTCTATGTCCTGAATGGTATTGCCTAGGTTTTCTTCTAGGGTTTTTATGGTTTTAGGTCTAACGTTTAAGTCTTTAATCCATCTTGAATTGATTTTTGTATAAGGTGTAAGGAAGGGATCCAGTTTCAGCTTTCTACATATGGCTAGCCAGTTTTCCCAGCACCATTTATTAAATAGGGAATCCTTTCCCTATTTCTTGTTTTTGTCAGGTTTGTCAAAGATGAGATAGTTGTAGATATGCGGCATTATTTCTGAGGGGTCTATTCTGTCCATTGGTCTATATCTCTGTTTTGGTACCAGTACTAGAAAAGCAAGAGCAAACACATTCAAAAGCTAGCAGAAGGCAAGAAATAACTAAGATCAGAGCAGAACTGAAGGAAATAGAGACACAAAAAACCCTTCAAAAAATTAATGAATCCAGGAGCTGGTTTTTTGAAAGGATCAACAAAATTGATAGACCGCTAGCAAGACTAATAAAGAAGAAAAGAGAGAAGAATCAAATAGATACAATAAAAAATGATAAAGGGGATATTACCACCGATCCCACAGAAATACAAACTACCATCAGAGAATACTACAAACACCTCTATGCAAATAAACTAGAAAATCTAGAAGAAATGGATAAATTCCTCGACACATACATCCTCCCAAGACTAAACCAGGAAGAAGTTGAATCTCTGAATAGACCAATAACAGGCTCTGAAATTCAGGCAATAATCAATAGCTTACCAACCAAAAAAAGTCCAGGACCAGATGGATTCACAGCCGAATTCTACCAGAGGTACAAAGAGGAGCTGGTACCATTCCTTCTGAAACTATTCCAATCAATAGAAAAAGAGGGAATCCTCCCTAACTCATTTTATGAGGCCAGCATCATCCTGATACCAAAGCCTGGCAGAGACACAACCAAAAAAGAGAATTTTAGACCAATAGCCTTGATGAACATCGATGCAAAAATCCTCAATAAAATACTGGCAAACCGAATCCAGCAACACATCAAAAAGCTTATCCACCATGATCAAGTGGGCTTCATCCCTGGGATGCAAGGCTGGTTCAACATATGCAAATCAATAAATGTAATCCAGCATATAAACAGAACCAAAGACAAAAACCACATGATTATCTCAATAGATGCAGAAAAGTCCTTTGACAAAATTCAACAACGCTTCATGCTAAAATCTCTCAATAAATTAAGTGTTGATGGGACGTATCTCAAAATAATAAGAGCTATCTATGACAAACCCACAGCCAATATCATGCTGAATGGGCAAAAACTGGAAGCATTCCCTTTGAAAACAGGCACAAGACAGGGATGCCCTCTCTCACCACTCCTATTCAACATAGTGTTGGAATTTCTGGCCAGGGCAATCAGGCAGGAGAAGGAAATAAAGGGTATTCAATTAGGAAAAGAGGAAGTCAAATTGTCCCTGTTTGCAGATGACATGATTGTGTATCTAGAAAACCCCATTGTCTCAGCTCAAAATCTCCTCAAGCTGATAAGCAACTTCAGCAAAGTCTCAGAATACAAAATCAATGTACAAAAATCACAAGCATTCTTATACACCAATAACAGACAGACAGAGAGCCAAATCATGAGTGAACTCCCATTCACAATTGCTTCAAAGAGAATAAAATACCTAGGAATCCAACTTACAAGGGATGTGAAGGACCTCTTCAAGGAGAACTACAAACCACTGCTCAATGAAATAAAAGAGGATACAAACAAATGGAAGAACATTCCATGCTCATGGGTAGGAAGAATGAATATCGTGAAAATGGCCATACTGCCCAAGGTAATTTATAGATTCAATGCCATCCCCATCAAGCTACCAGTTACTTTCTTCACAGAACTGGAAAAAACTACTTTAAAGTTCATATGGAACCAAAAAAGAGCCTGCATCGCCAAGTCACTCCTAAGCAAAAAGAACAAAGCTGGAGGCATCACACTACCTGACTTCAAACTATGCTACAAGGCTACAGTAACCAAAACAGCGTGGTACTGGTACCTTTGCCCGTCTTTAAATTTGGCTGTTTGTTTGTTTACTACTGAGTTGTTTAGTGACTTTTGTTATCAGGAATCTCTTTGCTTTCTCTAATTCTAGTATTTTGATTTCTTTTGCATGTTATGCATGATCATTGCAATGTACTGAATGTTTGTCTCACTTTCAAATTCATATGTTGAAACCCTAATCCCAATGTATTAGGAGGACGGGACTTTGGGAGATAATTAGTTTATGGAGCTCCCATTAATTGGATTAGTGTCCTTATAAGAAGTGGTCAGTGATCTCTCTTTTTCTTTGCACTAAGTGAGGATACAGCAAGAGGTCAGCCATCTGCAACCTGGAAGAGAGCCCTTGCCAGAACCTGGCCATATGAGCACCCTGATCTCAGACTTCAAGCCTCCAGCACTATGAGAAATAAATTTCTGTTGTTTGTAAACCAACCAGTCTATGGTAATTTGTTATGCAGCCTGAACTGATTAAGAAATAACTTCATTAAATATTTCAGAAGAATAAGTATCATATCTGTGGCAACTGAACCTCTGTTGTTATTTTCCACCTTCTTCTTCCCTGACTCTTTGCACACAGGAAGATGTTTCAGGACCATCCGAGTTCATATGGGTCATATGATGTGTTTTGGTGACACGGTGTAGTGGTGCCGGTCACCTAGCTTGACTTAGCTTGGGTCTAAGTGCTACCTTCCCTATATCTTGACAGTGGCTACTGCTGAATCAACAGGTGTGACAGTGTAAATGGCCTAAGGAGGGGTGGAAGGACCTTGCACTTGGCAGTTCAACAGACAGTTTGTGTGCAGTAGTGTAATGTCCACTTATTTCACAGTCTGGAATCTTTCTATGCTCCTTGTGGGGGCAGACCTCTTTCTATTTTCCGCGAGGACTGTGGTCAGTCTGCAGAAGTCCAGCACTTTGTTTCTCAGTCCATCCCTACTGATGATGCAGCCTAGACTTTGGGGAATGGTCTTTTCTTATCGTTAGTTACACTATTATTACCAATATATAGTCCTTTCCATTTTGTTGGATACTTTACGAGAAATTGGAAAGAGGGGTTTCAGGTACTGCTAGTCTACCTTGTGATGCCTTATCTGTCATCATTGGTTTTATTACTATAATAATGGAAACATTTACAATCTTAATGCCAATATGTCACTTGGAGGCCCAGGTCTAGTGCCCCAACTGTCTCCCCTATAGTGAAGTCGGCTAGTCAAACTCCACAGACACACACAGAGCATCCAGGCAGCTGTCTTGGTGGTGGGAAAGACCTGACAGGGATAGAACAGCAGGAAAAACTCTGGCTGGTCACCTGGTCTCCCATTAAGTATAAATGCACAATCAAAAATCATGCATTTTGGATGTAATTATCCTTTTAACAACAAGACTAAATAAACAGTTGGCAGAAGCTAGGAAGTAGAATGTTCGAGGAGGAGAAGAAGGGTGGAGCTGCTAATATATTTCCCTCACATGATAGGGAGTTAAGAGATACCAGTGTGAACCAAGGGATAAAGATATAAATTTATAAAACAACATAAATGATTGGTTTGAAATAAACTTTAAATTGTACTGAACATTTAGTTAATTTTCCTCTGCTAAACAGTGGTAGGAAATTGTAGTAGGAAGATCAGATTAATTATAGACAAAATAAATAAATTAGATTTCCTCATTAAATCCAAATTATAGTATAAATTAAGTACTACCCTGCTATATGATAATTTTTTAATAGACACAAACAAAACCATGTCAATATTTCCAGTCACCAACAGAAAATGGAAGCAGTTTTGAGCAGGCATTTTAGCTTTCACTATTCTGAAATATGTTAGCTATAGACTCTGTTTGCTGAGTGTAGTGATGTTTGTAAAATTTTTAATATATAATCTTTAATACAATCATGTCTGAAAGTACAAAAGCAGAGTATTACATTTGCTAGTGAGAAAAGGCTGATGATTATGATGAAAATGAAAATCAAGATAATTTTACACATTCAAAACAATGATAAAATGACAAATTCCACATGTAAATATGAAATAAATTGTTCAATAAGAGACTGTTCCTCATGAACAAAGTCAATCATGCAAAATGTATAAAGTGCTGTGCTCATGCAATTGACAATAACGAACAGGAAATGAATAAGAGTCACAGATGAATTAGAAAATTTTAAGAGCTGTCATGTTAGAATATTGTCAATAACAAGACTGATGTGCTTCTCTGGAGTAGGCTCTTTAAAAAATTCCTTATAATAAGATATGTTGGTAATTAGGCCCTCAAAGGAAAAAAAAATCTCTGATTTGTAACATTTGCCAATTTCTATGGTGTAAATACTCCCAGCATGGCTGATTTCAAACAATGAGCCTGACCTCACTAAACTTGGAGCTGGGGAAAGATGTGTAATAGGTTCCAAAGCCAGCTTGAGCTGGCTGCCACATGACACTGGACTAAAGGATTTTCTAATATACTTCTTGTTCTCTGCACTGGACAATGGCAAATCACACCTAGATGCTATTCTACTGTTTTTTGGCTTTTATGGTGAGATAATTTTTTTCTAGGCATTGGCATACTTATGACTTCTGCTTATATGTTTTATGGGGTGGATACAACCAAGTGATTCCCTCAGAATGGGAGGGGCTCTGTCCTCTTCTCTTACTTCCCTGGGAAGAAATTATTGGCCATAGTGGCATTTGGGGCATCTAAGTGTAACTTTTACCTCATTTGAGGTGGATTTACTGGGAAATTCTTTTCCTCTTTATTTTTAAAATATATTCATTAAATCAGTAAGAAAGCATAATTTCTGGACTGAGATTTCTCATTGGAATTTGGCAAACATAAAATGACCTCATCTCTTGTTGAGTTTAGTATAATTTATTTTCGGAAAGATGGGTACTCAAGAGCAATAAATAAAAATCACAATGTTCTAATTCCCCATGTTTCCCAAGAAAAAGAAAAAAAGTCATTAAGATCCCCTAACAATGGCCGTGGGATCAGCATCAACACCAGATGCCTATTGACCTATTGTTAATTTCAGATAGGGCTAGGAGTTGGTTTGAGAGATTACAGATTAAACATGGCAGAGGGGCTGCTGCTGCAAATATTGTTGCAAACTCTGCATGCCTTGGATGGTTCCAAAGGCCCAAGCCTCACTGGAATCTGCTTAACATTAAATTAAGTCCCGAGGTGGGGAGAAGGAAGACCACGTGTCTTAGGCTGGCTTTCCCAGGTGCGGATACTGAAGTTCCTATGAGAAACCGGTGAGGAGCAGGGGAAGCAGGACAGGGAAGCGGAAGTGTGTGATTTCAGGTAAAGCCCTGCGGGAGGTAGCTTTGGCTTGATGTATCCGAGGAACCCTGGTGGGTAAGTTACCCTGAGAGTTTGATCAGACTCAGGCCAGGGAGCTGGGTTTCATATTCCAATACAAGTTGATCATTGTCTAAGGGCCAAACAAGGAGATGTAAATTCCCAAGTGTTCCTTGTTTTCTGCCTGTTGTGGCAAAGTGGCCTTGTAGCCTGATGGCAGTCCTCTAAAAGAGCCACAGGTATGGGCTGTTAGAAGTAAAGACACACGGAAGCTGGAGGAGTGCACACACACCACACACACAGATCCCAGGAGTTCTGGTTGGAACACGAAGGTGGTTTACACCGTGGTTGCTAAAAATTCTGTAGAATACTGTTGGAGATCATTGAGGCGGTGAGAAGGAGGTGGTGTGGATGACACCTGCCTGAGGAGATTTTCAATGTGGATGCAACAGTTTAATTTTAGAAGATGCCTGATAGAGTGTAGGTAAAGCAAAGAGAACAGCACAGCCAGTTTTAAAGCTTCGGGAGCCCTGCTCACACATGAGTGTGATGGCAATCCATCCAGGGACTGCAAGCTTGGACCCTTCTTGATTATGTTTTACTTACTGACACACATACTTACGAAGAGCTTCTGGAACTAAGTAGCTGCTTCTTTGTGAGTGGGAGGAGGCAGGATGAGCCTTAGAAGTTGCTCCTTAGGTCACCCCTAATATTTACAGGACCTGGGGCCGAGCGTTCAAGGTTAGATAAAATAAGTTCTAACACTTACTTTGACAAATACGCTTTCAAAATAGTCTGGAAGGCCAGGCTCAAATTTTGAATTTTCAAACTCCTTGGAGTTTCATGCTGAAATGTGGTGGCTAGGAGAAGGCTGGGCCCAAGCTCATTGGCCCCCACCTGAGCCCCCTTCCCTTTCCATCACTGTCTCCTTCATTGCAAGCATCTTTGAGTACATGTGTGTGGATGCCCCACCTGGAATGTCCAGAGCCTCTGCAAATAGCTGCCCTGGACATTCTTTGGGCTTGGGAGTGTAAATACCAGTGGTGTGGTTTACCCCTGGGAGGATGCACCTATGGACAAGGCCTGTACAGGTCCTGCAAGCAGGCTTGGGGTTGTTTGGGCAGAGAATTCAAGGCTCTTGAGCATCTAGGAAGTGGTCTAGAAGGGCTCTGGGTGGGCACATGCCCTTGGTCTTGCAGATTCCTCTTGCGGTAGAGACAGACATAATCCAAAAAAATGTCAGAGTGGGGCTTTCTAAAACACAAGGTCCAGGTACCGGGAGATACTGCCGAGCGGTGTGATTTTAAGTCACAGTGAAGCTTATCATGAAGAACTGGACCATGGAGGTAGGGAAAGATGCTACTTCACCAATAGGTCATTTCTCAAGATGACTATCTGGGAAATAAACTGTGAACAGGACACATTGGTCTATCCCTTAAAGACCTGAGTGGATTCTTTGATTCATACTGAAGTAGAGAGAGAATGGGGTCAATTGCAAATACCACCTGCCTGTTAGCTTTCAAGGAGTATGGATAGATTTTGCCTCATTTGAGAACGAGTAAACATCAGCAACACATGAGCCCAGTAAAAAAATACTGCAGAACAATGGATAAAGGACAGTACTCTGGAACCTCATAGAAAGATTCTATCTCTGAAGAGCCTATAGGAACAAGAAGAAAATTACAGGAGATTGTTTAGAATCTGCAATAATAGAATTCAATGAGGCATTGTGTTGTGAAACAGGAACATAACACCATGATGAGACAACAGGCTGAAAGAAGACAGCATGTTGAGATATGGAAGGCTTTCAAGTAAACCAAGAGCACAATAACATGATCAGTACCTAACTGTAAATCAGAATCAGTTATGTACTGAACAAATTTGAGAAGCTTTTCTAGGATGCAGAAAAAAATGCACAAGCAGAAGGAAAGAGAGAAAATGAAACCTCTAACATTTGATTACTTTGTGTTTCTAGGGAAGACAGCATAACACATGGAATAGAAGCAATCATAAAAGATGAAATAAAACCTAAGTTTGCAGGCTGCAGGGGTTCACTGCATTTCAGATGAAAACAGAAGAGATCCACATCTACATATATTCAAAGAAAAATTTTGAATTATACAGATTTTTAAAAAGTCCTATAAATCTATTTAGAAAAGATAATTTATCTGTCAATTGCAGGAATTATTGAGTAGTTTTTTCTCCTAAAAGCACTCTGATGCTATTTTGGGAAACTGACTCCTCTCTACTTGAGTCATTACAATGGAACCATAAGTCAAGATATTTTGTCCTTTCCTGCCAAGAAATGGGAATGCAACCTGAGACTGACAGGAGTGTCTCTCTGGAACTGAAACTTTAGCAGAGCAATAAAATGACAGAATATAGTTGTATCTGCTCATTCATCCTAGTTGCAATGCCATAATGTCTTTTATCACTTCTTACAAATTCTAGGATTGGCCCTTGTTTCTTTTTCAAACCTGTTGGGTTACCTTTTCTAGGTTCTAAGTTCCCCTATATTCTGCTTATAACTTCCACTTTTGCTCCAGTTGGCAAGATACCCTAAGAGAAAGGTAGATTTTTGAGGAGCGGGGAAACTGGCCAGAATGGGGAAAAGGGGGAAAATTCGCTTTCATATTGCGGGTTAGTATCCCAACAGTGTAAAACAACTGTTACGTTCCCTCTATGTGCGCCAGAAGGTGGTGCTCTGAAAAACTGAGTAGCTGATGGCAAAAAATAATTTAAACATTCTGGAACAACAGGGTAGGATGGCTGCTTCTGGTGGCATTGAATAACATAAAGTAAGAGAATAGCAAAATCAGATCTCTAAATTATCACATCAGGCTAATTTTCTGTGGCCTTTCTGTTTGGCTCTTCAAGACTCACAATTACTGATATAATCATGTTGCTGTGGGCATATTTCATATGACCTTCCTTCCTTATTTTATTAGTTTAGATAAGCTGTGAGTGCATTAGACCAGACGGTTTAGCTGTTGGCCATTTTAATGATAGTTTTTTTTTTTTTTTTTTTTTGAGACACTCTTGCTCTGTTGCCCAGGCTGGAGTGCAGTGGCATGATCTTGGCTCACTGCAACCTCTGCCTCCCAGGTTCAAGCAATTCTCATGCTTCAGCCTCCCAAGTAGCTGGAATTACAGGCGTATGCCACTGCGCCTGGTTAATTTTTGTATTTTTGGTAGAGACAGGGTTTCACCATGTTGGCCAGGGTAGTCTCAAACTCTTGACCTCAGATGATCCACCTGCCTTGGCCTCCCAAAGTGCTGGGATTACAGTGTGAGCCACTGCGCCCGGCCAGAGAGTTTATTTATTAATTTACTTTATTTATATTCTACACACACACACACACGGACACCCCTTTACACATACTCCTGGGAAAAATGCAGGGAGCAGAGCACACAATTATGGAGGTTTGAAAATACCTTCTTTTTTTCTTTTCTCTTTTTAGCTACACCTGCTGGAATGGGAGTATTTTTAAATACCTTCTAATGACACCAGCAAATAAACAAAAGTTGTGTTATCTTCACAATCACTATATGCTAGAAGGCTTAAAAAACTTCAGTATCTACAGAATTTGGAGGGAGACAAGTAAAGTTTAAAATAAGCAAAGTTGTCTTTTGTGTGTGATGGCAATAGAAAGTTATTCTTAGATGTGTATGGGCGCAGGAATCACACCATCCACGCTACCTTCTTGAAAAAACTGCTCCAGCCAACCAAGAGAAGCAAACTGGAGAGCTAAATAAGGGCAAGCATGGTCTGAAAGGACTTGTGGTTCTCACCTAAGCCTAATCCCAAACCTAACTGTAACCCTGCACTCAGGACCCCTGTGGAGTGTTTATTTTCAGGGGGATTTTGCAGGCAAAGGTGAAGCTTGGTCCAGCAGTGCTTCCTCAAGCTGCTTCCTCACCCTGCTGCTCATTTCCTGTACCAGGAAATGTGTCTCTCACCATACCTCCTTTGCTCCCTGGTGCAGCTAGAATTTAAAGCTTTGTTTGGTGAACATAGGCAATTTGTATTTTGTTTATGTATTTGCAAACAAAAGTAATCTGTACAGAGGGTAATGATTCAGTGCTGAGAAATAAATACATTTTCCCCTGATTCCACCAAGCAGGATGCTTAATGAAACATAATGAACTTTTTTATTGCCAAGCCGAGTAATGATTTTCTGAGTCTTTAAAACTTATATTGGAGGATTTTATCCTACAAAAATAAAAGAATTAGCTTATAAGGATATGTATAAAGATACACATTGAATGTGACAAAGCGAAGTAAAACAACTTGAATGCCATCAATAGGGAGTGATTGAATAAACTGTGGCATGTCCAGATTTCTAGAATATTACATAGCTACTAATAAGGAGTTCGATTTATATGCAATGACCGATAGGAAAGGCCACCAGCAAAGTACATTGCAGAGAAATGTATATAAATGATTGTATTTTTTGTAAAATCAGAAAAGCCTTTTATTGGTGTGAATATTTTCAGTTGTGTGCATTCATATGAATGTAGAAAAATGTGGACACTAAATTAACATTTCTTGTTTTCAGGAAGGGATAATAGCAGGAGTGAGAGTCACGGGAAAGGCAAATGTTGGGTTTTTCTTTGATACTCAGGATTTTTTTTTCTTGGAAAATAAGCGGCAATACAAGCATGTATTGTTTTTTCAGTTTGAAAGAAATCTGATAGAGTAGATAATAAAGATAATTTATCTTGAATGAAATGACTTCAGTATTTTTTTAAATTGAGAAAGATGAATACATGACCCAGGGACAGAAGTGATGTCAAATTCCTTTGCACATCATTTTCTACCTGTGATTTTCTATCTATGATTTTCTATCTATGATGTGTATCTGCTTAAAAATTACTGTATATTAATTGTTCTCTACTTGATCATTTATATACCATATAATCCAGCCTTTATATGTGTGCAGTTTGGTGATTTTTACTATACTTGGAATGGTGCAACCTGCAAACATCACCACTATCTAATTACAGAACAGTTTCATCACCCCAAAGAGAAATCCTGCACCCATTAGCAGTCATTCTTCATTCTCTGCCCTTCCACCCATCCAGACCTGGGCATCTACTTCTGTGTGTATGGATTTGCCTATTCTGAAACTTCATATAAATGATCCTACAATATGTTGCCTTTTGTGTCTAGCTTCTTTGACTTAGCATAATGTTTTCAAGGTTTATTCATGTGGTAGCATGTGTCACTATTTCATTCCCATTTTTTTTTTTTTTTTTTGAGACGGAGTCTCCCTCTGTCGCCCAGGCCGGAGTGCAGTGGCTCGATCTCTGGTCACTGCAACCTCTGTCTCCCGGGTTCAAGCGATTCTCCTGCCTTAGCCTCCTGAGTAGCTGGGATTACAGGTGCCCGCCACCTCACTTGGCTAATTTTTTTTTGTATTTTTAGTAGAGATGGGGTTTCAGCATGTTGGTCAGGCTGGTCTCGAACTCCTGACCTCTTGATCCGCCTGCTGTGGCCTCCTAAAGTGCTGGAATTACAGGCGTGAGCCACCGCGCCCAACCATTTCATTCCTTTTATAGACAAATAATATTCTCTTATAGTGGCATATTACATTTTGTTTATCCATTCATCAGTTGATTGACATTTAAATTGTTTCCATTTTTTGTCTATTTTGAATATGGCTGCTATGAACATTTGCGGACAAGTTTTTGTGTGGACACATGTTTTAAATTTTTTTTTGTATATACCTAGGAGTGAAATTGCTGGATCATGTTAGCTCCATGTTTAACATTTTTTGGAAACCATCACATTGTTTTCCAAATCAGCTGTGCCATTTTGTAATACCACAAAGAAAGTATGAGGGTTAAAATGTCTTCATATCCTTGCCAACACTTGCTATTTTCTGTTTTTTTAATTGTGGTTATCCTGATGGGTATGAAATGGTTTTGATTTTCTTTATCCCAATGACATGCCGTTGAACATTTAAAATGTTCTTTTGGTTATTTGTATTTCTTCTCCAAATAATTGTCTTTTCAAATTCTTTGCCCATTTAAAATAGTTGAGCTCTTTGTCTTCTTCTTATTGTTGAGTTGTAAGAGTCCTTTGCTCTGTATAGAAGTCCCTTGGCAGCTACATGATTTGCAAATATTTTCTCCCATTCTGTGGGTTCTCTTTTCATTTTCTTGACAGTATCATTTGAAACACAGAAATTTTAAATTTTGATGTAAGTCCAATTTATCTATTTTTTTCTTTTCATGCTTTGTGTTTTATCTAAGAAACTACTGCCTAATCCAGGAAGATTTAGTCCTGTAAAATTCTTTCTTCTAAGAATTTTACAGTTTTAGCTTTTACATGTAGGCCTATGATCCTGAGTTCATTTTTGTCTTTTTGAGATGGGGTCTTGCTATGTTGCCCAGGCTGGTCTCAAGCTCCTGAGCTTGAGATCAGGGATCCTCCTGCCTCTCAGCCTCCTGAGTAGCAGGACTACAGGTACATGTCACTGTTTCTGAGTTAACTTTTATATATGGTGTGAAGTAGAGGTCAAACTTTATTTTTGGCATGTAGATATTCTGTCGTCCCAGCACCATTTATTTAAAAAAAACTATTCTGTCCATATTCAAGTGTCTTGTCACCCTTGTCGAAAATCAGTTGATGATAGGCATCCAGGCTTATTTCTGGACTCTCAATTAATTCTATTGATCTGTTTGTCTATCTTTATGACTGTACCATACTTCATTACTGTTGCTTAGTAGTAAGTGTTGTAAGTGGGAAGTGTGAATCCTCTCAATTTTGTTCTTCTTTTTAAAGATTTTTTTTTTTTTTTTTTGCTATTCTGGGTCCCATGCAGCTGTATATAAATTTTAGGATCAGCTTGCCAATGTCTGCAAAGAAACCAGGTGAATTTTTATAGAGATTACATTGAATCTGTAGAACAATTTGGGAAGTACTGCCATCTTAACAATATTAAGCCTTCCAATCCATAAACAGGGGATGTCTTTCTATTTATTTAGAACTTAAATTTCAGTATACAAGTCTTGCACTTCTTTTGTTAAATTTATTCCTAAGTATTTTATTCTTTTTGATGCTATTGTAACTAAAACTGTTTTCTTAATTGCAGTTTCATGTTGTTCATTGCTAGTGTATAGAAATATAGCTGCTTTTTGTATATTGATCTTGTGTTGTGAAACTTGCTGAACACTTTAATTAATTTTTATAGTTTTTTTGCATTCCTTAGGATTTTCTATATACAAGATCATGTTATCTCTGAGCAGAGATGGTTCTACTTCTTCCTTACAATTGGATATTATCTATTTCTCTTGCCCAGGCAAATTTGTGTTCAGTACAACATTGAATAGGGTGGTAAAAGTGAATATTTTTCCTGTTTTTAATGGTAGGGGGAAAGCATTCAGTCTTTCCCTATTAAGTATTATGTTAACTGTAGATTTTTTAAAAGATGCTCTTTATTGGACTGAGAAAGTTCCCTTCTATTTCTACTTTGTTGAATGCTTTTATCATGAAAGGGTGTTGGATTTCATCAATTTTGTCTTCTGTATCTATCGAGGTAATCATATGGGGTTTGTTCTTTATTCTATTAATATTGTGTATTACATTGATTGTTTATCAGATGTTAAACCAATGTTGCATTCTTGTGATAAACTCCACTTGGTCATGGTGTATAATCTTTTTGTGTGTTGCTGGAGTCAGTTTGTTAGCATTTTCTTGAGTATTTTTGCGTTTATATTGTGCTAGTCTATTTTGCATTGCTGTACAGTAATACTTGAGATTGGGTAATTTATAAAGAAAAGAGGTTTGTTTGGCTTGAAGTTCTGCAGGCTGTACATGAAGCTAGTGCTGGCATCCGTTTCTGCTGAGGTGCTCAGGAAGCTTACGATCATGATGGAAGGTGAAGGGAAGCCATGACAAAATGCCAAAAGCAATTGCAACAAAAGCAAAAAATGACAAATGGGATCTAATTAAACTTAGAGCTTCTGTACAGCAAAAGAAACTGTCAACAGAGTAAATGACCTACAGAATGGGAGAAAATATCTGCAAACTATGCCTCTGGCAAAAGTCTAATATCCCGCATCTACAAAGAACTTAAACAAATTTACAACAAACAAACAACCCCATTAAAAAGTAGGTAAAGGACATGAACAGACATTTTTCAAAAGAAGACATACATGCGGCCAACAAGCATATGAGAAAAAGCTCAACATCACTGATCATTGGAGAAATGCAAATCAAAACCACAATGAGACACCATCTCACACCAGTCAGAATGGCTATTATTAAAAAGTCAAAAAAATAACAGATGCTGGCAAGGTTGCAGAGAAAAGGGGACGCGTATACACTGTTGGTGGGAGTGTAAATTAGTTCAAATTGTGGAAAGCAGTGTGTGAGTCCTCAAAGAGCTAAAAACAGAGCTACCATCTAACCCAGCAATCCCATTACTGGATATATACCCAAAGGAATATAAATCACCCTACCACAAAGACACATGGCGTGCATATGTTCAATGCAGCATTATTCACAATAGCAAAGACATGAAATCAATCTAAGTGCCCATCAATGGCAGATTGGACAAATAAAACATGGTACATACAGACCATGGAATACCATATAGCTATAAAAAAGAATGAGATCATGTCTATTGTGGGAATATGGTTGGAGCTGGAGGCCATTATCCTTAGCAAACTAATGCAGGAACAGAAAACCAAATACTGCATGTTCTCATTTACAAGTGGGAGCTAAATGATGAGAACTCATGGACACAAGGAGGGGAACAATAGACACTGGGGCCTACTTGAGGGTGGAGGATGGGAGGAGGGAGGGGATCAGAAAAAATAACTGTTGGGTACTAGGCTCAGTACCTTGGTGGTGAAATAAGCTGTATAACAAACCCCCACATGTACCCCAGAGCCCCCTATATAACAAACATGCACACGTACCCCAGAACCTAAAAGTTAAAAAAAAAGAGTGTGTTCTTTAATTTTCATGGTTGTATATTTCCCAAGTTTCTTTCAGTCATTATTTCTAATTTCATTCCGCTGCGGTTTGGGAACATATTCCGTCTATTTTTAATCTTGTAAATTTATTGAAGCTCATCTTATGGCTTAACATATGGTCTATTCTGGAGAATTTTTCATGCGCATTTGAAATTATTTGCTGTTGATGGGTAAATTGTTCTGTTAGATCTAGTTGGTTTATGATGTTGCATATTCCGTTTTTTTTTTTTTTTTTGAGATGGAGGAGCACTCTCTCACCCAGGCTGGAGTGCAGTGGTGTGATCTTGGCTCACTGCAACCTCCGCCTCCCTGGTTCAAGCGACTCTCCCATCTCAGCCTCCCAAGTAGCTGGGATTACAGGCGTGTGCCACCACGCCCAGCTAATTTTTGTATTTTTAGTAGAGACGGGGTTTTTGCCATGTTGGCCAGGCTGTTCTAGAACTCATGACCTCAGGTGATCTGCCCACCTCGGCCTCCCAAAGTGCTGGGATTACAAGCTCGAGCCACCGCGCCCGGCCTGATGTTGTATATTACTTTGAAATGTTGGCTTGTACAATCTTGGATATATTACATAATTGCAATTATATAAAAATTCTCAGCAAAATATTGTGAGGAAACATAAAGATTTTAATAACTACCTAGTGAGACTATGGATGGCTTTCCCTCCTTATTCTCTTTCTCTGTATTTTTCAAATTTCTTGTGATGAGCATATATTTTCAAATAATGATAAAATAAACTCCAGTTTATGAATCAGTCAGGATAGAAGAGTACATCTGGGAAGGCTTTCTGGAGGAGGTGATAAAATTGTGGTAAGATTTATCCAGACATATTTGTTACCATTCTGAGCATTGTGCAAACAGCAGGTCCTCTGTAGCTGTTTGTTGAGTTGAAGATAACAGTTTTGTGAGGATGATTTGAATTTCCATCTGTTCAAATATTAAATATAAATATAAGGAGTTGACTGGTTACTTTAGCTTTCACACTAAACTTGTAGTGTTTGGGCAGCTCATAAGTAAAATATCAGAAAAAAAATCCCTAAGAATTGGAATCCTCAATCTTTGAGATGAATTTCCTAATATATGCCAATAGCCTTTTTTGCTGTTGCCAGTTTTAGTATTTGGCAGCTCCATAGTCAATATTTTTAATTTTATGTTGGAGGAATCTTAAGTAAAGTTTTGCAAAGTTTTGCTGGATATATTTTGCTAGTTGTTCAACATATTAGGTCCTTTTTAGTTCCCCCTCTATGAAATAATTATGCTTACTTGTTTGTGATTACATTAGAGAGTAACAAAAACATTTATTAGTTTATATCCACATTTGGTCTAAAGATTTGCAATGGATTGAAGAAGGTAAGGTTATTTCCTATAACTTTCAAGAACTTCTTTAATGTACATTTTGCAAAGCTTACAGAGAGTATGGCTCTGCTGTGATTTCTAACAGCTCCTTTTTGCTCACAGGCAGAGTATCTGTGGAATCAGCTTTTCTTGTACTAGGGTTGGGTTGTAAATTGTAGTGCCATCTGCAAATAGACTAATAACATGTGAGGCAATGCCAGTTTTTATGCCTTATAATTTGGGATGATTCTCATCACAACTGTGAGTGGCTCTATTGTGAAAGCAAAAGGAACAAATTGATTATAGTCTCATTTCTCTGTAGACTGCAGTCCAGACTGCAAAATTTATTTTAGAGCAAGCTTTGGCTTCCTTACACAGATAAATAATCACCTAAAATACAGTTCTTCCAAATCATATTTTCTTTTATTTCTGAAGAAATATTCCCTCCAGGGAGCTTCTACTGCGTGGTCACATTTATGCTGTTTATGGTAGTAAATTAAATTAAAATTTCCTTTATTTGTGTTTGCCAAGTTTCTGTTCCTAATGTCTGCTGTGTTGGGGAGTGACAGGAGTCATAAGACTGTTTTTGTTGTTGTATCTCTATTGAGTTAGAACAAGAGCAAAAAATAGACATTTTTCTATTTGCTAAAATGCACAGTGACAATCCAAACAAAAATAAAAATCGATGAGGATCCCATTTTGCCCCATTCTCTTGCTGCTGTTAAGATTTTCAATGATTTTTTTTCCGATTCCTTTTTCTTTGATCAGATATTGAAGTCAGAGTGAGAGTTTTGGATTCATTGAATTTCAGACAAATGGTTATATGCCTAAGAAAGGTAAATGACAAGTTCTTTTTCTTCCCTTTCAAATTCTCATGGTATCTGTTTTACTTACACAGGAGGAGAGAGAGAGAGAGAGAGTGTGTGTTTGTGTGTGTTTGTGTATTCGTATGAAACTAGAAGGAGATATTGTACATTGTACAGTTGAAAATATTTGGCCTGCAATTTTATTCTTTATTTTGTCTCTAAAAGTTTATCACAGAAATTTCTTTCAGTTGTTAACTGTGAGTTTCAGGATACCAAGAGGGCTGCTCCACACCAAAAAAAACTGATGGTTATGTCTACATTAAGTTTTAAGACTGAATGTGTCAATTCAAGGGCTGGAGGAGACATAGAGGTGTCCTGGGCAGAAAAATGATCTGATGCACCTTCAAACCAGTGTTCTTGAGATGTTTAATCAAATTTATTGAGAAGAAATGCTGATCATTCTGCCCTTGGTTTGTTTAGATCTGGCCCCAGACTTGCAAATTATACTTGGCATAGCAAAGATTCTGCAGTGAATCAGATCAGCCTCTTTTGCTTTTTAGTGGAAAAAGGAAAGAATAATATGAAAAACACTTATGTAACCACCACCATACAAAATTATAAAAGTGTTTAATATTTGGACATAATTGCTATATTCCCTCTTCCTCTTCTTCTTCCTCTACTTGTTTTTTTTTCTTAAAAAAGGAAAATATTACATGAAAGTGAAGGCCTATATATTTTCCACTTTCCCCAGCGGCAACACTATCAAGAATTTGAGCATCCATACATTTATACTTTTATGAATCTGTGAACAATATGCAATGCTGCTGTGTGGTTTTGAAGTTTACTTGAATTACATACGCTTCACTCAATACTCTGTAACTGGCTCTTTTCTCTAAACATATTTTCAAGCTCTACCCACGTAGATCCAAGTGGCTAATTAATTTTAACTGCTATTTAGTATTCCATTGTGCAATAACACCACACGCAATTTATCTACTCTGATTGATGGATTTTAAGGCTTTCCAAATTTTTCACTATTACAAGCTATTACTGCATTGCTCTTAATATTTAACCATTTAATATGATAATTGCTGATGATTTTTGGTAAAGACCCTTTATCAGATTAAGAAAGTTCCCTTATGGGGAAAGGAGAGAGGGAGGGTGACCAGGGCTGAAAAACTGCCTATTGGGTCTTTGCTGAGTACCTGGATGATGGAATCATTCGTACCCCAACCCCAGGGTCACAACATACCCATGTAACAAATCTGCACATGTACCCCCTGAATCCAAAATAAAAGTTGAAATTATAAAATAAAAAAAGGAAATTTCGCCTCTATTGCTTGTTGGCTAAGTGTTTCAAACTCTTCTTACAGTCAGTTTTATCTTCCTACTTGGGGGTTTTCCTCCCAGATGCAAAAAGCTTATCACAGATGTTCCTTCAGATTAGATATAATAGTCTGTCTGAAATAGAGATTTCATAAATTCATTTCATTATGCTTTCCTTGATGTTTCAGTTCTCCTGGTTGATTGGTGCCCTGGAAAGCTGCCCAAATAACCCATCCCTGCATCTGCCTCTATCAATTTGGGAAGTCAACCATTAGAGTATTCTTTTAATATCCAGTTTAAAAACTAACTTATAAGTTAAACAAAGACTTCTATTTATTTTATAAGAATTCTTAAATCTTTGGGGTAGGAATATTCTACCTAAAAACAATGCTTAGCTTAAACAAAAACGGAACCTCTCATAGAAAAAAAAATTGTCATCACAGACTGAGATATTTTTGCCCCCTAAAGCAAAAATGCTACTTACTTTGGACTTAGTATACTATTTTTAAAATTAAGTATAAAAACACATATCAGACCTGAATTTTAAAAAGTAGTCTTACTGTAAATACAAGAAAAACTAGATATTTAATAAGGTAAAATGACAGAATGAAATTATATATTTACCATATCTTCAGTACATTTTGTGCTGCACAATGCACTTGCAATTATATAAAGCATTCTGTGTGTGCTATGTATTATAATTGTTGTTAATTTGAGATAACTGAAAATAGGAATTGCATAGACAGTAAATATTTTACGTTTTCTCTTTGACTGAAAGTAGGTGACACTTCCTGTGGCTGCCATTTCAACAGTCCCCACTGTATGGCAGAAGCAGCCTGCTCAATCCGCTAGTATCCACAGCAATCAATATGGCATTCTTTCCTTTTCTAGGAGCCAGAAAGCCTGTGATTATGTGCATTATGTGATGGAAGAAAGGATGGTATTTAGAGTAAGTCCCTCAAGATACAGCATTGTATAGTCACAGTGATATTGACGCATGTATCATAATGCATATATCCTTCTATTTTCCTTTTTACCCCCAAATAAGTACATTCTTCTATCTCTACAGACAACTGTGTTGCACAAGTAACCTTCTTATATCAAATCCACTAGAACATGAGCCAAGATATTGTCAGATATTAAATAATAGGAGAAACATCATCATTCAGAGATGCTGCTAACTACCACTTAGGTAAACAGAAATGTCAGTTTGTGAATGCTTTTCGTATTCACTGCAACATTACTTTCTAAGGCGTGCGACACTGAAGGAATGTACTCACACTTATGTAAAGCTATGAAGCTGCCATATTGTGCACGCTATTCTCATGTATGCCTGCTGATGTTCAGAGATGGCTAAGATGCAGAATATTTCCAACTTGTATTGGCAACTCAACCCATAGTTGAAATGGCTTGGGCTTTCCTAAGATAAACAACTGTGGAATCGGGCCTGGCATTAGGGTCTTTATTTAAGAAGACACCCAGATCTGCTTTAGGAGCCCTCTGCTTCACATTTTCCTTCCAATGGTGAGCCATGATCTTTGAAATCCCAAATATTAGCAATGACTTAAGATCTTTCTGGAGAGAAGAGTGCTTTAACTGGGTTAAGTTTAGTTATCAACTTAATGCTTTTCAACTAGAAAAAGTTGCGTTTTTCCAGTCATAGGGACACAGTAGAGTGTGCTAGGTGTGTGGCAAAGCACAGGATAATGTATGTGACATATTTTCTTGGTGGGTCATATTTGGTCATTGAGTAATGTAACACATTGCTGTTAAGTTCTTACAAATAGACCTGGAATAGAATGCAACATTCACATGAATTTTATGACAAAATGTGAATCTTCAATTAAGTTTCCTGCTTGCAACAGACTGCTTCTTACCTTACAACTTCCAGATGCTCTGGGGCCACAATTTTCTCTCTTCTACCTTAGTAGACTTCTAGGAAATTTGGGAAGTGCCAAGTTAGCTTGGATTTATTTTACATTAGCAACTACCTGTAATCTACAGTACAGATAACAGTGGCAATGAAACAAGGAGGAATAAGTTTCAAATGGCAGGTTGGTATTTAGGAGGACAGGGCCTTGCATGGCCCTAACAGGGCACCATATTGAGAGTCTTGGGCCAGAAGAGAGACAGCATAAGGGACTGGCTGCCTAAAGAGGTCAGTTGCACCACGTATTTCCCAATTTGCTCATGAAATGCTTGGGACTCTCTTTGGTCTCTGAACCTCTAACTCTGGTATTTTTCTGCTTGCTTTGGTTACCTCCCTAATTAAGTGACTCTCTAACTGCAAAGGAGCCCATACCATGTTAAATGTGAATACTTAGCATTTGTATTCCTCCAGTCTAGGTCCTACTTATTTAGGATGGTCCTGCTCAAGTCTCAAGGCCTAGATTCGGAGAGAGTTAGAGATACTCTGGCACACGCACTTTTTTTTTTTTTTTTTTTAAGACACATTCTCACTTTGTCACCCAGGCTGGAGTGCAGTTGTGCAATCTCATTTCACTGCAGCCTCAACCTCCTGGGCTAAAGTGATTCTCCCACCTCAGCCCCCCAAGTAGCTGGGACTACAGGCACTTACCACTATGCCCAGCTATTTTTTTTTTTTTTTTGTATTTTTTGTAGAGATGAGGTTTTGCCATGTTGCCCGGGCTGGTCTCAAACTGAGCTCAAGTGATCCACCAGCCTCGGCCTCCCAATGTGCTGAGATTACAGGCATGAGCCACCACGCCCTGCCTGGCACACACTCTAAAGCCTTCAGGGGCTTCCTAACTGAGCTCCTTCCCATGGCCTGCCAGGCCCTCCATGCTCTGGCTCCTGGGTGCTCCTCATTTCCTGCCACTCCCCAACACTCCTGGTGACCCAGCCACACTGGTCTCCTTGCTGCTCATCGGACACATTGCGTCGTTCCTATCTCAGGGCCTTTTCCTCCCTGCTGCTTCTTCCAGGAATGCTCTTCCCACAGCTTTGAGTTTGGGTTGCTCCCTCACTTCATCCACACCCCTACTCTAATGTTATTTCATCAAAGAGATCTCCCTAGCCTCCCTTTCTGGCACCCCACTGCAACTCACTATCCTTTTACCCTGACTTACTTTTATTTGTAGCCTGTATCACTACCTACCATGTAACTTATCTATTTATCTGTTTATCATCTGCCTTCCCCTTCTTCCCCACCACACTATAAAATCCATTAGGACAAAATCATTGTCTTGTTCAACACTGTATCACCAGGACCACAGAGTGCCTGAATTATGGTCAGTGCTCAAAAGGGATTTGTTATCAACTGCGCTCTGTCATTTTACACATCAGATACTGAGGTCAGGCAAGGTATAAAGAGAGCAGGGGCAGGAGCAGTGGCTTCCCCTCTGACTGCTCCCACCATGCCAACCATTTCTATTTCTGAGCATGAGTAGAACTCACTACCCATACCCGGCCGCCCCATACCTGACTGTGTACTGCCTTGTCCTGGTCTCGAATCACTACAAATCACGCTTGGCAAGTTTGTATCGAAAGCAATGTTTGCTTTAGTGGGATCTGGCAAACCCAGGGTCCCCAAAGACCACTAAGCAGTCACCAGCACTGAGTTTTAGAAATGGCTGGCTTGTTTTATTACCAGTTAATAGCATTTGTATTTGTGCTTTTGCAAATAACCATGAGAAATCAGTCATCAGGCATGAATGATATGAGAAAATTAAGGACAAGGTCCTAAAAAATGGGCTGGGGATGAGGACTACGGTTCAGTAACTGGATCAAGCGTGTGAAGACTCAGGGGAAAGAATTTACATGGGGTATATGCTGTTCAAGAAGGACTAAAATTCGGGGCCAGATGCTACTGCATCTCCTCCTCCCCCACCACACACACACATTCGAAGGGCTATGGAGGGCACCTTTTTTCTTTAGGGAAAATTATCCCATTTCATTCATCCTACAAACATGAGGAGTGGCTGTGTTTTCAGAAGTGCCAATGAAAATCCCAAGTCCTGGGTCTCTGAGAGATACTTTCTTATGTGGTTAAGAAGAATCAGGATGCATAAACTTGAATCCTTTCTCTACCATTTATTTGCTCTAAGATCTTGGGCAAGTTATGTAAAGTTCTCTCTGTTTTCTATCTGTTAAATGGAAATAAAAATGATACCAGTTGTATGGGTTGTTGTTGAGATTAAATAAAGAACTGCTGGTAAAGTGCTTTTTACATTATCTGCCAAGCAGAAAGGGCTCAATGCATTTTAAATAAGTAAATATATATCCCTGAGTAAAGCAGGGAGGAACCAGCCCAGCCAATGGCTTCCCTGTTTTCAAAACCACCCTGCTTGTCCTTCCAGAGGAATAAGACCAAATTCCTGGGGATTTTGGTTCACTCCTTGGTCAGCAACCCTGCAGATTTATTTTTTCTAGTCATTTCAGGCTCTGTGTCTAATGATGCCAAGTTACCTGGCTTTATGGTGAGTATGAAGCTGAACGCTAACTGCGGAAACTCCCCGGGCCAGGCAAAGCCTTGGAAAGTGAAAGTGGCTGTGAAGGCAAAGGTGCCACCTGGTCTTTCCCTAGGGAGAGCAAGACCCCAAACTGATCCTTATCATGAGATTCTGGGTACTGAGGTGAACTTGGGCTTGCAGCTTTGCAGTGAGTTTGGAGCCCACCTCTTTGAAGGCAGATTTCATGCATGCTTTCTTTGTGTAAAGTATTTTGAGAAAGTAGATGTATTTGAAGATGTTAATTTGGGCAGAGGACTATCCTCAGGTAATGCTGGGTGCACTTGTGGGAGTGGGGCCAAGCACCAGCTACTGCAGATAAATGTGCTGGCTCTGATCTCTGGTACCTCTGTTGAGTGACAAGCTCTTACAGAAACAAAGGAAGTGGCGGTATAGCAGGGACAGTCCCTTGTGGGGACTGTAAATGGCTGAGACTGCTACCATCTGCTCTTCTCGATTCAAATATTTAACAGGAGGTTGAAAACACAGAAGTTCCCATGAAATTACCAGTTTTTTTCCCCCGAACTTAATTTCTGTCAAGGAGAGGGAGGGGTCCCTTGTGTTAAACGTCTGCTTTTCAGTTTTCGAGACTGCCAGGAGATGGCGCCAGGGCTTGGTTCTTAATGGGTTCCTTGGCGCACCAAAGAAAAGACATGCTCGGCGTGGGGATGGAGGCCTCCGTCTCGGCGTTTCCATGTAACTCGTTTCTCAGGATATCTGAACAGAAACCCTGGCCTTGACATTCCTTGGGTTAAATGGGCTTCTTTTTTCATCTGGCCGGGAATTGAGTTTCTGGTCATGGCGCGCTACATTTTCAGTCATCGATTCTCCTCAGAGGGTCGCACGACTGATGTTGTCTCTGGACATATGCTAATAAGAAACCAGAGAGAGCTTGGAGAGGGATTTTGAATGCATTAGAACTTTCCAGCGTGTTGCATAAAAAATAGAAAGTAGAGGTCATGTTATTTGGGAAATAGTAGACGTGTTGTATCATACCGTTTTTTTTTTTCTTCTTTTCAGACCCTTTTCACTGATCTGTTGCTCTTAGCCCAGAAAACGGTATAGCTGATGCCAGAAATTACAGCACGTTCTGCTAGGAAGTGTTTACACTTCAGGGCTGAACTCCTAGCACGATTAATAAACATCACCACCACAACATAAGAACGACTGAGCATGTGGTACCTATCCGCTCATTTAACCCTTACAGTAATCTGGGATATGTCCTTTATGATGTACTTTTTTCAGGCTAGAAAACTGAAGCTTAGGTTCAATAATTTGCCTAAAGTCATTCAACGTGTGATCAGAAGAGTAGAGATTGAAACTCAGACCATCTGACTCCAGGCCCACAAGGTTGTCCCCGGCACCCTACTAGAACAGCAATTTTGGGGGTAACGGGGCACCCCGGAGGCAGTGCTCAGTGGTTCCAGGTAGCTTGGTGTGCAGAGAGGCACCCAGGTATAGAGATGTGGTAGTCGTTTAGTGTTCACTGTGTCATGTGAGCGCTGTGTCATGTCCTGTGGCTTCTCTCAACACCGTGTGCAGAATCCAAACTTCCCCAGGCCTGCAAGCTCTGAGCTCTGTTCCCCTCTCCTATCCTGCTTGGTCACCCTCCAGGCATCTTTCTCCTTCCAGAACTTGCCAAGCCCATTTCTGCCTCAGGCTCTTTGCACCTGAGCTCTCTTCCCTTAACTCCTCACTGGCTGGCTCTTTTTCCTCAGGGCTCAGCGCAGACAGCCCTTTCTCACCCCATGATGTAAGGAGGCTCCCTCTGCCTCAAGGCCTCCTGACTCCTCACTCTGTTTTATTCCTTTATCGCACTTGTAATGATCTCTAAGTATCTTGTTTGCCTGGGTATCGTCTGTTTTTCTCTCATTGGAATGTAAACTCCATGAGGAGGGGATTGGACAGTCTGGTTCATTGCTGTATTCCTGGAACCTAGAACATGCCAGAAACAAAGGAGGTGCTTAATAAACATTTATTGAATAAATATGATGGGGGAATGTGATAAAAGCAGCAGGAGTTGTGGTCCCACCTGTCAGGAGGCTCACAGGACAACGAGAGAGCCCAGGTTGGCATGAAACAACTGAAGATCAATCATGGCAAGGGTGGTAGTGGCCCAGAATAGTGGTCACAAAAACAGATTCTGGGGCTTACCCACCTTGGGAGGCTGAGGCAGAAAGACGGTTTAAGCCCAGGAGTTTGAGAACAACCTGGGCAACAAAGTGAGACCCTGTCTCTACAAAAAAATAAAAAAAATTATCCTGGTATGGTGGTGTGACCCTGTAGTCCTAGCTACCTGGGAGGCTGAGGTGGGAGGATTGATTGAGCCCAGGAGGTCGAGGTTGCTGTGAGTTGTGATTGTACCACTGTACTCAAGCCTAGGTAACAGAGTAAGATCTTGTCTCTAAAATAAAATAAAATAAAAATAGATAAATCCTGACTCCAGTACTCACTGGCTGTGTGATCTTGGCCAAGTTATTTAGCTCTTTCATGCCTCAATTTTCTCATCAGTAAGTTGAAGATAATAATATTAGTAATATTAATACCCACTCATGGAATTGTTTAAGGATTAAATGAGATATATATGAGTGCTTGGAATGGTGACTGGCACATAGTGCTCTATAAATATTTTTTAAGTAAATAAAGGTATAATTAAGCAGAAACCTATGGCTTTAGAAATTCAGAAAAATGAAAATGCCAGTGTTGGGGAAAGCCCTGTTTCTTGGAGGTGGTTGGATTTGGATTGAGGAAGACAGGGAGTCTGAGGGGATATTTGCACTTGCTCTGGTGCCTCATTTCTATGTAAATATCTATTCAAGAAATATTTGTTTATTGATTTATTTTTGTTCAATAAATATTTATTGAGCATTTATTATGTGTCAGTGCCTAGGATGCAGCAATAAAATTGTAAACAGTACAAAATGAATTTCATTGATTTAAAAAAATTTTTTTTCTTTTTTTTGAGGAAGATGCTCTTTTTTCTCATTTCTTGAATTGGATTCTTGACTTGTATACTTTCAGGAAATATTTATTAAGCATGAGCAAAAAATGGTTAGTAAATCATCCCTCCCAGCCCCACCCCCAAAGTATGCTAAGAATTTATTATATATAATGGGAGTTTTTTAAAAAAACGTTAGTATTGTTTGGACTTAACATACAGAATGATGCTCTAGAAAACCATAGCCTCTCTTCTTCCTCCAGCTACAGTCTTTCCTGTCCCAGTTAGGGTACAGGTTCTGAAATGAACCTCGACTGGCTCTAGGTGACTCTGCTGGAGAGAAGTTCAAATTCCTCACTCTCTCCTCTTAGTTCGATTCAACCAACATGCACTGAGAGCTAACTTTATGCAAGGCAGACATGCGAGTGTAGAGAGGGTAATAAAAATGACATCCTTGATAACACAAGCATCTAGAAGAAGTTTAGAATGAATAGTGGCCCCAGGCCTGCAGTGCAGAGAGGAACCATGATGGGAGCCGGAGGGGAACGGACAGAAGGCCCAGGCCCAAGACGGGACTTCATGTCGCAGAGTGAAACTGGCTCCCAGTCCCCAGGTGGAGGTGGCTCTGAAAGATGACAGTGCCTAAAAAATAGCAACAACATTGAAAACACAATGAAATGCTCATTTTTATATTAAGGGAGGGTGAGTTTTAGAGAAGGGCTCTGTGCATTTTCAACAAGGTGGGAGATAAATGGAAAGAAGCCTTCTCTTGGCTGTAAAGACAACATCAAAGCTTCTCTATTGATCCAAGGGAAATAATTACAGCGATATCCTGAGAGAGTCAATGGACTCCCAACATAGAATTCCACGTCTGATTTATGCAATCTCACCCATTCCCAACACATGGCCTCGGGACACAGTGGCAAATAATAACATTTAATTAAAACACATAAAACAGAAGCATCAATGACAGCCAAGTCAAAATCAATATAATGCTAATTTCTAAAGATGGTGCTTGCATGAGGTCCAGGGGGTCAGCAGCAAGGGATTTCACGACAAAGAGCCTTTGTGAAAGGGAGCAGACTTCCATTTCCTGTGGCTGGAGTTACAGACCGCAGAGATCCTATAGCTCAAATCCCTCACTGCACAGAAGATAAACCGAGGTCTGGAGAACTGAGAATTTCATAATAGAGTCAGTGGTAGCATAATAATCTGACTTTTAGGCTTGTGTTCTTTGTTCCTGTGTCATTCTCCCTTTAAGTCTCAGAGTTCTTGGTAGGAATGCCCTCTCACTTCAGATGGAGTGCCGAAGTCAATGGAAGAAGCCACCCATCAGTGGCACAGGTGTCTCTAAACCTGACAACACATGACATCTTCCATGGCTGACTGCATCTCAACAAAGGTTTTTAATCGGCAGCCTGCAGTGTGACGTTTCTAAGTCAAATTGCTTCTTTGTGCCTGCAGGTCCCCTTCCTGTCACTTGGATTTGGTCAGAGAGCTCACAACCTCAGCTGCACCATCTGCTTTTTCAGAGGACAAGGAGACCCTCATGGCCCAGAAGAAATGGCAAATGAAACAAATTCTCCTTGAATTCGTGTAGAACATAATTCTGCAACAGATAGAATTTCCTTTTCATCCAAATAGATCACTTGGGTGATAAATGTTAGAAACTGAGTAGGTTGCATGGGGTTAAGATTACATTGTGTTTTCATCAGTTCCCAGCTCTTGGTCTGAAATTTGGGCACAGAGTTCTGGAAACTCTGACTTTTCAAGAAGTTGCTTGGCATTGTTCTCTTTGACTAAAATGGAAAATGGGAGATGCTTCAAGTCTTAATTGCATTTGCAGTCTTTGGTAGATCTTATCAAATTGCAATTGTGAATAATCTTTGGGGTTGCAGAAGTGTGAGACTGAGGTGGTCGTGGGAGTATAGACTCCAAGATGGCTGATTTCTACTCGGTAGCAGACTCTGTCTGAAAATGCTAACTTTACCCTTGCTCACAGACTGGAGAACAGGCAACATGGCCTGTGCCCTTCTGGTTATTTGGTTCTCTGTGTGAAGGTGTTGGGTAGAGGGTGTCACTGGGCTGGCGGTCTTACAGCATAAGCAAACAGATATCTCCTTTTAAGAGCTATTGGATTGGTGACCATAGAAAACTGGAAGTGCTTGGCAAATCTTGTCTAAATCAGGGGTTCTCCCAAACTTTCTAAATAAAGGGCTTAGGGGTGCCAATCTGGTTCAAAGGGGGTCAGCTAGGGACTTGTTCTGCAACAGAGTTTGCATAATAATTTAAACTACCATTGATTGAAAATTTATTTTGCAGTGAGAATGCTTCATTTAATCTTCAAAACAACCCTATGATGGATGTTTTATTATTAACCTTACTGTACTGATTTCCAGTTGAGGCATTGTGAGTAACTTGCTCAAAGTCATACACGGGTGGTGAAGAAAGGACTTAAGCCAATGTAGTTTTACTCCAAAATCTATACACTTGTCCATTATACAACCCTGCCTTTTAGTTGTGAGCATGATGTCTATTACTTAGATGTGATGCTTATTTGGGGTGGCTGATGGAGATGATGGGGGTGGTAAACTTCCTCCACCCAAGCCACTTGTCTGAAGGTTTTTAGCTGCATGTATTTACTCTGGAGAGCTTAGTCTGTAACTGAAAACAGGATGAATCCAAGCAGGTCTGCTGGTGAACCAAGAACCTGCTGGAGCTTTCAGTGATGAAAATCAGGGAGAAGAGCTAGGTACAAACATCCAGTTGTCAGAGTTTAGCTAATAGCGCAGGCACTGTCTACCAAAGAGGTAAAAGCTAGCCAGCAGAGTGGTAGAGAGAGTTCCTGGCACGTAAATAATTATTTTTCTCTGTCTTTGTCACAGACATACAAAGTATTTCAAGGGAACCTTGTTCAGGAACCTTAGAAGGGCCAGTTGAGGCTGTTCCTCTCCTTGTTTTAATAGTTGAAGCAGACTGAAGAGAACATTTGTGGCTAGTGCTGCAGAAAAAATCACCAATGGCTGAAAAAAAAATCAGTTGAACAGCTTTTGGTATCAGGATAGCTGTTGGACCTGGAGCTGTGGATAAACTTTAAGGGTGATAATGTCATAGGAGATTCACAGATTTAATTCTATTGAAGGAGAGAACCCTTATGGGATTAACCAGTCTTTAAAAAAAAGTTGACTGGTGACAAAAATACCTAATTGTGGATTTGCAAAAATGTTTTATTTATTAAAATGATACATGCTAATGAGGTATAAGAAAAAATATTTACAAAGAAGAAATTCCTTCATTTATTCTACAAATAATTTTAAAGTATCTACTATGTGCCAGATATGGTTTAGGCACTTGGGACTCAGCAGTGAACAAAACAGACAAAAGTAGCTGCCCTTGGGGAGCTGAACCCCTAGCACGGGAGGCAGATACGAAAGGTAATAATTAAGTAAAGTACATAATTAGTATATGAGAAGATGGTAAGTGGTATGACCAAAAAAAAAACAAAAACAAAAAACAAAAAAAGAAAGTAACAGAGGAATGGGGAAAGAGAGTTGAGGCAGAGAAAGGAGCAGCTTTCTAATTTGAAAGGATGGCTGAGATAAGCCTCTTTGAAAAGGTGTCAACTGAGCAGAGACTTGAATGAGGTGAGAGTGAGGCTTGGAATATTGATGGGTAGGATGTTATGGGCAGAGGCAATGGCAGATGCACCAACCCTAAAGTGAGAAAAGTCCCCTGTGCCTCAGGAGATGGGGTCAGAGAAAGAGTAGGCAATGGTGAGGTCAGAGGCAATGAAGACCAGGGCATAAGTGAAATGGGGGCCCTTGGAGGGTTTCATCAGAGGTGTGAGATAACCTGACTTTGTATTTTAAAAGGTTTATTCTAGAAGCCATGGTGGAGGAGCAGGGGACAAGCAGGGAGGCCAGTCAGGAGGTTCATACTGTCATCCAAGGAAGAGAAAATGGTGGCTGGGACCAGGGTGGTAGCAGTGGAGATGGTAAAAGGGGCCAGGATTCTGGATAATCTTGAAGTTACAGCCAATATAATTTCTGAGGGACTAGGTGTGGCAGATATCAGAAGAGGAAGAGTGAAAAGATGATACCAGCTGGGCGCAGTGGCTCTTGCCTGTTATCCCAACACTTTGGGAGGCTGAGGTGGGTGGATCACTTGAGGCCAGGGGTTTGAGACCAGCCTGGCCAACATGGCAAAACCCTGTCTCTACTAAAAATACAAAAATTAGCCAGGTGTGGTGGTGCACACCTGTAATCCCAGCTACATGGGAGGCTGAGGCATGAGAATTACTTGAACTTAGGAGGTGGAGGTTGCAGTGAGCTGAGATCACCCCACTGGTCAAAAAAAAAAAAAAAAAGATTACTCCGGATTCCTGGGCAAGATGGCTGAATAGGAGCAGCTCTGGTCTACAGCTCCCAGTGAGGCCAACTGCATTTCCAACTGAGGTACAAAGTTCATCTCATTGGGACTGATTAGACAGTGGGTGCACCCCAAGGATGGCAAGCCAAAGCAGGGTGGGGCATTGCCTCATCCAGGAAGTGTAAGGGGTCAGGGAACTCCCTCCCCTAGCCAAGGGAAGCCGTGTGGGACTGTTCCTTGAGAGACAGTGCTATCTGGCCCAGATAGCACTTTTTCCCACTGTCTTTGCAACCCGCAGACCAGGAGATTCCCTCGGGTGCCTATACCACCAGGACCCCGGGTTTCAAGCACAGAACAGGGCGGCCGTTTGGGCAGACACTGAGCTAGCTGCAGGAATTTCTTTTTTATACCCCAGTGGCACCTGGAACGCCAGCGAGACAGAACCTTTCACTCCTCTGGAAAGGGGGCTGAAGCCAGGGAGCTGAGTGGTCTTGCTTAGTGGATCTCACCCCCATGGAGCCCAAAAAGCTAAGATCCACTGGCTTGAAATTCTCGCTGCCAGCACAGTAGTCTGAAGTTGACCTGGGATGCTTGAGCTTGGTGGAAGGAGGGGCGTCTGCCATTAATGAGGCTTGAGTAGGTGGTTTTCACCTCACAGTGTAAACAAAGCCACCCTGAAATTCGAACTGGGTGGACCCCCTGCAGTGCCACACAGCCGCTGTAGCCAGACTGCTTCTCTAGATTCCTTCTCTCTGTGCAGGGCATCTCTGAAAGAAAGGCAGCAGCCCCAGTCAGGGGCTTATAGATAAAACTCCCAGGGCAGCTGTGGGATCTGCTTCAGCAGACTTAATCCTGCCTGCTGGGTCTGAAGAGAGCAGCGGATCCCCCTGCACAGCGTTCGAGCTCTGCTAAAAGACAGACTGCCTCCTCAAGTGGGTCCCTGACCCCCGTGCTTCCTGAGAGGGAGAAACCTCCCAGCAAAGGTCGACAGACACCTCATACAGGAGAGCTCCAGCTGGCATCTGGCAGATGCCCCTCTGGAATGAAGCTTCCAGAGCAAGGAGGAGGCAGCAATCTTTGCTGTTCTGCAGCCTCCGCTGGTGATACCCAGCCAAACAGAGTCTGGGGTAGACCTCCAGCAAACTCCAGCAGACCTGTAGAAGAAGAGGGTGACTGTTAGAAGGAAAACTAACAAACAAAAAGCAATAGCACCAACATCAACAAAAAGGGCAACCATGCAAAAACCCCACCTGAAGGTCACCAAAATCAAAGACCAAAGATAGATAAATCCATGCAGATGAGGAAAAACCAGTGCAAAAAGGCTGAAAATTCCAAAAACCAGAATGCCTCTTCTCCTCCAAAGGATCACAACTCCTTGCCAGCAAGGGAACAAAAGTGGATGGAGAATGAGTTTGACAAATTGACAGAAGTAGGCTTCAGAAGGTGGATAATAACAAACTCCTCTGAGCTAAAAATTCATGTTCTAATCCAATGCAAGGAAGCTAAGAACCTTGATAAAAGGTTACAGGAACTGCTAACTAGAATAACCAGTTTGAGAAGAACATAAATGACCTGATAAAGCTGAAAAACACAGCATGAGAACTTTGTGAAGCATACACAAGTATCAATAGCCGAATCAATCAAGTAGAAGAAAGGATATCAGAGATTGAAGATCAACTTAATAAAATAAAGCATGAACACAAGATTAGAGAAAAAAAATAAAAGGAACAAACAAAGCCTCCAAGAAATATGGGACTATGTGAACAGACCAAACTTATGTTTAATTGGTATAACTGAAAGTGACAAGGAGAATGGAACCAAGCTGAAAAACACACTTCAGGATATTATCCAGGAGAACTTCCCCAACCTAGCAAGACAGGCCAACATTCAAATTCAGGAAATACAGAGAACATCACAAAGATACTCCTTGAGAAGAGTAACCCCAAGACACATAATCGTCAGATTCACCAAAGTTGAAATGAAGGAAAAAATGTTAAGGGCAACCAGAGAAAAAGGTCAGGTTACCCACAAAGGGAAGCCCATCAGACTAACAGCAGATCTCTCTGCAGAAACCCTACAAGCCAGAAGAGAGTGGGGGCCAATATTCAACATTCTTAAAGAAAAGAATTTTCAACCCAGAATTTCTTATCCAGCCAAGCTAAGCTTCTTAAGTGAAGGAGAAAGAAAATCCTTTACAGACAAACAAATGCTCAGGGATTTTGTCACCACCAGGCCTGCCTTACAAGAGCTCCTAAAGGAAGCACTAAATATGGAAAGGAAAAACTGGTACCAGTAACTGCAAAAATATACCAAATTGTAAAGATCATTGACACTATGAAGAAACCGCATAAACTAATGGGCAAAATAACCAGCTAGCATCATAATGACAGGATCAAATTCACACATAACAATATTAACATTAAATGTAAATGGGCTAAATGCCCCAATTAAAAGATAAAGACTGGCAAATTGGATAGAGTCAAGACCCATCAATGTGCTGTATTCAGGAGACCCATCTCACATGCAAACACACACGTAGGCTCAAAATAAAGGGATGGAGGAAGATTTACCAAGCATATGGAAAGCAAAAAAAAAAAAAAAAAAAAAAAAAAAAAGAAAACAAACAAACAAAAAAACCAGGGGTTGCAATCCTAGTCTCTGATAAAACAGACTTTAAACCAACAAAGACCAAAAAAGACAAAGGACATTGCATAATAGTAAAGTGATCAATGCAACAAGAAGAGCTAAGTATCCTAAAAATATATGCACCCAATACAGGAGCATCCAGATTCATAAAGCAAGTTTTTTTTTTAATTTTATTATTATTATACTTTAAGTTTTAGGGTACATGTGCACAACGTGCAGGTTTGTTACATATGTATACATGTGCCATGTTGGTGTGCTGCACCCATTAACTCATCATTTAGCATTAGGTATATCTCCTAATGCTATCCCTCCCCCCTACCACCACCCCACAACAGTCCCCAGTGTGTGATGTTCCCCTCCCTGTGTCCAAGTGTTCTCATTGTTCAATTCCCACCTGTGAGTGAGAACATGTGGTGTTTGATTTTTTGTCCTTGCAATAGTTTGCTGAGAATGGTGGTTTCCAGTTTCATCCATGTCCCTACAAAGGACATGAACTCATCATTTTTTATGGCTGCATAGTATTCCATGGTGTATATGTGCCACATTTTATTAATCCAGTCTATTGATGTTGGACATTTGGGTTGGTTCCAAGTCTTTGCTATTGTGAATAGTGCTGCAATAAACATACATGTGCATGTGTCTTTATAGCAGCATGATTTATAATCATTTGGGTATATACCCAGTAATGGGATGGCTGGGTCAAATGGTATTTCTAGTTCTAGATCCCTGAGGAATCACCACACTGACTTCCACAATGGTTGAACTAGTTTACAGTCCCACCAACAGTGTAAAAGTGTTCCTATTTCTCCACATCCTCTCCAGCACCTGCTGTTTCCTGACTTTTTTTTTTTTTTTTTTTTTTTTTTTTTTAGTATTTATGGATCATTCTTGGGTGTTTCTCGGAGAGGGGGATGTGGCAGGGTCATAGGATAATAGTGGAGAGAAGGTCAGCAGATAAACACGTGAACAAAGGTCTCTGGTTTTCCTAGGCAGAGGTCCCTGCGGACTTCAGCAGTGTTTGTGTCCCTGGGTACTTGAGATTAGGGAGTGGTGATGACTCTTAACGAGCATGCTGCCTTCAGGCATCTGTTTAACAAAGCACATCTTGCACCGCCCTTAATCCATTTAACCCTGAGTTGACACAGCACATGTTTCAGAGAGCACGGGGTTGGGGGTAAGGTTATAGATTAACAGCATCCCAAGGCAGAATAATTTTTCTTAGTACAGAACAAAATGGAGTCTCCTGTGTCTACTTCTTTCTACACAGACACAGTAACAATCTGATCTCTCTTTCTTTTCCCCACATTTCCCCCTTTTCTTTTCGACAAAACCGCCTTCGTCATCATGGCCCTTTCTCGATGGTCACTGTCTCTTTGGAGCTGTTGGGTACACCTCCCAGACGGGGCAGCTGGGCAGAAGCGCTCCTCACATCCCAGACGATGGGCAGCCGGGCAGAGGCGCTCCTCCCCTCCCAGACAGGGCGGCCAGGCAGAGGCGCTCCCCACCTCCCAGACGGGGTGGCGGCTGGGCAGAGGCGCTCCCCACCTCCCAGACAGGGCGGCGGCCGGGCAGAGGCGCTCCCCACCTCCCAGATGGGGTGGCGGCCGGGCAGAGGCGCTCCCCACCTCCCAGACAGGGGCAGCGGCCAGGCAGAGGCGCTCCCCACCTCCCAGACGGGGCGGCGGCCGGGCAGAGGCGCTCCTCACTTCTCAGACGGGGTGGCCGGGCAGAGGCGTTCCTCAGTTCCCAGACAGGTCGGCCGGGCAGAGGCGCTCCTCAGTTCCCAGACAGGGTGGCGGCCGGGCAGACGCACTCCTCACATCCCAGACGGGACAGCTGGGCAGAGGTGCTCCTCACATCCCAGATGATGGGCGGCCGGGCAGAGGTGCTCCTCATCTCCCAGACGGGGCGGCCGGGCAGAGACACTCCTCACTTCCCAGATGGGGCAGCCGGGCAGAGACACTCCTCACTTCCCAGATGGGGTGGCCGGGCAGAGGTGCTCCTCACTTCCCAGACGGGGCGGCCAGTCAGAGGCTCTCCTCACATCCCAGACAGGGTGGTGGCCAGGAAAAGGCGCTCCTCACTTCCCAGACGGGGTGACGGCCGGGCAGAGGCGCTCCTCACTTCCCAGATGAGGTGGCGGCCGGGCAGAGATGCTCCTCACCTTCCAGACGGGGTGGTGGCTGGGCATAGGAACTCCTCACATCCCAGATGGGGTGGCCGGGCAGAGGCGCTCCTCACTTCCCAGATGATGGGTGGCCAGACAGAGACACTCCTCACTTCCTAGATGGGGTAGCGGCTGGGCAGAGGCGCTCCCTCACTTCCCAGATGGGGCGGCAGGGCAGAGGGGCTCCTCACATCCCAGACAATGGGCGGCCAGGCAGAGATGCTCCTCACTTCCTAGATGGGGTGGCGGCTGGGCAGAGGCTGTAATCTTAGCACTTTCAGAGGCCAAGGCAGGCGGCTGGGAGGTGGAGGTTGTAGCGAGCCGAGATCACGCCACTGCACTCCAGCTTGGGCAACATTGAGCATTGAGTGAGCGAGACTCCGTCTGCAATCCCAGCACCTCGGGAAGCCGAGGCAGGCAGATCACTCAAGGTCAAGAGCTGGAGACCAGCCCAGTCAACACGGCGAAACCCCGTCTCCACCAAAAATACAAAAACCAGTCAGGTGTGGTGGTGCATGCCTGCAATCCCAGGCACTCGGCAGGCCGAGGCAGGAGAATCACGGGAGCCCGAGGCAGGGAGGTTGCAGCGAGCTGAGATCACGGCAGTACAGTCCAGCCTCAGCAACAGAGGGAGACTGAAGGAAGGGAGAGGGAGAGGGAGAGAGAGAGGGAGAGGGAGAGGGAGAGCTGTTTCCTGACTTTTTAATGATCACCATTCTAACTGGTGTGAGATGGTATCTCATTGTGGTTTTGATTTGCACTTCTCTGATGGCCAGTGATGATGAGCATCTTTTCATGTGTTTTTTGGTTGCATAAATGTCTTCTTTTGAGAAGTGTCTGTTCATATCCTTTGCTCACTTTTTGATGGGGTTGTTTGTTTTTTTCTTGTAAATATGTTTGTGTTCATTGTAGATTCTGGATATTAGCCCTTTGTCAGATGAGTAGATTGCAAAAATTTTCTCCCATTCTGTAGGTTGCCTGTTCACTCTGATGGTAGTTTCTTTTGCTGTGCAGAAGCTCTTTAGTTTAATTAGATCACATTTGTCAATTTTGGCTTTTGTTGCCATTGCTTTTGGTGTTTTATTCATGAAGTCCTTGCCCATGCCTATGTCCTGAATGGTATTGCGTAGGTTTTCTTCTAGGGTTTTTATGGTTTTAGGTCTAACATGTAAGTCTTTAATCCATCTTGAATTAATTTTTGTATAAGGTGTAAGGAAGGGATCCAGTTTCAGCTTTCTCCATATGGCTAGCCAGTTTTCCCAGCACCATTTATTAAATAGGGAATCCTTTCCCCATTTCTTGTTTTTGTCAGGTTTGTCAAAGATCAGATAGTTGTAGATATGTGGCATTATTTCTGAGGGCTCTGTTCTGTTCCATTGGTCTACGTCTCTGTTTTGGTACCAGTACCATGCTGTTTTGGTTACTGTAGCCTTGTAGTATAGTATGAAGTCAGGTAGTGTGATGCCTCCAGCTTTGTTCTTTTCTCTTAAGATTGACTTGGCGATGTGGGCTCTTTTTTGGTTACATATAAGCTTTAAAGTAGTTTTTTCCAATTATGTGAAGAAAGTCATTGGTAGCTTGATGGGGATGGCATTGAATCTATAAATTACCTTGGGCAGTATGGCCATTTTCACGATATTGGTTCTTCCTAGCCCTGAGCATGGAATGTTCTTCCATTTGTTTGTATCCTCTTTTATTTCATTGAGCAGTGGTTTGTAGTTCTCCTTGAAGAGGTCCTTCACATCCCTTGTAAGTTGGATTCCTAGGTATTTTATTCTCTTTGAAGCAATTGTGAATGGGAGTTCACTCATGATTTGGCTCTCTGTCTGTCTGTTATTGGTGTATAAGAATGCTTGTGATTTTTGTACATTGATTTTGTATCCTGAGACTTTGCTGAAGTTGCTTATCAGCTTGAGGAGATTTTGGGCTGAGACAATGGGGTTTTCTAGATATACAATCATGTCATCTGCAAACAGGGACAATTTGACTTCCTCTTTTCCTAATTGAATACCCTTTATTTCCTTCTCCTGCCTGATTGCCCTGGCCAGAACTTCCAACACTATGTTGAATAGGAGTGGTGAGAGAGGGCATCCCTGTCTTGTGCCTGTTTTCAAAGGGAATGCTTCCAGTTTTTGCCCATTCAGTATGATATTGGCTGTGGGTTTGTCATAGATAGCACTTATTATTTTGAGATACGTCTCATCAATACCTAATTTATTGAGAGTTTTTAGCATGAAAGGTTGTTGAATTTTATCAAAGGCCTTTTCTGCATCTATCGAGATAATCATGTGGTTTTTGTCTTTGGTTCTGTTTATATGCTGGATTACATTTATTGATTTGTGTATGTTGAACCAGCCTTGCATCCCAGGGATGAAGCCCACTTGATCATGGTGGATAAGCTTTTTGATGTGCTGCTGGATTCAGTTTGCCAGTATTTTATTGAGGATTTTTGCATCAATGTTCATCAAGGCTATTGGTCTAAAATTCTCTTTTTTGGTTGTGTCTCTGCCAGGCTTTGATATCAGGATGATGCTGGCCTCATCTAATGAGTTAGGGAGGATTCCCTCTTTTTCTATTGATTGGAATAGTTTCAGAAGAAATGGTCCCAGTGCCTCCTTGTACCTCTGGTAGAATTCGGCTGTGAATCCATCTGGTCCTGGACTTTTTTTGGTTGGTAAGCTATTGATTATTGCCTGAATTTCAGAGTCTGTTATTGGTCTATTCAGAGATTCAACTTCTTCCTGGTTTAGTCTTGGGAGGATGTATGTGTCGAGGAATTTATCCATTTCTTCTAGATTTTCTAGTTTATTTGCGTAGAGGTGTTTGTAGTATTCTCTGATGGTAGTTTGTATTTCTGTGGGATCGGTGGTGATATCCCCTTTATCATTTTTTATTGTATCTATTTGATTCTTCTCTCTTTTCTTCTTTATTAATCCTCCTAGCAGTCTATCAATTTTGTTGATCTTTTCAAAAAACCAGCTCCTGGATTCATTAATTTTTTGAAGGGTTTTTTGTGTCTCTATTTCCTTCAGTTCTGTTCTGATCTTAGTTATTTCTTGCCTTCTGCTAGCTTTTGAATGTGTTTGCTCTTGCTTTTCTAGTTCTTTTAATTGTAATGTTAGGGTGTCAATTTTAGATCTTTCCTGCTTTCTCTTGTGGGTATTTAGTGCTATAAATTTCCCTCTACGAACGGCTTTGAATGTGTCCCAGAGATTCTGGTGTGCTGTGTCTTTGTTCTCATTCGTTTCAAGGAACATCTTTATTTCTGCCTTCATTTCCTTATGTACCTAGTAGTCATTCAGGAGCAGGTTGTTCAGTTTCCATGTAGTTGAGCAGTTTTGAGTGAGTTTCTTAATCCTGAGTTCTAGTTTGATTGCACTATGGTCTGAGAGACAGTTTGTTATAATTTCTGTTCTTTTACATTTGCTGAGGAGTGCTTTACTTCCAACTATGTGGTCAATTTTGGAATAGGTGTGGTGTGGTGCTGAAAAGAATGTATATTCTGTTGATTTGGGGTGGAGAGTTCTGTAGATGTCTATTAGGTCCGCTCGGTGCAGAGCTGTGTTCAATTCCTGGGTATCCTTGTTAACTTTCTGTTTCACTGATCTGTTTAATGTTGACAGTGGGGTGTTAAAGTCTCCCACTATTATTGTGTGGGAGTCTAAGTCTCTTTGTAGGTCACTAAGGACTTGCTTCATAATAGACAAACAGAGCCAAATCATGAGTGAACTCCCATTCACAATTGCTACAAAGAGAATAAAATACCTAGGAATCCAACTTACAAGGGATGTGAGGACCTCTTCAAGGAGAAATACAAACCACTGCTCAAGGAAATAAGAGAGAACACAAACAAATGGAAAAACATTCCATGCTTATAGATAGGAAGAATCAATATCGTGATAATGGCCTCACTGCCCAAAGTAGTTTATAGATTCAATGCTATTCCCATCAAGCTACCATTGACTTTCTTCACAGAATTAGAAATAACTACTTTAAGTTTCATATGGAACCAAATAAGAGCTTGTACAGCCAAGACAATCCTAAGCAAAAAGAACAAAGCTGGAGGCATCACACTACCTGACTTCAAACTATACTACAAGGCTACAGTAACCAAAACAGCATGGTACTGGCACTAAAACAGATATATAGACCAGCAGAACAGAGCAGAGGCCTCAGCAATAACACCACACAGCTACAACCATCTGATCCTTGACAAACCTGACACAAACAAGCAATGGGGAATGGATTCCCTATTTAATAAGTGGTGTTGGGAAAACTGGCTAGCCATATGCAGAAAACTGAAACTGGACCCCTTCCTTACACTTTATACAAAAATTAACTCAAGATGGATTAAAGACTTAAATGTAAGACCTAAAACCATAAAAACCCTAGAAGAAAACCTAGGCAATACCATTCAGGACATAGGTAGGGGCAAAGATGTCATTACTAAAACATCAAAAGCAATAGCAACAAAAGCCAAAATTGACAAATGGGATCTAATTAAACTAAAGAGCTTCTGCACAGCAAAAGAAACTATCATCAGAGTGAACAGGCAACCTACAGAATGGGAGAAAATTTTTGCAATCTATCCATCTGACAAAGGGCTAATATCCAGAATCTACAAGAAACTTAAATTAACAAGAAAAAAACAAACAACCTTATCAAAAAGTGGGCAAATGATATGAACAGACACTTTTCCAAAGAAGACATTTATGCAGCTAACAAACATATCAAAAAAAAAGTCATTATCCCTGGTCATTAGAGAAATGCAAATCAAAACCACAATAAGATACTATCTCATGGCAGTTAGAATGGTGATCATTAAAAAGTCCAGAAACAACAGATTCTGGAGAGGATGTGGAGAAATAGGAACGCTTTTACACTCTTGGTGGGAGTGTAAATTAGTTCAACCGTTGTGGAAGACAGTGTGGCAATTCCTCAGGGATCTAGAACTAGAAATACCATTTGACCCAGCCATCTCATTACTGGGTATATACCCAAAAGATTATAAATCATTCTACTATAAAGACACATGCACACATATGTTTACTGCAGCACTATTCACAATAGCAAAGACTTGGAACCAACTCAAATGCCCATCAATGATGGAGTGGATAAAGAAAATGTGGTACATATATACCATGGAATACTATGCAGCCATAAAAAAGGATGAGTTCATGTCCTTTGCAGGGACATGGATGAAGCTGGAAACCATCATTTTCAGCAGACTAACACAGGAACAGAAAACCAAACACTGCATGTTCTCACTCATAAGTGGGAGTTGAACAATGAGAACATATAGGCACAGGGAGGGGAACATCACACACTGGGGCCTGTTGAGGGGTGGGGTCAAGGGGACAGATAGCATTAGGAGAAATACTTAATGTAGATAATGGGTTGATGAGTGCAGCAAATCACCATGGCACATGTATACGTATGTAACAAACCTGCACATTCTGCACATGTATCCCAGAAGTTAAAGTATACTAAAAAAAAAAAAAAGAAAAAAAAAGATTGTTTTACATTTTTTGGCTTGAACAATTGAATGGTTTTACCTTCAACTGTGATGGAAAAGACTGTAGGTAGAGCAGATTTTTGAAGGGAATATCAGTAGTTCAGTTTTAGACATATTAAGATTGAGAGATTCACATGATGTTGAATAGGCAATTGAATGGATGGATCTGGGGTTCAGAAAGGAGGCTGGGCTGAGTTGTTAGCCCTTAGATAAAGTCACGAGCCAGATGTGGTGGAGCATGCCTATAATTCCAGCTACGTGGGAGGCTGAGGCAGGAGGATTGTTTGAGCTTAGGGGTTCGAGATAACCCTGAGCAACATAGCAGGATGCCTGTCTCAATATATATATTTTAGGCCAGGCGTGGTGGCTCATGCCTGTAATCCTAGCACTTTGGGAGGCAAAGATGGGCAGATCACTTGAGTCCAGGAGTTCGAGACCAGCCTGGGCAACATGGCAAAACCCCGTTTGCAAAAAATACAATAAATTAGCCAGGGCTGGTGGTGTAGGCTGCCTGTAGTCCCAGCTACCCAGTAGGCTAAGGTGGGGGGATCACATGAGCCTGGGGATGTCGAGGCTGCTGTGAGCTGTGATCACAACACTGCAGTCTAGCCTGGGTGACAGAGCAAGACCCCATGTCAAGAAAAAAAAATGTATATATATATAGAAAGAAAAAAATAAAGGAATGAGACTAGATGAAATTACTAAAAGAGTAATGATCAGTACTAAATCCTATCATCTAGAGATAGGCAAGGTTAATACGACGGCAGTTTCTTCTTCAGATTTCTCTTTCTTGTATGTAATTAAATAATACAATGTATGCCTTTGTTACAATCACAATAATGCTTCATAATACACCAACTAACATTCAATGGCTTATAACACAGGTTTATTTTTCTTGCGCGTGGGTCTATGATTTGGCTTGAGTACCTTTTCTTAGATGGTGGGTTAATTTGTCTTGGTTCAAGATTTGGGTTGGTTTCATTCTGCTTCACTTGTTTTTACATTCCTCTTAAATCAGCAGTTTCCCAGGACATATTTTTCTTGTGGCAATAGCAGAAATGCAAGTGTGTGAGCAGAACCATGTAATGCCTCTTAAGGGCTTGGCTTAGAACTGACACATTGTCAGTTTTGCCTCCATTCCCTTGGCCAAAACAAATCAAATGGTCAAGCTGAAGATTAATGGTGATGGGAAATGCACTCTCCCGACTCCAGTGTACTACAAGGTCACATGGCAAAGGAGAAGTGAAGAATTGAAATGATAATCAAACCTAACATAATATATAACACAGAATTTCATGTATTGTTTACATAAATGGGATGACAACATATATACCTTTTGTACACCTTTTCAGTACACAGACATGCCCCTGGGATAATGTGAGTTTGTTTCAGACCATTGCAATAAAGTGACTATTGCAATAAAGCAAGTCACATGAGGTTTTTGGTTTCTAAGTGCATTATAAAAATTATGTTTATACCATAATGTAGTCTAGTGTGCAATAGTATTATGTCTAAAAGACAATGTACATACCTTAATTAAAAATACTTTATAGCTAAAAATGCTAATGATCATCTGAGCCATCAGTGAGTTGGCATCTTTTTTGGTGGAGGGTCTTGCCTCAGTGTTGATGTTTGCTGATTGATCAGGTGGTGGTTGTTGAAGGCTGGAGTGGCTGTGGCAATTTTTAAAAATAAGACAACAATAAAGTTTGCTGCATCAAAGGACTGTTCCATTCATGAAAGATTTCTCTGTAGCATGTGATGCTGTTTGATAGTATTTTACCCACAGTAGAACTTCTTTCAAAATTGGAGTCAATCCTCTCAAACCCTGCTGCTTATTTATCAAGTTTACAAAATATTCTAAACCCTTAGTTGTCATTTCAACAATGTTCATAGCATCTTCATCAGGAGTAGATTCCATCTCAAGAAATCACTTTCTTTTCTCATTCATAAGAATCTTTGTTGGTTAGTTTGATCATGAGATTGCAGCAATTTGGTCACATCTTCGGGATCCACTTTTAATGCTTGTCATCTTGCTATTCCACCACATCTGCAGTCACTTCCTCCACTGAAGTCTTGAACCTCTCACGGTCATCCATGAGGGTAGGAATCAGCTTCTTCCAAACTCCTGTTAATTTTTTTTTCTAGAGACAGGATCTCACTATGTTGCCCAGGCTGGAGTGTAGTGGCTATTCATAGGCATAATTATAGCCCACAACAGTCTTGTGGGCAATCCTCCTACCTCAGCCTCCTGAGTAGCTAGGATTACAGGCACAGACCATTGTAATGGCTTATTAACGTTGATTTGTGACCTCCCTCCACAAATCACAAATGTTCTTAATGGCGTCTAGAATGGTGAATGCTTTACAGATGGTTTTCAATTTACTTTGCCCAGATCCATCAGAGGAATCACTATCTATGGGAGCTATAGCCTTACAAAATGTATTTCTTAAATAAGACTTCAAAGCCAAAATTACTCCTTGATCTGAAGAATGGATATTTTGTTAGCAGGTGTGAAAACAACATTAATCTCCTTGTACATCCCTGCCAGAGCTCTTAGGTGACCAGGTGCTTTGTCAGTGAACATTACTATTTTGAAAAGAATCTTTTTTCTCAGTAGATTTCAAAATTGGGCTTAAAACATTCAGTAAACCACGCTATAAACAGATGTGCTGTCATCAGGCTTTGTTGTTCCATGTGTAGAACACAGGCTGAGTAGATTTTACACAATTCTTAAGTGTCCTGGGATTTTCAGAATAGTAAATGAGCATTGGCTTCAACTTAAAGTCACGAGCTGCTTTAGCTCCTAACCAGAGTGTCAGCCTGTCCTTTGAAGCTTTAAAGCCAAGCGTTGACATCTCCTCCCTAGCTGTGAAAGTCCTGGATCTCACCTTCTTCCACCCTAAGGCTGTTTCATCCGCATTGAAAATCTGTTTTTTAGCGTAGCCACCTTCATCAATGATCTTAGCCAGATCTTCTGGATAACTTGCCATAGCTTCTACATCAGCATTTGGTGCTTCACCTTGCATTTTTATATTATGAAGATGGCCTCTTTCTTTAAACCTCATGAACCAACCTCTGCTAGCTTCCAGTTTTTCTTCTGCAGCTTCTTCCCCTTGCTCTGGATTAGGTTTTGGCTTAGGGGAATGCTGTGGCTGGTTTGATCTTTTATCCAGACCACTGAAACTTTCTCCACATCAGCAATCAGGCTCTTTGGCTTTCCTATCATTCGTGTGTTCACTGGAGTGGCACTTTTAATTTCCTTCAAGAACTTTTTTCTTTGCATTCACAATGTGGCTAACTGGCACAAGAGATCTCACTGTCAGCCTATCTTGGCTTTCAACATACCTTCCTCACAAACTTAATCATTTCTAGCTTTTGATTTGAAGTGAGAGACACATGACTCTTCCTTTCACTTGAACACTTAGAGGCTATTGTAGGGTTATTAACTGGCCTAATTTCAGTATTGGTATGTCTTTGGGAATAGGAGGCCCAAGGAGAAGGAGAGAAGTAGGGGAATCGCTAGTTGATGGAGCAGTCAGAACACACCCATTTATCAATTAGGTTTGCCGTCTTATAGGAACGTGGTTCTTGGCATCCCAAAACAACTGCAATAGTAACATCAAAGATCATTGGTCACAGATAACCATAGCAGATATAAGAGTAATGAAAAAGTTTGAAATTCTGTGAGAATTATGAAAATGTGACATGAAGGGAGCACATGCTATGAGATAAATGGCACCAATAGATTTGCTCGACCCACTGTTGCCACAAAGCTTCAGTTTGTAAAAATCGCAATATCTGCAAAGCACAATAAAGCAAAGCCCAATAAAAGGAGATGTGCCTGCATATTTTTTCATGTCAATAATACTTTTGGTACCAGTATGTATTCTATTATACAGATGCACAATAAGTTATTTGGTGAATCTCCTATTTACAAACATTTAGGTGGTTCATGATTTTTCACCACTACAAATAATGCTAAATGAATAATTCTATACGTATTTCTTTACACAATTTGTGGAATTGCAACTTTGGGTAAATTCATAAAAGTAGAGTATGTAAATTAAGGTGTGAACCTGCTGGAAATTTGGAACCATTTTGAAAAATTGTCATTCAGAGATGTTATATGAGTTTATACTCCCATCCATAGTATGCAAAACTGCCCTTTTGCCAACACACTTCTCAATATAGAGTATTAGCAAACTTTTTTTTTGCCAATCTGAAAAGTGAAAAATATTTGTTCTTTATATGTTTGATGATTAATAAAGTTGAATTTTTTTTACCTGTATGTTGGCCAATTGCTGTTTTTTCTTTTGTGTATTGCCTGTTAGTCTCTCCTGTATTTCTACTAATATCAAAATGTTTTTCTAATTGATTTTTTAAAAACTATTTTCATATTAGGGCTATCAGCGTATTGTCATTTTGTTAAAATATTTGTGGTAGTTTTTGAAAGACAGAATGTGTTAGTTTCCTATTGTTACTATAACAAAGTATCACAAGCTTGTGGCTTTAAGTAACATAATTTTATTCTCTTACCATTCTGGAGCCCAGAAGTCCAGTTTCACTGGGCTAAGGTCAAGGTGTTGGCAGGGCTAGTTCTCCTGGAGGCTCTGGGAGAGTGTTTCCCTGTCTTTTCTAGCTTTTAAAGGTTGCCGTGGCGTTTTTGTCCTGTACTCCTTCCTTGCAACACTTCATGCGTCTGTCTCCACATCTCCTGAGTCCTTTGACCTTCTTGCCTCCCTCTTATAAAAACTCTTGTGATTATGTATAGAGCCCACCTGGACAATTCAGGCTACTCTCCCCACCTGAAGATTCTTAACTTAAAGGACATAGAATATCCTTTTTCTGTATAAGGTAATATTCACATACATGGATATCTTTGAGAGGCAATTATTCAGCCTGCCACACAGAATATTTAATTTTTAGGTTGTTCAGTCAATCATATAATCAAATATAATAAGATTTTTTGTTTGTTTGAGACGGAGTTTTACTCTTTTTGCCCAGGCTGGAGTGCAATGGTGCGATCTTGGCTTACCACAACCTCCGCCTTCCAGGTTCAACAATTCTCCTACCTCAGCCTCCCAAGTAGCTGGGATTACAGGCATGCACCACCACACCTGGCTAATTTTGTATTTTTAGTAGAGACAGGGTTTCTCCATGTTGGTCATGCTGGTCTTGAACTCCTGACCTCAGGTGATCTGCCCATCTCGTCCTCCCAAAGAATATTTTTTAAATAGTCTTCTGCTTTTGTGTCTTATTTATAAAAACCTCCTTCACTCCAATTTTTATAGTCAGCTAAATTTTATTTTAGGATTGCTATGATTTTATGGTTTTAATGTTTTTAATAGTTTCATTTTTTTTGCATCTAAGTCTGTGATTCATCTAGAATTTATTTTGACATAAGAATGAGTTAGGGATTCATTTATATTTTTCAAATTTCTAGCCTGTCTCCAACACATCATTGAATAGTCTATATTTTTCTTACTGATTGTAAATGCCATCTTTATCACATGATAATTCACTTTTTGAGTTAATTTCTGCAATCTTTATGCTTTATGTTCCATTTTTCTCTCTTCCTGTATCAATATTGCAATATTTTAAAGTTATATATCACATCTAGTAAGTCAAGTTCTCATTATTTTTCTTTTTAGCGTTTTTGACTACATTTATATTCTTAAAAGTTATGAATATATATATACACACATATTATGTAGTGTATAGATGGCATAAATGGTATTAATAAGATTAACACCCATGTTCCCACCACCCAACTTAAAAAATAAAACATTACCAGTGCCTTTGAAGCTCCTGGCTCCCTCACAACACCTCCTATAAGAGGACACCCTGTTGTGAAAGTTGAATTCAGCATTCCCTTACTTTTCTTTGTAGTTCTAACACATGTGAACCCACTTAAAATCATCCTTCTTTTTAAAATCTGCCTCCTGCCAAGTATCTTGACTATGTAAAGGAACCATTAAGCGCTTGTTGTGATTCAGCGTAGATTTTTGCCTAAGGTCATCTCTGTTTCTGAGAATTGTAAACAGGAGATGCAATATTTAAAGTTTGGTATCCAGGCCATTTTTAGGGGTTTAAATTCTGGGTGGCCAAAACCCAATAAATGTCCACAACATTTAAGAAAGGGGTTGGTAGCCATTGAAAGTTAACAACATTTTTTCCAATACTGGCCAATGCTGTTAAAACGGGTTTCTTTCCTTGTATCAACATTGATATGGTTGTTTTGATGAAGTGATCTTGACCCAGGAATGTTTTTATGCCACTAAAAGCAAGTAGTTAAAATTGTAGCTTAAAAAAGGACAGAGTAATTCCACTTCTGTGAATTCATCCTTCAGATATACTTGCATAGGTACAGAAAGAATTTGTACATGCTTATTCATTGTACACTTGAAATAATAAAAGATTGGAAGCACACAAAAGTTTGTAATAGAGACTGGTTAATCATAGTATATTTGCACAACAAAATATTATGCAACAATGAAAATGTGCAGAACTGTATGCATAATATGCTACTTTTTATTTAAAAAGTGGTGGGGGGATAATACATATTCTAGACATACTTACAAAGAAACTCTAGGAATTCATAGGAAAATAAGAATAGTAGTTACTTGAATAGTGAAAAGCAGTTGGATAGAAGACAGTGGTGAGAAGACTTTTCACTGTAGATATTTTTGTTTTAAAAATATGTTTGAATCAGAAGAATGCGTTGCCTATTTGATGCCTAACAGTGCTCCAGCCCACATATCTTCTCTGAACCTCACCCTGTCCTGGAGGGATATTTGTTTTGTGTGCTATTTTGGTAATTAAAACATGATGTAGTTGTTATGAACATCTCATTCAAAATGTCACCTCTTTTGCCTGGACCAGTTCAACAGAGATGTGAACAATGAAACTAAATTTCTCCCCACATTAAGAAAGCTCTGGGTGTTTGGTGCAAGATTTTATCCATGCACATTTTCACTCAACCGACGAGTAGACATTTACTCAGACATTCTAACGTGTTGGCCCCTTTGCTGGGTGTGTTTGGCTTTGTATTTAGACAGATTGTGCTACTCATTAGTGAGCATTGATGGGAGAGTTCTTAGCTTGGTGGCATGGCACCAGCTAGGAAGTTGCTGCAGATGTGGATCTGGACTGGGAGCTGACAGTGAGGAGGAGGTAGGGCGAAGGGCTCTCTTGAAGCCCCTTTCATTGAGACATTTAAGACTGTCTGTCCAGCCACCACTGGCAGGCTCAGAGAGGAAATTTTTATCTAATCTGTGTGAATCCTGCTCCCTGCTGTCTGAAATGGACTTCACCTTCAAAGATGTCAGAAGCAGATTAAGAATCACACCAAGGCAAAGTAACAGCAACGACTTCTATTTTTTCAAAGAGCAAAATGCTGGTTGCTAATTCTAGTCGCATACTGAATTATTAGCTAAATTTGTTTTGTTGTGTTGTATCCTTTCAGCTCAGAGGTATATTAAGATGATAAAAATACAAAGCCCCACTTTGCTGTTGAATAGTTTGAGCTGATAAATACTGGCATTAGGGGGAATGGAGGGAGTTGCTGAGGACCCAGGCAGGATTTCTGTTGTTCTTGTTTTGGTAGGTCCTCTCAGGGTATCTACAGCTGTAAAAAGAGTCTTGGGAATTGCAGAAACAAAATATTTAATGATGTAATCCCAGCCGCTTGGGTTATTTGTTATGCCAGAAAGAATTTTCTCTGAGATTAATGGATGAAATTGTCTTATGTGTAAGAAGATTAGGTCACAGTTTACTCTAATTTTGGGGTACATTATGTCTCAAAACTGATGCCTGATGTCTCACCATTAGCAAAATCACTCTTTGGCGGTGATACTACTTCTAATTAAAATACACATGGACATTGGACACTGATGGAGAGAGCAAGCCTTTGTTAGTGGCTGGTGGCAGGGGACTAGGTGGGAGGGTGAGTGGAGTGGGCAGGGGATTCTGAACAATGGGGTTGGGGGCGGAGCACTGAACTGGGTGAGGAACCGAATATACAGGGAATCTTCAAAGGTAAGGGGGTGGGGACAGCTGCTAAAAGAGGTAAGAGAGGAACTAAGGCAAATTTCATTTGCTTTCCGATATTGAATTTGGCATAGGAAAGTCTGCATCAAAGAAAGGGTGAGGCAGAAGCTTAATATGTGCTTTTCCCATTGCTCCTATATTGCAAATTCTTCATAGGAATGTACTTCAGAGACCTTGTTTACTTGCCTGACGTATATTGTTATTAGAGATCTTTGGATATTGAAGTAATTGAAAACTGCAATGTGAGGACACACTTAATATTCTTGAGGCACAATGCAATCTTAGAGATGCTCACTTATTTGAAAAGACACCTGGGGGATTCCGGCACTTCTTGGTTCAGCTCAGCTGCTCCGTGACTAAGGATTATGACTGTAGGTATCACTGAAAAGTGGAAACTTAGCCAATTAATTTTTATAGCTTGATATTAACAGTGTTATTATATGTGTATAAACACCATGTGCTTACGTTGGGAGAAAGAGTGATCTTTTCCCTTTAACAAAGGATTCTTTCATGGCAGTGGTGACAAAGTGGTAAGGAGTCAGTAGGTGTTGATGAGAGAGGCAACACTGGCTTTTATCTTCGAAATCATTATTTTCACTTTGCATCAAGGTTAGAAAACCATGCATAACTTTTTGGCTAGTACTACAATAGCCTTTAAATATGTAGGTCTGCCATGCAAAATTGTATGCTACGCAGAAAACAAATCCATCCATTCAGTGTGAGCCTATTATGAGCCAGGTGCTGTGCTGGGTGTTTGAGATGCAGTGATGGACAAGAACAGATCCAGTCCCAGCCCTAGTAGAGTTTATAGTCAGTCAGGGAGATGGATGTTAATTGAATAAACAAAAACAAACGTATTGTTTCAAATTATGGTAAGTGCTATGAAAAATAGTTACACAACTGTATGAAAGCATATAATAAGGAAAGGGATGTTTACATTGAGATCTGAAGAATGAATGAGTTAACCAGGTGAAAAGGTACTTGGGGGTAGGAGGTGGGAGGGAGGGCACAAAGAACATTCCAGACATAGAGGAGTTTGAGAAACTGAAAGACTAGTGTTTCCAGAGAGTAATTCTTTGTGTATAACTTTGGCCATGTCATTGAACTTGATTGCGTTTTCGGTTTCTTATTTGAAAAATGAAGGTTTTGATACTGGCTCCCTATCATGATAAATAGCAACCGTCTCATAATTGATGAAAAATTGAGTCACCCTGTTGAATTCTAAAATGAAAGGTGCTTTAATGGTGTGAGCCCTGCCAAAAGCTACATCCAAAGAAAAAACACTGCTGGCTTGGCACTGAGCTCAGCTCTGTGCATGCAAATAGATAATAAGAGTCCTTTAATTATGTTTTGCTTTGTGATGAAATCGCAATTTAATTTTTCTGTAAATCAGAACTTGATTCCTGTAAAGTGGAATTGTGAGCTTCATTCACTGGTCTTCTATCTGCCTGGCCTGGATGAGTCAGCAGGCCCAAATGGGTTAAGTCCATTATATTCCAGCACACAGATAAAGATGTTGCTCTTTAAAAGATCATTACTCAGAAAACCAAAATAATTTGCCCCATTACCTTGTTTAAAAAGAACTAGCTTTATTTTAGACTGAGATTTATCTGCATAGACGTTTCTAGCCTTATGTATTGTGTATGCTGAGCTAATTTGATTTTGCCAAGAGTCATTTGTGAATTTCTCTGTGAACTGCTGATTATTACACACAGCTTAGGGCCTGGTTCATTTTAAACCAGGTGAGTATGCAGCAAAAATGAGCCCCTGTGCAAGGGTTCATTTTAGTGTAGAAGCAGGTCCACACTTCACCAAGAAACGGCCTCCACAGTGAAAAAGAGGCTGAATTCAGTCCTCAGAGCCTCCTTGCCTTACTGTTTGTGACAGAGGCGCAGCTCTGTGGCCAAAGGTGCTGCCGATCTCCTCCCCGCTGCTGCCACGCGAATGATCAGGCAGTGTGGCAGCTCCCTCCCTCAGCCGGACACTGCCATTCCCCACCTGGCCTTTATGACCCTTGTGAAAAGAAGCCCTGAGCTGGACCGCCCTGCCCACTGGAGAGACTGATCCATCACCTAAGATTGTGTGCTCGCCCCTGAGGAAGAGCTGTGGGCGACAGCTACTTCAGTCTCTGGCATCTCAGCCTCCCAGCCAATTAACTCTGGGAGTTGTTGGCCAAGTAAATCAAAGGGCAGGAAACAGGCTAAAATTAGATGTGGAAGGGAGATAAAACCACAGCTCTTTTGAACTCAAAAGCATCCATTAACCCAATCGCACAAGGTATATATTTTTTGTTTCTGTTTTCTAACGATATTTTGCTTCAAACGACAGTTTGTATCAGGTAATAGTTCAGTTGATTATAAAGATTTGGGGCTTTAAAAATAGTTTTCCTTGACTGCTAGACTGGGAAATGAGAAGCCATGCTCCTGTGGGTTACTGTGGCTCAGGCTGATTTGTGAAGAGGATGGTGGGTGTGGTGAGAAAGTTTCATCTGCATTGATGGGAATGACATGTGAAAGTCCTGTGTGTAAAGGAAGGAGAAAAGATCTTTTCATGGGGAGTTGGAAGGTAGCAGGAAATTCTAAAGCCCCTTTTAACCACTGACAATCAAACATACTCGGTCTCCTCTCAGTTTAATTATAAGGCTGTCTTGAGGCCTGTTCATAAGATGTTGACAAAGTATTGTTTTTGTATTCTCCTGCTCATAACTGGGGTTTGGTCCCTCTCTCTCAGGTAGCTCATTCCAGGGAGGGGGCCCTTGGTTTTCTCCTCTTACCCAGCCTGTAGGGTGCCTCAGGCTCTGCAGCTGCAGCGACTCTGCACACGCCAGCACACGCCAGGGAACAAGGGAACAGTTCCCTCTGGTGACTTGTTACTCTCACTGTTTACTTTTGTAAATTCTCAAACTTTCTTTTTATGTGTTAGTTCTCAGCTAATTTTTTTTTTTTTTGAGATGGAGTTTCATTCTTGTTGCCCAGGCTGGAGTGCAACGGTGCGATCTCGGCTCACTGCAACCTCCACCTCCCCGGTTCAAGCAATGCTCCTGTCTCAGCCTCCTGAGTAGCTGGGGTTACAGGCGCCTGCCACAATGCCCGGCTAATTTTTTGTCTTTTTAGTAGAGATGGGGTTTCACCATGTTGTCCAGGCTGGTGTTAAACTCCTGACCTCAGGTGATCCACCTGCCTTGGCCTCCAAAAGTGCTGGGATTACAGGCGTAAGCCACCATGCCCGGCTAGTTCTCAGATATTTGCAGGTGCCTCTCATTTACTCAGAACTCCTTATGAAGTAAGCAATACTGGCCCCATCTTGGAGGAGAAGGGAGAAGGGAGGCCAGGGCATAGAGAAGTTAAATGTATGATTCAATGCGGTGCAGCAGACAACAGTAGATCCAGGCATGGAACTTGAGGCTATCCCAGTCCAGTCCTCATCCCCACTGTCTACTTGTTTTTTCCTCCAAAAATCACTCTGTAGGTTGTAATTTTGGCACATTTTCCACCTCCAGTTAGATCTTCACTTCTAAAGCTAAGTGAGACCTGAGACCCATGTAGACACCCAAGAAGCTTGTGGAATCTGATGCATTTGGCTTAGACTTCTGACATGTGTGTTCATTCCAATATCACATAATTCACATAATATTCTGCTTTCTTCTTTTTCCCAATTCAATTCAAATATTTCCAAGTCAAATTTCAGTGTAACTCCCACCTCTCCCTATGAAGCCTTCTCCAGACACTGCAACCTGCATGGATCTCTTTCTTCTTATGGTCGGGGGCCAATTTAGCATTTCATCATTCTTTTCTGATTTCATGGGGATGATGTAATCTCTTCTATTTTCTTGAGGACAGGGACAGTATCTTCCTCTACTTTTGACTTTCCGGTGATAACTAGAACAGTACTAGGCAAATTAGGTGCTAGATGAGTTAGTTGGCCTTTTTAGTCTTTGGGATAATTTTTACATTGAAAGCAGTTTAGATATAAAAGGGCCAGTTGAAAAATGTGATCAAAGCTTCAACAGCCATAGGCCTATAGGCTGGATTAACCTGTCTCATTCATCTCAGATGCTCTATTTGCATTTCTGTGACCTTTCGATAATGATATTAAATCACGATGAAGCTTTGGGTCTTATCACAGTTCTCAGTTTCAACTTTTAGACATTGGAACTTTTTTTATTGTCATATTTCTTTATCATTCACCAAATAAGACTATATACATTAGTGCATTCCATAGTAGGGATACCAGAGTTGAACACAAATCCATTATTCTGAGTCCAAAATGCCTTCCACTTCACCACTCAGAAAATCAGATTGACTAGAAAAATTCTACAATCAAAATCTGGCTTGTATGGAAGAGTATGGGTATGTGGTGGGGAGATAAGAGAAGTTGGTTAATGGGTACAAACATACAGATAGATAGATAGATAGATAGAAGGAATAAATTCTAATGTTTGATAGCAGAGTAGGGTGACCATAGTTAATGATAATATATTATATATTTCAAAATAGCTAGAAGAGAGGACTCAATATGTTCCCAACACAGACAAATAATTAATAGTTGTGGTGATGGATACCCTAAATACCGTGACTTGATCATTGCAATTCCATGCATGTAACAAAGTATCACATGTATCCCATAAGCATGCACAAGTATTATGTATCAATTAAAAAAATCTGGCTTGTAAATATACACTTTTTTTAACTTTTATTTTAAGTTCAGGGGTACAAGTACAGGTTTGTTACATAGGTAAACTTGTGTCTTGGGGGTCTGTTTTACCAATTATTTCATCATCCAGTTATTAAGCCTAGTACCCATTACTTATTTTTCCTGATCCTCTCATTTGAACTTTGAAAGCCAGAATTCAGGAAAAACTTGGTCCATATTTATTTTAAATGCAGATTCTCAGGTCCCACCCCTGCCATCAGAAAAAGAGTCTCAGGCTGGGCTTGAGATTACCTCTCTAGGTAATCTTAATGTGCGTTAAAGTCAAATAAACACTATTTTATGTCATTTTTGTTACTGAATAAGATGTGATGTGATTTCAAGCACATCCCTAGAGAGTATTAAATGGAGGATTCAGGGAAATTAGGTATCTGGGTGACTCAAATGTTTTATATTAAAATGTGTAATGCATCTTATTTGCTAGCCATGGTTCATTTATATGGTCTCATGATCCTCACTTCCTAGTACTTTTTAGGTACAGCATACTGAATATGTGCTTGAATCTTTAAACCAATATCATCAGCTCCAGAGTAAGTGTTGGGAGTCACACTGGGAGACTTTGGAAGTGCTAAAATGGGATTTCAGTTTGACTGAGAAGCTCCTTGGATTTTCCAAGGTGAATTTTTTTCCGCTTCCAGTTTAGATTAACTTGCTCTCAATTTTTATAATAGAAAGATCACAGAGAACTGACTCTTTCCTACAGCTGTTAAAGATAGCTAATTAGGATAGGTGTGAACTGGTAGCTCATTAGCCCCTTTGAGTTTCCCAGCTGCAAAGGTCAGGGCAGACTAGCTACTATCACAGGGTCAGAGTGTGAATGGCAGCTGGTCAGGAAAGATAAATATGACAAGATGTGGAGCAAAGCAAGGTTATTATTACAAAAGGTGTCACCCAGATAATAGTGGAACTTAACCAGTGAAAAATCACTCAAATCATGACCCAGCCCAAAAGGAAAATAACCCCTATGCTTCCAGAATTTATTGCAGCATTGTGATTGTTTGCCCGTTAACATTTCACTTGTGGAATGAAATAGTTGGGAATGCTGACTATAAAATGAAATTGTTTCTTAATTCTTCTCAAAGTATTCTAAGCATTATGGAATGACCAGTTTATTAGGTCTCTGGGGAAATAAATATGACTTACATCCTCTTTGAAATGTAGACCCCACCATTCTCTTTTTCTTCTCTCTCCCTCTCATGCGTGCGCTTACTCTGTTTTTATCTCTTTTTCTATGTCTCCCCAAGCTCATGAATAATGTTCTTAGGAATCATTGAAGAACCATGCTAATGAGGACTTGAATTTCCAGTACTTTACACAATGTAGCATATTCTTGTTGACAGTACATCTCTACTGTGGCTCTATTTGGAAAGAATGCCTTATTCCAGGAAGAAGGTCTTCATGAACCTCTGGAACTTCATCTTCCATTTTATCATTTCACCACTTCATGAGATGGAATACTGCAGTTGTTCAGATCAAAATATCATATGGCCAGCGTCGTCCACCATGCAATCTCATTCAACTTTCATTAAAGTATCACAATAGCACAGAAAATGAAGACAGAGAAAATAGGGAAATTCTGCCTTAAAAAGAATAAAAATGGATGACACATGCCAGATTTTTGGAGGAATCTCTGCTCATCATGTGAGAGACAAATGGAGTAGATTTGAGGAATGCCTTATGGCACACCCAGGTTTTAGGTCACACAAGAGTGACACAGGAAAAATGTAGAGTCTAGACCTTCTCTGTTCTTTACTCCCTCAGGCAGAAACCCAAGGTTTGTGTCCATCAGAATATAGTGTAGCTGCCTTATCTTGCAGGTGTTGACCCATTAAGTGGCCAAGTACTCTTTTCCCATCACTTCCGCAGCCCATTACCTCATTTTTCTGCATGTATAAGAGGGAGCAATCCCAGACAACAGTGGGAGGAATTAGGAGTGTGTTGTTGATTAGAGATTGTTTATATTTTGGGCCACGCATGATGGCTCACACCTGTAATCCCAGCACTTTGGGAGGCCAAGGTGGACGGATCCCTTGAGTCCAGGAATTTGAGAACACCCTGGGCAAGGTTAAGGTCTCCCAGCATGGGAGACCCCATCTCTACTAAAAATACAAAAAAATTAGCTGGGTGTGGTGGCACATGCCCGTAGTCCCAGCTACTTGGGGGCTGAGGTGGGAGGATCACCTGAGCCGGGGCTGTAGTGAGCCGAGATCACATCATTGCGCTCCAGTCTGGGTGGTGGGAGTGAGACTTGGGAGAGAGAGAGAGAGAGAGAGACTGTCTGTATTTTTGTAGGAGTAATGTCTTACCTTGGTTTGGGTTTTCCCAGCAGCAGACATTGAGACAGTAAAGCCAATCACTTTTTTGTGAGGTGGGGGATGGAGGAAGGATCACAAAAGGTGTGGCAGGGAAGAAATGACCCAGGGGGAGAGGGCAGCAAATAATGGTTCTTACAAAACAAGTTACTGCTAAGGTAATCAGAGTTTAATCTCTCTGAGGAACACTGAGTGGTCGTCTAAAACATGGGCCTTGGAGTTATCCCACCTAGGAAGTGAGGGAACTGGGATATTTATACTCCAGTTGCCATCAGTTATTAATCAAAGGCTGCTCCTGGGGCCACGGTGTAATTTCCCTGGCACATCTGGCCTGCTGTGCACAGGAGCAGAGTAGCTCTGTAGGTCAGAGGAAACCCCCAGGCAAATGAATCTAGGCGCTGACAGGTAGAAGGTTAGTGTGCTCTGCAGTGTTAAGGGTGAGGGGCTCTGGGCAGGGCACTGACAGTGTCAACTGCAGTCAAGACCTTGTTCCACTCAGATCCACCTGTGTCCTGTGTTAGGCTTACTCTATCCTATCACTGCTTCTTCAAGGTCACAAATAAACATTAAAAAAAAAAAAAAAAGACAACAGGAGCATTAGTGGGCCAGGATCTCACTGTCTACTGCTGCAGTCTTTCCCACGATGTTCATTGATCAGCTCTCTTCTATTCTACCCTTTGTAGACCCTCCAGCCCCTTGGCCAGCATTTCTACTGGTTTAGATTGCTTACCTTATGGAATAACGCAGACCTTTTTCTCTGAGAGGTCTAAGTCCCAGATTAGGAGGGATTTTTTTTTTTCGATGCAATCCTATGTCCTGGCAGGTCTGATATTATCCATGCCATAGAAGGCAGTGCTGGTTGCACAGTCACTTGATGTCCCAAGCTCAGGTACTCAGTCATTTCATGGCCACAGCAGCACTCAGGAGCTGCTTTCTGAATGAAGAGTTGTCTTTTGTGGGTGTCATGGACTTGCTCTAGACCTCTGGGGCTCTCATTGTGGTTCTCCCATTGAGGCTTGTCAAAGATTCTAGTGAGTCTAGCAGCATGGAATCTTCTGGGTCACAGAGCTAAACACTAGAGTTACTTGTGCCACAACCTGGACCAGTTCCAGTGCCCTCACTTGCTCCATGCCTACTCTATTAGTTTGCTTGGGGTGCCATAACAAAATACCACACACTGGGTGGCTTAAACAGCAAAAACCTGTCCAGTTCTGGAGGCTGGACGGTCTGAGGTCTAGGTGTCAGCAGGTCTGGTCTCTTTGGAGGCCTCTCCCTGGCTTGCAGATGGCCCGCCTTCTTGCTGTGCCCTCTCGGGGACTTTCCTCTGTGCGTCAGCTTCTTGGCACTTCCTTGTGTGTCCAGGTTTCCTCTTCTTATAAGAACACTAGTCAGACTGGATTAGAACTCATTTTAATGAACTTATTTTAACTAATTCATCTCTTAAAGGCCCTATCTCCAAATATACTCACATTCTGAGGTACTGGAGGTTAGGGTTTTGACGGATACATTTTGCAGGGACGCATTTGACCCATAATACCCACTCAAAACCAGAAGTGTTCTGACTCACTACTAAATGAGTTGAAGCAGTATTCACAAGTGTGGTGGATATGGTCTCCCAAATCTGAAGAGGTCCACTGGGCATTGTACCACTTTCTTAGTGGTAGGAGGTAGAAAGTGCACACATTTGTTCGCCCCTTGGAGGAGTGACCTGGCATGTCTCAAACCACGGGGCCCCTGAAAGCTTTATTGACCGCAGCAAAGCCTTGATTGTGTGTAAGCTTCCTCTTCCACTCTCTGATCCAGATATACCTGACCAGAATGCTTACCATTCCTGTCCCCCAGGCACAATTAAATGATGTTGCCAGCACAGTGAAACCTTGAGATTTCCTATAGAATATCCCGATGATCCCAATCCCGTTAAGCTTTATTGCAATCTAGCCATGAGGGCATGACAGTGAATGTATGTATCTGTCTGTTCTAAGTGACAGCAAACTGCTTTTGATGCTCCTTTCTAGAAGGGATTGAAGAGAATGCATTTTCCAATTTAGTAGTGTTACACCAAGTACCAGAGACCATGTTGATCTGCTGTAGTAAAAATACTGCATCTGGAACAGCAGTTGTGGTTGGGGTTAATACTTGGTCATGATAGTCCACCATAAAATGCATGACCCAACTGGCTTTTTCTAGAAGACAGACTGGTACACTAAATGGGGATACGAAGGGACTGCCATCCTAGCCTCCTTTATGTCTTTGAGGGTAGCCCCAATCTCTGCCATTCTTCCTGTGATGAAGCATTGCTTCTCATTTTCTTGTCAGGGCAGAGGGGGGCAATTTCAAGGTTTTCACCAGGCTTTTCCTATAATACCTCAGTGAAGAGACACCACACATGCTATTTTAACAGAAAGGACTTAATGTAAGGAATTATTAAGTAGTTATTTAAAAACTGGAAAGGCAAAGAGAGAACACTAAGATATCTCAGCTACCACGCTTACACCTGGGGGAACAAGGGAAGAAGTTGGAATTATTGATAGGTAAAAGCTTGCAGTAGAAGCTGAATCTCAGACCTCTGAAAGGGGACCACTGCTCAGCTTATGTTGATGACTCTGAGCTCAGAGGAGGCATCCCCTGGGGCTGTGACCCAGAACTCTGAGGAAAAGGTCCTGGTCAGCTGTGCTGGTGTTTCTGGGGACCATGGTGAGACTGGTCCTGCCAGTGTTGGAAATCCTGCAAACTGAATGCATGCTGTGACTGCAAATGCCGAGGGGAGCAGTGAGACTGAGGTGCTGTGACAAGAACACGAAGTACACGTCTTCTTATTCCTCAAGTTTCCCGTATTGGAAGAGCTGAATGTAGAGCCAGCTGGCAAAGCAGAAATGTGGCTTTCCGAGCCGCAGCCCCAGCATCACAAAGCAGAACATAGAAGTGTGTGTGTGGGAGGCAGAAGAGGTAGGGGTGGGTTGAACCTGAGAGACAATAGCTTAAAAACTATTACAGGGCTCTTATTCCAGAGATCAGGCAACCAATATAAGATTCTACCAGTCCATATTAGTCCAGATTATGCACTCCGGTACTAGAGAAATGATCTCTACAAACACATGGATCCATATGGATGGGTCTACAAACACATGGAGTCTATAATAAGACAGACTCCACTTATCACCTGTCCTCCAATGTCCTCTCTATAACAGGGATACCCTGCTCATGTTTTGGGTCCCTATATCAGTGTCAACTTAGATCCCGTATCCAAGAGCCCTTGAAAAATGCGGCTATTCTTCTTTCTGCAGTGTGCGCTTACTCAGGTAAATGGCTCTGTTGTTTTGGGAAGGATGGTAGAATCATGACTGAGGACACTTGCTGTGACACTGCAGAGTTCTCCACAAGGGGACTCAGCCACTCCTTCAATTGGTCAGTTCTAGGTCTGAGAATTGGCTCAGGTCTGGAAACTGGGTGAGCCATCATGACTTTCCACTGGGGAGCTCATGGCAACTTTCTGCTCATCCACGTTTAACCTCTTGTGATCTTATGTCTCAAGCAGTACACTTGTTTGTTGACCTTGTCCTTGGGAACACCATGGCTGCCCCAACTTCCATTGTGACCTTGCTGCCCGTTATGGTAGTTACGCCCCACCCTTGCCACTGGTGGTTAAGTGTTGCTACCTGACTTGAGCTCTTTTGGAATCTCATCATCCTCACTGACACTGGGGAGCCTAGGGGTGGCTGTTTTCTGCAGGCTGGCATTAGCAGTATGAGAACTAAAGGTACTGCTAAGGATTCAATCCATTGCTAGAGAGAGTTACCAGGTCATCATCACCAACCTACTCATCAGAATGCCTTGATTGAAATCTTGGCTCTGTCAGTTACTTACAGGATGACCTTGGGCAAGTTACTCAGCATCTCTGTGTCTCACTTTCTCTTTCTGTAAAATGGGAATATTGATAGTAGCTACCTCAAAGAGCTGTTGGATGGATTCAATAGGTGAATCATTAAGTTGCTCAGAACAGTGCCTCACATATCATAAACCCTTAAAGAATATTAGCTATTACCAGGCCAGGCACAGTGGCTCACGCCTGTAATCCCAGCACTTTGGGAGGCCAAGGCGGGAGGATCACTTGTGGTCAGAAGTTTGAGACCAGCCTGGCCAACACAGTGAAACCCTATCTCAACTAAAAAAAAAAAAAAAATTAGCTATTATTATTCCTATGAAAATTTAAAAAGGAGCAAGAAAGCTAACCATTATTGTTCAACATTATTCTGGAAATTATAAAAAACAATTAGACATAAAAAAATATGTGAGGTCAAATACTGGAAAAGAAGATACAAAATTATCATTATTTATGGGTTATGTAGTTGGCCACCTGGAAAAAAATTAAAAAAAAATCAATGAAAAACTGTATAAAATTAAAAAGAGAATGGCCAAATCAACAATTTCCTTATCCATTGCAATAGCCATCTAAAATATAAAATAAATGGAGGGAGAAAAACCTCACAAGGGCCAAAGTATTTTTATAAGGGAAACTGCAGACATTTGAGAGCAGCTAAGACAAATGGGGTACTATTTTTGGATGGTGAGTATCACTATTGGAGAGATAGCAATTCTCCCACAATTAATTAAAAAATTTTTACACAGTTCCAGTCAAAATTCAAACATATTTTTGTAACCTAAAAATGATCCTCCAGTTTATCTGGGAGTATAAACAATGAGAACAGTAATAACAAATGTTAAAATAAGAATCATGGGGTATCTATTACCACCAGATGTCAGAACAAATTTATAAGGTCAACATGGTTTAAATATTTTTACTGATGGATAGACAAAAAGAAAAAAGTGGGAAAACCTTCAAAGTCTATAAATAGACCTTATGCATATATTTAAAAGTTAGTATGTAACAAAGTTTCCATTTCAAATTAGAGAGGAAAAGGTAGACAGTCCCATGAATGACTTTTCAGTGACTGACTAATCACCTGGGAAACAATTAAGTTAGCTTTCCTATCCTATGACTTACTCCAAAATGAATTCTTAACTGTTTAAGAATTAAGCATATATAAATATGAAACCATAAGAAAAGGTAAAATTATATAAATATTATATAATCTTGAGGTGAGGAAGAGAAAAGACTATGTAAGGAAGAAAACAAAGAAGAAGAACAGTAGATTTAAATACATAAAGATTAGAAATATTTGGTGTTGTAAAACGTTGCAAACAAAATGGAAATTGGGAAACATTTATAAAATAAATGATAGACAAAACACTGATATTTGTGTAGAAGATTTTTTATTTTTTAATTGACATGTAATAACGGTTCATATTTATTGAGTACCTAGTGCTGTTTCAATACATATAATGTATACTGATCAGATTAGGGTAATTAGCATATCCACGATCACAAACATTTGTCATTTCTTTGTGTTGGGAACATTCTTCCTTCCAGCTATTTGAAAGTATATAATATATTATGGTTAACTACAGTCATTTTGCGGAGTTATTGAACTTTAGAACTTATTCAGCTATCTAGATGTAAATTTTGTATCCTTTAAAAAAAAAAATCACCCTATCCCTTTCCCTTTCCCCTTCCCCTTCCCAGCCTCTGGTATCCTCTGGTCTACTTTTACTTCTATGAAATCAACGTTTTCAGCTTCCACATGTGAGTGAGGACATGCGATGTTTCTTGCCTTTCCTGGCTTATTTCACTTAATGTCTTCCAGCTCTATCCATGTTGCTGTAAATGACAGGATTTCACTCTCTTTTTTTTTGTGGCTGAATAGTATTCCATGTGTATATACACCACATTTTCTGTATCGTCAGTTGTTGGACACCTAGGTTGATTCCATATCTTGGCTACTGTGAATAGTGCTGCAGTAAACACAGAAGTCTCTTCGATATTCTGATTTCCCTTCCTTTGGCTAAATGCCCAATAGTGGGATTGTTAGATTATATGGTAGTTCTATTTGTAGTTTTTTTTAAAGGGACCTCTATACTGTCCTCCCTGTGGCTGTACTAATTTACATTCCCACTAACAATGTGTAAGAGTTCTCTTTTCCTTGTTTCTTCACCAGCACTTGTTATTTTTTCTCTTTTTGATTATAGCCATCTTAACTGGGGTGAGATCATACCTCTTTGCAGTTTTCACTTGCATTTCCCTGATGATTAGTGATGTTGAGCACTTTTATATATATTTGTTGGCCATTTGTATGTCTTCTTTTGAGAAATGTCTACTCAGATCATTTGCCCATTTTAAAATCAGATTTTTGTTGTTGTTGTTGAGTTGTTTGAGCTCCTTGTATATTGTGGATATTAATCATCTGTTGGATGCACAGTTTGCACATAATTTCTCCCATTCTTTAGGTTGTTTTTTCACTCTGTCGATTGTTCCTGTCATTGTGCAGAAGCTTTTTAGTTTGATATAATCCCATTTGTTTATTTTTGCTTTTATTGCCATGCTTTTGAGGTCTTATTCATAAAATCTTTGCCCAAACCAATGTCCTGAAGTGTTTTCCCTGTTTTCTTCTAGTAGTTTTATATTTTTGGGACTTACATTTATGTCTTTGATTCATTTTTTAAAACATTTTAATTTTTGTGGGTACATAGTGGGAATATATATTTAGGGGCATATGTGATGTTTTGATACAGGCATGCAACGTGAAATAAGCACATCATGGAGAATGGGGTATTCATCCCCTTAAGCATTTATCCTTTGAGTTACAAACAATACAATTACATGCTTTGAGTTATTTAAAAATGTGCAAGTAAGTTATTATTGATTTTAGTCACTCTGTTGTGCTATCAAATAGTAGGTCTCATTCTTTCTAACTAATTTTTGGCACCCATTAAACATCTGCAAGTATCCCCCAGCCTCCCACTACCCTTCTCAGCCTCTGGTAACCATCCTTCTACTCTCTATCTCCATGAGTTCAATTGTTTTAATTTTTAAATCCCACAAATAAGTGAGAACATGTGATGTTTGTCTTTCTGTTCCTGGCTTATTTCACTTAACATAATGATCTCCATCCATGTTGTTGCAAATGACTGGATCTCATCCTTTTTCTGGCTGAATAGTACTCCATTGTGTATATGTACCACATTGTCTTTATCCATTCATCTGTTGATGGACAGTTAGGTTGCTTCCAAATCTTAGCTATTGTAAACAATGCTGCAACAAATGTAGGAGTGCAGATATCTCTTTGATGTACTGATTTTCTTTCTTTTGGGCATTACCCAACTGTGGTATTGCTGGATCATATGGTAGATCAATTTTTAGTTTTTTGAGGAACCTCCAAATTGTTCTCCATAGTGTTTGTACTAATTTACATTCACATCTACAGTGTACAAGGGTTCCCTTTTCTTCACATCCTCACCAGCATTTGTTATTGCCTGTCTATTGGATAAAAGCCATTTTAACTGGGGTGAGATGATATCTCATTATAGTTTTGATTTGCATTTCTCTGATGATCAATGATGTTGAACACCTTTTTAAATACCTGTTTACAATTTATATGTCTTCTTTTGAGAAATTTCTATTCAGATCTTTTGCCCATTTTTAATTGGATTATTAGATTTTTTCCATAGAGTTGTTTGAGCTCCTTATATATTCTGGATATTAATCCCTTGTCAGATGGGTAGTTTGCAAATATTTTCTCCCATTCTGTGGGTTGTCTGTTTACTTTGCTGATTGTATCCTTTGCTTTGCAGAAGCTTTTTAACTTGATGTGATCCCATTTGTCCATGTTTGCTTTGGTTACCTGTGCTTGTAGGGTAGTGCTCAATAAATTTTTGCCCAGATTAATGTCCTGGAGATTTTCCCCCATGTTTTCTCGTAGTAGTTTCAAAATTTGAGGTCTTAGACTTAAGTCTTCAATCCATTTTGATTTTATTTTTGAATAAGGCAATAGATAGGGGTCCAGTTTCCATTATTTTGCATATGAATATCTAATTTTACCAGCACTATTTATTGAAGAGACTGTCTTTTCTCCTGTGTATGTTCTTGGCAGCTTTGTCAAAAATGAATTCACTGTAGGTGTGTGGATTTATTTTTGAGTTCTCTATTCTATTCCATTGGTCTATGTGTCTGCTTTTATGCCAGTACTATGCTGTCTTGGTAACTATACCTCTGTAGTATAATTTGAAGTCAGGTAAATATGATTCTTCCAGTTTTATTCCTTTTGCTTAGGATAGCTTTGGGTATTCTGGGTCTTTTGTGGTTCCATATAAATTTTAGGATTTTTTTTCTATTTCCGTGAAGAGTGTCATTGGTATGATAGGGGCATTGAATCTGCAGATTGCTTTGGGTAGTATGGAGATTTTAACAATATTGATTCTTCCCATCCATGAACATGGAATATTTTTCCATTTTTTGGTGTCCTCTTCAATTTATTTCATCAGTGTTTTATAGTTTTCACTATAGAAATCTTTCACTTCTTTTGTTAAGTTAATTCCTAGGTATTTTATTTGTAGCTATTACAAATGAGATTACTTTCTTGATTTCGTTTTCAGGTTGTTAGCTGCTGGCATATAGAAATGTTACTGATTTTTGTATGTTGATTTTGTAAGCTGCAACTTCATTGAGTTTGTTTATGAATTCTAAGAATTTTTTGGTAGAGGCTTTAGGTTTAAGATCTTGTCATCTGCAAACAGGGACAGTTTAACATTCTCTTTTCCTATCTGGATGCCCTTTATTTCTTTCTGTTGCCTGTTTGCTCTGGCTAGGACTTCCAGTACTATGTTGAATAACAGTGAAGAGAGTAGGCATCTTTGTTTTGTTCCAGTTTTTAGAGGAAAAGCTTTCAGCTTTTCCCCAGTCAGTATGATGTTGTCTCTGGTTTTGTCATTTATCACCTTTGTTATATTGAGGTACTTTCCTTCCATATCTAATTTATTGAGAGTTATTATGAAGTAGTATTAAATTTTATCAAATGCTTTTTCTGTATCTATTGAGATGATCATATGATTTTTATCTTGCATTCTTTTTATGTGATATATCACATTTATTGATTTGCATGTGTTGAACCATCTTTGAATTACTGGGATAAATCCCACCTGATCATGATGTATTTTCTTGATGTATTGTTGTGTTTGGGTTGCTGATATTTTGTTGAAGATGTTTACATTTATGTTAATCAGGATATTGGCCTGTAATTTCTTTTCTTGTGTCCTTGACTGGCTTTGGTATCAGGGTTATACTGACCTTGTAGGATGAGTTAGGAAGAGTTTTCTCCACTTCAGTTTTTTGGAATACTTTGAGAAGAATTAATATTAATTCTTCTTTAAATGTTTGTTAGAATTCAGTGGTGAAGCCACCTGGTCCTGAATTTTTCTTTATGGGGAGACTTTTTGTTACTGATTTAATCATATTTTTCATTACTGCTCTGTTCAGATTTTTTATTTCTTTCTGATTCAATCTTAATCAGTTGTATGCTTCTAGAATTTATTCATTTCCTTCAGGAGTTCTAGTTTGTTAGTGTATAGTTGTTCATAATAGGCTCTGATGATCTTTTTTATTTCTGTGGTATCATTGTAATGCCTCTTTTTCCATTTCTGATTTTATTTCAATCTTCTCTAATTTTTTTTTGTTAGTCTAGCAAGTGGTTTGTTGATTTTGTTCATCTTCAAAAAAAAAACTTTTGTTTTGTTGATCCTTTTTATTTTTTTAATTCTCAATTTTGTTTAGTCCTGGTTTAATTATTATTCTTTCCTCCTATTAATTTTGAGTTTGGGGTGTTATTGCTTTTCTAGTCCTTAGGGGCATTGTTAAGTTGTTATTTGAAAACTTTCTAGTTTTTTTTCCCCCTTGAGACAGGGTCTCACTCAGTTTCCTGGGCTGGAGTGCAGTGGCATGATCTCGGCTCACTGCAGCCTCAACCTCCTGGGCTCAAGTGAGGCTCAAGTGATCCTCCTACCTCAGCTTCCCAAGTAGCTGGGACTACAGGCACATGCCAATACACCTGACTAATTTGTGTATTTTTTGTAGAGACAAGGTCTTGCTATGTTGCCCAGGCTGGATTAAACTCCTGAGCTCAAGCAATCTGCCTGCTTTGGCCTCCGAAAATTCTGGGATTACAAGCATGTGCCACCATGCCTGCCCCTTTCTATTTTTTTGATGTAGACATTTATTGCTATAATCTTGCCTTTTAATACTGCTTTTGCTTTATTCCACAGGTTTTGGTATGTTGTGTTTCTATTTTCATTTGTTTCAGGAATTTTTAAATTTTATTCTTTTTTTTTTTTTTGAGATGGAGTCTCGCACTGTCACCCAGGCTGGAATGCAGTGGCGTGATCTTGGCTTACTTCAAGCTCTGCCTCCTGGGTTTACGCCATTCTCCTGCATCAGCCTCCTGAGTAGCTGGGACTATAGGCGCCTGCCACCATGCCCGGCTAATTTTTTGTATTTCTAGTAGAGTCGGAGTTTCACAATTGTTAGCCAAGGTGGTCTCAATCTCCTGACCTCATGATCTGCCCGCCTTGGCCTCCCAAAGTGCTAGGATTATAGGCATTTAAATTTTATTCTTAATTTTTTTCTTCTCCCATTGGTCATTCAGGAGCATGTTGTTTAATTTCCATATATTTGTGTAGTTTTAAATGTTCCTCTTATTAATGATTTCTACTTTTATTGCACTGTGGTCAGATAAGATACTTGATATGATTTGCATTAAAAAATTTTTTTTGAGACTTGTTTTGTGTCCTAACATATGGCCAGTCCTGGAGAATGTTCCATGTGCTGATGAAAATAATGTATATTTTGCAGCTGTTGGGTGAAATGTTCTGTAAATATCCGTTAGGTCCATTTGCTCTATGGTGTAGTTTTATAGTTTTGTTTTTTTGTAATGGTGGTTATTATCTTTTCATGTCCAGATGTGAGACTGCCTTGAGCATTTCTCGTAAGGTCAGTCTGGTGGTGATGAATTCCCCTAGTTTTTGCTTGTCTGTGAAAGATTTTCTCTTTCATTTTTGAAGAATAGCTTTGCTGGATATAATATTCTTGGCTGTCAGTTGTTTTTTTTTTTTTTCTATCAGTACTTTGAATATATAATCTAATTCTCTCCTGGCCAGTAAGGTTTCTGCTGAGAAATCCACTGTTAGTCTAATGGAGAGTCCCTTATATGTGATTTGATGTTTTTCTCTGGCTGTTTTTAGAATTCTTTCTGTCTTTGACTTTTGGCAATTTGACTATAATGTCCTTTGAAGAGAATCTGTTTGGGTTGAATCCATTTGGAGTTCGTTGAGCTTCCTGCATCTAGATGTCCATATCTCTCTCAAGACTTGGGAATTTTATAGTTACTATTTCATTAAATATGTTTTCTATATCTGTTCCCTTCTCTTCTCCTTCTGGAACACTAAATCGAATGTGAGTATTTGTTTGCTTAATAATGTCCCATAAATCCTGTAGGCTTCCTTCATTCTTTTTTATTCTTTATCCTTTTAGTGTCATTTCAAAAGATCTGTATTCAAGTCCAGAAATTCTTTCTTCTGCTTGGTCTGGTCTGTGGTTTGAGCTCTCAGTTGTATTTTAAAATTTCATTTATCGAATTCTTCAGCTTTAGGATTTCTGTTTTCTTTTTATATCTATCTCTTTGTTGGAGTTCTCAGTCAAATAATACATTGTTTTCCTGATTTCACTGAATAGTCTATCTGTATTCTCTTGTATCTCACTTAGTTTCCTTAAGATTATTATTTTGAATTCCTTTTCTGTCATTTTGTTTATTTCCTTATGATTGGGTCTGCTACAGAAGAATTATTGTGTTTCTTTGGAAGCATGATATTTCTTCGCTTTTTTATGTTTGATGTGTTTTAAAGTTGATTTCTATACATCTGGTGGAATAGTCGCTTCTTCCAATTTTATGGAGTAGGTTTCACAGGGAAAGACTTATTCATATATATGGGTCTTGGGTGTTGGTTGGAGTGTGTTGTCTTTGGTTCTAGGTGGACACAGTTGTGTAGTCTCTGTGTAGTTTCTTCAGCTGCAATCCACACTAGCAATGCTTGTGAGTGTCTCAGTGGCCTAGGCTGAGAGAGTTTGTGATGGTGGTGGTGTGGCTTTGTTGGGGGTGGGCTCACTGGGTCACTGGGCTGTTTCTCAGGTTAGGGGCACATGTGTGCACACAGCAGGTCAGCCAACTTGGGGTCTGGCTTGTTGGGGTTGGGACCATGGGGTTATTACACTGGCAGGGGGCATGGGCATGCGGTTTCTAGGTAAGCCTGAGAGTATGTCTGCCAGGGGAAGTCTCTAGAACTGTTTCTCAGGCCCAGGACATGGCTGTATAGCTTCTTGGTTAGCCTGGATGCATGTCTGTTGAGGCTGGCCCATGGGATATTTCTCTGGCCTGGGATGAGGGTGCACAGCTGCTCAGTCAACCTTGGGGTATGCCTGTGAGGCACAGCCCATGGGGCTGTTTCTGTGGCCTGGGACACAGGTGCACGGCTGCTCAGCTGGCCTGGGAACATGTCTTCTGGGCATGGACTGTATGGTTGTTTCTCAAGCCTGAGATGTGGGCATGAGGCCTTTGGGCAGGCTAGGGATGTGTCCAAGGCGGGCAGGTGGATGCCACTGGGCTGTTTCTCAGGCCCTGAGCACAAGCATGAAACTACACCACTGGCTTTGGGGGCATATCAGCTTCTTGGTAACTCAGGGACTTCTCCCACTCAGGGGAGGACACACAGTAGTTCGGCTAGCTCAAGTGTGGGTTTGTCCTGGGTGGGACTGGCAGACTGTTCCTCTAGCTGGAAGTGTATGTGTATGGGTTTGTTCCCTGGTGTGTAGGACCAGAGTCTCAGCTGATGATCGGCTCAGGCTGGGGTTGTGGCGTTCAGCCACCCATGTGGGCTTGATGCAATGAAGATGGAGCCCCAGTGTTGGACAGGTACAGTAGCTACTGGCCCTCAGGGAAGGCACACTCCAGAGGTGGCTCTGGTCTCAACATGGCACCATGTTGCTATAGCTTGGCTCACAGCGGCTGGATGGGGTATGGAGAGTGCACACCTTGTGCTCCTAATCCAGAACACTGTAGCTGTGTGAATTCCTGGCAGCTCTCCAAAATGGGCTCAGGGCTTGTGAGGACTGTGTGTTTCTCCTGTTGTAAGAACTGTAAGTGTTTTCAGTGGCAACGGGTGCTGGTGGCATTCTTCTGCTTACCATTTCCCTGCAAGGAGAACTACCTCCTGTCTCCAGGCCAACTTGTTCTGGTGAAAGAGATGGGGCTGCATGGAGGTGCCTCCACTCCCACTGCACTCCAGTGCTGTCTCTTCTACACTCCAGTCATACCTTAGCTGTTTATTCATTGCCTTGGTCCTTTTTCTTGGCAGAGATGATTGCCAACTGTCTCTATTCAGCCATCTTGCTGATGTCATTCTGATTTTTTTAATGAAGAGCTCCTGCAAATCTGTGAAAAATATATAAACAGATCAGTATAAAAATGGCATATAATACAAATGAACTAGTCACAAAAGAAAAAATATTAATAAATAGTATATACAATAGAGTCTTTAAGAAACAAAAAGTGAAAGTGAAAGCAATGAGATATTATTTCCATTTTTACTTTTTGGTATCAAACTGACAAGTTATCATTTAAAAATTACAATATCCAGCCATGATGGGGATGTTGGCAAAACAGGCACTTTAATACATAGTTGAGGGAGGGTTAGCTGCTGCATCATTTCCTGATGATACTATGACTAAAGCCTTAAATTATGCCTTATGGAACTCATCCTAAAGAAATTAGCAGAGTTATGGCCAAATATATACGCAAAAGGATGTTCATCATAGAATTTTTATAATAATGACACCACCTAACATATTGATATAGTGGATTTGTTAAGTAAGTTATGGTCCACCCATGTGATGGACTACTATATAGCCAGTAAAAATCAAATGTACCACCTTAGAAAAATGTTTACAAAATAATTTACTAAGTGACAAAGTTATATATAAAATAAAATAAAATATAGAGTATGTCATCAGTTTTGTAAAAAAATATGCATATATGTATAACAGTATATCTGCATATATGGGCAAAGAAAAAAGACTAGAAGGACATACGATGTTAACGTATTAGTCTGTTCTCACATTACTGTAAGGAAATACCTAAGACTGGGTAATTTATAAAGAAAAGAGGTTTAATTGGCTCATGATTCTGCAGGCTGTACAGGAAGCTTGGTGGCTTCCGTTTCTGGGGAGGCCTCAGGAAGTTTCCAATCATGGCAGAAGGCGAAAGGGGAACAAGGTACTTCACATGGCCCGAGAAGGAGGAAGAGAGATGGGGGAGGTGCCACACACTTCAACAACCAGATCTCATGAGGACTCACTATCACAAGAACAGCACCAAGGGGATGGTACTAAACCATTTATGAGAGAACCACTCCATGATCAAATCACCTCCCACCAGGCCCACTTCCAGCAAAGGAGATTATATTTCAACATGAGATTTGGATGGGGTCACAGATCCAAACCGTATCCGTTAATAATAGTTACCTCTGAGTGTGGATTATAGTGTTTTCCAAATTTTCTGCACGACATTTATCAGTTTTGTAATTTGAAAAGGAAAACAAATATGAAAAGAAAAAATATGAGGAAGATATGAAGGAAATCTTGGGACTCCATGACTCGGTTGACCTCTATTCTCAGGTTTTGGGTTTCAAGTTTACATACAAATTTAGAAAAATAGAATAGCAAGTATGTAGTACGGCCTGATATTGTGGCAGCACCTTATACTATAACAAATAGATGTTTAAAGCCTGTGAGGTTCTAGGCCACTCTTCTGAAAAGTTGTTTTTCAATATGATACATTTTTACTACTAAGAAATTCATTTTGGTGTCACTTGGGTCACTAGTTACCCATGAAAATTGATATTAGTGTAGATTTTTATGTCACATAGCCAGAAGGAAAACACTGAGAATAAGTGCTGCTCTTTCCCCAGTCAATTCATCCTTGTGCAAGATAAGCCCCCAAAAAGAGGATTTAAGGGCCTCTCATCCTTAGTCCCATGAGGTCTCTATCTCCATTCCCTTCTTCACTTTTGGTGACAATTCAAGGCTAGCCTAGCAAGCCCACACTTTCTCACCAAATAAAGACACACTCATTACCAGGGGGTGGGTCTGGCAGCTGGAGCTGTTTTATCAATAGTCTATTTGAGTCTCTGAAAAACAATTTAAGCTGGTCACAGTATTTCATCAAAACTGTTCAATACCGGTGACTGGTGGCCTCAGCGGATGGTATATCCATAATTCATAATGCCGTCTAAATTGGAGAGAGGAGACACTGTAATCTCAGAATCCTTTTTAAGGGAGAGGAGGAATCTTAGAACATGCTTAAAACAAGTACAGTTGAAGCCTTTGTTACAGATGGGTTTTTATCTTTCTAGGAGATGGAAAAGGCTAAGTCAGTGACAACAAAGCTAAATATTTCTCCTTATAATACAAAGGAGAACAATGCATGGTTACTACTGACTAATTTATTTTACTCAATGGAATAAACCAGAAAGACTAACATTGTTTTAATTTATGCATCCAGTGAGAGCCAGGATATTGATATGTAAAAGCACTTAAACATACACTGTTATGGGCCAGGGCTGTCAAGAGCTGTTTTGAATCAGAAAGAGCTGGAAATATTCATGTAGAAAGAGAGCTACCCAACAACCCAGCTCTATAAATAGTCCTGAGTGAGCCTGGCTTGTGGCTTGGGTTGGCCTGAGTCCCAAACTCCTCCCTGGGGACTAAACCCAGGAGGAATGAGACAGAAATGAAACTTGGGCATTTGTCTAGCTGCTTCCCTGGTCACCATAGATTTCTCAGGAAAAGCCTATTTGCTGTCTGTAAATATTTCCTCTCCCTTCTTCTTCCTGGCCTTCCTAAAAACAAAGCAAAGCAAAACACATAAATAAAATTCCAAAACACAAAAACAAATAAAGCAAATCTTTCCCAGTTACTCTTGGCGTTAGTTACTAAGCACTGGAGATTTACAGCCTACTTATTGGTAATCTTTAAATTCATGTTTCAGGAATCCCTGAAAAGTGATTTGGGTAAAAGAATGCAGTGAGGAAACTGTAAGAATGATCCTATGTTTCTCAGTTTTCTTTCCGCTGGCACTACTTTATTTAACCCTCACAGTGCTCTGTGGAAGGTATTATTAGATTGGTGCAAAAGTATTTGCGGTTTTGACATGAAAAGTAATGGCAAAAACCGCAATTACTTTTGCACTAACCTAATAGGATGCTTATGTGATGGGTGAGGGAAGTGAAGCTCAGAAAAGTGCAATGCCTATAAAAGGTGGACCATTCCATCATCCCACCCAGTTGAGTGGTCCTCCCACTACACCAGTGGTCAGTCAGTTACAGGCAGCTGCTGACCTCCCTCAACTCCTACTACCCATAGCCTCCACTCATGCGATATACATGCCAAAAAGTTTCCTGAAAAGTTGTTGTACTAAGTTCCCCTAGATCACTGTAGTTTTCAAACCTTTTTCCTTCATTATGACCTGCTTCACATACTGGTGAACAGATGGCCCCGTGGGTCAGTGTGAGGCGCTTGTGAAATCTAGGCCATCGGTTTCACCATCAACATACATTAGCTAGTCTTTATGTTGAAGGAGATCAGGATATGCCACCTCAAAACGCACCTCTTTAGCTTAAGGATTATTTTGAGCTGAAGGCAGTTAAAGATCAACATATACAGGAAGAGGTCTCTGCTCTCCCTTTATCTGTCTAAAAGCAGGGCATGAGTTTCCCCTGGTGAAGGTGGTATAAGTTCCCCTCTCCTAAACCAGGATGAGGAACACGACTGTTATCGCTGGTGATGGAGAGCCGGCACCAAGTCTGCATAAACAAACCTTACTAAAATAACCCTTATTTTTCATTAGTTCTCTCATGTATTTCCTAGTCACTTTCAGTTAATTTATTTTTCCTGAGGCCCAAACCCTCTTTCCTTCGTTAAGAAGGATATATAGGCCGGGCGCAGTGGCTCAAGCCTGTAATCCCAGCACTTTGGGAGGCTGAGGCGGGCAGATCACGAGGTCAGGAGATCGAGACCATCCTGGCTAATACGGTGAAACCCCGTCTCTACTAAAAATACAAAAAATTAGCCAGGCATGGTGGCAGGCGCCTATAGTCCCACCTACTCGGGAGGCTGAGGCAGGAGAATGGCGTGAACCCAGGAGGCGGAGCTTGCAGCGAGCCGAGATCTCGCCACTGCACTCCAGCCTGGGTGACAGAGCAAGACTCCGTCTCAAAAAAAAAAAAAAAGAAGGATATATAAGCTCCCTAGTCTAACCACTTCTTTGAGTTTCACTTCTTTTCTGTGAATTCCCAGGAATGTAAAATTTTAAAAAGTTAATACATTTATATTTCTTTTCTACTATTAGTTTGTCTTGTGTCAGTCAAATTCACAAGCCCCCACTGACTAAACCCAACAGAGTAGAGGAAAAGTTCCTCCTCTTCAACAACATGTAGTTTTATACACTTACAACTTAATCTCAACAGCTGGGTCACAATGGGCAGAGAGAACAGTACAGTCATGCTTTGCATAACAAAGTTTTGGTCAACAATAGACGACATATATGATGATGGTCCCATAAGATTATAATACCATATGTTTATGGTACCTTTTTATGTTTAGATCTGTGTAGATACACAAATACTTACCATTGTCTTATAATTGCCTAGTATAGTGCAATAATGTGCTGTACAAGTTTGTAGCCTAGGAGCAGTAGGCTGTAGCATATAGCCTAGGTGTGTAGTAGGCTATACTCCCTAGGTTTGTGTAAGTACACTCTGATGTTTGCACAATGACAAAATCACCGAATAATGCAAGAGACTCATGACTGTACTAGGATTCAGGGACTATGTTAAGCACTTAAAGCTCTTATAATACTTTTAACATCCCTATGAGGTAGCTACTATAGTATTAGGTCGGTGCAAAAGTGAGTGCAGTTTTGCCACTACTTTTAATACCTCCGTTTTATAAATAAGAAAACTGGGGCCTGGAGAGGTTACATAACTTGCCCAATGTCCCACAGCTTATAAGAGGCAGAGGCAGGATTCCCAGCCAGGCAGTCTGACTCCAGAGGGTATGCTCTTCACTACTGTATTACAATGCCTCCAATCCACGTGGATGGACTCATTCCTTACCCTGGCCTGCTCTTAGGTAGAGCTGTTCCTAAACAGAGTAGAGACCTGGGCCAGTGTTGGCTTTCTGCCCTTCACTTTCAGCCCCCTCTTTCTCCCATCTGCCCACCCTCTCCTCTCTTCTTTTTCTGGTTCTTCCCTATTCCTTGCAACAACATTGCTCATCCCTGTGCCTTCCTTGACCTAGGTTTCTGTTCTGTTTAGGGACTGCACAGTCTAGAGCACAATTGACCAATGGTTCCCAAGCCTGGGTGATCATCATATTTTTAGAGGAACTTCAAAAACATGCATACTCCTAGGCCTGTAACTTCTGGTGCATTGTCAGCTGTCCAGGTAATGGTGTTCACTCAGCTTGGGAAAAAATACCATGATACACAATGGTCAGAGTTCTGGCTGTGATGGTAGTGAAAACGCCTTTAAGAACCTGGCTGAACACAATATAGTTCATCTGGTTCCCTAAAGATAACAATTCTCTGGGAGGCCGAGGTGGGCAGATCATGAGGTCAGGAGTTTGAGACCAGCCTGACCAGCACGGTGAAACCCCATCTCCACTAAAAATACAAAAATTAGCCAGGCATGGTGGCACGTGCCTGTAATCCCAGCTACTCAGGAGGCTGGGGCAGGAGAATCACTTGAACCCGGGAAGGGGAGGTTGCAGTGAGCCAAGATTGTGCCACTGCACTCCAGCCTGGGAGACAGAGCGAGACTCTGTCTCAAAAAAAAAAAAACATAAAAATTCTCCTGTAGCCCTGGTCTCTTGTTTATAGAGAATAGCTGTGTTTCTGCTTCCATGTGTTCCAAAGGGCCAATATTAGTGCTGTGACACCTGGAAAACATCCTACTGTCTTAGGATGAGTGTTTGAAATGTGAAACACTCTTGGGCTGTGAATCCTTCCATGATATGTTAGTCCGTGGAAGGAGAATTGGAACTGGTGATGGTACTTAGTGGAGAGCTACTGCTAATGATGCAGCGCTGTTAGATATTGTAAACATTTAATTAGCTAGTCCTCCAGAGACCTCTCTAGAAATAGGTAATTAAACAAACAATTTAAATGCATTTTAAAGATCAGAGTCATTTCAGGATGAATAAGTTCTGAAAACCTATTGTACAGCATGGTGACTATAGTTAATATAATGTATATTTAAAAATTGCTAAATTTTAATAACAATTATAATGCATTATATATTTGAATTCTTTTTGCACCACAAAAAATAAGTATGTGACATGATTGGTACATTAATTGGCTCAATTTAATAATTTCACAATATATGCATATATCAAAATATTACATTGTGCACTGTAAATATATACAATTTTTATGAGTCAATTAAAAAAAACAGAGTCATTAAAGGCAATGTTTTCCCCTTTGAATCTAACTTTAAAATAAGGAAGTTCATAAATGCATCCTGTGTTTTGAAATAATGAATCTGTCATCAACATCAGATTAGCTGCTACTTCTGATAAAGTTAATTCTGCTGATTTCTGGAAGACTTTTTTAGAGACAAATAGTTTCTCTGAGGTTCCTTTAAGTTCTCGTTACTCAAAGCTTGGATGTTATGTTAAATTTTTCCACTTTGATCCATCCAGGCCATGGATTGTAGGCCGCAAGGAACAGAAACTGTTTATTCACAAGACAAGTGTGTCCTTGGTACTTCATGAATCTCAAAAGAGGATTAACTGGGGTGATGGTGGTAGTATAAATGTCATGTGTAAGTTCTCCATTTTAACTGTGACACTTCACAACACAACTGAAACAATCTGAATATGTAAAGAAGTTGGAGATTATCTGCCAAGGGCAGGTCTCTTCCAAATTACTGATGGAAAAATCATCCTCCTTTTTGTAGTTAGGAATACACACACACACGTGCGCATGCATGCGCACACATGGTCAGCGATCTTCAACCACGTAAAAAAATAGAAAGCATTTGTTATGATTTCCCATAAGACAAAATATGGGAAAGTGGGCTTGCACTGCAATGGAGGCATTAAAATTAAACTAGGAAACACCAAGGTTAGGAAACACCAAGGATTCTGCAGAGAGTTTGTAGACTCAAACTGATTTTAAAAATGATGAGAAAGGCTGGGCGCCGTGGCTCACGTCTGTAATCCTAGCACTTTAGGAGGCCGAGGGGGGCAGATCATGAGGTCAGGAGATCGAGACCATCCTGGCTAACATGGTGAAACCCCATCTCTACTAAAAATACAAAAAATTAGCCGGGCGTGGTGGCGGGTGCCTGTAGTCCCAGCTACTCGGGAGGCTGAGGCAGGAGAATGGCATGAACCCGGGAGGCGGAGCTTGCAGTGAGCCGAGATCGCGCCACTGCACTCCAGACTGAGCAACAGAGCGAGACTCCATCTCAAAAAAAAAAAAAAAAAAAAAATTTTTTTGAAAAGAACGTGCGGCTTTTAGACACTCAAAATATTTGCTAAATGGTATTGAAATAAAGATGGCATGGATTCATGTGAAAAGAAGAAACACAACAACAATAAGAACATAATTCTTTTAGTTACAAGGACCCTCTGGGATAGCAGTAATGCCTGTATTTGAGTCTTACTGCTGCCACTGGTTTGGATGAGTTTTTGGAACCTCTCTTAACCTTGATTTACACTTCTACTAGTTGGGAATAATAATAATACTTCATAGAGTAGTTATTATGTAAGTAAAGTACTTAACGCAGTATGAGGCACTTTTCCTTTAGTTTTATATACCATTGATATTTACATATGTATTTACATGTTTATGTATATATATGTAATCTCCATAGTCGTGCATATGGATTAGGTGTGACTACTATCCCAAATGGCTTGCATGCACTTCTGTCTAGAATTGGGGAGAATGAATTGACTAACATCTTGGCATCCCTCTGAGCCCCATGATTCCATAGTTCTGTGAAGATTCTTTAATGATTATTCAATTTTATGCAAGAAAAAGCCAGGTTGTCTCCTAGATTGTCCAGAAGGGGGCTCAGATAGGAGACATTGCATACAGCTACCTAATCCTACTAGATTACTTGACATTTTGGGATGAGCAATAAGTTGATAAATGAGAAGGACTGGTCACTGTCATGGTTATTAATGAAGAAACCTACCATCTTGATGGTGATGAATCTTGATGATGGAAAAGAAATCACCTCTGGGCAAAACCTGCAAACCTGCAGTTACTGCCTGATTATTGCCTCTGCATTTTCCTAAGCTGGTGTCAAACAGGAAATGTGGATATTTAAACCTAGATAAACGTCATGCAAAGATGAGCCCTGAAGCCATAGTATCTGAGAGTTTGGCTTAAGGCAGAACAACCCAGTGCCATAAAGCTCATTGTTGGGCTGCCTTTTTCTCCCAGCCCTCCAGAGACAGGTCAGAATGGAAAAAAGCAAGCATATGTTTAGCCTTGCAAGGTTTTAGTAGGAAAATTCTGCAACTGAAAGCCCCATCACTGACAGTGTTTTGACATGAAGTTTCACGTAATTGGAAAAGGCATTACAATTTTCTGCCCATGGAATGCTTCTGAATATAACTAGCCATGTGACTTAGGAGGCGGTCTTAGCAAGTGTGCAAGCGTCTCTGTTGCTAAAGACAAAGAAGAAACCACTAGTATTACTCAACACACATCACAGTCAGGTGGAAAGGAATCCCAGGGGTCAGTAGCTTGAGTCTCCTATCTCAAGGCAAGTCTGCTTTTCAGACCAGGCCAAAGCACAATGTTCAATTATATTTCCTGGTCACCTTCCCTAATAGCCAATAAAACGGGTGCTCGTTCAGACTACTTAAGACTAGAATTGTGGTTGCTCCTTATCTGTGTTTTGTAATTTCTAAGATTCCCTCTATTGGAGAAATACTGCCCAGGGAAATGCAGAGAATAGTTTCTTTGATACCAGACCATGACAATGTGTTTCTTTGGAGCTAGGGATTAAAACCTCACAGTATTTGTAGACTTGTGGCATCATTTTATCTGTTACCTCCACCCACATGTCACAGCCAAACAGGCCTCTCTTCCTTTTGCCAACTTGCCCACTCCCAGGCTTTTTCTGTTTAATTCTGGGAAACCTGGCAAAGAAAAGGATGACCCTTGAAGCAAATGATATGCTGAAATGTTCTGGGTGGGAGCTGCCTGAGGAGTAGGCCAAAATAACTCACAGATCTATGCCTTGAGGGAAAGATGGGAAAATAGAGGCAGGTTCCTTTCCCCTCTCCAAACCATTTTGATCCAAGAACATTATGAACTTGGTAACTAGATATGCTTTTAGAAGACAGCCCTTCTATTTTAGAAATGGATTTTCTAGCTGCTTTAAAATCAGCATAGCTGTACACCAAGTAAATCAATGAAAAGTACTTTGTGTGCCAATTTGTGCTAGAGATGTAGAGCTCCTTCAGCAACTACCAGTGCTAAAGAGATCACCTGCTTTCCACATGTGGTGAAACTAGGATTACATTTCAGGTATGCATGTGGGCTATGGCTTTAGAGGAGGGTTCTTATCCTATACTTCTATGTTGATACAATTGTATCTTTCTTCTAAGTGTAGGGGAACCCCACTCAATAGAGTAGTTCATCTCCCAATCTTTTCATCCCCCACCTGTGTTCCCAAACATGCTTCTATCTATAATAGTGGCTCACTAGGAGAGTAGGGTCTATATTTGTGTGTGTGTGTGTGTGTGTGTGTTGGTATATTAGTTTTCTAGGACTACTGTAACAAATGAATATACACTGGTAGCTTAAAAGAATAGGCATTTATTGTCTCACAGTTCTGCAAGCTAAAATTCTGAAATCAAGGTCAGGGCCATGCTCCCTCTGAAGGCTCTAGGGGAGGATCCTTCCTTGCCTCTTCTAGCTCCTGGTGCTTGCTGGCAATCTTTGGTATTCCTTGGCTTGTAGATGCATCATTTCAATCTCTGCCTCTGTCTGCACTTGGAATTCTCCTGTGTCTGTGTCTAAATTTCCCTTTTCTTATGACACCAATCATTAGATTAGGGCCCACCCTAATTCAGTATGGCTTCATTTTAATGTGATTATATCTTCAAAATCTTAGTTCCAAATAAGGTCACATTTACAGATACTAGTGTTTAGGATTTGAACATATCATTTTAAGGGGCATAATTCAACCCACAGCTATCATCAGCAGCTACCCTCCAGGACAGGGAATGACCTCTATGTCCCTTCTCTGACGCATGAGATAGGGATTTGGGAGATGAAGCTGCTCTGGAGGCAGGCTCCGGCTCTTTTCCTGTCTCCTCCACCCCTCCTGTTTTACTCTGCTACCGCCACTCCAGCTGTCTTTGGAAACCTGCTAGGTGTTCTCCCATAGAGTTCTAGACAGACAGTAGTAACCAAAGCCCCCTTTCCAAAACCCATCCAAGACTGCCGCCACCCCTGTCTCCTGGGTTTTGTTCCCAGAGGTGTTCCTGTGTCTAATCTTTGTCTTTGCCTTCCACTTTTCCTTTCCCTACCCCTCAGAGGTGGCAGACGGGGCGGGCTTTCCCTTTCTTCAAGCCTGTCAGAGACCTCCCTTATGCTACATTCTCCTAACTTCCTGTGCTAATATTCACCTTCACCTTCCCTGGGGTCATAATGTCAGATAGGACACACAGAGAGAAACAACAAAGGGAAGAGCTCAAACTCTTATCCGTACCACACAGGCATGAGTGTAGCATGTAGTCAAGTCCAAGTCTAGGCACAGAGAGCTGAGGATGACAATTGCAGCTTTTCTTCTATCAACCTTAGCAGCTGTGGCTTTTTCTTCCTCCCTACTCCTCTTCCCTTCCTCTTCCTAGACAGCTCTCTGTTTTTCATTTATTTATTTATTTATAAAGCAGCAGAATGCTAAATGTAAAAGAGATGAAAGCAAGGCTGCTCTAGTTGTAATGGAGGTGGAAGCCAGAACCCCACCCCTATCTCATAGCTTTGGAGTATTTCCCTCACACTCTCATCTCTTTAGAACACAGCTCGAAAATCACAGCAATAAGAGGCACTGAGTCTCATATCCCATACCTTGAACTTGTTACTATAAATAAAACAGGCATGTTACCATGACAACCTGACTGTCTGTTTAAATTGTTCCTTATAGACCAAATTAGCCAGGATCAATAGTGCTTCCTGAATGCAGAATTACTTTCCTTTTGCAAAAAAAGTTTGAACAAATTATAGAATAAGCCACTTGGGGAAACAAGGCCTGAGTTGATGCAATTAAATTGCTCTCTGCAGCTCCTCTTCAACACCCATCCGAGGCTGTTCCTTCGTGCAGCAGGGTGCCCAGGCTTGCGCTCTCCAGGCTGCTGTGTTAGTCACTGCTCACTTCCATGGCCTCTTCCCTGGCAGGCTCTTCCTGCTGCTCAGCATATGTCATTAGAAAGGACACTTCTGTCTGTAACATCCTGCTCCCCCAGGCTCAGCTGTCATGTGACAAGATGCTGTCCTTGGAGATGGACAGATTTTAAATGACACTCCCTAAGCAGGCTTGCGGAAACAGACCTCAGAGCAGATGCAGGCCCAGGCCTCACCCCAGCGAGGAGCTTGTTAAGGGGCATGAGTTGACCCTGAAGCCAGTGATAGTCAGCCTATTGTCCCCCAGGACATGAGAGCCAAGAATTCCTTCCCTAAGCAAAACCTGAGGAGAAGTTCAAGGAGGATGGCGATGCTGAGCTTGGCTGCATTTTTGAGTAGGAAGAGTGGAATATGGCCTCCTCCCATGATCTGAGAGTCTAGACAGGGTCCCACATTATCTTCCAACTGAATTTGTGCCCTCAATTTTGTGTCTTTTACTTAAAATGCAGATACTGCTGGGAAGGGCAGCAATTTAAACTAATTTCCACTGTGGTGTCAGGCTGTAATCTTGCTGGGTAGTATGGGGAGAGAAGGGGACACCTACAATGTCCCATGCATTTTACCAACATCTTTATTTAGTCCTCACAACAATTTTATGAGGTCTAATCTGTGGCTTTGGGTTCTTTTTTCATTATGTTCTCTCTATTATACAAAAATAGTTAATGCCTCTGCCTTGCTGTAGAGGTGACCCAATGTTTTGGGTTTGGACAAAGACAAGCTTGGGTTCCAATTCCAGTTCTGTCACCCTCTATGAGCTATGAGACTTTGGAGACGTTATTTGCTCTTTTTGAATCTGTTACTTGACATTTGTTATTTGATCAAATCAGTCATTTGATGACTTTTATGGACGTCTCATCAGAACAATTTATAGTATATATTATTTTGCATAAGATTTCAAGGGTTCAGGAAGCCACTGTAGTTAGGCACTTGTGGTATATGGCAGATCTCGGGATCAGAGTGAAGGAATAAATGGGTCAGGGAGAAGCAGAGCACGTGGTATCAAAAAATTAAGTGGTGTTCTTATCTGGTGTGAGTATCTTTATAAAATTGCCAAAATTAGTCTTTAAGTTATATTTCCTAGTTGGTAAGAGTAACAATACATTCATTTCAGGTGCTATTTAATACTTTAAAAATAATTTTAAAAGTTCTAATTGTGGTTAACAAATGTAATGTAAAACTTACCACCTTAACCATTTTTAAGTGTTCAAGTCAGTAGTGACAGGTATAGTCACATTTTTGTGCACCCAATCTCCAGACTTTCTTCATCTATATCCATTAAACAACAGCTTCCCATTCCCCCTCCCCTCAGTTCCTGGCAACCATCATTCTACATTCTGTTTCCATGAATTTGATTACCTTAGATACGGCATATAAGTGAAATCATATAGTATCTGTCTTTTTGCGACTGTCTTATTTCACTTAGCATAACCTCCTCAAGGCTCATCTATGTTGTAGCATGTATCAGATTTTCCTTTCTTTTTAAGGATGAATAATGTTCCATCATCTGTATGTACTATATGTTGTTTATCCATTCATCTGTCAGTGAATATTTGGGTTGCTTCTTCCTGTTGGCTATTGTTGGCAAAGGAACAGCAAAGATTGCCAGCAACCCACCAGAAGGTAGGTGAGAGGCATGGTGCAGATTCTTCCTCACAGCCCTTGGAAGGAACCAACCCTGCTGACACCTTGATCTTGGACTTCCAGCCTACAAAAGTATGAGACAATACACTTGTGTTGTTTAAGCCACCCAGTTTGTGCTACTTTGTTATGGGAACCCTGCCAAACTAATACAAAAGGCAATCCAAGCAGCTGGTAATCTTGTTAGCCCCTCAGGAGAAGATGTTTGTGGTCCCCACTCTAGAGCCCCATAACTAACGAAGCTCAGGTCTTTTCTCTTCCTTTGCTTCTCCAGGTATCATTTTGTCTCTCTACATGTTGTCTCCACCCATATTTCCAGTCTGAATTCCTGAGAAAGAGAAACCGATGGGCAGGCTCTGTATGTTGGCTATCTTTAGGGCAAGTGCCTGTCCTTGATCCAATTAGCTGGGTCCAGGGTCACCAGGCTCTTGGGTTAGCAGGATAGGGATATATGCACAGAAGGAAACATGTTTAAAAGAATTTTAACATGAAAACCATTCTGAGGCTTGGCCTGCCCAGTACAATAGGTGACATATACATGGTATTCCATCATGGGCTTAGCTTGATTTGTACAACCTCATCCTACTTGCTGCCAATGCTTTAGGAAAAATTAGTCAGTTTAATGCCAGGTTATATTGTGATAACATATTAAGTCTGAAATACCAGTAATTAATGCAGCAAGTGTTTATTTCTCACTCACAGTACACATGTAATAAGGGTCATGGGGATTTCTGCCCTATACAGTCGCTTGGGGGATCAGGCTAACAGAGGCTTTACTAACTTGTACTTGCATCACTGGTAACACAGGGCCTCCTTGGCTGTCCATAAGAGAGGAGAGACACAGGAGAATCTGACTTCATTTCCCCAGGTGGGAAGTGACATATATCTCGTCCACCCTCATTTCATTGGTAAGACCTAGTCATGTGACCCACTTAATTACAAGGAGGCCGAATAATGTTTTCTTCCTATGTGCTGGGGACCAGGAAGAGGAGAACCAGATATTAGTGATCACTAGCAATGTTTGCTTCTACTGCATAGTTCTAACGTATAGTTTTTATGTGTGCATATGTGTGTATATGTTTCATGGAAAGAAGTTTATAATCATTTGATTAACAGTACTTTGATACTGGAGTGCTTTCTGGGCTATGATAGACCTAAGATTGACTAAAGGATATGTAACATTTTCCTAAGCATCAGTTATAACTGTCTCTTTTTCTCTCACTCAAGAGAGGATGTTACAATCCAAGGGGGTGCAATTACAGGGATAACTTTGAATCCACTCTAATTCAATTTTTAAGGTAAATCATTCACAAAGTTCAATACTTTAGGAATTACTTGATTAAAATTATTTACCTCTCATTTCATAATTAATCAAGATGTGTTTTGTATTACATGCTTGAAAAATCACCACTCTAAATCTTGGTAAAAGTAAAAGAATAACCAGGAGTTGATGATTTTGAAAGAGTATAACGAAAAAATATTCTGACACTTGTTAAAAGGGTGAGGAAGACTTTACTCAGGTCCACTGCAATAGGTGTCAAGACTATTGCAACAGGGAAGACTGATCAGGCTCAACTCTGAATACTGCAAGGATAGATGAGGATTTACAGCCAATGAGCAGAGACGGGGTCGATAGATGGAAAATGACTAAGGATGAGGAGATTCTTGCTAAATTGCCTTAAGGTTCATGTTGAAGGTGGGCCAGGGTGATGACATATAGAGGTTTTGGGATTCTCACTAAATTGACTTAGCAGGATTCTTGTTTTTCTTTCCTTTCCTTCTTTTTCCTCAGTGCTCTGTATCTCTGATCTTTGACACACACTCACTGACATGGAGATGACCAGAGGCTAGATAAATAAGCTCAATAAATAAACATGCTATTATTCCTCCAAGGAGTATAAGAAGCAGTCACACTTAAAATGATGACTACAAACTTTTTTCCCCTTCTCACCATTGCATACCAGCAGATTGCAAGTATCCTTCAAGTCGAGTGGTCTACAGCACTCAGCTTATGGAGAGGGTGTGGCACCGCATTATATCATGCTTGGATGTTCAAGTGCTTATCCTCCCTCCTTAGTTATGATCGCAAGGGCTGGAGTCTTCTCTTTCAGCTGTCAGTGTGTAATCATAGAGCTTGGATAGTGTTTGGCACATGGCTAGCCACACTGCAAATGATCATTATTCAATTTGACTCAGAAAATAGCAATTTTCCATCCTAAGGATTGAACCTATGTGCCTGTGTTGGGGTTTATGGCTGCCTCATCAACTAATTTGAGGTACCAAGAGGGCACAAAACAAAGACACTTGCTGATCCTGGTACAATTTATTAATTTTAAGAAACTCAAAATGGAGGTTAGTTTACATTGCCAAAGTGCTGACCAAAGACCCAAAGTCCTTAAAATCTTTTTTTAAGGTAAAAAGTAAAAATTCTTCTTTAAGGGTAGTTCAAATGTTTTAACTTCTTCCAAAGAAAATATCTGCTTCATTTAAAATTAAATTTAATTAGACAGAGACGCCAGAATTTTCCTTTCAGTGACTTGGGCATTCCTTTGGAGAGGTTAACCGAAGGAATTCTTTTTGCAAACATAAATATTGCACTGGGGTATGGTAGAGGGGTTCTCAATCAGGAGTGAAGATATTTATATATGTATCTAAACTCTGCCCCCGTGACTTCAGTACCTGTACAAGTTGTTAAAGGTCTCCAGCCTTCAAGTTCTACAGCTGTAATATGAGAAGAATTGATTTGATTTGACAAGTTACCTTCTAGCTGTAACATGAGGGAACCAGTTTAAAGTTTCTTTGAATTTTTGGGTTGCTGTTTTCCAGATAGCACCTTGATTTCTAGGTTCTCAGTTTTTGCTGTTTCCTTACTTTTCAGTCTGTCGAGATGTTGAAGTATCATAATTATAGACATTTCTCTTCAGTGTCTCATGATATGAAGTAGATGTAAGTGGTATGTTATTTTAAGAATATGATTTGCATTACACAGACAGATAGATGATAAAGCTATCATGATAGGGAATAAATAGCAATAAGGATGTAGTACCCACAGAGAAAGGAAACAAGCCATGGAGGAAACAGTTGCTTTGTTGGAATGGCTTCTTGCTTTGCTTAACATGGTAATAGATGAAAAAGCTGAAAAGAGCATGAAAGAGTCTCTTACTACTGATAATATTGGTGGCAATAGGAAATAAAGGCCATTACTCTTGCGCAAAATGTAGATTTATTCATGTGCTGGATTTACTAGGTGATGTTAGGTGTTGTAGCCATATATTTATAGCTAAAAATCCTCCCTCTATCAGTGAAAATTTTATAGAAAAATGTCTTCGATGATTCTGAAGTTCTTTAGTTTACAGCCTCTTATTTCCAATGACACAACTATTTTTATAATACATCTTTTATTATGTGTGATTTCTTAAGAATTATAATTATTGCAGTTATTGCATTGTGGCAGAATAGACTTCATCTCTCAAGACCAGCTACATAATTTGTGGGGTCTAGTGCAAAAAAAATGCAGGACCTTTTGTCTTTTCTTAAAAAATAGAAAATAAGTGTTGTTAAAGGTATGCACTAAAATATAAAAGCTTTTTCCTTTCTTCCATGGCCTCTCCCTTGACTTGTCATGGTGGTATTTCTTTTAAATTGCTATTTAATGTCATTCTAAGTAAAGAAAGATTAAAAATTTAAATTGTTAGCATGAATTTTACAGTTTATCTTTATATGGTGCAATGCTAGTTTTAAATGCAAATATATGAGCATTTAACTGTCACGCATAGTCCCCGAAATTATACAAATTGTATTTCATAGCTCATACATGAATATGTATTTTGTTCTTACCAGAACAGTGGAAATGCTACACAAAACTAATTGAACTGTTTTTATTTCACTTATTGATATGTACACATTCTACCAACACTATCTACCTTCGGCTTACTGGTGAGTAAGGAAGATCTGAAAGAAAAAGAAACTGTGTATTGCCCTATCTTTCTTTTCCTTATATGCAATCATTTTCAGAGTAAGTGGTTGACTAATACAGGGAAGTAACCTGGGTCAGGAAAAGTACGATTGGGTTTCTTGGTGGTTTATGTTCCTTAGAATGCCATTGCTTTCTTGAGGCATTTGAAGCAAGATCTGATTTGAAATGAAAACATGGTTTCTTGGGGATGTCAGCACCTTCACTTACTCAGTCGTAGATATAACACGTTCATCTTATATTCCTTTTGAGTCTCACCAAACCCTTACACATTGTAGGTCCACAAGAGGTTTGTGCTGAAAGGGCATCAACAATGATATATGTTAAAGCAGTGGTGAGGAATGGTGGCAGACATTCATGTTGTGTGTATGTCCTCTGCTCATGAGAATCCATCATCCTATTGGATTTTACTTACAAAATACAATTTTAAAGAGAAAATTATTATTAATAACAAAATGGTAACAGAAAAGCATAAGATGAAAGACTGTGCCCTTTCTTTCTTTAAATTTTTTTTTATTTCCATAGGTTTTTGGGTAACATGTGGTATTTGATAATATGAATAAGTTATTTAGTGGTGATTTGTAAGATTCTGGTGTACCCATCACCCGAGCAGTATACACTGAACCCCATTTGTAGTCTTTTATCCCTCACCCTCTCCCTGCCCTGAGTCCCCAAAGTCCATTGTGTCATTCTTAGGCTTTTACATCCTCATAACTTAGCTCTCACTATGAGTGAGAAAATATGATGTTTGGTTTTCCATTCCTGAGTTACTTCACTTAGAATAATAGTCTCCAATCCTATCCAGGTTGTGTAAATGCCATTAATTCATTCCTTTTTATGGTTAATTACTATTCCATCATATATACGTATATATATATCATATGATATATATATATATATGATATATATATATATCATATGATATATATATATCATATGATATATATATATATCACAGTTTCTTTATCCACTTGTTGATTCATGGTCATTTGGGTTGGTTCCACATTTTTGCAATTGTGAATTGTGCTGCTATAAACATGTTCGTGCAAGTATCTTTTTTGTTTAATGACTTATTTTCCTCTGGGTGGATACTTAGTAGTGTGATTGCTGGATTGAATGGTAGTTCTTTAAGGAATCTCCATACTGTTTTCCATAGTGGTTGTACTAGTTTACATTCCCAACAGCAGTGTAGAAGTGTTCCCTTTTCACTGTATCCCTGACAATATCTATTATTTTTTTGATTTTTTGATTATGGCCATTCTTACAGGAGTAAGGTGGTATTGCACTGTGGTTTTGATTTGCATTTCCCTGATCATTAGTGATGTCGAGCATTTTTTCATATGCTTGTTAGTCATTTGTATATCTTCTTTTGAGAATTGTCTTTTCATGTCCTTAGCCCACTTTTTGATGGGATTTTTTTTCTTGCTAATTTGTTTGAGTTTGTTGTAGATTCTGGATATTACTGCTTTGTCAGATACATAAATTGGAAAGATTTTCTCCCACTCTGTGGGTTGTCTGTTTACTCTGCTGACTCTTCCTTTTGCCAAGCAAAAGCTCTTTAGTTTAATTAAGTCCCAAGTATTTACCTTTGTTTTTATTGCATTTGCTTTTGGGTTCTTGGTCATGAAATCCTTGCCTAAGCCAATGTTTAGAAGAGTTTTTCCGATGTTAGCTTCTAGAATTTTTATAGTTTCAGGTCTTAGATTTAAGTCCTTGATCCATCTTGAGTTGATTTTTGTATAAGGTGAGAGATGAGGTTCTGGTTTCATTCTTGTACATGTGGCTTGCCAATTACCCCAGCACCATTTGTTGAATAGGGTGTCCTTTCCCCACTTAATGTTTTTGTTTGCTTTGTCGAAGATCAAGTTGGCAGTAAGTATTTAGGTTTATTTCTGGGTTCTCTATCCAGTTCCATTGGTATATGTGCCTATTTTTATGCCAGTACCCTGCTGTTTTGGTGACTATGATCTTACAGTATAGTTTGAAATCAGGCAGTGTGATGCCTCCAGATTTGTTATTTTTTTTTAGTCTTGCTTTGGGTGTCCAGGCTCTTTTTTGGTTCCACATGAATTTTAGAATTTTTTTTTTTAGTTCTGTGAAGAACAATGATGGCATTTTGATGGAGATTGCATTGAATTTGTAGATTGCTTTTGGCAGTATGGTCATTTTCACAATGTTGACTCTACTTATCCATGAGCATGGGATGTGTTTCCATTTGTTTGTTTCCCCTATGATTTCTTTCAGCAGTGTTTTGTGGTTTTCCTTGTAGAGATCTTTTACCTCCTTGGGTAGGGATATTCCTAAGTATTTTATTTTTTTTGCAGCTATTGTAAAAGGGGTTGAGTTCTTGATTTGATTCTCAGCTTGGTCACTGTTGGTGTATAGCAGAGCTACTGATTTGTGTACATTAATCTTGTATCTGGATACTTTACTGAATTCATTTATCAGTTCTAGGAGCTTTTTGGAGGCATCTTTAGGGTTTTCTAGGTATACAATTATATCATCAGCAAACAGTGACAGTTTGACTTCTTCTTTACAGATTTTGATGCCCTTTATTTCTTTCTCTTGTCTGATTGCTCTGGCTAGGACTTCCAGTACTATGTTGAATAGAAGTGGTGAGAGTGGACATCCTTGTCTTGTTACAGTTCTCAGAGGGAATGCTTTCAACTTTTCCCTATTTGGTATTATGTTGGCTATGAGTTTGTCATAAATAGCTTTTATTACATTGAAGTATGTCAGGACTGGGTCTTTTCTGATTGACTGCAGAAGTCATGTGCCCATAAAGCTCACCCTGACTTCTCTTAAATTGCAATGATAATTGTGCTAATACAAAATTTAATGACATTTATCAAAGAGTTATAAGTATTAGGTTCTGTGCCAAACATTTTTGCATATTTACCTTTTTTTCTTTTGAGGTGGAGACTCGCTCTGTCACCAGGCTAGAATGCAGTGGCTTGATCTCAGCTCACTGCAACCTCTGCCTCCCAGGTTCAAGTGATTCTCCAGCCTCAGCCTCCCGAGTAGCTGGGACTAAAGGCACATGCCACCATACCCAGCTAATTTTTGTATTTTTAGTAGAGATGGAGTTTCACCATGTTGGCCAAGATGGTCTCAATCTCTTGACCTCGTGATCCACCTGCCTTGGCCTCCCAAAGTTTATTTCTAGCTCACTGCAGTCTTGAACTCCTGGGCTGAAGTGATCTTCCCACCTCAGCCTCCTGAGTAGCTGGGACTACAGGTGCCTACCACTGCACCCACCTTATATATATATATACTTTTTAGTATATATGGGAGTCTCACTTTGTTGCCCAGGCTGGTCTTGAACTCCTGGCTTCAAGTGATCTTCCCCCTCAGCCTCCCAAAGACCTGATATTATAGGTGTGAACCAACATGCTTGGCATTTCTTATCATTTTTTGAGTGCATACTATAAGCCCAGACAGTATAAATTGTTAGCATAGTGTTATCTGACATCTATTGCCATCTCAGGATATTGAATGTGATGATTGCTGGCAGCAGTTGGGGATGGAGTGGAGGAAGTTGTTATGGTGATCTATTGTAGGGATCACTCCAGAACTCAGTGGTTCAAAGCAATAACCTTATACATCTACAATTTGAGCAAGGATTGGTGGGAATAGCCAATTTGTTCTCTATTTGATAGGAGCTGAGGCAAATCAAAAGTAAGAAACCAGTCTTCCTCACTCACTTGTGCAACAGATCACACTGGCTGTTGGCTGGGACCTCAGCTGGGACTGCCTAGAACACCTACATTTGGTCTTTGAGAGGAAGTCACTTTTCTTCCCCAACTTGACTCAGCCCAAACAAGGAGTTCTCTCCTTTTGGGTTTTAAATGACCCACTAGTATGGTAACATTGATCAAAAATTACTTCAAAAGTATTTGAGCATTAGACTCCATATAGAACTGTCTGCTCTAAATAATTTTGAGGATGATATAGCCATTCCGGTTTTATTTTGATTTTGAGCATAGTATATCTATTGTATCCTTTTACTTAGAATTTATTTGTTTTCCTAGTTAACGTGGGTGTATTAGTTTGTTTTCCCACTACTAATAAAGACACACCTGAGACTGGGTAATTTATAAAGGCAAGAGTTAACTAACTCACAGTTCTGTAGTGCTGGGGAGGCCTCAGGAAACTTATGATCATGGTGGAAGGGGAAGCAAACATATCATTCTTCACATGGCAGCAGGAAGGAGAAGAATGAGAGAAGTGCAGAGCGAAGGAGGGAAAAGCTTCTCACAAAACCATCAGATCTCGTGAGAACTCACTCACTATCATGAGAACAGCACAGGGGAACTGTCCCCATGATTCAGTCATCTCCCATGACGTCCCTCCCCCAACATGAATTACAATTCAGGTTACAATTCAAGATGAGATTTGGGTGGGGACACAGAGCCAGACCATATCATTCTGCCCCTCCCCCTCTCAAATCTCATATCCTCATATTTCAAAACACAATCATGCCTTTCCAATAGTCCCTCAAAGTCTTAACTCATTCCAGCATTAACCCAAAAGTTTAAGTTCAAAGTCTCATCTGAGACAAGGCAAGTTCCTTCTACCTATGAGCCTGTAAAATAAAGAGCAAGTTAGTTACTTCCTAGATACAATGGGGGTGCAGGCATTGGGTAAATACACCCATTCCAAGTGGGAGAAATTGGCAAAATGAAGGGGCTACAGGCCGCATGCAAGTCTGAAATCCAATAGGGCAGTCATTAAACCTTAAAGTTCCCAAATGATCTCCTTTGACTCCATGTCTCACATCCAGGTCACACTGATGCAAGAGGTGGGCTACCATGACCTTGGGCAGCTCCAACCCTGTGGCTTTGCAGTGTACAGCCCCCCACCCCAGCTGTTTTCATGGCTGGCTTGAGTGTCTGTGGCTTTTCCAGGCACATGGTGCAAGCTGTCAGTGAATCTACCATTCTGGGATCTGGAGAATGGTAGTCCTCTTCTCACAGCTCCACCAGGCAGTGCCCCTGTGGGGACCCTGTGTGGGGACTCTGATCCCACATTTCCCTTTTGCACTGCCATAGCAGAGGTTCTCCATGAGGGCTCCACACTTGCAGCAGACTTCTGCCTAGACATCCAGGCGTTTCCATACATCCTCTGACATCTAGGCAGAGGTTTCCAAGCTTCGATTTTTGTTTTCTGTGGACCCACAGGGTCAACATCACATGGAAGTGGCCAAGGCTGGGGGCTTGCATCATCTGAAGTAACATCCTGAGTTGTACCATGGCCCCTTTTAGCCATTGCTGGAGTGTCTGGGATGCAGTCCTGAGGATGCACACAGCAGGGGGACCCTGGACTTGGCCCAGGAAACAGTTTTTTTCCTTCTAGGCCTCCAGGCCTGTGATGGAAGGGACTGCCATGGAGGTTTCTGACATGCCCTGGAGACATTTTCCCCCTTGTCTGAGTGAATAACATTTGGCTCCTCGTTACTTATGTAAATTTCTGCAGCCAGCTTGAATTTCTCCTCAGAAAATGAGTTTTTCTTTTCTATCACATCATGAAGCTGCAAATTTTCCAAGCTTTTATTTTCTGCTTTCCTTTTAAACATAAGTTTCAATTTCAAACCATATCTCTGTGAATACATAAAACTGAATGCTTTTAATAGCACCCAAGTCACCTCTTGAACACTTTGCTGCTTAGAAATTTCTTCCAGTGCGGTAACGTGACCGATCCCGGAGAAGCCGGCGGGAGCCCCGGGGAGAGTTCTCTTTTCTTTGTGAAGGGCAGGGCGCCCTGGAATGGGTTCGCCCCGAGAGAGGGGCCCGTGCCTTGGAAAGCGTCGCGGTTCTGGCGGCATCCGGTGAGCTCTCGCTGGCCCTTGAAAATCCGGGGGAGAGGGTGTAAATCTCAACACATTCAAAAGCTAGCAGAAGGCAAGAAATAACTAAAATCAGAGCAGAACTGAAGGAAATAGAGACACAAAAAAACCCTTCAAAAAATCAATGAATCCAGGAGCTGGTTTTTTGAAAGGATCAACAAAATTGATAGACCGCTAGCAAGACTAATAAAGAAAAAAAGAGAGAAGAATCAAATAGACACAATAAAAAATGATAAAGGGGATATCACCACCGATCCCACAGAAATACAAACTACCATCAGAGAATACTACAAACACCTCTACACAAATAAACTAGAAAATCTAGAAGAAATGGATACATTCCTCGACACATACATCCTCCCAAGACTAAACCAGGAAGAAGTTGAATCTCTGAATAGACCAATAACAGGAGCTGAAATTGGGGCAATAATCAATAGTTTACCAACCAAAAAGAGTCCAGGACCAGATGGATTCACAGCCGAATTCTACCAGAGGTACAAGGAGGAACTGGTACCATTCCTTCTGAAACTATTCCAATCAATAGAAAAAGAGGGAATCCTCCCTAACTCATTAGATGAGGCCAGCATCATCCTGATACCAAAGCCTGGCAGAGACACAACCAAAAAAGAGAATTTTAGACCAATAGCCTTGATGAACATCGATGCAAAAATCCTCAGTAAAATACTGGCAAACCGAATCCAGCAGCACATCAAAAAGCTTATCCACCATGATCAAGTGGGCTTCATCCCTGGGATGCAAGGCTGGTTCAATATACGCAGATCAATAAATGTAATCCAGCATATAAACAGAGCCAAAGACAAAAACCACATGATTATCTCAATAGATGCAGAAAAAGCCTTTGACAAAATTCAACAACCCTTCATGCTAAAAACTCTCAATAAATTAGGTATTGATGGGACATATCTCAAAATAATAAGAGCTATCTATGACAAACCCACAGCCAATATCATACTGAATGGGCAAAAACTGGAAGCATTCCCTTTGAAAACTGGCACAAGACAGGGATGCCCTCTCTCACCACTCCTATTCAACATAGTGTTGGAAGTTCTGGCCAGGGCAATCAGGCAGGAGAAGGAAATAAAGGGTATTCAATTAGGAAAAGAGGAAGTCAAATTGTCCCTGTTTGCAGACAACATGATTGTTTATCTAGAAAACCCCATCATCTCAGCCCAAAATCTCCTTAAGCTGATAAGCAACTTCAGCAAAGTCTCAGGATACAAAATCAATGTACAAAAATCACAAGCATTCTTATACACCAACAACAGACAAACAGAGAGCCAAATCATGAGTGAACCCCCATTCACAATTGCTTCAAAGAGAATAAAATACCTAGGAATCCAACTTACAAGGGATGTGAAGGACCTCTTCAAGGAGAACTACAAACCACTGCTCAAGGAAATAAAAGAGGATACAAACAAATGGAAGAACATTCCATGCTCATGGGTAGGAAGAATCAATATCGTGAAAATGGCCATACTGCCCAAGGTAATTTACAGATTCAATGCCATCCCCATCAAGCTACCAATGACTTTCTTCACAGAATTGGAAAAAACTACTTTAAAGTTCATATGGAACCAAAAAAGAGCCCGCATCGCCAAGTCAATCCTAAGCCAAAAGAACAAAGCTGGAGGCATCACACTACCTGACTTCAAACTATACTACAAGGCTACAGTAACCAAAACAGCATGGTACTGGTACCAAAACAGAGGTATAGATCAATGGAACACAACAGAGCCCTCAGAAATAACGCCGCATACCTACAACTACCTGATCTTTGACAAACCTGAGAAAAACAAGCAATGGGGAAAGGATTCCCTATTTAATCAATGGTGCTGGGAAAACTGGCTAGCCATATGTAGAAAGCTGAAACTGGATCCCTTCCTTACACCTTATACAAAAATCAATTCAAGATGGATTAAAGATTTAAACGTTAGACCTAAAACCATAAAAACCCTAGAAGAAAACCTAGGCATTACCATTCAGGACATAGGCATGGGCAGGGACTTCACGTCCAAAACACCAAAAGCAATGGCAACAAAAGCCAAAATTGACAAATGGGATCTAATTAAACTAAAGAGCTTCTGCACAGCAAAAGAAACTAGCATCAGAGTGAACAGGCAACCTACAGAATGGGAGAAAATTTTCACAACCTACTCATCTGACAAAGGGCTAATATCCAGAATCTACAATGAACTCAAACAAATTTACAAGAAAAAAACAAACAACCCCATGAAAAAGTGGGTGAAGGACATGAACAGACACTTCTCAAAAGAAGACATTTATGCAGCCAAAAAACACATGAAAAAATGCTCATCATCACTGGCCATCAGAGAAATGCAAATCAGAACCACTATGAGATATCATCTCACACCAGTTAGAATGGCAATCATTAAAAAGTCAGGAAACAACAGGTGCTGGAGAGGATGTGGAGAAATAGGAAGACTTTTACACTGTTGGTGGGACTGTAAACTAGTTCAACCATTGTGGAAGTCAATGTGGCGATTCCTCAGGGATCTAGAACTAGAAATACCATTTGACCCAGCCATCCCATTACTGGGTATATACCCAAATGACTATAAATCATGCTGCTATAAAGACACATGCACACGTATGTTTATTGCGGCATTATACACAATAGCAAAGACTTGGAACCAACCTAAATGTCCAACAATGATAGACTGGATTAAGAAAATGTGGCACATATACACCATGGAATACTATGCAGCCATAAAAAATGATGAGTTCATGTCCTTTGTAGGGACATGGATGAAATTGGAAATCATCATTCTCAGTAAACTATGGCAAGAACAAAAAATCAAACACCGCATATTCTTACTCATAGGTGGGAATTGAACAATGAGATCACATGGACACATGAAGGGGAATATCACACTCTGGGGACTGTGATGGGGTGGGGGGAGCGGGGAGGGATAGCACTGGGAGATATACCTAAGGCTAGATGATGAGTTAGTGGGTGCAGCGCACCAGCATGGCACATGTATACATATGTAACTAACCTGCACAATATGCACATGTACCCTAAAACTTAAAGTATAATAAAAAAAAAAAAGAAATTTCTTCTGCCAGATACCCTAAATCATATTTCCCAAGTTCAAAGTTTCACAGATCTCTAGGACAGAGGAAAAATGCCTCCAGTCTCTTTGCTAAAACACAGTAAGAGTCACCTTTATTCCAGTTTCCAACAAGTTCCACATCTCCATCTGAGACCACCTTGCCCTGGACTTCATTGTCCATATCACTATCAGCATTTTGGTCAAAGTCAATTGACAAGTCTTTAGGAAGTTCCAAACTTTCCCACATCTTCCTGTCTTCGGAGCCCTCCAAATCTCTAGGAAGTTCCAAACTTTCCCACATTTTCCTGTCTTCTTCTGAACCCTTCAAACTGTTCCAACCTCTGGCTGTTACCCAGTTCTAAAGTCACTTCCACATTTTTAGGTATCCTTATAGCAGCACCCTAGTCTTTGTAGTACCAATTTACTGTATTAATCTGTTCTCATGCTGCTAATAAAGACATTATGTGAGGCTGGGTAATTTACAAAGGAAAGAGGTTTAATTGACTCACAGTTCAGCATGGCTGAGGAGGCCTCAGGAAACTTACAATCATGTCAGGAAGGGAAATAAATAAATATGTCCTTCTTACATGGCGGCAGGAAAGAGAAGAATGAGAGAAGTGCAGAGCTAAGCAGGGAAAGCCCCTCACAAAACCATCAGATCTCATGAGAACTCACTCACTGACACAAAAACCAGCATAGGGGAACCACCCCCATGATTCAGTCACCTCCCATAAGGTTCCTCCCCCAACATGTGGGGATTATAATTTGGATTACAATTCAAGATGAGATTTGGGTGGGGAAACAGAGCCAGACCATATCAGTGGGTTTTTATATTTAGTGGGTCTTGCTTTTTTGTTGTTGTTGTTGTTCAGTTTGGCAATCTCTGCCTTTAATTAGGGTGTTTAGACCATGCATATTTAATGGAATTATTGGCATAGTTGGGTTTAAATCTACCATCTTACTTTTTGTTTTTTATTTGTCTCCTTTGTTCTTTGTCTTTCTTTTCTGCCTTATTTTGATTTAATTTTAAAAAATGATTTCATTCTTCCTGCTTTGTTGGCTTATTTAGTGAAAACTCTTAAATTCATGTGTGTTTTTAGTGATTGTTTTAGGGTTTATAATATACTTTTTTAAAAATCAGAGATCTATCTTCAAATGATATTATACCACTTCATGTATAAGAATTTACAATATGTTATACTTCCATTTCTCCCTTTCTGACCTTTGTGCTATTGTAATACATTTATAAACCCCACAGTGCCTTGCTTTTATTTTATCATTAAATAGTCAATTACATTTTTAAATGATTTATAAAATAAGTAAAATGTCTTATATTTATCCACAAAGTTGCCATTTCTGGTGCTGTTCATTCCATTACAGGGATCCAGATTTCCATTTTGCTGAAGAACTTTCTTTAACAATTCTTGTAGTGCAGGTCTGCTGGTGATAATTTTTTTCAGCTTTTGTATGTTCAAAAAGTCTTCAATTTACCTTTTAAAAATTCTGTTTTTAACATATGTAATGAGGTATAATTCATATACTATAAAATTCTCCCATTTAAAGTGTACAATTCAGTGATTTTTAGGATATTTACAGAGTTGTGTAACCATCACCACAATCAGCTTTAGAACATTTTTATTACGACCCCCACAAAAAAAAGCCCATACCCATTATCAGTCACTCCCTTATTCCCTGCAACCTTTCCCATCTCTAAAAAACCACTAATCTATATTCTGCCTCTATAGGTTTGTTTATTCCGGAAATTTCATGTAAATGGAATCATTCAATACATAGTGTTTTGTAACTGGCTTTCACTTAGCATTCTGTTTTAAAGATTCATCCATGTTTCAGCATGCATCAGTACTTCATTTCTTTTTATGGCATATGGCTATGTCACATTTTGTTTATCCATTATTCAGTTGATGGGCATTTGGGGTGTTTCTACTTTTTATTTATTGTGAATAATGCTGCTATAAACATTTGCGTAGAAATTTTTGAGTGAATGTATATTTTTTATTTCTCTTGGGTATATATCTAACAGTAGGATTGCTAGATCATATCATAACTCTTTTTCATCTTTATTTTGAAAGGTATTTTTGCTGGGCATACAATTCTAGGTTGACAGTCTTTTTTTTTTTTTCCTTTTAGAATTTTAAATATGTTGCTTCACTGTCTCCTTGCTTACATTTTCTTTTTCCTGACTTGAAAACTGCCATTATTCTTACCTTTTTTCCCCTGCCATTTTTTCTCTGGATGCTTCTAAAATTTTCTTCTTTTCACTGGTTTTAAGTAATTTAATTTCATGTTCCTCAATGTATCTGTCTTCATGTTTCTTGTGCTTGGAGTTTGTTGAGTTTCTTGAATTTATGGGCTTATTTTTTTCATCATAATTTGAAAAATTTTGGCTATAATATTTTCAAGGTTTTTTTCTGCCCTTCCCTCTCTCCTTTGGGGGATTCCAGTTACTCATATTTTAGGTTGATTGAGGTTTTTCCACAGCTTATGGAGTCTAATTCTACTTTTAGCCTTTTTCTATTACTTCGTCTTCAAGTTTACCAGTCTTTTCTTTTGTAATGTCTAATTTACTGTTAATCCATCTAGTGTATTTTGCACAGATTATAGTTTTCATCTCTAAAAGTCCAACTATTTCTTCTTTGTATCTTCCTGGCTAATTTTTTCTCCAGTTTCTTGAACATATTGAATATAGTTATAATTATTTTAATGTCTTTGTGTCAGTTATAGGTCAGTTTCTCCTGATTGATTTTTGTCCTCTTGTGGGGTGCATTCTTTTATTTCTTCTTGTGTCTGGTAATCTGGTAATTTTTGTTCAAATGTCAAATATTGTGTGTTAGTTTTTTTAAGATACAGTGTCTTGTTATGTCACTAGGGCTGGCATGATTAGAGCTTACTGTAGTCTTGAACTCCTGGGTTCATGTGATCCTCCTGCCTCATCCTCCCAAGTATTGAGGACTATAAGACTATTTTTTTTTTTTTTTTAAAGATGAAGTTCTCATTTTGTTGCCCAGGCTGGTTTCAAATTCCTGACTTCAAGTGATCCTCCTGTATTGGTCTCCCAGACTGTGGAGATTGCAGGTATGAGCCACCTTGCCTGGCTTTGTGTGTGTGTGTGTTTGTGTGTTTCTATAAAGATTCTTGAGCTTTGTTCTGAGCTGTGGTTATTTGGAAATAGTTTGATTATTTCAGATCTTGGTTTCAAGCTTTGTTAGGTAGTACCAGAATAATATTTAGCCAGGGTTAATTTTGCCCCACTACTGAGACAAATCCCTTTTGAGTACTCTACCTGATATTGTGTGACTTATGAGGTTGTTACAACTCTGGTTGTTGGGAACAAGAACTATTTCCAGTCCTCTTTGAGTCCTCTTTGCTTCTAGGAGTTTTTTTTCCTGTTTCAGTTATTTTCCTCACACACATACACTGATCAAGATTCAGCTAGGCTGAGCATGGTGGCTCATGCCTGTAATCCCAGCACTTTGGGAGGCTGAGGTGGATGGATCACTTGAGGTCAGGACTTCAAGACAAGCCTGGACAACATGGCGAAATCCCATCTCTACAGAAAAAAAAAAAATACAAAAATTAGCCCACTGTGGTGTCACATACCTGTAATTTCAGCTACTCTAGAGGGTGAGGTGGAAGACTTGCTTGAACCCAGGAGGTGGAGGCTGCAGTGAGCTGAGATCATGCCACTGCACTCCAGCCTGGGCAACAGAGCAAGACTCCATCTCAGAAAAAAAAAAAAAAAGAACTCAGCTAAAAATTCAAGGAGGACTCTTCATAGTTTGCTCCCTCTCTCTGTCTCCCTTCTCTTTCTTGAACTCTGTCTTCTCTAATACTCTTACCTGAAAACTCCAGCCACCTTGGCTTCCTTAGACTCCCAGCATCATCTCTTGAACCTGGAAGACCCCTCAGCTTTGCCTTATTTCCCTGCCCCTGCTCCACATCCTGGAAACTTTCTTCCTATAATAAGCTGGCGAAACCACAGGCTGATCTTATTTATTTCTCAACTCTCAAAGATTGGTGTGCTTCATTGCCTCATACCAAGTGTCTTGTTTCACATGTTGTATCTGTTTTTTCTGTTGTCCAAAGCAGTAGGGTAAAGCCAGTCACTATTACTCCATCTTCCTGGAAGTGGAAGTGTCATGCAATTTAAAGATAATATATCCCTATATACATCTAATGCATAGACAACTTGTGGCTATTTACATAAGGAACAATTAATAGTGAGTTATCTTGAAAACGGAAATGGTGACTGGGAAAGGGGCCTTTACTTTTCACTTGATAGCTTATTGGCTGTTTTCTTTCTTAATATCCATGATATGTGTTGCTGTCATTGTAATAAATAAAAGTTGTTCATGAAATGAATTTCTCTTGGAAGGATCTACTGAACCATGGAGTGCTGTTGATATTCAATTGATTCACTTTGCCCTCAGTGTCTTGGCTGATGGATAACCAGTTGCACTCATCTTTCATCCTCTTGCTTGGGTCAGAGGTGATGTAGAGTAATAACATTTGCCTTTTGATCCGATTATCTAGGAGGCATGGTGTTTCTGGAGTCTTGCTTATTATCTAAGTTTGATGAGGGTCTGCATAAGTCTGTCAGGGCAACATTTAAAATCAGTTCACTGGCTAATCCTTATATCTGTTGGTGGGATCTAAATCCATACAGCTTTCCTGGAGTCATTTTAGCAGTAGACATAAAAAACCTAAAAATGTGTTTACTCTTTGACCCCCAAATGAAATTATCTTAAAGAAATGATAAGGACAAGTGCGCAAAGATTTACAATTGTTTGTATTGCATTGCAATCAAGGATGTATTGCATTGTTTGTGACAGTAAAAAGTTGGAAGGTCAAAAATATCTAATGATGAATTGTTAAATTAAGTTTGGCACATAATGAGACTGGAATATTCTGTGATTACTAAAAACTGAAAATGACATATACTTATTGACATACTTTACTAGATAAAAAAGTCTGTTTACATAAAAGTATGTACAGTATAATTCCAATTTTAATTCCCTTTCTACCTCACAGCTACACTGCCACTTTGCAAAAAGTCTAGCTCTGATTTTGCAAAACCACAGTTAGGATCCTGAGCCTCTGAGACATGCCTACACTCCCATTTCACCCTAATGGGCTTTATGTGTTACTGACTTTTCTTCAGTGCTCTTCTGGTTTTGAGATGTGATCATTGAGAAAGGACTCTGGGGAGAAAATCCAATATGAAGGCCATAAGAGTAATGAGGTGGAATCGATTATTCCCAATTCCTTGCTCCCTTCAGGTTACAAAATTGAATATCCATGCCCTTTGCTTTGTGCCTCCGTGGTCTTTGTGAGGAGTATATTCCCTGCTCCACTGAAGCTGGACCTGGTCACATGACTTTGGTGAAAGAAAGGTTAATAGAGGTGATCTGAGAAGGTTTGTATGTGATTTCATTGTTTGCCATGACTGCTTGGGCTTCTGGCATCTGCCATGTGAACACATGATAGAAGCTTCTCAAGTGGAAGCTAGTACAGTTGTACTGAGAGACATGTGGAGCCGACCAAGTACAAACCGCAGCTTGGAGTCAAACCTAGCTGACCCACGGACCCAGGAGGGTAGAAAACAAAAGTTGATTGTGAGATTTTGAAGTTGTTAGGTGCAGTTATGCTATCAGTTATATAGCTGTCAGTTATGGAATTAAAACTAATACAGGTAACAATAATAGCACTGTCTTTTAATTGCTGAGGTCACAGCAATGTGGGTTTCAATGAGATACAAGCTATTCAATTAGATATAGGTATGTCATCAGCACCCTCACATCTCTTTGAACTCTTTTGCCCTCCTATATGTGGCATTTAGTGGAATGCTGAAAGACAAACAATGATTTAAAATGGTAAAAAAAAAAAAAAAGGTAAAATGGCCATCATCCTTTCCCCCTTTTCATGTTGTCTCAAATGTTATTCAAAGCCAAACCATTGTTTCTGTTATCTGCATACAATGTGCTGCTGGAATGTGGTGTAATTAGGTGGTCACATGTACATATCATAGCAGAGCTGAGGAGGGAAGAGGATGAAGAACAAAGGAGAGACGCAGCATGCCTACCTCTGATAAGCAGATCATGCAGGTGTCCCTGGTCATCAGCCGCATAACAAAGAGGGGCTCTCAGGGGCTGGAGGTCAACCTCTCTTCTCTCTGCCCCCTAGATTTTTTTTTGAGACAGATTCTTGCTCTGTTGCCCACGCTGGAGTACAGTGGCACAATCATAGCTCACTGCAGCCTTGAAATCCTGGGCTCAAGCAATCCTCCCACCTCATCCTCCTGAGTAGCTGGAACTATAGGTACCTGCCACTATGCCAGGCTAATTTTTTAAATTTTTATTTCTTTAGAGATGGGGTCTCACTATGTCGCCCAGGCTGGTCTCAAACTCCTGGCCTCAAGCAATCTGCCCACCTCTGCTTCCCAAAGCAGAGGATTACAGACGTGAGACACTTTGCCCTGCCCTGTCCTCTACCTTTATTTCCCAAAGCATACTGAAAAAATATTCTGTTATCCTCTGGGCTAGTCTGTTCCCTAGAGCATAAGGTAATGAGGTAAGGAGAAGAGCCTTGTGTCTCTGCCCACGCAGCCTTGATAACTCTTTGATCCAGATATGGAAGGAATGTGTGAATAAGTGTCTGTGTGTGTGTGTGTGTGTATGTGAAAGTGTGTATTGCAGAGGACACACATTTCTTTTCTCTTATGAACAATGTGCTATTGATCTGCATTATTTTCTTATTGCCTTTGTAGGCGTTGGCCCATTTCTTGGGTAAATCACTGGGGAGGCTTGAAAGCACAGAGGTGGAGACTTAAGACAATGCACTCTGTAGCCATGCTCTCTGGATTTGAATCCCAGATTTGCCTCTTAGTAACCCTATGACCTTGGTAAGTCACTTAACTTCCCTTGCCTCAGTGTCCTACACTGTGAGATGGGGATAATAATCGAATCCACTCCATAGTTTTGTTGTGAGGAGTAAATGAATGAATTCATGTAAAGCGCTTGGCACATGATCATGGCTCATGTTCACTCTTCTATTGTTGCTTTTCACAGGGCAGTGACTCAAATACTAAACATCTCTTTCTGAAGAATTATTGTTACATATCATAAGGTGTGGAAGAAAGAGAGAGAAAGAAATTAATACCACCACAGCTTGTGTTTCAGCAGAGTAATAGTATTCAACAGATGGGACTGGAGAAATCAAAAATGATCAAATCAGGGGGACATGCTTTCCCAAATGCTAGGACAGATTTTGCCCTGAGTCTCATGAGTAAGGTCACATTACAGTAGACAACTGGGCTTCTGGGATCAGTGGGGCTGGGCAGCAGCAGCTCTGTGGGGTTGGGGAGGGCTTGATTGATCTTGAGGTTATACTAAGGCCGAGAGGTTTCCTTCCTGGAGTTGGGGCTGGCTGGCAGGACCCACTTTGGTCTCCTGATATCTTCTCTTGCTCATAGTTCTGCTTCTAGCCTGGTGCTTGTGTTTCTAAGGTTGGTAACTATTTTCCTTTTGCAAGCTGACTTGTATGAGAAGGATCATCCTTCAGACTGGGTTTTATCTTAAGTGGTATTCCCAAAGAGGCTGGAATTGGTGCTGAGATAAGGTTTGGGCTTGGAGTAGTAATGCAGGAGGCTCATGCATGTGTATGCACACATGTACATGTGTGTGTACGCACATGTGTGTGCATGTGTGTGCATGAGTGTGCATGTGTGTGTACATGCACAATGTGTATATGGAGCTATGGGATGGTTGGATGGACAAATGGATGAAATGGTATTTATCCAGACAGAGAAGCATCCAGGGAAATGAACCTCCTTTAGCTCCCCAATCCTTATTACATTGCTCTTTCCTGTATGTGAAGTTCATGAATATCCACTGAAATTTCTGGAAACACAGGCCTAGATCATGGATTATTATTCCCAATCTTTGTGTTGTAACCTTTAAAATGGAGTACAGGTCCCTGCTCAGTGCTTAGGCTGTTTGGAGAATGAGATCAGTTTTTATAATTATTTTACCAGATGGGAAGAACTCCTGGACTTTCTCAGAGCCTAGAGGCTCTTGATGACCATAACATGTCTTTCCCCGTGGTGGATTATCTGGCATCACCCCTGTTCTGCTTCCCCAGCTGTCTGCTTCCCTGGAGCCTGGGCTGGCAAGAGGCAATTACTAGAAAAGGGTCAGAGGTGTGGGGTGAGTGTGAGTGAAGTTGAATGACTCTGTGTAGGCAGGGAGAACTTTCAAGAGCTAGAGGGAGATGACTTTTGGATGGACTCTTAAATTTTGTTTTCTTTTCTCTTCCTGTTTATGAGGAATAAAAATTAATGGTATAATCTCATTATGTAAAGTTGAGAGCTGGAGAGGGCAGGGTTAATTTTCAGTTTTGACCTTGGAACTTCAAAAGGAGGGAAGAGAGGAGGGAAGAGAGAGAGACAGAGAGAGAGAGAGAGAGAGAGAGAGAGAGAAACAGAAACAGACCATCTTCTTTATACATCCTGGGTTCAGAACCCTTGGGCGCAACCTGTGTTCTGCTTGTTTGGCTGTATGGGATGGAGAGTTAAGAATGGAGCTCAGCCCTGAGTCCTGTGCCAGTTGAGCTTCACAGGTGACTCTTGGCAGCCAGTCTGAGTCATTTGCATTTTCACAGCCAAAGGGCTGCTCACAAGATGTTCTGTGCAGATATTTAAGTTGCTGGATTCCAAAGCATCCCCAGGGCACTCCTGGCCCCTCCTCTTCCATATGGCCATGCAGCCAACTTCACATTTCTTAATTTATGAAGATGGCATTCTTGGGGATTAGATGCTTTTTGGAGTTATAGTAATAACAACATCAAGGCCAGTTCTTTGCCTTCTTTCCTTCCTCCCTCCCTTGCTTCCCTATCTCTCCCTGTTCCTTTCCTCCTTCCATCCTTCCTTCTTTTCTTCCCTCCCTCCCTCGTTTACACCCTCCCTTCCTCCTTTCTTCCTTCCTCTTCCTTCCCTCCCTCTTTCCCCCCTCCCTCCCTCTCTCCTTTCCTCCTTCCCTCCTTCCCTCTGTTGTTTCTTCCTTCTGTCAAGCTTTTGAAATATTTCAGTTTCTGGAAGCAAGACAGAGCTCAGTGGCCAGGAAGAGCACAGCCCCTGGGCCAGTCTTGCTGTTCCACTACCAGATGCAGAAGGAGGTGTTCTGGAATGACAAACTTTTCATGTTAAAGTAATGCAATTGTCAGGAACATCTGTATGTTAGTTTTCTATTGTGGCTATCATAAATCACCACAAATTTCATGGCTTAAAACAACACACATTTATTGTGTCACAGTTGTGTAGGTCAGAAGCTGGGGTATAGCATGGCTCAACTGAGTCCTCTGCCTAGCGTCTCCCTGGTGTTGGCAGGGCTGAGTTTCTTCCTGGAAGCTCTGGGAATGACTCTGTTTCCAGGCTCATTCAGGTGGTTGGCTGAGTTCAGTTCCTTGTGGTTGTAGGACTGAGGTCCCTATTTCCTTGGTGGCTGTTGGCTGGGGACTGGTCATTCTCTGGAAGCTCATGCTTTCCACGTGGCCTCCTCCAGCAATGGGGAGTCAAGTCTCTCTCACACTTTGACTCTCTCAGGCTTTTCCTTTTTGACACATCTCTCCAACTTCCAGCCAGAGAAACTTCACTGCTTCTAGGAGCTCATGGTTAGATTGGCCCAACATGGATAATCCAGGATCATCTCCCTGTTTTAAGGTCACTGGTTAACAACCTTAATTCCACCTTCAAAGTCCCTTTTGTAATTAATGTGACATATTTATAGGTTCCAATAATTAGGATGTGGTATTTTTGGGAGGAGTATTATTTGGCCTAACACACCCTATAAATAATTTATTGATAGTGTTGGCCACCTGAGGGTAACTAACTGCTGCAACCTTTGTCAGGGGATCTGCCTAGCATTTCCACTAGATTTTGGGCAGGGCCAAAGAGAGAAAGTGAAGGAACCTGAAGCTAGAGGCAGGGGTTGAACGTAAGACACTTTCATCCTCCAAAGGGAAGCACAGGCCTCTTCTGATCTCCGAACTTTTAATCTGGACTAGGTTTGTGGAGATGAGAATCCATCTCCTCATTCAGGATGGAGCCATGGAGGCCTGGAGGGGTGATGGACTTAGCCAAGGTCAGAGGCCACACCAGAGCTGGAGATTACTGGGGAAGTTTCAGAGCTGAAAGAAGCCACTGTAAAGCCTGATCAGGATTTTTCAGAACATGGACACATCTCTCAGATCTTTGGTCTTTTTAGCACTTAACCTCTGTATTAGTTTGTTCTTACATTGCTAATAAAGACATATCTGAGACTGGGTAATTAGGAAAGAGGTTTAATTGACTCACAATTCCACATGGCTGGGAAGCCTCACAATCGTGGTGGAAGGCAAATGAGGAGCAAAGTCATGTCTTACATGCGGCAGGCAAGAGAGAGTGTGCAGGGGAACTCCACTTTATAAAGCCATCAGATCCCATGAGACTTATTCACTATCATGAGAACAGCACGGGAAAGACCTGCCCCCATGATTCAATTACTTCTCACTGGGTCCCTCCCACGACATGTGGAAATTATGGGAGCTACAATTCAAGATGAGATTTGGGTGGGGACACAGCCAAACCATATCAACCTCCAAAGCCAGGTGGATCAGCCAGACTGCACAGCTTTGAAAAAATAAATGACTATGGATTTCTTGGCTTTAGAAAATACAAATCAATTAACATTATGGGTTGGGACATATATGAATATGATGATGGTCTTTCTGCAGCCTGAGGAAAGTTGGTCTTGATGGCCAGCAAGACACACTCCTAATACTTACAATTCTTACAATTTCTTCTTAGGAGTTCTGGGTGTCCTGGTGGCCAGATCTTTTAGTCCCTCCTTGGCATAGCCACGACCCTCCATGTTGATGGATAGACATGGAGCCCACTGTATCAACTGTTTTGACACCTCTGGGAGAGGACACTTGGAGAGGAATCCCTCCCTTGTACTCACTCCTCTCTGAGAGAAGGCAGGGCTCCTACAGGCCAGCGGCTCTATTTTAAATCTGCAGGCAGCAAGCACGTTCTATAGGAGATCGGCTCCTTGTTCAGGGGTTTCATTCTCTTGCCAACTCTGCTCATTCTGGTCTCCTCTTTGTCATCGCCTAGAGGCATCCATCTCCTGGAGGTTTACATAAGACAGAGCAAAGTGCTCTCCTGGCTAAGAATATATCCACCCCCTTCCCTGGGCGATGTGCCTGGGAGGTGAGGAAACTGACTCACTGCATCTCTGACTCTATGAAAAGACAAATACATGAAAAAAAAACTACTAGATTAATGACAGGGGGAGAAAAACCCGAATATTTTTAGCACATGAGGGCAGAGTTAGCTGCTATGAAGTCCTAGAGGATGGAAATTTTAATTTAAGAGCTCTTTGTCTTGAATGTTTTAATTAGCAGTAGGGAGCTTTCAAATGGCAATTATGGCACAGAGAGGGTGGGGGACTCTGAAATAGGAAAATGCCCAGTGATAATCTGATCAGCAGCAGTGCAGACTGGTTAGGGGATCTGTCTGTGAAATCCAGGCATGACTGGTTTTCTTACAAACCAAAAACTTTGTGTGATTCCCAGGGTGTGCCTCTGCCAATGCATGTGAAATCCTGGGTCAATAGTCCTGCACCACTTCTGCCTGAGTAGAAAGAAGCACTGAAACTTGGGCTGCAATTGAACTGTGGATATGTGGTAGCCCATGAGAGCACCTGAGTCTTCCATGAGGATCTGAGGCTCCTGTTGCCATCTTGCCCCTGGAAGGAAGCATGTCTATTCCCTGGAGTTCATCGCAATGTTCCCTGATAGGCATGGTGACTACGGATTTGGAGATTTCTGTAGGTGGAGCTGCTGCTGCTGTTGCTTTTAGAAAGATCCCAGTCATTGCCCAAGGTGTTTTCCTGCCTGGTAACTAGAGACACAGGTCTAGGGAGGTGTTCATGAATGGCCAGTGTCGCACACTGATGGGGTGGTATGTGCCAGTCAAGGGCTGTAATTTGGGCAATCTGTTTCTAGGGAAAAATATTGCTGGTTGCATATCCAATAGCCATTCTTCCTCTCTTCCTTGCTGATAGAATCAACCTTTTGCTATAGCTGTTTAAGGTTTATTTTCAGGTAATATACATAATAGGATCCCTGGGATCATTGATTTTTGAGCCAGTATTGCCAAAGTGTGTCTCAGCTCCATCATTTTAAAACTAAGTGACCTTTGGCAAGTTATTTACCTTCTCAGTGCCTCAGTTTCCTTGTCTGTAAAATGAATATAACAAAACTGCTTCTCTAACTGGTAGCTTTGAAATGTAAACAAGTTGATGCATGTAAAATGCTTATGTAGTATCTGGAGCATATAAAGTGTTCAATAAATATTAGCGATTCTTCTTCTTCTTCTTTTTTTTTTTTTTTTTGAGACAGAGTCTCACTCTGTTGCCCAGGCTGGAGTGCAGTGGCATGATCTCAGTTCACTGCAACCTCTGCCTCCTGCATTCAAGCGATTCTCCTGCCTCAGCCTCCCAAGAAGCTGGGATTACAGGCACGTGCTGATTTTTGTATTTTTAGTAGAGATAGGGCTTTGCCATGTTGGCCAGGCTGGTCTTAAACTCCTGACCTCAGGTGATCCACCCACCTCAGCCTCCCAAAGTGCTAGGATTACAGGCATGAACCACTGTGCCCAGCCTAGTGATTATTCTTATTGCTACTACACCCCAGTCTGTGTTGCAGCTTGGGTATGAATAGATTACACATTACTGGCCAATTGGACCTGAGAGGAAGACTACTGGGAAACTTCTGGGCCATGCACAAGAGGACATGGACAGTACTCATTTTGGCTGCTGACAGTCAGGTCTCTACGCGATGCTTGAAATTGCAGAAGAAATTGCAGCCCTGGGATAGTTTGACTTTGGATATTTTGTTAATTGTGATAATATATTATCCTCATTGTTCAAGCCTCCTACCACTTACAGTCAAAGCCATCCTAACTGATGTACCTAGTAACGGCAGAGGCCTTGCTAGAGTTACAGTGCATTTAAGCCATGTGTGGCAGTAAATGTATTTGATGGCATTGTTAGGATGGTTCTTTGCTTTAAAATATTTTTAGATGTTTTGGAATTGTAGTACATTTACATAGTAAAGCATTAAAAGAATGAAAAATCTTACAGTGAAAAATCTCCTTTTCACATTGGACATTCATGTGGCCATTCCCCCAGGCCCCAGTAGCCAGTTAACCACTGCTTTTAGTCTTTTACTTACCCTTTCAGAAATTTGGAAAATAAATATGAATTTCCAAATTCAGAAATTTGGAAAATAAATAAAGCTGGTCATGGGGGCTCATGGCTGTAATCCCAGCACCTAGGGAGGCCGAGGCGAGCAGATTGCTTGAGCCCAGGAGTTTGAGACCAGCCTGGGCAACATGGGGAAACCTCACCTCTACAAAAAATACAGGAATTAGCTAGATGTGGTGGTGTGCACCTGTAGTCCCAGCCACTTGGAAGGCTGAGGTGGGAGGATCACTTGAGCCTGGGAGGTCGAGGCTGCAGTGAGCCGTGATTGCACCACTGAACTCCAGCCTGGGTGACAGTGTGACCTTGTCATATATATATGCTTATAATACAAAATATATTTTCCCTCTTTTGTAATGTAAATGTTAGCATGCTCTACACATCATTCTGTACCTTGCTTTTTTCACTTAACATACCTTAGAAGCTTTCCATATCAATATGTAAAGTGCTTTCTTATTTCTTTTTACTGTTACAAAGTACTCCACTGAATTTATTTAACCAGTCCTTTACTGACAAGTATCCAGGTTCCTCCTAATCTTTCGCTGTTGACTGCAATGCTGCAATCAATAAATGGTATACATGTCGTTTTGTAGATATGCAAATATATCTGTAAGGTAAATTCCCCCAAAGTGTAGTTGCTGAATCCAAGAGCACATGCATTTGTAATTTTGATAGCTCTTGCTAAGTGCAACCCTCTGTATGGGCTGTATAAATTTATACTCCCACCAGCAAGGTATGAGAGTGCCTATTTCTCACAGACTTGGCAACAGAAGATGCTATCAAATTTTGGATTTTTGCGAATTTTATGGTGAAATATGGCATCTCAGGTAGTTTCAATTTTCATGCTTCTTGTTATGGGTAAAACAGACCATTAAAAATATGTTTAAGAATAATTTGCATATTCTTTGAATTGTCTGTTTATAACATTTGTCCATTTTTCTAGTGGGTTATTGGTTTATTTCTTATCCATTTTTAGAACTTTCTATATATTAGGGAGATTATTCTATGATCAGTTATAATTATGTTTCCCAGTTTGTCTTTATTATTATTATGGTGAAGTTTACTTTTGTCATGCAAAGGTTTAAACAAATTTTTTATATAGTTGAACTTATCTTTTTTATAATTTTGGATTTGGGGATAGTTAAAAAGCCCTCTATATTCTGAGATTATGAAAAATTATCTCATCTATTCATTTACTACATTTATTGATTTTTTTAATATTAAAGATTCGGTTCATTTGGAATATATCATGGAACACAGAATGATAAATGAGTCCAACATTAATATTTCCCAGATAGCTACCTTGTTGCCCCACCACTATTCAAAAGTTAAGTTTGTCCCACTCCTTTTTCTGTACTTTCTTATTCCATTGCTTCATCTATTCATGAACCAATTCTACCTTGTTTTAATTACTGTGCCCTTTTAGAATATTTTTATATCTGATAATCCCCTTTCATTGATTTTTTTAAAAATCAGAGCTTCCTTTGAAAATCTTCTTTGCTTATTTGCAATATGAACCTTAGGATTTTTTTCTAGCTTAAAAAAAGAGAACTATTTATTAGGTTTATTGAAATTATGCTAAATTTAAAAATCAAATTAGAAATATCAGCATACTCTTGATAAAAGAAAGAAAGCAGCATTGAGTTATCTTGTCAAAATATGTGGTATGTTTTCCCATTAGTTTATGTATTCTGTTGTGTGTCCTGGAATATTTGAAACAGCTTTTTAGGTCCATGTCTTATACATTTATTGTTAAAATTATTCCTAAGAAATAATATCTTTTTTGGTTGTTGTAGTTTTGGCTAATGTAAATGGACTCTTTCTCTCCATTATAATCTTTTTGCTTCTAATTATTGACTTCTTTATATGTTTTCTACCCCATAACATCGCTGAGTTTTCTTATTGCTTTTAGTAGTCTTTTTTTAAAAAGTTGATTTCCTTGGGTTTCCTAGGGAAACAATAATATCATCTGCAAATAGGGTTAGTTTCATCTCTACCTCTCCATTTTTATACCTTAAAGTTCTTCTCTCATATGCATTTTATTGGCCAGAGTGCCAGTAAAAATGGACAAGAATAATAGGAGGACTTGATAAATCCACAACCATAGTGAGCAATTTTAACACCTATTCCTCAGTAACTATTAGAGCAAGCACACAAAAAGTTAGTAAGCAGCATGATTAGCAAACTTGATCTAATTGACATGCATAGAACCCAGCAGTCACAACTCCAGAATGCACATTCTTTTTGAGTACACATAAAACATTGACCAAAATTGATTATATGTTGGGCAATAAGTCAAGTCTCAATAAACTTCAAAGGACTGAAATAATATAGAGTATGTTCATTGACCACAATGAAACTTAGGTAAAAATCAATAACAAAAGGTAACTAGAAAGTTCCTAATTGTTTGAAGTTTAAGCAATATACTTCTGAATAGCCCATGGGTCAAGGAAGAAACTAGCAATGGAAATAAGAAGTTATTTTTACCTGAATGGTAATTAAAATATGACACATTAAAACATGTAATGCAGCTAAAATCATGCATAGGAAGATATTTATAGCCTTAAATGTGCATATTTGGAAAGAAGAAAGGCTGAAAATCAATCACTTCAATTCATCTTAATAAGGGGGCAAATAATAGCAAATTAAGCCCAAGGAATGCAGAAGGAAGAATATACAAAAGTTGAGAGCAGAAATGAATGATATAGGAAAATAATGTATAAGAGAAGGTCAACAAAGCCAAAAGGTAGTTCCTTAAAAAGACTGATAAAATTGATAAACTCTCGGTGAGACCAATCACAAAGAAGGGACCAAATAGCAATATCAGGAATGAAACAGGGGACAAGACAAATATTACAGACATGCAAAAAATAATAAATGGATATAATGAACTACTTTATGCCAATACATTTGACAACTTGGTTAAAATTGATAAATTCCTAGAAAAAAACTTACCAGAAGTGACACAGAAGAAATAAAAGATCTTAATAGTCCTATACATATAAAAGAAATTGGATCTATAAATAAAAACTTTCTATAAAGAAAACTTCAGGTCTAGATGGCTACATCAGCCAAATTCCAAATTATTTTAAAGGAAAAAAATTAACATCAGTCTTACATAAATCTATCTAGGGAATAGAAAGAAGCAAAACTTTCCGACCAACTTCATGACATAAAAACTTGATGAGTTCTTTATAAAAAAGAAAAATTGCAGGTTAATCTCTCTCATATATATAAATGCAAAAATCCTAGGATTAAAAATTCTAATATTAAAAATTAATCCAATGATCTGTAAAAAGAACAATACACCATAACTATGTTCAATGCAATATTGATTTTGCATTCAAAAATCAATTGTTTTAATTCATATAATAACAAAAAAAGGAGACTTAGCAAAATAAAGGAGAAAAATTGTACAATCATCTCAATAGGCATAGAAAAATAATCTGATATAATTCGACACCTGTTACTACTACTACTACTAATAATAATAATAAACATAAACTTCTTAGAAAACTAAAATGGAAGAGAATATTTTTAATCAGACAAAAGTCGTGTATAGCAAATATCATGGTTAATGGTGAAACATTGAATGTTTTCCTTCAGGAACTAGAAATGAGACAAGTATTCCTACCTACTATTATTATTTTTATTCAACATGCCTAAAGATTCTAGGCAGTGCAGAAAGCAATAAAAAATTTTTATAAGGATAAATGGATTGGAACTATTATTATTACTGATGATACAATTGTGTGTACAGAAAACATAAATCTATAAATTATTGGCATTAATAAATAAATTTAACAATATAACTGGCTATCAGGTCAATATGTAAAAATAAATTGTGTCCTTTTATTCCAGGACCAAAGAATTAGAAAACTAATTTTTAAAATTATGTCATTTACAATAACATCAAAACATATCAAATAACTAGTAATCTAATAAAAGATGTGTAAGACCACCACAATGAAAACCTCAATAAATGGAGGGGTAGGCTATGTTTATGAACTAAACAATTCAATTTAATAAAGATATCCATTCTCTATAAATTAACCTGTAAGTTCAATGTAGTCCCATTTAAAATCCAAGCAGCTGTTCTGTGGGGAATTCACAAGCTCACTCTAAAATTTATGTGGAATTGCAAAGGGCAAGAATAACCAATACAATCTTGCAGATGAAGAAGAAAGTGGTTGGAGACTTACTTTAATAGAAACCAAGTCTTATCCTAGTTTTAGTAATTTAAAAAGCTGAGTGTTAGTGCAAGGATAACTCCCCAACACCAAAAAAAAAAAAAAAAAAAAAAAAGCAAACGGAATAGAATAGACTTTAGAAACAGACCTACATGTATATGAATATGATTTATGGCAAAGGTAGGGTTTTTGAGCAATAGGAAAAAGATGGTGTTTTGAATAAATGTTGCTGGGCCAATTAGATATACATTTGGAAAAAGAAATCTTGACCCCTACTTGATACTACAAAAAAATTCCAGGTAGATTATAGATTGAATGTGAAAAGTAAACCAATCTTCTGGAAGACTACATTAGAGAGTGTGTCTATGACTTTCAGTAAACAAGGATAAACAGAACACAAGATGCACTAACCACAAAATAAAGATTGATAAATTGGACTGCATTAACATTAGTATCTTCTGTTCATCAAAAGACACACAAGTTGGAAAGGCAGTCACAGAGTGGGAGATGTTTGCAGTACATACAGCAAAGAGCTCATTACCAAAATATAGAAAGACAGCCTCATATCAATAAGAAAAAGACAGGTAATTGAATAAAGACAGTGGAAACAAGACCTGAAAAAGAACTTTACAAATGACAATATTCAATATCTACTAAACACACAAAGAGCTAACGAAGTCATTTTAGCGGTCCGGGATGTTTAATTAAAACCACAATGAAATATCCCTACACATCTGCCAGAAAGACTAACATTAAAAAGACTGACAATACCAAGTGCAGTTGGGGATGTGAAACCACTGTCTCATATGCGCCTGGTGGGAATGCAAATTGACACCATTACTTTGGAACACACATATGCCTTGGGATCTAGCAACTCACTCCTGGATATATATCTAATAGAAATGCATATATACGTATACCAAAAGACATGCAAGAGAATGCTCATTGCTGCATTGTTTGTAATAGCTCAAAGCTGGAAACAACCCAAATGTCTTTCAACAGAAGAAAAGGCATACGTGTGTATCATGACATATGCAGGCAATTGAATACAGGGGTGAAAAATGAATCAAGTACAATGATGTGCTTCAACAGAAATAATTTCACAAACAAACATACTGTACAATTCCATTTAAATAAAGTTCAAAATCAGGCAAATCTAAATGATGATGTTAAAATAAACATGTATTGTCTCTCCTGTGTGAGGTACCATGGAATAAACTATGGTTCTAGAAATCAGAATAATGTTTACCTTTGGGGAGAAGAAAGGGACTCTAGGGAGGTTTCTGGGTTGCTGAGAGCATTCTATTCCTTGATCTGAACTGTGGCTACCAGTATGTCTTTACTTGAGTTAATTTATTGAGCTTATTAATTGTGTACTTTTCTGCAAGTAGCTCAAGCAGCAAACACTTGTTAAGCACCTAACATGTATATGTAAGATTGCATGGGCACTGTGGTCCCTCTTCTTTTCACCCCCTTGTTAACATCACCCTTGCTGGAGGGAGCTCATTATTACTAATTGGCCCAAGTGACAGCACAGCAAATGAGTGCAGCAAGGCTCTGCAAGTCTATGCTGAGAGTGGAAGTAGGGCCCAGTTGGGCTAAGGCCAGATGTTCTTTTACTTTGATTGGCAGAGTCCACTTTAGTACTTCCCAGTTCATGACAGCTTTTCTCTGCCACATTTAAATTTCTAAAGATAATTGTGGCCAGGAGGCCCCTGCTCCAAAGCTTGAGTGACTCTCCTTGATTCAGGTATGTGACTGCCATCTGGACATGGCAGTTGGTAGAGAGCTAGAGGAAGAGCTTGCTGAGATCCCAGCTTGCTCGAGGGGGTAGGAGGCAGGGTCAAGTCTGAACTTGTGCAGACCTGTGCTCTGGCTGCACAGTAACAACAATACTTATTTTCTCAACTATAAAGCTGTAAAAATGATCATACACCTGTGTGTATTTGAGTAGGAATTACGTGCATAATTCAATTGTTCATGACATCACGTGTGTGAGTTTTGCCTGTATCCAGATGGAAGTGTCTGTTATAAAGTAAAAGAAATAAAAACATGTTGATTTGTAGAGGTGGTGAAATTGTGAGCCAATTTTTCTTTTAACATTGTTCCAAAGTTTTTGTGTATGTAACCGGTAATAACAATAAACACAAACAAAAGAATGATTTTCATTGCATGCATACTCAGACAATAGAAAAAAGACCCTACTAAACCAGCATTTTATACAAATTATTATACATTTAGACATTTCTTTTTTTTTCTTTTTTTTTTTTTGAGACGGAGTCTTCTGCTGTTGCCCAGGAATGGAGTGCAGTGGCATGATCTCGGCTCACTGCAAGCTCCGCCTCCCGGGTTCATGCCATTCTCCTGGCTCAGCCTCCCGAGTAGCTGGGACTACAGGCACCCGCCACCACGCCCGGCTAATTTTTGTATTTTTAGTAGAGACGGGGTTTCACTGTGTTAGCCAGGATGGTCTCGATCTCCTGACCTCATGATCCGCTGGCCTCGGCCTCCCAAAGTGCTGGGATTACAGGCGTGAGCCATCGTGCCCGGCTGACATTTCTTAACTAATTTGAAAATTTAACCAGGGAACATGGTCAAATTTGAAAGTGCCATTTGTGTATTTTCAGTGTCAGTAACAGAAAAATAACCTTTCATTTATTAATGTGAAACTGAATTTAGATCAAATTTCAGAACTCAACATTCTGACAGTCCTAGATGTGAAAAGCTGGCATTCACTGCTGAAAATATTTCATCAAGTTTCTTTAACATATGGCCTCCAGCTATTGAGAAGATTTTTGTAGTTGCTATATCAAAGGTGGCTTCTGAGTTGACGAATGAATGTTTTAATCACAGTCTGGTCTAAACTTGGCCATTACACATATTAGAATGAATTTGGTTAGTTTTTTTTGTTCAGGAATATAGTTACATTGAAGAACTTCAATGCATTTATTTCTTTCTAAGAACTAATGTTTAACGAGCTTTACTATGGGCACTGCATACCAGAGTCTACAGGGCATTGCCAGCCGAGCAAATAGTGGCTTGGAATGAGGAACTCATTTTCTTACAAAAGTAGTACTATACACAGTGGTACATTTTTAGGATAGTCCAAAATAGGAAATTTAACTCAGTATGTAGAGCTGTACTGCTTCAAATCCTAGGCTGATTCCTTATATCTGGGAGCAGAAAGTCCTTAATGGAGGTAAGGAGGGTAAGTAGGGGCAGAGAAGAGAAAGGAGAAGAGCAGATGAGAAAGAGGAGAAAAGATAAAGGTGAAGACAGAGGAGGCAGAGGAGAGGGAAAAAAGAGAAAAATAACAAGGAAGTAAAGGAGGAAAAAAATGTTCCTCTTTTTCTTTTCTACTCAGGACTGTGCTCAGTGTCATTTCCCTGGCAGCCTCTCCTATTTCTGCCTCCTCCACTCTCTGATGCCTCTGTCACAGCTTCCCAGGCCCCCAAGAGCTCCCGGGCTACTCTAAGCTCCCCATGGAGGTGCCACATTCAGACTTTTTCACCCTCTGAAGATGTCTCATGCCCGTATGTTATCATCTTCCCTTTTTTTTGGTGAAAGGTCTTGAAGTCACTGTTGATCTGAATTAGGTGTAAAGAGCAAAGGTATATGATCAAACAATCTCTAAGATGTGAATGATGAATAATCTTGTATCTTTGAATGTTTGAATTTTTAAAAGAAAAACAGAGATTTTCTATTGGTAGAACTATGAGTACCACTAAAAAAAGTGAAGTGGGACATTCTGACCTTTTGAGATTAGTGGTTAAGATTTTTGGTCAAGGCAAAACCCTATAAACAAGCTGACTGGCTTGTGACACTGCTTAGAATCTGCTATGTTCACCTCCTGTAACTTGTTCTCCCTCTTCAATTTCTTCTCTATTTTCATTTTGGGATCCATAGACTCTCTAAAATCTTTGTGGCAGAAGTGGGCACCTGCATACATTTGTCTTCGTAAGTTGACCGTTGGTGAGTTAGTAGGGACCTGTATACGTGCTCTACATTATTGGCTCCAATTTACAGATGAGGAAATTGCGGCATACCATGGTCTGAAAGTATGTGTCCCCCCAATATTCATATGTTAAAACTTAATCCTCATTGTTTAGAAGTAGGGCCTTTGGGAGGAGGGCTCTGCCCTCATGAATGGAATTAATGTCCTCATATAAGAGGCATGAAGGAGCTTGTTTGCCCTTTCTGCCATGTGAAGACACAGCTACAAGGTGCCATTTATGGGGAAAGGGCCCTTATCAGACATCAAATCTCCTGGCACCTTGATCTTGGACTTCCCAGCCTCCAGAACTGTGAGCAATAAATTTCTATTGTTTATAGATTACCCAGTCTAAGGTATTTTTGTTATAGCAGCCCAAATGGACTAAGACAAGGCATTTAGCAACTAAAGCCATATCCTTTTTAGCCCAAGGAATACATGCATGTGATTTTTTTTTTTTTTTTTTTTTTTTGCGATGCAGTCTGGCTCTCTCGCCCAGGCTGGAGTGCAGTGGCGTGATCTCAACTCACTGCAACCTCTGCCTCCCAGATTTAAGCAACTCTCCTGCCTCAGCCTCCTGAATGGCTGGGATTACAGGTGCCTGCCCCACCACACCCAGCTAATTTTTGCATTTTTTTTTTCCAGTAGAGACAGGGTTTCACCATGTTGGCCAGACTTGTCTTGAACTCATGACCTCAAGTGATCCACCCACCTCGGCCTCCCAAAGTGCTGGGATTACAGGCGTGAGCCACCGTGCCCGGCCTGCATGTGATTTTTATAGTGTTGTAGGCCTGCACTGTCTGATATGGCAGCCATTTGCCACATGTGGCTATTAAGTACTTGAAATGGGGCTAGTATGACTGAAGAACTGAGCTTTTGATTTTATTTAATTTTACTCAATTTAAATTTAAAAACTGATAGGCAGTTTGGTTACTGAAAAATTTTAAGTATGTTTGAAATAATGCAGGTATGTGAATCAACTTTTTAAACTTTAAGTTTTATGAAATCTAAATATAGATCAAGTATTTCCAGTGAAAATTTAGTGTTTGCAGGCTGGACACCCTCTGCTCCAGCTGAAGACATCTCTGAAAGGCCATGTCAGTGTCAAGCTTCCTGCTGGGGTCCCTGAAGCCTTCACTGATTCTGCACCCCAGTCCATATTCTCCTTTGGCCCAATCCTGCATCGTTCCCTTTCCTTCCAAAAGTGCTGAGTCCAAGAGTTTTCTTTAATAAACCTCTGCCCCCTAATATTCATCTCAGAATATGTTTCCTGGAAAACTCAACTTGCTATAGTGTATTTATTTTTAAATAATATAATAAATACCTAGGGCCTCTGGGACCTTAAATATCTGGCATATCAAAGGTCCACATTACTGGGATATCATGGTCAGCGAGTAAGCAACTTAATGGGTGCCCACTGTGTGAATGACCCTTAACTAAGGGCTGTGAGTAGCCTTGAAGGAAGAATCGCTGGGGGACGGCTGAACTAGATGAACTCAAAAGTCTGTCTCTGAGCCTCTATAAATATATTTTTATCTATAAAATGGTAGCTTGTTCCCAGTGCTCAGGGACTGGACTTGAAACTGAAGAATGGTAGACATCATTTTTTAGGTGTCTGTGGCTGCGGGAAAAGGGAAACGTGTTTAGCAAGTACTGAAAACTGAACATAAGTCAAACAGGGCTCAATGCTCTGGCATCAGACAGATGTTCTGAAGGCACAGAAGCTTCACATGTGGTAGCCCTGAAGGACCTTGGGGAAGATAAATCCTCATACTGGGCAGAGATTTTAACAGAACATCTCACTGTCCATGTGCATGGAAAAAGGGTGTCCTGAGGAAAGAGTGTGCACTACTTTCTGGGCAGTACACAGTAGTTTGGCCCATGGATAGTGGCATGAAAGGAGCAAAACTGGAGGGCAGGAGAACAGGAAGTTTAAAGAGCTATGCATTGGCTTCTTAGAACGAACAAAGTGTGAGAATAGTTGTGTTCCACAAGGCTGCTCACCAAAGGCTCCTTGTTACAAAGGGGGATCTCAACAATCAGATAAACAGAAGCACTTCTCATTTGCAAAGGTTCTCAGTTCCCAATGTGGCAATACAACCCTGAATCTCCCATGTGGCACAGAGAGGGTGAGACAGGAACCATGTGGCAGGTTGGTTGTTTCTGATACTTTTTTGTTATTCTAGTTTTAATCATACATACTGATGGGGTACATAGTGATGTTTCAATACAAACAATATCGAGTGATCAGATTAGAGTAATTAGCATATCTATCATCTCAAACATTTATCATTTATTTGTGTTGGGAACATTCAAATCTTTTCTTTTAGCTGTTTGAAAATATATACTAAACTACCGTTAACTACAGCTGCCCTACAGTGTTATAGGACACTAGAACTTATTTTTTCTATCTAGCTGTGCATTTTATATTCTTTAACCAATATCTATCCTCCCAACCTCCTCACCTTCCCAGCCTCTAGTAACCCATATTCTACTCTGTACTTCAATGAGACTGACTGTTTTTAGCTTCCACATATGAGAACATGGGGTGTTTAACTTTGTTCCTGGCTTGTTTCACTTAACATAATGTCCTCCAGCTCCATCTATGTTGCCATGAATGACAGGATTTCATTCTTTTTTTATAACTGAATAGTACTTCATTTTGTATATACACCACATTTCCTTTATCTGTTCATCTGTTAATGCACACTTACATTGATTCCATATCTTGGCAATTGTGAATAGTGCTGCAATAAACATGGGGATATAGATATCCCTTTGATATACTGATTTCCTTTCCTTTGGATATATACCCAGTAGTGGGATTGCTGGAGCATATGGTAGTTCCATTTGTGTTTTTTGGAAGAACCTCCATACTGTTCTCCTTAATGGCTGTACTAGTTTACATTCCCACCAACAGCATGTAAGAGTTCCCTTTCTCCATGTCCTCACCAGCATTTGGAACTTTTTGTCTTTTTGTTAATAGCCATTCTCACTAGGGTGAGATGGTATCTCATTGTAGTATTGATTTACATTTCCCTGATGATTAGTGATGTTGAACATTTATATATGTATTTGTTGGATATTGTATGTCTTCAGAGAAATGTCTATTCAGTTCATTTGCCTGTTTTAAAAGTTGGGTTATTTGCTTCATTAGCTGTTGAGTTGTTTGAGTTTTTTATATATTCAGAATATTAATTTCTTCTTGGATGAACGGTTTGCAGATATTTTCTCCCATTCTGTAGTTTGACTTTTCATTCTATTGATTGTTTCCCTTGCTGTGCAGAATATGTTTTGTTTGATACAATCCCATTTGCCTATTTTTGCTGGATTCTTTCTATCATATGGAAGGCAGTAATTTGTCCTCACTAAAATAGATTTTAATTTTAAGTTTAGGTTTATTTTCCTATCTACAATATGCCTACTACAATTACCAGCTGAGGAACAGGAAAGTTCACTTGACCTGTGTTCAGTTGCAGAAATAAAGACCACAAGATTTACCCAAATTTCTTTTCTTGCTGCACTATACATATTAAAGAGCCATTTAAAATCATATATATATATGGTTTTATATCTGCTATAAATATATATATAATATATTTATTCCCTTCCTCTCTCTTTATCTCACTATGGTATGTAAACATATGCTATATATGTTTATACATATGCCAGGCACAGTGGCTCATGCCTGTAATCCCAGCACTTTGGGAGGCTGAGACGGGTGGATCATGAGGTCAGGAAATCGAGACCACCCTGGCTAACCCGGTGAAACCCCGTCTCTACTAAAAATACAAAAAAAATTAGCCAGGCTTGGTGGCGGGCCCCTGTAGCCCCAGCTATTCGGGAGGCTGAGGCAGGAGAATGGCTTGAACCGGGAGGCGGGGCTTGCAGTGAGCTGAGATCATGCCACTGCACTCCAGCCTGGGCGACAGAGCAAGACTCTGTCTCAAAAAACAAAACAAAACAAAACAAAACAAAAAAATGTTAGCAGTCACAGCTGGGTGTGGTGGCTCATGCCTGTAATTCCATTGCTTTGGGAGGCCGAGAAAGGTGGATTGCTTGAGGTCAGGAGTTCGAGACCAGCTTGGGCAACATGGCAAAACCCCGTCTCTACTAAAAATACAAAAAATTAGGCAGGTGTGGTGGCACATACTTGTAATTCCAGCTCTTTGGGAGGCTGAGGCATGAGAATTTCTTGAACCAGGAAGTCAGAAGTTGCAGTGATCTGAGATTGTGCCACTGCACTCCAGCCTGGCAGCCTGGCAGTGACAGAGTGAGATTCTATCTCAAAAACAAAACAAAACAAAACAAAATGAAAACTGAAACAACAACAAGAAGCACCCAAAATGTTAGCAGTCATAGTCTTACTTTCTAAATTTTTTTCTTTGTTTCTTATGGTCTGTTTTCTCCACTTATGTTTTGTGGATACAGCATCTTTTCATAACTCTCTGGAAGTCTAATTAGAGTTTTTTTCACTTTAATTCTTTTCTATTCTTTATTTTTCTTTCAAGGCCATTTAATTAATTTTTTTCTTGGTGTTTTCATTTCATGTTTTGGACTCAACAGTTTGGCGATCCTGGATATTTAAGAATGAGATGATAGGTTGCCAAAGAGCCCTGCGTTGGGGGTTGCGAGCCGGGGAGGGGCTGGTTACTGTGAGTGGGAAGGCAGCCACTCATTTTTCTGGAGGATCTTTAAAGGTCAGATTGAGAAGGATTTACTGTGGCAAACAGTAACCCCATGCTACAGGCCCTAGTCCTTCTCAGAAAGTCCATTCATGTTTCTTTCAGAGACAGAATTTCACTTTTTTTTTTAGGCTTTTTCCTGCCCTGTGCTGGGATCTAACTACCTGGCTACTAGCGTTTTTGTAAGCGGGGATGTTAGAGGGAAACATCAGGGGGATTGTTCTATACACAGTTTCAACTACTGACCCCGTCTCCACTCTCATGTCTCATGCCTGCCTTACATTGCCTTTACCTTCTCAGCAGCCTCTTCGGCTCAGCTCCTAGTTAATACTCCTCCATCTGCTTTGTGTCTTACAGAAGGATTTTGAAATCTTAAGTCTCCTGATGGGGCTGTCTTGGATTATTTGCAGAGACAGGAGATAAACCCAAGGGCTGAGCCTGTCGCTTTCAACTAGAAGCCCTAGGGCCTCTGGGTTTTAAATGGCTTTTTAATATGCTCAAAGTTTAGAGTCAGTGTGAACCATGACAATGTTCCTTAGACTAGTGTAATGTCCTGTGATTTATAGTAATGTTTCCAGTTGGTCCTCACAACCCTGGAGTCACAGGGGAGTCTGGAATGAATGGAGCTGGAGAAGACATCTGAAAGGCTTCAATGCATAGGAAACACTTGATCACAAGGGCAAAAAGACCCTCTACTATTTGTCAGAAAGTTAATGGAGAGATGGTCCAGGCTGGGATAAGGCTCAGCTTAGGGCTTGGAGGAGAAAACAGGTGAGAGGCTATAGGAACAGCAATGTCTGCTAAGCTGTTGCTCAGAGCCTGAGTTGGTAGTAGGGGGAGATGAGAGATCAGCTATGTGGGCGGCCAGTGGTGGGGCTTGAAGAGTCTGTAAGGTGATGTAAGCTATCAGTTCCAGAAGAAATTTGTGCAAAAGTCCTGCTGATGAGGGTAAGTTTGAAGCCAGAAAATAACATTGTCAGCAGCGTCACCGGCACATACAAAGGACAGTGATAGATTGCACAGCACCTCTCTCACATTTCTGGGCTAATGGAAGCCACAGCTTGCCCATTAGTTTCAACTTCCTTCCCCAAAGACTTTCCACTGGAACTTGTAAAATGTACATTTTACCTCTTTGTCCTTCCCTCCCCAGCCTGCTAGCAGAGATGAATAAGGCTGAAGAAGCAAGTCCCTGGAGAGAAAGGAAGAGATGAGAGAGACCCCCAAGTTGTGTGATCACCTCCAGCACACTGGAGACTGAGCCGTTTCACAAGGTGCCACTCAATCTAGTTTTTAGATGGGGCGTAGTTCGGGGGCAGACATTAGGCTCACTGTCTGAGAGGTTCCCTTAAAGCGGTGGTATCTGTGCTGTTTCTCCATTGCCTCTCCTCCAGTACAGGGAAATCACAGGGAAGGGCCCCAGACCTCAATGATCTACAGCTGTGCTGAGCAGGTCTTTCCCGTGGGCCTCTGAGGTGCTCCTTGTGAAGGCAGAAGTGGGTTTTGTCCTGCAGAGCAAAGGAATTCTATTCGCTCCATGAGGTTTACACACTTGCTTTTTTCTGTTTCTCTTCCACTCCTCCCTTGAGAAAATTAGCTAGAACAGGTGCCTTTTTCTCCTTGCTGACTCCTTGCAGCAACCAACACCATTCAAAATCTCTCAGAATGTGCTAAGCGTATTTGTAATACCCTTAACTGTGGCTGAACTTTAAGCTTTACCCGTGCCTGGTCTCTCTGTGTCTGAGTCTCAGTTTGTGTCTCTCCCTGTCCTTGTCTGTGTCTCTATTTGTGTCACCCTCTGTCTCTCTATTTCTCCGTTTCTGTCACTGTCTCTCTTTCTCTGTCTCTGCTTTTTTGTTTCTTCCTCTACCTCTCTCCCTGTCTCTGCCTGTCTCCCTCTCTGTCTCTGTCTCTCTCTTTCTCTGTTTCTGTCTCCCTCCCTCTCTCCCATACACCTGATCACTGGTGCCAGGGCTCTCGCCACCCTCTGCCTTTGGGAAAGCAGCCTGAGTCATATTCATCCTGTGCTCAGCAACTGGACATGATGCCTACTCCCCCAGAAAGCACAAAAAGCTTCCAAATCCACCTGGTCCCCTCAATAAAAATACCCCATCAGGCTGGGCGCGGTGGCTCATGCCTGTAATCCCAGCACTTTGGGAGGCCGAGGCGGGCAGATCACAAGGTCAGGAGATTGAGACCAACCTGGCGAACACTGTGAAACCCCGTCTCTACTAAAAAAACAAAAAAATTAGCCGGGCGTGGTGACGGGCACCTGTAGTCCCAGCTACTCGGGAGGCTGAGGCAGGAGAATGGCATGAACCCCGGGGGGCGGAGCTTGCAGTGAGTGGAGATCACACCACTGCCCTCCAGCCTGGGTGACAGAGTGAGACTCTGTCTCAAAAAAAAAAAAAACAACAACAAAAAAAACAAACCCAATCAATGCTTTCCCCTGGCCAGAGGGAGCTGTGTCTATGCAGAAGCCCCTTCCATTTTCTGGGCAAGCCCCTGAGCAGGCGAACCATCACTCATTTATAAAAATGAAGGATTCGTGAGCAACTCCTCTGGCTGCCAGCAGAGTTTATGCAGGTTCTGATCCACTTTAATTGAATTAAGCTGTGTTTATTTAATCAGCCCAGAGATATGTATCCTCAGGCAGGAATTTGATGACGGCTTCTAAATCGTGTTTTTGTCTGTGGGAGGAGAAGGGCTGTGATCTACTTGGTATTTTTGAAGGATTGGGGGCCCAAGGGACAGGCTGGCATCAAGGCTCAGACTGGACCCTGCAGGGACACTGCATTCAGCAGCTGTGCATGTGATTGTGTGTGCCTGTGTGAGTGTGAGTGTGTGTGTGTGCATGTGTGAATGTGTGTGCCTGTGTGAATGTGGACATATATGTGTGCAGGTGCAAGTATGTGTGTGTGCACATGTCCAGACACCCTGTGGTGAGTATGCATGGGCAGAGCTCTTTTTGCTCAGTGCCCCAGGACCTTGGGGCAGGACTGTCAGAGAAGCCAGACCTGCCAGTAGTCTGTGTTCTCAGCCACCACAGAAGAAAAGCATTAGAGAAATGAGGTCATACTGAGGCTTGAGGACAGTATTGTTCAAATTGTGCTCCATAAATCTCCATGGGTGCTGGTTAAGCACACTGATGCCCAGGCCCCACACCAAGGCTTGCTGAATCACACTATAAATAACCTCAGGAGTGTTTGCATTTTAAGGTTGGAGGCGGGGCAGGCAGAGGACAGTGACTGAGACTTACTTAGTGGGAATCATGATGCTGGTAGTGGGCATGGGTGTCTAAGCCTCACACCCGGGTCTGGGCAGTGCTCAGCGTGAGCTGCGCAGCCGAGTCATTTACGGGTGGGGCTGAGCCAGGGTCCAGGCAGGAAAGTGGTGCATTATCAGTTTATCAGTTTTCAGAGAGGCAGAGTAAGAGGGAAGGGGTTCCTTGTGGCCTGAGGAGCAAGGCCAGTGATCTTCAGCTGGGAAGGAAGCCAGCTAGGATCCCACGGGAGAAGCCCTGGAGAACAACCTCAAGCTGGTCCCAGAGTGGCCAGAGGTAGCAGAGTGAACAGACTGGCCAAGTAGTGTAATTCTGGGGCTAGTTCAAGGAGCACAGCTGGTCTGCTGTTATAGTCTGTGTGGGGCGAGGGAGGGATTGTGATCCTCAGGGTCTAACCAAGGCTAGACTGTGGCAAGCAGTAGGAGAGAACAGATGTTAGAGAGCCTTCAAAAGAATAATGGGATTTGGTGACATTTTAAAGAAAATGGGAATGAAAGGAAAGAGAAGAAACTTCCAAGTTCAGGAAAATATATATATATGTATTTGGGTCTAGCACTATGAGAATCAGTTTTGGAAAGCTGACGACATTTGGAAATACCTGGCCACCCTTTTCTGAGCTCTCTGATTCCTCTGCTTTTTCAGCTTTGTTCACCTCTCCTTAAGACAGCACATCCGTTAATACAATTAGAAAAACAGAGACTATCTTGTTTATGCTGTTGATTTCAGTTCTTATCTTTCAGTAGGAGAGAAGTTCTGTATGTCTCTAAACATCTCCTGGTCAACTTCACCTTGGTAGTTTTCCATAATCTGAAACTTAACATGATGCAAACCACATCACATCATCTTTCGTGTATTGTAGCTTGGGCAAGCTCTGTGGTAAGGTCTTCTTCAATGCCTGAGGTCCGTGAGCTGATGCGGGACATGAAGGGCTGGGAATGAACAGGAACCCAAGGGACAATTGCAGCCAATTTTTAGGGTCCAGGGAAGGAGCCTTGAAAAGGGGTGACAGACCTAGGCCTCTTCTTATCACAGAAGATTATGTTCAATGTAAGTGATGATGCAAATAACCAATAATACTGTGGTGTGTGTGTGTGTTTGTGCGTGTGTATGTGTTAGAAACAAACAAGAAAATCTTTTCCAGAATTAATCACGCTGAAAAAATAAGTGAGCCCCCATTTTCAACTAGCATCAGTTGACAATTGTGGCAGACAGCCTCCAAAATGATCTGCAGAATCCTGGCCTCCCGGTATTGATACACCTGTAGAGTTCCCTCCCACACTGAACAGGGCTGAGGATATTGAAGAAATGGTGGTGTGTGACTTCTGAGCCTAGGTCATAAAAGACACTGTGGCTTCTGCCTTGCTCTCTTAGATCATTCATTCTAGGAGAGACCTTGGGAGGAGAAGTCATGAGGACAGTCAACCAGCTCTTTGAAGAAGTCCACATGCTGAGAAACTGAGGCCTCCTGCCAACAGCCTTGTGAGTGAATCATCTTGGAGGTGGATCCTCCAGCACCTGTAAAACCTTCAGATGACCACAGATCTGGCTGACATTTTGACCTCAATGTTATGAAAAATCTTGAGGCAGAAGCACCCAGCTAAGCCAATCCTGTATTCTTCACCTACAGAAACTATGAGGTACTAACACATGCTTATTGTTTCAAACTGCCAAGTTTTAGAGTAATTTCTTATGCAACAATAGATAACTAATAAAACAATGTTAACAATAACCTGATGTACACCCATGAAATATGATATCCAGACAAAATTAGAAAGTGTTTATGTATGCACTGCATTGTTATGTTTCTTTATAGAACAAAAAGAATCCTATGTTTTTCGGATCCTTTTCTCAAGTCAGTGCCAGTGATGCAGGGCCCATGAGCCCGGAAATTGGGGCTCAGCCTGGGAGGGTTCTTGGCTCCACCCGGGAAAGTATTCAAGGGTGGACCAGTGGTGCCAGATAGCAACTTTTATTGAAGAGGCCGTGTATGGCAGCAGCAGAGGCACTGGTCCTTGTGGAGCAGAGATACTCCATAGGCAGTGTGCCCAGAGTAGCAGCTCAGAGGCAGTTCTTCAGTCATATTTATACCCACTTTTAATTACATGCAAATTAAGAGGTGAGTTATTCAGAAATTTCTAGAAAAGGGGTGGTAACTTCCAGGTCATTGACATGGAAAGTGGGGGGTAACTTCTGCATATTGCCATGGCAGTGGTAAACTGACATGGCACTGGTGGGCATGTCTTATGGAAAGGTGCTTTTGCCTCTTCTTTCCTATTTCAGCTAGTCTTCAATCTGGTCTGGAGTTCAAGCCCTGCCTCTGGAGTCATGTCCCACCTCCTACTTCACCAGTACCTGCCCTCTCCTCCTGATTAGTGTAAGGTTAGCTCATTTTAGAGTCTATACCACTGGGAGGGCAGAGGAAATGTGCCAGATTCACCATTTATTGTTTTGTAATATGAGGTAGCTAAATGCTTTCACTCTACAATGAAAACTCCTTAGATTAGTCAATTAGGATTCATCCATGAACCAAGAAGGTGAGTCTATTTTTTTTTTGCCTTCTTTTGCAGAATAACTCTGACATTAATGGAGAAGAGGAACAGAAAGTGTGCTAGGACCTGTTAGCACACTTTCTGCTAGCATATCATATCTGTTTTTTATAAAAAACACATTGTCTTACACTTAACATTTTCATTTATATTAGTTCTATAATTCCTCCCCAAAAGATTATGAAGGAGGTATAATTAGCTCCATTTTTTGGATGAAGAAACTGAATAGAACTTGAGCACAGCCTAATTTAATGCTTTTTCCTCTAATCTACACTGTCCAAAATGATAGTCACTAGGCACATGTGGCTAGTAAGCATGTGAACTTATAGCACACTTAAGCACTTGAACTTACATGTAGCTCATAAGCACTTGAATTTACATGTGGCTAGTAAGCACTGGAAATGTACTGAATTGACATGTGCTATAAATAGTATAAAATCCACATAGGATTTCAAAGATAGTATGAGAAAAATAATGTCAAATATTTTCTTAAATTTTACACTGATTACACATCGAAATGATATTTTGAACGTGTTCATATTGTTAAAATTGATTCCATCTGTTTCTTTTTACTTAAATTTTTTAAAATTGTAAATTATTATTATGAGTACATGACAGTTCTTTTTACTTTTAAATGTGATATGGTTACTATAAAACGTGAAATTATACGTATGGCTTGCATTTGTGTCCCAGGTTATAGTTCTACTGGACAGAAATGCTCTAAACTAAGGCTGATATTTTCAGACTCACAACCTCAAGTTACCCCAAGACAGCCCTCATATCATCTCAGGGTCGCTAGGAGGGGAGAAAAAAATATAACAGATTGTATAATTGATAACCCCCTGTTTTTTATGTTTTGATATTTCATCACGAAAGGGAAGAAACTGAGCACCCTGGTGATACTGGGGCAGAAGGATCAGATGCTATCCAATATCCCGGTGACTTTCTTTGAAGTATAATTTTATGTCAAAAGGCCTTTCCAAACTTATTCAGGTGTACAAAGCACTAAGGAAAAGTTCAGACCCCTGAGCCAGAAAACTTCATTTTCCACATTAAGATCAAAGGAGTATGCGGGAGAGATGTGGCATTCCCAGTACTGGGGGTTCTGTTATAACAGGGTCAGAGAGAGGGCCAGAAAGGGAGGAGAAAAGCAAAAGACTGCCCAGAAAGTCAGCCAGTGAAAGCAAGTGACTCATGTATACTTTCATGTACTCATTAATGTAGCAAATATCCACTTATTGTCTGTTATTCATTGCCTAATGTGTCCTCATTATCTATAGGCACTGCTCCAAATTCTAGGGATACAGTGGTGACCAAGGATCAAGGTTTCTGCCCTCTAAGAATTTGTTTTGTAAAGACAATAGAGAATAATATACAATGAATAAGTAAATATGATAACTTCAGATTCTACTAGTTAGATTATAGGTTGGCTGCTATAACACAGAGACCCAAATAGCAATGGCTTAAGCAAGAGAGAACTTCATTTCTTTCTCATGTATAATAACAATCTGCGAGTGAGCAGTCTAGGGTGGGATTAGCACTCCTATAGTGTTAGAGACCCAGGTTCCTTCTGTCTTGCTGACCTGCCAGTACTGTATCTGTGGTTATCTACAAGGTTCGAGATGGATCACCATCTCAGGCAAGCAGGAAGGGAAAGAGAAAGTGAAGGCCTCTCCTCTTCCTTTTAAGGATGTGACCTAGAAGTTGCACACATTGTTTAATTCACATCCCATTGGCCAGTACTTAGTCATATGACCATCCTAGAAGCAAGGTAGTCTGGGAAATGTAGTCTTCATACTGAATGACTTGTAGTCAGCTTAAAAAATGTTTTACATTTTTTTCTTAAAATGTTTTTTTTTTTAATTTAAAGAAAAACAATGTTTTTCTTTAAATGAAGGAAGAAGAGAACAGATGTTGAGGGGCAACTAATAGTATCAGCACAATGGTGAGTTGCACAACTGCTACATTCGCAATATCAATAGTAGGACTGCATTACTGGAAAGACCAGGCTCTGACAATCCTTGGATAAATCACACAGGATTGACTTATGTAAGGATAGAGAAGAAAATCAGCACTGTCAGGACTCATGGCAGAGAGATCAGCATCATCTTCTAGACATAAAAAGGTGAACACAAAATCCTTTCCAAGGGAAAATCCAGTTGAAGATGAAAATCTGTGAAAGCATAGAGGTCACATTAAATTATCAGGAAGCCTAACTCATCCCCTCTGGACCCAGGACCTATCCTGTAGAGACAAAATATGAATGAAAGAGAGTTGGAGTAGGGGTTGTCAGGTGACTTATTAGCAAGTATGTACAAGGATGGTGTCTCTAGGGAACTAATACTTGAACAGAGACCTGAAGGGTTAGACAGAGTTCCTTATAGAAAACTTTCCAGCAATAGGGAACAGCAGATGAAAAGACCTTGTAACTAAGGTTGACCTTCGCAGGTACTAGAAACCAAGTTTTCCCAAGTAGCTGGAGTGTCATAAGTGAGGCAGAGAGTGGAAATGAGAGGAGGGGAAAAAAGGAGAAGATGAGAAAAGGAAGGCAGCTCTCACGTTTAGCACTGGAGGGACATCTTTATCAGATAAAATGGCAGAATCTGCCTCCTTCAGGTATTCCCTAATGTTTGCCTCTGGCAACTTTCCATACAAATTTCCCCAAACCAGTGCTGAGAAAAGAACCTAGCGTCAGTTTTCCCTGAGCTCAGAGTCCTGTCCTTTCCTTTCGCTCATTTTCCTTGTCTGTTTACCCAGGATGCGAATCCCTGCCCCACCCTGCTCTTCTCCCAGGGTTGTCGTGAGATCAGATGAAAGAGGAGGTGTGAGGGTGGCTGTCATGTGAAGTGCTGAGTTCTGGGGCAGAGAGGTACGGCACCTGGCACCCAGTGGGACTCAGTGCTGTTATTTCTATTATGATGGTTGCAGTCAGTTGGTTTCCTCAATTTCCAGACCTTCAGTACAGATCTCAATTATGATTTTGAAATGCTTTTCTTTTTCCATCATACTAATTAACGATGGTTTGTTTTGCCTTGTCAAAGCAGGTGCTTGGATATTTTTAGAAGATTCCCCTTTGTCAGAGATCCCATGGCTTGGTGTGGAGTGGTGTGAGTTGTGCCCAGTGGAACATTTAGGTTATTGGTTGGTTGAAAACTCTGCTCTCTGCATCCTTGTAGAATGTACATGTAGATATGACTTTAAATAAAAGTCAGCATTTTCTGAATTTCTTTTTGTGCCAACCCAGACATACCCCTTTTAAAAATATTGGCTGGTTATTAAACTCTATTTGTTTTGTTTCTCCATCTGTGCCATGTGCTTTCCACAGATAGCTTGTAGAACTTTGCTTAGCACAGGGGCTTTGGAACCATTTTGCATGGTTCCACTTTCACTCTGGGAAGATGGGGAGTTGAGGAAGGAGTTTGGACAGAAGACTTATTTAACTCCAGTTTCATCTTGGTTTCAATTATCTACATACTCATTCATATCCACCCATCCATCATGCTTTCCCATTCATTCTTCCACTGAGCATCTTCTATATACCAAGTTTCACAGCAGTATGAGGGTTTGCAAGCACAGAGATGAAAAAGAGAGTTTATGCCCATGAGGACCTTGAAGTCCAATAATGTGGTCTTATAGAGCAGAGTGTTAGATGCTATGAGAAAGGAATGCACGAGAAGGATGAGAGCCCAGAGGACAGCCCCTCTTCTAGGACTGAAGGTCGAGGGAAGTCTTCCTACAGGAGATGAGACTGAACTGAATCCTGAAGGATAAAGGCGGTCAGAGAAGGCTTTACAAGTAGAAGAAACAGCAAGTACAGAGATATATTGGGGTGGAGAGTTTGGCATGGTATGGGAACTGCAACCTGTTTTAGTACAGTCAGAGCATAGCATGCAGGATGGAGGTGGAGGGTGAAAAAAAATGATGCCAGAAAGGTGGGCAGGGGTAGGATCGTCAAAAGTCCTAGGAGCCATGGTAATGAGTTTGAACCAAGGGGAAATCCTCTAAGATAATTTAGAGCAGGAGAGTGATGAACAGATTTGTAGTTTTTGAAAGCTTCTTCCAGCTTCAGGGTGGAGGCTGGACTGAAGGAGGTCAGACTCACTGAGGGAAATGGGATCAGTCGGTGGCTGTCGCAGTGATGGTAGGACACAATGACGAAGCCCCAGCATTAGGTAGTGGTCGTGAAAGAGAGAAGGAGACAGTTCAAGACATGCCTGAGGAGTGGAATGGACAAGGCTTGTTGCTAGATGGAATGTGGAGGTGAGGGAGAAGGAGGAGGCTTCAGTGTCTGAGTGACAAGGATGTCACTAATTCTTGCATGTAACGTAGGAAAGAGGACAGCCTTGTGGGAGGGTGCCTTGAGTTCAGGCTCACCATCTAAATGTTGGGTGAGATAGAGATTTGAGAGAGCTGAGTGGGAGTGTGGTTGCCCAGGGAGAAAGTAGAGAGTTGAGGAGAGCTGGGCGCGGTGGCTCATGCCTGTAATCCCAGCACTTTGGGAGGCCAAGGCGGGTGGATCACCTGAGGTCAGGAGTTCAAGACCAGCCTGACCAACATGGTGAAATCCCGTCTCTACTAAAAATACAAAAAATTAGCCGGGAGTGGTAGTGCGTGCCTGTAATCCCAGCTACTTGGGAAGCTGAGGCAGGAGAATCTCTTGAACCTGGGAGGCGGAGGTTGCAGTGAGCCGAGATCATGCCATTGCACTCCAGCTTGGGCAACAAGAGCGAAACTCCATCTCAAAAGGAAAAAAAGAAACCAAGAGTTGAGGAGAGGAGAAAGCCGGCACCAAAACCCCAGGGAAACTGTATTTATTGAGAAGCAATGGAAGAGTAATTAAAAAGGAACCAAGGAGGAACAGCCAGAGATGTAGGAGTCCTGGCAGCCTGGGCAGCAGAATTCCCAGGAGTCACATGTTGTGAAAGGATGAGGAAGATGAGTGTGGAAAGGCACCCATTGGATTTAATGACAAAGAAGTTTCTGGCTGTCTTGTAGAAAGCATCTCTGGTGGGGTGAGGAGTGAATGGCATGTGAGGAAGCTGGTGTGGAGGGTGCAGGCGAGCCTACACCCATGGCTGTGAAGAGGGAGAGGTGGCTAGAGAGGAAGATGAGAAGGGCAGGTGACTGGTCTGGGGCTCACAGTGAGTTAATATATTAAATTAATTCATCCACCTAATTAGGTGCCTGTTATGCAGCATGTTGTGCTAGGCACCAGGTAGAAAGAAACTTAAGACATGCATTCCAATGTGTAAAATTCAGTGAGTAAAGCCCCAAAAATGCAGGATCAAGAGACCCACTTTCCTATATTTGCTAAAAAATAATGTGGTATAGTAAAAATGACACAGATTTTGGGTAAAAATAGATCTAGGTTCAAATCTTGACTTTCTTTTTGGCTATGTGATCTTGGGCAAATTATTTAATCTCTCTAAGCCTCAGTTTTCACATCTGTAAAATGGGAATAATAATATCCCCCATATAGATTTCTTGAGAAGATCTGAGATAAGGTCTATTAACTCTGTAAGGGTAAGGGATTTGTCTAAATTACTCAGTATCGTATCCCCAGTACCAAGCATAGCATAATGCCTGGCCCATAGCAGGGATTTAGTAGATATTTGCAGAATGAATGGATGACAGAAGGTATGTGAAGAACCTGGCATAGAGGAGGTGCTCTGTAAAGGGTAGCCATTCTTCCTCACTGCTCTGGGACCTGTGAGGATCTGTCACTGGATGCGTGAGGATGAGATAATGAATTACCAGGCAAAATGCTAAAGCCTCTGGTTGGCAATGAGACGTAGGGTGGATATCCTGTTCTGAATACTTGGCTCATGATGGGCGTGAATGGATAAGGGAAGCAGCTCGTGCCTGGCCAGAGGCAGGCCATCAACAGTCCTGTGCAGTACAGGGAGGCTGAGGGGAAGGAATGTTAGGCATGTGCTGACTTACATGTGACCTCAAGTGAGAGGGACAGGCTGTTCCAGTCATCTCATCTAGGTGAGCAGCTTCTAGCTCTCAGGCCTGTGACTCTCAGTGGCCTGGGTCAGCTCAAAGGTTCCTGCCTGTCCACAGGTGCTGGCCTTTTCTGGCTACTCTTCCCTGTTCACAATTTAGATGCTCAAGGCAGCAGAAAAGATAACAGCCAAAAGTGGAGGCAATTTACCTCTTTGTTAATTCCTGCCTGAATGAAAACAAAAAAATTGTTGTGTGTGTTTTCTCCCTGGAAATGTCATACCTCCTCAATATTTAAAAAAGTCCTAGGACAGCAAAAAGAAAAAAAATCACCAAATTGGTGTGGTTTCAGGGTCATGTTTTTCTTTTTTTCTACCTGGTTTTTAATATACTCTCTGCCTAGTTTCTTTTCTTTTTGGACTTGAGGAAGGCCAGAGCTGCTTTTCCTGGAAGAATGATGCTCCGTGACTGGCAAAACCAGTGAGAGAGACACTTCGGCACATTAAGAAGCCAGAGGCTCATTAGTGTCTATTTACTACCTTGTAGAATGCTCTCGAAGAAGAACCTGAGACTGTCATCTCCTGGAATGGGGCTCCCCAGAGCTTCCTCACTCAGGATGTGCATAATGAATGTAGCAGCCTGGGCAGGGGGAGGGCGTCACATGCTGGGCCTGTGGTCCCAGGGGCAGCCTCATCTTTCCCTGGCTCCTTCAAAAGCAAGGCATTATGGGCAGGGAGGGATGATTTATGATCTCCTCTCTTTGGGCTCAGCGTGGATGCTGTGGGAGGAAGGAGGCTGCTCTGCCCAGGGGCAGGAGCAGAGCACCCACACACCATGCAGAGGATCACTGGACACATCTCACATAGTCAGGGTTGGAGAAGAACTCATGATCACCTGATCAGCCTCTCAAGTCTACAGAGGCAGAAAATGAGGCACAGGGAGAAAATGGGGCTGGATGAAGGCCCACTCTTAGCCCATGCCAGAGCAGAGGAACATCCATTCATGCCTAATCCAATGCACTGTGCTGATTCACCTCTCTCAGTGGTGAATTTTCCCATCTGGAAAACTAGGCTGATATTGTAGATCCTAGCTTACAAAAACATTCTCAACTGGAATGTGAAAGAATACACAATTGGGAGTCAGAAGACATTGGTTTGGGTCCTAACCCTGTGGGATCTTGGGCAAGGCACTTTGCCTATTTGAGTCTCAGTTTACCTTCTGTAACATGAGGTGAATTATCAACAATAATAGCTAATATTCTTGAACCCTCACTGTGGGCCAGGCAATGTGCTAAGTGTTAGGGTTATTTCAATTATTCTTCTTAATAACCTTAAGAGGGAGGTACTATTATTCCTATTTTAAAGATGAGGAAACTGAGGTTGAGTTTAATTAGCTTGAGTAAGGTCTCAAAGCTAGGTGATAGTATTTATCGCACAAGGTTTATGTAAGAGTTGCATAAGCTGCTTATGAATGTGTTTTTCGATTATGAAATACACATGCAAACAATTTTCCATGTAAAAGTATTTTGAATTTTTTTGAGAAAAAGTCCTGAATGCCAAGTCATCACTGTTTGATCTTATTTGCCAAATGTTCTTTGAATTGCTGCTGAGTGTGAAGAACCATGTCAAGTGCTGGAGAGGAGGGCATGCTGCAACCCCCACTCTCATGGAGGTTACAGGTCAGCAGCTAACGCAGCCATCCAGGTAAAAATGACAAGTGGGATGTGAACCCAGGAGTGGGAATGGATGGTGGGTAAGGGAATGAGCTTTGTCTGGAACAGTGGTTTCTAACCCTGGCCAATCCCAGAGATTCTGATTTACCAGGGAAGGGAAGGAGCCCAGACATCATTGTTTTTTAAAGCCCTCTGGGATTGGAATGGGCCACCACAATTCAGACCTGCTGATCCAGATGATGAAGACATCTCCCTGAGGAAGTAACATTTAAGCTAGGGGCTGCTGGAGTTTGAAGATGGTTCATTCTAACTGCAGCTGACAGCTTTGCCAGGTAGATGTTTCTCTCTTCTGACAGGGAGGGCTGGAGACCACAGTCAGGAGGGACCCCCAGGTGAGCTGCACTTCCTGAGAGAAACTCAGCCAGACGGCAAGGCTGCCCACCCCACCCTCCACATTCACTGCCCCACATCGGTGGAGAGAAGTGGTTTCCTCTGGAGCTGATAGCTCCACCTGTCGCCTCTGTGCAGCCAGCTGCTACTGAGTAGGGGCTGGGTGAGGAGTAGATCCAGGATTCTTGGAGGTGTGACTTTGAAGACTGGTTTCTCCCTTCACCCATCAGGCTGCCAATGGGGGCTGCTCCCCAGACAGGCTGCATCCATGGTGCCCCTTCATGTCACACAGCCAGGCCTGGGAGATGCAACGTCAAAAAACACATTCAGAGACAGTGCATACAATTCTTACAAAGACTCTATCAGCTAGCAGTGAGACCTCGGGCCAGTTGATTAAACTCTGAGCCTCAGTTTCTTCACCTATAAAATGAGGATAATAGTGGTAGTGTTTTATGAAAACAACCATAAAGTTGTTTTTATGAAAGAGTAGCCAGGACAGAGGAAGCCCCTTTGATGCTGGCACATGGGGTGAAGGCTCATGCCCCCCTCAAGTCAGCTCTGCCAGGTCAGCTGTATCATGCATTCAGTAAATGAAGTCACACCTAGGCCAGGTGAAAGGATGTACCCTTAGCACGTTAGCCAAGAGGCCTTGCTAGTTCTGAGCCCCCAAATGAGGAACACCAGTGTTGGTTGGAGGCAGTCCTGCTCTAGGGAGGGGGCTGCTCTTGGAGCAGAAATGGAGACGGACTGCTTGCCCCAGTGTCAAACAAGAAGATGGAGTTGAACATGACCACCCATTCTCCCCACATTTACCAAGCAGAGAAGCTTCCATCTCCACACGTGCAGTGGAAGTACAAGGTGAAGAGAATCTAGAATCTCCCCTACTGAGGAGGTTTCCTCTATCCAGACACACAGCACGAGTGGGGAAGAAGCATTGCAACCTCTACCCCCACCCTGCCACCATCTTGCACATGAAACCCTGGAGTTTTAGAACTGAAGGTACTTTAAAGATCATCTAGACCAACCCACTCATTTACAGAAGAGGAAATAGACTCAGAGAGGGAGAATGACTTGATGAAGGGGAAGAGCTGAGACTCAAACAGGGTCTCCTGGCTCCTGGACCTGTGTCTGTTTCATGTCTGGGGTGGAGCTGGCAGGGCTTTTTCCAGGTCATGCTCTAGCGGCATGAACATCTCCAGCCAGGCCCATCCCTATCAGCATTGCATGTAGGGATGGCACTCAGCCTTGCCAGTCCTTTCTTTAGTTAAATGTTTCATGGATGAATGAGATGAGATATATCTGGGTGACATCTCTTCTGTTTAATTGTAATATTATAACTGTTTATCAATATATAACCTTTAATATGCATCTATCAAACAAATGTCTATTCTTTAACATGTACTTGTCCTTGTGTTTCATGCATAATGAAACCAAATGGAAGAAACAGCCCTACATTATCACCTTCTTCCTGGATCTGCTGTCTTCCCATCTCGATTCTGCCTTTACAACTTGGCCTTTGCCTTTAACAACACATCTAGGACAATGCCACTCCCAAATTGGCTCAGCTCACAGCAGTGCTACTACCTGCCTTATTCTGGCCATGTGGGAGTGTTTCTAATCATAACATGGCAGAACTGGAATGGCTCTTACAGATTATCTGGTCCAGTGGATTTCAAGATCCTCATTTCCTTAGTGAAACTCTCTTATAAAACACAATCTTATGTGAAATTCTAAAGGTGGAGCTCTTGGGAGGCAGCAGGGGGTCCAGGGCCAGAGGCTGTCCCACTTGGCTTTCCTTTTGCCCTGTTCTTTTCCATCTTCTAGCCCTCTAAGATAAGGTGCCCATGTTGCAGATGAGCAAAGTGAGTTCCAGAAAATGAAGTCACATGGTTGGTGAGCCTAGATTCTAGAGTCTGATAACAAGTTGCTTATAAAAAAATAAGTCGTGCTTTTCAGTTTTCATTTGTGAAAATTCTGATATTTTTGGCATTAAATAAATGAGTAAAACTGAGCCTTTAATTATAGAGTTAGTCTTTTAATTAGTTTGTCAAACATTTGTTAAGCACATGATCTTTCCAGTTGCATTAAAAATTCATGATTTGAATGTAGATACAATAAAAATTGGCCTTTGGTGCTAATGAAAATCAGAGAGTGCCTATAATTAAGATTAAATTCCATTGTAAGTATGAACCCTCCCAAGTAATTGTGGCTTAAACAAAATGGTACTACATGTCTGTGATGGTTAATACTGAGTGTCAACTTGATTGGATTGAAGGATACAAAGTATTAATCCTGGGTGTGTCTGTGAGGGTGTTGCCAAAGGAGATAAACATTTGAGTCAGTGGGCTGGGGAAGGCAGACCCACCCTTAATCTAGTGGGCACAATCTAATTAGCACCAGCAAATATAAAGCAGGCAGAAAAACATGAAAGGAGGGACTGGCTTAGTCTCCCAGCTTACATCTTTCTCCCATGTTGGATGCTTCCTGCCCTCAAACATCGGACTCCAGGTCCTTCAGTTTTGGGACTCAGACTGGCTCTCCTTGCTCCTCAGCTTGCAGACAGCCTATTGTGGGACCTTGTGATCGTGTAAGTTAATAATTAACAAACTCCCATTTATATATATATATATATATATATATATATTCCGTTAGTTCTGTCCTTCTAGAACCCTAATACAGGTTTTGGTACCAGGAGTGGTTCTAGAGGAACAGAATATTAAGGATGGAGTTCTTTTGTTGGTTTTAGGGTTACTGGAGTTGACTGCTTAATATGATTGACCCCAAAATGCTAAGGACTCTACTTCTAACAGTATGGGGAACACTGATAGTCCTTGGTGTGAACTGTTTAGAGTTAGGCAAAATAAATGCATTTGACACTCCTGATTCACCACTTGTGAGAGGCAGGGAGTTTAATGACTCTCTACATAATACCTTTGACCATATGTGGAGAAGCAAGGAACATAATGAAGCTGGTTGGTTGCTCCGAAGTTCAGTGGACAAAGTGATGAAAGAAAATGATGAACTCAAGGATTCTGTCTTCCAGCCTCAGAAACAGATACTCAAATCTGCTAAGATTGCCCTGAGTGACAGTCTTTTCTTCTGTAGAGAAAGAGCTGAAATTATGGAAAAAGAAACACAAGCTCTTATCATGCAAGTGGCTTACGTGCAATGAAAATGCATGCACAGCCTATCCAGGTGTCTACCAGTTAAAGTGAGGGCATTGATTGGAAAAGAATGGGACCCTGCAGCTTCGAATGGGGACATGTGGGAGGACCCTGATGAAGCTGGGGACAGAGTTTGTAAGCTCTGATGGACCTTTTTTGCCAGGAGGAGCAGCTTCCCCATCCCCAATAGTGGCAACATCCCCTCCCCAACCCATGCTGCCATCAGCCTTCCCACCTTTGTCTGAGGAGATAAACCCTGCGCTGCCTGAGGCAACAGTGATGGCCTCCACTGAGGCAGTTGCCAGGCAAAATACTGTTGAGTCTCCTCAGGACCCACCCCCAACACCCCTGTTTGCTTCTAGACCTATAACCAAAGTCCCAGTGGTCCCCTAGAGGTGAGGTTGAGAGTGTGACCCATGAGGAGGTGTGTTACACTGGAAAAGAACTGTTTGAATTCTCCAATTTGTATAAACAGAAATCTGGAGAACAGGCATGGGAATGGATATTAAGGGTATGGGATAAAAGTGGAAGGAACATAGAGTTGGATGAAGCTGAATTTATTGATTTGGGCCCACTAAGTAGGGACTTTGCTTTTAATGTTGCAGCTCGGGGAGTTAAAAAGGTTCTAATACTTTATTTGCTTGGTAAGCTAAAATATGTATTAAAAGATGGCCCACTGTGAGAGAGCTAGAAATGCCTGAGCTCCCTTGGTTTAAAGTAGAGGAAGGGATCCAAAGGCTTAGGGAGATTGGAATGGTGGAGTGGATTAGTCACTTTAGACCTACTCATCCCAGCTGGGAGGGTCCAGAAGATACACCCTCGACCAACATCTTGAGAAATAGATTTGTGAGGGCAGCACCTGCATCTTTGAAGAGCCTTGTAATTGCTTTTCTCTATATGTCAGATATAATGGTGGGAACCACAGTCACTCAGCTACAAAATTTAAATACAATGGGAATAATTAGACCCGAGGTGGCAGGGGCTAAGTGGCGGCCCTCAATCTTCAAAGGCAAAGTGGGCGTAGCAGCTACCATAATGGACAGCAGAGGAAAAGTGTCAGAATAGTCTGACTTGTGCAGAGCTCTGGCATTGGCTAATTAATCACCGTGTTCCTAGAAATTGATACAAAGCCTACCGCATTCCTACTTAATTTATACAAGCAGAAAACTTCTAGATCGAATGGACAAAGACTAATTTGAATTATAAAAACAGAGTCACAGCCCCCTCAATCAATTTCCAGACTTGAGCCAGTTTACAGACCCAGAACCCCTTGAATGAAGGGAAGGCTGGGCCTCCTTGAGGAAGGACCCCACTATATTACTGACAGTTTATGCAGTGAATCTTTCTCCTATCCTTCCCCAAGGGGACTGCTGGCCTTTCACCAGGGTAACTGTGCACTGGAGAAAGGGAAATGATCAGACATTTTGGAGACTACTGGACACTGGCTCTGAGCTGATGCTAATTGGAGGGGACCAAAAATGTCATTGTGGTCCTCCAGTTAAAGTAGGAGCTTACAGAGGTTAGGTAATTAATGGAATTTTAGCTCAGCTCTGACTTACAGAGTGTCCAGTGGGTCCCCAGACTCATCCTATGGTCATTTCCCCAGTGTCAGAATGCATGATTGCCATAGCCATACTTAGCAGCTGGCAGAGTCCCCACACTGGCTCCCTGACTGGTAGGATGAGGGTTATTATGGTGGGAAAGGCCAAATGGAAGCCATTAGAGCTGCCTCTACGTAGAAAAATAGTAAATCAAAAACAATATCGCATCCCTGGAGGGATCGTGGAGATTAGTGCCACCATCAAGGACTTGAAAGATGCAGGGGTGGTGATTCCCACCACATTCCTGTTCAACTCTCTCATTTGGTCTGTGCAGAAGACAGATGGATCTTGGAGAATGACAGTGGATTATCATAAGCTTAACTGAGTGGTGACTCCAACTGCAGCTGCTGCACCAGATGTGGTTTCATTGCTTGAGCAAATTAACACGTCTCCTGGTACCTGGTATGCAGCCATTGACTTGGCAAATGCATTTTTCTCCATTCCTGTCCATAAGGCCCACCAGAAGCAATTTTCCTTCAGCTGGCAAGGCCAGCAATCTACCTTTACTGTCCTACTTCAGGGGTATATGGACTCTCCAGCTTTGTGTCATAATCTTATTTGGAGAGAACTTGACCTCTTTTCGCTTTCACTTTGCTATCACTTTGGTCCATTATATTGATGACATTATGCTGATTGGATCCAGTGAGCAAGAAGTAGCAAACACACTGGGCTTATTGGTGAGACCTTTGCATGCCAGAGGATGGGAAATAAATCCGACTAAAATTCAGGGAACTTCTACTTCAGTAAAATTTCTAGGGGCCCAGTGGTGTGGGACCTGTCAAGATATTCCTTCTAAGATGAAGGATCAATTGCTGCATTTGGCCCCTCCTACAACCAAGAAAGAGGCACAACGCCTAGTGGGCCTATTTGGATTTTGGAGGCAACATATTCCTCATTTGGGTGTGTTACTCTGGCCCACTTGTCAAGTGACCCGAAAGCCTGCCAGCTTTGAGTGTGATCCAGAACAGGAGAAGGCTCCTCAACAGGTTCAGGCTGCTGTGCAAGCTGCTCTGCCACTTGGGCCACATGGCCCAGCAGATCCAATGGTGCTTGAGGTGTCAATGGCAGATAAGAATGCTATTTATAGCCTTTGGCAGGCCCTCATAGGTGAATCACAGTGGAGGCCTCTAGGATTTTGGAGCAAGGCCCTGCCATCTTCTGCAGATAACTACTGTTTTTTTTGAGAGACAGCTGTTGGCCTGTTACTGGGCTTGGGTGGAAACTGAATGTTTGACTATGGGTCATCATGTCACCATGTGATCTGAACTGCCTATCATAAACTGGATGCTTTCTGACCCATCTAGCCATAAAGTGAGTCACGCACAGAAGCATTCCATCATCAAATGAAAGTTATATATACTTGATCAGGCTTGAGCAGGTCCTGAAGGCACAAGTAAGTTACATGAGGAAGTGGCTCAAACACCCATGGTCTCCACTCCTGCCACCCTGCCTTCTTTTCCCCAGCCTGCACCGATGGCCTCATGGGGAGTTCTCTATGATCAGTTGACAGAGGAGGAGAAGACTAGGGCCTGGTTCACAGATGGTTCTGCACAATATGCAGGCACCACCCAAAAGTGGACAGCTGTAGCACTGCAGTTTCTTTCTAGGACATCCCTGAAGGACAGCAGCAAAGGGAAATCTTCCCAGTGGGCAGAACTTTGAGCAGTGCACCTGGTTGTGCACTTTGCATGGAAAGAGAAATGGCCAGATGTGTGATTATATAGTGACTCATGGGCTGTAGCCAGTGGTTTGGCTGGATGGTCAGGGACTTGGAAGAAGCATGATTGGAAAATTGGGGAAAAGGTATGTGGATTGACCTCTGAGTGATCAAAAACCATGCTGATATTTGTATCCCATGTGAGTGGTCAACAAAGGGTGACCTCAGCAGAGGAGGATTTTAATAATCAAGTTGATAGGATGACTCATTCTATGGACACCACTCAGCCTCCTTCCCCAGCCACCCCTGTCCTTGCCCAACGGGCCCATGAACAAAGTGGCCATGGTGGCAGGGATGGAGGTTATGCATGGGCTCAGCAACATGGAATTCCACTCACCAAGGCTGACCTGGCTACAGCCACTGCTGAGTGCCCAATTTGCCAGCACAGAGACCAACACTGAGCCCCTGATATGACACCATTCCTTGGGGTGATCAGCTAGCTACCTAGTGGCAGGTTGATTATATTGGACCTCTTCCATCATGGAAAGGGCAGAGGTTTGTCCTCACTGGAATAGACACTTACTCTGGATATGGGTTTGCCTATCTTGCACGCAATGCTTCTGCCAAGACTAACATCTGTGGACTCATGGAATGCCTTATCCACTGTCATGGTATTCCACACAGCATTATCTCAGACCAAGGCACTCACTTTATGGCTAAAAAAGTGTGGCAGCGGGCTCGTGCTTATGAAATTCACTGGTCTTACCATGTCCCCCATCACTGAAGCAGCTGGATTGATAGAACGGTGGAATGGCCTCTTGGAGTCAATTACAATGCTAACTAGGTGACAGTACTTTGCAGGGCTGGGGCAGAGTTGTCCAGAAGGCCGTGTATGCTCTGAATCAGCATCCAATATATGGTACTGTTTCTCCCATAGCCAGGATTCACAGGTCCAAGAATCAAGGGGTGGAAGTGGAAGTGGCACCACTCATCATCACCCCTACTGATCCACTAGCAAAATTTTTGCTTTCTGTTCCTGCTGCATTATGTTCTGCTGGTCTAGAGGTCTTAGTTCCAGAGGGAGGAACGCTGTCACCAGGAGACACAACAACAATTCCATTAAACTGGAAGTTAAGATTGCCACCTGGACACTTTGGGTTCCTCCTACCTTTAAGTCAGCAGGCTAAGAAGGGAGTTACAATGTTGGCTCGGGTGGCTGACCTGGACTATCAAGATGAAATCAGTCTACTACTCCACAATGGAGGTAAGGAATAGTATGCATGGAATACAGGAGGTCCATTAGGGTGTCTCTTAGTGTTACCATGCCCTGTGATTAAGGTCAATGGGAAACTACGACAGCCCAATCCAGGCAGGACTACAAATGGTCCAGACCCCTCAGGAATGAAGGTTTGGGTCACTCCACCAAGAAAAAAACCATGATCTGCTGAGGCGCTTGCTGAAGGCAAAGGGTATAAAGAATGGGGAGTAGAAGAAGATAGTCATCAATATGAGCTACAACCATGTGACCAGCTGCAGAAACAAGGACTGTAACTGTCACGAGTATTTCCTCCTTCTTTTGTTAAAAACATCTTTGTGCATGTATACACTTGTACTAAGAAAAGATCTTCATTTTATTTCCTTCTCCTTTACCATGTGACACAAAATTTATTGACTTCATATCAGCATTTAAGTATTGTTAACTTTATGTAATGATATTTGGGTTGGGGATTGGTGCGTTTCCGGTTGTACAAAGAATAGTTGTATTACGTTAGGTGTAATTATGACCTTATCATCATCTTTATTTGAAGATTATGTATGATCTCAGGAGATGTGTATGGGTTCAAATTGACAAGGGGTGGACTTGTGATAGTTAATACTGAGTGTCAACTTGATTGGATTGAAGGATAAAAAGTATTGATCCTAGGTGTGTCTGTGAGGGTGTTGCTGAAAGAGATTAACATTTGAGTCAGTGGGCTGGGGAAGGCAGACTCACGTTTAATCTGGTGGGCACAATCTAATCAGCTGATATATATATCCTATTAGTTCTGTCCCTCTAGACAAACCTGACTAATACAATGTCCCTCTCACATTAAAATCTGGAAGAGGACAATCAAGGACCAGTGTTGTGGCTGTTTCCTAGAGTTCTCCACCATTCCTAGGGTATGGCTCTCAATTTCTTGCACCAAGAGGGTGGCTGGAACTCTAGCATTCATACCTACCAGACAGCAGGATGGAGGAAGGGACAAATAAGAAAGGAGGTTAAGAACCCAGGCCAGCTAAGTTGTAATGGATTTTCCCAAACATGGCTAAAATAAACTTCTGTCTATATGCCATTGGCCTGAACTAGTCATAGGTCATCATAACTATAATGAAGGCTGGGACATAAAGTCTATTCCAAGCAGCCATGGGACCTCCTAAAAATCAGGGTTCTGTTGTAAGGGGAAAAGGGGAGAATGAAGGCAAGGGAATGCTACAGAGAGAGTCCCTCATGTTTATTCCCCCATTCTATGATTTTCATAAGCAAAGGTTGAGGGAACCTAAAGTTATTGTGTGTGAAGGGGATGTGGAGGTAGGGGAAGTAAGGTGGACTTAGGAGAGGGCAGGGCTGTTAATGGCTGATGGAGGCAGTCTGAAGTGTTTGTAGTTCAATGGTTTATGACAAGGGCTCACCAAATTTTGTGCCCCCAAGGATTCACATATCTCATGCCCTATGCAGGGTTTCCTAGGCAAATTGTTTATTATTATAATTGGACAATAGTGTTGCTTAGTGCAATAGAATATTATCTGACCCTAGATCCTGTTTTGGGGATAGAGGGATTTATGGAAGAAATATTAAGAAAACAAAACAAAATGGGAAAACATATAGGAATATTTGATACTAAGTAGTCAAAACATGCCAAAGACCAAAACGACTTTGTACAAAAGCATGAGAAAGCTAATGTGGGAAAAAAGAAAGCCAGTGTGAAGTGAGCGTGTGTAAAACACCATTTTTTTCACTTTGGGACTAATGTGGGCAGCTGTGGACAGTCAGACTGCTTTAGATAATGAACAATGATTATTTAATTGTATTATCAATAATGGCAGCGTTTCTTTTTAAATTTAAGACCAGGTTATAAAGCACTTGGGTCTTATCTCCACGTACAACGTACGAAGTATGGACAGTTTCCTAGCTGCTAGAGCACATCCTTGGATTTGAGATAGGAATGCATTTAATAGACTGAATCAGTGCAGCTTTCTTTTGGAAATTTCAATTTCACTGCAAGCAATTTACATAGAGTCTCAGCTTGAATTCATAGCTCATATCTTGGTTGCTTTGGAGATAGCTTCTCTGTTGGAAAGGCAATTACGATCTGCAGGAGAAGCCTGTCTGCCATTAGTCTCCAGTTTTAAACGTTGACAGGTGGAGATGGAGGTGGGGGTGGGGGTGATTAATAAAGGGCTTTGTCTTTCTAGTCCATGGAAGGAAAGGGATTTAGGTGTCACAATTTCCTGGTCTCCAAGGATTTTTTTTTCCTCAACATTTCAAGCTTTTGAGCAAAATGAGAATATGTTTTTTGAAATCAGGGAATTTTGTTGCATTGTATATATTGGGACCATGAAATGACAAAGGCAGTCTCTTGAAGTTTTACTAAGCCATGGAAAAGAAATCTAGTGAGACTATAACATTCATCTTTAGCCTCTGAATGTGGATAGCTTTAAAATCTATACAGAGATTTTTGCTATACTCTTGGTTCTTCTTATGGAAAATGGAATAGGACTCTGGTTGTTGGTCCTCAGTGCCATTGTACCACAAAGCAGTCCTAATGTTCATGAGATGGCTTTTCCCCTTAACAGCTAATATGGTGAAATTGTTGTGTCTACAATTAGATCATGGTTCAGCCAAACAAATATGTATTTTATGAGTGACTTATTCTCTGTGAGGCCCTGATATAGCCCAGAGGCTTATGCATTCAAATCAGAGGCCTGAGTCGAGACCTGCCAGCATTTTCATCTAATTGACTTGGGCACAGGGACCCTTGATTCCTTCTCCTTTAATTATCACCTTATATTCAAGGCTAAAAGCTGTAATTATTTGAAGTAGCTGGAATTTGAGTGACCCAGATAATTATCTCAGCAAGATGGGCTTAAAGTTTATTGACACAAATGCCAGTTTCATTAAAGGTTTGGTACAAAAGGCAAGTGTCTGAGACAGCTGGTTGACTGAGGTGAATTGACAATGAACGGCACCAAAGACACAAGAATCACCAGGGACATTGAAGTAATTACCGTCATTTCCATAATACAGTTAGCAGAGGATTATGGGAAGCCAGAAAAACCTTTATGGTGATATTTTGCTTTGCCCAAATCGAGGCTAAGCTGCTAAGAATCAGAGGTCTTCTTTCCTCATCATTTCTCAATGACCATGACTCAGACTCCACTTAGGCTACAGGTAGTCAAAAGAAAGGTTAATGAGTCAAAATGAATGAAAACTGTAACCTGCCCTAGATTGTGGGTAGCAAAAGCTAACACTATGGCAACAGTAAAATTTGCACAGATATAGATTTTTTTCAATCTTACCTTATACATCTATACATCTATTTCTTTTGTGTGTTTAATAGATGACTAAAGATAGCACAATACCTGCCTGCTATAAAGTTAAAAATTTTAAACAATTAACATCTGAATTCAAACACATGCAATTAAGGCCTCAATACTGTATTTCAGAGTTTATTAGTTATCATTAAGTAGTAATAATTCCACATATAGATTAACCATAGATCACTTTGGGAATTAAACATTTTTGTACCATTTATTAAATGGTACTTCCTACTGTTGGCTAACATGTAGTAGGCATGTCATGTTTCCCTAAAGAGATTGTAAGCTATTGGAAGCAGTTGCTTCTAGTAACAATATCACCACAAACTCAGTGGCTTAAACAATGTACATTTATTATCTTACTGTTTCTGTGGGTCAGGAACCCAGGCATGATCTAAATGGGGGCTACACATCAAGGTCTCTCATGAGGCTACAATTAATATGTCAATCAGGACTAAGGTCTCATCTGAAAGCTTGAATGGGGAAGGATCCACTTCCAAGCTCATAAGTCGTATGTGTTTTTGTTTCCTCCAGCACCTGGCATTATGCTTTGCATGTGTAAGAGGCATTTGTTAGGAACAAAAGGGCATTTTGACTTCCATATACAGAAATATGTGGATGGGTAACTAAGTATGAGTGAAGTCACTACCCAGGGATTGATCTCTATGTTGAAGGAAGGCATGGGGATAGAGGTAATAATTTTCTAATCTGGGTGAACTATACCCCAGTTTGTGATAGGGTGTCTGGACAGATTACAGCTCTGGGTGAAAAAGTCTAAATAACAATGATAACAGCTTCCATTTATTGAGCAACTAACTTGTGCCAGATACTGTGCTGAGCAGATGAGAATGCAGAGGCCTAGGGGGGTTAAGTATCTTGCCTGAGAGTCATAAAGCTAATAAATGGCAGAGCTGGAAAACCTTATTCTATTAATGTCAAAGTGCATGTTCCCAACCACTACGCTTTATGCCCTCTGATAGATGGCCTTTTGGGTAGGGCACAGAGCAATTTAGCTCTGTGGGGAGTGAGGTATAGTGCTGCCTTAATCTCACAGTTCTTTTGTCCAAGAGAAATGTTAAGAAAGGATAAAAACTTTCACAGCAAGGTACTATTTAAATTGCTTTCCTTTTTATGTGGGCTAGTTTTAACAGCAAACAAGCCATAAATCAATGCCTAACCTCTGGCACAGCTTAGCAGTTAGGGTTGGGGAGAGGAGAAAATGATCACTCACAGTCAGGGTTGGGGAGAGGAGACAATGATCACTCACAGTCAGCAGCAGTGCCTGGAGATGGGCAGTGAGGCTGGTCTTCCAGAGTGGGTGGTCAGCAGAGCAGGATGCCATGGAGCAGAGCAGGAAGCCAGTGGCAAATGTGCAAGACCAGGCTGTGTTCCTTGTCAGCTGTCCCCTTGGCTTCCAGCCAGGGCAGGATTTTCTCCTCCAAGTCAGGTTATTATGCCCTTGTGGTTTGGGGGCTTCAAGGTCCCAAACCATTAACATCATAATCATATCACTCTCAGCAGATTTCTGTCCAGCATCCCCCATGATTTATTGTGAACACAAATAAGAAACACACTTATCAGTCAGGACAAGCCAGCTACCAGCCAGCCTAACTAGTAAAAATAACTAAACAATTTGATATTTCTATATACTGCACCCAGATATGCACAAACATATGCCCTTAAATACTAAGGCATTAGCATTAGTATTCTTGGCACTAAGGAAGTAACAATAATGATGCAGTGAATTATCACGGGAAGGAGCAAGGTCATTTTTCTTCCAGGATTTTTCAGACCCAGCATTTACTGCATGTCCTTCTGATGGTGGCTCTTTTTCTGTTACTTGTTATACTCTAGAATATTTGATGTTTTCTTGAAACTTCTTAAACTGTGCTAGGATGTGTCACTCATGGGCCAAAAGTGCTCTACCTCATCCCAGCTTTCCAGCTCCTCTTTCTCTCCTGACAGATGCTGCCATCCTACACCTCCCCAGCCGAGTACCACTGGGTGGAGGGACAGGAGACACAGAGACTTATCCCTTTTCTGAGTGTCACTGTCCATAGACACGCTACAAATATCTGGGCTTGTCAATGCTATATGACTAGAACCAAGTACTAAAGTGTGTGTATGCATAAGGGAAGGAATGGCTGGGCATGCCCAGACAGGCCAAAGAGTCAGTATTGAGGCAAAGTTATTTATAGAAGACAACCTGAGAATATAAACAAGTGACAGTTGAAACAGAAGGGAAACGTGAAAAACTGTCTTTATGGTGCTTCTTAAACTTTGCTGCACATTAGGATCATCTGTCATTTTGAAAACTTATAATATCTAGGCCACAGCTCCAACTAATCAAATCAGAATCTCTGGTGATAGAATCCTGGCAAAAATATTCTTTAACTCCTCAAGTCTCCTACACTGATGACCTAACAGAGGAGAAGTCTCACGCATATTTACATGTAAAAACTATGTTAGTTAATATCTATCACTGCATAACAGTGTTATCACAAACTCAGTCGTTTAAACAACACACATTTATTATCTCACAGTCTGTGGGTCAGGGATCCAGGCAGGACTTAACTGGGGGTGGTGCTTCAAGGTCTTTCATGAGGCTGCAATCAAAGTGTCAACCAGGGCTGAGGTCTCGTCTGAAAGCTGAGTGGTAAGTATCCACCTCTAAGCTCACATGGTTGTTGGCAGGATTCAGTTTCCTGTGCCTGTTGGACTGTGGGCCTCACTTTTTTTACTGACTGTTGGCTGGAGGCTGCCATCAGTTCCTGTCTATGTGGGCCTCCGAGTGATCACTTGTTCATCAAAACAAGCAAGCTGAGAAGGTAAAAAAGAGAGTCTGCTTTAGCAGGATGGAAGTTATTACAGAGTCTAACTGCCAAAGTGACATCCCATCTTCTTTCCTATATTCTGCTGGTTAGAAGCAAGTCATAGGTTCTGCCCTCCCTTAGGCGGGGGGATAACACAGAGGTGTGAATACCAGGAATTGGGGATAATTGTGGGCTATTTTAGAATCTGTCCAACACAAATACTATGTAACACAGTCTCTACTATTCTATGCACATCTGGCAGTCAGTAAAAAATTCTAAGTTACACAAAAAGGCAAGGAAAAAATCAAACGATTGTCAATAGGTGAAGCAATTAACAGAACAAGTTTCAGAGATGATCCCAATGTTGGTGCTAATAGAGAGAAACTTATTAGTAGACAGGCTTATTTGTAGAATCACCATAGTTATGGTGACTCCATGAACTTGAAGATAGAGCAATAAGAACTATCCATACTGAAATACAAATAAGAAAGGAGTGAAGAATAAAAAGAACACCACATCCAAGATCTGTGGGGCAACATCAAATGGAAGCTCAGAGGACTCCAAGCGTACAGACACACACACACACACACACACACACACACACACACACGACTTCTTATATCCAAACTGCTGAAAATCAAAGGTAAAGATAAAATATTGAGGACAGCCAGAGAAAAAATACACTTTACAGTTGAGGAGCAATGATAAGAAATATAGCAGAGTAGAAATGATGTGAACCAGAAGACAAAGGTGTGACATCTTAAGGAATTTTTTTAAAAAGCTGTTAGCCCAGGATTTTATACCCAGAGAAAATACTTTTAATAGGTGAAGATGAAGTAAAAACTTTTCAGAAAAAAGACTTATCATAGGACTACAATCTCATGAGAAACCTTAAGCTAGAGCCACCCAGCTAAGCCAGTACAAAATTCCTGACCCATAGAAGCTGGGAAATAAAACAAGTTCATTGTTTTAAGATGCTAATTTTGGGGGGTTGTTTTTTATGTAGCAATTAATAGAGACAGCTTCTCTGGTAAATTCTACCAAATATTTAGGGCAGAAATAATAACAGTTTTAACCAAACTGTTCCAGAAAATAGAAGAGGAGAAAATACTTCCCAATTCATTTTATAAGGCTAGCATAACCTTGATACCAAAACTATATATAGACTTTGTATAAATGAAAATTAAAGACCAATAACTCACATAAATGTAGACACAAAAATCCTTAACAAAATATTTGCAAATTGAGTCTAGCAATATATAAAAAGGATAATATATCTTATCCAAATGGGGTTTATTCTGGGAATGTAAGATTTCAAAATGTTAGAATAAATCAATTTCACCTTATTAACAGACTAGAAACAAAATATCATATTATCGCAATTGATGCAGAAAAATTATTCGAAAAAATTTAATATCTCATTGTGTTAAATCTCTCAGTAAACTAGTAAAAATGGTAACTTCCTTAAATTGATAAAGAATATTTACCAAAAACCCATAGCTAATATCATGCTTAATGGTGGAAGACTAAAATAGTTTCGCTGAGATTGGAAATAAAGCAAGGATGTCTCCTCCTACTATTCCTATACAGTATCATACTAGATATCCAAGCTAGCATAACAAGGCAAGAGAAAGAAATAAGAAGGTATAGATTGGAAAGGAAGAAATAAAATTATCTTAATTAACAAACAACATAATTGCACACACAGAGAATACCCGCAAAACCTGTAAAGATGTTTTTAGGTCTTATAAGTGAATTCAGCAAGATCATATGATACAAAGTCAATATTTTAAAAATTAAGTGTGTTTATATTTACTAGCAACAGACATTTGAAAATAGAAATCTAAAAAATAAAACCATTTATATATAAGACATAAAATACTAGAGATAGTATTGGCTAAATTTGTATGCTGAAAACTACAAAACATTGGTGAGAGATAACAAAAAGAGCTAAATAAATGAAGAATTATACCCTTTTCATGGATTAGAAAACTCAACATTGTTAAGATATCAGTTCTCTCCAAGCTAGTCTATAGATTCAATACTTAATCAAAATCTGGCCTGGCATTTTTATGAAAATTTTTCATCTAATTCTAAAATTTATGTAGAAAAGCAAAGACAACAGAATAGCCAAAGCAATTTTTTAAAAGACCAGATTTGGAGGACTCACACCACCTAATTTCTGTATTATTATAAAGCTACAGTAATTGAGACAGTGGGGTAATGGTGAAAGGACACACATGTATATCAACAATACCAAATACAGATTGTGTGTGTGTTATGTGTGTTTGCGCATATACACCCTCACAAACTGTATCTACAAAATTGATTTTTAACAAGAGTGTAAAGGCAATACAATGAAGAAAAAAAGTATTTTTTTTCAACAAATGATGCTGGAAAAATTAGATACTCATTGTTGTGATATTGCAAAATATATATTTGGTCTTTTTCCCTGGTTCTTGGCTCAAAGCTCCTAAAACTTTCAGAGTGACAGGGGTGATAGAAACATCTTTTATTATAATATTTGGTCTTAGCCCTGGTTCCTGACGCAAGAGCTTCAGGAATCTCTGGAGTGATGAGTGTCTTTTTTTATACTAGTGAGATGACTGGGACTGGAGGTTCTTAGGTAGCTTCAGGATGAGGGCTGGTCACCAGAAAGACCAAGGTGTGATTAGAGATTTGGAACTTTCAGCCCTACCTCCTGACCTCATGGGAGGAGAGAGGGGCTGGAAATTGAATTAAATCACCAATAATTCAAAGGCCAATAATTCATCAATCATGCCTATGTAATGGAAACTCCATCAAAACCTTAAAGTACGAGGTCAGAGACCTCCCAGGTTGCTGAACACATTAGAGGTTCTGGGAGGGTGGTGTGCCGTATGCATTTCTCCCATCTGGTTGTTCCTGAGTTGAATTATTTATAATAAAGTGGTAATAGTAAGTAAACTGTTTTCCTGAGTTCTATGAGTCATTCTAGCAAATTATTCAACCCAAGGATGGAGTCATGGGAATCTCTGATGTATTGCTGGTTGGTCAGGGGTACAGGAGGCCTGGGACTTGTGAATGGCGTGTATAATGGGGAGCAGTTTTGTAGAACTGGCCCCTTAATATATGGGGTGTGGTGTTAACTTTGAGCAGTTAGTGTCAGGATTGAATTGAATCATTGAACATCCAGCTGGTATCCTGGAGAGTTGGAAAATTGTTGTAGGTGTAAGAACCGTAAGAACCGCACATGCTTGGCTTCAGAAGTGTTCCAAAGGTTTGAACGGATAATACTAATTGGAAAAACAAACAACCAAACAAACAAATGAAAAGAATCTCGGTCCATAACCTGCACCATGTAACCTGAAAGACTATACACTGAAAGGTAAAACCCAACAATACTTTAAAAATCCTTGTTGAAAACATAGGATAAACTCTTTGTGAACTTGATAGAGGCAAAGATTTCCTAATGGAGACAAAAAGCACAAGCCAGAGAAGACAAAGTTAAATGCCATCACAACGAAAACTTCAGCTTTTTGAAAGACACTATTAAGAAAATTTAAAAAAAAATCCAGAGATTGGGGGAAAATATTTAAGACAGAATCTGAGGAGAAACGGTATCTAGAATTGATAGAAAACTCTGAAAACCATAATAAGAAAACAAGGCCGGGCGCGGTGGTTCACGCCTGTAATCCCAGCATTTTGGGAGACCGAGGCCGGTGGACCAACTGAGGTCAGGAGTTTGAGACCAGCCTGGCCAATATGGTGAAATCTCTCCTCTACTAAAAATACAAAATTAGCTGGGTGTGGTGGTGCATGCCAGTAACCCCACCTACTCGGGAGGCTGAGGCAGGAGAATTGCTTGAACCTGAGAGGCAGAGGTTGTGGTGAGCCGAGATCATGCCATTGCACTCCAACCTGGGCAACAAGAGCGAAACTCCATTTCAAAAAAAAAGAAAGAAAGAAAAGAAAAGAAAACAAGAAACTCAATTTTTAAAAATAGGCTAAAGATTTGGATAGATCTTTACCAAAGAAGAAATATGATGGCAACTACTAATAAGTACATAAAGAGATGCTCAACATCATTAGTAATTAGGGAAATAAAATTAAAATTACAAGTGAATACCACCATATATACCATAAATACAAGAATAATGACATTTTTTTACAATCTGAAAGTACTAAGTGTTGGCAAGGATGTGAAACAACTGGAACTTTCATACATTGCTGGTGGAAGAGCCATTTTGCTGGTTCAGCAACTTGGGAAAACAGTTTGGTAGTTTCTTATAAAGTTAAATACACACTTATTGTACAGTTCAGCAATCCTACTCCTAGGTATTTATCCAAAATAAATTTAGACATACGTCCACAAAAATCTTGTACCTGAATACTTACAGCAGCTTTATTCATGATTGTCCTAAACAAGAAGCAACCCAAATGTCTGTAAACTAGTGACTGGATTAAAAAAATTTGTGTTACAGCCTTAAAATGGAATACAATTCAGTTGCAAAAAGCAATAAAGTATTGATCTAGGCAAAATTACAGAGACAAAAAGCAGATCAAAGATTGCCAGGAGCTGGGGGTAGGGAGGGAAGTGGATTGACTACAAAGGGACATTAGAAAAGTTTTTGGGCTGATGGAAATATTGTACATCTTCATTGTGGGTGTAGTTACACAAAGATCTGTACATCTACAAAGGATACATTTTACTTTATGACAATTATATCTCCATACAGGTGACTTTTAAAAAATCGTGAAGAGATGAAAACTCAATTATGATATCTTTGCTTCTCACCAATATTGTACTAGAGGTCCTGGTTTGTACAATAAGACCGAAAGAGGAAATAAAAGGCTCCATATTGTCATTATTGGTGGATAGTATAATTTTCCACATAGAAAATAAACCAAAAGTGGTCCAAGAAAAACTATTATAATTAATAAGACAGTTTAGCAAGTTCACAAATGATAAAATCTATATGCAAAAGTCAATTCCATTTCTATTTGTCAGAATTTGCACTTTAATAAAGATATTATTTATAATTCTACCAAAGAAGATTACCTGTGAATAAATCTAATGAATGCTGTGAAGAAAATTGAAGACAGGGGAAGAGAAATGCCTGCCCAGCTCAGTAACCAAGGTGTTTCCCTGTTAAAATACCTATGAAATTATTAACAGGAAAAAGATTATGCCATTGCTGGAACTACATTGTGGCAGACTGCAAGGTTGTCTTGGGAAACACAAGTTCACCTAAGACAATATGAGGAAGGTATAAAACAGTGTAAAGGAAAATAACTTTGGGCACATATCCAGTAGCTGGGGCAGTCAGCTCTTTGTACCCAACAGAGAACTCCAATATTGCCTTTTATTTGGGTATCCACACAGCCCAGGATCCACTGGTGAGTAATAGAAAGTTGGAAATAAAAACAAAAAAAAATCAGTCTAACTTATTTTCCTTTAATATTTGATTTATTACGATAATAATAAAAATCACAAAATGTTTACATGGAATAATACAATGATCACCCTTGTACCCACCACCCAGCTTCATGAAAAGTTTGCCGTATTCTAGTAATGTTTTCACTTTCCTCTATTTCTGTTCATGAGGAAACAATTGCATGGAAGAAAAGGAGGATGGGTAACAGGACAAGTTTGTCTTTACCTCTTTTTTCTCATGATTATAAAGGGAAACAAAAATTCCATTCACAACTCCAAGACATAGCATGATGCATGTTAACATGGGTAACTAAAGAGGCAGTATCTAGAGGATTCAGAGAAGAGGCAAATGGTGATGTGTCTTTCAAATGCTCTTCATAGGTGAGCAAGGTGTGTCAGCAGGCGGGCAAATGGCCATGGATTAGGACCACTGTCCATGATGACATGTTGAAAGTAAACCCAAGGGTAGACCTGGCCCCAGAGCTCACAAGCATCACAAGCTGCTAACTGTGGACAGTGGTGAGCAGAATTTACTAACCCACCTCACTTGAAATTTCTGGTGTGTATCTCTACTTCTGTCTCCTGATTTTAGCCTGAGTGAGCATTGAGGGTTTTGAATTCTATATGGGTGGTTGATCAAGATCAAACCACAAAGATTATAGGAATATTTGCAGAGTTTAAGGATCTACATTGACATTATTAGGGTTCCAGACGGGGTTGGGAAAGGGTGCTAAGTAAATCACAGAGCCTTCACTTCCTAGACTCGGACACAGACTCAAGGAACAAGCAGGGTTTCTAAGGGGATTTCAGCCTTGTGGGGTCACAGGAAAGCCCAACTGGCTTTGACAGGTATGGCCTCTTACTGCTTAAATGTTGGGCTCTTATTTTAGATATTTTTGCCCCAGGGTTTAGCTGCATTTCTTCCTCACTCAGTTAAAAAATTCTCACTAGGTTCAAAGACTTCATAAGGATGTTTAAACCTACTTCACTGATCCAGGAAATGGTGCCTGGTAAGAACTAAAAATAAACCAGAAAGGCTCAGGCTGGGTTTCAATGGCAGACTCCAAGGAGTTCGAAGGATTTCTAAACTTGGCCAAAGGCTTTCCTGCTTTTCTATTTCAAGTTCATTCACTTGAGAATTTTCAAAATCTGAAGATCATTCCTTCCTTTTCCTGGAATTGAAAATAGAAGAACCCTGGCTTAACTTTGGAGCAGATTGCAATTTATATTTTGGTCCTTCTGTGATGCGATTATGATTGTATAATGAGGTAGTTAAGGGTATGGACATTGGAATCAGACAACCTGGGTTCAAACCCCAGCTTGTTTACTGACTGCCTATCAGGCCTTAACCTCTCTCAGCCTCAGTTTCTTTTTCTGCAAAGTCAGAGTTGATATGAGGATTAAATACACACATTATGTGTGTGTTTAACACAGGTACTAGAACACAGTGAGTATTCAGTAAATGGCAGCTCCTACCTTACTCTTATTATTTCAAACAAAACTTTCTCTTAATTTTCTATAATCATCTTGGAAATGAAGCCAATAGTATTCCAGGTTGTGTGTGAGTGTTAGTGTGTGTATCTGTGTGGGTGGGCGGAAGGTGGGGGGTGGTCAATACATTCATGTAACTTCTAGTCAGAGCTGCTACTGACTAACATCTGTTTCCTCATATTGCTGGGCACACAACTAAGGCCACCTTTCCCAGACTCCCTTGTAGTAAGGTGATGCCATGTAACTATGTTCTAGCCAAAAATGTGAACAGAAGTGGTATGTGCCATTTGTAGTCTTGGCCCATGGATATTTCCCTTTAAGTCCTCCTTCCTGCTCTTTCCCCTGGGATGGAGATGATTGTGGTGATCTTAGAAACTCTAGATGAAGATGACAGAGCCCCTGTCAGCCTGAGTCCTTGAATGACAGTTGGGGGATGGAAGCAAGACAACCTCCACTGAGAAGGAACATCTACCTTGGACTAAGATAAACTTCTACTGTGTCTGAAACATTATGTTATTAATTGTTATTTGTTATAATAACTAGATCCAAATGCCTAGTGCCTTCTTGATCACCTCCTTCCTTAATTTATACTTCTTTTTAGCTTTCCATTTAAAATTCTTGACTTAAGTAAAAGTTAAAGCAGAGTTTCCCGGGAGGCCAATTAACCAAAATCAACATCTAGGAGTGTCTATTGATTTTACGGAGTGCTTCTGCTCTTTATTTCCTAAGACCCAGGGATCTTGGGAATTAAGCCTCACTAAGACAGAATTTTGAGGGTGAATGTGGGAAGGTTCGGACTACCTGGATTTTACTGTTCTTGACATCAGAGACTTAAGTGTAACAAGTAGAGTTCACTTAGACACGTGTCTCCATTTGAACATACTTAAAAGGGTTCGTGAAAACGAACAAAGGCTTAGTTGAGAATGACTAGAATCACTAATGGAAATTAGATTCAATTTAAAACATACAGTTAATTGCAAAAAGTATAAAGAATATACAGCAGGTTTTCACATCAGTCTCTAGTTCCTGCCTACTTACAGAATAGTCACCCTTAACAAATAAAATTCAGGAAAGAGTCTCTACTCCAAGTCTCTGTATCCTCTTTTGTGGGTTCCCTGTTGCTATTGTCCCCAGGCCACTGTGCACCAGAATCTTTCTTTCTTTAAGTACTTGCTTTATGTACTAAGTCTTACTAATTGTCTCCAGACAACTCTGCTTTTTCCTAATGTGCCTGGCAAAATGTTGGCTGCTTCCTTTACCTGTTAATAAAAATGATTGCCCATTCGCACCTGCTTGTACCACCAGGTGGGCCTGAGGGCAGGTCTGCCCAACTTGGTGCTGCTTCCCAACTCCCAAGTACCTGAGCACACCATCTAGGGGCCTGGGGATCACCCAGCCCAGTCCACCATGAGTGGCACCTGAGCACTCTTCCTGGGATCTGAGGTTGGCTCCATTCAACTTGGTGCTACCATCAAAGCTGACACTCACCTGTAGGTCTGGGGACTGGACCACCCAACCTGTTGCAATGACTGCCAATACCAATGTGGACCACTTGGGTCCCGGAGGGTTGTTCCACTACTACTATTGCCATTAACCATGCCACACATTTTCTTCCCAATAGCTTGAGAACCTACTCACCCACCCAACTCACTGCTGTCATTCCCAGCACCCAAGCAATCCACCTGGAGGCTCAATAATTGACTGGCTTGGAGCTGCTAACACCAGGACCAGTGTATGCCACCCTGGGGCTCAAGGACAGGCATGCTCAGCCCACCGCTGCCACCACTGAGGCTTCAAGACTTGCCCAACTGATGTCCTAATCCTCAGCCAAACTTTACCACAGCCCCCATTAACAAATGCACCCTAAGCCATCAAGGAAATCACAGACGTCACTGATGTAACCATACAGAAACTACAGTACTGCATGCACCCAGAATCAAAACCAAAGTGCCCTACCCAAAAAACACAATAGATATAACTTCAGGAAAAATTCCTCCCCTATGAAATCAAATTTAAAAAATGGGAAGAAGTGACTGTTACACCAGATGTGCAGTTATCAATGTAAAAACATACGAAACTTTAAAAAGCAAGGAACTGTAACACCTTCAAAGGAATATAATCATTTTCCACTAACAAATTCCAACCAAAAAAAATTTACAGAATTCCAGAAAAATTCAAAATATTGATACTGAAGGAGTTCAGTGGGATACAAGACAATTCTGAAAAACAATATTAAAAAATGAGAAAAACTATTCAGGATATGAATAAGATATCCTCATATCAAAGGGACAGATTTGAAAAAGAATAAAACTGAAATTCTCAAACTGAAAACTACATTGAATTAAATACAAAATACATTCAAAAGCCTCAATAATAGGCTAGGTCAGGCAGAAGAAAGAATATCAGAACTTTAAGGCAGGTCATTTGAAGTAATCCTGTCAGATTAAAACAAATAATAAAGAATAAGCAAAGCCTTTGCAACATGTGGGGCCCTTTCATAAAATGCAATATTTGAATTTTTGGTGTTCCAGAAGGTGAAGAGGAAACAAAAGAGTTAGAAAGCCTATTTAACAAAATAATAGATAAAAACTTCCCAAGTCTAGCAAGAGATTTAGACATCCAGATATAAGAGGCTCAAAGATCCCTAAACAGATAAAATTCAAAAAGGTCTTTTTCATAGCACATTATAGTCAAACTGTCAAAAATCAAAGACAAAGATAAAATTCTAGAGAATCAAGAGAAAAACACTTAGTCACAATAAAGATATCCCCGTCAGACTAACAATGGATTTCTCAGCAAAAACCTTCAGGACTAGAGAGAATGGGATGATATTTAAAGTGCTGAAGGAAAAAAAATTCCAGCCAAGGATACTATGTCCAGTAAAAGTATCATTCATGAAGGAAGAAGAAATAAAGTCTTTCCCAGAGAAGCAAAAGCTGAGGAAATTTATCCTTACTAGACTGGCCCTTTGAGAAATGTTTAAAGGATTTCTATAACTGGAAGAAAAAGAACAATAAGTACCATCATGGAAACACATGAAAATATAAAAACCACTGCTAGAGCAAACACACAAACAAGGAAGAGAAAAACTTAAATGTTACTGCTACAGAATACCACCAAACCACAATGAAAACAGTAACAGAGAAAGAAAGAAACAAATGATATACCAAACAAGATATTAAGTAATAAAATGAAAGGAATAAGCCCTTATATATCAATAATAAACTTTAGTGTAAATGAATTAAACTTGCTACCTAAAAGATATGGACTGGCTGAATGGATTAAAAAAATGATTCAATGATATACTGCCTATGAGAAACTCATCTCACCTCTAAAGACACATAAAATGACAACAAAGTGATGGAAAAAGGTATTGCAGGCAAACAGAAAGCAAAAGTGAGCAGGAGGAGCTATATTAATATCAGAGAAAACAGACTTTAAGACAAAAACAGTAAAAAAATACGAAGAAGCTCATTATATAATGATAAAGGGATGAATTTAGCAAGAATATATAACAATTCTAAACATATGTGCATCCAATACCAAAATATCCAAATACGCAAAGAAAATATTGTTAGGCATAAGGGGAGAGACAGACCCAAATATAATAACACTTAGGGACTTCAGTACCCTATTCTCAGCATTATACAGATCATTTACACTGAAAATTAAAAGAACATTGAATTTAAACTTCACATTAAACCAAATGGACCTAACAAATATTTACAAAACATTTTATCCAACAACTGCAGAATACACATTCTTCTCATTGGCACACAAAACGTTCTCCAGGATACGTCATATGTTAGGACAAAATCAAGTCTCAACAAATTTAAAAAAAATCAAAATCATATCAAGTATCTTCTCAGACCACAGTAGAATATAAGCTAGAAATCAACAACAAGAGAAACTTTGGAAACTGTACAAATATATGAAAATTAAACTACATGCTTCTGAATGACAAGTGGGTCAAGGAAGAAATTAAGGGGGAAATTAAAAAAATTCTTGAAATAAATAAAAATGAACATATTATGTAACAAAACCTATGGGATACAGCAAAGCAGTGCTAAAAGGAAACTTTTTAGTAGTAAATACCTACATCAAAAAACTAAAAAGATTTCAAACTAATTATTTGATGATGCATCTCATGGAACTAGAAAAACAAGAACAAACCAAACCCAACATTTGTAGAAGGAAAGAATTAATGATGACCAGAGCAGAACTAAACAAAATAGACACTAAAAACCAATACAAAGAATCAATGAAATTAAAAGCTGAGTCTTTTGGAGATGAAAATCAACAAACCACTTGCTAGGCTAACCAAGAAAAAAATTAGAGAAGACCCACGTAAATAAAACAAGAAATGAAAAAGTAGACATTACTACTGGTATCACAGAAATACAGAAGATCATCAGAGACTAATATAAACACCTATACACTGACAAACTAGAAACTCTAGAGGAAATGGATGAATTCCTGGAAACATACAACCTACCAAGATTGAATTAGGAAGTAGCAGAAACCTTGAGCAAGGCAATAAGAAAAAGCATGATTGAATTAGCGATGAAAAGTCTCCCAAAAAAGAAAAATCCAAGACCAGATAGCTTCATGGCCGAATTCTACTAAACTTTCAAAGCAAAACTAACACACCAATTCTCAAAAAAATAAGGAAAGGGAAATATTCTCTTCAAGGCCTCAAAAAATTAAGGAAAGGGAAATATTCTCTTCAAGGCTAGCATTACCCTGATACCAAAGCTAGACAAGGATACAACAAAAAAAGAAAATCACAGGCTAATATCCCAGATGAATATAGATGCAAAAATTCTCAAGAAAATACTAGCAAGCCAAACCCAACAACACATCAAAAAAATTATATACTATGGTCAAGTGGGATTTATCTCAGGAATGCAAGAATTGTTTAACATACATGAATCAATAAACATGATATATCAACAGAATGAAAGACAAAAACCATATAATCCTCTTGATAGACACAGAAAAAGCATTTGATAAAATTCAACATTCCTTCATGACAAAAACTCTCAACAAACTGGGCTTAGAAGGAATTTACTTCAACATAACAAGGGTCATATATGACAAACCCACAGCTAATGTCAAATTGAATGGGGAGAAACTAAAAAGTCTTTCCCACAAGAAGTGGAACAGGACAAGGATGCCCGCTTTCACTACTCCTATTCAACATAGTACTGGAAGTTCTAGCCAGAGCAATCAGGCAAGAGAAAACAATAAAAGGGATCCAAATTAGAAAAAAGAAAGTCAAATTGTCCGTCTTTGCTGATGACATGATTTTACATCTAGAAAAACCTAAAGTTTTCACCAAAAACACTTTTAGATCTGATAAATAAATTCAGTAAAGTTTCAGTATACAAAATCAACATACAAAAATCAGTGACATTTCTATATACCAATAATAAACTAGCTGAGAAAGAAATCAAGAAGTCAATCCCATTTACAATGGCTACAAAAAAACCACCTAGGAATAAATTTAACCAAGGAGGTTGTAGAGGTGAAAGCAACTCCATCTTGGTTGCTAATCAGCCATGTTGACTTCTCATTAACCCCAGTTCCAAGAAGGCCTCTAAGATTTCCAGTTTATCTATTATTCCTTGTGTAAGAGCAGACACTTAACATAAATCCTGCCCTTAGGTCAAAGCAACCTTGATGTCATTGTACCTCAATTGCCCTACATATCCCTTCCAAATCACATGTACCAGTTTCCTATGGTATATAACCCCTGAATCTGGATAAGGGCAGGGATCCACCACCTTGTCTTGCTGCCACCTAAGACATAGACATAACTTCTGTTCATAAGTCATGATTAAATGTTTCTTTCTAAGAAACTGGATTTATCAGTCTCCTTCTTTTGTCTGTCAGCTTCCATGGACTTTGGGGGCAGGTTTGCATAGGCCTGCCCACCATGGAACAGAGGTGAAAGATCTCTAAAAGGAAAACTACAAAACACTGATAAAATAAATTGAAGAGGGCACAAACATCCCATGCTCATGGATCAAAAGAATTAATATCATTAGGAAGACCATACTGCCCAAAGATATCTATAGATTCAATCCAAGCCCTATCAAAATGCCAATGTCATTTTTTTCATAGAAATAGAGAAAAAATTTAAATTTGTATGGAACTGAAAAAGAACCTGAATAGTCAAAGCAATCCTGAACAAAAAGGACAAAGCTGGAGGCATCACACTACCTGACTTCAAAATATATTGCAAGACTATAGTAACCAAAACAGCATGGTATTGATATAAGAACAAGCACATAGACCAATGGAAGAGAATAGAAAATCCAGAAATAAATCCACATATTTCTAGACAACTGATTTTCAACCATGGTGCTAAGAACATACATTGAGGAGAGGACATGGGAAGCTGGATATCAATATACAGAAGAATGAAACTAGACTCCTATCTCTCACCATATATAAAAATCAACTCAAGATGGATTAAAGACTTAAACATAAGACTGAAACTATAAAATTAATAGAAGAAAACATAGGGAAAACACTTTATGGCATTGGTCTAGGCAAAGATTTTATCGCTAAGACCTCAAAAGCACAGGGAGCAAAAACAAAAATAGAAAAAATGGGATTATATTAAATTTAAAAAGTGTCTGCACAGCAAGGAAACAATCAACAGAGTGAAGAGACAATCTACTGAATTGGAGAAAATATTTTCAAACTCTTCATCAGACAAGGAACTAATACCCAGGTTATGTCAGAAACTCAAACAACTAAGTGATGTTAGGCATATATATATCATCAGGGAAATGCAAATCAAATGTGATATCTACCACAATGAGATATCATCTCATCCCAGTTAGAATGGCTATTATTAAAAAGACAAAAAAAAAAAAACAAGTGCTAGTAAGATGATGCAGAGAAGAGAAAATTTTTATACATGGTTGATGGGAATGTAAATTAGTACAGCCACTATGGAAAACAGTATGAAGATTCTCAAAAAGTAAAAACAGAGTTACCATATGACCCAGTAATCCCACTACTGGATATTTATCTGTAGGAAAATAAATCAGTATATCAAAGAGATACCCATACTCACATGTTTATTGCAGCACTATTCATAATAACAAATATATGGAATTAACCTAAATGTCAATCAATGGACAAATGAATAAAAAAAAGTGTTATATGTACAAGGTGGAATATTATTAAGCCATTGAAAAGGAATGGAACTATGTCATTTTGAGCAACATGGATGGAACTGGAGTTCCATTATGTTAAGTGAAATAAGCTAGACACAGAAAAATAAATTTTGTATGTTCTCTCTCATATGTGAAAGCTAAAAAATTTGATCTCATGGAGACAGAGAGTAGAATGATAAATACCAGAGGCTGGAATGGGGTGTGGGTGGGAGGGGAGGATGATGAGAGGTTGTTTAATGGATACAAACATACAGTTAGATAGAAGGTATATGTTTATATGTTTGACAGCAGAGCGGGGTGACTGTAGTTAGCAACAATGTATTGTATATTTCAAAGTAGCTAGAAGAGAGAACTTGAAATATCCCCAACATACAGAAATGATAAATACTCAAGGTAACAGATACCCCAAATACCCTGACTTGATCATTACACTTTCTATGCATGTAACAAAATATCATATATACCTCCATAAATATGTAAAATATTATGTATTAATACAAAAATGGCTGGCTGTTAATGAATATAACTAGCTTACCAGAGCCCTCTAGCTGCCCTCTTTCTGCAATAGTGATGACTAGGAAGTTGCTAAGCTTTTTCACCCTTGTATAGCACCTTGATATTTCCTGTGTGAGTCACACCATTACTATCCCTCCAACAACAGAGGCTGAAAAAAATTACACTCCAGGCCTTGTTTCTCACACAATAGGGCTTGGCAGCATGCTCCACCCTCAGATTCTATTCCTAGGGCTTACCCTCCAAGGAGTCTGCAATGGACTGGATGTTTTTGTCTCCCCTTTTTCCTCCCAAATTCATATGATAAAAAGCTCATCCTAATGTGATGGTATTTGGAGAAGAGGCCTTTGGGAGGTCATTAGGTCATTAGGATGGAATCCTCATGAATGGGATTCAGGCCAGTATAAGAAGAGGCCAGAGAGCTAGCTATTTTTTGCTCTTCTATGTGAGATACAATGAAAAGTCAGATATCTACAAACCAGGAAGTAACCTCTCGCCAGACACTGGATCTGCTGGCTCCTTTATCTTGGACTTGCCAGGCTCCACAACTGTAAGAAATAAATGTTTCTTGATAAAATAAATGTTTGTTGTACCAGTCTATGATAATTTGTTATAGCAGCCTTAACTGACCAAAACAGTAAATATATTACGTACATACAAGATGTGAACACAAACCAAAACTCCTTATTGAGTCCACTAAAGCTTTCCATGAGAGTTCTGAGAATAGTTCTGCCAAAACAAGTGTTGGAAGGAGTATGAAGGGGTTGCTGGAGCTTGGAGGTAGTGACCTACCAATTCAAATTAGATGTTATGTAGCTCATGGTAGATGTGTAGGTAGATAGCTAGCGCCCTTGATTGCCAATGAGTAAGCAATGTTAGTTGAAAAACAGAACTAGAATTAAGGGTAGTTCTGTAGTTAAGGATACAGATTCCCAGGGTACTCCACTATAATCCACACTGTACTTGCAAAGATTAAAATATTATTCAAAAGAAACAAAATTGTATGAAGGAAATTCCAAAATCCCATAGCCTTCATATTCCAAAACCAGGTTTTTTTGAAAAGAATTCCAGGATACATTTCAAAACAGAGAAGTTTCTAATTTTCAGATCATTATTCATTCTGAAGTTATGACAAAGCAACAATTGATTTGAACAGGTAATGCATAATTAATTGAAGTCAATAAATTAGAATTCCCCTTAAGACAGAATCAGTCCTTCTTGTCCTGGATCTTTGGCTGTTTTCAGCAGTTTTGTACTGAGCTAAACTAGATGGGAAGTTTTCCTTAAGAATTTCCAAGGAATGGGAAGAATGGTGAATACTTGGGAGTACATCTTCCTTAGGGAAGGAGAGAAAGGAATGTAGGTTGCACAACCAATATGCAGTAGGTGCTTTATAGATACTATTTATTCACTTGATGTTCTCAAATATCAAAGTTAGTGTTATTATTTTCATTTCGCATATATAGTTAAGCAAGTTGAACACGATCAGTTGACTATTAAGTAGAAGACATAGTACTCAAATGTGACCTGCTGGGCTTCAAAACTCATCTTTTCACTGTCAGATGCCCTGGTATCTATCACAGAGCATGAGTTATCTTCCTACTAAATGCAGATGGTTTAAGAAGAGAATGCAATAATGACTATTATAAGGTCAGCAAGAAGTTCTAGTTCTACAACTGAGCCCTAGAACTTTCTCTCTAAATACTTCAACAGGAGTCTTGTTTCTTCTAATGTTCAACTGCCTTCTGACCCAGGCTGAAGTATTCCTTTGTAATTGGCAGAGTTTCAATTCATAGTGATTCAGTAGTACAGAGAAATGGGTAGGCTTTGATTTTTCAATCCATTTCAGCCACCAAATCTCACTCTGCTCTCCTTTCTTTGGCCTCTAGTGAAGTTGTTGTTGAGCTTTAGTATACATAAAAAACAGCTGATGGAATTGTTTAAAAATGAATGTTTTGGCTTCTATCCTAGAAAGCCAAGAGGTTTGGGGTGAGGCCAAGAATCTGCATTTTTTACAAACATCTCAGGTGATCAGGGAAATCTGAGTTTGTAAGTGCCTTAATTTTCCTTATTACTCTCATTTTCCTTTTATGTTTTTGTTTTAATCTCACACTCTGTTGGGATTGGGATTTCTTTTATAAGCCATGCTCTTTTGTTCTCTGCACTTCTAGAACTGCCCTGCTAGTGTATGGTCTGGGGGTATGAAGGCTCAGGACTAAAACCAGAAAAACAGAGGTAACATCTAATAGCTAGAGGCTCTAAGAGGGAAAATGCTTCAGTTAGGAGGCATAGAAGAGGCTACTAAATAAAATGTTAGTGGTGTAATATTATTCTTCTGGAAAAAATATGGCCATATAGTCAAGACAAACACAAAAGAGGGACACAAACCTGAAGGAATCAAGCCAAAAAGGTAAAATCCCAGAACAAACTGAGGCTCGTGAAAAGTGGTAAGGGCAAAAACCAAGGGCTCTTAGGAAGCTACACAGGGATTAAGAGCAACGAAGAAATAAAGGCCAGGAGCAGATGATGTAATGTTGACAGACAGCAAGACAAGCAGCACTGCTCATTTCCTGTTTTACTTCCCTACTCCATCAGGGAGAAGGATCTCCAAGCTGCAAATTTATAGAATAAACATTTCTTAAGGAAAATGTAATCCAAAGATGAAGTTGGGGCTTGGGAAAGATCTATTTGCACAGTGAGTGCGGCTTTTAAGACCAGAAGAATTACATTACAGAGCACCCCAAATTGGCACTGGAGTTGCAAGGGTTGTTGGTTATCTTTAAGGGCTATGGAGAAAGAGGTGCCAAATGACCAGAGGCAAGCAAATCTCTTGATTTTTCTTTAAGTTTGTTTTTAAAAAACCACTGCTCTGAATACCCTGTAGAATCCTAGAAGAGATGACAATTCATTTGGAGAAAGGAGTGTCTGTAAAGGAGTCAGCCCCTCCACAGGCTCAAGTACCTATTGGAGGCAAAGCTTAGAAGGATACATTTTTAGCTTAGACCCTTGGTGCCAGGCTGCCTGGTACTGGGAGATGGGTGGCTGGCTTACCTCGACTCCACTCAGAGGAAGGCCTTGCCAGAAAGACCCGGGAATGCAAACAATCTCCTGGCAACAGTGATCTCCTTTGCCCTGCCAATGTCTGGTGAGAGAGAGAGGTGGAGAGACAGAGAGAGAAGAAGAGAGAGAGAGAGAGAGACGCAAACACACACACACACACACGCACACACACACACACACACACACAGAAAACAGAGTTAGGAGTGAAAGAGAGAGAACAGAGAGAGTCAGGGTAGGAGGGAGGGAGAGAGGCAGGGAGAGGGGAGGGGAAAAGAGCCTGCTTCCCTACATTTGGTCTAGCATTTGGCTATTTGTTGACATCTGTGTCCCATCAATTTCTGAGTTGTTGATCAGAGTCCAAAGCAAAGGAATAGCTCAACAAGAGGAAAAATATGGGTTTGTCATACCATCCAGATCCCTCCCTGATCCTCTCAGCTGGTGATATTACCAGTAAAGAGACAGGGACTTCTGAGGAAGGTGGCTCTGACCACCAGGACCTCTGTAAAGACTTCTAATTGAACTACTTAAGGCAGAGGTTTTCAATAGGCAAGAGACAAAGGGGTGGAGCAAGATTTCCCCACAAGGGAAATTAAGAAATGCCTGGAGACACTTTGGTGGTCACAACTGAGGGGAAGGAATGCCACTGGCACCCAGTGGGTAGAGGCTGAGGATGCTGCTATAATTCCTACAATGCACAGGACAGCACCCACAACAAAATCTTATCCCAAAATCTAGCCCAAAATATTCATAGTGCTGAGGTTGAGAAACCATGTTTTAAGGGGATTTAACACCAGAGGCCTCAGTGTCCAGTGCCCAGGGCCATCCAGTAGAGTCATTGGAACAAAGAGGACCTTAGAAATCATGGTTCCTTCCCTTTTTACAGGTGAAGTGTTTGAGGCTCAGGGAGTGAAGTGGCTTGTCCAGGGACCCAGGCCATGGATTGAGGTGATTAAGAGTCTTGGAGTAAGACAGACCTGGTTTTAAATCTCAGTTCAGTTACTTAACATCTGTGTGACTTGGACATATTTTTGATTTTGGACGAGTTACTTCACCTCTTGGAGCCTGAATTATCTGACCTGTTCAATGGGCATCCTATAATAAGTCCTGCAAAGCATAATGTCAAGGAATATGTGAGAGGATGCATATAATAAATGACATCTCTAATTATGAGTAGTAGAGCTGGAGCCAAAATTTGGCTCCTGTCCTCAGTTCTGTTCCAGTTCCATTGTTTCACGTTAATACATCCCAAATCAGGACCACCCATCACTGCTGAGAGGCATGTAGTATGGTAATTGTGAGCTCTGCCACTTGGTCCAAGTGGATCAGGATTCGAAGTCCAGCTCTACCATTTTCAAGCTGATAAATAATCAACCTCCCTCTCAGCCTCAGTTTCCTTATGTGTAAAATGGGATAATGCTATGATCTACCTTATAGGCTTCTGGTGGAAGTTAGAATCAGAACCCATATTAAACACTTCAGGCTAGAGTCAGAAGAGAGTAAGGACTCAGCATATATTAGTTATAGCTAATGTTTGTGGCAGGTTGTATTTTCCCCCAAATGGCTACCACAGCATCTCCCCAATCAATATACTCTTTTTACAATGTGACTGTAACTCTCCTCCCCTCCAATAGAGGTGGGCAGTCTATGTTCTCTTTATTTGGATGTAGATAGACAAGTGGCTATGGGGCAAGTGATATTTTGTGACTTCTGGGGCTAGGTCATGAAAAATGATACACCTTTTTCCTGCATATCTTGGGATGCTCACACTTGAAACCCTGCCTCCATGCTGTGAGGAAGCCCAAGCCACACTGTGGAGAGGCCCATTTGAAGAGAAACTGACAGACAACACTAACTTGCCAGCCGTATGAATGAGCCATCTATAAGTGGAACCTCCAGTTCCAGGCAAGCTACCCCAGCTGATGCCGGCTGGAGAGAAGTGAGCTGGCTGCACTGAACCCTGTTCAAATTGCAGATTAATGAGCAAAACAAATGATCAATGTCATTTTAAACTGTCAGAGGTATTCAAACCAGAGCAACTCCATCTTGAACAGGGGCTTGGTAAAATGAGGCTGAGACCTCCTGGTTCCCAGGAGGTTAGGCATTCTTAGTCACAGGATGAGATAGGAGGTCAACACAAGATACAGGTCACAAAGACCCTGCTAATAAAACAAGATGCAGTAAAGAAGCAGGACAAAAGAGTTCATGACCAAGAACCCAAAGGCAAATGCAACAGAAGCAAAGATAAATGATGGGACCTAATTAAGCTAAAAATCTTCTGCACTGTAAAAGAAATAATCAGCAGAGTAAACAGAAAACCTACAGAGTGGAAGGAATATCTTCACAAACTATGCATCCAACAAAGGACTAATATCCAGAATCTACAAGGAACTCAAACAAATTAGCAAGAAAAAAACAAATAATACCATAAAAAATTAGCCTAAGGACATGAATAGACAATTCTCAAAAGAAGATGTACAAATAGCCAACAAACATATGAAAAAATGCTCAGCATCACTAATTATCAGAAAAATGCAAATCAAAACCACAATGAAATACCACCTTACTCATGCAAGAATGACCATAATTAAAAAATCAAAAATAATAGATGTTGGCATGGATGTAGTGAAAAGGGAACACTTTTACACTGCTTGTAGGAATGTAAATGAGTACAACCACTATGGAAAACAATGTGGAATTCCTTAAAGAACTAAAAGTAGAACTATCATTTGATCCAGCAATCCCACTACTGGGTATCTACCCAGAAGAAAGGAAGTTTTTATATGAAAAAGACACTTGTACACACATGTTTATAGCAGCACAATTCGCAACTGCAAAAATATGGAACCAGTCTAAATGCCCATCAACCAACAAGTAGCTAAAGAAAATGTGACATATATATCATACACATACACATACATATATTATGGAATACTACTCATCCATTAAAAGGAACAAAATAATGGCATTTGCAGCTACCTGGATGGAATGGGAGACCATTATTCTAAGTGAAGTAACCCATGAATGGAAAACCAGACATCATATGTTCTCACTTTTAAGTGGGAGCTAAGCTATGAGGACGCAAAGGCATAAGAATGATATAATGGACTTTGAGGACTTGCGGGGAAGGATGGTAGGGGGATGAGTGTACAGTGTACACTGTTTAGGTGATGGGTGCACCACAATCTCGATCAGAAATCACCACTAAAGAACTTATTTATGTAGCCAAAAACCATCTTTTTCCCCCAAACTATTGAAATAAAAATATATATTGCCAATATCTTCCCCCATGCTGTGACTTTTCACTGTTCTAACGGTGCTTTGATAAATAAAGTTTAATTTTAAAGAAAAAAAAAGAAGCTGGCCAAAACCTGCCAAAACCAAGATGACCACAAAAGCGACCTCTGGTCATCCTCAGTGCTCATTATACGCTAATTATATTGCATTAGCATGTGAAAAGACACTCCCACCAGGGCCATGACAGTTTACAAATGCCATCGCAATGTCTGGAAGTTACCTTATGTGATCTAAAAAGGGAAGGAACCCTCAGTTCTGGGAATTGCCTGCCCCTTTCCTGGAAATCTCTTGAATAATCCACCTCTTGTTTAGCATATGATCAAGAAATAAGCATAAAAATAGCCAACCAGCAGCCCTTGGGGTGGCTCTGTTCTTTCAGTAGCCATTCTTTTATTCCCTTACTTTCTTAATGAACTTGTTTTCACTTTACTCTGTGGACTTGCCCCAAATTCTTTCTTGCATGAGATCCAAGGACCTTCTCATGGGGTCTGGATTGGAACCCCTTTCCAGTAACAAACCCACTAAATGTTAAGACAGCTTGTTATGCAGCAATGGTTCAATATTATTTTTATTAATCTCCAAAAAGAAATTCTCCTTCTCCTTATATCATCTCTTAAGCCTCATCATCAACACCAAGAAGAAAACCAGACATAGTAGGAAATGTTGCAGCTTCTTGCCAGATCTCCTGTGATTCTTCTGTATATCTGGAGAAGATGATCAAACACCACTACCGGTTGAGGATGTGATATATGGAGATTCGGGAATCTGAGGGTTTATCTGGGGACATAGTTCAACCGATCTCTTTTGGGAGCAGGTTAATTCCAGGGCCTGACAGGCTTCTTGAAACTTGTGAACAAGGTTCTCCAACAGCACTTACTCCAGTGTTATTTTTCCCTTCCCTTCTTCCTTGCTTTCTGCCGTGAGTGTGAGACATGTGTGGGAAGGAAAAACAACGTTCTCCTCCATTCTACGTGAGTTTTTAGCTGGGACTCCCTCTAATAAAAGACAGATTAACAAGAGAAAAGCAAACAAATGTTTAATAACACACACACCTCCTGTAGATCTCAAATTAGACTTTAGGCTTAAATATTTTGTTTCTCTGAAACAAAAAAAGGAGTGTATAGGAAAAGGCCCTATTAAGATGCAATGGCCAGGAAAAGCACCATAAACCAAGGGTAAGATTTTCTATGCAGATTTAAGTGGATGCCTTCTCCACTGATGAAGAGTTTCTGATAATTTAGTAATCTTTCTCCTCCTGGTGCAGAGAGGGAGGCACCCTTAAAAATGGGAATTTCTTTTGTAAATGTAAATTTCTCTTACAAAAAGACAACTTTTCAGAGCTACTGCTGTATCTGCAGTTTGTCAAAAGAACCACTTCAAATAATCCTTATGCCAAAGAAGCATATTTGAGGGTGGCACATTCTGGTCATATTTTGGGGTGGCATGTCCTGAATCCCATCACATAAAAGGCCTTTTTTCCTCTTGAGTTTATTCACTCCTTCATACCTTATTTATGGCTTTGAAGAATGTAAGGTGAGGATAGAGTCTGATGGTGAATTGAAGAAGATTTTTGCCCTTCTTAGGAAAGCAAATGGAGTTGTTATATCCATAATTGTGCATACATGCTATGTCTGTGTGTCTGTCCATGTATGTGATAGAAGGAGTGGGAGAAGGAGTGCTACTGGGATTAGAAGTTAAAGAACTTCCCACTTTTCTTCCTGAGAACAGTAGTTGTTCAGATCCCTTTTATGTAGCCCCATTGGAAAGGTACCCAGTGTGACCACTCAGAGCCACAGATGACTAAACCCAACAATATGTCTTCTTCTTCTTTTTTTTTTTTTTTGAGACAGAGTCTTGCTCTGTTGCCCAGGCTACAGTGCAGTGGTGCAATCTTGGCTCACTGCAACCTCCACCTCCCAGGTTCAAGCAGTTCTCTGCCTCAGCCTTCTGAGTAGCTGGGATTATAGGTGCCCACCACCATGCCTGGCTAATTTTTGTATTTTTAGTAGAGACGGAGTTTCATCATCTTGGCCAGGCTAGTCTTGAACTCCTGACCTCGTGATCCACCTGCCTCGGCCTCCCAAAGTGCTGGGATTACAGGCGTGAGCCACCGAGCCCAGCCCAACAAGATATCTTCTTGAGGGGTGAGTAAGCAGGGCTTGTAAACCAAAAATTATCTAACACAGGTCTCAATCAATTTAGAAGTGTATTTTGCCAAGAGTAAGGACATGCCCAGAAGAAGAGAACACAGAAATCACAGAAACAGTCTGTGGTCTGTGCCTGTCTCCAAAGATGAATTTGGGGGCTTCAATATTAAAAGCAGAAAACTAGACTGGAGGGGAAAGAGGGAGGGTATGCTAATCCACATGTTGTAAGACAAAGGAGAAGGTAGGGGAACAGTCAACTATGTATTCATCTCATGCTCAGTAAATTGGCACCTTATATAAGGTAAGGTGAACATAGAGTTATCACCTGTGGAGATATTTAACCTTTAACTGTAGCTCTCTGCTTAGGAACAAAAGGAAAGGCAGTTTCTTGCATGACTCGGCTTTCAGCTTAATGTTTTTTTCTTTTGGCAAAGTGAATTGGGGTCCTGAGATAAGTAAGAAAGAACTCTATGTTTTATTCACAAGACAAACTAGCCCTTCTAGGTGTTTTACCAAAAGGATGAAATGGTAATGAGCTACTGGCTCCCTCCCTCTGGGAACTTCATAGGCTGGATGCTGAAGATGACCCCATCTCTCTTGGGGCAGGTGTCCAAATCTGGGAACCCAGGCTAGGGGAGGGGCAGACAGATACTTGCTGGTTTCTGGAAAAAGGACAGTATGTTAGATGCACAGCTTTCTCCAGGATCACATAGGAGACTTCTACAGTTCTGAAAGCTTCGTGTGCCCTGTCCTCTGCCTCCTCAACCTGTGTATCTTCCCCCTTCCTTTGGGGGAAAGAACCACAGGAAGAACTAAAGGAGAGCTCTGGGTTCTACTCTAGAGTGTGCTCAAGAGAAACAAGTAGGAAGTGGACTTGATACTTAGTATTCCCCAGTGACCTTAGCATTGGAACCCCACTTTTGGAAATGCCTGGGAGAAAATGTTAGAGTAGCTGAAGGATGCTTTTAGTCTTCAACAGAAAGCAGCTGTGTGTTTCTCAGTGCCCTTCTGGGTCCAGTTGTTACAAAGACTCAGCCTAGCACCTTTACTTCTGCAAAGTGGTGTTTGAGTCATTTGTCATCAGATGCACTTAAGGTAGGAGCTGTTTCCTGGCCTCCTCTTCTTAGCTCTTCCTGTACAAAAAAAAAAATTGGCATGTTTCCTAATGATGTTATTAAAGAATGATTTCAAGCATGACACTGGCTATCACTTACATAAGTTATGAAAGTCAAGAATCTGGCCCATGAAAGGTATCCAGCAAGGCTGTTACTGAAAGTGGTACAATTCAGTGTTTTAGAAGGTGGCTAAATGATCTGTGAGCTGAATGGGGCAGTGTGGTGGGAAGGAGGGGCCTCTGTTATGTCACTAGGGGAGGAAGAATGTGCCAAGGGAGGCTGCCATGGAGGGGACTGAACTGTGACTCATGCCAATGCTGGTGGGCTTGTTGGCAGAGAAGGGAGATGCCCCTGTCCTCTGAATGCTGGATGCTTTCCAGTGTCCGACCCTCTTTGCTGGGTCACAGTGATTTCATTTTTTTTTGGCTTTTTATAGTTGGCTGTGAAAATAGCCTTTCACCTTCAATGAATCACATTTAAAGCAGACAGGGAGTATAGGAGAGTAATGAGATTAATTGGCCTCCTTTTGGACTTCCTGGTAAGTCCAAGGGGCAAATTTGTGATGTGTCACCAGCAGCAACACTTTGTTGATCTTTGGACAGAAATGACAAAGCAAATACCTTTGAGGAAGGCAAAAGGGAAGCAAGTTGAGGAGATCCCTTTTCACTCCACTAGCTGGCTGCTAATCTCGGCACGCAGGTCAGATTGAACTGGAGCTGGGACATGGTCTGAGGATGCTTGGCTTAACCTCTGTTGGCAGAGGCCTGCCATGCTTGGCTGCCGCAGGAGGCCAGACTTTTCCAGAGAGTGAGGCTGGACTCAAGCATGATGGGAGGCTCCTTATCTGCCCCCACCAGGGTCTTGGGGCAAAGCCAAGCTGCTTACACCATGTGACTGGGAATGGCAGTGACTCAGAGGGAGCAAGCTAGAAGGGAGGAAGTGCTGGTGTCCTCAGCCATTGTTAGGGAAGAACGGAGGAGCCCAAGAGGAAGGCTCCAGCGCTGAGAGGACCACAGGCCTGAGGCAGTTGCCTAGCAACGGTACCCAAGCGCCTCCCTCCACCAGCCTGTCAGCAGCGTGAGGCCTCTTACCAGCTCCTACCCTCCAGTTCCTTCCTTCAAAGCCGCCCTCTATATGCCTTTTCACCAAATTCCACCTGAACAGAAATGATCCTGGGGGTGTGGGTCAGGGGGAGCCTCCAGACCACGGAATGTCTTAGAGAGCTGTGCTTTGTGTTGCTAACTGTAGTTAGGAACTCAGATGCCAGAGCCAGACCTGCATGCAAATTCCAGGGCCAACACTTGTTAGCTCTGTCATCTGGGGCAAGTTTCTTAACCTCCCAATGCTTGATTTTCTCCATCCATAAACGATAGAGAAAGATAGTACCTATCTCAATTGGGGCAATTTGAGGCTTAGTGTGGATGGAAGGATGGACGGATGGATGGATGGATGAGTAAATAGATAGACAGAAATAGAATCAATTAAAATAGTGCCTGGCACATAGAACGTCTACGTATGCGTTCATTACTAGTAGTCCTGGAGGACAGTTGGACACAAGCACTTGCTCCCAGGTGGGGCAGAGGAGCTGGGGAGGGAGCCCCAATCTCCAGTTTCATGATGGCGTGTGGTACTGGAATATCTGCTTCCAGGCCACTGTTCTAACAGTGGCTTGCTGTGGGCTCTTGGGCAAGCAGCAATTTTCCCCTTGGAGGATGGACTGAAAGGGTCTGGATTTCCTCAACTTCTCCTTGCCTTGTAGCATCCTGGATGTGACTGAGCTGAGTCACCTCTGTCTCCGCAGCTATGGGGGGATTAGAAAATGTGACAATAGGAGGGGGTTCCAGCTGAGCCCCAGAGGGAAGGTTTGGGTGAGCAATGGGTGAATAGTCTCAGATGGGGGGTGTTTAGTCCAGACCTGGGAAGGGGCAGGCAGCCAGGCTCATACTGGTATCATCTTATATTTATTTTTGTAGTTGCTCTAGGTGTTATGTATCCATTATATATACCTACCTAACTTCTCACATTCTATTTAAATTTCGCATTTTACCACTTCGAGTAGAATGTAGAAATCTTAAACCATGTATGTTCCACACCCTCCTCCTCCCTTTATGTTATAATTGCCATATATATTACACCTATATGCATTGAAAACTCTCCCTTCCAACAATGTTTTAATTTTGGCTTCCAATAGTCATACATATTTCTAGAGGACAAAATGGTTTATTATATTTACACAGATGTTTACAATTTCTGTTGCTCTTTCTTCATTCCTGAAGTTCTGATTCTCCCTCTGGGGTAATTTCCCTTCAATCTGAAGAACTTCCTGTAACTTTCTTTTTAAGTAATTTTTTTTTTTTTAGACAGAATCTTGCTCTGTTGCCCAGGCTGGGTAGAGCGGTGTGATCTCAGCTCACTGCAGCCTCTGCCTCCCAGTTCAGGTGATTTTCCCACCTCAGCCTCCCAAGTAGCTGGGACTACAGGTGTGCACCTCCACGACCAGCTAATTTTTGTATTTTTAATAGAGACAGGGTTTCGCCATGTTGGCCAGGCTGGTCTCGAACTGCTGGCTTCAAGTGATCCACCCGCCTCGGCCTCCGAAAGTGTCGGGATTGCAGGCATAAGCCACTGCACCTGGCCTAAAGTAGGTTTATTGGTAATGAAATTTGTTAGTTTTCTTCCGTCTGAGAACGTCTTGATTTCATGGGATACAGAATTATGCGTTGACAGTTCTTTTCTTTCTAGCTTGAAAAAAAATACACGGTCAATTAAATTGTTAATCTATATGCAATGTGTCATTTTCTCTGGCTGGTTTTGATATTTCTTCAGCCTTTGGTTTTCACAGTTTTCTTCTGATGGTTTTATTTGCATTTGTCTTGTTTGTGGTTCCCTGAGCTTCTTATTATCGGCAAATTTATGTCTTTCACTGAATTTGGGAAATTTCTGTAATTATTTCTTCAAATATATTTTTTTTTCTGCACCAATTTGTGTCTCCTCTTTTTTAGGGACTCCAGTCACATGCATGTTAAACTTTTCATATTGTCCCACCCCACAGGTCCTGAGTCTCTGGTCATTTCTTCAACCTACTTTCTCCCTGTCCTTCAGATTGTATCGTTTCTAATTAGTTTCAGTTAATGGACTCTTTTTTCGGTCATGTCGACTTTTTTGAAGACGGACTCCAACTTTGAGTCTATCTGGTGAATTTTTTATTTCAGATATTGTATTTCTTATTCTAAAATTCCATTTGGTTCTCTTGTTATGATTTCTGTTTCTCTTCTGAGAACTTTCCATTCAATTCAAGAGTGCTCCCTTTCTCCTCATGAAGAATGGTCATAATAGATGTTTCAAGGTCTTTATCGGTAATTCCAATATCTGGGTCATCTCGAAGTTGTCACTGGTTGATTGACTCGAGAATTAGATTTTTCTGGTTCTTGGCAGGTTGACTATTTTCGATGATATCCAAGACAGTTTATATTGTGTTGTGAGACTCTGGGCCCTGTTATACTTTGTTGTGAATCTCTGGGCCCTGAGATTCTCCTCTGGATAATGTAGAGGTTGTGTTTTGGCAGGAAATTACACCAGTCAGGCTTAGACTGTGAGTTCTGTCTCACCTTCTGTTGGTGGGTGGTACCAATGTCCATACAGTTTTGAAAGCTGTGCTTTTGGGGGAAGCCATTGAGGCTTAGTTCTCAGAGCCTTTGCTATACTTCTTGGGGTGTGTTCTACATATGCACAATTGTCTGTGAGCTCAGGATTTGTGACAGCTTACAAAAAATGGGGGATCTCCTATTTCTGCTCTCTCCTCCGAATGATTTTTCTCACACTTTCCAGCATCTGGAGTCTCCTTTTTGGAGTCCTCTCACTAGAAAGATGGAGTTTGCCTCTGAATTATATTCATTGAAGCAGGAAATAGGTGAGAGAGAAATAATAGGAAGTCCCCCTACACTTTGCACGACTGGGGCGCCTCTCCTCAGCTCCTATGTCTGGAGGGGTGACTCTTCTCTCAGAACTTCAGATGCCCACCACACCACCACATTTGGCAATTGTGCTACTATGGGGCAGGGACTGGCTTCCAGGAAGGGCTTTGAGAGAAAAAAGAGAAAACAAAACAAAACAAACCCTGGATTCTCCTTACAGTCTCCAGCTTACAGGGGCTGCTTTTCCTAATCCTCTGGCCAGAAAGACAGGCTTTCCTCAGGGTTGGGCTTTTCATGGCATGGCACATTTTCTTGATTTGGCTTGTCCTTGGGTCAAACCTAGTAGACAAAGGAAGGAAAAAGAAACCAGGAAACTCACCATGGCTGTCCTGGTAGTCCTTCAAGTTTTGATTTGCCTTCCTATTTCAACTATTATGATTTACTTTTATTTTTTAGAATCTTCAAGTGGCTGTATTTTCTATTTTGTTCAAGGTTTTATTGTAACCAGCAGGAGAGATAAAACTGTAGAAAGCATATTCCATCTTGCCTAGAACTGAGAGCCTCTAGTAAGAGCATTTTTTTAAAAAAACTTTTTATTTTGAAATAACTTTAGATTCACAAAATAGTTGCAAAGATAATACAGAGAGTTCATGTTATACCATTACCTAGCTTCCATTTATGCTAACATCTTATATAACCATGGTACATTAATCAAAATCAAGAAATTAACGTTGATACAAAACCATTAACTAAACTATAGACTTAATTTAGATTTCCTTAGTTTTCCCATTAATGTCCTTTTTCTGTCCCAGGTCCTGGTCTAGGGTACCGCATTATATCTAGTCATTGTGTCTTCTTAGTCTCCCCCAAATGATGACAGTTCCTCAGTCTTTCTTTGACTTTCATGACTTTGATACCTTTGAATAGTAGGAGTTAGATATTTTGTAGAATGTCCCCCAGTTTGGGTTGATCTGACATGTTCTCATTCATGGACTAAGGTTATGGATTTGGGGGAAGAATAGTGCCTTTCTCATCTCATCATATCAGTGGATAGTGGATATCAATGTGACTTAACATGGCGATGTTAACCTTGATCACTTTGTTAAGGTAATATTTGCCAGATTTCTCCATGGTAAAGTTACTATACGTCTCCTTCCACAAATAACTTGTTAAAAGTGAGTCTCTTTGTCTAGATCACACCCAAGAGCAGGAGAGTGAAGCACCACCTCCTAGAGAGCAGGGTATCAAAGAATTTGTTATATATTACAGCCACTAGAGTAATTAGTAAATTTTGAAAGAAATACTTTGAAGCTGTTTCCCTCTTAAAATTTCACCCACTTATTTGATCATTTATCTAGGGTTCCTGCCAGCAGCAGTTATTACTGAGGTGTTTTAATGATGATTTTCTATTTCATTCATTGCTTCTACGTTTACTTGTTGGAATTCTTCTGTAGAAAGATTTGTCCCTTGTCTCCCATTTATTTATTTATGTAATCATTTATATCAGAATAGACTCCCAGATATTTATTCTTTAGGGTTATAATCTAATATTATCACTATTTAGTTATGAAGCACAAATTGTTGTGTCTTTGGCTAGTGAGAGCTTCTTCAGTCTGGCTCCTTTATTCTTCTGCCATGCCTCCATCCGTTTTTCCTCCACCCTAGAACCGGCCATTGCTCCAAACAGCCTTGGGTCCTTTTATCAGAGAAAGATATTTAGAAACCAAAAATGGCCATTGGGCTTATGATATTTAGAAACCAAGAATGGTCCACCGGGCATGCTTGTGGCTATGAGACTGTCACTGTGTCCAGGCCCTCTCAGCGGGCAGAGCTAGGAGATACATATATGTATGCTAATCGATGTGTGGCCATAGCATTTGGCTCAGATCTTGCCTATAAGAGACATCCTGCAAGATGCCACCATCTATCTTGTTCTGTGGTTTTTTGTGGCCACAGCTTACATTCTCTACCACCCCGCAAGCTCTTGGAGAGCAGAGTTCATGCCTGAGGCACTGTTATACCCATGCTGGTGCCTAGCACATATGGAGAACTCAGTGTGAGTTCACAGATTGCATAAATGAGTTTTGGGGAATCACAGGCCTCATGATCGTCTTTTTCTTTCTTTCCTTTTATTTTCTGGTGGTAAGAGCCACAGGTGTTCATTTGAGGGAGATATTTAAAGTTATTAAAATAAAAAAGTTTTGCCATTTAAAGGGTGATCTCGCTCATGTAGAACAACTCAGTCCTTCACAATGCTGGAAGCATGAAGAGTTCCTGCATTGTTACCGAAACAGCTGCTGTTTGGGGAAATTTGATTGGCTGCTTGGCCGGGGACAAGCTGTGCTTCTGTTTGAAGTCCCCATATTTAGCTCTCCCACAGATGCCCAAGGCTAGAGCTTCATCTACCCTGCCCCCAGCCAGCCTGGCCCCACTGCCTTAGGTCCCTGATTGACCAGCCACTCTCAAACGTACGGAATAAATATTTTGTACTTTCACCAGGCCACTCGTTTTGTGCTCCTGAAAGCCAAGGACTGTGATTATAATTTCATAGCTCAGGAAGCCTCTGTACCTGTCAGGTTGGTTTCTTATTTGCAAGCCTAACTGTTTTTAGCTTCCAGTTTTCTCTAGGGCCTTCTAGGTGGGAATCTACTCCATCCCTGTTTCTAGTTGTGATGTCCCTGCTTCCTCTCTTGCCACCGGCATCCCCACCTGCTCTCTCCTCATCTTGTTTGCTATCATCAGGCAGGCTGTCCATAAGCAGGTGCTCAGCCAGTGCCCCGGGATGAGTGTGCATGTGGGCTTGGCTTGCAGGGGAAAGGTGTGGCTGGGGCTGCCAGGGCCCATGTTGAGAGCTGTGAGAAGGGTGGCCAGCCCAGACAGAGGCGTTCCCCTCCTGCTGGACTTACTTCCTGCCTGGCTAAGAGGCAAAGCAGCATGCAGTTCCAAAGCCCCTGGGTTGGGCGCCAGAGCCTGCAGGTTCAGAGTCAGCTAATGTTTGATCTTCTTGAACCTGACTCAGCAGCCGCCGGAGAGCCACCGGGCAGGCAGAGTGGCTCCTTGCAAGTATCACGGAATCACATGGGTTGCTGTGAGCCACTGCCTGGTATTTGCTGTGGCTATTTGCTATAGGGATGTCTGTGAGTAGCCAGGGTGTCTCTCCCCACACCCCATATACTCGTAACAAAGATCTCAGGGGTGGAATATGATTGAAGGAAAGTGAATTTTCTGGGGAGGCAGAAGGGGAATTCAGAGTAAGAACAGGCCTGGGAGATAGAGGTCAGACTCAGTGAGGAGAGGGGAGGAGTCATGAGCATCTTCCCAGGACCTCCAGATCAGCAGGAGCTGAGAGGCATGCCTAGATCAGCAGTGACACGGCATCTTTGTTGCTCATCTTCACTCTCTCTCTCTGCCTCTCATTTCCCTCCCACTCAGAGGACTGCAATACAGAGTGACAGAGAGCAGCACCCTATTCGTGCCCTGCATGTCACTAAAGGAAACAGAAGGATTCCTTCGACTACCACCTGCCTCTGGCACACAGCTGAAGTGTCCCTGGGAGCTGTGGGACAGCTGGCCCTCCTGCTGTCCCCACCCCAGGCAATCTCTGAGGAGCTCTGCAAAGGACTGGCTTGCATTTGCTTCTTGCACACTCCAGTCCTCCTCATCCTCCAGGCCCTACCCATCTGTTCTATCTGAGCTGATGGGAGACTAGAAGGCAGAGACAGCCTTTGGGATAGTTGTGTTGCCCCAGGGGCAGTGCCACTGCTATGTGAGCACTTAACTCACTTTAAATGGCTCCAGCCTGCGCTTCCTCTCCTCTGACTGGAGAGACGATTCCACAGTATTAATTTCCTATGCATAACGTTCTCCCTGGGCCAGGCTTTCAGGCTGTTATCCTGAGAATACAGACAAGCAGCGTCAGAACTCCACCCAGACTTAGCAAATTCTTCAATGCCAGCAGATGATTTTCTAAGGCAACTTAACTTGAGAGAGTTCCAAGACAGAGTTTACCAGAAACCATTGGGAAAATGCCTGATTGCCCTGGTGGCAGCCTGGGTGACCCTGGATTCGGGGAAAAGAGAAGATGGTAATACCTCAAAGAGCATTTAAATGAAACTTCTTGAAAAGAAAAATGTATTCTTTTTTTTTGGTAAATACTTTTCAAGGTTTTATTGCAAACCGAAATTGATTTATTACACACACACAAAGTTGTGAGATGGGAGGAGGGAAGGATAGTACATATTATAACCATGTTAATTACAGTACATTAAAATGGTGGTTTATATGACAAATAAGCCTGTAAGTTTAAATATACTAGTGTTATAACTCAATGTACAGATTTTCTTTATACAACACATATAATTACCAGGAATGCAAAAAAAAAGAAAACATAAATAATGCCCATTTTACAGGTGACATTTTAAACAATGAACACACAAACAGTTCTGGCTGACAACTGGGGCATTGGTCCATAAAAACCCTTTCTAAAAATAGAAATAGTTGTAGCAGCAATGCTCTTTTTAAGCAACTGAATACAAGTCATTAGAAGACCATTTCAATAAATTTTAGTTATTAACCGTATCTTACAAAAATGTCTACACATAAATTTATCTTCCAAATATGGAAGAAACAAAGTCCCACGTTGTAGTGTCCTGTAAGAGTCACCTTGATGCTTATAACAAAATCCATCTGTGGTCAAGCATACCACACTCATATGACCGTTAACACAGCATATCCACAAGGAAAAATAAAGAACTGAAACAATCTGCGATAGGAAAAGAAATGTATTCTATCGAATGTTAAAACTTCAAAAATATTTCTATTTTAGGTGGACAGACATATATATTTAATTTTCTCAAATAGCAACCATTGAAACTAATTTAATTTTTTTTCTTTTTGGGCAGCTAATTGTCACGGACTGCTAATGCCATGGTGTCCTCAGTGGTTTTGAAGAGGTGTGGCATTTCCTACCCCTACTTAAATGATCTCAGACTGACTCTCTGAGGTTCTCGTGGGGTTTTTTTCTATGTTTTCCCCTGTTTCATTTACTCTAGACTATATGAAAACTCTTGGGAATACCAGTGCACCTGTTTCTTGGGCTGCTCGTTTCCTTAATGTATAGCTTCTAGTCTATTGTGAGCTAGCAAACTGGATTTACAGACGTATGATTGTGCTTAAAGTAAGAATGATTAGATAAAAATCCTAAGGAACATACACACACACAATTAGAATTAATAAACAAATTAAGCAATGTTACAGGATACAAAAATCAGTTGTATTTCTATACATGACCAATGAACAATCCAAAAATAAACTTAAAAATTCCATTCTCAGTAGCATTAAAAATAGCAAAATGATTAGGAATAAATTTAACAAAAGAAGTATAAGACTTGTACACTAAAAATTATGAAACATTGCTAAGGGCAATTAGAGGAGATCTAAATAAGAAGGACATGTCCCATCTTTATGAATTAGGAGGCTCAATATTGTTAAGGTGCCAAGTCTTCCCAGATTCATCTTTAATTCCTGTAAAAATTCCAGCCCCAGGCCAGGAGTAGTGGCTCAAGCCTGTAATCCCAGCACTTTGGGAGGCTGAGGTAGACGCATCAATTGAGGTCAGGAGTTCGAGACCAGCCTGGCCAACATGGTGAAACCCCATCTCTATTAAAAATGCAAAAATTAGCTGGGCTTGGTGGTGGACACCTGTAATCCCAGCTACTGGGGAAGCTGAGGGACGAAAATTGATTGAACCTGGGAGGCAAAAGTTGCAGTGAGGCTAGATTGTGCCACTGCACTCCAGCCTGCATGACAGAGCAAGACCCTGTTTCAAAAAAAATAATAATTCCAGCTCCTGGCCCCACTTTTCACAGCAATGAGGCTGAACTTATATGGAAAAGCAGAAGACCCAGAATAATTAAAACAACTTTGAAAAAAGAATAACAGAATTGGAAGACCTTGTCTTCTCAATTTCAAAACTTACTAAAGAGCTACAATGATCAAAACAGTGTGGTACTCACATCAGGGTCAGCAGATAGATCAACAGAACAGAATTGAGAGCCCAGAAACAAAATCTGTACTTACAGTCTCATCTCAGCTAATCTTAATGGAAGCAAGGTATGAGTAAACTATGGGGCAACCAGATTGGTTGCTCAGAGGTAATGTATTCTTTCTTTCTTGACGTCTGGAGTTTGGGGATGGTTAGTGTAGCTTTGTCAGTATTCCCTGTGCTGCACCTATTCCAGCCTTCCTGGCCATCCTCCTCTGAACTCCTAGAGGGCTGGTGATTGTTTCACAAAGTCAGTACTTACTGCAAATTCTTTTATCCTGCTGCTGTTCTATATGTCTTGGTCAAGAAGGCAGAAATCTTGTACTGTAACATTTTGTGTCCTTTGGAAGGCCCAACAAGGCCTTGTCATGTCCTCTACTGCTCAACTTATTTGCTCTTAACTCTGAAGTTGTCAAAACACTGGGGAGGCAGATCCTTAGAGTTAGTGCTTCCAGCAGTGCTTCTAGCAGCAGGGAAGCGCTCCAGCAACCAGGTGTCAGGGACATAATCGAGCCAGGATGTTTGCAAAGCTGGGTCTTTGAAACTAATTGCTAGACGTTTCAGTCTCTGAAAACTGGACATTTTGGTTTCTTGTGCTCTTCTAGTTTTGTTTTTTCCCGCCATTATTCATTCCTTCTGTTTGGTAAAGATGATAAAATTCCAAAATGTGTGCAAAATGTTCTCTGATATACAGAAATAAGATGTTGTCTTTTTTATAAATTGGGAGGAGAAAAGACAAAATAGATTGCATTAACATAGATGAATTTTAGGGAACCTTTGCTTTTTTATTCTTTCGCGCCCTAGAGACCATCTAGTCCAACCCTATGCATTTTACAGATAAGAAGATTGAGGTTCACAAAAAGAAAACAAAACAAAACATGACCAGGTTAATGTGGCTTGACAGTGGCATGAGCACAATTCCATCTCAGTTCAGTCTCTACAAAGGTCAGGTGGCTTTGAACAGCAAAGCTAACACCGCGTGGAAAATGCAGGGAGGAAACCAAAGTGGAATAACTATTTCTACATCTGGGTAAAAATAATCCCCCAATTTGCCGACACCTAGAAGATCACAGGCTTGAGGGTAAAAATAAAACTTGCTTTCTGACAAAACAAATCTTGTCAGACTCATCTATTCTCTCCTTGCCTGGGAACTTGGCTGTTCAGAGGGGTGCAGCTGGCTGCATGGGGGTTCTGCTGGATTGAGCAGTGTGTCTCCCTCGGTGCAGGTTCCCTTGCCACCTTTGGCCCAGGTGACTCTGGAACCTGCTGCCAGGTTATAAGGAGCTTCCCTAGTCCCTCCCATTCCCAGGAGGGAAGTACCACCCATGGGAGATATGGCACAGGAACATGAAAGTTAGAGGATACCAAGAGGCTGAGCCCTGACAAAGGGTTTCACTTGCGCTTTATTCCCTTTTTTTAATGCCAAGCATTTCCGACCTTGCTTCCGCCCTCTGCCTAAAGGTAGGATCTTTCAACCCTTTGAGTAGTCTCAAAATTCCAGGGCTGGTGTGTCACTGGGTAATAGTGACAATCTTCAGAGGGGTTTGCAACAACTGGTGTGCAAAGGAGCTCTAAGTTTTTAAGAATTGACCCTGCAATCGAATTCTAGGATAGGGAATGTTCCAACCCATTTCTTCTTTCACGAAGAGCAGAAATTAAGAGCTGTGGTGATATCTACTCTCAGTCATCTTTCACCTTATTCGGACGTCAGTGGATAAGCTTTCCTCTCATCTTTCCTTTAAAAATATGCGTGGGCATGCACCTCATATCAAAGGAGCAAGCTATGGTGATTTCTAAACAAAAGGATTGTTTACAAAAGCTTTTCAGACAATACAGCTTTCTCTGACGCTGCGGATCCTCAGCCCATCTCCTGGAAGGGCCTCAGAGAGTCAGAGTCGTAGTGTATTGTTTCCATCTGCTCTTCAAGAGAAGGAAAGGAAAGAACCCTCCACTGTGGTGTCAAGGGGCCTCAGGCCCATGGAGCACAGTCTTCTGAGATGCCCATCACGTGCAGGACTGGCGTATTGTAAATGCTCTGCAAATGTTTGCTGCCCTGTGCCAGGACAAAGTGAAATCACCTGACGAAGGGAAAGTTGAGGAATGATACAGTTGCTCCTTGGAAGGGTTTTTGGTAAACCTGAGGCTGGGTTCATCTATTCCTTCCTTATTCCCTTTCCTGCACCCCTCTATCTCTTTCACCAAGTTTTGGCCCTCACAATGACACTCACATTTGCCCTTCTTCTCTAATTTCATGGACTCTTCCCTTGCGACCTCATCGTTATCAGCTGCATCCTTGGCAGCCTCCTTGCCAAGGCTGAGCTCTCTGCGGCTGAGTGCATTTCCTAAAGCACTGCTCCTATCCTGATAACACATTGCCCCACCCAACCACTGGCCTGACATCCCATGGCAGTAACTGACTTCAGACTCTTCTGCAGAGTTCTCAGGTGCTTCCAAGGTCTGCCCCCAGCCCTACCTATCTGGGTCCGTTTTTATTACTCCTGAGCCCATGCTTCCTTTCAACAAGACAGGTCTGCTCCACCTCTTGCAGGGTCCAGGGTTGCTCCTGCTTTTGCTTTTGCTGTACTATCATTTCGAATATCCTCTCTTTCTTTTCATGTAACTAACAAAACACTCTGGCCTCTAAACCCAGACACACCTCTTGATGAAAATATCACCAGATAGTCTAGTTCACACTAGTGATGGTGGCAATGGTGGCTATAGTAGGAACAGTGACAGATTGCTAAGCACCTATTGTATCAGCCAGTGTGATGCAGTAGTTAAGATGACTGCTTCTAGACAGGTTGCCTGGGTTCGAATTCTCTTTCTGTCACAAACTAGCTATTGACCTTGGGCAAGTTACTTAACATTTCAATGACTCAGTTTCCTGCATTATATATTGGGGAGGAGAATGGTGCCTACCTTGTAGAGTTAATCTATGTATTATAATAGTACCTGGTGTATAATAAGCACTGTCAGAATGTATCACTATATAGTAATTTATTTGTAGTCTTAAGAACAGCCCAGAAAGGCAAGTATTCTTATTTATATTTTACAGAGAAGGAAAGTGAGGCACAGAGAGATTAAGTAACTGTGCATGGTTACAGCTAATATGCAGCAGGCCCCAGTGAGGGGCAGAGCAGACCTGCCCTGCAGCTGAGCTGGACTTTTAACTCTGGTCTGCCCGCCCCTACTGACCAATGCCTACCTTCAGTGGTTATGGCACTTATGGCTATTTCCACAAAGTTTAACGTTCGGGTGTCCTCTAATTCTTCCCTGAATGCATGCTTATTTATTTCCCCAGATTTTAAGCCAATTAAGGGGAGGACTGTTTCTCACACATCGTGTAGTCGTACAGCGAAGGGCAGAAAGGGATCAAGGGCAACTGTATTCCTGTGAGTCAAGGACAGAAATGATTAACTTAAGTATAGGCAGATGGCTATGCATGGCTGGAGACCCAGAGGGATTCTCTCACCAGAAGGGCCAGGCCTCTGACCTTCCAATCCCCACAGAACTGTCCCATGGTCAACGATTCCACCCAACCAGGGAGAGGATCCCTGAGGTCCTCTGAGACTTCCTTACCAGCAGAATCATAGGAAACCTCATCAGTAGCCATAGAGCATGGACACTGGTCAGTCAGAACACACATCCGAATGGATATCGGCCCTGCCTGAGGGAATGGTTATATCCTCCAGACCTCTCTGGACTGTCTGGAGATTAGGCTTGGTTTGTGTTCTTTTAGGTGATGGTCAGTCAGTGTGGCCACAAGGAGAGGGGACACAGGAGAGGTGAGGGAAAAAGTTTATTATACTCTCAGGTCCTAAAGAGAAAGAGCCACTGCACAGTGAGTGAGGTCACAGGGGAGGGAGCACCAACGGAACCGTGGGGAGTGGAGAAAGAGAAGGAACCATGGGCAAAGGCCTTTGCTGGGGAGGAAGAGGCACCAGGGGCTTTTGTGGGTGCCTTTAAGTGTTACTAGAACACAGCCAGGGAAGGGTAGGAGGGGAAACTTGTGGCGGAGGCCACTCTTATTGCACTGGTGCACCTGGTTACCTGAGCAGGTGCTCACAGTCTGTTTGTGGGGATGTTGAGGCAACAGGAAAATATGAAGTTTTAAAGTTGTTCAGCTGAAGAATGACAAGATTCACACAGGTAGAAAGGAGAGCTTTATTTCTCATAAAGGATTGCAGCCTGCAGGGTGAGCATTCTGCATGGCTGGGAAGTGTAGCCTCCGGCCAGAAGCCAGAAACCTGCACTTTGAGGGTGGTAAGAATAAGACAGAGATTTATGCTGAAGGAGGTGGCCAAATATACATATTCAATAAGCTACAGAAGGATCCATGAATATTTATGAGAGGAGCAACATGAGCATGAGCAATTGAGCTTCATGCCTCTTCATGGGTCCCATGTACAAAAATGGTGGCATTAGCATAATCCCAGGGTGGAGACTTCAGCCCACTGACATCAAAAGGTGAAGAAGAGGACACAAAACCCTCACTGAGCATTCTCCATAGACTGGCCAGAACCACTCCATTGTAGTCTCTTAAAAAAGAATGCTGGTCAGCTGTTGTGTCAAAACTGCAAAAGAAAGTTTTGTTGTGTTAAAACTGAAATTGCTGTGTCAGGCAGTTGGTTGATACCAGTGGTGGAGCAAGTCTTTCACAAGCACTGGTGCCCGTTAAGTCCTTAGGGAAGAAAGCCCTAGTGGTGGTTAGTGAGGGAGGGGCATAACGAGGCGTGTCCGATCTCCCATCCTGCTATGACTGAGAACTCAGTTTTAAGATTTCTCTGGGATCCCCTTAACCAAGAGAGGGTCCATTCAGTCAGTTGCGGGGCTTAGAATTTTATTTTTATTTCTCAAATTTTACAATACCTGGCTTCATGTTTTCCTGTGCACCAGGGGCAAGTAACTGGTAACATCAGTGCCTTAATGCTATAGCAAGACTGGGCAAAGGGAAAGTACATTTCTTAGGGGCAGATTTCCGGCAAATTTTTCCTTAATAGGTCCCTTAAGGAGAGTCACCTCATGATCACAAGATGGCTGCCACACTTCCAGGCATCGCATCTGAGGAAGAATTAGACCCTTTGCTTGATATCTTTCATTTACCCTCTAGGTATTCTCCCCATTCTTCTTTACCCTATGTGATGATTAATATTAAGTGTCAACTTGATTGGATTGAAGGATGCAAAGTATTGTTTCTGGATGTGTCTGTGAAGGTGTTGCCAGAGGAGATTAACATTTGAATCAGTGGATTAGGAGAGGCAGACCTATCCTCAATGTGGGTGGGCACAAATCCAATCATCTGTCAATGCAGCTAGAAAAAGCAGGCAGAAGAAGGTAGAATAAGACAGTTTGCTGAGTCTTCTGGCTTTCTTCTTTTTCCCATGCTGGATGCTTCCTGCCCTTGAATATCAGACTTCAGGTTCTTCAGCCTTTGGACTCTTGGACGTACACCAGTGGTTTTGCCAGGGGCTCTCAGGCCTTTGGCCCCAGATTGAAGGCTGCACGGTCAGCTTTACTTTTGAGGCTTTGGGACTCGGACTGAGCCACTACTGGCTTCCTTGCTCTTCAGCTTGCAGAGAGCCTATCTTGGAACTTCATCTTGTGACTCTGTGAGTCAATTCTCCTTAATAAACTCCTTTTCATATATACATATATCCCATTAGTTCTGTCCCTCTGGAGAACCCTGACTAATACACCCTATCTTCTGCCCAGGAGGCTGAACTACATGAAGGTTGTTTCCAGGTTTTGGTTGGGATAGGACAATGGGGAGTCCCAGCAGATGAGGGAGGGAGGAGAGTGAGGTATTCCCTTGTTCCCTCCCTCTGGAATTGCCTGGGGTTGGCTGTACTTTTCAAGCAAAGGCCACAGCTCCTCTCCAGGTAGCCCTCCTGACACAGCTCTCTCCTGGGTGTGCTCCTTTCCCTGGGCCCTTTGGGTCTAGGGATGGGAGCAGCTCTGCTCTTACTAGCCTTGGGTACCGCACTATCTTTGTGGTCTTGTAACTGCTTGTTGGGTTCACCTTGCCTGCTGCCTAGACAGAGCTGATTTCTCAAAACAGGGGAATTGCAATAAAGAGTAATTCATGCAGAGTCAGCTGTGTGGAAGACCAGAATTTTATTATTACTCAAATCAGTCTCCCCAAGCATTCGGGGATCAGAGATTTTAAGGACAACTTTGTGGGTGGGGGGAAGCCATTGAGTCATGAGGGCTGATTGGTTAGGTAGGAGATGAAATCATAGGAAACTGAAGCTGTCCTCTAGCACTGAGTCAGTTCCTGGCTGGGGATCACAAGATCAGATGAGCCAATTTATCAATCTGGGTGGTGCCAGCTGATCCATCAAGTGCGGGTCTGCAAAATGTCTTAAGCACTGATCTTAGGATCAGTTTTGGGAGGGTCAGAATCTTGTAGCCTCCAGCTACATGACTCCTAAACCATAATTTCTAATCTTGTGGCTAATTTGTTAGTCCTACAAAGGCTGTCTAGTCCCCAGGCAAGAAGGAGGTTTTTTTTGGGAGGGAAGAGGGCTATTATTGTCTTTGTTTTAAACTATAAACTAAGTTTCTCCCAAAGTTAGTTCAGCCTACACCCAGGAATTAACAAGAACAGCTTGGAGGTTAGAAGCAAGATAGAGTTGGTTAGGTCAGATCTTTTTCACTGTCTCAGTTACAATTTTGCAATGGCAGTTTCAGTCTCCTTACCTCTGCTAATTCAAGAAACTATTCCCTTGAATTAGCCTAGTTTGAGTGTGCCCTCTGTTTCTGTTGGGACCTGAGTGCTATGGGCCTCACAAGCTTCCTCTCTCTTCTGGAGACTTCCATTTATGTTCATGGACCACATCTGATCACATGGTCACAGGTAGCTGCAAGGGAGGCTGGAAAAGCAAGAATTCAACTCTTCCGAACTCTATAATGGCAGACAGCAAGGGAGAAGGAGGTTGGGAATTACTGTGGAATCCACCAACGAAAATATCTGCCACCAACAGTAAAGATGTGAAAATAATTAAACAAACAAGTGAAAAGACTTCCAGGCCCAAGATAGACTCTGATACCCCACCCTCTTGTCAGCTCAGTATTGACCTTTCACAGTCATGAAGTTGAGCACTCTGGTCAGACGTCAGGGCTGCGGGGAACCTTAATGTTCACCTGATCAGGCCCCATATGTATTATTGGAGCCCATTTGGGACAGCACTGCTATGTGGCCATCCAGACTCACACATTTACAGGAACAGAAAGTGCACTACTCCAGAGCTCTAATCATTAGAAGGTGCTTTCTCACATAGAGCTGAACTCTTCCAAACTCCCTGCCTCTCCTTCTGCTCTGCCCTCGGGGCTAGGGGGTGGGCACAGACAACTGCCTTCTCCTCATGTCAACCCTTACAGATGTGAGGTCCTGGCATCCTCTGCCTAGGCCTCTTCTTCTCCAGGTTGCATATTTCCAGTTCCTATAGTTTTCTCTTGTTCCTGCAATACTGTACAAAGTCCTTTGCAAAGAAGCCTCAGAGTTGCTTTCTTTTTTTCATTTCAAAGACAAATTTAAATCATTTTCTCCCAAGTAAGCCAGGTTTAGAAACCAGAAATCTAGAATTATTGCTGACTCAATTGTCGTGTCTCTGCCATCACCTCACTGCAAAACATTTCTGTCCTAGAGGGATTCACACACAACACGAAGCAGCGAGGGCACTTCTCTGTCTGAAGCACACTCTGTATCTGCCCTTACAGCTGCCTGCCTGGCTGCACCAGGCAGTGATGGAGGGGCCCTGAAGTCTAATTCACACAATGCTCTGGAACTCTCTTATTAAGGCCACTAGATGGAGGGAGTGGACTCAGGGATCATCGGCAGTGCCCAATTAATAGTGTGCATGGTGGAATGGTGTCAATTAGTAATACTTATATTGCAGCATGTCCTCCAATCTATTTGTTCAAATATATTAACAACATCTCACGATAGCAAATTAAAAATTAACCCTTCATGGGTGTCTCTCCATATGCTATGGATGTAGGGAATCATTTTAGGACAGAGACTAACATTCTTTTTTTAAATGTTTTTTGTTGTACTTTAAGTTCTGGGGTACATATGCTGAATGTGAAATTTTATTACATAGGCATATACATGCCATGGCGGTTTGCTGACCCATCAACCCATCACCTACATTAGGTATTTCTCCTAATGCTATCTTTCCCCTAGCCCCCCACCCCCCAGCAGGCCCTGGTGTGTGATGTTCTCCTCCCTACGCCCATATATTCTCATTGTTCAACTCCCACTTATGAGTGAGAACATGCGGTGCTTGGTTTTCTGTTCCTGTGTTAGTTTGCTGAGAATGATGGTTTCCAGTTTCATCCATGTCCCTGCAAAGGACATGAACTCATTCTTTTTTATGGCTGCATAGTATTCCATGGTGTATATGTGCCAAATTTTCTTTATCCAGTCTATCACTGATGGACATTTGGGTTGGTTCCAAGTCTTTGCTATTGTGAACAGTGCCACAATAAACATACGTGTGCATGTGTCTTTATAGTAGAATGATTTATAATCCTTAGGTTATATATCCAGTAATGGGATTGCTGGGTCAAATGGTATAGTTCTAGATCCTTGAGGAATCATCACACAGTCTTCCACAATGGTTGAATTAATTTACACACCCACCAACAGTGTAAAAGCATTCCTGTTTCTCCACATCCTCTCCAGCATCTGTTGTTCCCTGACTTTTTAATGATCACCATTCTAACTGGGTGTGAGATGGTATCTCATTGTGGTTTTGATTTGCATTTCTCTAATGACCAGTGATGATGAGCATTTTCTCATATGTTTGTTGGCTGCATAAATGTCTTCTTTCGAGAAGTGTCTGTTCATATCCTTTGCCTACTTTTTGATGGGGTTGGTTTTTTTTTTTTGTAAATTTGTTTAAGTTTTTTGTAGATTCTGGATACTAGCCCGTTGTCAGATGGATAGATTGCAAAAATTTTCTCCCATTCTGTAGGTTGCCTGTTCACTCTGATGATAGTTTCTTTTGCTGTGCAGAAGCTCTTTAGTTAAATTAGATCCCATTTGTCAATTTTGGCTTTTGTTGCAATTGCTTTTGGTGTTTTAGACCTGAAGTCTTTGCGCATGCTTATGTCCTGAATGGTATTGCCTAGGTTTTCTTCTAGGATTTTTATCGTTTTAGATCTTACATTTAAGTCTTTAAACCATCTTGAGTTGATTTTTGTATAAGGTGTAAGGAAGGGGTCCAGTTTCAATTTTCTGCATATGGCTAGCCAGTTTTCCCAACACCACTTATTAAATAGGGAATCTATTCCCCATTGCTGGTTTGTGTCAGGTTTGTCAAAGATCAGATGGTTGTAGATGTGTGGTGTTATTTCTGAGGCCTCTGTTCTGTTCCATTGGTCTATATCTCTGTTTTGGTACCAGTACCATGCTGTTTTGGTTACTGTACCCTTGTAGTATAGTTTGAAGTCAGGTAGCATCATGCCTCCAGCATTGTTCTTTTTGCTTAGGATTGTCTTGGCTATGCAGGCTCTTTTTTAGTTCTGTATGAAGTTTAAAGAAGTTTTTTCCAATTCTGTGAAGAAAGTCAGTCGTAGCTCGATGGGGATAGCATTGAATCTATAAATTACTTTGGGCAGTGTGACCATTTTCATGACATTGATTCTTCCTATCCATGAGCATGGAATGTGTTTCCATTTGTTTGTGTCTTCTCTTATTTCCTTGAGCAGTGGTTTGTAGTTCTCCTTGAAGAGGTCCTTCACATTCTTTGTAAGTTGGATTCCTAGGTATTTTATTCTTTTTGTAGCAATTGTGAATGGGAGTTGACTCATGATTTGGCTCTCTGTTTGTCTGTTATTGGTGTATAGAAATGCTTGTGATTTTTGCACATTGATTTTGTATCCTGAGACTTTGCTGAAGTTGCTTATCAGCTTAAGGAGATTTGGGGCTGAGACGATGGGGTTTTCTAAATATACGATCCTGTCATCTGCAAACAGAGACCATTTGACTTCCTCTTTCCCTATTTGAATACACTTTATTTCTTTCTCTTGCCTGATTGCCCTGGCCAGAATTTCCAATACTATGTTGAATAGGAGTGGTGAGAGAGGGTGTCCTTGTCTTGTGCTAGGGCTTCCAGTTTTTGCCCATTCAGTATGATATTGGTTACGGGTTTGTCATAAACAGCTCTTATTATTTTGAGATACATTCCATTGATACCTAGTTTATTGAGAGTTTTTAGCATGAAGGGGTGTTGAATTTTGTTGAAGGCCTTTTCTGCATCTATTGAGATAATCATGTGGTTTTTGTCATTGGTTCTGTTTATGTGATGGATGACGTTTATTGATTTGTGTATGTTGAACCAGCCTTGCATCCCAGGGATTAAGCCGACTTGATTGTGGTGGATAAGCTTTTTTATGTGCCGCTGGATTCAGTTTGCCAGTATTTTATTGAGGATTTTTGCATCGATGTTCGTCAGGGATACTGGCCTGAAATTTTCTTTTTTTGCTAGAGACTAACATTCTAATTAGAGGAGTCTCAGCTCCTCCGTGGATCCTGCCACAAGGGCAGGAAAAATGGGAGAGATAGAAGAGATGAGTGGGTCATTAGGCAGCAAGCTGAATTAGAAAGAGGCTGGAGTGAGGATGAAGCCAAAAGGATGCGGCAGACATGTTGGTACAGGGGCAGAGAATGGGCCAAAAGGCCTTTCTGTGGGCACAGCTGTGGGGCTGGCCAGCCCAGGAAATAAATCCTTAAACTCTGGGTCTGTGGAGGGGCATTACTGCTGAGCATGGAGCAGTGTACCTTGAAGCAGGTGGCTTCAAGAAGGATTTGAATGGATTCTGGCTCAGCCTGGACTCATAGAATGCCAGCATTAGGTATGACCTTGAGGAGCTCAAGTCCAACTCTCTCGATTGTAGACAAGGCAATGGAAGCCCAGATAGGCTAAATGATTTGTTCCAAAGCACAGGGATAATAAGTAAGGCAGCTGGAGTGGAGGGCAGGATTTCTGATTCCACATGTAGTGTGCTCTCCATTGCATGAAGCCACTCCATTGTTATTTTGTTGTCTATTTTATTTATGAAATGTTTTAGGTCACTCACTCAACAAATATCTATTACAAATCAGACACTGTGCTGGGAATAAATACAAAGTTGCCCCCCACTCACACACTGCTCTCGCCAAAGGAGTTCACAGTGTTGCAGGAAAGGCCAGTAAGAATAAATAATTACAAGCAATGTGATGTGAGCCACCATAGGGGTCAAGAATATGTGAGCCATGAGCACAGAGGAGGGATCTAGGGTTAGTGATGGCTTCCTGAAGGAGAATCAATATAACAAAAATTCATTTTCATAATTATTATGCTTTAATTTAATCTCAACAATGCTAGACACTGGAAATAGCCCAACAGCAAAAGAAGGGTAAGCTAGGAGAAGGCAGTCTGGCACACAGGTGGGGAGCATGATGCATGGGCTTTAATTCAGGCAAACCTGTCTTCAATCCCATTCTGCATTGCTTCTGCACTGGGTGGTTGTGGGCAGTGATGTTTGCTCATTGGTCAGGTGGGGCCAATAATACCACATGGTGTTGTTGCTAGGATGAAATGAGAAGAGGCAGGTCATGAATTTAGCATAGTCAGGCACATAGTCGGCCCTCGATCAGTGCAGGCTTTGGGTGACTCTTGACTCACGTGGATTCCAGGTTCTGTGGCTCCAGCTGCCTATTTGGTTGGCTTTAAGAACGAGTACTTTCCCCAACCCTCAGCCTGCCCTTCATTTGAAGTGGTGAGAAGCCTCTGAATTCACAGCCTCTGAGAGCATCAACCTGTAGCTTCCCTGAGAAGAGACTACTGCTGGGAGAACAGCTGCTTCCAAAAATTCTGATGTGCTTTCTCTCTCGCTCAAAGCCTGCCGTGTTAATTAGGAAGACTGCATGCATGAACACTTGGCTTTTCTTTGCTTTTCTTTTTTAATCTCTTAAAAAAAAAACCGTCTTTTGATCAGCACCGTGAGTAAATTGCGAAGTCTCGAGTCTTGCAAAGATGTGTTAAGAATATGAAGAAGGTGCTGCCTCCTTTGACAACTGCCTCTGCACACCCTGAGATGGAGTTTCAGGGCATCTTGTCCTCTGTTCTCGGTTCCCAGATGGCCTTGCACCTGGAACAGCTCTCCTACTTTCTGCTCCCACCTGAGCCCAGCCCTAACGAGTTTGTGCAGAATTAGAAAGGTCAGGCCTAGCAGGTCCTCTCAGAAGCATGGGAGAGCTTGCTGATAAGTGGCGACCAGGTGAAACAGACTTCACCTGGGTCTGAGGCAGCCTAGGCTCACGTGATAAGGCTGTGGTTTTCCGGAGTCCTGGGAACTGCCCTGACAATGACCACCTGGGTTCACTTCCCTTGGGAGAGGGGAGGTGGGGAGGTGGGGAGTTAGGTGGGGGGAGCATTGCACTGCAGAATGGGAAGGACAGAGGTCAGAGCTGCTAAGCAGGTGTAAAGGAATGTGGAATCAGGGTTTCAAACTTCTATCTTCCTTTTGCTCCCCTATCAATTACTCTGACCTTGTTTTGTGACTACAGGAATCAAAAGAGGATGTACATGCCTAGATTTCTCTCATGCCACTCCCAAAGCAGGATTTAGGATTTTCTTGTATCCCTTAAAAAGAAAACTCACACTACAGGCATTCGTGAAAAATGTAGACTTTACTGATGATTTATAGTTGGCCAGAGAGGGTCTATATTACATAGCACATGGAATTTCATGAAAGAAAGAAAGATATGTATTAGACATTTGTGTGTGTGTGTGTATGAGTGCGATTGAAAGGGAGGGAGGGAGAAAAGTAGAGAAGAAGGAAGGAGAAAGGAAGGAAGGAAAGAAAGAAAGAAAGAAAGATGAGAGCAAGAGATTAGGGTCTCTTCTCACCAGGATCGTGCTTTTCTGAAGTCATACTTCTCTGTGTTCAGCCCCAGGGTTTCCCTCTCTCTACAGTGCTACTCCATGAAGCCTCCAGTTCTCCCTTTATTCCTGTCTGCCATTCTGAGAACTTTCTGAAAGACCTCTCTATTTCTTCCTGTCTGATCTGGGCATTTAGCTCAGGCTCCTCCAGCTTGCATCTCCCCTCTCACCATTGGCTCAGTCTCCCCCAGGCCTCAGTCCTATACCTGGCTTCCCTGGGCCCTCCGGCTCCCTCCTCTCCCTCTGCGTTTCTGCTGGGCTCCTTGTAAATGGTGCAGGCCCCTTTTGTCTTTTCATGGTGCAAAAACATTTCTATTTCCCAGGACCCACGAAGTTTTATTCATGGTTGCTTTTTTTTTTAAAAAAAAGAAAATTTAGAGAGTTTCTTCAGCTCATAAAGAAAAATCACCAAAAGATACTCTGATCTGCCTTCCAAATAAACATAGAGTAACTATCTAACAAATGTAGTGCAACTAATCATAGCAAATTAGCTTTTCTGGTACAAAACAGTCAGTCAAAATATGCTGGAGGCCTTGTGCTATCCAGATTCTTTCTTGGAGTAAAGCGAAAGACATGGCTTACGTAGCCTGCCCCTCCCTCTCTGTCTTGGCTGTCGGTGCAGTGTATCCAGGTATTAACTTTGCTGGGGGTGGGTATTTATCAGACAGCTGTGTCATAGGAAAACACCCGTGCCATCTTTCTGCTCAGCATAGCACTGAGGAAGGTGGTCCCAGGACCGTCTGTACCTATCTATCACCCTCAGGTCTGGACTCCACGCTGTGATTCATCACCACGCCCTCTCAGAGCTGGGGGCAGGTAATCTGGGCAGGGACATGAGAAATGGCCTGCAGTTTGTCAATGGCAGTGATCCAACACATTCGCTCATGGGATACGTCAGCGTTCAGAACGTAATAGCCTGCAACCAAGAAAATGAAATGTTTGAATTAGTCCATGAGAATTTAAGTTGAAACAAAAAGTGGTGTTGGATAAAATTTTCTTCAAGAATTTTGTTTTTCTTTGGAGAAAATGAAGATCTAGTTTTTGATTGACATGACAGAGCCCAAGCATACAACCCACTCATTTCAGGAGTTGACTTGCAATTTTATACATACATATATATATATAAAAAATATGCGTGTACATATAACATTATACATTATATAAATAGATATAAATTATAATACAATAACATATATTACTCTATATATCACTATCTATAGACATAGATCATTTCAATAACACTTTTCATTAAGTATACCCACCCCCTTCCCAGCTTTCTTACAGGTGTCTAAGAGTGTGTTTGTTGTTCCCGTTATGGAACAATAATCAGAAAAGCTGGCAGACTGAAGACTAACCCCAGATTGCAGCTGCTTTGGGAAGAGAGGACAAAAGTATCAATTTCATGAAAGTTTAGCTGATGACAACCAAGCAGTGTATTTCCAACCTCCATTTCCCCACGTGGCTTTCTGAATTCCTCTCCCCACCAAGAGGCACAGCTCTGCAGGGCTGCAGGTTCTCGCGCAGAGAAATGCAAAGCTGAAAGCCTGACGCCTGGGCTCAGTCCCGCGTGCCCCTCCCGGCAGGGCACGCACTCTCAGCCAGTTGAGCTAAGTGCCTGGGGCCTAGGAGGGGAGTATGCAGAGGCTTGGGGTGGAGGTGGTGCAGGGCCCGGAAGACTGGGAGGGCCTCCCTTTGTCTGTGCCAACGCAAAGCAGGATGGTTCCCAACCATGTGGCTCCCCTTCTCTGAGGCTGCTTCTCCTCATGGGGTTAATTATACCAACCTGAATCTCAGGGAGTGTGAATTAATTGCCAAACACTTTACAATTATCAGGAGCCCACGAGGTGCTTCACCACCATAAAGCATTACATCTAATTATTGTTCATAATTATAAAGGTTCGGAAGCACTAAGGTCTCCCATGGCAACCTTCACACACACACACACACACACACACACACACACACACTCTCTCTCTCTCTCTCTCTAAATCACACACACACAGTGATAGACTTTTTCATTGCAGTATTAAATGCAGCTCATAAACCTGCCATATTATTGGGTAAATATTTATTTTTATAAGCTGAGATAAGTGGTCAACTCTGGGGTAATGATTCCTTTTCTAAATGCTTCAGACAGACCAGGCCCTCAGTCTGATGACAGGCACAGGGCTCTGAGCATCAGCCAATGCGACTCACGTAATCTACAGCAACATCTTTATCAGATAGACATGATGAGGACATGAAGTGTGATTATATTTTTATGGCTTGTCAGTAAAAATTAAAATATCCTGATTGAAAGTGTTATAAAAATATAGCAAAAGCATATCCCTAAATAAACAGTGTAGGAGAATCTAAACCATCCTTCAATTGAAAGGCTGATTTACAGGGAGATGATGTGTCTCAAAACAAAAGCACAAGGGTATGAGACTTGGCAAGTTATCAGTTTGGCTTACTGACTGTTGAAATAAAAGTTCAGTATAAAAGCAGTTTGACATATACAGCCATCCCTTGGTATCCACTGGGGATTAGTTCCAGGACCTCCCATGGATGCCAAAATACACGGATGCTTAAGTTCCTGAAACAAAATGGTGTAGTATTTGCAACCAAACACTGCATGTTCACACTCATAGGTGGGAATTGAACAACGAGAACACTTGGACACAGGAAGGGAAACTTCACACACTGGGGCCTGTCATGGGGTGAGAGGAGCAGGGAAGGATAGCATTAGGAGATATACCTAATGTAAATGATGAGTTAATGGGCATTAACTCGCTATGGGCACACCAACATGGCTCATGTATACATATGTAACAAACCTGCACGTTGTGCACATGTACCCTAGAACTTAAAGTATAATAAAAAAAAAGAAAGGAAAAAAAGGTGTAGTATTTGCATATAACCTATGCATATCCTCCTGTATACTTTAAATCATCTCTAGATTACTTGTAATACCTAATACAAGGTAAATGTTGTGTACAGAGTTGTTATGCTGTATTATTCAGGAATAACGACAAAGAAAAATGTCTGTACATATTCAATACAACTGTAACTTTTTCCTCCCAAATATTTTCAATCTGCTGTTGGTTGAATCCATGGATACGGAGAGCTGACTCTGTGTGTGTGTGTGTGTGTGTGTGTGTGTGTGTGTGTGTGTGTGTGTATGGCTTCATTTCATGCATGGTTGTGGTGCCATCAGTGGAATGAAATCAACCTCATTCACATGGAAGTACTTAAAATTCAGCCATGTGTCTAGTCTGGGGCATCTGCTGTATGAAGTTTCCTAAAGGGAAACTTGGTTTTATAATAGATGTCTGGAAATCCTGCTGCTGCTGCTGCTGCTGCTGCTGCTGCTGCTGCTGCTGCTGCTACTGGAGAAGTCTTGTTTGGATGCTCTCCCCACTACCATTTGGTTGAGGAGTATATTGGTGGGCTTTGTAGTTACTAGCGGGGACTTGGCTTTCTTCTGTTCTGCATACCTGGAGCCTAGAGCTAATTTCCTCCATGAATTTCCTCCTGGGAGAAGAGCAATTCCGGCTGCTTTGCTTGACTGGAGTGTGGAGAGAAGAACACTAGGTGCTTCTGGTAAAGTCTTTGGGTCTGGGGTGATGGCCAGTGCTCTTAACTCCAGCCCACTGACCCAGTGGGGTGGAGCGATGCAGGTAGCAAAGGACAGACAGTAAAGCCTGACCATGAGCCAAAGGAGGAAAAGCTAACAAAGAAAAGAAAAGAACCACGGTGCTCTAGTGAAGGTGCATTCCTGAAGAGCCGGCTTCTTTGACTGTGCCAAGTGACCAGGTCTGGTGACTCTGTCAGTCAAAAGCACATGATAGGTATACTTTACCTGTACTGTCCAGGGAGGAATTGCAAAAGAAATAAAAATAAAAAATAGGCCTGCCTCACAATAGGTCCCAGACTAGATGTGATAAATGGGAATGGGAGCTGGAGATCCAAATGGAAAAAGACCTCAATAGGCTACAAAAAAAAAAATTGATAACTAGTAGTGAGTTGATCAAGGGCAGGTGATTGTGGAGCTGTGGCCTGCAATCAGAGCTGAGGTGTGGTTCATGAGGCTCTGCACAGGTAAGAGGGGCAGTGTAGAGTAATGGTTGGGCTGCACAGACTTGAGCTGGAATCCTAGCTCAGCTACTTTACCAGTGACTTCACCTTGCCAGCCCTCAGTTTCCTCTTCTGCAAAATGAGGGACAATACAACTGGTATATCTTAAGAAATCATTATGAGAATTAAATGAGCTATTGTATGTAAAATATTTGCCACGTTGCCTGACACACGGTGAGGGCTCCATAAATATTAGTGATCACTAATGTTAATCAATAAGTTTGAAAAAGCGGAGAGATGTAGATGAGTAATGGGAGAATATATAGGTTAGAGACATTAAGATTTAAGAATGGGGCAGTGTAATAATTGCTTACTGTCTTAGGTAAGTGTTGAAGTATAGGGTTTTACAGCTTGGACTCAGACTAAGATTGTCTGGGTTTGCATTCTGACTGCCTCTTACTAGATGTGTTTGGTAAGTTATTTACCTCTTTGTGTCTCAGTTTGCTCCTTTGTAAATGGCAATTATTATAATAATATCTACCACATAGGACTCTAATGAGAAGGAAATGAGTTAAGTTGTAAAACACTTGGAGCAATGTCTGGCACAAAGTCAGTGCTATATAATAGTGGTTATTATCATTGATATTATTATGTGGTTGTTTTGTATATAACCAGTGAAAATATATTTCTCAGTGCTAAATAAAAACCATTACTAATTATTAATTTTAAACACAAAGTATCCAACCGAAAACTGTTTGGCTGACAAAATAATCTGTGAACTACCCCAAGTCATGACCAAGTGTCTGAGGGGCCACTCATAAAAAGAAAGGATGTTGTTGACATTAGCAGTTCGTGTATGCCACTATGCTGCCATGATGGCAGTGGGGGTGTCCATCACATTTAAATCATGTTCAAAGTGAAATCCTGGCTGTAAAATGAATGCTGGAGGATAGGCAGTGATATCCAGGTGCAATAAAAATTCAGGAGTACATGGTAGTATTAGAGCCCAGCGGTAAATAGAGTCAAGTAACAAAGAGTAGAATATGAAGCTTCTTGGGCACCCTACTTCATGCCAGCCAAGGGCACACCACCATCCTCATGCAGCCACCACTGGTAACGAAAAGGAACAACCATGACAGCTTATATAGCAGTGCTGAGGCACATGTCCAGTACCAGTGCATGAGGTACATGTCTAGTAAACGTTGAGTCACTAGTTGGTTAGCATATTGCTTACACATTACCGAGCCCTTGCTTTAGTTTTTATATCATCATGAGTTACTATGCAAAGGTCAAAGGCCAGGGCAAAAGTGACAGAATCTGTGCTTTTGCAAATGCAGAGACCAAACCCGAAGTGATGAGGAGCTGATGTGGGCAGTCTGGCAGGTTCCAGCCTCCTCCTCCAAGTGGATCATATATGAGCATAGTATAGAGCTGCTAGCAACATGGAGGGAGAGTTGGAGAAAGCATAGTGTTGGCTTTGTTTGTTGGGAGTTGCATAGGAGATGTGACATCATTTGATTGTTAATTCACCCCTCTGTTTATACAACAAATATGTATTGAGCATCTTTGTGCACCAAACTCTGTACCAGATTCTGGATTACAACAGTGAACAAGATGAACGTGGCCCCTGGACTGTCGACAGGCCACCATGGTAGAGTTGGTAGGTGTTATGGTAGGAAGAATGGGGGCACAGACCATTTCTGAAGAGGGAAGGTAGAGGTTTGGGGCTACCCAAGGTGGCTGAAAAGTCCAACTCCCTAAAGAAAAAGAGATAAACCATCCATATTTGGTGTTCGTCTTAAGCAAAATCAATACATTTTGCAGCAGTCTGAAGGAGTTGTTTAAATGGCAGAGCTTGTCCCATGATAATGCCCAGCCTGTTTCAAAGCATGGCACAGCTCAGTTAGGCTGACTCCAACAAAAGCTTCACCTTCTTTATGTCATAAGCTCCTGAGGCTTGGGCGGGGCAACACAGAGGGAGTTACAGGTGCAAACACAGGATAGGGCCTGGAGGCGAACAAAGGCCGTACAGTCTGTTCCACTCTACAGATCTCGCCAAGGAACGGATGAAACTGCAGAGTGATATAAAGACCATTGACATTTTTTTAAAGACCATTGACATTTAAAAGCAAGATTTCAGTTTAATATTTCTGAAGAGCCTCAAAGACATACACAAAAGGTTTGAATAAAATCCATAATAAAATCCACGATGAATGGATCTCCATACTCCACCTCTTACCTCATGCCACAGTGCTTTGTCCAATTATCTTCTAGGGAACATGTGAAGTTGAAAAATGAAGTGGGAACTAGTGCTGTTAGCAATGCTATGGCGCCTGATACACTGCCATTTTTTTTTCTTCCAAAAAAAGTAGAAATAATTTTTTTTGCACGCTCTTCACGCTAGCCTACCAAACCTTATGGAAACCTCTCAACCATGCCATCCTGAGCTTTATCTACTGTACCTAAAGAATTTTTTGGTTGTATATATTACATTCAAGTTGGCCAATAGCATTTTCTCCATTTTACAAAGAGAATTCTGAAAAGCCAGAATGTAAATCTCTGTAGCATCTGAGGAAAAAAAAAAGAGAGTAACTAATAGCTCTAAAGGAAAATAGCGTTGAAAGAATCGAGATTCATAATTCACACGGATTTAATTACTCATTAACTGCTTGGTCTGAAACGCTGTGCTATTGCTCCATATTTTAAGCATCTCTTAAATAAGATTAATTTTTAGAATGGCAGGTAATGTTCCTCACAAGAGGAAAATAACTATTTACTCATCATCCTAGATTATATATTAAAAAGCATTTCATTGCAATTCAATTTGGTGAGTCAGAATCTTCACCCAGAGATTAGTTATCCCCATCCTGGTGTGGTGATTGTTTCCTGAGGGAAATGAGGATGAGGCAAAGAGGATGGGAGGATGGGACCTGGAGAAGACCTGTGGGCTTTTTGTGGGCCCCAAATGCGGATCGACTATCTGGGCTGCATGCGGAGACTTCACCTACGTGATAGCCCTTTTAAAAGGGTTTAATCAACAATGTTGAAATAGGCAACACTGTCTTTTTAAGATCTTGATTTTTAATTTTATATTTATTTTCCAGTTACAAAAATGAACGCATGGTATTCATTGAAAATAATTAGAAACATTTTTAAAAGCACAAAGGAATAGTGACTCTCAAAAATTGTACCTTTGGAGACACACATTGCTAACACGTCTCTTTACTGATGAGTTTACATCTATAACATTTTGAAAGAGGGACAATGCTTGATGGGAAAGGCAAAGGCCATGGGGTGGGAGTGTCTTCATATGTCCAAGAAGCAGCAAGGAGGCTGGCATGTCTGGAACAAGAGGGAGAATGTGAGAAGAGGCTCAGAGAAATACATAGGTGCTTTTGGTCAGAGGAAGTATTTGGGGTTTTATTCTAAGTGAGATAGGAAGCCACTGAAGGATATTCATCAAAAGAGTGACATAATTTTCTAAAAGATCTGGCTTCTTGGGAGAGGGTAGGAGGGTGACACACAATGGTAGAAACAGGAAGCCATTTCAGTAACCCCATCAGCAAGAGATGATGATGGCTGAGAGAAAGATGGAAGTGGTAGAGAGAGTAAAAAAAAAAAAAGGGTTAGAATCTGGATGTAATTTCAAGGTAACACCTAAATGAGTACTGATAAATGGCCCTCCAGCTCCACTGTCCATGAAGCTTGGCCACCAGGCACTCTTTGTTATTATTGCCCAAAGTGCAATCTCCCAGTGTAGCCCCACACTTACCCAAGCTATCCTAGACATTCTCTTCCTTGCACACTTACCAGGCACCCTAGAAAGCCCCTTTGTTCCTCCTCCCCCTCACCACCACTGCTCCAACTGAAAGGAAAGGCAGCAGCCACTTCTTGCATCGATAACCTTCTGTCATATTCTGTCAATATCTTCTGTGACATTATAATATGCAGTTGAATACAAAGAGAATCAACTGAAATAAAACACCACCAAGTGTGTCCCTTTCAAAGTGAAAGGCAGAGATGTTTTGCAGGCTGTTGATTAGCATGCGCAGCCACAGAACTGCTTGAGATTTAGCGCTTATGGCAGACACCTTAGAGAAGGCGTGAGGACATGGTGCCCTGGAACAGGAAGCTGCAGAGGAATGGAAGTCGGAAAGGGAAATTAGACTTCAGAGAATGTTGTCTCCCGCAATAAAGTGAGCAGCATGGACTGGACACTTTTGCATTCAGAAAGGATATTCCAATTTCTCCTGAAAGTGATCGTAACAAATGAGGTTCTTAATATGTCCCATTTTGAAACCTGTGTGTTTCATCATTCTTAAAAGCAAAATGAGTCATCTGTTTTTCTCACTATCCTTGAACCATAAAAAGAGCGGTTTTGATTCTATTGTATTTCCTTCTTCCACACTGGTAACACGAATGCAGAGGCCCCTGTGGACCACCGGCAATAATGGAAGCCATAATTGTGACTTGTGGGACGCAAGTTCATGGTGTCCCTTTCCCTGGCCCACCAGATGTGGGTAGTGTGTGGGCCTCCTCTGCGGACAGTGTGTCTGGCACCTAGGGCTGAATATTTAAATCCCCGGGAATTATCTTGGTATGTTTACATGAAAGACAAAAATCTATTTATAGTAACGAAACAAACTGGTTTATTCCCTTATCGAACAAAAATAATCAAGTAATGCAAAGTAGTATAAGTAACATAAGTTTTCTACATGTAAAAATGGCTTGGATGGAACTCAAGGGCATTATGCTGAGTGGAAAAAAAAGCCAGTTTCAAAAAATCGTGCACTTTATGATTCCATTTATGTAACATTCTTGAAATGACTAAATTGTACAGATAGAGAAGAAAGCAGTGATTACCAGGGGTTACAGATGATGGGGGGCTGGAGAAGGGGATGGGTGAGACTATAAAGGAATAGCATGAAGGAGATCCTTGCAGAGATGGGATAGTTCTGTGTCTGAATTGCAGTGATACACATGGGATAAAATGGCATAAAACTATACACACATTGTACCAATGCCAGTTTCCTGGGTTTGATATTGTACTGTAGTTATGTAAGATGTAACCATTGGGGGAAACTGGGTGACCTCTCTGTACTATTTTTGCAATGTCCTGTGAATCTATAATTATTCCAAAATAAAAGTATTTTAAAAAAAACACTACAGCATACTGTGATTAAAAGACTGAAAAGGCAAGCCACAGGCTGGGAAAATCTTTTGCAATACATTTATCTGACAAACAGCTTACATCCAAATATTTAAAGAATTCCTACAAATCAATAAGAAAAAGACAAACAAATCAATACAAATGGGCAAAAGAGGATATTCAGATGTCCACTGAGCATTTGAATAGGTGCTCAACATCATCAGTCATCAGGAAAATGCAAATTAAAACCACAATGAGATTTCACTGCATACCCATCAGAATGGCAAAATTTAAATTTCACTGCATACCCATCAGAATGGCAAAATTTAAATTTAAATTTAATTTTAATTGTAAAATACATACAATATAGAGTTTGATGAGGATATAGTACAGTTAGAGTTTCTGTCTATTGTATATGGAAGTGTAAATTAGGTCAGCCACTTGGGAAAACTCTGGAGGTTGAACTCTCCAGGAAGCAAGTTCTGTGATGAAGATTGCCATGTAGGAAGTTTATTGGGAAGTACTTTTGGGACCAACACTTGGGAAAGGAAAGGAAAAAGAAAAGAAGAAAGGAGGATTGGGTAGAGAGAAGAGTTGATATACAGGCAGTCTCAGGAAAGACTTCAGGTGACCTTACAAGGAACTCTAACCCTGGAATGACCATTCAGAATTTTTCTGATCTGGATCAAGGGGACTTGTTTTATACTTCTGTGCTGATCAGTCATTGGATGTGGGCTGGCCTGGGAAGAAGGAAGAAGGTGTGACCTTCGCTGAGGCACCTCTTCTCAGCCAAGGAGATTCTTGAAGAGGACTGACCATGGAGGGCTGTCTCCCAACAGCTGGTGAAATAGTCTTCATTTATGAAGGGAGACCTGGGTAACACCTCACAGTGCCACTGTGGTCCACCCCTGTACCAATTGGATTCACTTCATCATGAGGCTTGGAGTGTAGCTCTTCCAAAATCCTGATGGACTTCTTCTTGAACAAACTGTAGTCTTTGATATTTCAGCTGGGAATGAGGCTCATCCTCCCCATCTGCTGCTACCCAATCTAGATTTCTTTCATCCCCAGTAAGCTCCTCTGGGGTATCAATGGCTTATTTGATGGTATGACCCAGAACCTCATTTCCAAGAGAGCCAAGTCCCTGGTTACCATTCCCTTCTCAGGCCAGGGTTGCTGCACATGTCCTTTTGCCACCAGAACTGGGCATAGGAGTATTAAGAGATACCCAAATGGATTACACTGGTGTAAATAAGATTCCTTCCTGCCCTCCTCTTGATGATCTGTGCCAATTATTCTTGTCAGTATAGTGGTTCCTTTTCTTGACAGCTGGTCTCTTGGCAGAATGAGCCTAAAATTTCCAGGCTTGTTTAGTGGTATTCTTACTGTGTTCCCTAGTATATAATGATATACATGATAATGTAGATAAATCTTACAGACATTACATTGAACGGAAAAAGCCAGAACCAAAGGTTCTGTAGAGCCCAAAGTTTCTGTTTAGAAGTTCTGTAGAACTTCTAAACCTACAGAGCCCAGAGTTGCAGGGATAAGAAACACAAAATCTCTCAGTATGTCATTGGGAGTCATGTTAGGTGAGGCCTTTCCCCCTTCCATCCCCTGGCTCCTGGACCAATATATTCAATCTATTAGGAACATAGCACCATATAAAGGTCATTGATTAGAGTGTACGCTCCATCCTTGCAGGATACCACATCCAAATTGGCACTTCTGCTGTGTCTCCAATAGGTCATTCCATCTCTATCAGGCTGACTGCTTCTGGGTTATGTGGTATTTGATATAATTAGTGGATCCCATAGTGATGTGGACACTCACACAGACTCTTTGCTTTAAAGTGGTGGCTCACTCTGTAAACCCTTGAGTAATGGAGTTGGTTTAGACTCTGTGGGCAGAAAGACAAATCCATATCCAAATATGTATCTATTACTGTCAAAATGAAACACTCCCTTAATTTCATTCATTAACTTGCAGGGGTACAATGTAATTGACCTGCTACCAAGTGACTGGTTGACCTAATTAAGGGACTTATCATTGGCCTCTGTTGTTGGCAGGTTGGACATTTGACAGCAGCATTAGCAAGATCAGCCTTTGTAAGTGGGAGGCATCCTGTTGGTACCATATATAGTCTCCATCCCCACCACTATGATTACCCCATTCTTGTGCCCATTGTGCTGGCTCTGGCATGGCCAATGATAGGGGTGGCTGATGTCAACTGGTTGAGTCATTTTTGTCTCTTTGATTTTTTATTGTTTTTCCATGGTGAGTGCTCTCTGGTAGGTGTTAACATGCAATACGAAGATTTTCACTCTTCATGCTCCCTCCCATATGTCCATTTCTCTACCCAAGACTTCTTTTTTCTGATCTTTCTATCTTTCTCCTTTCTAAACCTTTGATCAGCTGACTAAGCCATTTGTCACTGCTCATGAAATCTTTGTGTATTTGATCCTCTGGCTACTTCTCTTGTCACATAAAGTAGATGACCAGATTCACTGCCCAAAGATCTGTTCATTAAGAGGATTCCCCCTCACCACTGTCTACAAGTTCACCTGTCAGTGTGAACCATCAGTCATTTTTGGCTTATGCTCAAATCCAAATCAACTCATCTATGAACTGAGTTTAGACTTTTTCCTTCTCTTGTCATCTGGTCATAAGGGACCCCATGTGGTTATAGAAATGAGCTGAAGGAGAAGCAAGTTCTTCAGCTGAAGCAATTCCCAAAGAGGGTTGGGAGCTGGCAGCAGTCCTGCAGCTGGGGGGAATGTCCTGCAGGAGAATCTGAGGGCCATGTTGCAGTGCCTACCAGCTGCATTAACTAACATTAAACATATACCTACCCTGTCACTCAGATATGTCACCCTTAGGTATATATGAAAAAGAAATGAGTGCATTCATTCATTTAAAACCTACATCTTAATTTTCATAGCAACTTTATTCATAATAGTCCTAAGCTGGAAGCAAAGCAAATGTCCATCAACAGGAGAATAAATAAATAAATTATGCATCTGGTTATACAATGGAATATGAAACTTCCATTTAAAAGAGCAAACTACTGAAATACATGATAGTGTAGGTAAATCTTACAGACATTATGTTGAGTGAAAAAAGCCAGAACCAAAAGCACATACAGTCCAATTTTATTTATATTATTTACCAAGGACAGGCAAAACTAACTTAGGGTATTAGAAGTAAGAATAGTCTTTACTTTTGGAGAAGGCTGGTGGGTATTGCCTGGGAGCTTTCTGGGATGGTAGAAATGTTTTGTATCATGATCTAGATGTTGGTTACATTAACGTGTGTGTGTGTGTGTGTGTGTGTGTGTGCATGTGTATGTAAAAGTTTATTAAGCTAGACACACAAGATTCCTGTACTTTACACATTGCACTATTTTTTTTATTTTATACTTCAATTTAGAAAAAAAGCACAGCCCAAGCACAGTGGCTCACTCTGTAATCCCAGCACTTTCGGTGGCTGAGGTGGGAGGATCACTTGAGCCCAGGAGTTTGACACCAGCGTGGGTAACATAGAGAGACCCTGTCTCTACAAAAAATAAAAAATTAGCCAGGCATTGTGGCACATGCCTGTAGTCCCAGCTACCCTGGGAGGCTGAGGTGAGAGGATCATTTGAGTCCAGAAGGTTGAGGCTGCAGTGTGAGCCATGACTGCACCACTGCACTCCAGCCTGGGCAACAGAGTGAGACCCTGTCTCTAAAGAAAAGAAAAGACCCACAAATTAATAGCATCTGCAACTGAAACAGAAAATAAAATATACAATAAAAGAGTATACTATGTGGTTCCTTAATTTGTGATGCCTCTGTTTTGGCCTTCTCAGCCATCTTTAAGAGGCAAAGTTTCAGGACATAAATACCATGCAGATGCCACCCGGCTGTGGATAAGTTACTTGGAGTCACAGTGTCATGAATTTACCCAATCTGATTCTTTTTTTGGGTTGAAGGATTTCTGCTCAGCTCTGTCCCTTCCATCTATAGCAGCTTCTTCTCTCTGACGTTCTTGGAATAATTTCCATTTCTACAGATAACTGCATTTGACAAAACATAAGCATGCTCCACTTCCCTTCTCTCCACCTCTAAATCTCCTGCCACTGGTGTCCCTCTGCCTTTTATGTTGAATTATTTGATGTCACTATACCTTATCTATTTTCAAATACCTTGTCACTTCCCTTTCCCCACCCCTCAAGGCTTTCTATGTGTGAATGATTTAGTAGGACTCAATAATCAGATATTTAAAGGTACCAGCTTCTTTTAAAATAAGACACGTTTTCTACACAATATGAACCCTTTATACACTGTGATATGAGTTATATACAGCCTTGTTCCCATGTGACTGTGCCAGGCAATGATCTGTCAGTGCTGGGGGTAGACAGGTGTGATGGGAGCATTTTATTTAAATTATTGAACCATTTTCTTCATTTGTAAAATAGAAAAGTCATAGGGTTACTGTGGAAATTATGTCAGTAGATATAAAACACTAAAACAGTTCCAGACAATGGTGAGTACCTGGAAGAGAATCTGATCAGAATCATGATGTTCACTGAGCATGTGCAGAATACATTCGTGAAAACCAACAACAGCAGGAAGATGTCTCATGCGTAAATAAATGCACCTCACTTGGGAAGGACAAGTCCCGAATGGGAAATGATCTCCTATTGTTAACAGGCAAAACAGAGGATGTGATTTAAGTTACATAGGGATAATTTTTTTTGAAGGTTGAGCTGAATTAATTATTAAAGACACGTTATGAGCAGGCAGGATAATATCAAGGAGGTCTAAATTATTTACACTTTATTGCTCTCAGTCTATGGGTGTCTGACATGTCTCATCTATTGGGGAATTCTGCAAAGTGTTCTTGGCTCAGAATATTTTCTGATAATGCATTCTTCTAAGATAATATTGCAGCATCTTACTCATTTAAAATCATCAGAAGTTCTTAAATTCCGTATCGCAAAGATTCTGCTTTTAGAAATAGCTTCTTTCAGGTTTCAGAATGTAGCTTCTACTTTATGAATTATGAGAGGGAAGAGATCTTTCCAAGGAACATGTCAGTTCTGAATGTACAATCAATGCTCTACTATTTCTGAAAACCTTAATGTAGATGTAAAAGCAAGATTAGGAAGGTCTTGCCTTCCAGATGCACCTTACTGCTTCCTCTACTTGTGTCATCCACTGGTGCCTTGGAATTCCAAAGGGCCCAAGTATGCCTATGTACCAGATTGTGTTCATTAAGTTCAGCAACCATTGTATCACGCCTACACATCCTCTGGGCAGGATGCATGGGAATGGGAGGGGACCAAGATGTTCCCATGGTAACAAGCTGTACAAATATGAAAATGGGGAGAGTATCTGTGAACAACTATGAAGAGAATTTGACAAGAGATGAGGGCTCACTGACTAATCTGGGGCTCTTTTTCATCTTTACTTATAAGCAGAGAGTTAGGAGAAGAAAAATCCTGTGCCAGGCTGGGCGTGGTGGCTCACACCTGTAATCCCAGCACTTTGGGAGGCTGAGGTGGGTGGATCACCTGAGGTCAGGAGTTCGAGACCAGCCTGACCAACATGGTGAAACCCTGTCTCTACTAAAAATACAAAAATTAGCCAGGCTTGGTGGCGCATGCCTGTAATCCCAGCTACTCGGGAGGCTGAGGCATGAGAATCGCTTGAATCCAGGAGGTGGAGGTTGCAGTGAGCTGAGACCATGCCATTGCACTCCAGCCTAGATAGCAAGAGCAAAACTCCATCTTGAAAAAAAAAAAAAAAGAGAAGAAGAAGAAGAAAGAAAAGAAAAGAAAAAGAAAAGTCCCATACTGAATTCATTGTAGTTGGCATCTATCAAGCATCTAGATTCACTGTTTGAGACCCATCCTAGCACTTCCATGCCTCCCCCAGGATTAATGACTATGGGGTCCCAGCAAAGGTCAAGTGTCTGGGATAGGTTCTAGGAGAATGCAGTACAGTACATCCAGTATTTTCTTTCTTTCTTTCCTTTTTTTTTTGAAACAGAGTCTTGCTCTGTCATCCAGGCTGGAGTGCAATGGTGTGATCTCGGCTCACTGCAACCTCCGCCTCCCGGGTTTAAGTGATTCTCCTGCCTTAGCCTCCCGAGTAGCTGGGACTACAGGTGCCCACCACCATGCCTGGCTAATTTTGGTATTTTTAGTAGAGGCTGGGTTTCACCATATTGGCCAGGCTGGTCTCGAACTCCTGACCTCATGATCCACCCGCCTCGGCCTCCCAAAGTGCTGAGATTACAGTCATGAGCCACCGCACCCGGCCACATCCACTATTTTCTATTTGAAAATGTTCCCAAGTCTGGAGAGTCCTGGCTTTAAAAATAGCTTAGTATACAGTAGTATAGTAAGGAAATTATAGTTAAAGATAATTTACTGTATATTTCAAAATAACTAGGAAAGAAGAATTATCATGTTTCCAACACAAAGAAAAGATACATGTTTGAGGTGATGGGCATCCAGTTATGCAGATTTGACCATGACACATTGTACACAGGGATCCAGATATCACATGCACCCCCAAAATATGTACAACTATTATATATCAATAAAAAAGTACAAGAAGAATAAACTGTGAAAAGATCAAGAGTCAAAAACAGAAAAGAAAAGAAAGAAATAGCCTAAAGCTAGAATGTGGGGTGGATGCAGGGATGAGGGTTATGCCAGGTTTCTCTTTGACCATTGTATGCTCATAAGGAGGTTTCTATGCTAAGAATCTCTATGTCAAGATGCTTAACTTGATTCATACCCTTTGGTTAAGGAAGAAACTAGGAATTTGAGGGACATGATTAAAAACTTCAATTAGGGACCATTTGTAGCACGTATTTATTTTCTTTTTGTAATTCTGCTATCATCTCTGGGCATCTTCTTCCAGATGTTTTGGCTGGTCACCTTGACTCTAATGGAGTCTTCAGATTATTAGAAGATGCAAGAGGAGAGCCCAAAAGTTCTTGTTCCTAACCCTTGGATATGCCTGATAAGGCCTTGTGAATCCAAATACCACATTCCTTCTTTCCAGCCATGAAGTACCTGAGAGTGGCTCTGCTTGGGCAGGTCTTGGCATTGGGCTGAAGGTGATGTCCTCTATTCCCTAGAATGGGGTAGGGACTGGGAGCCGTTACACATGACAGTGGACTGAGATGCTTTGTCTGAGTTAGTTCTTACATCTCAATTCCAATATGTGTGTCTGAGTTCATTTGGGCAGCTATAACAAAATGCCATAAACTTGTTAGCTTATAACAACAGAAATTTATTTCTCTCAGTTCTAGAGTCTGGGAAGTCCAAGATCAAGGGGCCAGCAGATTCAGCATCTGGTGAAGGCCTGCTTTCTGGTTCATAGATGGTGCCTTCTTGCTGTATTCTCACATGGGGGAAGGGGCAGGGCAGCTCTCTGGGGCCTCTTTTATAGGGGCACTAATCCCACTCATGAAGGCCTGTTGATCTAATCACCTCCCAATGGCCCCACCTCCTAATACCATCACCTTGGGGGTTGAGATTCCAACACATAAATTTTGGAGGGACACAAACATTCAGACCATAGCAGATTAATTTCCAGACTCTCAGAGAAATCCTTATCAAATAAATTAATTCAGAAGAAAATCCCCAAACTAATTAGTGTGGATCCTTTTTACCGTTCCTGTGAGTCAGAGCTGATGTGCTCACTGCCTGTGTCCCCTCCTGCCCTTGCCCCCCGCAGGGAGATAACTGAGCCATGCCTTTTGCCACCCACTCTCCCTGTCCTCTTTGCATCTTTGGCTGGCAACCCCAGAGCACTTTCCAGATCCTCTGCATCTCTCTTCACCAGATCTCTGGCCATTCCTAATTCTACATTCTGGACAGTTCCTGGCCTGTTGCTCTTGCTCTTTGCAGGAACTGTGGATGAAGCCTTGCCAGGACACAGGTCCTCAGTGCCTGTCACTGAGGTGGCCCTTCATTTAACTGAAGTCCCATTACATTAATAAGCCTCAGTTTCCCTCCCCTCAGTGACTTCAGGAAGCCTTTCTGTATCCTGGCTCTTGTTCTATGATGGTGTGTTCGATCTGTAGAGGTGGGTTTTTTTTCTTTTCACCAAATCTCAGCATTTTTCCTTTCCCTCATACTGGAGGGTTGCTTTCTGTTTCTTCCTTCCTTACCTTAGTCTCTATTACAGCAGCCCTGAAGTCTATCTGCAAGTGTGTGCATGGATCTGGGGAATGGGCAGGTAGGATTCTGGGCTCAACAGTCACATTTCTTGCTAAATTAGTGTGGTCCCAGGGGAAGGGGCTTCGGCAGATGAGGAGCCACAGAGGAGGGGGATGCAGAATTCCCCTTTCCTGGCTGATTTCTGTTTTGCCTAAAAACCATGTGGCTGTGACACCAGGGCACTGCTGTCTCCCCAGACAACAAATTTTAATAGCTCTCCTTTACTGCTGGCAATGATAATGGCTAACACAGGCTGGCTATTCACGACATGGTAAGCTTGGTACAGAATCTATCTTATTTAATCCTTGCTTTGAAGCAATTCTATTATTCTCCCCATTGTACAGATGAGGACACTGAGGACCAAGGAGTGGCAGAGCTTTGCTAGAAACTCAACTCTGACCTCAGAGCTGGAGTGCTTCCCCTAACCCCATGCTGAAAATAGTCACTGCTGTTCCGGGACTACCCTGCCAGCTTCTTAGTTGTCAGATTTCGGAAACTGTATCAACTCTCTCAAGTGGAGGGGACACTTTGAACAAATAAATATTGACAAGCACTGTCAAAATAGCTGGAGATTCTGACCCTGTCAGGCTAATCTCTGTTCTCCCTGTGAAAGCTCTGGCTTCCGTCACTCTGGGTCACATTCCGGCCTGCCTTCCTGTCAGAGTCCTACATTGCTCTCCTCTCCTCCACAATGTGCATATTGCAAGTTGGTCATCCTGTGTGTGTATTTACTTGCTGTGGCTTGTTTGGGTTCAGTTTTTTGAGTGTTCGTTTGCTTTTCCCAGACAGTATCAGATCCAGCCTTTCTGCCCCACCCCTTTTTGGAGGTACCGCTCTTTTCTACGCTATAAATGACTGACCAGTTGGGACTGAACTTGGCTGGGACAATCTCTGTTTTCACTCCCCTTCTATGTCCATCCTCTGTACTTTCAAAGTCTCCTGGGTACTCTCCTTCTTTCCTACAAGGTTGCAACTGTGTACCTTCTGTTGCCTCTCCTAGGCCTGTTGCATCCTGGAACACAGTACAGCCAATAAATGTTTGTTAAATGAATGGATGAATGAATGTAGTTCTCAATATGTATAATCATGGCACTCTGACAAAGCTGCTGTTATAATCCCTTTGTAAAGGAACCACATGCTTAATTTTAAGATAGAAGGATTGCAGCAACAACATTGCACGAGTTTTTCTCTTTTGACAGTTTCTGGTTCATCCGAGATCCCTGCACCTGCCAAACAGAAACTCACATTCACTCACACACCAGTTAGGTAAGAAGCAGCTGGCTAAGTATTGAGCTATTCTTGCCCAAGTCCACCATTTCCATGTAGGGGGTTGAAAGGAAGCTGATCATTTTCCTTCGGTTTTTTAAAGAATGTCCTTTGGGCTTTTTAGCATCCTTGTGACAGGCATCATGTTCATCTCAAGCTGTTTGGTGAGTACAGGGAGATGGGTCCCTGTGTCAGGTGCTATATTCTTGTTGAGATACAAAAGCTTCAGTTCTCAACTCTCCAGCCCTGCAGGGGAGAATGAGGTCTTATCAAGATTGCTTGGCAAAGTGTATTATTCATAAACCCACCTGGCTTATCACCAAAAAAATGTTGTGTTCACTGAGAGAGGCTCTTAAAGAATTCTCTGTTAATATTTGCTTTGTCATTTCAGAAAGCCTTTAGCTAGGCCTGATCAGACAGTTATTTCTGGCTGGGTACAAATTCTGTTTTCAGAATATTGCTTGGCTCTTTGTTCCTTTCCCCTCTGTGCTGCCCACCCCCTTGCCTGACTCATCTCTTCTAGAACCTTCTCTGTCCTTTCCCAAACCACTGGGAGTGATTTACTAAGTACATTTCCCAGCCAGCTCCCAGACACTGGCTAGAAAGACCAATTTACAGGAACAAAATGTCCCCACATTGTAACTGGGTCATGGTCCAAAATTTATTTGAAAATCAGACATTGGAATTAACAATGTTTTTTTTTTTTTTTCTCAGAGAAATAACAGTGGAGAGAAGGTCTCACGATATCCCCAGAAGCCACTTTATCTATAATGAAGCTGAATTGTAACACAAATGAGGGATCTAGGAATAGAATATGTGTCGGTGCAGAAGAGGGGACTAGTGGGGGACAGTAGGGGAGGACAGGAGGAGAAATTGGAGGGGGAAGATTTTTCTCCCTCTCTTTATTAATACAGTTCTAGTCCTGGGCCACAGTTCATAATAATCAGGTCATGTGCACACAGCCTCTTGTGGCCTTAGAGTCAGAAGTGATTGGAGTTCAGGGTCTGACTCAGGTTAAACAGACTCATACCAGCTAGATGTGCCAACCAGAATGGCAGTTAAAAAAATTGCTGGCTATCAAGCATGTTGCTACCAGTGCATTTCCTCCCTGGAAGCAAATCTGCAAGGGAAGCTGGAGTGCAATCAGAAAACTGTGTTGAGCCTCACTTAGATCAGGGATCAACTGTCACAGGACTAGACAGGACAACTTTAGACCCTACTAGTCTCTCTTCTGGCATTCTGCATAATCAAGGCTTGGGAGTTGCTTCTTTCACATTCTCTTTTCTGGGCTTTCTGGCTTTTCTTATTTATTATTATTATTTTTTGCCAGATACATTGTTGCTTTAATTATGATGATGTCTTCAATCAGATCAGAGCCAAAATTGGTAGCCTGGGAGCCATTCTGGTTTTTTTTTATTTGTTTGTTTGTTGGCTTGTTTTAGGTTGATGTAGTATTGCTCTTATCCAACATGTGCGGATTTTGTAGTATAACTAGTGGGAAACAATTTACTTTCTATGTTCTCAGGGATCACTTTAATTCAATGTCTCCAAACCTCCAAACATGTTCCAACTATACCTTCAGCTATAGATAGCATCACTATTTTGTGTGGAGGAGGCAGAAGTGGTAGAAGAAAGAGTGGAATCAGTCCATCTTATTCCACAAATCTTCAAAATTTAAAAATATTTGCTGCCTCAAATTTTTTTCAGAAGCAGCAGGAATATAAAGTAGAACAAAATACATGAAAAAACATAAAGAGTTACTTATTATCTTTTACCCTTAACTGAAATACTCTTTCTTCTAGAGAAAATGATGTCAGCTAGATGTTAGAAAGAAAGATGAACACACTAATTTATACTCATGTGCAAATGACTAGGTAACACTTCTAGTCACATTTTGAGAGTTTTCTTCTTTTGAGAGAGGGCATATAGTGATACATATGTATCTTTAGTAGAATTTCAGGCAGTGTAAGTAGCTATTTCACAGAGTAGGAAAACTTAAAGAGTATTGTGGGAAAGGTTTCAGGTTCAGGTTGGTCTTTTGCTCTGGAGTTCAGCTTCTCTCTGTTACTTATATCTTCTTTTCTTTCTGGACATCAATCTAAAAGATTTGCAAGCCTCCAAGGTTTATCACAAAAATTTTCATTCCAGTACTATCAGGACCTGTAGTTGTGGGAGTAAGAGGGAGACCAGGCTGCTAAGGGGAGAGTGAGGGCAATTTTTGGCACATTTGCACACTAGAAGTCTCCTCTACTAGCTTAACCTAACCTTTGATCCATTTCTGTTGTTCACATTTCTCACCTCTTTCCAAATGCCCAATTTTTTTTTTTTTTTTTTTTTTGTGACCATGAGCTCCCTGGCCACTTTGCTATTGGTTGACTATGACAGGTGTGCTCTCTCATCTCAGGGCCTGCCTTAGAATGCTCTTCTCCCAGATTGTCACAGCGACCCTCTGTCAACGTACTCAAATCTCTGTCCAGTGCTACCTCTTCAGAGAGCTTTCTCTGACCTACCAAAAACAGCATCTTCCTCCATTTACTATCCCCTCACCCTGCTTTATTTTTCTTCATTGCACTTATCACTACCTGGCGTATTATGTCTCTGTTGTTTAACTTTCAATCTGTCTGTTAATATCGGAATGCTAGCTGCACTTGGGAGGGATTTTTGTCTGGCTGGTCCAAAGTTAGATTCCTAGTACGAGGCCTGTGCTGGGCACAAAGTGGGCCCTCAACAAATATTTGTTAGATGAATGAATCTCCATCTTATAAATGAGAGTTTGAAGCTTAGAAAGATTAAATGACTTAGTCAAGGCCATAAGTGCCAGAGATGGGATTACAACCCAAGTCACGTGATGCCAAAGCCTATATTCTTAGCCATTGCATGTGTGTGTGTGTGTGTGTGTGTGTTTGTGTGTGTGTATCTCCCAATCTTCTCCATTAAACTCTCAGATTCTCCATCATAAGGACTATTTGTATTATATCTTGTAACCTAAATGCCTAAAATGCTCAATATGTGAAGGGGAGACTATAAATGTCAAAGGAAAAATATATCTTTGGCTAATGGATGAGTGCTTGAACAAAGAGAAGCATGTTTCCGATGAGGACACAGTACAGACAAAGACCTAAGAAACACACTGGGAATTGCAGAGTTCAAATGTCTTCCTAAATGGCTAACTTATCACCAGGGGCAGCCTAGGCAGTGCGAAAAATAAAGTCTACTGAGTAAGTATAATCATTGCACATCCCCTTTTAGCAGCTGGAGTCATTGTCCCACACCTTGCCTCACAGTGCACATACAAGTTTAAATGCCTGAGATTGCTAATTTTCCAAAGACTTCATTATCGTGAGATGAGGCCATGGCAAAAATGTGCTGGTCTTTAAAACAAGGACAGATGACAAATTGATAGCACTATAAAAGGGCCACAGGACTTAGCGCTGGCTCTGAACGTCTACCAGACAGCAGACACAATATATGTTCACTGAGAGTGTTGGATCTCAAAGATACCAATGAATTTAGAGGTGTCTGAGCAACAAAAAGATTTATTTTGTTTCTTAAATTCAGAACTCTGGACTCTCAAGGGAAGACAGTGGTTTGGCAGAAAGCAGTGGTAGAATAACCAATTATTCTATAATATTTTTCAGAGCCAACTTCCTTCTAACATTTTGTTTCCATTGCCACGGTAATCCTGCTTTCCTCAGCATAAGGAAGCAGGGAAGAGGTGAAATAAGAGCCCTCCCTTGGAATTGGATCATGTGAGCCAAAATAGTCAGATCCTTCCAGTGGGCCAGCTGGAGAAGGGTCCACAATTGTCTCCTAGAATCAGGGCTGTATACAATGACATGCACATCTTTATCCATCATGGAAATTGGTCGCTTACAATGCATCCTTTTTGTAGGCTAAAATAACTGGCATCCTTCTCTCCCGACCCATTTACATCCCCTTTTCCCTCATCACTCATCATCCTCTGCCCTTCCCCCAAACACATTGTTGTTGATTTTTATTAGCTCTGAATCAAAGAAAATGTGCTGGAGAATATTGCACCAGGGAAGCAACATTTCAATGCTTAATTACTTGAGGTGCTTCCTAAATTAAACTAGCCGGTTTCCTACCCTCTTTAATATTTTTTCTTTCTGTGTAAAGATGAAGTAAATCTCCTGTCAAAGGATTGGAGAGAAGGAACCAACCGTCTTTCACTCACCCACTTAGAACCTTCTGGAAGCCCTGACTGCCTTGCTGTAAGGTCGGCTGAATGGAAAGAGACAAAGGCTGTTGGCCCTGATAACAGAGGACATGGAGAACACTGACGGGCCAGCACAGAGAGGTGTGTGGAGAAATGGATGCCCTGTAGGGTATGCATACTACGTCTTGGCTCCTTTGAGAGATTGAGTGTTTAGATCTGGAAGAGTGTCTCTCTGGATTAATAATAAATAGATTTGTAGCTTGGACTGATGTAAATAACAAGGTTAACAGAAGGTATTGAGAAAGGACATCTCTCACCAGATCAGCAAAACAATAGACACATGTCCTTGCCCCTGGTAGGGAAATGGGAGTAAAATGTACCCTCATTCGTAACTGGTAGAAATATGAATTGTTACAGCTTTTTTGGAAGGCCATCTGGCCACAGCTATTACACTGAGCCACCTGCTCAGAGAGGCCTTCCCTGACCATCCTATCTAAGGCTCTAAGGCAGCATATTCTGAGAGTCTCTATCATATGTCCTATTTCACTTTTCTTTGTAAAATTTCCCATTATCTGAACTTTTATATATATATAATATATTCTGTGTATCACTTTATTAACATATAATTAGCATACATAAATTGCACATATTTGAAGGGTACAATTGAATATATGTGCACAGTGATGAAACCACCACCACAATCAGGATAATAAAGAAGTCCTTCACCCCGAAAAGTTCTCTCCTGCCCCTGGATAATCCATCCCACTAATTCCCTATAGGCAACCACAGAACTGCTTTCTGTCTCTGTTGATTAGTTTGCATTTTCTAGAATTTTATATAAATGGAATTATACAATATGTTCTTTTTTTAATCTGGCTTCCTTTACTCAGCATGATTGTCTTGAGATTTATTCAAAATACAAGATTTGTTCAAAATATGCTGAGTATAATGTGTTATCAATGCTCCATTGCATTTTGTTGCTGAGTAGCATCTCAATGTATGGATGTAATTTGTTTATCCATTTGCCTGTTGGTGGAGGAGGCGCGGGGGCATTTGGATTGTTTCCAGTTGTTACTGCTTATTCCAAAGAAAGCTGCTTTGAATGTTTGTTTCCAAGTGTTTGTATGGATTCATGCCTTCATTTCTCTGTGGCATATATCTAAGAGTAAATGGCTGCATCATATGGTAGGTTTAATGTGATGCTTAACATTTTAACAGACTATCAAACTGTTTTCCCAAAGAGACATATGATTTTACATTTCCACCAAGGGTGTATGAAAGGTCTCATTACCCCACATCAAAAGAATGTATAAAACAAATATGTACAGTTTAATTTAAAAATTAATTTGGGATGTACCCACCACTCAAACATGAGAAAGAGAACACTTCCTGGAACTTAGGGGCTCCTAGACTCCCTCTCTCTATCATGCCCTTCCCTTCCCACCAGAGATAACCAGTGTCCTGAATTTTGTGTTAGTTGTTCCCTTGATTTTCTTTATCACTTTACTACCTATTAATATATAGCCCCTACACATTAACTTGTTCAATTTTTCCAGTTTTTCATTTTTTGAAATGAAATCCACATGACTTATCTCCTTCACTTAGTATATTTTTGAGATACAACCACATGAATATGCACAGATATCGCTCACTTAATTTAACAGCCATTTATTATTCCATTGTATGAACAAACCTCAATTTTTATATCTGTTGTACTGTTGATGAGCATTTGAGCTGTGTACATTTGCACAAGTAAATGTGTATATATTCAAGAATGTTTGAACATATGTATGTATATACATATATATACATATATTATATATAATATATGTACGTATATATACAGTTGACCCTTGAACAACATGGGTTTGAACTGTGTGGGTCCACTGAGAGAACTTTTGAGTGTGCAAAACTTGTTTATTATTGTGTACATATATTCGAGTTTTTTTCAACCAAATATGGATCAAAAATACAGTATTTGCTGGATGCAAAACCCATGTTTATGAAAAGCCAGATTTTCCTATACGTGGGTTCTGCAGGGCCAACTACAGGACTTGAATATGTGTGCATTTTGGGATATTCTGGTGTCCTGGAACCAATCCCCTGCATATATCAAGAGATGACTCTATGAACGCATATATTATAGAGAAATTGCTGAATCATAGGGTATGCATATGTTCAGTTCTGTAAGGTACTGCCAATTGTTTCCCAAAGTGTTTGTGATAACTCATACTCCTACTAATAGCATGAAAGTTTTTGTTTCATAACAACAATACTTAACATTGTCTGATCTTTAAAGTTTTGTCAAACTGGAAGTTGTGAAATGGTATCTCACTGTAGTTTTAATTTTCACTTCTGTGAATACAAAAGTTTGATAATTTTTTCGTTGTTTATCAGCCTTAGTATTTTTTTGTGAAATTTTTCATAATTTTTCCCATTTTATTGAATTGGCAATCTCTGTATTATTAATTTGTAGGAATTTTGTATACATTCTAAATACTAAATCTTTGTTTATATTAGTTGCAAATATCTTGTCACAATTTGTGGCTTGTCTTCATTGTCTTTATAGTGTTTTTTAGAAAAAAAATTTTCAATTTTCATATATTGTTTTATCAATCTTCTCCTTTATGGATTATACTTTGTATATTTATATTTTTAAATTTTTATTTTTAATTGACAAATAACAATTATATGTACTTATGAGGTACAATGTGATGTTTTGATATGCTTACAATGTGGATTGATTAAATCAGGACAATTAACAAATCCATCGCTACATACTTATCACTTTTTGTGGTGAAAACATTTAAAATCTCTTTTAGCAATTTTGAAATACACAATGCATTATTATTTATCATAGTCACGATTCTGTTTAATAGATCACTAAAGCTTATTCCTCTTGTCTGACTGAAACTGTTGTTCATCACATTTAAGATGTTGAAAAGGAGTAGTAAAAGCAGATATTTTTCGATGTTTCCTGATCTCAAGCATTTTTACCATTAAGTATGTTGTTTACTGTTACTTTTCTTTCACTTATCATGTTAAGGAAATTTCTTTTTATTCTAAGTTTCATAAGAGTTATATTTTTGTTAAATCCGAAAGAATGATATATTTTATCAAATGCTCTTTCTGCGTCTCTTCTGTCGACCATGTGTTTACTCTTATAATTTATGACTATGATAGATTGTACTTACTAACTTTTAAAGGTTCAACCAGCCTTACATTCTTAGGATATACCCAATTTGATCTTGACGTTTCATCTGTCTTTACACATCGCTGAATTCATTTTGTTAATATTTTGTTTAGGATTCTTGCATCTACTTTTTAAGTGAGAATGGCCTGATATCTGCCTTTTTATTCTTATCTGAATATGTTATGATGGATATTCTGGATTCATAGAATGATTTGGAATATGTCCTCTTTTTATTGTTTTTTTTTTACAGCTTTATAGAGGTATAATCTATATAAAGCTAACATCCCCCTTTTTTTGCCAGAAGACAATGAAGAAAACATCTACCTTTTTTTAAGCGTACAGTTTGATGTGTTTTGGAAAAATGTATGCCTTATGCAGCTATCACCATGAGTTTTACAATACTATTATCACTCTGAAAAATTGTGGACAATTACAGTTGGATCTTTTTTAAAAAATCCAGTGTATCAATCTATGTCTTTTGATTAAAGTATTTAGTGCAGTCACATTTAGTGTAATAATTGATATGTTTGGATTTGTTTATGACTTTTTGCTATTTTATATTTGTCTAATCTCTCATTTTTCTTCCATAACTGCTTTATTTCTTACTTTGCACTACATAAATATCTTTTATTGTACTATTTTAACTCCTCTATTAACTTTTAGCTATATTTCTTTGAATTATTTTTGGTGATTATTCTGGGGATTAATATATGTGTCTTTATTTTATTATAGTCTACTTTAAGTAGCCTTATTTTCAATAAGAGATAATATGTTTGCCCCAATATAGCTTCATTACATTCCTCTTCTTTGTAATATTATTGTCATATATGTTTTCCCTTCAGCCTGAAGGACCTCCTTCAACATTTCTCATAGTGCATGTCTGCCAGGATTGATTTCCTCACATTTTGTTTATCTTGAAATTTTCTTATTTTGCTTTCATTTTGAGGAATAACTTTATTGACTATAAAATTCTTAGTTTACAGTATTTTTTCTTTATGCACTTTGAAAATGTTTGTGCAACGTATTTTGACGTCCATTTTGTATGGCAAGAAGCCAGCCATTAATTGCATCATTGTTCCCCTATATGAAATGGTCATTTTTCTTGTTGCTTTGAAGATTTTTCTCATTAGCTTTCAGTAATTTGAATATGATGCATCTAGATATGGTTTTCTTTGTGTCTATACTACTGGGATACATTGAGCATCTTGGACCTGGAAGTTAATGTTTTCACCAAGCTTGGGAAACTTTGTGTTATTATTTCTTCATATACTTTCCTGCTTCTTTCTCTCTGTTCTTCTGGAACTCCATTTAGACATATGATAAAATGGTTCATATTTCCCAGTAGATCTCTCAGTCTCTTCATTTTTCTTCCATCTTTTTTCACTGTGTTCTATGTTCAAGGTCACTGATCCTTTCCTCTGCTATCTCAAATCTGCTATTGAGGCCATTTAGTAAATTTTCTTTATTTTAGTTAGTGTATCTTTCAGTTTTAGAATTTCCATTTGATTCATTTTTATAGTTTTCATGTATCTGTTAGGGTCCCTATGTGTTCACTCATTATTAGTATATTTTCCTTTATTTTAAAGATATAATTTATTTTAATTTGTTGAATATATTTATAGTAGCTACTTTCATATCTTTGTATGCTAAATTCAACATCTGTGCCTGCTTAGAATCAGTTTCTATTGACTTCCTTTTTTCGTGAGTATGAGTAACACTTTCCTATTCTTTGCCTGTCTAGTAATTTTTGGTTAAAACCTGGGTATTGTAGGTAATACACAATAGCAATTCTGGATTTGGGGTCTTGGGGGGGTAATTGTTTTCTTGTTTGTTTGTTTTAATGGGCAATTTAATTTTCTGGACTAAAGCTTCAAAATCTGTCTCCTTTATGGTGTGAAGTTGCTGATGTCTCTGCTCAGATTGGCTTTTAAAAAACACCTGGCCCCTTGGGGCTCTCTCCTGTGCTTGCATAGTTTAGTGGTCAGCCAGCAATTAGTGCTGAGGGTGTGTTCAGACACATCAAGTCAGTAAGACTTCCACCTTCTGACCTCAAGAAAATTCGGACTTTCACTTTCCTCCTCTGCACACTTGTAATGGTGTAGTTTAGCAGTCAGAATGAGGGTGTGTAGAGAGTTTATTATTTCAGCTCTTCCATGACTCTTTTGCCTCCAAAATGTCCCCCTTAAATTTCTAGCAGTTTTCCACTAATCCTGAACCAAACCTGCCACTTCTTGCAAATAAAGCTGCAGGGTTTCCCTGCAGAGCTATAGGGGATAGGGAAACCCCACACGAGAAGGCTCAAATTCACTGTTCTATGGAACAATCTTTTTGTTCTGCCATTCTTAGAACTAAAGTCTTAGATATGCTTTTCCTGATATAGCCTTCATATGCTATTCCCATACTTTTCTGTGGGTCTATAAACAGGAAACATTTTTTTCTACTCGGGAATTGTTGGACAAGCTCTTGGAGGTTTTCTTCATGCTTCATACATAAGTATACATCTGCTGGACATTCACAAAACATAGTTTGTGAGTCCTAGGGACTTAGACTGTGACTCCTCCCAGTACTCTGGCAGGTTCTTGAGGCTTAAGCCACAGCTTCTTCTAGTTATCCTGCACCTCCGAGTAAATTTTGGCAAGAATTCCAAGACATGGCCAATAAGAAGCACCAAGAGAAGTTTGTGTCAGAAAAGAATGAGAAGGCAGCCAATTAGAAGGACCTTTGAGGGATGGTCCAAGCACAAGTTTATGAAGAGCTCAAGACCAGAGTATCTACTTGGTCCTCCAAGAATTGGTCCTGCTCTGGAGGCTTGGATCCTACATTCTTCAGATGGCCTGGGAAGCACAACGTTTTTCCTCTTAGTGGTCCTTGTCTTTTCTTTCTCTTTTATAATTGTCAAAAAGTGTTTGTGTAAGTTTAGAATCATATATTCTTTGAATTTTTGTAGGCCTAATTTTTTTTTTTTTTTTTTTTTTTGAGACAGAGTCTCACTCTTTCGCCCAGGCCGGACTGCAGTGGTGCTATCTCTATCTCGGCTCACTGCAAGCTCTGCCTCCAGGGTTCACGCCTTTCTCCTGCCTCAGCCTCCCAAGTAGCTGGGACTACAGGTGCCCATTGCTGCGCCTGGCTAATTTTTTCTATTTTTAGAAGAGACGGGGTTTCACTGTGTTGGCCAGGATGGTCTCGATCTCCTGACCTCGTGATCCGCCCGCCTCAGCCTCCCAAAGTGCTGGGATTACAGGCATGAGCCACCGTGCCCGGCCAGGCCTAAGTTTTAAAGTCACCCAGGCTTGTGGTTTTCTTTGTGCAAATATTTCTGTCTATGATTTAATGTTATATTTATTTATAGTTAGAGGACATTTCAGGTGTCATATTTTATTGTGTGCATTTTGGATATGTTGTATTTTTCTATGATTTTAAAGTTTCATTTATGTTTTCTAGTGTATTAGTTAAAAATTATTTCTAGTATCTTGTATTTATTTGTTCAATTTCTATATCATCTGTAAATTGTCCCATTTACAGCATAGGCCCATTTACCAAGGCCATTATGAAGACACTAGTGAGACATGCATTGCTGAGACATTCAGTGGTCTCTCCTGTGTAGGCCAGGATGATGGTAGGAAACATAGTCACTGAATTGGCTCCTTAACATCCATCATAATCAACAGAACCCCAAAGTTAGAGAGGCCAATTGTGACACTTAACTCCCAGAAGCCAGGGGGCCACAGTTAATTATATTAACTGGCAAGGTTGGAAAGACAGTCAAGAGGTCTTGATCTGTAGGGAGTTATGGACACGGTGAATAGAATATGGGGTATCTTAGGGCAAGCTACCATAGGGTGGTACTTAACATTAACAACAAGAAGAAGGCAAGGCAGGCCTCCCAAAGTGCTGGGATTATAGGGGTGAGCCACCATGCCCACCCACGTGGATCACGAGGTCAGGAGATTGAGACCATCCTGGCCAACATGGTGAAACCCTGTCTCTACTAAAATACAAAAAAATTAGCCAGGCATGGTGGCACATGCCTGTAGTCCCAGCTACTCAGGAGGCTGAGGCAGGGGAATCGCTTGAACCTGGGAGGCGGAGGTTGCAGTGAGCTGAGATCGCACCACTGCACTCCAGCCTGGTGATAAAGCAAGACTCCATCTAAAAAAAAAAAAAAAAAAAAAAAAGAAGGCAGGAATGGAGGAGCAGAAGCTTGAGTGCAGTTATCCCAATAAAAGTCAAGAACAAGGTTCCCAGAAGGAAATCTCCAGTAAGCACAAAATTAATAATTTCTCTATTCCTTGGTCAAAGGGACCTGCAGTCACTTACTTAGGTGAATGTACACTGGGGAAAGAGGACTACCCAGGCATTTCAAATACAATTAGATACAGGGTTGGAGTAGCTGTTGATACCTAAAAACACCATTTCATCATGGCCCACCCAGTAGAGTAGGGGCTAGCAGGAGCCAGGTAATATATGAAATCCTGACAAAAATATTGCTTACAATGGGTCAACTGAGTTTGTGGACCCACTCAGTCGTCATCTTCCCCAGTTCCTGTGTGCATAATTGGTATCAATATACCTGGCATTGGATCCTCAGCCTATGAGATAAGAGCTGTCATTGTGGGGCCAAATGGAAACTTCTGAAACTGCCTCTCCTGGCCAAAATAGTAAATTTAAAAATACCTATCACATTTCACAAGGAGATGGCAAAGAATAATGCTACCATTGAAGCTTTAAAATATGCAGAGGTGGCAGTCTTTATTATATATCCATTAATTAGTCTGGGCCCTGCAGAAACCAGATTAATCTTGGAAAATGAAAGCAGACTACTGCAAGCTCAAATAAATAGGCACCTTAATTGTAGTTGCTGTACTATACTTGGGTGCCCTTGCTAGAGCAGATTGATAAATAAGGCCTCAGACACATGGTATAAGGCTAATGCTTTTGTGAATGTGTTCTTTTCTTTTCTGATCAGAAAAGAAGTTTAGAAATAGTTCATGTTTATTTGGAACAGACAATGAATATTCATTTATAGTTTTGCCCTAGGGCTGTTAATTTTCCTGCCCTCTGTCGTAATACATTCCAAAGAGATCTAGACTGTCTGAATATCTTGTAAAACATCACATTATCCCATTACATCATGCTGATTGAGACAAATGAGCAACAGGAGGTACTATATTGAAGTCCATTTAAGACTCATGGGCTCCAGACATTGGGAGAAAAACTCTATGATGATTCAAGAACCCGCTACTTTAGTAAAGTTTTTAGGGGTGTGGTGGTCTGAGATGTGCTAAGACATCTCCACCAAAGTAAAAGAAAAATGATTGCATCTTTCATCCCTTACCACTAAGACGGAAGCACAGTGCCTGGCAGACCACTTTTTTAGGTTCTAGAGACAACACATTCTGCACGCAGGAATATTGTCCTGGCCTATGTGCCTGGTGACACAGGAGGCTGCCACCTCTGTATGTCACCCAGTGTAGGAAAGAGCTCTGCAGCAGATCCAGGCTGTGGTGCAAGCAACCCTGCTATCTTAGGCAGTTCATGCTGCTATAACAAATTACCATAGACTGGGTGGTTTAAGCAGCACATATTTAATTCTCGAAGTTCTAGAGGCTGGCAAATCCAAGCTTTAGCACCAGTAGATCTGGTGTCTGATAAGGGCCTCTTCTTAGTTTGCAGATGACTGTTCTTCTCGTTGTATCCTTACATAACAGAGAGAAGAGAGTGAGAGAAAGCTCCAGTTTCTCTTTTTTATAAGGGCACTCATCCCATTTATCAGGACTCTACTACTCTCATGACCTAATTACCTTCCAAAGACCCCATCTCCTAATATTATCACATTGAGGTTTAGGATTTCAACATATGAATTCTAGGTGAGGAGACACAAATATTCAACCCATAACACGTACCCCTCAGGCCATATAACACCTGTTAGAGGCTATGGTGTTGGCGGTATCAGTGGTGGGAAGAGATGCAGTGTGAAATTTCTGGCAAGGCTGTGTGGGTGGATCACAGCACGGGCCTTTGGAGTTCTGGAGCAAGGTCATGCCATGTGTAGCAGAGAATTATGTCTCTGGAAAAATGGCTCTTGGCATGATACTGGGCCCTGGCGGAGATAGAATGCTTGATTATTTGGAACACAATGGCCCTGCACCTGGAACTATCCATTCTGATCTGGGGTCTATCAAAACTGTCAAATCACCAAGTTGGACCAGACCAGGAGTGGTCTGTTGTAAGATGGAAATGTTACAGGATTAAGCCTATGTAGGACCAGAGGGCGCAAACTAACTGCATGAGTAGGTTATCCACACTTCCATGTCGCTCGCTAAGGTCGCACCAGTACCCATCTCCCAGCTCACACCTATGGCTGCAGGGGGCTGTCACATGATCAGCTGAGGCAGGAGGAAAAAGCCTGAACCTGGTGTATAGCTAGGTTGACTTGGTAAGAGGAAGTAAGCTGGAAACAGATGGTGCTGCATTACATCCATATTCAGGGCTGACTTGAAACTCAGTGAAAAGGAATATATTCCCAGGCGTGGAGCTGCAACCTGTGGTCATTCACTTTGAGTGTAAGGAGAAGTAGCCCAATGTAAAATTCATTTATAGATTCCTGGGTAATGTCTGATGACCTGGTTAGACGGTCAGAGATCCAGAAGGAAAAAACTGGAAGATCAGAAACAAGGCTGTGTGGGGTAGAGGCTTGTGGATGGACACATGGGAGTGGGAACAATGTGTGATTTTTCTATCACACTTTAACACCCACCAGAAAGCATTCAACAGAAGAATCATTGAATAATAAAGTAAACAAAATGAGTCAGTTAGTTGACATTAGCCAGCCCTCATCATAGCCACCCCAGAACTGGAATCATGGGCTTGTAAATATAGTTGCTGTGGTGGCAGAGATGGAGGCATCTGTTCAGGGAACCCATTTCACCACAACAAATTTGTGGGAATGGACCCTTGACCATAGAATCCACTGGTTGTATCATATACTACACCATACAGTGTACAGTATTCAGTGCAGGCAGCCTCATAGAACACAGGAATGGCCTACAGACAGCACAGCTGAAAACACAGCATGAGCTCTCACTTGCAAAGGCCAATCTAACTCTTGCTCCTTCTGAAAGTACAAACAGACAGCAGCCACCAATGTTTAGCCTTCAACATTGTGCCGTTCGCAGAGTAGACCAACTAGCCACTAGTGGCAAATTAAACACTTTAGGATCCCTCCATCTTAGAAGGCCTAGTAGCTTTCCTCACAGGGATACCTATTCTGGTTTGGATTTGCCTTACCTGTCTGCATAACTTCAGCCAGTCCCATGATTCAGGGCTTACAGAATGCCTGACATGCAGGTATGAAAATCCATACAATGCAGCTATCCAAGCAACCCCCTTCATAGCAAAGGATTTGTGGGAATGGGTTCTTGATCATGTAATCCATGAGTTGTGTCGTTGTATCACATATTGCACTATACATTGACAATCAGTCTCATAGAACACGGGAAAGATCTGCTGAAAGCAGAACTGAAGCATCAGTTTAGAGCCAACGCTCTGTAACGAAAGGTGCCATTCCTTAAGATGCAGTATATATACTAAATCAGAGACCTCTATGTAGTGCTTGTTCCCAACAGGAAGAATACATGTGTCTGGGAATCAAGGGGTGGAAGCAGGAGTGGCTCTACTTGACATTACACTCGATGATCCATTGATGAACTTCATATTTTTCATTCCCACAACTCTGAACACTGCAAAGTCAGAGGCCCAGGGGGTGTACTTTTGCCAGGATGCAGAGCAAATATCCCATTGACTACAAGCTATGCCTGTTGTTAGGGTCCATTGATCACTTGGTGTCCAAGGTCCAGCAGGAAAAAAAGAGGAATTTCCATCTTGGAAGGGACAGCTGACCCTGATCAGCAGTAAAAGGTTGGGCTGTTCTTACACAATGGGGGCTGAGAAAAATGCATGTGACAGTCAGCTGATGTACTTAGGCAGCTCCTGGTATTCTCTTGTCCAGTTTTCACTGTGAATGGATATATGCAGTGAACCTGGCTTGAGACATCTCAAACCCCTCGATGATGAAGTTTTGGGTCATACCAACCAATAAAGTAGCAAGATTTGCAAAACAGCTGAAGATAATGAAAATTTAGAATGGATAGTGAAGAAGGGAGAAGATATATATCAGTTGCAGCTTCATGACCAACTGCAGCAGCAGGGGCTGTCATTATCCTACTAATATCTCTCTTCTAAGATTTTTCTGAAGGAAAGAAGCCCATAGGAACCCTGAAGGAGTTGCTCCTTGAACATACACGGAAAGGAGATCTATGTGGCACAAAGGGTAGTATGTGACAGCCATGGAGGCAGGCTGTTCAGACTCCTTCAAGAGAGCCAGGTGTGGGAAGCATAGCTGACTGAGAATTTCTAGCTATTGCCCCTTTGTATCTACCATAGTTTTCATGCCTATGCCATGCTTTCCCTGGCTGCTGCCAGCCAATGACTGATATCATGGAGAGTACTACAGGCGGTCTCCATTTTGGCCCAATGCCAGACATATCCAGTAGGCAACATTTGTTCAGGAATACCTACCTCTTCAGCCTGATCTAGGCTTTCTTAGAACTCTGTAGCAATTTGAGACTCAACTTACATAATTATTTCTTTCCTGCCTCCTGTTACAGGTGTCAAACCTACATTGCAGCCTGAAGGATGTCTTCACTTCCTCCTGCTCCTTCGCCTTGTATCCTTCATAGATTTTTCCCGCAATAAAACTTTGCATATCTAATATCATCTTGGTGTCTGCTTTTCAGAGAACCCAAACTGGCATTGTTACATGGTCTTCCATTACATGTGAAGTGATATGATATTAAGTCAAGATATACTAGGTTAAGGATACACATTGTATTTCTCACAGCAACCATAACAATATAAAATAAGGATATATAGCTTAAAAGCCTGTAGGTGAGGTAAAATAAAATGATGTTTTAAAACTAAAATACGTTTTAAAATTCTTTTTTAAATTTTTTTAGAAAACAAAGGAGTCAAGAAAGAAGTGATAAGTAGAAAGAAACAACAAATTGGTCAAATTAAGCCTAACCATATCAATAAAATATAAATGAATTAAACGGTTCAGTTAAAAGTCAGAGATTGTTTGATTGAATAAAAAGAAAGATTCACTTGTATGTTGTTTATGAGAGATATACTTTAAATACAAAGCCACAAAGAGTTGAAAAAGAAGAATGGAAAAACTATACCATACAAACACTAATTATAAGAACTTTGATTTGACTTTGTTAATATCAGACCAAATAAACATGAAGTCCAAAAGCAATACAGGAATAACACTAAAAATCAATACAACTAAATTAAAAACTAAACAAGTCCACAATTATGAGCATAGATTTTAACAGTCCTCTCTCATTAATTGAAAGAATATGCAGATTGAAAATCAGCAGCAATATAGAACTGGGGTCTTAAAACTAAACTCATCTAAAAACTATAGCCAAATCTGGTTACCTTATTTATTTAGGTATTGTTTATAGCTGGTTTTGTATTATAGGAACAGAAATGAATAGTTGCTATTGAGAGTGTGTGGCCTGCAAAGCTGAAAATATTGACTGTCTAGCTCTTTACAGAAAGTTTGCTGACTTCTCACATAATAGAGGTAACTCAGCCAACAAATGTAATCTAATTCATATTTATAAATCACTTCCCCTACAATTACAGAGTTTGTATTCTTTTCACGCATCCATGGAACAATGTGTTTAGCAACATAAAACAAATCTCAATGCATTTCAAGTGATTGTATATATGTTCTCTCATCACAATAATTAAATTAGAAATCGGTAACAAAAAATATATCTATGAAAATCCTCAACTATTTGAAAATTTAGCAACACACTTTGTAAATAACCTAAGGGTCAAAGAGGAAATCATAAGAAAAATTTTAAAATATTTTGAACTGCATGGAAATGAGAGAACAACATGTCAAAATTAGTGGGATGCAACTATAGAAATCCTCAGGGAAAAAGTTGTAGCATTAAATGCTTACAATAGAAAACAAGTGAGATATAAAATCAATGATCTAAACTTTCACCAAAAAAGCTAGGAAAAGAGCAAATTATACCAAAATACATAGAATATAAAAATATAAATATAACAGTTCAAGTCAATAAAACAATAAGCATACAAACAATTGGCAAAATCCACAAAGCCAAGAGTTGTTTCATTGAAAAAGATTAACAAAATTGATGAGCTTAGAGCAAGATGGATCAAGAAAAAAAAGAGAGAATAATTCAACAATATTAAGAATGAGAGAGGACATTACTACAGCTCCTATAGGCATTGAAAAAATAATAAGAAAATTTTATGAACAAATTTTAATGCCAAAAATTTGGTAATTTAAATGAAATAGACAAATTTATTGAAAGATAAAACTAACACAAGAAAAAATATAAAATCTGAATAGCTATACATATCTGTTACAGAATTTAAATTCATAATTTAAAAAATACACACACACACACACAAACACACACACATACAGAAACCAGACTGCATGGCTTCACTAGTGAGCTCTATTCAACCTTTATGCAAGAAATAGTATCAATCTTATATATACTGTCAGAATGGAGAGGAGAAGGAGATGTTTCCCAACTAATTGTATAAGGTCAGCATAAGTATGATACTAAAAGCTGGCAATGACACTAAAGAAAAGAAAATTACAGACTAATATTCCTCATAAACCTAGATGCAAAAATTCTTACCAATATTGCAATTAGAATCAAGCAATTGAGGATAATATATAAAGACCAAGTGGGGCATTGTTCCAGGAAGTCAAAGTTGGTTTAATATTAGTAAAATCAATAAAAGTAAGTTTGTATATTAACAGAATCAAGGAGAAAACATACGATTGGCTCAATAGATGCAGAAAAAGCATTTGACCACAGTCCAACATTAATTCATGATGAAAATAAAAGCTCTTAACAAATTAGGCATAAAAGGAAACTTCCTCAATCTGATAAAGGCAATCTACAAAATAACAACAGCTAACATGATATATTAAAACTAAAATATTGAATGTTTCCCCTCTAAGATTAGTAACAAGTCAAGATTATCTGTTCAAATATACCACTTACATTCAACATTGTATTGGAGATCTTAGCCAGGGAAAAAAGCAACCATTAAAAAACTAAGAGACAAAAGAATTGGAAAGAAGAAGTAGAACTGTCAGAGGTTGCAGACATAAATAATCTGATTTCAAAGGAATCTACCAAAACTATTCAAACTAATAAGTGAATTTAACAAGGTCACAGGATACAAAGCCAATATATAAAAATAGATTGTATTTCTATATATTAGGAATAAAAACTAGAGCATTAAATATAAAAGTTTATATTTATAACAGCATTATAAAGCATAAAATGCTGAGGAATAAATTTATTAGAAGATGTGCAAGACCTCTGTACTGAAAACTATCAGCTATAAAACATCACTGAAACATATGAAGAAGACATAAAGAATTGGAGAGATGCATCATATTCATGGATGAGAATACTTAATATTGTTCAACTATCATTTCTCCCCAATTTAATCTAGAGATTTGATGTAGTATTAAAATCCCAGTAGGTTTTTTTGTAGAAATTATCAAGTTGACACTAAAATTTAGGTCGTAATAAAAAGTAAATAGAATAGTAAAAACAATCATTAAAAAATTACAAAGTTGGAGCATCTACACACACTACTTTCATGAGTAAATACAAAGCTATAGTAATTAAGACGGTATTGACAAAAGGGCAGGCAGATAGTTCAATGGAACAGAATAAAGTCCAGACATACATCTATACATATGTGGTCAGTTGATCTTCTCTAAAGACATCATGGTGATTCCGTAAGGAAAGAGAAGCCTTTTCTACAAATGATGCTGGAACAATTGGGTAACTGTATAGCAAAAATGTACCTCAACTGCTACCTCAGACCATGCACAAAAATTAATTTTGAGTTGGATTGTAGATTTAAATGTAAAGGCTAATCTTATATGGCCTCTTCAGAAAAACATAGGAGAATATCTTTGTGAGCTTGGGATAAGCGAAGATTTTTTAAACAGGACACAACAAGCACTAACCATTTAAAAAAAGAATTTATAAACTGGACTTCATCAACATCAAAAACTTGTGCTCTGACTTTCTTCCAATTCTGAGGCTTACTTATTTATTTTCTGTTGAAGTATTTGCAACGAGAATATTAAAGAAGTCTCTAATATAAATAATAAACAACCAAACAACCCAACACAAAAATTGGCCAGAGTTGAACAGACGCTTCACAGAAGAAGATATCCAAATTATCTGCATGCCATAACGATATGTTTGATATTACTGGTTATCAGAGAAATATCAATTAAAACCACAGTGAGATTCTGCTTCACATCCACTAGAATGAAATTAAAAAGGTTAACAACACCAAATATTAGTTAGAATATATATTGCTGGTACGATCCCTTTATAAAATTGTTTGGCTCTTTTTCATCATGTTAAATAGGCACCTATCCTACAACCCAGCAATTCTCTTCCTAGATACCCAGAGAAACAAACACATATGAATCCGTATGCAAAAGCACTTGTACTTGTACAAGAATATTCATAACTGCTTTAATCATGATCAGCGAAATCTGGAAACAACTGTCTATTAACATGAGACTAGATAAACAAGTTGGGATACATTTATTCATAAATTTAATCTGCTTAGCATTAAAAAGAAATGAATCACTGAAACCTGCAACAAAATGGATGAATCTGAACTATATTAAGTTGAACAAAAGAAGTCATATGTGAAAGGTACTTACTGTAAGATTTCATCTATATGAAGTCCAAGATAACCTAAGGTGATAAAAGTCCACATGGCAGTTGCCTCTAGGATGGAGCGAGAAGATTGCTTGGGAAGGGATACTAGAAAATATTTTGAGGTGATGGAAATGTTCTATATCTTGATTTGGGTTTGGATTAGATGGGTATATACATTTGCCAAAACTCATCACCTGCTGAAGTTTTGTCCATTTCATTACATGTAAAATATAGCTTAATTTTTTTAAAAAGAAAACAAGAAAATATTGAGGGCTTGCTGTATGTCAGGCATTGTTCCAGGCGCTGGGAATGTAGCCTTACACAAACAAAAATATCCCTGCCCTTGGGAAGGTTAATTCTAGATTATAAATCAGATGTAGAAATTAAATTCCAATATGCTAAATTGAATCTCTACCATCACAGGTTCCCCCGATGGTCAAAAGTGGCTCAGGATGTCCTACCTCCTTCCCACTCCCCATTAGCCATCTTGCCATCCTGGTGGAAGGTGCTCTCAGGATGTGAAGACAGGCCAGCCCACCGTGTTTGGAAGTGGTGTTTTGGCATTTGGGATTCCCCATAGGCCAAGACATGCTAACTGAACTGAAAATGAACCCTGAAAGAAAACTCCTCTGGGCCATATTTCATTTCTATGTAAAACAGGATTCATTCCATGACATGACAGGAATGGGATTCAGTGGGACTGGCTTGGTTTGGGCAGGTGCTTCAGGGGAGGCAGCGGCAAGGCATCCTCAGAACCTAGGATTTTGTCAATCTGCAGAGGCTGGTTTTCACACTGACCTATTAAGGGTGGGCTTTACAAAGCACATTTGGCAGATTTCAAGAGGGTAGAGGAAGAAATAGATCTCTTGCTGAGACAGAAGTTTAAATCCAAACAGCCTCCCGGGCAGCTCCAGGCATCCTGGGAGCTGTCAGCCTTTTGTGGAGTGGCCAGGCCCCCTTGTTTTCTCTAGAGTAGCTAGGTCCAAACTTGATATTAGATCTGAGAAGGGAAGAGGTTGTTGTGGAGACATCTCTTTCTCTGCCCTAGTCTGCCTCAGAAAGCTACTCACTCATATACTATGGGCAGGTTCCAAGGTGCAGACAGTATGAATGTGCTGGGCTGCAGGGCACTGAGATGGGCAAGAGTGGAGCCTGCTGGTACGAATGAACAAGAGGACTTTCAAGTTCTTTCTGGACCTCTTAGAGTTGATGTTGTGGGATGCCTTCTTTTTCTACTGAGAATTTGACAAATATTTTTATTAGTACTAATATTTATACATATAGTGGTTTGTATTTTATAAAACACGTTTCGTACAATAATCACAGCTAGATTTGTTGTTTGTGTGTGTGTGTGTGTGTGGCTGCCTATCTTAGATGCCCCCAGAAGCAGACCCTGAGATAAGAATTCAAATGCAAGTACTTTACTTGGGAGATGGAGGAAAAAATGGTAGGGGAGTAGGGAAGAGAGACAGAGAGGAAAAGGCAGCCAATTAAAAGTGCATTATGAGGTTTGTTGCCATTAGGGAAAGAAACATGAGACTCTCACCTGAGTTATCCTATTCCAGAGGGAAGGTTACAGGGATATTTCCACACCAGTTACCATCAGACATTGGCTAAGGGCCGTTCCTTGGGGGACATTCATTCCTTGGAGTGTTTGGCCCACCTCTCAGGCAGCAAAGCTGGTCTGGTGGCAAGAAAAAACCCTCAGAGAAGAAATGCTCGTGCCCACAGCTGGTGCTCACTGAAGTGTAAGGCAGGAAGTGGCACCACTATACATCCCTGTGCTCAATACTCTGTGCATTTTGGACTTAATAATCACAACAACTCTGTAACCCTGGGATCAACACCTCCATTTTAAAGAGCGGCAACTGACACTTAGAGAGAGAGGTTCAGTGGCTGCATCAAAGTTGAACTGCTCAGGGAGAGATGGGGCTTCTAACTCCAGAATTCACTCTTACCAACTATGCCATGCTGTTTTGCTTCTTAATTCCTCTAAATACACCAGAAACAAAGGTATTTTCTTATTTTGTTTTATCAATAAGGAAATGGGGGCTCACAGGCATCAACTGCCTTGCCCAAAGTCTTCCAGCTGCCTCTAAGTAGAGGGGTGCCTGCTCTCTGAAGCCCATGCACACCCTGTTGATGCACGGCCTGGTTAGGCCGCTTTACATTCCCTGTTTGCTGCCTCATGACAGACTCTGGCTTTTCTTTTGTTCTAGCCTCTGGAAGGTTGTATTTATAACTTCCTTGAAATGGGCTTCTTGAAAAATCCATTGTCCCACACAGCGATGTTAAGAGCTCATTGCCCAGGCAGTCCCTCTTATCAGCCTCTTCTTAGGGAGAATTTAGTTGATTTACTTGCTTTCAACTTCTAAGCCTTCATTTGTTTCCTTCCTCAATCGAACAAATTAGACCTCTAGTGTTTGAAGACAAGCCTATCAGAGAGGATATTTAACGCAATTAGTAGAAAAATTAAAGTGAAGTCCAAGATCAAGTGTTTAGAATGGTCAGATTTGACCGCAATAAGCCAGCCCTATTATTGGCTTGAATTTACTTCCCTTTGAGCCCAGAGAAAAATACTTCCTTGAGTTTCCAAAACCACCAGGTTTGGTCCTGAGCCACAGCTGCTTAGGGCAGACAGGATAATCTTGTTCTGCATACAGCTCAACCTATGGGGGTAAGAATTCTGACAGGGCCAAAGGAGATCAGGAGATACCGCTGGTATAGAACTTACTCCCAAAAAAAATGGCCCAAGGAAGGCCTCACCCATGGCTTGAACTCTTCCTCAGAGCCAATGGGGAACTAATTCAGCTCTCCAAGTTTCTGTCCCATTGGAGTTTGGCCACTGGTCTGACATCCAGATGTCTGGCTTCTCACTTCTGTGGGCAGATACATCAAACATCCGGTTCCCAATTAAGATAACCCTTTAAGAGAGCTTATTGGGAGGAGGGCCACTGGCAGATAATTTCCAGCAGCTGCAGATTTGGATCTCCAGTGGAGTCCACATTGAGGCATTGTGTGTGTGGCCGTGGCCATGACACAATGTGTGTGTGGCCCAGCCAAGACTGGACACAGCCCAGATACCAGCCCCATGCCATTCCTGTTTGACATAGGGCTCCTGTGATGGCCAGCTTTGCTCTGGGCTCATTTGCCTTGCTGAGCCCTTCTCAGATCTGCCCTGCCGTCTGGGGCTTACCTACCCATCCTCCTTTCTTAGCTGCTTCCTTTGGCTTGCATCATGTTCTAAGGCCATTCCCACCTACTCCTGCCCTTTCTTCCCTTCACAAATGTTTCCCTAGTGAATTTCCAGCACTTCTAGTTCCACCTGATGTTGCTCTTAAAGGACTCAAAATGATAGTAGCTGGTACACAGAATGGGGTTTGGGGGTCCAGCTCACTCACCACACAGCTGGCAAAAGAATGTCATCCTGAGAGAAATATGGGGTGCAGATAGTCCCTGGAATAAAGTGGTGTGGCTCAATTGCTGAGGATGTCATTGGTAGTGACCAGAAAAATATGTCCCAATAGAGGAGAATGCCTTTGCCAGTACAGTGATTCAGGCATTTTAGATATCTAGGGAGAGCAATAGCTACAAGGACAGTTATTACTATATCGTATTGACACCCCGTGGAGGGATAATGAGAAACAGAGGGCAGTTAATGAACAGTTCAGAACTAAGTGTGAGAGCCAGAGGCCTCTTATCTACTGCAGTAGGAGGATGATCAAAGTTGAAGAGAGGATACAGGATTCAGTTTTCCAGAACTCCAGAGATGTTTAACTGCTCAGTTAAGACAGGACTATTATGCTAAACTCAGAGGCCTGGTTGGGAAAAGCTGGGACCCTGGAACCTAGGATAGGAACCTCATGGTGGATGCCCTCAAGAATTTTAGTCATGTAGACTCCCCTGTACCTTCGGAACTTGCTAAGGCAATCCACCCATCTCTATTAAGAGCTGGTACTTCCCCTAGTGGGAAGATGCTGAAGAAGCCCTTCCCTCTGAGGCAACAAGTGCCCCTCAATAGCTGCCCACACCTCCTCTCTTGGCTAACAGGCTGATAACTAGAGTTAAATCCCAGCATAGTGTGACTGAGACATGATGGGCTTGATAAATCAGGGAAGAGATTATACCCAGAAAGAGCTGAAAAATTAGGTAGTATGTATCAGCACAGGAAAGGGAATACCCTTGGAATTGGATTTCCAGGGTGCTTGATCCAGGGGGAGCAGAACGTAAAACTGCATTAACAGGAATTCATGGACTTGGTGCACTTTCTTAGGACACAGGCAAGAACCCCCCAGTATGGGGCCAATGCCTGGCTAAGGTGGCTCTTAGCAACCTAAAGAAAGCAATGGCTAACATCGAGCAAAGTTGACTTTCCTGAGTTGCCCCAGCAGAGGCTGGTGGAGGAAGGAATAAAAAGACTTGAGGAGGAAAGAATGTTGGAATCAATATTTTATGTGAGGTCAGAAACCCACTTGAAGACTGTATTGCATAGGAAAGCCCAGAAGACACAGCATTCACTAGGGCCATCAGGAACATGCTGGTGAAGCCCATGGTGGCAGGGAGAGCTGGGCTCATGGATAGGAATGGGAGCAATGGAGCCCTGAAGTCATAGAGGCCAGGTGGCAGCATTAACCACTGGATGCCAGGGGCTGCCATTACTACAATGACCGGCAATGTCAGGGGCAGCCAAATGTGTTTGAACACAGGAAATTGTGGAGATGGTCAATGTAATATGGCCAAATAGGTGGGAAGCCAAGAGTGCTGCTTAATGCCATTAGAAGAAGGTAAGAATAGAGGAGAAGGAGGCTGAGGTAGGTTGCCTCAATACAAGGTCATGATCACTTGCTCAGTTACTAGCCCTCAGCCAATTTTCTGATCTGAAACCCATTGACTAAAGAGATGGTTGGGTCCCTAGGAGGAAGGACCCTGCTATACCATAGCATGTAGACACTGTAATGATTCCCTCAGTCCTTCCTCAAAGGGACCAATGGCCATTTACTTGTGTGACTGTATACTGGGAAAGTGGAATGGCTAGACATTTCAAAGAAGTATTGGACACAGAGTCTGAGTTGACATTGAAACCCAGAGACCCAGAATGTTTCTATAGATCCCTAATGAATGGAGATCTGGCAAGTCTGGCTTACTATGGATTCACAGGGACCCATATTTTGTATTTGGAATAACTCTCACATTGAACCCCTGGCCTGCGGGTAGGAGCTAGCACAGTGGGGAAGGCCAAGTAGAAGCCTCCAAAGCCTTCTGTTTTTGGCCTCCTGGAGAAAATAGTAAATAAAAACAATATTGCATTTAAATTTTTCTTTTTGGTAGGTCAGAGTGGGGGAGGTATGAATGATGGAGATTGGTGCCACCATTTAAAACCTAAAGCATGCAGGGCTGAATAGTAGTTCTAATCATATCTCCATTTAATTAATCAGTCTAGCCCCCGCAGATACATGATGGATCATGAAGAATGGCTATAGACTACCATAAAATTAATTAAGCAATAGCCTGGATTATAGTTCTGTGTTGAACATAGTATCTTTGCTACAGTAATTTCATAAATTCTCATATACATGGTATGTGGCTGTTGATTTGGCATTCCTTTTTATTCCAATCAGAAAGAAGGAGCAGAGACGGTCTGCATTTACATGGAACATACAATGACATTTAGTTTTGCCCCACAGCTATGCTAACTGTCCCACTCACTGTCATAACACAGTCTGAATAGGTCTGAGCTATCCAGGAATCAAGGATTGCAAGCAAGAGTAGGCCCACTTGCCATCATGTCCAGTGACCCATCTGGGGACTTTGTGCTTTACACCCCCACAATACTGGGCTTTGTAGGATTAGAGGTTCTAGTCTCTAGAGAGGGTACATTCCTGTGGAGATATAGCACATGTCCTGTTGAACTACAAGTTATGGTTGCCTCCTGGGTACTTAGGACTGCTGGTGCCCAAAGACCAGAAGGTGAGAGGTAAAGTCATCATTTTGGTAGGGAAAATTGTCCGTGGCCAGCAGGGGAGGTGAGGTTACTTTTACACAATGGGAACAGGGAGGAATATATGTGAAACTCAGTGGAGCCAACTGGGCACATTTTAGGATTATTTATCTGGTTGTACTGAGGGCTCAGATTACTTAGGAATGAGAGTTTGGGGTCATACCACAGGGCAAGCTCTCAAGGCCTGGTGAGGTGACACTGAGGATGAGGGGAATTTAGCATGGACAGTGGAGAAGGGAGACAATGACCAATTGCAGAGATGGGACTGAGTTTGCCCAACTAACCTGAGTTTCTCCTCAGGAAGAGAAGCCCGCAGGAATGGAAGGGAAGCTGTTCACTGAACACATGTGGAGAAATGGATGTGTGTGGCACAAGGAGTGGATGTGGTAGCCATTGAGGTGCTCCACTCAAATCTCTCTTCAAGAGAACCTTCAAGGACAGCAATTCATGGGCAGTTTTCAGCTGTGCACCTGTGGATCTAATGCAGCATTCCTATTGAGGCCTTGCTCTCCATTGGTTGTTTCTATCCAGTGGCCAAGCATGATAAAGCTGCTAGAACCAGCCATACCTGCCCAACTTGGAGTCCTCTAACAACAGATCTTTGCTCTGGGGCTTCCTCTTGGCCTGGCTCAGAGTTTATCAGTTTCACTGCACCCTAAATCTCCTCCCACCCAGTTCTCCTTTTTTCCCCTCTTTCCTTGCACAGGTCTCAGCTCTGCATGGGGTCCTAAAAGGTCTCCCTGTCTATTCCTGCTCTGTCCCAGGACCCTTCACAAACATTTCCCTTCTGCTTATTTTATTCTGATGGGCATCTGCTTCCTGGATGACCCAAAGTGGCATAGGAGGTCTCAGAAAATGGTAAATAAAATTCCTCTTTGCTGCCTCCACCCCCACCTGTTGCACACGCAAAAATTAGAAATAAAATTCTTCACTTCAATATGGAGAAGTAACTGGGCTCTGTCTGGGCATTTTCACAAATGCCAGGAAATAAGAATAACTGTCATGGAGAAAATCTTTAGTCCAAAGCTATTTTCAAGTGGCTTCATAATTCCAAGTTCTATTAACTTGTGTGAAATCTCTTATACTTGTCAGGTCAAATTCTTGTTTTCTGCCATGATTTAGAAGTTTTCCTGCAGAGTGGCAGAGGACAGTAATTGAACTTGTGGTCCTGAATTTTGATTGGATGAGGATTGGTCCAAATCAGATCTCTTTCAAGTTTCTCTGGGATCACCAAGGGCAACAGTCCCCTTGACTTCCAGAGAAAATCATGAAAAAGCATTAACATGTACTTTATAGCTAGCCTTGATGGACTGAAGACCCCTTCCTTATCCATCTTTTTGCTTCCAGTTGGACACCTACCAGGTGAAGGAGGGGTCTCTGCTAGGAGGAGTGTTCTTTCTCCCCCATCAAGGGCAAGGGAAATGGATACAAAAAAGCAGGAGTATTTAACCCCTTGCTGACTTCTGGAGATGACCTTTCTTCCATCTGTCACCACCAGCCAGGGCTTCAGTAGAGCCAAAAGAGTATAGCAGTCTTTGGAGAGAAACATTCATTCATCTGTTGATAGGAGTTGTCTGGAGCTTAGGTAAAAATTGCATTTTCCTCACCGTCTCTACCTGTGCCTAGAGAGCTGAGAGGCTGAAGCAATAGCAATAACTTTGACTTGGTCAACTTGTGTGCATCATAGTAATAGCGAATATTTGTAGTTTACAATGCATTTTATATACACTTTTCACACAGTTTCCATCTTGCCTGAATTCCCAGTTAAAGTTATCAGTTGGGTTAAGGCAATCCTATTAAAATGTCTCCTGAGTGGTAGGCATTTAGTGAATGTGTGTTGCATGGAACTGAGTTTATTGTAATTTAGTTGCTTATTTGTCAGTCTTCCCCACTGGTTTGAGTTCCTTGAAGGTAGAGGCTTTGTCTTTTATCTCTGTTATGTACAGCGCCTAGTACAGAGCTACACATAGGGGGAAATCAGTAATTGTCTGTTGACTGAATGAATGAATGAATGAGGGAGCAGAGCCATAATACACAAGCAAGGATGAATATATTGGAGTATCTAGAAAACAACATAGGAAAGATAGATTTGAGACTGTAAGCAATGAGACACAAGACCATCTTATTTAGTGGGAGGTGAGAGTGGTAGCAGAAGTTGACACATGGGAGGGCTTATACTCAGAGAAATAAAAGTCCATGCACTGTGGGTCCTGGGCCATGAAGAGTGGCATGGATGATGGCAGGGGGAAGAATATGGGTTGGTGCAAGTCCTCACCCTAACTTCTGCTCTGCCTCTGCTTCCACCTTGGGTCCAGTCTAGCTGGCATCAGCATCAGCATTGCTGAATGGAAGAGGGAGCCTTCCCTAATTCTCACTCCTGCCCCTGACTCTAGCCAAGCTTAGTTGCATGCAATCTAAGCAACCATAGCTTCCTTCAGCCACTGTTTCCTTTACTCTAAGTCCTTGGCCTGACATTTTATGTGGCATGGGCTCATTCAGTAATCTGTTACTCCTCAAAGATGACAATAGTAACTCATAGTGCTTTTTCCATAAAAATCAGTGGCTGTTGCCCATACATGGAAAATCTGTGAAATGCTTCTTCCATCCACTCCTCTTGACCATGCTCAATAGAATAAACTTGCCAGTGATTCCCCACGTGGTAGAAGCATTCTTGTGGGTAAGCTTGTACCTTATCATGGGAACCCGCTATTCCTTCTGAACAAGTCAGCAGGAATCATTTCAGAAGATGTGCACTCTGGGGTAGGAGCAGAGGGGGAAAGTGCTCATGTTAGGTATCACTGAATTCCACCACAAAATGTACCATAAACTTCTAGTTTCCAGTTTCATTCTGTAAATGAGGAAAAACTTAACAGATATTCATAGAATTAATTAATCTGATGAGCTGTGAGGTGAAGCAGAGTTTTAAAAAGGCTGAAAATATGTGTTATTTAAAATTTAATTATGAGAAAAAGGGAGGTTGAACAGGTGAATGAATAAAGAATAAATGTCTTAAATAGGATGATCCTAGTCACTAGAGCTCCCACACATTCCATATTCAAATGTGACCTATAACATTTCTTATTACAATCATTTTCGTACTTGAAGTAGGAGTTGATTCAGCCTAGATGTGAATTTAGGGAATGCACATGGAAATAACAAGGAATAACAAGAAAAATAACTGCTATGTATATGCTCAGTGATCTGAACTACATGAAATGAACAAAGAAAAAATAATGCATTGAAAAGGAGCAAGACCTTTTTGGAAAAACATAAGACTTAATCAAAAGATATTAACAAATATGTTTAACTATTAAAAGGGACCTAGATTTATGTCTTTAATTTCTAAACAAATGGGAGATATACCGTGTACATAGATAGGAAGACTCAATAATGTAAATAAATAATTCTCTCCAAATTATTCTATGAATTTGATGCAACTTTAACAAAAATTTTGATTCTAGAATGTATCTATAAAATCAAAGAGCCATGAAAGGACAGTGTTAAAAATGGACAAAATTGGGCTGAGAAGGAAGATGATTTTGGGCCCATGTGTTGCAGTAACAATGCTGTTTGCTAAGTCATATAGCTCTTGCCTTCTGGAATTCTGAGCACATGCCCACTGAGAGTGAGGCTAATCAATTGCTAAGATTCATGGGATTTGATAGTCAATTGTAAAGCTGTCAAAATATGTTGATTATTTCTTGTGATCTTGGTTAAGGTAGAGGAGGAAAGACCAATTTTAGTCCAAGGATACTTCACTAAAAGCAGATAGAGAAAAAGCCAGGTCAGAAAATCAGATTTCCAAGGTCCAGAATAAGACATTAATCATGTGTCTTACTAAACCACATAGATCAAATTATCAGCTTTGCACCTTTCCTGTGAACAAGATAGGTGCCCTGAGTTGGAAAGTTTGATAACTTCAAAATTATAACAGTGCTATCGAAGATGTTGGAGCACCCTGATCTCATATACCTTCAAACCACTTTCTACTAGACTCCCTTGTTGGATGAAGAAGAACGTAGAGGAACAGGTTTCACACATCAGCTTTTATTGTCATAAGCAAAGAGGATATGGTCATCATAACAGGTGGCCAAGCTGATGTACCTTCAGGAAGTAACCAGATATGGAGAGATCTTACTGGTTTAGCAACTGAACTCTCTCAAAATGAAATAAATAATTAGCTAGGATTTTTGTGGAAGCTAAAGCCCAAAAACCTAAGCCCAATGAGCAAATTTGAGTTGATCTTGGGCTGCTTAGGAAGTTCCTGGGCCCAAGTACAAAGGATACTGAAAAAACTCAGAAGTGTTTTGTTAAGGTGATATAGCCTTACAAGGGGATCCTTCCCAAGAGCCTCCTTTTGGGGTAGCCCTGAAGGACATTGGACAGATCTTTCCTCCCAAAGGTAAAAACTGGAGCAGAGAGGTTGGCTGCTCAATGCATGTATCCCATTGCCTGGATAATGATTCAACAAGCAGATGCCTTTTGAATTTGCTGGTCCTATCATTTTTCTTACTATCCCTGTCTGCCAGGAATGGTATACAGTCTAGACCTGAGGTTGATATGTTTTATCATGGGAGTTTGTTTCCCAATCCCAAGTTACTGAATAGGAGTTTTCATTTTGGTTGCACTTTTTACCATTCCTTATTAAAAACAGAGTTCTAGTCTTGACCTAGCAGTTGGACTTCCAGGAATATATCACACAGATATATTTCCACATGTTGGGTGATGCCATAAAGGAAATGATAGTTGATGGAAAGAGACCAACAAACACAGGTAAGCATACAAATTCCTTTGCTGAAAGTAAATGACATACAAACTCAAAAGACAACTATACAAAGTATCCTCCTCCGTCTAAGAAGCAAACCTCCCTGGCCTCCAAGTCCCCATGAAGGCACCCAGGTGCTGATAATACTACTGAGACTTTTAAAATATTCTTTCCACTATTTTGGGAGTAGGGGTGGTTTGCCTTCTTGGCTCCCCTCCACAGCTCTGAGGCTCCGGCTATGTGCCCCCAGGTGGTATGAGCAACTAGTAACAACCTCAGGACATCCTTGAGTGCTTTTGGGGGGGAATCAAAGGTCATTTTCAAGGATTGAATTCACAGGGCATCCTTTCACTGATCACAGGGCCGTTGCCCTTTCTACCTCCTATACCTGCATCCTCCTCCACCCAAGGCTCACTGCTCTTGCAGCATCAATTCAGCAGATTTAAGTTTGTCTTTAGAAAGCATTTTTTACATTATAGGCAGAAAACAAAACAAAGTACCTATTTCTATTACTATGATAACTGAAACAAGTATTTGAACTACCAGGGAAGGAAAGGGGTTGTATTAAATCAAAGTATTTCATGTTTTACAACTAGATGATTTGCCATTCCCTTCTCATTATGTGCTTAAAAGTAAGATGTAATTGTTAACTGAATTATTGAAGTGAGAGTAGCCAAACCAAAAAGGTGACATCCCCTGCCTTTGGCAGAAGATGCATAAACCATGCCACAGGGGAAATGGTTGAGAAAAATACTAGGGCTAAAAATGGATTCAAAAGAAAGGGGACTCTGTGGTTCTGCGGTTCCAGGGATCATAAGAGAAGAAGCAAGTATTTTGCCTATTTATGTCGTTTTTTCATGTCTATAGCTGTTGAATAACTGGCTTAAAGTCTACTGAAAAAAATTTAAACCATACTTATTGTTCTTCTCCCAGATCAATAAATGAAAAAAAAAAAAAAACCACATGACTCAGTTAAATCAAATCCTCTATCAAAACCTGAGTCATTACATGAAGGGAGGAAGCAGATGGATTAAAATGGCCTTTTGTTACAAGGATAATGGCTGCAATTGCTCAGCATGTTCAATATGCCAGAAGCTTTACATAAGCTGCTCTCAGCCCTATATAAGACACTGTAGGATTGGTGTAGTTTCCCCCACTGCACAGGGATCACCAAGACAGAGATGTTATACAGCTTTCCTGGTTCTCCCTGCTTGGACCAGGAAGAGGCCAGGCAGGTCTGTGTGCCTCCAAATTTGTCCATTGTCTCAACTTCTCATTTTCAAGTGAGAGAAAGAGGGAGGTGGGGCAGGGAAAGGCTGGGATGAAATTATTTGAAGAACAAATAATAACATTCTTGTAATAAAAGGAAATCAATCTATGCACAGTGAGTTTTATTTAGTAGTTGAAAAAATGAGAGCCATACTGATCATCATAAGGATTCTGTAAGCTCTGGGGAATAATTGTAGTGGGGGTGGGGAGGATTTAAAGAACCCATAGATAATTCTTCCTCTTCTAAACCCCTTTACACTTTATTTGAGCACATTATCTGGCGATATTAGGGCTCAATAGATATTTGGAACCAATAAGTAAATTTGTGTCTCTATCAAAATAGCATTGGTTTTTTTTTTCATCTTTGTGAAATTAATTCAAACCTAAAAGCTGTTGGAACTTTATTCTGAGCCTTAAGAGGAATGTGGCTATGTAGCCTGAGTCACATGGCATACAGTTGCAACTTCTCTCTTTTCTTTTCCTACAAATGATTAGGAACAGAGATGACTCCCTCCAAACATTACTCCTCTTTACAGCAGTCTTCCTTGGAATGTAGCACAGTGTACTAACCAAATAGCTGTAATGTATGCATTGGCCTTATATGTAAAACGTTTCAACTCTGCTGAAACTGTTTCTGCCTATGTAAGTGAAACCTTAGCTTCCCCACTTTGGAGCACTGACTCCATCCCTTTGGAGTCAGTGTTTCCCAGGTGACTATTGTCAAGTTTTGTACTCAAATAAATTCTACACCTAATAATATTTTTAGAATCTCATTATTAATGGTTGGCACCCTGGATGACGGGTATTTCTGGGTGCTTTAAATCTCCCCTCCTGGGCAGTAAGTATTTTAATATCAATAGCCTCTTACATTTATGCCACACTTTATGGCCAGATTTGGTATACATTATTTTACTCGGTGCAATTCTATGAAGTTTGAAAGACAGGCATTATTTATCCTTGTTTTGAGGACTTTGAGTCTCAGAGAGGTTAAGTGATTTGCCCACAGTCACATAGCTAACAAGTGGGAAAGCTTAAGCTTAAATTAAGGATTTCTAACTTCTGTTCTCTTTCCAACATGCAGAGTCTCTTATGAGAGATTTCTCTTTCGATTCTTCCGTGCAGTTTAACACAGCCAAGCCCTACATCTTGCTCCTAATAATGTTCCGTAAATGTCTGTTGGGTGATTTTTATGAATGAATGGCTGAAAGATGGAAGGAACGAATGAAACATTGTGAACTGGTCTAATGAGATTTGCATTTGGGCGATTTGACTTTCAGATCTGGATGGAAAGTGTTCTACACAATTTTTTTGTCTACTCACATTTCATTTAAATACATGACCTCTGGGAAGTCCTCAAAGGAGATAGCTTTGCTGCACTTTCTAGTTGAAGAATGTTTGGTTTGGGTCCTTTCAGAGGCCATAAATCTCTCTAATTAGTGCCTAATGGTTTTGGGGATGATTCTGAGCAGGTAAGCCATTAATTGAAAGAAGAATGTCATCTGCCACAGAGATTTCTCATTACATTCCATCAAATTCGAAACAGAGTCCAGTTTGGAATTCTTTTATGAACAGTGTAATTACACCACATCCTATAGTGTTTGAAAGTAGCTCTCACATTAGCATCTCTGTCGTGAGTGGGAAGGGATCCATGTAAACAGGAGCTGGGCCAGATGGGTCTCACTAAGACCCTCTCCCCACCCCGTTTCAGCTTCATTAAATTAAGCTATCCCTATGTGTGTGCAAAAGACATAAATCAACCTTTTACTTCTGTATGCATTAAAGAAATGCATCCGCTTCCATTAATTAAAAATCTCTGTTGTTGACAGTGATCAGGGTAGAACAGACGTTTCTTCCGAAGGATTCCAGGGCAGCAGATCCTGGTCAGATGCCACAGGCCTCAGGCAGGCTGGGCAGCAAGCAGAGTTCAGACATGAACCAGCCGTCCTTAACCTTGTCCTTGTCCTGGGAGGGAAGGGGCAGCAACCCAGCCAACCCAGGCCTCTGTTTCTTCACTGCAAAGGGGTGCTATCCAGGGGAACATGGCAGAAACCCTCCATGGCTGTACAGATCACAAGCCCCTGCCCTCATGAGTGGGACTCACTGGGCTTGCCAGTCACATGTAGCAGCAGTCACTTTACCTTGGGGTCTCCAGTTTTCCCCTAACTGTGATCGTTGTTTGTGATTTTCCTTTTCACTTCACCTCCTACCCTCCATCCCTTCCCCGACCCCAAACATACTCATAACCTTTTCAGGCACTCAATGTTTTCTTGCTCTGTTTCTTCCCTTCTCTGTTGCAGTTGCTCCTAAGATATCGATCAATCATTTACATCTTAGTAAGAAGTGTATAGCCAGTGTGACTCTCTCTATATATTATATATCGTATGTTTGTACATATACATATACAGTATGTAGTGTGTACATATTACATACTCCATATATAGTATGTGTATGTACATGAGTGTCTGTGTGTATACTATTAAGCTTAGCACCTCATTATAGGAAAAAAAGGTTTTGTGCCTGATTAAATAATTTTTCAGACTTTCTTCTTATATATCAATGTCCTTTTTCTGTCATAAGACAAATATCATAATAGACAAACTGGGGGAAATTTTTTAAAGTAGAGGAATCTCACCTATAATCCTATCCCCCATAATTGACTGCTATAAATATTTTGATCTATTTTTCCTATTTTCTTCATTTATAAAATAATGAAATATTTTTTGCTTACCATTCATACATTACACCCAATTCAAGAAAAAAAAAAAAACATTTGACATACAATTTTTCTTCTTATTCACCAGAGCTAACAAATGTTCTAAATTTGGTGATTTTTGTGTTAACTGTTCCCATGCATTTCTTTATCTTTTACTACAAATGTATATGTCTATAAACAAAATATGATATTGCTTGCATAACTTTAAGTTTCAAATAAATGACATTATACTACAACTTGCTTTTATTGATCTACAACTTGCTATTTTGCTCAAATTATGGTTTTGAAATATAACTATGTTGATACATGTGGATCTTATAACTGCTCTATAATATTCCACTGTAAGAATATTAGAACCCTCACAGAAGGGAGAAGGCAGTGCTCAAGGGATGTGCTGTGATATCAAAAATTGTCTTTTGATATTCAGAATTCACAGTCCAGGCAGTAGGTAAGTCAGGAGTTGATTATTAAGCTTTTAAAATAATTTTGCAAAACTTCACACACTCAGTATAAATTTAGATTAGGCATATCGTTCACCTCACTGGCCTGGAGTCCCTTATATCGACCTTTGGCACAGGGCAGTTCACCAGGAAAAGCCTCCGAGCTGTCAAATACATTAGTCTAAATGATCACGCTCGTGAGCTACAGTCAGAAGAGGATGATGCAGCTCTCACCTGAAAGCTACTCACTCTCTTACTTGAGGCATGATTCTGACAAGCTTGGTTTCATTATTTCCAAGTCCATGGTAGATTAGGGATAGCAATTTTAGAGTAGGGAGCCTGACAAGGAAGACAGCAGATAGAAAGGAAATGTGACTCCCAGCTCTGCCCTGCCGTGTTTATCCTCTCGCATGCAGGCTGATGAGCAAGAAAAACAAAGAATCAGACAGAAGAATTGAGGGGCTTTAGCATAAGGCAAATAGCTCTTTAACTACAACGTGAAACTGAGTCATCAGGAAAAAGCTGTACACCCTAGAGAAGGTGGCGAAGTGTGTGATATATTTTAGCAGCAATTCTATTGCAAGTCAGGTATTTAGAAATTTTAACTTTGGAAAAAAATAATGCTTGATGTATGCAGGGTTTACAACTTAGTAAACATTTTCACAAAGTTTGTCGTCACCACCAGTCTGTGAGCCTAGCTGAGCAAGCATTTTGCTTAGGAGCAAGGAAACGAATCCCAATGGCTTCAATGTCCTTCCCAGGCTGTCCACCCCGGGTTCCTCTGGCTCTCCACTTTGCGTGTTTCACCCTAGCAGTGTCGTCCTCCTTTCCTGGAACCCTTCCCTGGACACCTGCGCCAGGGCACTATTAAGTCAAAAGTAATAACACTGATGTGCTATAGGTGACTTCTCCGTGAACATACGCTTGAGGGCTGGACAGCCCAGTTTGACTCCTGGCTTAGTCACTTAATAGTAGTGTGGCCTCTCTGGGCCTCAATTTACAGATCTGCCACATGGGGGTAATAGTTCTACCTACACCTTAGGGTTATTTGTGATAATTAAATGAGTTCATTTACATAAAGCATTTAAACAAATACATAATATGCATTACCCAACCTATCCAGAACAAATGTGAATTCAGAAGTAGTTAGGAAAAATATATAAATGATTTGAGAGTACAAACTTGAATAGGATAATGCATCCCTGCTCTTCATAGAATATTTTAGTGCTTCTGTCCTAGTCCTACTTGATTACTAAATAGGTTTTATTCCAACTTAAAATTATTTACTTATATTTTTAAAAGTTGGGTTTATGGCCCAATAAGCTAATCATGTTTGAGTGCCAGCAAACTGGTACAGTCTGTTCCTGCTTTTAATTTATGATGTGGTTTGAGTCCCTGTGTTTGCAAAAATTTGGGAACATTGTTAATGACAATGTAATAAAAGATTTTAGTAAACAAATTTTAAGTACACAAATGAGGGCTGTGCCGCACGCAGCCTCATGCTGACTTCCTTGCCTGGTGAAGCGTCCTGCTTTAAGAAAGCAAAGTTGCCATTTTTTTACATTATAACAAGACCCTTAGTTAATGACAACTGTATGATGTTTATAGGAAGCCGCAGAACAATCCTGTGTTCTACTGGCAGCTGGTGGTTGGAGTAGCAATTGGGAAGATGTCAAAAATTCACACTTGGTTTTTAGCAAATAAATGTTTCAATGTTACTTGATGCAAAACCCTCTATTTTTCTTACAGTATTTTGGAATTGGCTGGAAAATGAGGAAGAAAGGGTGAACTGCTCGGGGGGAGCCCTCGAGAGGATCTTCCTTTTTTGTGCACTCTGTATTATTAAAGCAGCCCCACAGCGATTGTGCCTTGTCTCCCCTCTCTGTCCTCTTCTGATCATTTCTATTTATGAACATAATTTTACGTAATTTTAGTCATAATGTGGATATTGTTTTGTATTCTTAATTTTTCACCTATCATAAGCAATGCAAAAACATTTCTGCAAAGTCTCCACTTTTCTTCCTTAAAGTTGTGTGTTATTTTCTCTTATAAATTCAGCACTAGTTTATTTGCATCCTTGAACATTTTCCAGTATTTTTCTGTAATTATCTTTTTACATGTAGTTTTTGTCTTTTTTTTCTTCTTTTGAGTTGCTGTCCTGAGACTGTTGCCCAAGGTTGGGATTGAGGAATCAAAGAATGTGAACACTTCTGTTACATCGTACTGTTGGGACTTCCAAAAAAATGTGAACTAACTTATCATTGTGGAAGTGATTCTTTTTAAGGGAAGATAAAAGACAATTCTATATTTTTGAGAAAAGAGAGACAGGGCAAGAGAAGTATCAAAAGGAAAGAAAAGATGAGGAATAGCATTAAGGGCCCATTACAAATAGGATATAAAAAAAAAATCCTGAAACCCATGAGATGAGACAAGAGGGGATGTGGAAGAGAAGAGAACACCTCTTTTTTTTTTTTTTTTTTCCTCAAGACGGAGTTTCGCTCTTATTGCCCAGGCTGGAGTGCAATGGCGTGATCTCAGCTCACCACAACCTCTGGCTCCCAGGTTCAAGCGATTCTCCTGCCTCAGCCTCCTGAGTAGCTGGGATTACAGGCATGTACCAGCATGCTCGGCTAATTTTGTATTTTTAATAGAGACAGAGTTTCTCCACGTTGGTCAGGCTGGTCTTGAAATTCGGACCTCAGGTGATCTGCCTGCCTTGGCCTCCCAAAGTGCTGGGTGTGAGCCACCGCGCCCGGCCGAGAACACCTCTTTACCTTTTAAAAGGAGCTGGCTGATCCTTAAAGAATCCTCACCTGACTGCTTTTCTTTCTGAAAGCACGTAGGGAACATAGGCATGAACTCTTGCCATCTGCAAGGATCCCAAACTCAAGGGCATGTTGGATTTCAAAATGCAGGTCGCATGTTTATAACTTAAAATATAATTTCCCATGAGAAAAAAAGTAATAATAATGACATTTCACTTTTTAATCATTTTACAGTTTGGGGATATGGTACAGTTGTTCCAGTATAAATGGATATGTGGTTTCATTTGAGCCTCACAACAATTTTGGGCAGTAGGGTTGACTCTGTTTGGTTTGACACATACTAAGAAACTCAGAGCAAGAGACTTAGTATTGTCATAGCAATACATATGTGGAGTGCTTTTTTTATTTAAATGAAATTCACTGGTGGGAAACCAAAGCCCAGACTTTTCCAAAAATGGCATCTCCCTCCTCCTCCCCTCTTCCTCCTCTAACCCATGTCCTCTGGGCTAACCTTGCCTCTTTCCACATCAACACACTTGGCCACATTCCTGGTGTAGCACGTAAAAGGCTGTTTTACCCATGATTATTAATAATTTAGAAAAAGGGCAAGTTAGAAAAATATTTGCCTCCTAATTTCAAGATTTGAGGCAGTCTGTAGGCAATGATGTGAAATACATTATGCTAAGGTTATCTTTCAAGCCTTGGGCCTGTTTTGTTATACCGCTGATGCTCTTTTCCCTGACCCAGCTCCAAAGATATGAAATCAGATTGTCTGGAGTTGTGGTTCAAGGCTCTGTATTATAAAACAGACAAACAAAAACAAAAACAAAACTCTAACATGAAAGGAGACTTAAATGAAAAGATAAAGCATTTCTTATGTAAATAACAAGAAGACAACATAGAGGTGTCATTTCTCCCTAAATGAACTTTTATGTTAAATACTTCAAGATGATACTTGGAGAAAAAAAAAACTGTGAAGGGATTAGCTGATGCTAACGTTTGCTTGGGAAAATTAACAAGCATGAACAGGCTGGAATTTCTGAAAAAGAAAAGTAGTGGGGGGATTTGCCTTATGGGATTTTATAGCACGTTAGGAAGAAGCCAGCTCCTGCTGTCTTGTGGCTCTGGCACCTTCCTCACGCAGAGGCATAAGGTGACCTAAAGTCACTGTGCTTGTCTTCATCATGCCAGCACTGAGTTTTTGAGGAGATAAGTCTGGCTGTGTGCAAAGCAGGTGGAGCCAGACATAAGAGGAATGACTTCATTCTATAAGAACATTAGAGAGACTGTGGCTTGTAAGATTGAAGAAGACGTGTGTTGGTGGGGGTGTGGGGAAATGGCCACTCTCTTCTATCGGGAGTGGGTATTTATGCTTCAGATACACATGTATGAAGTATTATGTATATAAGAATCTTCTCGAAAATCTGCTAACCCTTCAACTCATTTCTTTCTTTCCTTCTGAACCCCCGTGTTATTCAAAAGCTTCCAATCCCCCAAATGTCTCAGTTTTCAGGAGCAGTGAGCTCTTCAGGGAAGATGAGGGGCAGGAAGCCATTTTCTCTTGTGCATCGTTTGTTAAGCATGTGTTTGCAAGTTACAAGTGGATCAGACAAATGTCCTTATTTGCCCAGACAATCCTGGTATATGACATTGTCCTAGTATAATTACTAACAGCTCCTCTTGTAGATGTCCCACTTGGGATGATAAACTACATGATAACCCTATTTAAAAGGCAAAGACTACCTGTATTTTAATATGGGAAGACAATAGCTTTGCCTAGAAGATAGATGCGTGACCTTGCATGTCTCTTTAATAGAGGAAGAAGGTCCCCCACACCTCCAACTGCCTCAGTGTGAACTTCCCTTGGCTTGACTCAAGGGCTTTGACTCAGGGGCTTGACTCAAGTGGTTTGAGTTAGCCTTGAGTCCTCATAAACATGGAATTATTGAGTGTTGCATCAAATGAGTCCCTTCCAAGCTGCCATTTATCTTACCAGAACTGAGTGTGTGCATGTGTATGTGCATGGGTGTGGTAGCAACGTCATCTTTCCATGGCTAAGAAGAAGTGTGGACATACAGAGAAATGCTCTGTATTACTGCAATTGCTTTTGCATTCTGTTTGCAATGAAGAGGGAGGAGAAAGAAGAGATGGAGGGGGGCAGGAGGGAGAGAGAAGTGGGGAGCAGGAAAGAAAGGGAGGGAGGGATATTTAAAGCCACTGACAATTCCAGGGTCCTCTCCCTCCCCAGTCCCAGGCACACACTTCTGTGAGAGGGGCTCTGATATAAAACCTGTCCTGGAAGAGGCAGCCTAAGTCTCAGACGCTGCTGTACAGAAGTCCTGTGACGTGGCAGTTTCTATAGCGACGAGTCTCTTTCATTGGAGAAAGCTCCCTAAAGCAGGATACACAAAACCCTAGCAACCGGTTGAAGGCTTTTTTTTTTTTTAATATGAAGATTTTTCTGCACTTGAATTCAAAAGCCCCCTTCCTAGGAAAGCAGCTTCGTAGCAGGCAGGAAAGGGCTGCCTAGCGTGTCCTGGGGTGAGGATTTGGAAAGATTTGAAAGCTGTTGTGGACCAGGGTAGGGAAAGCGAGAAAGAGAGGTTGCAGTTTAGTGCTGCCTCGACTGGCTGGATCCAGTCTGAATTCACCTTCCAGCCTTTTGTATAGGGACCCACCACCACTGCCAATTAACCCATGATATGAATCCGCCAGGGACAAAACAAAACTGCTACTGCCTCAGCAACCCCATCATGGTCTTCCCTTTCACCTGGCGTATTCCAGGCATCTTTTGCAGGGAGAAGTCAACTCAGGCATGCACACCTGAGAGCTGGGAAACAGTAAGCCTGCTTACTTGGCACAAAATAAATGCCCCATTTAGCTGATGCTTAACTCCTGCCTCTTCCCATCAACTCAGCACAAACGTCACTTCTTCAGGAAAGTCTACTGAATAAGAGATTGCACTTGGCAGCATGTAAAGAGACCCATCTGAGTAGTTTAACCAAATAGGAGTTTATTTTACACCTAAGAAGAGGCCCAGAGGTGGGCAGTCCGGGGGGCTGCCAGCTCCATAATCATCCCTGTCCTAGCTCCTCCTGTCTTTGCCTGGCTGTTGTTCTTGGCATGTTTCACCCTTGAGGTCCCTTCCTAGTCACAAAATGGCTGTTCCACCTCCAGCCAGCAGTGCAGGCAGGAACAAGAAGGAAGCAGTAAGGAGGAAGGGGCGGTGCCCACGTCAAGAAGCAAAACTCTTCCCAGAAATTGGCAGCAGATTCCACATCCATCTCATTGGCCAGGGCTGGGTCATGTGGCTTCAACCCCAAGCTCCAAGGGAGGCTAGGATATGTGGTTTCGTAGCTGGGCAAATTGCCAGCCTGAACAAAACCGTGGCTGTTTAAAGGGCAAGCTGAGGATGAGTGTGGGTGGACAACTAGCAGCATTTGCTACACTTCCGGTGTTCGTGTCTACACACATGCTATCTTCAGGTTAGGTCACCCCTCCCTGCCACACAGCGTCATGCAGTGGTGTGCTGGAAAATGTTTAACAGCCAGATGTCTGGGACAACAAAAGCCACTGTTTGCTCTTATCTGTGGTATAAATACTCCCACCGTGGCCAATTTTAAGCTATCAACATGATGTCCAACAGAGTTAGGAAGACAGACATAGTAAAACATCATTCTATAGTATTTCCAACATGCAGACATAAAAAATATAAATAACCTCAAAAGCATAGATAATAGTAAAATGTAAAATAATTAGGAAGTAATGGGTTTAAAATATGTATCTCATTTTTAATATAAATCGTGTAATTTTTAGCATATATAACTTAATATATATATTTTTGAGATGGAGACTTGCTCTGTCACCCAGGCTGGAGTGCAGTGGTGCAATCTTGACTCACTGCAATCTCTGCCTCCTGGGTTCAAGTGATCCTCATGCCTCAGCCTCCAGAGTAGCTGGGACTACAGGCACAGGCCACCATGCCTAGCTAATGCATGTATTTTTTTTTTTTTTTTTGGTATTTTTAGTAGAGACCAGGTTTCACCATGTTGGCCAGGCTGATCTCGAACTTCTGACCTCAAGTGATCCACCCACCTCGGCCTCCCAAAGTGCTGGGATTACAGTTGTAAGCCACCGCGCCTGGACTATAATTTAATTTTCAATAGTGTCTGCATTTAAAGGCTCACAGCATCCTTAAAAATGTAACCATCCACTCTCATTAGCACATTGCACACTGACTCCCACATGCCACACCTCTGTGGATCTCTGCATTTCCTACACTGTGCCTATCAGTTTATTATCATTGTGCTATTTGTGTGATTTGGTGTCAATATTTGTTCCCCCCACAAGACTGTAAACTCCACTAGGGTAGTGTTTGTGTCTGGTTTTGCTTACAATGTCAGCAGGTGCTCAATAAATATTTGAATAAATAAGTGAATCAATTCAATGTGGAACAAGGAGGTGCCTATATGCATGTATATATGTATAAACAAACAAACAAATAAATACATAAATTAGTGATTTCTGCAAAAGATCTTACATCTCAGCCTCCAGTTTTGTTTTTCTTTTATCCCCTAGTACTGGGTGTCATTCTTTTAGTATCTTAGTTCCCGAACTTTATTAAGATACAAATGGTTGATGAAGCTTTGACATCCTTTTTTTGGACATCTGTGGCTGGTGCTTACTACCTGCACAGAAAGACAGATCCTGGAGCAGCTGGGCTTTATTTTGTGACGGCCCTAAAAGGGAATGTTTGTTTTCCCTTACCCCCATGTCCACTGTGGATCTGATTCTTCAAGGACGCCTCCCTGGAAGTTAGAGGGACATTTTAGGAGGCCCATTAAGTGGCAACACATAGGCTGGGGCTGAGTGCCCATAGGTCTGGGACCTTGTCTGTTCTGAAAGAAACCAGAGGCAAAGTACTGCTTGGTTTCCCCTCTTAGAAAAAGGGTCTCCACCTCTACTCTACAGACATGCAGCAGATATCTAGGACTTCAGGCAGAGCTTTCCTGATGAGGGAGTCCTCAGCTTAGCCCCACAGACCTCAGTTTCACATTCAGCTCCTACCCAAAGGGCATCTTTTAGAAGACCAGCACCTGGTTGCCACTCTAAATGAGTCTAGCCTTTGCACAGACTTCAGGAGCCCACTCTTCCGAACCCAGTATTCAGGCAGGAAGGAAACTATGAGAGTAATGGCACCCCTATCCCCAACTCTCTGGAGACAGGGAAGCATAGAAATGAAGTAAAGAAGGAAACTGAAAATAGAGTAAAAGATCACTGAATTTTCTTAGTACCCAAAGCTGGTTCCAAAGTCAGAGAAAGGAGCTGGAATATCTCCTGCATGCGTCTGAGTTGGGATCTAACCCTGTGACTCTGGCAACTCCCAGAGTTTTCTGAGTCCTGCATCCCATCAATTGGCTTAAAAGTTTCTCCTCATTTTCTGCCATTAAAGCCAAACCCCATGGGGGATGGGTTTCAGGGCTTATTGCTTGTATCACACTAACAATTTTTCTCTTCTAAAATGAGACACAAGTGTTGGCAAATAGATAGAGGATGCGGTGACCTGTGATGTTGCATTTTGGCACTAACTGCTGCGGACTGGGCTATTTTGGATGCACTTGGGGAAAGCTTAAAGAAAGTCTAGCCTATTAACATGGTCACCGAAGACAGAACAGTCTGGCTTTGTGAAAACATTAGCAGGATGGCACTAGCAGCCTGATTTTCAGGATGTAAGTAAACTTGATTTGTCAGAGTGACAATAGAGAGAGTCCAGAAAGAGTCCAGGCTTGACTTATTAAAAACATTTACTCTTAGGCCGGGCGCGTTGGCTCACACCTGTAATCCCAGCACTTTGGGAGGCCGAGGCGGGCGGAGAACGAGGTCAGGAGATCGAGACCATCCTGGCTAACACGGTGAAACCCCGTCTCTACTAAAAATACAAAAAAAATTAGACGGGCGTGGTAACGGGCGCCTGTACTCCCAGCTACCCAGGAGGCTGAGGCAGGAGAATGGCATGAACCCAGGAGGCGGAGCTTGCAGTGAGCCGAGATCACGCCACTGCACTCCAGCCTGGGCGACAGAGCGAGACTCTGTCTCAAACAAACAAACAAACAAACAAACACAAACACACACACACACACAAAAATTCATTTACTCTTGGTTTCCTTAACCACTTTCAGGGAGTAGAAGGTTCTAAGAGGAAATATAGACTTAATACCAAGTGCCTGATGTGGAGCAAATGAAGTTTATACTTGTTGTGAAGGGGTTGTTAGCCAAGCCTGGGGTCCCAGCATGCATGGAAACATCTGGACAACTGCTGTTAGACATCAGCAGGAAGTGCCAAAGAAGTGTGGACTGTATAGGATTTTTGCAGGCTAATGACAACACTGTCCCTCTAGTGGCAGGTACCTGAATTGCAGGCCCAGTGCCTTGGGACCAATCAGCACAAGGAAGACGTTATATCTCACAAATTCAAGTGTTACCACAGCCTACATTTTTATGGGACTTACCATTTTAAAAGTTCTTTCACATGCACTTTCTCTCTTGAGTCTCACAACAGCTCTGTGAAAAACAGGTGATATTTTATTTTACAGATGGGGATGTAAAGGATAAGGGTCCATGTAGCTCTTCATGGACTCAGGTCTCCTGACTTTCAATTTAAACCTCTTTCCCCTTCTGCCCATTGAAATTAGCTTGCTTGGTGTCCCATTCAGGTCTGAGATGTCTACAATGTGAAAATGAATGGTCTCTTGTCCAAGCACTGAATTGCTCCTTTTCAAGGTAATGGTTCTGGAAACTGTGACTTTAAAGAATGAGTTAAGGTTAAAGAGTTATGAGAAGAGTAATGAGAAGGTTAAAGAAATGCTTTAACCTTAAGAGATAAATGGTGACAATTTCAGATACTGTTGATGGCAATCGGAGGAGAGTTTCCCAACTTGAAAAGCCAAACCTTGGAAGCAGCCTCCTAGTCCTCTTCTGAGTGGGACGGGGGTTGGAAGTAAACTGAAGTTGTAAAGTCTAAAAGATACTCTTGCTCCTGCAATTTCTCTCCTATCTCTGAGCTGATGTGTGTTGTTCCTTTAGAAGGTGAAATGGCTTTTATTTAGTAACTGGGGCTCAGGCTTACAATGCAAATAACCCTTGGAGAAAGAATAGATTGGCTTTCATTTTTAGTAGGTTGGAAATTATTGATTTACTGAGAGCTATTTTGCTGGACTGTGGCAGGGGAAGGGGAGATTCAGAATGCCAAGTAGAGGCCAAGAATGGAGGACGGTGGCACAGAAGCCCGCTTCTGCAGGTGCCACCATGTTGACCTGCCTGCAGGACTTTCTTCTGGGGTGAAGCAGCCTCACTTGTCCCTCACCCTGCCACCCTCTCACCACAAGCCTAAGCTGCCCAGGTAGGGCTTCAGCCATTTAGCTTGCCTGGCCTGACTCCAGGGTGAACTCTGCATTCAGCTCTCAGCTCACCAGACTGCTTCACGCTCTTCTCTTTCATGGCTCCTTGGAGGGCCATTGAGGGAGAAGAGATGGCAGAGGAGGAAGCTGCTGCAAATTTCTCTGCATCCTCTTATGCTCCAGAGGTTATATCAGAGCTTTCTCTCCAGATCTTAAGGGAAATAAGATATTGAATTAGAGACACCGGAAGGCCCCATTTGATTGACATACAGAAAGAAGAACGGTTTTCTTGACAGAGAATGTGTAAGAGAGTGCACATCCATGAGTCTATCTCTGTGTAAGAAGAAAGAACAAAGAAAATGTTTTCAATACATTCCATCACCCTAAAATAAAAGTCACTAATATTGCAAGCATTCCCTCACGGGCACAGATACATCACACACACACACACACACGCACACACACACACACACACACACCACATCACATCCCTAATAGCTTTGACAATTTTCCTCCAGCCAATGAGCTCCTTGCTGGTATCTCATGAACTTTGTGCCACAGTTCTGGTCTCTCCCATGACCTAGAACAGACTGGAGAAGAAAGTGACCAGAAAAAAGCCTGGCCTTCTTCTCTATTGATTCATCTGGTGCCCAGGGCTGCACCACCAAGGGCTTTCACTCTCCTCAGGGCCCAGAGCACCAGCTGCTGCCCAGCTCAGATCAAGTAGTGAGTGAGGACAAAGCCTGGCCAGCTACCTGGAAAGAAAGTCCTTCCTGACGGCTGAATTGTCCTCATTTTTATGTATTAGGCTGGTGCAAAAGTATTTGCGGTTTTTGCAATTAAAAGTACTACCAAAAACCACAGTTACTTTCACACCAACCTAATACATAGCAAACCACTCCCCTAACTTTGGATGGACAATTGCTCTTTTTTATGTAATAAGATCCTTTTCAACTTCCAGCCACCAAGCTACAGACCTCCAGGAAAGGCAAAGGGCAAAATTGTGCAGTCTGTCCTTAGCTTGGCTCCCTGCTTCTGTGGGAAATTCCCAGAGGGGAGAGGAAAGGAACCTGGGAATCCCTTCTTCTGAAGACAGATTGCTGGTCTAGTGTTTACACCTCCAATGCCATTGTCCAGGGCTAGTCGGCAGGGTGGTGGGGGGAGCATGGGAGTGTGTGTTTGTAATACTCTGGTCTGATTTAAACTCCTTGAATCTCTATCAGTCATCTCATATATCCCAGGAGTAGCCCATAGTTAAGTGCTTAGGCAGAGGAAGGTGGGAAAAGGTTGCTTAGGCAGAAGAGGGGGAAAAGGAATGAAAACACTTAGAAGGAAAAGAAAGATGTGGGCAGCGGTTTGAATGAAAGAGAGTGAGGGAAATAAATTACTCTTCCAATGACAAGGGGGCACTAAATAGATGGGCTTGATCCCTGCAGTGAGGCAGCAAGCAGCTGCTCAGAGCATTCTGTAGCCAAGCCTGCTGCAGTCCAGAATGGAGGGGCTGAGGCTTGGTGTTCTGCTGGATAAGCAGGAGGAAAACCTTGAAAATTTGCTTGATTCCATCAAATGCTTTTGCTGATTAAAGGCTTAGAAACTGCCAGAGTTCCTAACGCCTGTCTCTCTCAAACTAGCATGGTACAGGAGACCAAGCAGATAGTGATCTGAATTCGAAGGGAATATGAGAGATGGTGACCTGAAATCTCACCCAGCAGACGCCCCAGAGCTGGGGTCTGCCACTCTCTTGGAGAGGCTGAGGTCCTGGAATCTGGTGAGGGAATGGGGTGCAGGCTGAGTCCCAAGGCATAGGTGAGAGACATAGAACCACCAACTGATATTAAAATAACATTCTGCTTTGAGTGGAATCACTGTTTGCTGTGAGCTGCAAAAGGAAGACAAACACATCTTCTCTGAAGCTCGTGCTGATCCATGGGTGGCCTCTTGGGCAGGCAGAGTGAGAAGGGAAGACAGGAGGAACAGTCCAGCAAGCTGAAGTGACACAGCCTTCCTGCCAGAAAATCAACACCCTACCTCTTTGTCAGGGTCCTGGGCTTGGGCTGATGGCCGAAGCTCCTCTTGGGAGGAAAGTGATTCTTCCAGCTGAGAGGTTGGATTCTGGGAGGCACAGAAAAGATTCTACCACCCAATGAGCAGCCCCCGCACCTACTCTGAGGAAGGGCCAGAACACACAGGCCCCCTTGAATCTGGAGCAAACCTCTATACTGGAGGGAGCCCTGAGGGTCTCAAATGAGAAAACAGGTCCTTTCTTTGTACCCAGGTATCCCTTTATTCCTAGGGATAGTGTTTCTCTCAAGAAGATAGAATCTGGAAAAATATATTACCTGGAGACTATAAAATCCTAGATCAGAAGGCGGCTGTGGGCCCCTAAGCCCATCCTCCTCATTTACAGATGAAGAAACAGAGGCCAGGGGCCCACACTTAGCAGAACCTGGATGACAGCACAGATTTCCTCATTCCTATCCAGCCCTCAAAGCGCCTCACCCTGCCGCCTCCACTTTGTGTTCCTGCAGGAACTCCCAGCCAGTCCACCATGCACACATATTTTTTAAATAGACCTTATTTTTTATTTATTTCTTTTGTAACTTTTATTTTAGGTTCGGGGCACACGTGTGGGTTTGTTACACAGGTACATTGCGTGTCACAGGGGTTTGGGGCACAGGTGGTTTCATTACCCAGGTAATAAGCATAGTACTTGATAGGTAGTTTTTTTTATCCTCACCATCCTCCCACTCTCCACCCTCAAGTAGGCCCTGGTGTTTACTATTCCCTTCTTTGTGTCCATGTGCACTCAGTGTTTAGTTTTCACTTATAAGTGAGAACACGCAGTGTTTGGTTTTCTGTTCCTGTATTAGTTTGCTTAGTATAATGGCCTCCAGCTTCACCCATGTTCCTACAAAGGACATGATCTCATTCAGGATCTCAGCGGTTTTAGGTTCATAGCAAAATTGAGGAGAATGTACAGAGATTTCCCATATATTCCTTGCCCTAGCACATGCATAGCCTCCCCAGTTTGTCAACATTCCGCACCAGAATGGTACCTTTGCTACAATGGATGAGCCTACTTTGACACACCAGTATCACTCAAAGTCCATAGTTTACATTAAGGTTCACTCTTGGAGTTGTACATTCTGTAGGTTTGGGCAAATGTTTAATGATGTGTATAACCCATTATAGTATCATGCACAGGAGTTTGCCCTAAAAAATCCTCACATAAACAATTTTCATGGCAATTCCAATAACCAAGAACTAATCACAAGGCTTAATTGCCATAAGCGTGGGGATCCCTCTCTGGTGAACAACTGGCTGGGTGCTCACTGGCTTGAAGACATTTCCCTGCCCCATATTCCTTGTTGCTGGCACCCAGAATGGAAGTGTTTCAGTATATTCAGGTCCAGCATTAGGATGTGGGCACCTCAGACTGACAGATAGGACCAGGCAGAACCAAGCTGTGATATGTAGAGTTGACATTGTAGACAAGCTCCTGCTTCCACCCCAAAGGCTCCCTCTTCCTCCAACACACACACTTCCTCTATCCTTTCTTCTAGCTCAGCAAACTTCTTTCTATCCTTCCTAACACATCCAGTGCCCTTGCATTATATTCTCTTCTGACTGTCAAAAAATGGGACCAGGAAGGAGTTCAAGGCCAATTATTTGCTATTCAGTGTCAGTTGAGGTCTTTCCCTTTCCCTTTCCAGAGGCATTTGTAACACAGGCTTTAGCTCTTCTTATGTAATGAAAATTTTTGTTTTAGAAAGTTTGGATTTCTAAAAGGAGGTGGAAAGAATAAGGCCCTTCCCAGAGTCCTTGAAATCATCTCAAATAGCACCTACTTCTCCTACTTTGCATAGCTCAGGTTCTGGCCTCCTTTCAGCCAGAGACAATGGTGGAGAGCCAACACAGGATTTGAATAGAGAGGAGGATTTGAACTGGAAATAAATAGTCATTTGGAACAAAAGCTAAAGTTTTATTTTTCCAAAATATAAAACAAGTGAGAACTAGATAGACCCCTGGCTCTCAATGCTGTCATGCAGATGTGCTGGTATTAGATAAAAGAGTGCGGGAAAGTCCTGGATTCTGGTTCTGGGTCTACGTGCAAGTAGCTGGATGACATTGCAAATAACTATTTCTCTGAGCCTTGATTTCTTCTTTTCAAAAATGTTCCCACTGCAATATTCTGTATAGTTCAGAGGAGAAACAAAAAGCAAACCAGATGAATCCAGGCTGCCAGACTTTTCATATTCCCTGCTTTCAACAAAGGTGATTACAGTGGCTTGGAGAAGCTGTTTTCATCAAACCTTGGCCTGACCTATCTCAAGAAGAAGGCGCTAGTGGCCAACAGATTGCAAACACCACTATGACAAAGAACCCCTCTCCATTTTAAAAGGAAAGCATATTGATTTTTGGAATAGCCATTTCCTAGTATATGTAACTTTGAGCCAAACCAATGAAATTTATGAGGACTCAGCTTAATCTTATAACATTTTAAGATCAATAACAGCTGCCTGGAAGAACCTGACCATTATGGTGGTTGAAAAAGGCAGATACGAGAATATTGCAACTGTTAAAGCAAGTTGTATAACAGAGGAGAGATCTGAGCTGCTGTATCTTGTGGAAAGCACCTAGGCCTGAAACTAAAGTTAGGACTGTAAGGTACAACTTCTGGTTCTGATGCCAATCATAGATAAGCATCATCACTAAGAGAGGAACCATATTTATACTTGCTGACTATTGTAACCAGTACTTGGCTCATACTAGATACTCAATAAATATTATTTGAATCAACGTCTTGCAATGTTCCTTAATCATTGAGCCTCAGCTGTCCTTTATTATTCACTCTTTCATTTGATTCTTTCTTCAGTTCCCCTACCACCACCTCCTTGTATAGGTCGCCATTATCTTTGCCTAGATTGTTGCAGTAGACTCCTAACATTCTCATTGCCTTGGTCTTGCCCCCATCTAATCTGTTCTCCACACTGCAGCCAGAGTAATCCTTCTGAAAGGATACTCAATATTTAAAAGCCAGTCTTCTACATTGTAAAATGTATTAGCATAAAATTGTTCATAATATAATCTTATTTTCTTTCATATCTGTAGTGTCTATAGTAATGTCTCTTTGTTTAATAGCCCAACACATGGTATTTAATAAATATTCCATATGAACTTGAGAAGAATGTATTCTGAAGTTGTTTGATGCAATGTTCAATTAAGTTGTCTAATCATATTGTTCAAGCTTCTATTTCCTTAATAATTTTTTCTTTTCGTTCTATGAGGTATGTTAAAATCTTCAGTTATGATTATACATTTGTCTGTTTCTTTTAATCTATCAACTTTTGCTAAAGCAAAAGCTAAAGCTAAAACAAAAGCTAAAGCTAAAGCAAAAAGCATACTTTGAAGCTGTTATTCATTTTATACAACTTAAAACCATTAAATCTTTCTGTTGGACTTACCTTTTTGCCATAATAAAAATTTATGACAAAAGGGTAAATTCTCTTTTCTTTATTATATTAATCTAGAGAGTTAGTTACGAATTTTATTAATATTATGACCTCTAGTAATATTTCTTGACTAAAGTCTTTTTTTGGTCTGAAATTAATATAGCTACACCAGTCTTTGCTTTGCATGGTATATCTTTTTCCATCTTTTTACTGTCAGTCTTTCTGTATCCTTATATGTAAAGTTTATCTTCTATAAACATATTTAATTGGGTTTTACTTTTTAATAACTGTTAAAAATTTTCTTTAAGTTCAGTGCTCAGTCTATTTACAATTACTGTAAGTACTGATATATTTGGATTTAAGTGTATATCTTTGTGGCAATAAATGTGACAATTTAGGGAAATGTACAAGTTCCTTGAAAAGCAAAACTTTCTAAAATTAATAGAAAAATAAGTAGAATATTTCCTTATCTGATAAATAATTTGGATTTCTAGTTAAAAACACTCTTACAAAAAAATTTCAGGATTAAATGACTTTACAAATGAATTCTTCCAAATTTTTATTTTAAAAAATAATACTATTCTTACACAAACTCTTCTGAGAAAGAAAAAGAAAAAATAATGAATAATTCTCAACTTGTTTAATAAAACTAGCATTACTTTCATTAGGTGAATGCCTCAGAATGACATTTCAAGAAAAAAAAATCACAGACCAATCTTATGTATGAACATAGATGGAAAAATCCTAAACAAAACTTTGGTAAATTAAACCAAGTGATATATAAAAAGATAACACATAATGGTTATATTCCAATAATGTAAGGTTGATTTAACATTCAAAAATCAATGTAGTTCACCATATTAATAGAATAATGGAAAAAATCACATAATTATCTCAGTAGTGTAGGAAAAAGGATTTGACAAGACATTCATTCTTGATAAAAATTATCAGCAAACTAAGATTAAAAGGAAATGTTCTATAGCAAATATATTTAATAATAAAATATTACGTGCTTATCCCTGAGTTCAGCAGCAAAGCAAAGATGTTCACCATCACCACTGTCACTAATATGCTACTGTAGATCCAAGCCAGTACAATAAGCTTAGCAAAAAGGAGGTATAAAAATTGAAAAGGAAAAAATAAAACAAACATTATTTACAGACTACATGATTGTATACATAAATAATTCAAAAGAATCAATAGAAAAACTATTAAAAATAATAAATAATTTAACGATATCACTCTACACAAGGTCAAGAGATAGAAATCACTTATATATACTAGCAACAAACAATCAGAAAATGAAAAAAATTTCAAATGTTCATTTCATAATAGCATAAAATACCCCAATTGTTTAGTGATAAAACTAACATAAGATGCACAAAATCTATAAAACATTATTCAGAGACATTTTTAAGCTGTAAATCAATGGGTTAATATACCAAGTTCATAGATTGGAAGACATATATACTTTCAATATTATTATTATTAAGATGTCAATTTTTTTCCAAATTGATCTACAGAGAAAATGCAATCTCATTCTAAACCCCAGTAGGTTTTTTTTGTAGAAATTACCAGAATTCTAAAATTTACATAGAAATGCACAGAATATAGTCAAAACCATTTCGACTATATAGTAGTCAAAACCATTTTGAAAGACAAAGAACATATTTGGAAGACTTACATTTCATGATTTTGAGACTTACTATAAAATTATAGCAATCAATTCAGTGTGGTATTGGCATAAGGATCAACAAATTGCTCAATGAAACCCAGTAGAGTTCATGGATAGATCTGCACATATATGGCCAGTTGATTTTTTGACAAAAGCTTCAAGAAAATTCAATGTGGAATTCTAACTAATTGTGCAGAAACAACATGATATCTATATGAAAAAACAGAATCTAAATTCCTATTGCAAACTATTACAAAAGTTTAAGATAGTTCATAAATCTAAATGCAAAAAAGAAAACATAAAACTTCCAGAAAAAAACAAAGAATTCCATATCTGTATGTTAAGCAATAATTTCTTAGACAAAGCCAGAAAACACTTAGTATAGGAAAAAAATTGATACATTATAACTCTTCCTTCTGCTCTTCAAATGTACTATTAAGAAAATGAAAAGGCAAGTCACAGATTGTAAACAAATATTTGCAATAAATATATCTGGCAGAGGATGTGTGTCCAGAATACATAAACAACTCTTTAATAACCATGAAAAGCAAACAACCCTATTTTTTAATGGGCAAAAGACATGAACAGACATTTAACAAAATATATATAAATGGCCAGTAAACAGATTCTCAACATCATTAGTCATTAGGAAAATGCAATCTCAAACCGCAAGATATGACTTCACACCCAGTAAAATAGCTAAAATTTAAGACAGACAAGACCAGGGGTTGATGAGAATGTGGAAAAATAAGAACTCTCTAAATTGTTGGTAGAAGTATAAAACGGCACAGCCATTTTGGGATACATTTTCCAGTTGCCACTAAAAGCACACTTACATATACCCTATAACCTGCAATTCCACTCCTGGGTATTTACCCTACAGAAATGAGCACATACACCCACTAAAGATGTGTGCAAGAATATTTATAACAGCTTTATTAATAATTGGCAAAATCTGGACTCAATCCAAACACCTGTTAACAGATCAATGAATAAACAAATTGAAATATGGTCTTACAATGAAATATTACACAACAATGAAAAGAAAAAAAAGTACAGCAAAAACAAAGATGAATCTTGCAGACATAAAGTTGAATGAAAAAACTAGACTCAACAAAGAACGTACTGTATAATTCCATTTATATGAAGTTCAAAAAGAGGCAAAACCAATTCATGGTGAGAGATTTTTCGAATAGTGGTCACTTTAGTAGAAGGCACGAGGAAGCCTTCTGAGACTTGATTTGGGTGGTGTGTACATGGTGTATATATACTTAAAAATTAAGTGGTACACTTTAGATAGGATGAACAACTTGGCCTGGATTATCTGGAACTGTCTAACTTTAGTCAAACTTTAGATTTGTGCACTTTCTCACATGTATGCTATTCCTTAATTTTTACAAATCTGGAAAAGAAGAAATTTCAATAGGAAGAATAAAAAAGGTTTTCAACAGCTCTCCACTGCTCTCAGGACAAAGTCCAAACTCCTCCTCACAGCAAGTAAGTTTTTGCGGTGTGGCCCCCTTGTGACTCTTCAGTTTCACATTCTGCCTCACTTGGTGCACTCTCTCCTCCAGCTCCACTGATGGCTGGCAGCTCCCTGTACATGCCATGCACCCCCCTCTCTTTTTTAATTGACAAATAAAAATTGTATATGTTTATGGTGTACAATCTCATGCTTTCAAATATGCAAATAATGTAGAATGGTTAAATCCAGCTAACGAACTTATGCCTCATCTCACATGCTTATTTGTTTGCGGTGAGAACACTTAAAATCTACTGTCTTCACAATTTTCAAGAATACAATACATTGTTACTAAATATAGTGACTACGTTGTACAATAGATCTCTTGAACTTATTCTTCCTATCTAACTGAAATTTTGTGTCCTTTGACCAATATCTCCCAATCCCTCCCTCCCACCTCAGACTCTGGTAACCATCATTCTACACTTTCTACTTATACAAGATCAACTTTTTAGATTCCACATATGAAGGAGACCATATGATATTTGTCTTTCTGTGCCTGGCTTATTTCATTCAACATAATGTCCTCCGGGTTCATCCATGTTGTCATGTGTTGCAGAATGTCTTCTTTTTCAAGGCTGAATAGTATTCCATTGTGCATATGTACCAGATTTTCTTTATCTATTCATCTGTTGATGGACACTTAAGTTGATTCCATATTTTGGCTATAGTGAATAGGGCTGTAATGAACATGGGAGTACAGAACTTTCTTTGACATACTGATTTCATTTCCTTTGGATATATGCTCAGTAGTGGATCATAGGGTGGTTCTATTTTTAATTTTTTGAGGCACCTCCATACTGTTTTCCATAAATTGGCTCTACCAATTTACATTCTCACCAACAGTGTGCAAATCTGCCATCATTTTCTTCACATCTCTGCCATTATTTATGTTTCCTTTGCTAATAGCTATTCTAACAGGTGTGAGGTGATATCTCTCTGTAGTCTTAATCTGCATTTCCCTGATGATCAGTTATGTTGAACATTTTTTCATATATTCATATATCTGTTGGCCGTTTTTATTCTTTTGAGAAATGTCTATTCAGGTCCTTCATCCATTTTTAATTGGATTGTTTTCTCGTTGTTGCATTATTTGAGTACCTTATGCCTTTTGGATATTAGCCCCTTATCAGACGTATGGTTTGAAAATATTTTCTCTTATTTCATAGGTGTCTTTTCACTCTGCTGATTGTTTCCTTTGCCGTGCAGAAGCATTTTAGTTGGATGTAATCCCATCTGTCTATTTTTGCTTTTTATTGCCTGCCATGTCCTTTCTTGCATAGGCTAGTCCATCAGCCCAGAAACCTTTTGTTCTAGCTTTTCCCAGCTAGTTCAAATTCATCCTTCAAAACTCAGCTTGAGTATCATCAACTATAGGAAGCTTTCCCTGAGACATATCCAAGGTTTGGGATATCCTATAGCACATGTGAAAATGGTCAGTTAAGTATTTATTCCTTTATTCAATAAAACGTTATATTAAACTCCTAAAAAGGTACCAGGAAGTACACAGCCCTATAGGGTCTAACAGGGCTATTAGACACAGAAACAAACCTTGGCAGAAAAATGCAGATGCACCATTTCACCTATTCCAGGCCTGCAGGGATAAGAGGGCTTTTGACGGCCTTTGGAGAGGAAGAAATAATACCTACAAAATAACTTATTCTAACCTCTTTCAACTACTTGTTATCTACACTGATCAAAAGAAGAGATTATTTTCTTTGAGTAATCTTTTAAATAGTTGCATTTTCTTGCTTTTCTACTTTTTAATAACATCCAGAGAAGACAGTGATATTTAGCAACAGTAAATTTTCCAAGGGCTATAACTGGTTTGTGTAATTTACAAGCTGCCTGAGTATTGAGGGTTAGTTAGGATTCTCACACCAGACTACATGGTTTTGTATCCCCATCGACCACTTATGAGCTTTGGGGCCTTGGCCAAACACTTAAACTCTGTAATCCTCAGTTTCTTCACCTGCAAAATTGGAATAACAACAGTAGTTACCTCAAATTGTGCTGTAAGGATTAAGTGAATCAGTGTACATAAAAAGCTTAGAATGGTGGCTCACAGACATGGTGTCAGCACTCCAAAAGGGTAGCCATTTTACGTGGAATATGTAAAAAAAACTAGGTAACATTACAGATACTTCTCCACTCATCATTACCCCATATCTCCCCACCTGTCCTCAGCCCCAGGCTCACATTTCTCACAGCCTATTGGATGTTATCATCTGACTTCTGACTAAAATGTGAGTGACTCAAACTCAATAGCCATGAATCCCAGATCTCTTCTTTGACTTGTGCTGATTATCTGTTACCTAGCTTAAAAACATCCAGATCATTTCTTCGTACCACCATCTTCCATATCCATTATTCAGCAAGTCCTGACAATTCTCGATTTCTCACAGCCATTTCTTCCTCCTCTTCTTCTTCTTCTCCTTCCTCTTCCTCCTCCTCTTCCTCCTCCTCCTCCTCCTTCTTCTTCCTCTTCCTCCTTCTCCTTCTCTTCCTCCTCCTCCTCTTCATCTTACTCTTCCTCCTCCTTCTCCTTCTTTTTCTGTTTCTTCTTTTTTTCTTATTTCTACTGCCTCGTCCAGAAATAGAATTTTAGCTAATCACTCATTTGGGTTTCTCCATGGCGTCTTAAATCACTCTCCCCTAACTCAGACTGATCTTTCTAGAACATTCCTTGATCCCATACTCTCTTGCTTAAAAATCTTTAGTGGCACCTAATTGTTTCCGGCAATCAGTCAGACTCCACAGTCTGACATCAATGCTCACCACAATCTGACCCAAAACCTACCCTTTCACATCAATTTCTTTTATCTTCCACACAAAATTTCTCTGTCAAGTTGTATACCAATTTACGGCACTGACTAATAAACCAAGCTGGAACTAGGGCTAAGGCCTGAGGCCTGCAAGGGACCTCTTCCTTCTCTAAGCCCAAACTAAAAGCTTAGCAACAGGCCAGGCACGGTGGCTCATGCCTGTAATCCCAGCACCTTGGGAGGCTGAGGTGGGCAGATCACTTGAGGCTAGGAGTTAGAGATCAGCCTGGACAACATGGTGAAACCCCATCTCTACTAAAAATATAAAAATTAGCCAGGTGTGGTGGTGCATGCCTATAATCCCAGCTACTTGGGAAGCTGAAGCACAAGAATCACTTGGACCTGAGAGGCAGAGTTTGCAGTGAGCTGAGAGCATGCCACTGCACTCCAGCCTGGGCAACAGAGCAAGACTCTGTCTCAAAAAAAAAAAAAAAAAAAAAAAAAAAGAAAGAAAAGAAAAAATGAAGAAAAGCTTAGCAATTGTCACCATTGACCTAATGTGAATGAGGCAGAGTACCCAAATGCCAAATACCAAAGAGAAATGAAAGCAGGCAAGATGGGTCTTCCCAAGCCCAGGCCATCTGTGACCTGCCCATCCAGCCACCTGGAGAGACAAGGTAGAAGAGAGTGCCACATCCCAAGGCATCAACTATTAAGAGTTACAATGTTCCTACCCATCAACAAAGCCTGGACTTGTTATTGTCCTGGAATCTGACCAAACAGATGTGTCAGTGCTCCCAGAGTGGAAGGAACAAAGTGGAGCTCTGGTATCTCCTCTCACCTGAGGCTTCAGCGTTACAATGCTTCCCACCTCTTGACCCTTGCTCATATTGCTAACCCTGCCTTGAATAGCCTCCCCACTTTTGCCTGTTGAAACTTATCCTTCAAGATCCAGAACAACATTCTGCTTCCTGATCACCTTACTTCAATCTCATTTCTTCTAAATTCTAACAGTATTGACTATACTTCTAATTTGCTACTTATCATCTCCTGCCTCCTGCTTTGCATTATTGGCTGTGCTTTCTTTTTTTTTGAGAAGAAGTCTTGCTCCGTCGCCCAGGCTGGAGTGCAGTGGCGTGATCTCAGCTCACTGCAACCTCTGCCTCCTGGGTTTAAGTGCTTCTCCTGCGTCAGCCTCCCGAATAGCTGAGATTACAGGCACCCGATTGGCTCTGCTTTCTTGGGTATGTATATATTTACTCTTTTTTTTTTTTTGTATTTTTAGTAGAGACGGGGTTTCACTGTGTTAGCCAGGATGTTCTTGATCTCTTGACCTCGTGATCCGCCTGCTTCGGCCTCCCAAAGTGCTGGGACTACAGGCATGAGCCACCACGCCCGGCCTTACATATATTTACTCTTAACTGCACTGACAACTTTTTAAACTATAGATCGGGTCCCCAGTGTAAGTCTGGGGATATCAATTAAGATTCCCCTGTCTAATTTTTGACACTAATACCAACTACGCTTAATAAATGTGTTGATGAGTTTAATGTTTTATGCATTAGATAGATTTCAGTATGAAAGAGATCTAAAGATATGGGTAACATAGAAGAGCGTTCATTACTGCCATCCTTATAATGGCAAAAAAAAAAAAAGGAAAATAACCAAGTGTCCATTAACAAGATAATGGATAAATTAAAATATATTAAAAACACTGTACTGATGAAAATAACAAACTAGATTTATATGTATCAACAGGGATAAATCTAAAAACCTAGTACTCAATGAAAAGGGCATATTTTAGAGCTATAATCTTCCATGTATACAAATTTTAAAAAGTACAGATAAAATAATATATTCTGTAAATGAGTCCATGAAAAAACTGGCTGAAATAAATGAATCAAACTCAAGTTAAAAGTGGTCTCTAGAGAGAAAGAAATGGCCAGAGTCTTCAAACATTTTTTTATAATTTTTATTTTATTAACTGAAGTAAAACCAGCAGTATGAGAACAAGAGTGCTCATTATATTGTTCTTTGCCTTTTTCTGTATTTTTAAAGCTTCTCAAAACGAAGAGAAACAAACACAAAGATACCATTTGCTGCAGCCCTGGTCCTCCAGCGGGTGTGCTATTATTCTCCCTATTGTGTAAATATAAAGGTCAAGGAAGAGGGGAGGTGCTGAAGCTGTATGGGAGCTAAGGCATGGCCTGGGGATTGTCGCTAATGAAGGTTCACTAATTCCTTTAAAATGAAGGTTCACTAATTCCTTTAAATCAGCTGGTTTTCTTCAGATTTTCCTCTTTTTTTCTGCATGAAATGAGGGGCGAGGGGAAGAAAAAAAAAACCTTTCCTGTTGCCTGGTTACAGTTAAATGAGATTATTAAATGTTGTTTTACAACCTACTATAAAGACACGTCTCATTCTTTGTCCCTCTTTTGGATTGATGCTGTTGCCAGCAAGGGTCTGTATGTGCCTTGCACACTGTGTACAATAATAATAATAGAATCATAACAATAGCTAACAATTTTCAAGAGCTTACTCTGTGCTGGGCACTATGGTAAGTATATACAGCTTTATATACAGCTTTGTATCAGTATGAATACTTTCAGCTGCAAATATCATAAAACCCTATTCAAATGGAGTTACATAGTAAAGAACGCATTACAACACATAACTTGGAGTCTAGAGATTGGTAACTTTCACTGATTCATGCAGAGCCTCAATGATATTGACCGAGTTCTGACATTCCTTCTGCCTTTCTGTCCTATGCTTTGCAGATGCCAGTAGAAGAAGCTGGGGCTTTGTGCTTCCATACGCTTGTCTAATAGGAGAGACCCACATTGGTTCAGGTCTGCCCATACCTAGCAATTCACTGTGGAGGAGATGGAGTTTCTTATTCACTGGTTAAAGCCTTATACAGCTACAGCAGAGTGGGTGCTGGGAAGAGGACACTATGCCCACCACAGATATGTCCTTATTAATCCTCTTAATGCTCTCATGAAGTAAACACTATTATGATCTGCATTTCACAGATGGAAAAACAAGACACCAAGAGGTTAAGTGGTTTTACCAAGGATACGTGGCTTGTTAAGTGCCAAGCTCTCCATGGCATATTATGCTGCCTTCCAAGTGCCTTAGGCTGTGTGTTGACTGGGTAAGAAACGAAGATGTCCACCCTGTGGTCCACTTAAACCCTGAGGCGATGGTGGGTTACTGGCCATCTCCAGGCCTCCATGGCTCCCATCCTTCTACTCCTGAATCTCCTTTTCCTTTTCACTGACACCATCTTTTCTTCCTTCAGGGCATCCTCTCTGCAATCATGGCTGTGAGTGATAGGTGGACTTGCCAACTCCCTGATTACCTGCCATCCATGGAAAGTCAACACCTAAATATGTTGTCTTATACTACTAGATAATATATGACTATTATACTGCAAATAATCTTTTTGAAGCAAATTATAGGAATAAATTGAGACTAAGAACAATAATAAACTTGGGAAATTTACAAAGGCAACAAAATCTAACAGTTCTCTCAGACATTGAGCTGGATTTTTTCCCCAGCAAGTAGGCCTGGGGGCTTACACCAGGGGAATGGCGAGAGGCACCCTGAAGCTTGCGTCTCTCTATCTTAAGGGTCCATCTCAGGGCTCCTCTCCACTCCAGGGTGACCTCCTTACGAGGATGTCCTCAAAGCACTCACTTGTTGTCTGTCTCATCTCTGTCCTCTTTGAAAATGCTGCCACCCCTGTGGAAGTCCAGCTTTCTGGAGGGGATCGTTGATTCCCAGTGGTAGCTGTGCACCATATTCTGGGACCCCAACTCAGGCACACAGAATCAGGGTGCACGAGTCAGCCAGAATTTTATATGAGCAAGTGAGGACGTGCAGAAAAATGTGCAGATGAATCATCTACTAAATGGATCTTGTGGAAGTGCAGATTCTTCATTTCTAATAAGCTCTCAGGTGATACTAATGCTACTGGTTCAAGGCCCACACTGGGAATGGCAGGGGCGTAGATGCTGTAAATGCTGGCTGTAGGTCAGCCACCCCACTGTGAACACTACTATTGTGTTTGGGGCTTGTGGTCAAGGAAGCAGCATGTCCTCCTGGGAGCCTGCTAGGTAAACAGGCCATCCATTTTGGTCTGGCTTGATGTTTGGTTGTCACAGGCTGCCAGAGATGAGTAATTCCCTCATCTCCTCAAAGCCCTGAGAGACCAGTCCCAAAGGATGCTAGCTGGAGGAAGACAGATTTCCTCTTAATATGAAGGCTAGCTCTCAGTGCAGACAGCTCCCCAGGCCTGGGTACAGCCAAGCAGAGCCACGCTTGATGAGGGAGGGACAGATTTGGGGGAGAGCGGATTGGACTCGGAATTGTGAAGGCTCCCCTCTACCCCTGAGGCTCTATAAACCATAATTCAAGGGCAGGCTCCTCAACAGAAAATAATGATGAGTCAGAGCTTCTTGCCTTCTCAACAACCTTCCATTCCACCAAATTATTCAAAGTGATTTGTACCAGAGACCCAGATTGTCATTCTAGCCCTGTTTGTTTCGCATTTGCATTTTCTCTCTCAAAATAAAGCCCCTCCTCCTCCTTCTTTCAAAGGTCACAATGGGTTAACATCATCAATACAGCAGCAGAAGAGAAAGTGCAGTTTTAATGTGAGAAAGAAAATATTGACAGGTTTATGCAAGAGACGTAATTAACTCTATGCTCTGATGATCTGCCAGCACATCTTTCTTTCCTTCCAAACTTGTGCACTTCCATAACTCTTAAACATCCTGCTTCAGCCTTGAAAGGTAAAATATATACATATACTTTGACTCTGAGAAAATAGCCTAATCATGTGCAATTTAAATTTGGTACCTTCTTTAAAAGATAACCCAATACAGATGCGGTGGGTAATAAGCCACTTTGTACTGACTCCAACCCTCACACCCTCCATCCTCTCCTTCTGACAATCCAGCTTTCTTAAATGCTTCCTGTCTCAGCAAAGGTCAAATATTAAAAGTCAGAGAGCTCAGAAATACAAATGAACACTATCTAAGCCTCAGCAACAGAGGCTCTTTGAGAAAGACGATGCAAACACCAAAGAGTGTAAGAAAAAGCATGAAAGAAGCAGCATCACTTGTAATCAGTAGCAAGCTCTGAAGCCTGTCTGTCCCTTTTAGATGCTTCACACTTTATTATTAATCCACCAGTGACAGCAGAGCTTGGTTAGGAGGGACATCTTTCATCTCTGATCCTCTCCCTGACAACTAAAATAGGGTGAGCACATTTGCATAACAGAAGAAAGGGACAGATTGCCACTCCAGAAGGACCCGCAGGACACCTGTCAGAAATATTAAAAAGCAGGATAATCTCACAAAATATGAAATGCTTCATGTATCGGTCTGGAGAGAGTTGATGGAAAGGCTACCATGGAAAGAAATAAAATGTGGGCTCTGTCCCATCTCCAAACCCTCATCTTGTGAATGACTTGGAGTCTATTCAGCATCCTGAAGTCCTCTCTCTCTGTCCTTTGTCCCACCCATTGAAAATACTTCCAGGCTGCTATCTTTTGTTACATAACACAAGAACAGTTGAGTTAGGGGAGCTCAGGAACAATTTTCTTGGCTCTCTTCCCCACCTGAGCCAGAACATCATACCCTCCACTCCCAACACACTCCTGACCTTCACCCACCCCATCCATCTCACCTCCAGTAGGAGAACCTTGCCTGCTTATAGGGCTCTGGGAGATGTGCTCCTGTTCTCGGGTCACATTCAGACCACATAAAGACATTATTTTCAGTAGACAGAACTAAAACTGCAATTAGAACAGTATTCCAATTCAGGCCCACTGTGAGCTAAACAGGCATTCATGGCAGCCTGTGTATTACATTGTTTCTTAAAAAATGCAATCCAGGTAAACAAACCAATTTTGGGAATGTGGCTCCTTTGGTCAACTGCATCCAAGAAAGGTAAAGTTACGTCTCCCCAAAAGACTCTGCAATCTAAAGGAAACAGAGCAGGAGAATGGTGGAGCGATGGGGAATTGTTTGGGCATGGCCAAGGGAAACACAAGCCTTAACATTTTGTTGTGTTGAACTGGCTGTGGTCCACGGCCCTCGCTGCTAAACAGGACAATGGATCAGGGATTAAATTTCCTGTGCCCACTCTCAGAGAGGGGACATTTTTGCAATCCCCCAAAGATGTTTTGGCCTACAGAGACAAACAACTGGAAAGAATTGCAGCACTTGTGGGGAGGGGAAGGAGTGCAGAAGATGACAAGAGCTTTAAAAGGGATGCCCTAAAAGAACAGCAAAACAGATCACCCTGCACCCTCAGCAGCTCCAGGCAGCCAATCAAGGAGGAGAAGCCGGAAGAGTCTGAGCTTGCGAGGTGGGAGCTGCCCAGAGCTGCCTGCCTGTGACTCAGGATGGAATTTTCCTTCCAGGCAAGGAAAATAGGTTGAGGTTTTTGTTGTTATGGTCATTGATATTGATCTTCTATTGTTAGATCTCTCGCTGTCTCTCTCTGTCTCTCAGCATACACACACACAGGGAAAAACACATGCACATGTATTTTTAACCTTATCTTGACTTTACTAAAAGAATCTTCAAGCTCTTTCCTCTATTGCTGTCTCAAGGCTGAAGTCAGATTTGGGAATCATAGAATCAGTAATTTGAGAGGGAATAGGATGGTGATTTTTTTTTACTGAGTCTTACATTATGTATAGACTGAGAGGAAGGCCAAATACACACAAACACACACACACACACACACACAGGCACGCACACATATGTGTGTAGTAATTTAGGACACGTTAGACTAAGCCTGAAAGAAATAAGGCTGCTAAGCTTCAGACTCTTGACTGGAAAAAGGGAACTGCTAGCCAGAACCCAGCTGCTCTTTCCCTAGGGCAATTCTCTAACTTCAGGGAGTATGACAATCACCTGGGGAACTTCACAGACATGTGAATCCCCAGTCCCCTCCTCAGAGGTTCTGACTTAATGGGTCTAAAACCTTTTTCACTAGTTATAGTATTATTGCTTTCTCTATAAAATAGACATTTGCCATTGACTGAAGAGTGTATGTGCAAGGCCTCTCTAAGCAGCAAAGTAAGTGGGGGAAGGAATTTAGACATGCACAGCTCCAGCATGCATACATTTTCAACAGAGATGCTCAGATACTACCCAGCCCTTCTGGTTGACATTCACATGAAGCCACTGGGTCAATATAAACTGATATTTCAAGTTGGAGGTCATAATGTTGCACCTGAGGAATGCTACTGAGGGTCTTAAAAGTGTGTTTTTGCTGATGATGGAGGAAAATCAATCTCTGGCCGCCTGGAACAGTGGCCTCTTACAAGCCATGTCCAGCCATTGGTTGTTGAGGCTTAAATGGGCCAACCTCAGAGTCTCTGCCCATGAGCAAATGGCTCATTTCTTTCAAAGGAAGCAGCATACGAGGCTCTGAAGATCACATATTTTGGAAGTTTATGGCTCTTTATCATTCTTGGGTAGGAGTTTCATGTCTGCCTCTCCAGTCTTGAAAGAATAAGCCCAGGGGAACCCTTAATTCAAATGTGACCATAGGTCTCTCAAATATCTTCTAGACCAGTGTTGTCCAATTGAAATATAAAATATAATGTGAGTTATGTGTGTAATTTTAGATTTCCTATTAGCCATATCAAAAAGTAAAAAGAAAGATATAAAACATACTTTAATAATATATTTTATCTAATCTAATATATACAAAATATCATGTCAACATGTAATCAATATTTTTAAAATTAACAATAAAACATTTTACATTCCTTTTGGGGGTACAAATGTGGTGTGTATTTTATACTTAAAAAACATCTCAGTTCAGACTAGCCACGTTCAAGTACTCCATACAGCCACATGTGGTGGTAGCTACTGTACTGGACAGCACAGATCCAGACCGGGAGAGAGAGAGGGCTGAGACAGCGCCTATTCTGCACCCAGTGATGGGGAGACATGGAAGAAGAGAAGCTGATGAGTGTTGATGCATGCCCCACACCCATCCCATAAGAAAATCCCATGTTGGCTCTCCCTTCAGAATACATCCAGAATCCTGCCACTTCTCACCATGTCCACTGCTGCCACCGTGCTCCAAGCCATTATTGTCTCTCACCTGCATCACTTCTTACTGATCTTCCTCTTTCTACCCTTCCCCCTGCAGTCTATCCTTAAGGCAGCAGCCAAATCAATCCTATTGAAGTGTAAGTCAGATCATGTACCTTCTCTCTTCAAAACCCTAAAATGGATGTCCATTTCACTCAGAGTAAAGCCAAAGTTCTTACAACAGACTCTCAGGCCCTACCTGGCCTGCCTCCCCCTCCCAGAGTCACCTCTTCTTCTACTTACTCTCCCTTTTGTTTACTCTGCTTCAGCCCCACGGGCCTCTTTGCCATTCATCAAATATTCCAGAGCCTGCCAGTCTTAGGAGGAAGCTGCCTGTTCCTTCTGTGGGGATGCTCTTCCCCCATACAAGATATCTTCAAGGCTAATGCCTTACCTCCTTTGAGTTTTTGATCAAATAACACTTTCTCTCTTTGTTTTTGTTGTTGTTGTTGTTTGTTTGTTTTTGAGATGGAGTTTCACTCTTGTTGCCCAGGCTGGAGTGGAATGGCGCAATCTCGACTCACCTCAACCTCCACCTCCCGGGTTCAAGTGATTCTCCTGCCTCAGCCGCCCAAGTGGCTGGGACTACAGGCATGCACCACCACACCCGGCTAATTTTGTATTTTTAGTAGAGACGGGGTTTCTCCATGTTGGTCAGACTGGTCTTGAACTCCTGACCTCAGGTGATCCACCTGCCCTCCTCGGCCTCCCAACGTGCTGGGATTACAGGCATGAGCCACCACACCCAACCAATAATACTTTCTCTTTGAGATTTACCCTACATGGTAGTGCAAACTGCTCTCATTCCATCCAGCTCCTCCACTCTATACTATACTACTGTGTAATACACTTGTGCTGTGTTTATTATTTATTACCTGCTCCCCCATAAATGTTTCATAAAAGCAGGAATCTTTATCTGTTTTGTTACTTGCTGTATCTGCAAACCCTAGATTAGTGCCTGGCATATGGTAGGTGCTCAATAAATATTTGTTGAACAAATGACTGAATGAATGAGGTTGGAGGCATCTTGCATTTGCCTCCCAGTAGCTCAGCCCCCCAGCAGTGACGAGGACTCTGTACCACCCTTCTCAGTCATCTTCCTCATCTTCCCACCACATTGCAAAGCCTTGGGAAGAAATAGGATTAGAGTTAGGTACTCATCCTAACTAAATGAACTTTTCCCTTGGAACAATAATTCTTTCCTGTTTCTTTTTGTGTTTGTTTTTTAATCACAGGCTCCTTGTGAGGTTGGTGGCAGCTGTGAATGTTCTTCCCCAACAATTTCACATACAATTTCTGGAGGTTCATAGACCTCTGATGCACACCAGAAGAGTCCAGGGACCTCAAATTAATAATGTGTGCCCCAGAGGTTCACCCAAGTGTAGTTTTCCTATCCGTCTTTGAAATCAAATCTTTCTGCTGCTGCAAAAATAGAAACCATATCCAGAAAGAAATTACAGAGCCAACAGCAAACTTGAATGGTAATATAGTTTATCTTTTCACCTGCAGATAGCTCTGAGCTGTCTGCTCTTCCTAGGAAAACTCCACTTCATGGGGAGGTAGACCAGTAGATCACATCCAAAAGTTCTTTCTCATTCCTTATCTAAATTGCTCCTGCTTTAAGATGAATCTGCTTTCTTTAGCCAGATCTCCTGGGAAAACAAAAAACCAAGTACTTATCTTTAAAAAGTATTAGGATGTCCCTGTTCCCTTCCCCAAGTCCCTTCAGGCAAAATAAACAGAGTGATTGGCCTATTCTAAACAAGCTCACTGAAAATGCCTTTTCTCAGCAGGGTTCAAGCTCTGGCCTGAGCCAGCCCAGGAATGAGTCTGAAGAGACCCAGAGAAGCAAGCACTGAAGGACAAAGGGAGGCCCTGGGGTCCCCTCACAGATCCCTAGAAGAGAGGATACTCATCTCCTTTGCCTGGAAATGTGGCATATGATGACTAAGAAAGACACAAAGCAGGGGTTCTTTAACATCCTTCCCTAAAAGTGGCTGTCAGAGGCATGATGCTGTCCCACAGACTCTGCCTGTCACTAAAGCCCATTCTTAGTGTGGGGACAGTTAATCAGATGGTAATCTTCAAACACCCCTTTGGTCAGTGGAATGGGAAAAAAGATGAGTTTACAGTATTCTGGATTTTAGCCATTCATTGACTATAGCCTGAAAGCTTTAAAAATGCTTTACAAAATAAATACACAGAGCTCCTTTTCTGAAGCATGATTAAGTCAGAGGATAGTAAAACTCCCTGGCCCAGAACTGAAACCTTCCCATAATTATTGAAATCAAATGAAAGCATGACAGTCTGTGTCTTCACAAAGCAAAATCTATTCATTAGGCAATAAAAAGCAGTCTAGAATAAAACACAGAGTTTATATCAGAGTCTCATCAGAGGATTTGGACAGAAATTGTTCCATCAATATTTTTTGTTGGAATTGCAGTTTATTTATAAGGGAATTGCCAAGAGCCTTTGATAAACTGTGAAACTTCCTAGGTGAACGAGAACTGTATAATCAATGAAACTGAGGAAAAACATATTAAGTTCCTGGAAGAACTTAGAGAGTGAGGAGAAAGTGGAATCAAAATATTGATTGTTTATATCTGTCTCTCTTTTTCTCCCTGAGGCTAACAAGAGATCCATGGAAGCATGGGATTTTTACAAACCTTAAACATTAGCTAGCTCCCACACAGTCCCCCTCTGCTGTGCTTACTGAGCATGACTCTTCCATAACCTCTCAAGTGGAGGCTGCTTGAAGTTCATTAATTCCTTCAATTAACTACACACTACTGATGTAGCTCCCAAAGACCTTGTCTTAGTTCAGGATGCTATAACAGAATACTGTAGACTGGATGGCTGGAACAGCAGATATTTATTTCTCATAGTTTTAGAGTCTGGGAAGTCCAAGGTCAAAGTGACAGCAGATACAGTGAATGACGAGGGACTGCTTCATGATTTGCAGATGACTGTGTTCTCGTATCCTCATCTTGTGGAGAACAGAGAAACAGGAAGCAAGCTCTATGGTGTCTCTCCTTATAAAGGCACTAATTCCTTCCAGAGGACTCCACTCTCATGACCTAATTACATCCCAAAGTTCCCATCTCCAAATACCATCACTTTGGAGATTAGGGTTTCAACTTGTGGATTTGGGGGAATGCAAACATTTAGTTCATAGGAGAACCAATTCTACTAAAAGGGCAGCTCCAATTGGCATATTATATATATTCTTCTCTGGACCCAAAACTGTTGAGGAATAGCATTAATAATCATAAAAAGCCAAATAATCCTTTTAAGGAAGTTGAGTAGCTCAGCCAAGCAAAACATTTTCAAATATTTCATCCTCTGTCTTTGTCTGACTTTCATTTCTCATGGCAGGAGGGCTTTGAACAATTACAATTGGGCATGCTTTTTTGTGACGTCATCCTTTTTATTTCAGTTTGTTTGTTTTTGTATTGCCCAGACTAATTGCTTTAGAATAACACTGTTATTGCAAACAGTGATGTGATGAAGGGGAAACTGTGAAAGGCTTGGGAAAATATAATAATTTAATACATTATAAATATATATATGTTTTACAAACAGGGTCTCACTCTGTTGCCCAGGCAGCAGTGCAGTGGCACCTTCTTAGCTCATTGCAGCCTCAAACTCCTGGGCTCATGCTATCCTCCCCAGTCACTCTCCCAAGTAGCTAGGACTACAGGCATGCACCACCATACTCAGCTGGTTTTTTAAATTTTTTGTAGAGGCAGAGTCTTGCTATGTTGCCCAGGCTGTTCTCAAACTCTTGGACTCCACCAGTTCTCCCACCTTGGCCTCCCAAAATGCTGGGATTACAGGCATGGGCCACCACACCCACCCATAAATATTTTTAGAAGGAATTTTTCTGACTCCCGTGTCACAAGGGACAATAATTTCTATATTCCTTTAAGTTAATCCATACGACCTAATGAGCCACAACTACCAAAACAGGTAGGGTGCATTCTGAGAGCTGTGCAATTTGGACTGAATTATGATGGAATTGACTCAGACGGAGGCAGAAAACTCTGGACATATTAATAGCATCCAAAAGTAGATTTTAAAGAACTCATTACATGAGGATGAGATCCTGTGGAGGGGTTCAGGTTAATATATGGGTCAAATCATTGAAAGAGTTACTGAGGAAGACATTTTAAGAGACACGCATGTTGGACGCATCTTTGCACAGAGGGGACATTTAGCCTGAGCAACATATGTTTAGAATCCAGATTGAAAATCATTCTTGATTACGGATGGAGGGACAAATCTCTCTGGCCAGAAAGCTGGAGTCAGGAGACAGGTGAGATGGAAAAAGTAGACTTTGTTTCTTCCCTTGGTAACACTCACAAAAGTGTCCACCCCCAGAAACGCTGGAAAGGAGAAAGTGATTCTGTTAATAACCAACCTTAAATGAGCTAATTAAGGAAATAACAGCTTTGGGGACACCACACTCTTTATAATGGGAGGAATTGGACTCTGGAGAGTTGCTGGAAAGCTCACCTTCTGGACCATGCCCACTGACTTTACTGGAAATGGAAATCTGAAGGGGATAAGGATGACCAGGGAGAAAACGTCCTGGGATCAGACCAAGCTTGGGGCTGGTGCACAAGGCTTTGCCTTGACTTTTAAAGTTCTGTCTATAAATGTTTCTCACCCCTTTCTTTCGCACATAGTACGGAACCCTGAAAAACTATTCTTCAGGTTATAGGCTGCACCAATTGCTCAGTTTAGAGAACTTTAAGGAATCCCTTCTTAAGAAAAAAAGAATCAGTAATTGTGTCCATTTTGAGGAATTTTAATACTTGTCATGTACACATATGTGTACATACAAACCACATAATAAACAACACTTTTTCCTTTAGCTATTACAGTCCAGTTCTTGAAGTGTCAAGGTCATAAAGTTTACCAATTAGCTATTATGAACAAGTTCTTCATCAGAATAAATGGAAATTTTACTTTGCTTTAGAGAAAATACAACGTGCGCATATGCACTATATTTTGAGATCTGCATAAAAGAACATTTCTATACTATTTTAATAGAAATATTGCTCAGTTTTAAATGTATCTCAAGTTTAAATGAGTGGTATTTTCCCTTTCTAAACTAGGATTGGATCTTCTGCTCTCAGCCATCAGTTCTGGGTAAATCCAAGCTGCTTGGCTGGCTAAAAAGAGGTGTGGTTGGTTTTACCTAATGGCTACCCTCATCTGTAATCTTCTTTATGCAACTAAAAATCAGTAAGAACAACACACTTATTTTTTCTCCATATGTCCTGGAAGCAGACCTTTATACCATGCCTCACAAGACGGACAGAGGGAGGCATCTGGAGATGTTCGGACAGAATGGAAGTCAATTAGAACATTCTAATGGTGGGCATGCAGCCTGAAATCAGATATGTTACCTAGGGATGTTGGTGGATTCTATATGGCCTGTGAGAATGAACAAGCAGGTTAGTACTGGATGCTGTTGCCAAAGAATGGGCAAGGGCAGAAGTGAAAGAAGAAATGGAGAAGGCAGTAGGGTCAAATAGTGAGACTCAGATGGGAGAATCTATATCTTTGTAACAATATTTTTACCCATTGGAAAGAAGACATAGGGTAAAATTTTAGATATTGATATTCAAAATTGTTGCCATGAATGTTCATAGCAGCATTATTCACAATAGGTAAAAAGCAGAAACAGCCCACATGTCCATCAACTAATGAATGGATAAACAAATGTGGTTTCTCCATACGATGGAATATTATTTGACAATAAAAAGGAATGAAGAGCTGATATACAGTGTGGATGATCTTCAAAAATTTTATGCTTAGTGAGAGAAGTCAGAGGTGCTGTATCATTCCATTTATATGAAATGTCCAGAAAAGTCAAACCCACGGAAACAGAGTAAATTAGAGCTTGCCTAGGGCTGAGGGTGGGAATGGGAGCAATAGTAAACGAACATGGTATTTCTTTTGGGGCTGATGGAAATGATGTATGATCAGATGGTGGTGATGGTTGCACAACAATAAGGCTCAACAATAAGATTAACGTTCTGTGGCCGGGCACAGTGGTTCACGCCTGTAATCCCAGCATTTTGGGAGGCCGAGGCGGGCAGATCACCTGAGGTCAGGAGTTTGAGACCAGCCTGACCAACATGGAGAAACCCCCGTCTCTACTAAAAATACAAAATTAGCTGAGCATAATGGCACATGTCTGTAATCACAGCTACTCAGGGGGCTGAGGCAGGAGAATCACTTGAACCCAGGAGGTGGAGGTTGCGCTGAGCCGAGATCGTGCCATTGCACTCCAGCCTGGGCAAAAAGAGCAAAACTCTGTCTCAAAAAAAAAAAATAATAATTAATTAAGTAAAGTGTAACCTTACTGAAAATTATTAAATTGTACATTTAAAATTGGTGATTTTATGGTATGAAAAGTATACCTCAAAAAGCCATTATAAAAAATTGCTATCTGAGAATATTATCATTATTCTGTATTGAATGTTTAAGAACTCTATGTGTGAGTTTAAGTTCATTATGGCTTTAAATGAATTCCTCAATTTCCCTTGAGAGAAAGGTTTTGCTTTATTTTTCTTTTTAGGTAACCAAGGCTGTACTCAGATATTGCTAATAAGGAAGAAAAACTGGTGTCCTGTTTTTAAACTGAGGACACTAGGGCCAGAGGTCAGGAAGAGGGATCACCTTCCCCTTCAACACAACATCCTTCTAAAAGTTCTGCCTCTGCTTCTATAATTGTGAAGCACCTATTACTATTCCTCAAGGCCCAAAAGGGGGTTTGTAGGATGATGGATATAGGAGATGTTGGGGTTTCAAGGATGAAGAACATCTAGCAGTGAAGCAGAGAAAACAATGATGTCTAGAGTGAGAGAAAATGTGAGGGGCTGTTGGAAAATATCATCAATATTCATAGAGACTTGATATTAGTGACAAGGAGGGATAATACTCACCTAGGTGGAAAATGTTCACATCCCCTTAGCTGAAATTACTTCTTCAAGCAGATGGTTTTGAATTGCTGTGAATAGGCTCACATTTGCATAATGGCTTTTCTAGATTTTTTTTTTCTGTTACTCTCAACTAGTTGCTTTAGAATAACGTTGTTATTTCTGTTAAACTCCTCCTCCTAGGAACCAGTGCAAACATATGTAACATTTACATTTTTTTTTTGTTTGCTTCTTCACCACATAACACTGAGCCTCCTAGTAGTGTTGCAAATCTTTGGCTATTAAGGACCAGAGATGTCCCTATCCCTTTTCTTACATGTCACGTTGAGGAAGGAGGTGAAATCTTGGTGAAATTTTTCTTGACTTGATTTGGGCTAGAGCAAGGATATGACCTGGTTTCCATTGTAGAGGATCATAACATACCACCCCAAAATATGGCATTTTTCCATGTTGATTCATTTGAGCTTAAGGCAATTGAGTAACAGCAGATGCAGAAAGAGCTCTCTGACCTTCCCCTTTCAATTTATTTTTAATTTTTAATTTTTTTTATTTCAATAGGTTTTTGGGGAACAGTTGGTGTTTGTTTACATGAATTAGTTCTTTAGTGGTGATTTCTGAGATTTTGGTGCACCCATCACCTGAGCAGTGTACCCAGTGTGTAATCATTTATTCCTTGCCACCCCCCATCATTTCTCCTGAGTCCCCAAAGTCCAATGTATCATTCTTATGCCTTTGCGTTCTCACAGCTTAGCTGCCACATATGAGTGGGAATATACGATGTTTGGTTTTCCATTATTGAGTTACTTCACTTAGAGTAATAGTCTCCAATTCCATCCAGGTTGCTGCAAATGCCATTATTTCATTCCTTTTTATGGCTGAGTAGTATTCCATGGTGTGTGTTTGTGTGTGTGTGTGTATACATATATACCACAAATATATATATAAATCATATATATATATATATATATATATATATATATATATATACATATCTCACATTTTCTTTCTTTTTTTTTTTTTGAGATGGAGTCTCACTCTGTTGCCCAGGCTGGAGTGCAGTGGCACTGCAACCTCCACCTTCGGGTTTAAATCATTCTCATGCCTTAACTTCCAGAGTAGCTGGGATTACAGGCATGCACCACCACTCCTGGCTAATTTTTGTATTTGTAGGAGAGATGAGGTTCCACCATGTTGGCCAGCCTGGTCTCAAACTCCTGACCTCATGTGATCTGCCTGCCTCAGCCTCCCAAAGTGCTGGGATTACAGGTGTGAGCCACTGCACCCAGCCAATATCACATTTTCTCTATCCACTCATTGATTGATGGGCATTTGGGCTGGTTCCTTATTTTTGCAATTGCAAATTGTTTTGCTATAAACATGTGTGTGCAAGTATATTTTTTGTATAATGACTTATTTTCCTCTGGGTAGATACCTAGTAGTGAGGTTGCTGGATCAAACAGTAGGACGCCTTTTAGTTTAAATGCAGGGCACAAATTTCTTGTGAGAAAGATGCTTTCCCTATACCAGGAAGAGGAGAACATTCTTATCACTGGATATGGGGAGTCAACACCCAGATGAATCCATACAAAAAAGCCTACTGAAATAACCTTATTTTCTATTAGTTTCCCATTTATTTCCTAGCCACCTTCCCATAATCTGCTGCTTCAGCCCAACCCCCTTTTTTCCTTGTCATATTATTTTGTCTTGTCACATCTTCTGAAATTTATAATTCTTTGTTAATGTGGTATATAAGCTCTCAGGCCTATCTGCTTCTTTGGATCTTCATTTCTTACATATGAAAGCCTCCATGTATGTGTAAAATATTAATATCAAATAAAATTTATATGCTGTTTCTCCTGTCAATCTGTCTTTTGCCACTTTAATTCTCAGGCTAAGCCACAGAACCTAAGAGGAAGGAGGAAAAGTATTTCCCCTCCTTCATTATGTCTCCTAAATTTTCAAACCAACAATGTCAGTACTTCCTTAAGTTTTCCAGGGATTCTTGTGAGCCACATTACTAAGGCAGGTAGCAATTAAAAAATCATTTCTATAGTTCTTTTACTCGTTGTTCCTATTTTCACCTAGACAGATCAAGTCAAAGCCTTCTCAACATGACAGCCCTTTTTATAATTGAAGACATCTATCAAATGTTTGTCATCTAAGACTTTGTTAGTCCAGGTTAAACATCCCCAGTATATTGGCCATTTGTCAAAAGACATAAATTTTTCTTCTTGGCTGGAAGAATTTTGGTATTGTCTCAAAGTGTGTTGCCCACTTTAAGATACAATCTGATGGAAGATGTACCTGGTGTGACTATTACCCTCATTAATAACAGTGACAATTATTCATGGAAAATATAAGCAGTGCTGAGATAAAATTATGTACTGGCAGGAAGAAAAAGTTATTTGTGGGTGTTTGCTCTGAGCAGACTCTGTTAGGTGCTTTATAAACATTAGCCGGTGCAGCTCATTAAGCAAGATGGGAAGAGGAGGGAGGGTTTCTGCTCACCTAGTGGCGTCCACTCTAGGGATGAGAATTTTTATGAAAATCGTCAATTGGTTCCACCCACTTCAGATATCATCCTGAAAGGGCTCTTTCCCTTGAAAATGTACAAAAGCAAAAAAAAAGAATTAAAATTTATTAACCCCATACTATGAAATAGGAACTATGTGTAGTTTGCTCAAGAGTTGGTTGAGAATGATTAAGTCTGATAGCAAGTAACAAGTAATTTAGTTCTGAGGATAACTTCTATTCCTTCTTCACTGAGGATCACAGAAAGCCTTCCCCGGGGGTGAATGAAGCAGCAGCCTGTGTCCTAGTCCTTTCATCACCCTAGGTCTGAATCACCCACACGTTCCCTATTAGGACCACACAATTCTGGGCCTGGAGCACCAGTCTGAGGTGTCATAGTGGGTTTAATTAAATGAACTGGTGAGAAATCATAGGCATTATATCCCCAATGGCTCCAAGTTTATTCCTTAAGTGCAGCCTTCAGGAACGGTATTCTGCACATATTGGGTTCCTTTAATAAGCACTCCACCAAATGCCAGCATCACAGCTGCTCTTTATATCTATATGCTTGTGCAGGCTCTAAGCTGTAGCCACGGGGATGGCTTTAAGATTCATGGACTTTAGCAGGAAGAGAGGCACTTTTTGGGTCAGACTTTTCCAATTCAGGAGGCTTAAGATATTCACAGGTAATTCTTGAAGGAAATATCAATGCCAGAAGTAGGTTTTCTTCTACAGTGTATTTTATTTTGATACATAGGAACAATATAAGAGTATTTAGAAGTGGCCTGCCATACCCGAGAACGTGAAGAAATCACCAATGCAAGAGCCCTTTGACAGCACTGACCATGTAAACTCTGAATTGACATGTGTCATTGGGGCAGCTTGTCTTATAAATTTAATATGGATTTGTGATGTATAAAAGTTTGGGGGGCTTTTAATACCAAGAAATAGAAAACTCGGCTAACAGTGGTTTAAACAACCAAGAGTTTTGTTTTCTTGCCTAGTAAGAAGCCAGGAAGTAGGCAGTGGCGGGCTTCACTCAACTGCTCAGTGGCGTGCCAGGGCCCCTGGCCTTTCTCATTTTCTGCTCTGGCATCCTCAGATTCTTGCCTCAGGGCCACAGATGGAAGTTGCTTCTCCACAAGAAGCAAGGAGAAGGGAGAAAAGACATGGCTCCAGTAAGCTTTTTCTCCTGGGTCTGTCCCTTTATCTGAAAATAAAATATTTCCTAAACCCCTCTAGCAAGCTTCCCCTATATATCTCATCAGTCAAAATCAGATCCCACTGTCACTCTGGCTGCAAGGGAGATTGGGAAGAGGATATCTGAGAAAAGGCAATAGGATTACTATAACTGGTTTACAGACGTGAAGATTCATGAGGGGAGACAAGCACATCTTCTCCCCCAAGCAAGAACACATTGGCAGGAAGGAGAGCCATGGACATCCACGAGGGAATGCAGCAATCTGCTGTATTGTAAGCCTGTCTACTACAAAGACTCATTTCCTGTGGATCAAATTCTGAGAAAAGAAAGTCTTCAATGAAACACCGAGTCTTGTTCTCAAACTCTTTCTAGATCAAATCAATACAAAATTGGAATTCTACAAAGGAAAAATACATAATGGTGGATCTGGGTTTCTAAAAGAATTGAGAACTGAAGTATATAAGGTAAGACAATGAATGGTTTTAACAGCAAGCTGTGTTAAGAGTATCAGAATATCACCAAACATGCAGCTCCTGCTTTTCATCACTTTAATGCAATGTGTCTTTGAAAATAGAATTTCTCCTATTATGCTAAAAAACAAACAGATATTAGGTAAAGATCTGATGAGAATAAATGACAATGCTCCCTATAGCATACATATATTTGATTAAAACATACTTCCCATTTTTAAAAAGTTGGTGTTTTTAACCTCATTATTTATAAGAAGAAAAAATTTACTTGCAAAAGTAGTATCGTTTAGTGACAAAAAGAATAAGCTCTGAAGCCAGGCAAACCTGGATTCCTATTCTGACCTGCTTATTAGCCTTGATCAAGTCTCAGTGATTTCCCTGAAAAATGAGGGTAATAAGAGCACCTACCTCATAGATTGCTGTGAATCGTAAAGGTGCCAATGCACACTAAAACTTTGCATATTTCCAGGCACATAAGAAACCCTTAGCATTACCTGTCTCAATATTTTTCTTGGTTTTGTTTTGAATAAAAGCATTTGGACCTAATTTTAATTGTTAATTATAATAAATAATTTATTTGTGAGATCTTTCTCTGTTGTGGTTTACTTTAACCCAGGGATGCATTGTATCTTGTGACCTCTTCCTATTGGTGTACTGCCAAGAAAGTATAATTATTAAAATATTCTGTGATATGTTTTGATAACCCTCTAACTAGACTATGACTTTTAAAAGTCTACGGTGATGGATTGGACCACACCTAATGGAGTCCATGGTATTTCCTACATGGCACTTGTCACCCCCTGGACCACTGCACCTGGCTGCAACCACTCTGGTTTGCTGTTAACCCTCCATGCCCTGGGCTGTAGGGTCCAGATATAGTAGTTTTGGGCTGTCAAGTAGAAGTGCTGAGTTATACTGACTTTTCTCTCCCAGACTCTCCAAGTCTCTTCCAAGAAAACTTCTTGTATTCGTCTGTTCTCTCATTACCATGAAGAAATACCTGAGACTGGGTAATTTATAAAGAAAAGAGGTTTAATTTCCTCAAGGTTCTACAACCTGTACAGAAAGCATAATGCCAGCATCTGCTTGGCTTCTGGGGAGGCCTCAGGAAACTTATAATCATGGCACAAGGCAAAGGGGCAGCCAGCACTTCACTTGGCTAGAGAGGGAGGAAGAGCATGGAGAGGGAGGTGCTACACACTTGTAAATGACCAGCTCTCATGAGAACTCACTCACTATCATAAGAACAGCACCAAGAGGGAAATCCACCCTCATGATCCAATCACCTCCCACCAGGCCCCACCTTCAACATGGCAACATTGGGGATTACAAATCAAGACGAGATTTGGGCAGGGACACAGACCAAAACCATATCACTTCTCTTGGCCATGTGTTCTCAGTTCTATCTTTGAATAGTTCATTTTTTTGACCTGAGTATAAAATGGGACCATACTATTATCTAGTCACATTATCCCATTTTGCCTTCAGGAATACCATGACAGACTTTGTTGAATACTTTATCAAATCTATGTTTATCATATTTGCCTAGGCTAGCAGGTTGGCAAAGTCATCGAGGTTAAATTGGAATGCCTGTTTTTGCTACTTCCTCTCTCGCCTGTTATACAGTAAGAGCCAATATGACAGAAGTCATGTCTGATTTGTCCACAATACCAGAGACAAAATGAATAATTTTTAGTGACTCATAGACTGAATGATAAATTGACTCCATCTGACTCTCAGTGATGATTATTTTTTTTCTCTACATACTCCCATCTTTCCATTAGCAGTTATTTTTCTAGAAAAATGTCCATGATCAATGTCAAAGTCACCACTACTGTGTGGAGACAGTCTCTGATACCTCCAGCCTCACTCTTCCTCACTAACATCACACTCAGAAGGAGATCTAGATGCTGGTAAAATGGCTGACCCAGCAGGGCTCATGGAGGACAGCATTCTTTCCAAAGGCAATCTAAGCAAGGCTGAGCCAGACACAGACAAAGTTACCTAGGAAGAGACAGAGGTTGAGTGGTCCAGGGGTTTGTTTCAGTCTTTTGAATTCCAGGCTCCAGCATCTCTAATATGGTCGCAGTGGTATCCAAAAGAAAAATACCTTCAAAAAATCAATGAATCCAGGAGCTGGTTTTTTGAAAAGATGAACAAAACAGACCGCTGGCAAGACTAATAAAGAAGAAAAGAGAGAACAATGAAATAGACGCAATAACAAATGATATAGGGGATATCAGCACTGATCACACAGAAATACAAACTACCATCAGATAATACTATAAACACAAATAAACTAGGAAATCTAGAAGAAATGGCTAAATTCCTGGACACATACACCCTCCCAAGTCTAAACCAGGAAGAAGTTGAATCCCTGAATAGATCAATAACAAGTTCTGAAATTGAGGCAGTAATTAATAGCCTACCAACTAAAAAAGTCCCGGACCAGATGGATTCACAGCCAAATTCTGCCAGAGGTACAAAGAGGAGCTGGTACCATTCCTTCTGAAACTGTTCCAATCAATAGAAAAACAGGGACTCCTCCGTAACTCATTTTATGAGGCCAGCATCATCCTGATACCAAAACCTAGCAGAGACACAACAAAAAAAGAAAATTTCAGGCCAATATCCCTGAGGAACATCGATGCGAAAATCCTCAATAAAATACTGGCAAACCGAATCCAGCAGCACATCAAAAAGCTTATCCACCACGATCAAGTCGGCTTCATCCCTGAGATGCAAGGCTGGTTCAACATACTCAAATCAATAAACCTAATCTATCACATAAATGGAACCAATCACAAAAACCACATGATTTTCTCAATAGATGCAGAAAAGGCCTTTGACAAAATTCAATACCCCTTCATGCTAAAAACTCTCAATAAACTGGGTATCGATGGAACGTATCTCAGAATGATAAGAGCTATTTATGATAAACCCACAGCCAATATCATACTGAATGGGCAAAAACTGGAAGCATTCACTTTGAAAACCAGCACAAGGCAAGGATGCCTTCTCTCACCACTCCTATTCAACACAGTATTGGAAGTTCTGGCCAGGGCGATCAGGCAAGAAAAAAAATAAAGGGTATTCAAATAGGAAAAGAGGGAGTCAAATTGTCTCTGCTTGCAGATGACATGATTGTATATCTAGAAAATCCCATCATCTCAGCCCAAAATCTCCTTAAGCTGATAAGCAGCTTCAGCAAAGTCTCAGGATACAAAATCAATGTGCAAAAATCACAAGCATTCCTATACATCAATAATAGACAGAGCCAAATCATGAGTGAATTCCCATTCACAATTGCTACAAAGAGAATAAAATACCTAGGAATCCAACTTACAAGGGATGTGAAGGACCTCTTCAAGGAGAACTACAAACCACTGCTCAAGGAAATAAGAGAGGACACAAACAAATGGAAAAACATTCCATGCTCATGGATAGGAAGAATCAATATTGTGAAAATGGCCATACTGCCCAAAGTAATTTATAGATTCAGTGCTATTGCCATCAAGCTACCACTGACTTTCTTCACAGAATTGGAAAAAACTACTTTAAACTTCATATGGAACCAAAAAAGAGCCCGCATAGCCAAGACAATCCTGGGCAAGAAGAACAAAGCTGGAGGCATCACAGTACCTGACTTCAAACTATACTACAAGGCTACAGTAACCAAAACAGCCTGGCACTGGTACCAAAACAGATATATAGACCAATGGAACAGAACAGAGGCCTCAGAAATAACACCACACGTCTACAACCATTTGATCTTTGACAAACCTGACACAAAAAAGCAATGGGGAAAAGATTCCCTATTTAATAAATGTTGTTGGGAAAACTGGCTAGCCATATGCAGAAAACTGAAACTGGACCCCTTCCTTACACCTTATACAAAAATCAAATCAAGATGGATTAAAGACTTAAATGTAAGACCTGGGGCCATAAAAATCCTAGAAGAAAACCTGGGCAATACCATTCAGGACATAGGCAGGAGCGAAGACTTCATTCATGTCTAAAACACCGAAAGCAATAGCAACAAAAGCCAAAATTGACAAATGGGGTCTAATCAAACTAAAGAGCTTCTGCACAGCAAAAGAAACTATCAGCAGAGTGAACAGGCAACCTACAGAATGTGAGAAAAATTTTGCAATCTATCCATCTCACAAAGGGCTAATATCCAGAATCTACAAAGAACTCAAACAAATTTACAAGAAAAAAACAAACAGCCCCATCAAAAAGTGGGCAAAGGATATGGACACACTTCTCATAAGAAGACATTTATGCAGCCAACAGATGTATGAAAAAATGCTCGTCATCACTGGTCATTAGAGAAATGCAGATCAAAACCACAATGAGATACCATCTCACACCAGTTGGAATGGCGATCATTAAAAAGTCAGGAAACAACAGATGCTGGAGAGGATGTGGAGAAATAGGAACACTTTTACACTGTTGGTGGGAGTGTAAATTAGGTCAACCATTGTGGAAGACAGTGTGGCGATTCCTCAAGGATCTAGAACTAGAAATACCATTTGACCCAGCAATCCCATTACTGGGTATATACCCAAAGGATTATAAATCATTCTACTATAAAGACATATGCACATGTATGTTTATTGTGGCACTACTCACAATAGCAAAGACTTGGAATCAACTCAAATGTCCATCAATGATAGACTGGATAAAGAAAATGTGGCACATATACATCATGGAATTCTATGCAGCCGTAAAAAAGGATGAGTTCATGTCCTTTGCAGGGACATGGATAAAGCTGGAAACCACCATTCTCAGCACACTATCGCAAAAACGGAGAGCCAAAAACTGCATGTTCTCACTCATAAATGGGAGGTGAACAATGAGAACACATGGACATAGGGAGGGGAACATCACACACTGGAGCCTGTTGCGGGGTGGGGGGCTGGAGGAGGGATAGCATTAGGAGAAATACCTAATGTAGGTGACGGGTTGATGGGTGCAGCAAACCACCATGGCACGTGTATAGCTATGTAACAAACCTACAGTTTCTGCACATGTACCCCAGAACTTAAAGTATATAAAAAAAGAAATATCAAACAATTAAGAAAAGTTATGTGTGTAATAAAGGTATGAAATATTAAAAAAAAAAGAAAGTCTATTTTTTAAAAATCTTCTAGTTGTCTAATCTGAGTATGGAGAAGAAAGCAGAATGTGTGCTTCTTCTGAGAGGCATCAAATGTGATCCGGGGCTTCTGTGCAAGGGTCAGGTGGAAACTGCTTCTCAGAAACAATTAATAGCCTAGGACAAAACCGGTAGCACTGAAAATGGAAGCTCACAGCAGGAAAGACTTCCTCAAGTTTAGAAGAGTGACTTACTGTGATGGCCATGAAAATGGACTCAGGTGTCCTGCTAGGGGAGCATAGTTGGAGACTCAGGTCTCCTGCTAGGGGAGCATAGTTGGCCGACGGCCCCACTGCTCCCGCTCTGGACCCACTTGCACACTCATGCCAAGGCCCTGAGCTGCTCCCCAGCTACCACAGCAAGCGTACTAAGGCAGGTTCATTCCAGTGAGATGCAGGGCTCCTCCAAGGGGAATTTTGTCTCACGTACTCCCTATAGACCTGCTTAAATCTTTCTTGAAATTTTAGTATAGACTGAGATTCTTCTTACCCCATCTTCCTTCCTTCCTTCTCTCCTTCTACTGGTGTTAGACTTGTATTGCAATCCGAAAGCTCTCCTTGTCTTTCCTGCTCTCTTCTCCAAGAAATTTCTTGCACATCTAATTCCATCTTGGCATTTACTTCTTGACAAGCCTGAACTAATGCATGTAGCATTTCTTTTGGTCCAATCAGCTGAGTGCTGTTGTTGCTACAAAAGCAAAACAGATTACACAGAGAGATTGACTGTCTCTTTCAGGGTGAGGCAAGAAGAAAAAGATTAAGTATATTTCTAATGTCCTAGAGAAGGCAAGAGTGAGAGTCTTTTTTTTTTCATTGACCAATCATAAAATAATTGTTTCTCCTATAACTGATTTGTTAGACAGGGACATAATACTGTATTAGGAGTTGACAAACTTTGTTAGCCATTTGGCATGCTGAAAAGACAGGAAAAAAGGGGGGCAGCATCAATGTTGATGTTGGAACCTCCTTAAACCTGAATGTAGCACTTTGTCTTCAGCTCTGCAAAGAAGTCACAGATATAGACGAGCTGTGAGCGGTCCATAAGGGAGAGGTAAAGGCTAGTATTTTACTAGCCTCAGCAGTTTCCCTGTCTACTCTTGTATCACTTATCCATCAACAAGATGTGCACTCCACAAGATCAGCTGTTTGCATCTCTCTGGTTCACTACCTTACCCCAATTGCGTTTCAAGTGCATGGTGCATGTTAGGTGTGCTCAAGAAAGATTTGCTAAATAAACATAAGCCTGTATGTACCAGCACCCTTTCTTTTGTTCAGGGCAATGGTTTCTGCTATCTATGGAAGTTGGATGGGTGAAGGCAGGGAGCAGAGTGGGACAGGGTATTTTCACCTTGCAATTTCCATAACTGAGAAGTAAATGACCAGTAGCAGGCTGTCATTGGGTCTCTCTATGACTGCCAATACTCAAAAGTGATTCTGCTCAGGAATTAAAAAGGGGCCAGGGTCCTTCTGCATTATCTTGCCCAGATCCCCTCTCAGGGTTGGAAAATGACTTCTTTACAAGTTATGAATGAATTCTTCTACTCCATTCTTCCCAGAACACCAGCCCACTACACACATATACACACACATGATGACAAGAGAAGAGTATGCAATACTGTTACAAAGGGTTGAGGGGATGTTCCAAAGCATTACTTATTAGTTGGGATTTATTTCAATTCTGAAAAACAAAATACCCTCAAAGTATATTAACTTAAACAAGAAAGAGTTTACTGAAGTTCAAGTAGATAGCCCAGTGCTGGTAAGGTGTCATTCCATGGTGTCAGGAACTCAAGCTGCTTCTAATTTGTTGTCCTGCAATACATGGCTTTCCCAAGTTTACCTTATAATGAAAGATCACTCCAGCTCCAGCCACCATAACTACCTTCCAGAAAGAAGAGAATGGAAAAAGAAGGGAACACCTCCTTCCTTTAAGGATAATTTCCAGAGCTGCACCATCATGTTTACTAATATCCTACTGGCCAGAGTTTTTTCAAATGGCCACAACTAATTGCCAGGTAGACTGGAAAAACTGTAGTTTGTATTCTGGGCAACGAGGTGCCCAGTGAAAAAGAGGACAAATATTGGGACCACTAGCAGTTTCTAGCACTTTGGCTTTTTGGCTAAAATATATACCTGAGATAATACTCTCTCCACAAGGAGTTACCACAGCCTGCCCAAAGTCCAGGATCACTTGCAGTTCTCTGCATTGAATTGGATGTGACTACCTGTGGTCTGGTACTGTAAAGTTATCTGCTACACACATTCCAAATGTGTAATGATGGAGTAGGAATAGAAAAACACAATAAGACTCTCACTTGGAAAAGAGGAGAATAGAGAATGGAAAACACAATGCAGTCACTCGTTCATCACAATTCTTCAATCCCACCAGAAAAATATGGCATTCTTGAGGGACCCTTGTTTTTCATAGACCTAGGGGTTACAGAGTCACATGGTTCAGCAGGCCAGGCATTTGATTTATTTGACAATACAACTCTCTCAAAAACATAGTAGGCTTCTGATCTACTTTCTTCTGGTCAGTTCTATGCTTAAGTTATAACAATCTAAGATTTTATTAGTTGTGTTTTTAAGACTGAGCACTCTTTTCTTTTCTTACTGCTCTCTGTATTCTGCCCCCCGCCAGACCCACCTTAATGGCAACTGTCCTGAGCCTAGGTGAACCAATAAGCTGTTGGCAAAGAAAACACTCCTAATCTAATCTTACACCCTTAATTTAATCTGTGCTGCTAGACTGGCTCTTACTGTCTAGCAGAACACTCTTAACAGAAAGTGACTGAAAAAGCTATATGAGCCTTATCTCCTTCTAAGGCTGTTACTCAAATTCACAATTTCTAACTCCTTCAATTTGGGGTGCAGAGACAGCTAACATCAAACATGCAAGGACCTAAATTGCATCAACTTAATTGCAGGTAACAGGCAGAGTGCCTCCCCTAGCTAATCTCACTAAGGGTACGTATGTGTTCTGCAGAGAGCTGTGGGTATCCCTGCTGCATAGTTCCCTGACTTGGGGAATCTAGCTGTGGCTCCATCTCTTAACAGCCATAAGCAGTATACCCCAATGCCTCTTGCTGCTAGGGTTCCCTTTGCCTAGCAGGCAAGTGCCTTAGAGGTTTACCAGGGAGCTGGCTAATGCCCAGCCACCCTCCTCAGCCAGATGAGCCAGTGTCAGGCTGCTCCAGCCACCCTTCCTTCTGCCTGTCCACTTCACCTGGATTCTCTTCTCCCTAGCAGATCAGCAAGTCCTGTCTAGGCAGATGTGTCAGCTGGGGCAAGGAATATCACACTTTCTTTCTCTCTGGTGCCTCCAGCCTCACAAGTGAGCTTCTGCAGCTGCCTCAGCACCCTCATTTGGCTTTGCTGGGGAAATAAAAAGTCATTCACCAGGAAAACAGTACTCCTGAAGATTCTGACCACTCATCCTTCCTCGTTGTCTGCTTATGAAGACAACAGACTTGTAGTTGGGCATCGGAAATTTCTGTGGTAGATTCCATTCTGCAAACACTTAGTAAACTCTGAAAGAGCTACCTCTTCACATTGTGGTGTACTTAAGGCTTCTTTGTCTTCAGCCTTTGGCCTTAGTTCAAAAGTCAGGGCATGGGTATCCACAGGCAAAAGAATATATTTAGACCCCTAGCTTACACTATATGCCAAAATTAACTCAGAAGGAGTCAAAAACCCTAAATTTAAGAGCTAACATTATAAAACTCTTAGAAGAAAAACAGATATAAATTTACATGACTGTGAATCAGGCAATGATTTCTTAGATATGACACCTAAAGCACAAGCAACCAAAGAAAAGGAGAAAATTTTTATGTTGCCAAAATTATAAACTTTTGTGCTTCAAAGAACACCATCAAGAAAGTGAAAAGACAATCCACAGAATGGGAGAAAATCTTTGCAAATAGTATATAGAATAAGGGTCTGCTATGCACAACATAAAAAGAACTCCAACCACTTAGCAATAAAAAGACAAACAGCCTTACTAAAAATGGACAAAGAATTTGAACAGACATTTCTCCAGAGAAGATATAGAAATGATCAAGGAGCACATGACAAGATGCTCAGCATCATTAGTCATTAGAGAAATGCAAAGCAAGACCACAATGGATACCACTTCATACCCACTAAAATGGACAAATAACAAGAACAACAACAACAAAAGATGCACAATAGCAAGCATTGACAAAGACATGGAAAAATTGAAACCCTTATACTTTGCTGGTGAGAATGTAAAATGGTGCAGTCTCTTGAGAAAACAATTTGGGCCAGGTGCGATGGCTCACACCTGTAATCCCAGCCCTTTGGGAGGCCGAGGCAGGTGGATCACCTGAGGTCAGGAGTTCAAGACTAACCTGACCAATATGGAGAAACCCCGTCTCTACTAAAAACACAAAATTATCTGGGCATGGTGGCACATGCCTGTAATCCCAGCTACTTGGGGGCTGAGGCAGGAGAATCACTTGAACCTGGGAGGCTCAGGTTGTGGCGAGCCGAGATCGTGCCATTGCACTCCAGCCTTGGCAACAAGAGCAAAACTCCAACTCAAAAAAAGAAAATAATTTGGTAATTCCTCAAAAAGTTAAACAGAGTTACTGTATGATCCACCAATATCTAGGTATATATATATATACCAAATAGGATTGAAAACCTTTGTGTACCCAAAACCTTATACCTGAATATTCATAGCCAAAAGAGGAAACAATTCAGAAGTCTAAAAGCCTATAAACAGGTAAATAAAGTGCAGTATATTCATACAATAAAATATTAGCCTAAAAGGGAATGAAGTACTGATGCATGCTATAGCATGGATGAACCTTGAAAATGGTATGTTATATGAAGGGAGCCAGACACAAAATGCCAAATATATGATATATTGAGAATGGGTCAAACCAAATCAGACTTTTTGTCTTTATTAGTGGTTGACAGGGGCTGGGGGAGGGAGGAATGAAAAGTGATTGCTAATAGGTATAGGGTTTCTTTTAGGGGTGACAAAATGTTATAAAGTTAGATAGTGGTAATTATTGCACAACCTTGTGAATATATTATAAACCACTGACGTACATACCTTAAAAGAGCATATTTTATGGTATGTGAATTATAACCCAGTTTGTTTTTTAAAAAAGTCAAGCAATAGGAAGAATCCCTTTCAACTTCCCAGTTACAGGTGGAAGCAATTTGGTATGAGTGGGTTAGATTTTATCCAAAAAATTGACTATAGCTTCCAAACTAGAAGCAGTTTTTAGTACATGTTTTAATGCATTTACTAACTTTTTTCTGAAAGTGATGCACCTACAAGAGCATATCTTATGTATAGGCACATGAGTTGTGCCACTTAAAACAGCATTCCTCATTTCCAACTGCTTTGAGTGGACAGATGTACACACTTTGTTTTTTCTAAGCTATGCACAAACTTAAGGGCTTGCATGCACCATACATACACACTAATCTTCCTCTTTTCTTTCTTTCACAATAGTTCCTATAATCTCAAATCGGTACCTATTCAAAATTGGCCAAAAAGCCTGATAAATCTCAGGATATTGCAATCTGTGGGTGAGTCTCCAAGATGTCCACAGCATCCAAATGAAAATCAGAGTTGTGATAGAAGAATGGCTGTATAGACTCTAATCAAAAGATTGATTTTTGTGTAGTTGTTCTTTTTTAAAAAAACAAATTCTGAAAAATTCTGAGTTGTCTTTGAGAAGCAAAGGACAATGTTGAAGGGTATAAAGGAGTTAGTCAAGAATAATAAAAATAATCTCTTGGTAAAATGACTGAAGTTTGTAATATATTTACATCATAAAGACCACAATGTAAAAAATAAAATCAAAATAAGTGTCTAAAACCAACTGCAACAGCTCATTTCTCTTTTTAAAAATGAAACTGAGCATCTTATTTGAAGCTATTTTTATTTGCATTAGATTATTGCAAATAAACATTCTAAATGATAGAAAAGAGTTGTAATCATATAATTTGCTTTCAGTGTTTTTGTATTAACTCATTAGTCAAACCCTTCAGTGAAACATAGTTTACAAAAACATATCCATTTTTTTGTAAGCATATTATGAATAACATAGAGATGCTTTACTAATTTGATAATTAAGACCCAATATTTAGCTGGAGAGGACCAATTAAGTAAGAATAATTTAACTCTCTCTCTCTGTCTCTCTTTCTCTTTCTCTCTTGCTTGGCTGACTAAGCTTGGGGGAGCATAAAAGAATAAAGTAATCGTACTGCATTAGAACTAGTAGAAGACATTAGAGATTAACTTGGGGGCCATGACTACTGAGGAATTCAGTGAGTTGGCTTCATGGGCAGTCTGCGTAATCCTTAAGTTAGATGCAAAATGTTATAGGAATGTGCATAAGTGTATTTTTGGGGGTAGTGAGAATGTATAATCCTAGAAGATCAAGAAACCAATGTGCTGAAGAGTGACGGGTGAGGACAGTTGTCCTGGGACTTTGGAGGTGCTGTCAGATGGTCCTGGAAATACAGAACCAGTCCACTGCACAGCCAGAGATGACATGGGCTCAGTGATTCCAAAGCCCTTATAGTCAAGAATGTGAAATGCAGACGACCAGAGAAAAGAGCAATAGACAGTTCCTGATACACTCAGCTTACCCCGCTATACAATCTATAAGCATCCACATGTCCTCATTGGCTATGGAGATAAGTTATTCCAAAATACCATGGTCCTATCAGCCTGGAGGGTCTGGACTACTGGGAGTGTGTATATATATATATATGGCAAGGAAGAATGAGAGGTCGTGGTGCCATGGACAGAAGAAGAAAAATTAGCAAATGTTGGCTTGATAGGGTAAGCAAGGGTTTGGCTTTTAACACGTGGTATTCAAGGAGCAGACAGAACACCAAGGTTTAGTTGTTCCAAAAGCAACTGGAAAGACAGAAGTAAAGCTAGATGCTCCTACTATAGGAAAATTCTTTCCCCATCAGTGTTTCCTCCCTTTGGGATTCTCTCGATTCAACCCCATGACCACCACTGCACTCACCCCCAGGAGTGCATGCTCCTTTCCTCTACGACCTGCAGCAGTGTGCTAATCTGGTTTATTTGGGTTCATCAGAACAAAATGTTAGCCTTTCCCAATTCTGCCTTCAGTGACCTCACGTTGGTAGCCTGCAATTGGCTATGGTGGTGCAATTTCTATTTGCATCACAGAAATCAGCAAATGCTACAAATTAGTATCCCTCCTCCAAATGGGCTGTTAAATATTTACCAGCTTTTACCAATCACTGCTTATGAGTGAACAGAGATATAGAGTGTGTGGGGCCTTACACAGAATGGCCAAGGAAGATCTCACTGTTAGGGCAGCGTTTGGGAAGACTAAAAAGAGGTGATAAAATGAACCATGCAGGTATCTTGGGGAAGAGCATTCTTGTTACAGGAAACAGCAAATGTAAGGTACCCAGTGCAGGAGTGTCCTTGGTGTTCAAGGGACGGCAAAGAAGGCTAGTGTGGCTGGGGCAGAGTGAGTGAAGGAAAGAATGGTAGGGGATGAGGTTAGAGATAGATGAAGAAACGAGGGGCAAATCATGAAAGACCTTTTAGATGATAATAAGGAGTTTGGTTTTTACTCTGAGAGAAACGGGGAGACACTGGAGAGTATAGAGCAGTAAAGTGACATGAGTATGACATAGACCTTGAAAGGATTACTCCTTTTAATCCTTCATGTCAACTTTATGGAGGCTAGGACCAGAAGACTAGTGGTGGAGGGGATAAGAAGTGGTCATATTCTAGATCTGAATACAATAGAATTGTTATTAGTAAGCAGCTTTCAGCTCAATAAAAGAAATGAGTTTCTAATAGAGTTTTTGTCATCTCCAATGAAGTACCAAGCTTCTTGTACCTGGAAGTAACCAGGCAGACACTTGATATCCCTCACTAGAGATAGTATAGGAGAGTTTCCTATGTTGGGAGGAGTTTATACCCACTGACCTCTAATATTCTTCAATGGCCTGGGGCTTGGCTACACAAGAAAATGCTTGTTATAACTTGATGACTGATGATCGAGTTAGGACTAAGGGAGCAAATAGGGTTAGATATAGAAATTGAAATGGCTTCATTTCTGTAATAAATATGTTAATGGTTATTTTAGAGATATATTTATGACTTGGGCATAGGCATATCTAAGGGTTTGGGGGCAAAGTGGATGGGGGAGTAGTTTCGCGTTCGTGTCGCTCTCCGTGGTGCTGAAACACCAATGGTTAAGGGATAATGTTCTCCTAACTCCCTGACTCTTCCTACTTGGAGGTGAGGCCACCTGATATGTGCAGTCACATGAGGTAGAGGTGGGTTGAGTTGGGGAGGCTTGGGAACAAATAAAGTAAGGATGTCTTAGAATTCAGGATATTACAGCTGGAAAGGGTTTCAGGGAGTATCTAGTCCAATTGCTTAATTTTGCAACTGAGAAAACAGAGCAAGTCCACTTGTCCTAAGCAGCAGAGGTCCAGGACCTAGTATATCTCATCCTGGGATGAGATAAAAGTGAGAGGAGGCTAGTCCTGTGGGATTATTCTTAACATTTCCACCAGAAGTTTCTACTACTTGAGTTCTCCCTCATCGTGTGACCCTATTCACCACACCAGTGAATAAGCTTCCTCAGAAACATGTCCTGGTTTGTGCATGAATTTCCCTGATTTATACCTGGAAGCCTCCAATCTGGACTAGACATCCTTAGTTGTAATGGACTCTCTGGTTGATGTCACCCCAACTTCCCAGGCTTCTATCAATGACCTCTACTTTTTATTAATGTTACCATGCGTCTACTTGGTTTGTCATACTTTCTGAAGTACTAGAACTTGACGGAGCTGGGTATGCACTAACATGTTATACTTGTCCTTGTGTGGCTGCTTATTGAGGCTGTAGGTCTGCCGTTTGGTAGAATACAATTAACAAGATCGTAGAATAGGGGAAAGAACACATGGGTAAAGCACCCAGTAACCAGTCATGCAGAGGCTTAGTGATGTAAGAACTCACACCATAATCTGGTTAATTTTTTACTTTTTTGAGACAGGGTCTTGCTCTGTTGCCCAGGCTGGAGTGCAGTGGCTTGATGATGGCTTACTGCAGCCTCAAACTCCTGGGTTCAAGCAATCCTTCTGCCATAGCCTCCTGAATAGCTGGGACCACAGTTACATGTTACCATGCCTGGTTAATTTTTTATTTTCACTTTTTGTAGAGACAGGGATCTCTCTATGTTGCCCAGGCTGGTCTTGAATTCCTGGACTCAAGTGATCCTCCCACCTTGGCTTCCCAAAGTGCCAGGATTACAGGCATGAGCCACCACGCCTGGCTGGTTAATTTTTACAAATGAAAAATAAGAGCAAGAGTCTGCTGAGGTAGGTAATCACACTGAGTCAAGCTGGTGGGAGTTGTTTTTTTTTTTTTTTTTTTTTTTTTTTTTTTTTTTTTTGCCTGAATTATCTAGGTAAACACAGACATGCCTAAGAAATAAAAGATCTATATATATAAAGAAGCTACATTAAATCTTCATTTTAAATTTTCGTTAAATTCTAATTGTGTGTATGTTTTTTTAACTGGGCTGACAGACATTAATAACTACTGAATTAGTGAATTTCCATTGGCTCTGGATCTGTAAATAGAACAAAGCCATCTGTGGGTTAGAGACCACGGAAGCTCCTGCCTGGCCTCCCAGAGGTTCATTGTAACCTTGGGTCACAGATGGATGTGGCTCAGCTACCCTGAGTACTAGCTTCATCTGGCCTCAGAGCCCCAGAGCCAAGAGCAGGTGTAAGCCACATGCCTAGTCTCCCCAGGGGCTAGGAAAAGCCGCCTTGAGACCAAGGCTGCAAACAAAAGCTGGTAGAGGAGATTTCCTAGCTGTTTCAGACTGTGCCATAGATGTGAAACTCAAAGGCGAAGGGAAAAGTCAGCCTTCCTTATTCCAGCCTCTCCTACCTGCCTGTGTCCAAGAATGCTTCAAACCCAGAGATGCTTTTACTAAAATGGATCTCCAAGTTTGAGCCCTGGTGTTCTTACCATTTTGCTATTTAAAGTCTGCACAGGTATCTGGAGAACTGTCTGAATGGCTACCTCCCCCAGCATCTCCCTAACTAACTCACTCAATTTTTGCAGAGGGTCCTCTTTCAAAGAAATACCTGTGGCTGGGTGTGGCAGCAGGGCATGCCTGTAATTCCAGCTACTCAGGAGGCTGAGGTGGGAGGATCCCTTTTGCCCAGGAGTTTGAGACTGCAGTGAGCTATGGTTGTGCTGCTGTACTCCAGCCTGGGCTCTGTCATCCAAGCTGGGGACCCCAGCTCTAAAATGGGGTCTCTTTATTTTTAGATACCCTGTCTCTAAAATAATAAATAAAAAATTTAAAAAATAAGGAAACACCTCTGCCTCTGCTAGTCTGCCTTTCTCCCATTCTAGAAGGCCTTTTGTTTTTCTTTTCTCAAGTTTATTTCCCACTTGAGTAAATGTATTATTTCCTTTCCCTGATGTAAGAAAATTTCCTCTTACAAATGTTTTTTAGCCAATGAAGAAAATGCACTGGCAAGGACAGGGGCCTCCATCTCTCATGTGATCCAGAGAGATTCCTGTGAGCTGAGGTTTGCTCTTGGGAATGCCTGTTTGGATGCAGAGGGTTAGAATGCAGCTAAAGAAGGACCCTTGCCCAAGGTCCTCAGGTTTCCATGGCTCAGTGTGTATCTGACACCAGGGAGGTTTGAAGAGGGAGTAGGGGTGGCCAGGGATTAAATAAATGGTTGGAGGTAAGGGAGGATCTGGAAGGGCTGAGCCGTGTTCCTGTAAGGTCCTCAGGAGGCCAGGGCGCAGTGCCTGATCCTGTATTGCAGGCTGAAGCGGCTTAATTGCTGGTAATTAAGGCAGGATCTATAGTTTCTGGGCATGCCTAGTGGGGGAGGGGCTGGGTTTCTGGCCTTGGATGAGCTGCAGGAAAGCAAGCGGCTGCTCTTCTGAGCTTACAGCTCAGACACTCCCAGCAGGGCCTGTTGCTGGGCAGTTTTCAGCACTAGGAGTCTTTGCAAACCTGCTCTTTGAGGATGGAGATTGTCTTTTCAAAGGAACTCAAAGTAGAATATGAATAGTTAACCTTTATTGAGAATTTACCATAGGTCAGGAATTCTGCTAACCACGTTTAATTCTCAAAACATCTCAATGGGTGAATTTTTAATTGATGATGATAATAAAAGATTGGATAATTTGCTCAAGGTCCACAGTTCACACAGAATGCAAATTTAGTTAATTGGATTCCAGAGTCTGTGTTTGCAGGCACCACGCTCTTCTGCAGAGATTGCAAGCTGGTAGCCTATAAGCCTTCAGTGTGCCTGATCCCCACATTGCTTTAAATATAAAAATGTTCAATAAAATTAAGGATTTCTGGCTTTTTTGAAAAAATGATAATGTCTTCCAACACTGGCCCAATTTTTGCATGGCAACAATGAATTGGGACTGAGTAGCTGTTGCCCCTTCTAGAGAGGGAATCTCCAGTTTTTCTGTTTGTACTGCTTCTTCTTGCAAAACTCCTAGCCCATTTCAATCATTTATGAAAATGACATGCCTGGCCCTCGGCATTTTGAAATTGTGACACTGCCTTTTGTCAAGCAAAATAGATTAAGACATAAGAGTATGAGCTGGAATAGAGAAATGAGGTGGTAAGACCCAGTTACACGAGCCACAAGTGTCTTTGCACTTAGTCATACACTCCAAGAGCACAAGCTCATCGCTGAGGCCAATTTATCCCTAGTCTCATTTTCAAGTTCACAGATAAGCAGAGAAGGGCTGGCTCAGGGTGGGGGTAGAAATGTACAGAAATTTCAAGAAGCATTGTAGTCTGAGATAAGCAACTTTCCCCATCTACTTTTAGGATATTACTTTTCATAAAGCTTTACCATAAGTTCTGCTTTATCATCTCTGCCTGAGCTTCCAGCTGGACAGACTCCGAAATCTAAAAGCCTGCAACTTCCAAAGGAGGACATTTAGCTGCCCAAGGCTGTACAGCCACACCAGGCTGATTGCTTCTGGGTAATCAGGTGGGAAATATCATCTGCATTTAGGGTTTCCTGTGCCATCAGTCTTCTCCAGATGCCTGCAGAGTTGAGATTCACGTACCCACACCAGCAACACTGTCCCTTAAAGGGCTGTAGTGCTTTTTGGGAAGTAGAGTAAATAAAATGATTTATTAGTTTTCTTTAACCAGAAGAATCAATCACTCTGGTCAAGGCAAGGACCATCATGTGGTGACATGATGTTGAGGTCCAGCTTTTGAACTCTTCAGAGTAAGCCGAGAATGATCTTACATCAGGCACCTCCAGAGAAGCATGGACCCCTCAAGTCCACTGTGACCACCAAGCTGAGGCCATGAGACTCCGGAAAACTTTATCTTAGAATATGTCTTCTTTGCATAAAAGGAACAATTAAGCTTGGCTTCCTGACATTGAGGGTGACTAGGCTTTTCCCTAACAACCGGTAGGGCAGCTGGCATTTTCATGCTTTCACAGCCGGAAGACTCTAGCCCCAAGTTGTGTGCTCTAGTCTCTCTTCCAGACAAGTATTTTCAGAATTCTTGACTAAAATATCTCAATAAAGGCTGCTCTTTCCTAAACCTCAACCTCAGAGCTTCCCTGGAGGATGACTCATCTTGAGCAGAGGCAGCGCAGCAGACCTGTATGAGCAGGGCGTGGGCTTGGACAGCCCTGGGTTTGCAACTGGCTTCTCTGCTTGCTGGCTGGGTGGGCCTACAATTCAGTCACCTCACCTCCCTGGGCAAAGATTTCTTCATTCAAGGAATGCATAATGACCCTGCCTCCCAGGGTTGGAATAAAACTTCTTTAAAATAATGCAGCACAGAAAAGAGCTTAGAAAGATGTTTGTGTGCGGTAGTGTGAGGGGGGACAGATCATGTGTTCCAAGGGAATACAGGAAGGGTTTAATAAAAGGTCTTCCTGATTCTGTCCCCTGCCTGCGTCTCTAATTTTCTTGTTCCCATTGCCCTTTCTCACTCAGTGTGGTGTTTCTTCTGCTAAAAACATTCTTCCTACCCCTCACCCCACACTTGCCTCACTCCCTCTTCCTCCCTCTTCAGGTTGCTGCCTTCCCTGGCCTTCCAGACTGGATCAGGTCCCCAGGCCAAACTTTTTGAAACCAAGTTGTACTTTCTCTTCACAGCATTTCCTGCTGTATCTGAGATGATGCCACTATCTGTCTCCCACTATTCTTAGAACTTCCTAAGAGCAGGGCTCTCCTGTTTTGCCCACAGCTGTATCCCAAATGCCTAAAAAGAACCTGCCACATAGTAGGTCCTCAATAAATATTTGCTGAATGAGTAATAAAACTTAGCTTGATCTTTCTTTTGATTATACAACAGTCAACAGACGTATATTAAGAAATCATTCTTGGCCAGGCGTGGTGGCTCATGCCTGTAATCTCAGCATTTTGGAAGGCCGAGGTGGGCAGGTCACCTGAGGTCAGGAGTTCGAGACCAGCCTGGCCAACATGGCGAAACCCCGTCTCTACTAAAAATACAAAAATTTGCCAGGCATGGTGGCGAGCATCTGTAATCCCAGCTACCCAGGTGGCTGAGGCAGGGAGAATTGCTTGAACCCAGGAGGCGGAGGTTGCACTGAGCTGAGATCGCACCACTGCACTCCAGCCTGGGTGACAGAGTGAGACTCTGTCTCAAAAAAAAAAAATTATTCTTAACCATCTAAAATTTAACTCATAATGGATCAAAGGCCTAAATGGAAGAGCCAAAACTATAAAACTCTTAGGAGAAAACATAGGGGTAAATGCTGATGACCTTGGATTTGGGAATGGAGCCTTACAATATGACACCAAAAGCACAAGCAACAAAAGAAAAAAGTAGATAAATTGAATATTACTAAAATTAAAAACTTTTGTGTTTCAAAGGACATCATCAAGAAAGTGAAAAGGCAATCTGCACAATGGGAGAAGTTTTTCCAAATCACAGATCTGATAAGAAACTTGTATATAGGATGCATTTTAAAAATTCTTATAACTCAATAGCAAAAAGATAAATAACCCAATTTAAAAATGGGAAAAAAAATGAATAGACATTTTTCCAAAGAAGATATAAAATAGCCATTAAGCACATGAAAAGATGCTCAACATCATTAGGTATCAGGGAAATAGAAATCAAAACCATAATGAGATACCACTTAACACCTACTATAATGGCTAGAATCAAAAATTCTGATAATAACAAATATTGGTGAGGATCAGAAACCTCATTCATACGCAGCTGGTGGTAGTGTAAAATGATGCAGCCATTTTTGAAATATAGTCTAGCAGTTCCTCATAAAGTTAAAGACAGAGTTAGCGTTTGACCAGCAATTTTACTCTGTGATATACCCAAGACATATGAAAAAATGTCCATACAAAAACTTGTGTATGAATGTTCATAGCAGAGTTATTCATAATAGCCAAAAAAGAGAAAAGAACCCAAATATCCATCACCCGATAAATGGATAAATGAAATGTAGTCTATCCATACAATAGAATATTATTCAGCCATAAAGGAGGAAGTACTGATATATGCTATGACATGAATGAAAACATTCAGTTAAGTGAAAGAAGCCAGACCCAAAAGGCCACATATTATATGCTTCTATTTATATGAAATGTCCAGAATAGGCAATCCATAGAGACAGAAAGTCGATTAGTGTTTGCCTTGGGTGTGGGGGAAGGGATGGGAGGATGAGGAGTAAAAAGCTAAAGGGCACAGTGTTTCTTTGGGCCATGATGGGAATGTCATAAAATCAGTTGTAATGATGGTTTCACAACTCCGTGAATATACTAAAAAAAATCCAATTCTGTCCTTTAATGAGTCAATCATATGATATATGAATTACATTTCGAACTGCAAAAAAAGGGAAAGAGAGATCATTACATGCCCATGAATTTTTAGGTATTAAGAGAAGCATGTGACTCTCACCTGCAACGACTTAACAAGCCAGATGGGACGACAAACATATATGAAATAATAAGCAATACTAAATCAGTTATAACCAAACACTACACCACGAAGCAAAAGCTGCGGTCCTAAGAAGGCGCACAACCTATGAAGATGGGGCATCTTGCATAGGAGATATCTTAAATTCTGAATACAGAAACTACATCCTGTGACACTTGGTGTTGACACTAGCTATTTTCTAGCACTGTTGTCTGCTTTTCCATATGTTTTAGTCAGCACCTCCCAGCTAGATCGACTGTTTCATCGCTGCCTTCCCCTAGCTGCAAGCACAGTGCTTGGCACTCACTTAGGGTGGTGGGTTCTATGACTGGAGGTGGAGCCAGTGTCGGGATGTAAAGCCTCCTGTCTGAGCTGACCTGTCTCTTTTCATCATGCCTATGTCAACAAGGGATTCCTTTTTGCAAACATCTTTCCCATGTTTCATTTGTTAGCCTATCCCACAGGCCAGGAGGGCAGAAGAGCATGCTAATGTGACTGTCTGAGGAAGTAACTGGAGAATAGCAAGGAGCAGGGAGGCTGGTCTTAATTCAAGGTCTCCCAGGGGGCAAGCACCTGGCTGATCAGGGATTAGCATAGATGTTACCATCCTGCTAAACCCAGAAAGCCAGGTTGTTTATCTATTTGGGAGGTAGATTTATAGTCATGTAAGGGAGAAAAAATTGGTCTAAATCAAACTTTATTTTAGGACGAAAATAAGGGCGTGTGTGTGCAGTAGTGTAAAGAGGGCTGATCATGTCTTCAAGGGAATTAAAAACCCAAGCAAATGATAAAGTTACAAAAAAAGTGTTTGTGATCCCCAGTATCCCTGCGACCCTCTAAGATCTACAATTCTGAGATGGGGAAGATTACCTTAAGCCAGCCTCAACGTTCCTTTGGAGATCCTGTTCCATTTAATATATCATTTAATGTATTTGTTCATTTAGGCCATGACTCATTGCTTCTCTGAATTCTATTTTTTACTTGTCGTTTCTCAGTCGGATATTTTTCCACATATCAGATGTTCAACTATTTGTCTAATAGGACAATACCTACTTTGGGGCTGATAAACTGACCACATAGTTTTATTATTTGTAAATTGTAAAAGATTGTAGTAAAAATGTCTTCCCCTAAATTTGCCAAGATTGAGAAATCACCCTAAAGTCAGCATGTGATAAAATGCAAATTGTGTTATGTATTTTCTCAGGTATAATTCTGAGGCACCCAGAGGAAGATGGTAGCTACCTACCTATATGTTATTGTCTAATATTTGAACATATTCCCCATCAGGCTGGGGAAAGCAGACAAGGAACCTGAGCCAAGAGAGCAGGAATCTCAGGATGGGCAGAGCAAAATGGAGACTAACCAAGATGGTGGACCACATGGCTGCCTAGAAGTAATCATTTGTTAACCTTTACGTGTGGCTGAGTTTATAGCTGATGTATGCGTACATACAAATGATGTATTTATAGGTAAATGCATAGAAAAGTTCTAGAGTGATACACATCAAGCTGATAAATTCTGGAAAGAATACATTAAATTGGGGCCAAGGGAAGTGAAATGATTGCCTTTTACTCTAAATACCTTAACGTCATTGTTTTAACAAAAAATGAAATATATTTAAAATATATTCATAGAATCCTTGCATAATAAAAAAACATAAATAAGAGACTAACTAGAGAGGGTATAAGATTACATTCTGATTACTAAAAAAATAAAATTAGAATAGTATAATTAGGAGAGAATAAAAACCATCTGTAATCCTGCACGCAGAGATAATTGCATGAGAACATTCCTCACCCAAATCCAGAACAATGGGTTGTAGTCCAGGCAGAAGAAGTCTCTACTAGTAGAGAACTGGTACCACACTAATAGGACTGGGGGCAAGAGGCCAGAACTGGGCTTATCATCCTAAGGTCTGACCAGATGGAGCCATTGGCTAAGTAAGGAAGAAGCAAGCAGCTGGTCAGGCAGAGGGGTTGGGGCCAAAATTAGAGAGCAGAGCTTAGAGGGAACAGCACCAGCAAAGTGGAGGGAGTGGGACTGGGGACTCAGATACTGGAGTGAGATGTTCACCTTCACTACTATTTTCATTCTGTGCCCATAAATGATAAAATTCATCTGCAGGAGGTCAGGAGTTACCATTGGATCTTGGCCAAATAAGATGCTGGGATTACACACAGAGTTAACACTACCACACAGAGACCTCACCCTAGGTCTGTGGTAGAAATGGGACTGGGACGAAGCTCCTAAAAATAGGAGTTAGTGGCCTTAGAGGTCAGTCTTAGATAAGGGAAGGGAAGCCTGTGACAGAAAGAAGAGTCACTTGGAAAGAGTCTGGAAGAGTCTAGAGGCAATGGGGATGCTACTGGCATTGGGACAGTCCTTCATTGTGTGGACTGTTTGTGCATTGCAGGAGGCTGGGCACCCTGGCCTTCATTCACTGAAGAAATAGGGCCATCCCCACCCCTGCCCTAGTCAGAAGGTGACCCAACCCAACAGCACACATCCAATCATCCCTATGGATGGAAAGTATCCTCATTTGGAAAGCACCAGATCCAATGCCTAACTAACAGACGGTGGAGGGCTATAACCCACCAATTCTCTCCTGCTGCAGGAAAGTGGAACTGTGGCTTCGACCTGACTGTATGTGCCTGGACCATAGAGAATGGACTAGGTTGGAAAGGCTCTGAGGAACAGAAAAAAGAGGGGAAAGGCATAGAATCAAGAGGCACAGTAGGTGCAAGAGGGCCATCCCCACTTTACCCTCTGATGGAGAGAAGGGAAAGTCTGTGCCACCCTGAGCAGCAGCAGGAAGCACTCGGGGAACTCCTGAGAAGGGCCCTGCTTCATACCACTGGTTATGAAACAAGGCATCTATGTCAGTCCTTTAGCCTCCCGGGCTCTAGCTTTTGGATTTTGTATCTTTTTAAGGAGGTTGAAGAAAGCCAGTTGTTAGATCTGCTGTGACTATTTAAAGAAATGTGCTCTTAACCTATCACAGCATTAAACTTGAGATAGGGTCTGCCATATCAGTAAGATGTGAACTCCTCTATCTCAGGATCTCGCTATATTTAACCACTTAGACAGAAAGACAATTTTCATATTTACATAGGATATAGATAGTAATCATCCAATAAGCCTTGGTTCTAATTTTAAATGCACGTCTCTAGGCGTCTCAATAACTGGACAACATTGCAGTGCTTGCAATCTTAAATTAAGAGCTCAGTCTCTCATTCTATGTGGGAAAATGCATGGCATTTCTGGGTTTGCTCATTTCATTCTCACAAGCAAGTTAATTGCTTGAGTATATGTGTGGATACATTTTTCACCTAATGCTGGCCTACACAAAACTACTCAAGGAGCAGCTGAAAACATTTTTCTTTTTGAATTTGTGAAACAAAAACCAACAAGAGTTTAACATGGTAGATTACAAATGTAGGGCCTTGAAAGAAACAATAGGTACTCCAGCCCTTGGATAGTTCTAATCTTATTGGAAGGGAGCCCCCACATTTTCCCACTCATTTGTAGAGAAACTGAGCCAAAATCAGCTGATTGCCTCGATTTCTCTACAAAGAAGTGGGAAATGTGTGATTTGCCTCAGTTCCTCTATAAAGGAGGGGCAAAGGGGTGGGAAAGCTCTGCTTTTCTCCATTCTTTGGGGCCCACGTTGGCTCTGGGTGTAGCCCCCTATATTATCAGCTCAGAGAACTATGGGCAGTAGCAATAGCCATGAACCCTTTTTCGAGTGGTAACCCCATGTGGGGCATTGCACTAAACACTTCGCCGGTATTATCTCATTTAATCATCACGGCATCTCAGTGAGGTGGATGCTATTCATTTTACAGATGGTAAAACTGAGACAGCACTCAGGAAACTAAAACAATAACACAGTCGAGGTCTCTAAAACGCCCACTTTCCATTCTCTGAAGCATTCCCCGTTTCTGGCCATGAAAGAATAACCCCACACCTCTTGGTGTGGGATCCCAGGACACATAGGAAGAACCAGAGAAAAATGCAGGGCCTGGGTCAGGTCCTGATACTGCGGGCCCCTTGAGTGGCCCCCCGAAGGCAGGACCACATATTCATTTATCCAGTACTGTTAGGGGCAGGCTTGTAGTGCAATTTTTTGTTGTTGATGTTGTTGAGGGTCACGTAGGCCTTCCCGAGTGAAACGAAAGAATTAGTCCCTTTGGTCTGTCCCTTCCTTCCCTTGCTTATTCAGCACCTTCTTCCTGATAGCAGGGAGCAGCTGGAGTTGGTGAACTGGAACCCAAGCAGATCAATATCATGTGCACAAGAGGACGTCGTTAGCAGAGCACTAATGCTCATCATGGATACATCCAGTGTGTCAATCATTGTACAGAGGTTAAATAGACTCTGTCTAATGCCAGGAGATTCATCTTACTGGAACATGGGACATTTTTCTGCCTCGCTCACTCAATACAAATTTAGAGAAGGTAAACTACATGTTATTTTTAAATATTTGCAATAAGGGTTTGTAAGCAGTGCTTGCATAAATAATAAAAACATCATCTATCTATATATAATATATATAACATATATTCAAAACTGTAGACAAATGTCTTCCAATCACACTGTGTGCAAAACCTTTTTAAAAACTTGAATACAGTTTCCCTGTGCTAGGGACACATCCTGTAAGGTACCCAAGTGCCAAATTCTTTTGCAAAATGACACCTATGCCGGTAGTTTTCACTTAAATATTTTGCAAAATTAGTGTTCATGTTTTTGTTTTTATTTTTTGGTCGTCTTTTTTTAAATGAAGGCACAAGACTATTGCAATTAATAATGACTAACAACCTAAGTAAATCTGATTTCCCTTCCTGACGCTGCCGTCACCTGCCCATGCAGGAGTGGCCTTCTGTGGTGGTGAGCAGAGGTGGAGGTCTGTGCCACGTATGCCATCTTCCCTTCACACGGTGCCTCCTTTCTTTCCATTGTGTTGGGAGGCCTGGTTCTTTGCTCAAGCTTAAAATTATCTGTGGCCCTTTAAGGGATGTGGAAATAAACACAAGAAGACATGAAGTAACTGATACTTTTTTTTTAACTGATAGAAAATTTCTAAGAATACCTCTTCTTAAAATTAGAGTATTTCACCAAATTTGGTTAACCAAAGCCAATTCATGCAAAAATAATAGCTATATTATAGGCCATGGGTTTTGTCTTAAAGGATATTACTTTCTCATAAAAACTCCTACACAAATGCGAATGCAGAGAGATACATTTTGTCAGATGTCTAGCCACACAGATAAAATTTCTCTGCTTGTCATTTTTTGCACCTATGATCCTAAAAAGAAAAGAGAAATTATGAACTCCTGGTGCCAAAGGCATCCCTAGGCCCTAGGACACAGTGACACAAAGAAATGAAAATCCTTTCAAAGTCAGCAAATAATGATTGATCCCCAACTGCTTGGAGAGATAGAACTATCTAGCTACCCCAGGACTCGACACCTTTCACTCAAAGCCCCCAATAAGCTAGAAAGCTGGGGTCAGAGGGTTTGTGCAAGGCACTGGTCCTTAAAAAGAGTCCACAGATCTCAACTCCTTGCTGAGCTATTCAGCAGAAAGGGCTGCGTAAAGCTGGAATGCTGAAGCATCCCTATGTCATGCTGGTGTAAGTGGGTAGCACTAATGCTGGTGTGAGCTATTTATTTATGCCGCTGCTATCTTCCTGGGGCATGCTGGACCAGAGGTGGACTAGGATTTGTTTATCTTGTTATATTGGTCTTCTGCTGGATTAATTTAAAACTTCTTTTAAAATAAACTACAAGGCCCTTTAGACACCTTTAAACTGTGGCTGCATATATAAATATTTAAGAGAAGTAACAACAGAAACCATAATATGCTTCTAAAGTCTTTCACAAATACATGTGAAAGTGCTTGGTACACATTGACAAGCTTGTTCAAATAAGATATTCTCTATATCACTGCTATTTACAAACAAAAAAGATATTATCCATATCACTGAGATTTACAAACAAACAAGATATTATTCTCTATATCACTACTATTTATTTTTTTAAAAAAGGACTTTAGCCAGGCACGGTTGCTCATGCATGCAATCCTAGCACTTTGGGAGGCCGAGGCGGGTGGATCACCTGAGGTCGGGAGTTCAAGACAGCCCGACCAACATGGAGAAATCCTATGTTCCCCCTATCCCCCATAAAAAATGCAAAATTAGCCGGGCATGGTGGCGCATGCCTATAATCCCAGCTACTCAGGAGGCTGAGGCAGGAGAATCGCTTGAACCTGTGAGGCGGAGGTTGTGTTGAGCTGAGACGCACCATTACACTCCAGCCTGGGCAACAAGAGTGAAACTCCGACTCAAAACAAACAAACAAACAAAAAAGAGCTGTTGCATAGAGGTAATGATTAGGCTTAATTGTGTTAGAGAGCTTGGGTTTGGAAGGAATTCTGGAACACATAGACTAGTTCTATCCAACAGAAAGGCAAAGAAAGACCTCCATCTGTATGGTTCTGACCTCATCTGAATTGTTCTGGGTAAATCAGACAATCTAGGTAACAAACATCACCAGCACGTTAACCCTGTTTGAGCTGGTTTGCCTGTCTTTGTAGTCCAGGCAGTGCATCGTCCTCTGATATTTACCCCAACACTGTTTCTCTGTGTTCTGTGGGTCTGGGCTTGGTGTTCTCAGCAGGACATCAATCACATCAGCAATAAGAGAGGTGTTGTGCCCAAAACACAAAGGAGTTGTGGAAGGGCTCGTGATCTAAAAATTACTGCTGCTGCATTGTTTACAGGGCCTTTAAAAAGTCCAACAGAACCTTCTCCCCTTCTGGCCCAGGGCTTTGTTTGCACACAGACAAGGACAAGAAGCCAATTCTCTGCCAGGTCATTGCATTCAGACTTTCATCTTTCAGGGGATGCTAGAAACTCTTATCAGGGGAATAATCTTGTAGCCCATTAAACTGAGAGCAGCAGTTTTTTGCCTTGAAGTGCCTTTTAAGAAATTCTTTGACTGAAATCCATCCATATTCTCATTACGAATATTATATAGTCCCCAAAATATTTTCTAGGAACAGCTCTCCCCATTAGTGTTATGAAAGACCACAGCAGAGGGTCCCTGCCTCAGACAAGTGAAGGCCAAGGTGCCTGAAGGAAGGAAAGTGAGTCATAAAAGAAGTAAGTCATAAAATCACATAAAAATGTGATGTGTTGTTTGGGTTTATGTGTTTTCCTATAGTTGTGTTTTTTTATTCAGATGATTTATTCATATTATTTTCATTGAACATAACAGATTCTTTAGCCCATCTTCACCTACCTGTGACCTTGGGTTTTATGGTATGATAACAGTGTCGATTACAGTCACATTGGATACAAATCAACCCTGGAATAACCTAGTTGACAGTGTGTGGCAGACAGTTGTGGATAAACAGGGGAGACTGTCATTATTAGAGGCAGAGGGGTCGGGGCTCACATGGGAGTTACGGGCTGCATGGTGGGGACACCATGAACCCCAAGAACTAGTGAAAAGGGATGTGAGCAGCACAGTCATCCTCTTGCTGACTTTTCCATTTGGTTTCCAGGCCTGCACTTGAAAAAACAAAACATAATCATGTCTCTGAATATAACTTGGGCTTCTCCCAGCACACGGCTACTGGAAACATTACACTTTGCTTCTTCCCAGACTTCTGCATATTTTTAATTAAATTTTTATTTTTATTTTTTAAATAGAGACAGGGTCTCACTATATTGCCCAGGCTGGTCTCAAACTCCTGGGTTCAAGAGATCCTCCTGCCTTGGCCTCCCAAAGTGTTGGGATTACAGGCATGAGCCACTGTGCCCAGCCACTAATGCATATTAATAACAAAAATAATAGCTCCCAATTTTTGAGCATTTTCTTTGTGCCATGCAATATCTACGTGCTTTATAGACATTGATTATCTTAGTTAATCCTCCCATCAGCCCTGTGAGGTGGGCTAATATTATCTCTCTTTTACAAATGAGGAACCAAATACAGAGATTGGAGGGATTGATCTGGTAGGTGGCTGGGATACAAATGGAAGTTTAATGCTTACATTAAGCAGGACACGGGAGCGTTTCTTTCTTCTTCAATTTGTTTTCACCTCCAAGGCCTTGCCTTGGTCTTCAGCCCCCTGAGCTTCACCTTTCTAGCACTGGTTCTTAACTTCTTACTGAAAGAAATGACAAGCCACTGATCTCTATGAACATCAGCTTTGTGTCGACGTCTGGGGGTGAGATGCCCTAGTCAGCAGCTCATGCTGGGGTGATGGGAAGAGTGAGCAGAAAGTTTTTTTGTGTATTGCCCACCAGTGGCATCATATTTAAGCTCTTGAACAGTGCTGAGATGCATCAAAATAGGGGACATTTAGAAGAGCCTGGGGCCTTAGGGGGCCTCTTTAAAGAACAACCACCTCGGAGGAGTTTTCAGTTATCAGCCAAAGAATCCATTTCCTCCCACAAGCATAGAGCTTTGAGGGCATATTTTATGCTGTGGCTTCTGAGAGCCTATTTTTATCACTGTCCAGTTATTGATGAACTGAAATGTCTTTTATTTTCCATTGACACTGTCATCTTTTGCTATTTATTTTAGGTAAATATAATGTTGTGAGGGCAAAACTTCACCTCTATTTCCACAAAACAGAAGAGGAGCAATTTATGAAGCTATTTGATTCATTCTCAAGGAGATTCTTTCTTAGTTAATAAAGATGGTTGCAGTCCTGTTTTGAGTTTCTGGGTGGGACTTTTCTTTTCTTTTCTTTTTTCTCTCTTTTTTTTTTCTTTTTGAGATGGAATCTTGCTCTGTCATCCAGGCTGGAGTGCAGTGGCTCGATCTCGGCTCACTGCAACCTCTGCCTCCTGGGTTCAAGTGATTCTCCTGCCTCAGCCTCCTGAGTAGCTGGGATTACAGGTGCCTGCCACCACATCCGGCTAATTTTTGTATTTTTAGTAGAGACGGGGTTTCATCATGTTGGTCAGGCTGGTCTTAAACTCCTGACCTCGTGATCCACCCACCTCAGCCTCCCAAAGTGCTGGGATTACAGGCTGGGTGGGACTTTTCAATATGAAAGATCTTAGATTTTTAAAGTTTGTCATTTGCCTCTGCTGCTGTGTGGAGATTTCCATTTTGGAAACATTTTGCTCAGCGTCAGGACTATGTGAGCTGCTGCAGTTATGTGACCTCCTTCCCTGTCCCTTCCAGAGGGCAAGGATTTCTGCTGGGAAGGGCTGAACAGACACAGCCACGAGCTCTTGCACTGTCATTCCTCAGTCCCTGCAGGAGGATGTCCTAGAGCAACTTACAGAGCTGAGCGCTGCTCTGCCCCCTGCAGTCCCCGGGGACACGGGGGTGGGGGGAGCCCAGGGCTGTCTCCAGCAAGCTGTCCATCATTGTGGCGATTCAGAAAGCTGACCTGAGATCCAGCTGGACTTCCTGTGCCAGTACCTTCCCAGCAGCTTCCTTGAGAAATCGGCAGGCACCATCTTCCCTTCCCCTGGGAAAACTAAAGGAGTGATCCAGAAAGATCAAGACACTATGTCCCCTAATTCCCTCCCTGTTAATTTTCCTGTGAGAGAGAAACTTCTCAAAGACAGTGTTTGCCAAGGAAAATCAAGAGGGAACCTTGCCCCATGGGCTATTTTTCTAAGGGAAAGCTTAGAGAGTATGTGAAACCACCTGACTTTTAAGCCTAGAAATCAAATTTGAAATGTAGTATAAGAAATGTAGGATTTCCTTAGGTGAGGAATTATGATTTTATTTTAAACAACTTTTGAATAAGTAATGCAGTCACATGGGTCAAAATTTAAACAGATAGACAATAAATGGTCTTTCATGCCACCCTATGCTGTAGCCACTCAGTTTCAACCTTCTTGTGTATCCATTCAGAGATCTTTCATGCATTCACAGCACATGTATATCTACTCGCCACTTTTCCCACGAATGGTAGCACATTACGTTTAGCACCTTGCTTTTTTTCTTTTTTTTGAGATGGAGTCTCACTCTGTCACCCAGGTTGGAGTACAGTAGTGTAATCTTGGCTCACTGCAACCTCCGCCTCCCAGGTTCAACTGATTCCTGTGCCTCAGCCTCCTGAGTAGCTGGGATTACAGTATTTTTAGTAGAGACTGGGTGTCACCACGTTGGCCAGGCTGGTCTCACACTCCTGACCTCAGGTCCTCCTGCCTCGGCTTCCCAAAGTGCTGGGATTACAGGCGTGAGCCACTGTGCCTGGCCGCACCTTGCTTTTTTTCATTTTACAGTATATTTTACAGGTCTTTTGATATCTGTCCATAAAGAACCTTCTCTTCTCTATGGCCACGTAGTATTCTGCCATGCGAATGTACTATTAGTTCTCTATACTGTCCCCTATGGTTGGGCAATTATTTTCTATGGTTTAGCTATTCAAATCTGGACTAGTCACTGAGAACAGTTGGGAATCTGTCTACTTGGAGATATTTAAAAATGAAAGTTATCACATGGACACATAGAGGGGAACAACACATACTGGGGCCTATCAGAGGGTAGAAGGTGGGAGGAGGGAGATGATCAGGAAAAATAACTAATGGGTACGAGGCTTAATACCTGGGTGATGAAGTAATCTGTACAACAAACCCCCATGACACACGTTTACCTATATAGCAAACCTGCACATGTAAGCCTGAACTTAAAATAGAAGTTAAAAAAAAAGAAAGTTTAAATTGTACCTATAGGAGAGTGTCCCTGACAGTCCCTTTTCAACAAAGATGGTGTCAGCTGACGACTGCTGAAAACATGGACCCAGAATCCTCCACAGCAGGCCCTAAGGCACTAGGTGGCTGCTAAGAAGGATTCATTCACCTTTACAGCATTTTAAAAAATGAATGTGAAAACTTTAATATAGTATTTGATAATAACTTAGAAACATATCCACGTGTGCTCAAATGAGGGTTATCCTAACGTTTGCATTTAAAGCACTATAGTTAACACATTAAACCCCAGAACACATTTGACATCTGTTCCATGCTGCCATTGCGCTTAACCTGGGAACCTTCCCTTCACCTTATGGTGTGCATTTCTAATGCAGTAGAGAAGGATTCATTGCCTTCTAATTCAGAGCTTTAAAGAGTCAAACTGAAGCTATATTGATTAGCCTTCAACAACATTTGAGCTACATTTAATTATAGTCTTCAAATCAATTTCCCCATTTTGGAGCTACATTATTTATATCACTGACATAATAACATCTATTTTTGATAGATCTCAGAACCTTGCCCCATCAGCCATATTGCTAGAACAAAGGTTCTTGGAACATGTGCTGTAGGGGGAAGTGGAGGCAGGTGGAACAGCACATCCTTCTGAAATCCAGTTTGGAGAGCTGGACTTGAAATAAATGGCTCAAGAAGAACAGCTGGTTCAAGTTCTCAGTTAGATCACAGAGCACAGTGCTTTTTCTGGGGCTCACTCTTAGAAGCCTGTGAAGTAACCGAATTGTGCACAGGCCACTAGGAGATGCCAGCCGAGAGGTCACTTTGCCTGTGTGCTGTGATTTCCTTTATGGATGAGAACTGAGGCCAGGTGCCTCAGCTTCCTCTCATTGAAGTCCCAGTGCCAGGCATGTTTTTATAAGACATGGGTAAAACAAGCAAAGAGCTTCTTTTTCCCATATGCCTTGGTTCTGTCTCTAAGGCCCATTAGTCCCACCAGCCACCTCACCCACATGGTTATGCTTTCACCCAAGTGCCTTTGGCCATGCTGGCTCATGGCTCTAACCATCACCTGGTGAGGAGGATGAACCCTAAATCTCAGGTTATAAGGAGGGCAGCTGGCCTTCAGGTCTTTGTCCACAAAACCCAGGGCTAGATATACATGGACAATACCCTCTACAGAGGCTGCATCCCCTGAGTTCTAATCTTCATTAGAGAGTCTTAGAATTAGAATCTTAGAATTACCTTCACCAACAAGATCTGGAGACAAGTCATGTCAAGCACTGCTCTTTCTCACCCTCCCACACCTCCACTCTCAGAGCCTGGTCCTCTGAGATGCCTAACTTCCTTTAGAGTATTCCACCTGTCCCACCACACCCTGGGCACTAGAGGGCTAGCAACCAGGCATGATGAGGAGACAGTTAACAGGAACATTTCCCTGAGTTCATTACTCTTGTTCTGCTGTGGTCACTGTGACCCTCGAAGAAGACCACAGGAGAAAAGACTACACTGTGAGTGGGTGGCTGTGGTCTTGGTGGGTGTGACTATGAGTGAAGAAAAGAGGTAGAGCCAAGGGTTAAGGAGCTGACTTGGGGACTACAACATATCCCTACAGAAATTTCATCAATTTAGTCATTCACTCATTAATTTCACAAATATATATCACGTCTTTACTATGTGCCAAGAACTGTTTTATATGCTGTGGATATAGTCGGGGATGAACAAAATAGGTAATAACATTGCCTTTAGGTCACAATATGGTGAAATCATTTCCTGGTCATTTTTAGTTGTTTTAATTTTTCTAAAAATAGACACAGAAACATACATACCAAAATGCAGAGTAGCCATCTTTTTACTTTCTAATAGAAGTATATTGCAAGAAGGTGTATGCCTCAAAAACGTTAGCATGGGCTAAAAACCCCATGCTTGTAATTTCAGTTCAGTACCCCATTACAATAAGACTAGCCTCCCATAGAAAATGAGAGAAGATACAGCACTGCTCCAAAAAATGGAGGATCTTCTGGAAAATTGTTAATACATGCCAACACTTAGAACAGTAACAGACTCATGGCAAGCACTCTAGACGTGTCAGCTATCGGCATCATCATTGCCTTCATCATTATATTAGGCAAAAAGAGAAGCATATGCAAAGGTCTGAAGGTGAGAGAGAACATGGCATGTTCAAGGAGCTTAAAGGAACTTGTGATTGGTGAAAGATGGTGAGATATTGATATTGAGACCGGGAGGGGACAGACCATGGGGAACCTTGTAAGTCATGTCAAAGAATTTGGACTTTGGCCCCAGGGAGCTACTGATATGTTCTCACTGTCCTCTCCATACTCTGTAAGTTAGGGTCTCATATCCATTCCTCTTGACTTCTCAAATGGAATATTATTTGGCCTCTCTGCTTCTCCTTTTCCTCTTCTTCCATAGCCTGGTTGTAGCTGTCATAGCTTCCTATCATTCGTAAGATAGGGCTCCCATTAGCTCTCTTACTCTAAAACCTTTAGTGGCTACCCATTGTCCACAGAATCCAGCCAGTTGTCTGAATCTGTCATGTAAGCAGTGCTATGCTTTACTCTCCCTGGCATGCCCCCTACATCTAGTCACATAGAGCTACTTGTTTCCAAATGCCTCCATGCTTTCAACACCCTCCCTAAATGCCCCATCTCAATCCTGAAATCTGGCTGATCACTGAGCCCAAGGAAATGGTCATCCAGGATATTATTATAGAATCAAAACAAATCCAGTCTTTATAGCAGTAGGTTGGAGATAAAGTGGGTGAAAAGAGGGACTACACGGCAGGAAGCAAATCAAATTATCCTCCCTCCCTCCCTCCCTTCCTTCCTTTCTTCGTCTCTTCTGACAAACATCTCTGTCGGGTGGTTAAAAATACTTGGCCCAATGCCTTGCAGCTCACCTAGATGCTCTGGTATTGCCATGTTTCCCTGCTTAATTACTGTTATCAACTTTCTAGATTTTTGTAAACTCAACACAGTGAATAATGAGGTAAATAAAACTGATGAACTCCTTTGCTATGTACACAGACTATTTCTATAAAAATGTCACACGTATTATTAGCTTGGATTTAATCTTCTTCTCTTGCATCTTACAAATTTTTCCTAATGAACCTATTGGCTTTCCAGTGAGGGCATTATTTACTCAGTGTTAGATTTTTAATTCCTCTGGATTGATTACAGTCTGTGTATTTATTGCTTCTAACATTTCTGCACTGAATAATTTCCCCCAGTGAATATGCATCTGAAATTCAACAAATCAGACAGGCCTGAAGCCTGGGGCACAGCATTAACTAGTTCTGGCCAACCCTGGACCTTGGATCAGCTACTTACCCTCTCTAGTCAGTTTCTTTACTTCAACCAGAAAAAGCTTTCCACCCGCTCTTAGTTCACAGGGTTGCCAGAAGACTAAATAACGCAAAATATTCCCGTAAAGGATTTTTTAAAATAAAAGGACCAGTCTTTAAAATTGCACAATTCAACACAATTGTTGAATTGTTATTCAACAATTATTGGGAGCCTCCTATGAATCAGCTGGACTCAAGCACCAGGGTGACAAAATGAATCAGCCAGATATTGTTGTTAGACCCCCTACCCCTCACCCAGCCTTCGGAAGCTTATACACTAGTGGGACAGACAGGCATCTAAACAACTTTCTATCTTGTTTTCAAGCACATAGAAAAATTAGCAATAGGTGAGTTTATTTTAGACAGAAAAAAATAGGCTCAATCAGATGACAGTTTTAAAAATAAAGTTCTTTGTAGAATGCAGAAAACCTCTAAAGCAAAAGATACTTTGTGCCTTTCTTTGGAGTGCAAACTGTCCCTGAAAAATAACAAATCCTTTGGACTGAATTCCTGAATTATTGAAAAGCATGCCAAAAAAGTAAAAAACAAACACTGAAGGTCAAAAATGGGGATGTAGAAAAAGGAAGCATGGCTAAGTCAGGGTTCTTTCAGGGAGAAAATCGTTGATGACAATAGGCACTAGGCTTAGTGAAAGATCTAAATACAGAACCCATTAGAAATCTAAGATAGCTCAAAATTTATCATATAGGTCAGGCTTTACCAAACTATGACCAATGCAGAAGCCTGGAAATGTGTACTGCAAATGCATACTTGGAAAAGAAATTATTCTTTGCTTACTCTTTCTGCAGCTGGCTAGGACAAGCAATCTAGAAATAACTTCCAAGTACGGGCGGAATGACAGGGAAGCTCTAGAGCTACACTCACACTTTCGCGATGTCCCCATCATCAAGGCATAATGGAGACTTAGACACATGAGGCACTGGATCCAGTCCAGGAAAGAATGAGGTTAAGGGAAATAAGCCCCAAAGCCCAAGGCTTGCAGGAGGTACTGGCTTATAACAGGAGGGACCCTTTTTGCATCTCCTCTAACAATAGTTAGCATCTACTGAGCACCTACTATGTGCCTCACACTGTGCTAAGCACTTTAGTTGTTTTTAAATGTCCTTCAATACTTATTTGAAATAAGGACTGTTCTCACTGCATTTTAGAGATAAAATTAAGGCAGAGAGAGATTAAGCAACTTGCCCATAATCAATTCAGCTATTGAGTCCAAGACCCGGAATGAACCCAGTGCCTCTGTTTGTAACCTCTGAGCTGTAAGGGGTGGTTCCTCCCTTCCAAAGACTACGTTGTCCAGCCTGAGATGAAAGAAACACTTCTTGCAACATTTTCCCTGGGGCTCACTCTACCATGATGAACTTTTCTGTGATTAGGTTGCCAGGGTGTTTGAAAGAGTATATGAAAGAAAATTAATGAATTCTCTCTCCCAGAGTTAGAGATGGGTAAGGGTGAGGTCAGGGTAAGTTTTAATAGGAGCCAAATAAAATAAAGATAAAAACATGAGCAGTGGCAGAAGCCCTCAGAAAAGGAACAACCAGGAATCAGCAATGTGGCCCAAATAGCAGCAAGGCCAGTCAGCTGGACTCCCGGTGTACTAGGGTGAAAGGGAGATTCAGACAGGGGGATGACATGAACTAGGTTCAGAATCACAAAACTGCAGGGGCATGTTGAGAAAAGGGGTCTTTCCAGAAAATGTGCTCAGTGGTGGAGGCTAGGAAGAAAGATGTAAGCAGAAGGACTTCAGGGACTCCCCCTGGACACAGGAGGCACTAGAAAGAGAAAGAGCCTGGCCTAACCAGTGCCCGAGAGAGATGCATCAGCTAGGACTGAGGAACGCAGCCCAGGCTTCCTGGGGTACTGCTATCTGACAGCCTCCCTATGAGGCTGGCCCCTCTGCAGATTCCATCGCCTGACTCAGGGAGAGTGAGGGCCCTGCAGATTGTTCATGTCACTGGGGAAGGGTGGGTTGGGGGGTGGGTGGCACAGATCATTTGTGTCACTTTGTCACTAGGCAAAAGGGCAGAATCCGCCATCTTCTATCAAGACTCAGAATTCCTGCAGTAGCCAAGATGTTCAGATCCAGGCCCACTATACCTTGAGTTACCACCGTGAAGACTATTCCCTAGGAATGGGAGGCCACATTGAATTATACTCCCATATTTAAGAAACTCCTCTGATACAACAGATACATCCTTCCCCAAAATGGAATTTAACAGTTTGGTGACCCGGCACAACCACTAGTTGTGGCCTGAAAGTAGGCATGAAAACCTTTGAGAATCCACTTTTCAGCTGATTTTAAATTCCTTGCACAGCCTCCAAAGAGCACCTTGAGCCCTTGGTGAATTCCTTACCCAAAGCTCGCTCACTGATTGCCTTTGGATGACGTTGTTCTGATTGCCTTTAGATGATGTTGTTCACCAGCTGTAGCCACACTAGGTGAGGAGAAACTGGATGAATCCTTTGTCAGCCTAATTGGCTACACTCAGCTGCCTAAAAATAACAGACATGCCATATCTCCAAAGCTTTGGAAATAGGGTGGCAGGCAAGATTTTTATTTTTTAATTCCATGTTCCTCCATTTGCAAATGTCTGGAAAAGAACAGAATTCACCAGTATACCCAATAGGCCCCTGAGTTGGCAGATGCTGCACGTCCCAGTCTACCGAAACCTCGCCCCTCGGTTTGCCAGGCTCATAGCAGACCTCAAGGCAAGAATCTGGGCTTTCCCAACTCACTCCACCTCCCAGAGAATTCAAGACTTGAGGAAAATGGAAATCTGTGATGCTTAACCAGCAAGCAGGGAATCCCTCCACTAGGAAATGTCTAAGGTTCCTTTAATGTGAGTAGAAAAGCAAAGGCTAGGCAGGGTGCTGTGTCTCATGCCTGTAATCCCAGCACTTCGGGAGGCGGAGGCGGGTGGATCAACTGAGGTCAGGAGTTCGAGACTGGCCTAACCAATATGGTGAAACCCCGTCTCTACTAAAAATACAAAAATTAGCCAGGCATGGTGGCATGCGCCTATAATCCCAGCTACTAGGCAGGCCGAGACAGGAAAATTGCTTGAACCCTGGAGGCAGAGGTTGCAGTGAGCCGAGGTCGCGCCACTGCACTCCAGCCTGGGTGACAGAGCGAGACTCCATCTCAAAAAAAGAAAGAAAGAAAGAAAAAAAGAAAAGCAAAGGCTAGACCCCAGAACCCTCTGATTCTTTGTTAGACTGTCTAATTCCAGCCACAATTCAGATGTTTTATCCTCATTCAAACCTGAAACCTGGATAATCTCTCTTCTTGCATAGTATACTAAGGTCCCCCTGCAAAGACAGATGTGTGACAGGGAAGTTTCTTTCTGTATTTCTGGACTAAGTCAGGTAGATGTGAGAAGTGATGGAATTGCTAATCATGAAAATGTAAATAACTTTAAACAAAAATGTTTGTTGCTGTTTGCTGTCCACACATTTGGAAGTCACAGTCATTATTCCATAGGCACAATTTTGAGGTCTGATGTCTTTGAAAATATTTTCATAAACAAAATGTTGGTGTTAATTTTTAAAGTGGTATTTTAAAATGAGTTTAAAGCAGCATTAATCTGCAGCCACAGTACAAAATAATATGACTATGTGTAAATTAACACAGTATAAGCTGAGTTCACAGGTTTCAGGATCAAATTTTTGAAGATGAAGCAGTGAGCACTGAAATTCTGTTTAAGCAGAATCTTCTGACACTCCCGTGGTAGCTCCTCTTTCCTTCTTCCAATAATTTGAATTTAATTATGACAATTTGAATATTTTTCAAAATAAGGTCTACCTTCATCTCTGTAACAACAGACATATGGCTTCATTTAACTTAAATTGCTATGGTTTCATTTAACTTAAATTATTAATTGGTGTATTTGGGGGTATTTTTTTGCAGTCACACACAGAGTAAAACTTCATGTATACGGCCGGGCCCGGTGGCTCACTCCTGTAATCCCAGCACTTTGGGAAGCCGAGGTGGGCGGATCATGAGGTCAGGAGATCGAGACCATCTTGGCTAAAATGGTGAAACCCCGTCTCTACTAAAATGTGGTGGCAGGCGCCTGTAGTCCCAGCTATTCGGGAGGCTGAGGCAGGAGATGGCGTGAACCCAGGAGGCGGAGCTTGCAGTAAGCTGAGATCCTGCTACTGCAGTCCGGCCTGGGTGAAAGAGCAAGACTAAGTCTCAAAAAAAAAAAAAAAAACTTCATGTATACAAAAATCAGCTACCCTAAAACTGTAGGGAGACAAGAAATGGCTCAGGACCAGAAACTAAATAAAAAGAGGTCTCTAGTTAACCAAAGAAATCTTGGAAAATTCATGCACTAAAGACTTACGCATTTTACTCAAGGGGCAACTCAGAATCTGTTTAGAATCTATTTGACATACTATTCTAAACTTATAGATTGTAAACTACGTAAAAAGGAGAAATAATTCAAGGTATTTCTTCAAGTTCATAATGTTAACATCATCAGTAAGTGATGGCTGACGGCCCATCAGCAATGAAGGAGGCAAACAAAAAAGAAACCACAAAACAATAACTGAAATCCCCTATATGAAGTAGATACAGAACAACTTATTACAGGGGCAGCATCCCAATATTCCATCACTGTATTTCAGCCAGTGTTCACAATGGTGACTCAGAGTGATCAAAGAAAGGTAAGCTGGGTTTAGAACTCTCTCTGCAAGCAAAAAAAAAAAAAGACTACATATTGGGTACAGTGTACACTGCTTGGGTGACAGGTGCTCTAAAATCTCAGAATTCACCACTGAACAACTCATCCATGTAACAAAAAACCACCTGTACCCAAAAAATTATTGAAATAAAAAAATAAAGTTTAATAATAGAAAAGTAAAAAAACAAAAACCAAAAAAAACACTCTCTGCAGGGAGAGAAATGTTTAGGATATTTTAGAAATAATGCTTTGAAAATACTAAAATTACAAAATATATAAAAGAACCAGAAACAGGCGCTTGAAAGTTAAAATTGAGTTATTCATTCATTCAGCAACTCTCAGTGAGTATTCTTATGTACCAGGTACTGTGCTAGTCACGTCTTGGGGACACTGAGAGCAGATCCTGCTCTTAAGAAACGCATGTTCTAAGTTAGAAGCTTCAAAGCATGGTCAGAACCCCCTGGTGGTTCATGAGATCCTTCTGGGGGTCTTGGAGATACACACTATTTTCCTAATAATATTAAGATGGCATTTGTACTCATGGTGCAAAAATAGCAGTGGGTATCCTTAGCCTGAATCAGGCAGGCAATACCAAATATGCTGGCAGCTGTTGTATTGTTCACCCCCAAACACACACACACAAAATGTCCAGAGCAAAGCAGGAAAAATGATTAATTGTATTACATTTCACCCTAAAGCATATATTTTTAAAATATTCTGTGTAATAAAATGGGACATAGCCGGGCGCAGTGGCTCAAGCCTGGAATCCCAGGACTTTGGGAGGCTGAGGCGGGCAGATCACTTGAGGTCAGGAGTTTGGGACCAGCCTGGCCAACATGGTGAAACTCTGTCTTTACTACAAATACAAAAATTAGCCGGGTATGGTGGCAGGCGTCTGTAATCCCAGCTACACGGGAGGCTGAGGCAGGAGAATCACTTGAACTTGGGAGGCAGAGGTTCCAATGAGCCGAGATTACGCCACTGGACTCCAGCCTAAGCTACAGAGGGAGACTCCATCTCACAAAGATAAGATAAGATGAGATAAGATAAGATAAGATAAGATAAGATAAGATAAGATAAAATAAAGTGGGACGTACATATGAAGCACTTTGCTATATAGTGTGGTACAATGGCTGATCGGAGAAAACACACTTGAGTGATTGAGTTGCAAGCTGAACTAACCACTTTTCTCACAGAACACAATTTTCACTTGAGAGAATGATGGACAAACTGTGGTTATTCAAACTTGAGTATTTGGCAGATATTTTCTCAAAAATGAACAAAGAGAGCCTGCCATGTTACAGAAAACAACTGACAGTATTTGTTGCCAATAATAAAATTTGATCTTTTAAGTGAAATTTAGAGTTTTTGAAAACTTGAACTTACAGCTCTCCAATAATTAAAGACTCTTCTAATGAGAATAATAGTGATACAAACTTATTTTTTAATATTATATAATAAAATTATGAAATTAGAATGATGTGCATAACTCAGTTGACCCATATTTTTCAAATGACCAAAAAGCATGACATTACAAAATCATGCATGGATAAAAGATCCACTCAACGTGAAAAATAGGATAGATGTACTTTAATGTAACAGAATACAAACAGTTCATTAATTTTCTTTCGGATTACACGTTGAAACTAAACTTTAAAAATCTATACCTGTCAAGTTTCAGCATAGTATCAAAGAGGAGTATCTACAATTACCTTAAAAGGTTATTAAAATATCCTTCTCCAACTGTGTGTATGTGTATGAATGACTGAATTTTCCTCATACACTTCAACCCAAAACAATTTATTGCAACATATTGAATGCAGAGGCAGATATGGAAGTCTACTGTAAATATGTAAAACAATGCCACTTTTCTTTCTGGAATTTTTATTTTGAAAAATAGTTATTTTCCTACAAATATGTTCTTACATGCTAACATGTAATAAATAGGTTTATTGTTATTTTTTAATGAATTAATAAACAATTTTAAGAATTTCTCAATTTAAATTTCTAGTACAGTAAATATCCGCATAAAGAATTCTGCAGGGTTCTCAATAAAATTTTTTTTTTTTTTGAGACAAGGTCTCACTCTGTCACCTGAGCTGGAGTGCAATGGCACGATCATGGCTCACTGCAGCCTCGGCTCCCCTGGGCTCAAGCAATCCTCCCATCTCAGACTCCCAAGTAGCTGGGACTATAGGCATAAGCCACCATGCCTGGCTAATTTGTATTTTTTGTAGAGATGGGTTTTGCCATGTTGCCCAGGCTGGTCTTGAACTCCTGGGCTCAAGAGATCCACCCACCTTGGCCTCCCAAAATGTTGGGATTACAGGTACCGCACCTGTAATCCCCAGTAATTTTTAAGTGTTCAAAAGGTCCTGAGACCAAAACGTTTGAGAACTATCAGTCTAAGAGGACATAGCTAGACCTATAAATAAGTATAATAATTCTAACCTACTACAATAAGGGCTGTGATAGGAAGAAGCACAGGATAACATGGGGGGATACGGGAGCGGCATCTAGTTCAGTCTTGGAGAGTCAAGGAAGGTGCCCTAGAGAAGGCTATCTTTAAGCTAGAACTTGATAGATGAGAAGTTAGCATGCTAAGAGGGATGGAATGTCCAAATCAGAAGGAAGAGCTTCTGCAAAGTTCTGGAGAAAGGAGAGAATATGGCTCATTCATGAAAATAAAAGTTATTTGGTAAAGCTAGAACATAGTTTGTGGTAACCTAGGCTGTGCAGATTATATTATTGTTTCAATAAAATAAGCATATATGTATAGTGAAGGGTTAAGAATAGACTCTGGTCTCAAGTATACATAACACTAATAAGAAAAAAAATAAGCTGGACCTGGTCTCTGGTATGCTGTACTCATTTACATAAAGTTTAAAAGGGCCACCTTAATAAGTTGCCACAAATATATAATTGGAAGTTGTGATCTATATTCCATGATATCTAAATATAAGCCAAAATTTAGGCTCTCTTTAAAAGTTTTTTATATATATATTTAAAGGAATTCTAATGAGATAAAGTTTGACTTGAATTGGAAACATTACAGGCATAAATTTAAAGCCCATATTCTTTATAAATACTTTACTTTCATCCAGATCAGTGGAAGTTATCTCATGACTTCAGGTCATGGCCAACAGTGATTTCCTGTAAAAGTGGCATGGTTTGTAAGATGGACTTTGCCATGTCTTGGTGGCCTTTTTGTCATCTTTGGCATATGGCTAGTTTCCTGATTTTCCATTTCTGTTCTGTTTTAATAGTGTATTTGTCCTTCCAGACTATGAAAAATCTTTCAATCAAATGACCCCAAAACCTCCACCAGGAGTGCTGTGTTGGCAGATTTCAAGGTAGGTGTACCCTCTGCAGATGAGGCCAGGTAACCAGCAATGTTAGGGGCACGTCCATACTCAAAGCCCCTGGCTTATTTTATGGGCATTCCTGAGCTGGAACATGGTTTCTGAGAGTGATTTTTCTCTTTTGGGTGGGAGTTCAAAAGAAGCAGAAATAGATATTTCTTACTCAGAGGTTAGATCTGGTATTATTGATATCTTGGAACAGAAAGCCACCTACACTCACATCACTGTGACCTTTGGATAACAGGCTGCTGCTATGTGTTATGAATTAGGACTCACTGTCAGGAAAACGCGGTGGCCAAAGCCACATTGCTACATTTTACAAGCCTTTTCTGAGGGACTCTATTTAATTTGTAAATGTTGTTTGTAAGTAAGGTACTCCAGAGGATATTTTGCCAACGATTATTTCTGTTAACTTGTTTGTAAGTCTGCACACATGTTGCTTTGCCAGTATATCTTTGCTATTATCTGTTGATTTACTTGTCTATATATTTTGTGGCTCCTGAGAACTCTGAAGGGCAAAATAATACAACGATGGGTGGATAATAGGGTCACAGAGATTTTTTGTTGTTGTTGTTTGTTTTGTTCTGTTTTTCTTTGAGACGGAGTCTCTCTTTGTCACCAGGCTGGAGTGCAGTGGTGCGATCTCAGCTCACTGCAACTTCCACTTCTCAGGTTCAAGTGATTCTCCTGCCTCAGCCTCCCAAGTTGCTGGGACTACAGTCACGTGCCACCATGCCCAGCTAATTTTTGTGTTTTTAGTAGAGACGGGGTTTCACCGTGTTAGCCAGGATGGTCTCGATCTCCTGACCTCGTGAGCCACCCACCTCGGCCTCCCGAAGTTCTGGGATTACAGGCGTGAGCCACTGCGCCCGGCTGTATGACAGTTTTTACAGTCTATTATATTTTATGTTAAGGCATTAGCAAAAAAAAAAAAAAAAAAAATAGGGCATCAAAAACATGTCAAAGCAAATAAAACTAGTTTGAAAATAAGATCAACTCTAAAACTGTAGACACTGCCCACATCTCCCAAAAGATTTTTAAAACAGTAGACATTTAAATATGCTGTATCTCCCCTGCAACTGGCATTGTGTCTGATACCCACTGAGTAAATGCTGAATGAGTAAATGAATGAGTCACAACTCTATGACATAGAGATGCTAGATATCCACATTCTACAAATGAGAAAATTGAGACACAATGCAGTGAAGTAGCTTGTCCTTGTCCAATAGCTAATAAATGGGACTGGGTTTAAAGTTGGGTAACCTGACTATAAGCTCACTTAATTAACCTCTGCATCATACTACACATACTATAACATTATATTAGTGACTTTTTTTGAGATTGTTTATATTTAGGTAGTGTGTCATGTTCCCATCAAATACGCTGGTTGAATATTTAATAATTGTTTTTTAGTATGGAAAGAAATCAGATACACAAATATTAGTGTAACTTCCTCGCTGTCAAGAATCACTTACTGGGATAAGTTCACCAGTGACAGTGTCAAGCTCTCAGAAGACACCTTGCAAGGGTGGAAGACAAGCACAGGGGCCCTCATGTTCCAAGGACCTCAGTAGCCCCTCTTCCACACTCCCACCCTGCGTGCCACTACTTAATGCTGCTGTCATTATGAAAGTAAAATACCTTTCCAGATCAAATCCAAAACCGTCTTTTACAATTACCCTTTGTTTCACTTTGGTTTGCTTTCAGTCATGATGATTAACATATTTTGAAGTTTCATATACTTAAAAGGAAGTAGATTTTTATATTTACCCCAGGAGGGCATCTGGTTTAAAAGGTTAAGAAATGACAGTTTTGTCATGTTTTCTCCAGGTTGCGATACTCTCTGTGAGTGACAGTCATCATAACCTTCCCATGCCTGTTTTGTGTTCTGGAGTGCACAAGTGTGAGAGCTCAGAGACATGATGTTTCTGAGGCCTACTGCACACAGGGAAGGCTGAACTAATCCTGGGCACACGGGGGCTGTGACGAGTCTGGTTATCATCCCATGCTGTTTCTGTTTGGGCTGTATTGTACTATTTCCACTGTACTGCCAGTGGAATCTTTCTGATGCCATGGCCACTAGAGTGGCCAGATTCTCGCTCCCTAGTGTGGATGAAGAAACTGTGGTTCTGGGGTATTCAAGAAGCCATGTCAGGCCGGGCGTGGTGGCTCATGCCTGTAATCCCAGCACTTTGGGAGGCTGAGGCGGGCGGATCACCTGAGGTCAGGAGTTCGAGACTAGCCTCGCCAACATTGTGAAACCCCATCTCTACTAAAAATACAAAAATTAGCCGAGTGTGGTGGCACGTGCTTGTACTTCCAGCTACTCTGGAGACTGAGGCAGGAGAATCACTTGAACAGGGAGGCAGAGGTTGCAGTGAGCCAAGATTGACCCACTGCACTCCAGCCTGGGCAACACAGCAAGACTCTGTCTCAAACAAAACAAAATAAAACAAACAAACAAAAAAAGAGAGGAGCCATCTCATTCCACATGGAATCTGTGCCACTTCACAATTTTTTGTGCTGCATTTTGGCCAGCGAACTTTCCTTTATTCTCCTCTAAAGGATGTTAAGTTCTCACCATACACACATACAGATGGTAGCTATGTGTAGGGCTGGAGATATTGATTAATTTGATTGTGGTAATCATTTCACAATGTATATGTATATCAAACCATCACATTGTATACCTTGAATATGTAAAATTTTATTTGTCATTTATACCTCAATAAAACTGGGGAAAAAGATGTTTAAAATACCCTTTCTCCACTTTTTCTGGTTTCCCATATCTGCACTTCTTCCTCCCTGGAGAGTAAGGCCTATGAAGGGAGGTATCAAGTCTGTTTTTCTCATCATTGCATCTCCAGCGACTCCAGCAGTATCTGCTACGTGGCAGATGCTTGCTAAAGATGTGTTGATTGAATGAATGTCTGAACAACCAAATAAGTGAATATCCCTTTGTGCCCAGATATCACAATTTGAAAACTTTGTTTTTCATCTGGTATCTGTATATGACTTTACTTTTTAAAAGTTCACACACATATAGAAAGACTTCATCTCTGCAGTAACTAATCCATAAGCAACTATAGAATTCTTAAGAACCAAGCTCCGTTCAGAAATGGCAAATTGAAATGCCATCTGAGGGGAAATCAGATACTTGCTGACCATGGGATTTGAGAGAAACTGCCCAGTTTCCTAAAGCACAACTTCGATTGTATCACTATTTTAAAACCCAGTGGTTTTCAGATGCTCTTGCCCAGCTCCTACTGATTTAGAGGGTGAACGCTGCATATGCTGACCATGCTGCGAATGAGAAGCACAAAGACTAGAAGTGCCAAGGCAGGGGGCTTCACAGCAGCCCCGATCTTTTGGTCTGTTCCTGCCCAATTCTACCATATTATAGTTCGTAACATGGAGCAGGATTGGGGCACATCTGTACTAAATGTCAGGCTTCATGGAGCTTCCCAGAAAGAATTACACAAAGAAATTACATCTCTTGAAGTGTCTAATCCACCTGTGCTCATTTCCCATGGCTGTTGTAACAAATTACGACAATCTTAGTGGTTTAAAACAACATGAATTTATTATTTTATAGTTCTGGAGGTTGGAAGTCCTACAGTCAAGGTGTCAGCAGGGTTTTGTTCCTGCTGGAGTCTCTAGGGGAGGATCCATTTTCTTGCCTTTTCCAGCTTTTAGAGACCACCCACATTCCTTGGCCCATGGCCCTCTCCTTCCATCTTCACATCTCTCTCTCACCACTGCGTCCATCATCACAGCTCATCTGTGACTCTGACACTCCAGTCTCCCTATTATAAGGACCCTTGTGATTATACTGGGCCCATTCATGTAATTCAGAGTCACCTCCCCAGCTCAAAATCCTTAATCACATCTGCAAAGTCCCTTTTGTCAGCTAGAGTAACATATTCACATATCTCAGGGATTAGAATGTGAACATTGCAGAGGGTGAGGGCGTCATTCCATCTACCACTCCACCCGTCTGCTTTCTTCCTATCAGCCTCAAAAAGTGCCCTCCAGATCCTCCACTCTCCAAGGCACCTGGTGACAGAATACACTCACTGGCTCCTGGAGGCATCCTCCTTCTGAGCTTTCCTAGTGCTCCCAGCTGGATGAAACTACTTGTTTGTCCATACTCCTTTGTGCAACCTGGACTGTTCAGGGCATCCCTTTCTGCTGTTGGACACTTTATTTGTACGCACATACGTTACTTTCCTGATAACCTGAGCCAAGAACCAACTTTGTGCCCTCCTAGGGCCTAGAATGATGTGAGGCAGATTGCTGCTGCTCAATTATTGCTGTTAGTGCTTAGCAGGACACACAAGACCCGTCTCCCTGAGCCTGGTGCCATCCAGATGTTCCTGTCAGAGTCCAAAGACAGTACTCCTCATTGCCACCCCAGAGCACTTCTGCTAGTGAGTGACATCTTCCATTCCTGTGAGCGGGGAGGACTCCACAACTGCTGCCCATTTAGACTACTTCATCCCCAGGGACTGCTGGTAGCCTGGGAAGGGAGCCTGCATTTACGTCTGCAGCTTCCCACCTTCTGCAAGTAAGCTTGTTATTGTTTTGCTGTTTGCTGTGGCAGTGGCTGCTGTTCTGCAGTGCCAGCTGAGAAGCTTTTCTCCAAGCAGCCTTGGTTATTTCCACTATAATTCTTTTCCCCTCAGGATGCCATCCTCTACATGTGTCGGTATGACTCACTTGGTACTTGTACTTGGTAAAAGCCAGAGTTTAATGAAAAGACATCGGTCGAGAACTTTGCAGTCTCATTTGCAGCCACATCCTGGGTAGGACTTGCCTTAACTCAGGTGGAATCTTTCCTCCCCAGCAGTCAAGAGATGCAGAAGTAACAACTACCTAACTGCCAAGTACTAGGCAAAACTTGGGGCTGGGGTTGAAGTGCATTAAAGGGCAGGCATGTGAGAGAATAAAAATATGAAATCAAAGTTTCTGCTCTTACAGATTTCAAAATCAATTGGGAAGAAATGTAAGTTACTAAGTAATTGCAAAATTTTGTAAAATCTTCTAGCAGCAAAATGTAGAGCTGGGGAAAAAATGTGGATCCTTATCTTATAGTCTACATCTGGATAAATCCAAAATATTAAAAGTAAAGTCTTAAAATTACTAGGAAAAAACCCTGAGAGAATTTTTCTTACATAATTTCAGAATGGTAAAGGTCTAAGTATAATATAGGACCCAGAAGCCATATGAATGAAAGAATAGGTAAATTTAATGACAAAAAAAACTTCCCATGGCAAAATGCACAATATGAAAAGTCAAAAAACAAATGCCAATCTGAGAAAAATATTTGTAAATCATATTACAGAAAAAAGTTAATTTCCCAAATGTATAAAGAATATGATATGGTTTGGATTTGTGTCCCACCGGCAATCTCGTGTCGAATTGTAATCCCTAATGTTGGAGGAGGGGTCTGGCAGGAGGTGACTGAATCATGGGGGCAGATTTCCTCCTTGCTATTCTCACGATAGTGAGATCTCACAAGATCTGGTTGCTTAAAAGGGTGTAGCACCTCTTCCTTCTCTCTCTTCCTCCTGCTCTGGCCATGTGTAGATGTGCCTGCTTCCCCTTCACCTTCTGCCATGATTGTTAAGTTTCCTGAGGCCTCCTCAGCCATGCTTCCTGTATAGCCTGTGGAACTGTGAGCCAATTAAACCTCTTTTCTCTATAAATGACACCATCTCAGGCATTTCTTTGTGGCAATGTGATAAAGGAGTAATACAGAATATATACAAATCAATAAGAAAAACACTAACCATCTACTAGAAAAAATGGGCAAAGCATATAAGCTGACAGTGCACAGAAAAGGAAATGCAGATGGCCCTTAAACATATGCCAAGATGTTCAGTCTTATATATAATAAGGGAAATGGAACTAAAATCACACAGAGACATAATTTTTAAATTATGTTAAATGGGCTAAAATTTAAAAGTTTGAAAATACTTACATTTTGAGGCATCAGCAGCCCACCCATCTATTACTGGCAGAAGTATATACTGGTACAACACCTATAGGAGGCAAGTTTTTAAGATCTTCCAAAATTGCAAACATGCATATCCTGGACTCAGCAATTTGCTAGAAATTTATCCTATGGATAGTCTCTAACCTGTGGGAAAAGACATATACAGAACTTTATTTACTACAGCACTGTTTATATTATCAAAAGACTGGAAGTCATCATCAACAGAGGAGTGATAAAAATAGAAGAGTGATAAATTATGATATTCACACAAAATGGAATTCTATGCATTGCTCAAAAAGCAATAGGGATACTCCTTATGATGGTTATGGAAATATTTCAAAGATATGGTAAGTGATAAAAACAAGATGACAGAACAGTTTGTTCAGTGTGCTGCTGTTAGTATACAAAAGAAAGGAGGAGTAAACTGCTAGCTATTTTCAAGAATAAGCTCAATATATTTCTACCAGTTCTTTTTGCTCATGCTGTTCTGTTCATGTAGATTGTCCTTTCTCCATCTCTGCCTGTTGAAAAATATTGTTCTTCCAGGACAATTTCAAATACTTCTTCCTCTATGAACCTTTATTGATCTCCTGAGTTAAGCACTCTCTCAGTTGAACAAATCTAAAATTATTAGGAGAATAGTTTTAAGGTTTGGAATGAGAGATCCTTTCTAAGACAGACAACCCCCATTAACTCATAAAGAAAGAAGCTTAGCCTAACCTTATAAGAAATTTAATAATTTGTATGGTCACAGACATAATAAATAGACATAAATACAAAATCTGATGACACACTGAGAGGAAATATCTGCAACATATATTGATGACGAAAGCTTATTATCCAGATTATATAAAGAGCTTCTAAAAGCCAGTAAAGATAAAAACAATAGTCCAATCAGAAAAAAGACACATCTTGAAGAGTTAAGCCAATAAAGAAAGAAAAGCAGTTTAAAAGGTGCTCAGTTTTAAACAGTAAATATTTCTCTCCCTTTGGTGAGTAAAAAATAAGAAGACTTACATTATGATGTGGGGAAAGAGGCAATGATGTGGAAGGAATATAAATTGTTAAATTCTTTTCAGAGGGTAATTTGGCAGGAGTCATCAAATGTTAAAATTAGGTATCACCTTCAACCCATCTGTTTGGCTTCTAGATCTAGGCATCTGTGCTCAGAGAAACATATATGAGTATAGAAGCACTTACAAGCATGGTCATTGCACACTATTTATAATAGAAAAAAACCAAACACCACCTAAAGGACCACCAAGAGGGGAAAGAGTAAAGGAAATATGGTAGATTCATTCTATGAGCTACTGTGCAGCAGTTTTTAAAAATAGATTTTTACATATTTGAAAAGAGCTTCAAAGGGAAAATGCCATTTGAAGAACAGTATATAAAATATTGTTCTATTTATATGGGGAAGATACATGTATACAGTCAGCCCTCCATATCCACCAGTTCTGCATCTGTGGATTCAACAAACCATGGATTGTAATTATTCAGAAAAAAATATATAAAAAAAGAATGGTTGAATCTGTTCTGACCATGTGCAGACTTTTTTCTTGTCATTATTTCCTAAACAATACAGTATAACAACTATTTACATAGCATTTACACTGTTTTAGATATTATAAGTAATCAAGATTATTTAAAGTATACAGGAGGATGTGCGTAGGTTATAAGCATCATTTTATATAAGGAACTTAGGCGTCCCTGAATTTTGGTATTCACAGGGGACAGAGTCCTAGAACCAATCCCCTACATATATGTGTACATTCTACACACACACACACATGCACACAAAATAGTTTAGCCTCTAGGAAGGGGAAGAGAACTAGGGGTAGCAAAGAAAGAACTTTCATTTTCTTCTTTATACATTTATAGGATGTTTTTTGTTTTTCTTGTTGTTGAAGGATAGTGATGTGAAGGACCCAGTTCACACAGTTAGGAAAAGGGACTTGATTTCAGTCAATTGGCCTTCCAGTGTGATATTTTTTTTCCACTGTTCCACCAAAAGAAAATAAGAGGCACTTTCGGAGTCAAGGATGATTGAATAGAAAGAAGTATAAGATATTTTCCTCTGGCTATGAAGTTCACTATGGAATTTTCAGAAACATGCCTCTTCTAACTAACCTAATAGCCACTGTTAAGAGTTAGGCCCATTTAGTTTATGGGCATAGAGAATGGCTGCAGCCATCAATGACATAGCGTATAGATTATCCTTTTAAAATGTTCTCTAATACTTCATACCTTGTAAGTCTTTTCCCTAATTTTCCTTTTGTTTCTTTCCCCAGGCTCTCTGGAATTTTTCTATAGCTAGCTTAAAGTTTGGAAAGAAAGGACTGATAAATGCTGAGTAAACAGACTATTTCTTGACCCTTAAATGACATACTGTCTTAAGTTACACTCTAGAGAATGACTTTAATTCTAACTAACAACACAACACTGGAGGTTCATTCAATGTGAGATTTACTCTGACTGTTTTATTCTTCCCACCAATCAACACTTGGGCTGTGCTTCATTTCCTTTATTTGCTTTAAATTCAATAGCATCAGTGAAGGTACCATATAGGGGAGGTCATAGACTTTGAAATATGACATAGCAGAGTTCTTTTCACAAGTTTTCAACTTACTATCTTTGTGATTTGGAGGAATTGTCTAACTTTTCTCCATGTCAGTTTTTCATCTGTCAAACAGCAATAATAATAACTAATGGCAAAAAAGAAATCACAATGACATTAGAAAATGTTATGAAATGAATGATAATGACAATAAAGACACAACACATCAAAATGTGTACAGGGCAGCTAAAGCAGGAGTTAGAAATATTTAGCCTTAAATGTATTTATCAGAAAAGAAGGAAAACTGACAATTAATTACTTAAGCTTCTCAAGCAGCTACAATAGGAAGTAAGATAAAACCCAAAGAAATTAGGAGCAAAACAGCATGGATAAAAACAGCTTCAATGAAAATATATATACACATACATAAAATAGAAAACTATCAATAATGTCAAATGTAGGTTTTTGTAAAGATTAACAAAATTGATAAACCCCTAGCTGGACTGATCAAGAAAAAAACAAAGAAAATACAAATTATCGAGATCAGAAATGAGAAAGAGACATCAATACAGACTTTAAGCCATCAAAAATATAAATAATACCAGTGGGAATTCACTGAAGTACTTTAAGCACCTAGCACACTACCATGGCTCATAGAAGCCATTCATTTAGTCATTGAATATGCTTTGACTGAGCATATGCCCTATGCTGAGCAAGAGGAATGCTAAGGTATATGGGTGGCTGGGTGGGTGTGAAAAGGGTGTGTGGGGGTGGGGATAGACATGTTCTTTGCTCCTGTGGAGCATAGAGTTCAACTAGTCTTTTCTTTATAAATTACCCAGTCTGTGGTAATCTGTTACAGCAACAGAAAATGGACAAAAGTAGTGCTCTCATCAGGAGGAAAAGCAAGGGAAAGCCTGTGTTGGAGGGAAGGATGGTTTGGCACAAAGTCATTGTGGCTGATGCTGGAAAGTAAGGGCAAGTGGAGGGGCCAGATGAAGCTGCTGAGATAAATGGGGACCAGCTTGTAGGTGACACTGAGAAGTCTGGTCTTTATTCTAAAATGGGGAGCCATTTGTGTTTTAAGTGGAGATGGGGCAACAAAACCAGATCAGAAAAGATCATTCTCCATATTGTGTGAAGCATGGATTGGGTGAGTCATTGTGGATATACAGATGCCAGTAAGGTGACTATTGAGGTTGCATGGGAAAAAAAAATAGCTAGACCTACTGTTTACAATATAAATTAAACTGGAAATAGCTCAAATGTTCACCAACAATGGACTGGTTGAGTAAATTATAGTAAATAAACATAATGGGTTACTATGCAGCTATAAATAAAAATGAGGAATATTAACATATATTATTGTAGCGTTATAGCCGGGATATAGTGTTTGATGAAATAAGCAAAGTGGAGAAAATTGTATGTATATGCTGCTACTTGCATTTTTAAAGTGAAAGGCTAAATCAAGGTAAAAAATTGTTACTCACAGGAAGAGACAGGGAGAAAGCTGGAGGGGACAGGGATAGAGGCTAAAGTTCTCCAAATACAAATTGTTTTGTAGATTTCACCTTGGAACCATGTAAATATTTTACATTACTATAAAGCAAAATTAAATTGTAAAAATCAATTCATAAAAACTGAAAACAAAATGAAACAAATGAACATAACTATGCACTGAGTTAGTGGCACGATCATATATAACAGAATTAATTACACTTTAAAACTATATAGCTTAGGCTGGGCACGGTGGCTCACACCTATAATCCCAGCACTTTGGTAGGCTGAGGCGGGCAGATCATCTGAGGTCAGGAGTTTGAGACCAGCCTGGCCAACATGGCGAAACCCCATCTCTACTAAAGGTACAAAAATTAGCCAGGCATGGTGGTGGGTGCCTGTAATCCCAGCTACTGAGAAGGCTGAGGCAGGAGAATCGCTTGAACCTGGGAGGCAGAGGTTGCAGTGAGCCGAGATGGCGCCACTGCACTCCAGCCTGGGCAACAAGAGTGAGAATCGGTCTCAAAAAAAAAAAAAAAAAAAAAACAAAAACAAAAAAAACAACCAACCAACCAAACAAACAAACAAACAAAAAAACTATATACCTTAAAATGTTTTTAGTAATCACATTGTTGGCAAAAGTGTTGCATTCGTATCTAAAACTACCATGAGGGTAATTTGTATATATTGTGGAACAAGAAAAATGAGAAACTATCTGCTGTTCTAATTCTGTCACCTTGGAGTCTTTGAAAACTGGAATTCTAGGCATAGGACAAAGGAAATACAGATGCAAGATAAAACGTTAGGCAAAATCCCTGTAGTCCCGATTCTGAGTTAGAGGTATAAGTATGAACTCATACTTGAAAAACAATTTATTTCATATTTCTGTCCACTGAAAATATCTAGAAACAATGATCAAAATAGTAGTAGCACCTGGTATACAGGGGTCTCCAAATACCATTACCCACGTAAGGAACTTGGATTCCATAGAGAAACGGCTCATTCCAGGTTCTGAGGCCAGATATGTGCAAGGTAAGCTAGGGATACCTTACCATACTACTGGCCAAAGATGAAAAAATGAAAGCATCAATATGAATAATGTAAGTTATATTTGTAATGATACAAAAAATTAGTCACCTTTAGAGAATGATTTGGAATAAATTAATTATTTTGAAAATCAGTAAATAAAGAGAAAAAATCATTTGTTTATCCTTCTTTTCCTGTACATACCGTACCTCAGGGTAATCAACTGACAGGATAACGCTTCTCCTAACAGAAGTCTTCTAGCTGTCAAATAAATAATAACAAAATTAGAATATTATCATTTTTTCAATCCATAGTGAAATAATGGATCTAGGTAATGATCATCAATAGCTGCTAAAATCACAGAATGAGGGTTAACTAGTCTTTAGGTGCCTTCTGATGGAAGATCACAATATTACCTATGAAGTATACATGTAAAAAATATCAAATCTGCATCTGATCAAGACTTTAGTTCTCTCAGAAAATTCAGAAGATAGAAGAACATGTTAAATAACACAACAGGTGATGCAATCGGCAAAATTTATGCTTTGTGAAACTCTGCTGAACAATGTTGCCACTATTCAACAGAAAATTACAAGGAAAAAAATAGCAGGATTACATAGATCAAAGGAGTTTAAGACTGATGAATCAGTTGAAATATATAGACATTATTTCAATCTTGATTTAAAGAAGCAAACTATAAAAATCTATGGATTGGGGATAATGGGTATGTGGGTGTTACTTACATTATACTCTCTCTGTTTGAAATTTTCCATAGTAAAATGTTAAACAATAACAGCCAAAAACAACTAACCCCATACCAAAAACAACTAATCCCTATTAAGTGCTCATTATATGCAAGGCACTGTTTTAAGTAATTTGCATATTTAAACTGTCCTCCTGTCCATGAGGTCGGTACTCATCTCTACTATACAAATGAGAAAACCAAGGTATAGAGTGGTTAAGCACCTTGCTTAAGGCCACACAGCTAATAAATTATGGTATTAGGATTCAAAACCAGGCAGTCTGACTCCAGAACCCATTTTCTAACCGGTACACTAGTACCTATCACAATGATGCTAGCTTGGACTAGGTTGGTGATAATGGAGAAACGTGGATGGATTGAAGAGATACTGAAGGTGAAATTGACCAGACTCCATGCTGGATTGCACACGAGGCTAAGGGTCAGGGGAGAGTCCAAAATATTTGTGAGGTTTTGGTTTGCATCATGGGATACATGGTGTTATGGTTCATTGAAATAACAAGAATGAGAGAGGATCCCGTTTAGAGGTAAAAGATGATTTGGGTTTGGAGCATGTCAAGATTCTGGTGCCTTTGGTATATCCAGGTGATGTCAGTTGAGCAGCTGGCAATATTGGTGCTCTTATATGTTAGTTTTCCCCCTTTTTCCTCCTTAGAACTGTATACATTTTCTTGGGATGAAGAGGGGAAGGGGCTACTTTTCTAGTATTGAAGTATAATAATGTAATATTCTGTTCTTGTTTCAGAGGTGTTGTAGCAGTATCACTTGCACATTTTATAAGACTGCTTTTGCTCCATTGTCTTAGTAACTGGGAGAAAACAGGTCAATGAATCAACCATCCCTTGATTGCTTACTATGCCCAGCCACTGTATTAGGTGCTTACACATTCTATCATTTCCTTCTTTCTTACAGTTACTTTAACAGTTATAAAGATGTTCTTCTTCTCATTAAATAAGGAGATGGAAGATCAAAAAGAGTAAGTCACTTGCCAAAGTTACCGAGCTGTAAAGTAGTATTCTGCATCCCTAGTCTGTGTTCTCCCATTATGCCTCTATTTTTCAAAGTGTGGGTGATGACTTAGGTGGTCACGGTCATGGTGTTTAATTGCACAGACACACACAGTAAGAAAGCGCTCTGTTATAATTTTCATCCAATCTTCTGTTGCAACATGGAGAACAACTCAGTTAGGTGTTAGTATCTCTTTAATACCTCTCTAACACTTGGCCAATCTCTGTTTTCAACCAAGAAAGGAGAGCCTTGGACTCAGAGTCTTGAGCAAATCATAACAGTATGTAGCAGGAATTTGATCACATCTTATCTTCATTGTGTATATTTTTAGGGATACTTTCTATTAATAAGTGATATTAGTGTTTCCATTTATACAGCAACATAGAATTGCATTTAAAAATAAATTTAAGTAAAAGAAATAAACTGCATAAAAGAAAACTATTACATACATAAAAGTAACAATGGTTCAAAGAAAGGAAAACCAAACACAAACTAGATGAGGCTGGAATCCAACGGATGACCTTTAGAAAACAGTGCTCTTCACCATATTTCCTGCCCCTCACCCCAGTTATGGGCTTTGGTGCTGGCCTTACTTCTTGAACAGCAATTGAATATCTTAACCAAAATATTATCTGGAAACACTTCATCTAGTTACTGGTGAATGCAGCTAGTTGGAAACACTTCATCTAATTACTGGTGAATGCAACTCTCTAGTGATCCTGTCACAGATCCCAAATACTGCGGGCCAGACGGTATTTTCATTCTGCATTGATCAGATTGACATGTTGGATGGAACCCCCCAGCCCTTGGCTGCCCAGCATGTCTCCCATGCCAGGGTGTCAGGAAAGATATAAGAGCAAAGAGTACATGACCAATAAGTCATGGCAGCTAACACCTAAGACACTGGGTTATTTTGGAAATCTTAAGAATATCTAGGTGATTATCTATCTATCTATCTATCTATCTATCTATCTATCTATCTATCATCTATATTTTACTAACAGGCATTCTAGTATTAAAGCTATGTTGACTAATTTCCATCTATTCCTCTTCCTTAAAGCTCGAATTCCCCAGTCTTCTATGATACCATGTTTGCACATTTTGCTCTTTCCTCACCCTCCTCCCCTTTTCTGGGACAGAAGCTATATTCAGTATGTTTGTGAGAAACGGTTGTAAATAGGCTGCCTTAAAAAAAAAAACAAAAAAACAAAAACAAAAAACACATTTTTTAGTTCTTCTAAACACAAACAAAGGCAATAAAAATTCCCAATGCTACAGGTATTTTAAAAGACATCATTGTCACGAGGTAATTTTGCTTGTGTGTTCCCCAAGGAACTGAAAAGTACATTATAGTCACTGTAACCCTGCTGAGTAGAGACAGTATCTTCTCTTTATTCTTTGTTATTACTGATACTATCTGTTCAGCACATTAAGGAAAGAAATTGGTATCTAATATAATACATCTGCATTTCTCTCATTTCCCATGAGCACCACAAAGCCAGTACTTTTTCATCCTTGGCCCTGCCAGAGTAGAATCCAAGGCCTGAACAATAGTAGGCTTAAGTTTTGCATTTTTGATGTATTCTTTAAGTGAAGGTGGTAAATATTGATATTGGTAAATATCAGTAAATTCGTCTTCTTAAAGCCACAAGGTCAAAGAAAAGACAGGTTCCGTCTTCCTAGGCGGGGTACCCACAGCCCCGCATCTGCCCACTGTGGCTATCCCAGTTCCTGAGAACCTGGCTACATCATACACAGCACACAAGGCAGAGGCCTGACTAGTGCAACTCCAACAAGAGAAAAGACCCCCACTCCGAAAATGGAAACTCATCCCATTCCCATGCACAGACAGGGTGAGGGTGAGGAGTGGGCAGTGGGTGTGTACGTGGTGGGTGGTGTAGGTTGAGAGCGTCTTCCCCCTTCACGGCTGCAGCAGGAGCTCAGCGGGCGCCCCAGCCCCTTGGCTCGCGGCCCTGCCCCGACCATTGTCCGCACACCTCGTCCCTCCAGCTTCCGGGCCGCGGGCGAGATGATTTGCTGCAGATGACATCAGCCCCGGGCCAACGGCTGGAAGAGCGGAGGCAGCCACCGCGTGAGGATGTGCCGGGTGGTCCTTTCCTCCTCCTCTTCCTCCTCCTCCCGGCTCCCTGCCTAGTCTCCATATAAAAGCGGCGCCGCCTCCCCGCCCTCTCTCACTCCCCGCTCCTCTCCGCCGCGCACTCTCCGCGGCGCTGGGAGAGGGCGGAGGGGGAGGCGGCGCGCGGCGCCAGAGGAGGGGGGACGCAGGGGGCGGAGCGGAGACAGTACCTTCGGAGATAATCCTTTCTCCTGCCGCAGTGGAGAGGAGCGGCCGGAGCGAGACACTTCGCCGAGGCACAGCAGCCGGCAGGATGGCGACCGTGGTGGTGGAAGCCACCGAGCCGGAGCCGTCCGGCAGCATCGCCAACCCGGCGGCGTCCACCTCGCCTAGCCTGTCGCACCGCTTCCTTGACAGCAAGTTCTACTTGCTGGTGGTCGTCGGCGAGATCGTGACCGAGGAGCACCTGCGGCGTGCCATCGGCAACATCGAGCTCGGTAAGTGGCCCCGCGCCCCCAGAGACGCGCGCTGGGAGACGCGCAAACACGACCCCACCCAGGGCGCGACGGTCACTGCGCTCCTCCCGCGCGCCCCGCACCCATGCCTCTCCTCGTCACCTCTCATACTTGGTCCAGACCCTTTCTGGGCTAATTAAGAATAATCCGAATTATTAGATATGAGACCCAGAGGGAGAGTCTCCAATAACCTTGAGGGATCTGTCACCACGCTGAGTCCGCAGCCTGTGCTGAGTTGGCCACCGCCTCTCCCGCTAAGTGAAATGCAGGTGTCAGGGGAGCAGAGGCCACAATAAAGCCGCAACCGCAGGAGGCAGAAGGGTGGGGGAGACCTGATGCAACCACTCCTTTCAGTCCTCTTCTGGCCTCAGGAAAAGGCTGGGACCCCCACCACCGCAGACCTGGGGCCGAAGCCCATGTGCCAGGGCCCGCGTGGGATTCATCCTCACCACGGCTACCTCAGCCCCTGAGAAACGCCTTTTCTGATTTCAAACCTCCCGATCCTTTCTTTCCTCAGAATGACTAGGCTAGTCCTAGGGCCACGCCCGCTCCCCCCGCCCCCCCCTCCCCGGGGAGATGCTGGGATGCAGAACCGCCTGCGCTTCGCCACCAGACAGAGCCCGCCTCGCTACCGCCCTTGGGGCCTTGGCTGCAGCTCTCAGAAAGGACAATGGGACCCCAAGTTGCGGGGTGGGGCTGCTGCTTTTAGAAGTCCCAGCCTCGGGAGTGGTAGCTTGAAGGGGGTCGGTGAGGGAGACGTCAGCGGGTAGGGTCAGCTCCTCGCCCGGTGCTCGCACCAGTGGCGCGCTCTGCGGAGGCCGAATAGCGGTACGCCGGGGACCCTGGGCGGGGCCGTGAGGGTCCGGCGGGCACAGCCTCGGGCGCACAGAGAGACCGCCCCCAGCCCCACCCGAGCTGCCGCAGTGCCTCCGGACCGCCCGCCACACCTGCCCCCCCACACTGCGGCGCCCCCGTCGGGCACGGCTGGCTGGGCTTGCGCTCCGCCCGGGCCTCGGGCTGGCGGGGGCCGCGCGCCCCCACCTCTCAGTTTGCCTGGCTTTGTTGCCCTGGGAGTCCCTGGGTGGGCAGCTCTGGTCTCTGCCTTTCCCTTTATCCCTGGCGTCCCGGCCCTCCCCTCGCTCCTGACAGAGGTCGCCGGGTCCCTCCGCAGCCCCAGCCCGCGCTCTATTCTCCTGGGGTGGTGCTGAAGCGTTTCTCCGGGAGACACCGGTTGGTGGGCGTGGTGCAGTCCGCACTGCGGTCTCTACGGCAGCCCGAGGCGGACAAAGGGCGTTCACGCAGCCCTCGTTCCCCACTCCCCCTCCCCAATAAAAGACGAAAGAAAAACCTTGTTTTAGATGAAAAAATAAATGCTTGTCATCTGCCTCTGCAGTTGGAAACGGCCACTTGTCCCCAGAACAAAAGGCTGCAGGGTGGGGACTGGAGTTGCAGACCTGGTTCTTTTGTTTAACTTTAAAGCACTTGATTTTCCCTTTTAGCTTAAAAAAAAAAAAGAAAAAAAATGTGAGCAGAAAGTCATAGTATTTTATTCCAAAAAATTCAAGAACAAGAGATATTTCAGTAGTGAAATGTCTTATTTGAGCATCTCAATAACCCTTCATTTTCAGACTATATAGGCCTTTGGTCTAATCTGTTCTAATTTAGTTTATTTGCACAATTTTCTCCTGGAAAAATTTTACACATACTGACTTTGGGTGTGGCTATTGTGGGAATCAATGACTTTGGATTTTTTTCTTTAAAAAATTATTTGTAAGTAGCATTTCTGGGAAATAGGAATATATTAGGAGGTGCTTTTCTATCTACAAAATCTTCATAACCATTCGATGTGGTGGTGCTAGGAGAGGGATCATCAACCCCGTTTTAGAGCTGGGGGCCCAGAGAGGCAGGAAGGGTAAGAGAACCGGCTCAAGGTCACAGCACTCATAAGTGACAGAAGTACCAGTACTGCAGCGTCACTCGTTTTCTGACCCTGTCATGATGTTAGTGCAGGGTTGGCTAACATCCTATGATGGGAGGAAGGTTTCAGTACAACAGTTTTCAGGGCTTGCCTTTGTATGGCCATCCACTTGTGGGCAGCGCCCCATGCTGGGAGATGGTTCAGCAATCACCTTCGGATCGTAATTATCTTCCTGCTTTGTTACTCATCTGATCATCCTTTCAGCGCCCTATTCCTCAGAGGGTTTATACAAGCTGCATCTATTTATGGAGAAAACAGACGCATCCACGTACTGCTATGAAGAAGGGCTCCCTGCCTTTACTCGTTTTTACACTACTAGCACTTAGTGACAAAATTCAGATTTGTCTTCTTGACATTAATTTTTTAAAAAATTCGGTTGAAGTATTATATAGAGAGGAAAGGGCACAAATCAAAGATGAGCAGCTCAACGAATTTTCACAAAACGGACACGCCTGGGTTACCCAGATCAAGAAACAGACATTACTGGAACCCCAGAAGCCCCCTTGTGTTCCCTTTGCAATAGACATCATGGCTTCCTGATTTTTTAATTCCCTAATTTGGTCAGGTTTTTGCATGGAACTCCGAAATGACTGTATTGATCCCATTAAGAATCAACCAAGTGAGTGAGCAGAGCCGTTTCTTTACACACCGTAGCAGATGCTGCTTTTCCTCTGAAGATGGCTCTCCTGGGTTCTGGGGTCTTGGCTGCAGCTCAAGATGCAGGCCCTTCCAGCGCTAAGTGAAAATCCTGCTCCCATAGCTTTTCAGACAGTCTGAGATGACTTAGCAACAGAGCAGGCTGGTCCTGTTTTCCTGTGCACGACAAGCTGCTGCTTCAGCCGCCAGGTCTCAGCTGGGCCTCCTCCAGAGGCCACTGCTGTTGTTGCTTGGTGCCTTTGGGCCTTGTTGTGTGAAGCAAGATGGAGCTGCTCCAGGGGGGCCAGCTCTGATGATTGTGTGTTGCAGGCTGGGAAGGCAGTTCCGCATCTGTTACTCTTTCTTCCTATTTCCCCTCCTGCCTTAACTGAGATTCTGGGTTTGGAGACCCTGGCGACTTGGATTCTTGCCATCCGATTACTGAGGGCTCTCTGGGAAGCCTAGAAAATAATCTATAAATCTGTAGAGACATGGTGGTAATGCAGTAAATCAACAGGCCTGGAACGTCCCAATGTGGATGCTTCGTAAATGCCTCTTGAAACCAGGGAAGAGAGATGGTCCCTCTTGCTTTCTCAACTATATTCGGAAAGCATAATGAAAGCTTTGGACATGTCTCCTCCAGAGTTTGGAACAATAGTGTTTCCTCGGACTAGGCTAGCTTCATTTATTTAGTTATGCAGGACTTTATTCCAAATCGTTTTCGCTACCACCAACTACTACTCTTTGGCACCTCCTTTTTCTCCTCCCTAATTAGCCCCCAGCATGGATTTAGCTAGTGGTTCTCATTTTCAGCAAAACCCTGCTTCTTGGTTTTATTTTAATACATAGAGGACATACATCCGTGTCTTGCAAACTGAATTCTAGAGCCTTGTGAACGTTTTCATTGTTTCATTTTTTTTTTAAGGAACTAAAACATATAAAGAATATTAAGTGTCTGTTGGATGTTTTCAATTACCGTTAGATTATAACTTTTCCTTTAGTTAACACTGGGAATCAGCAAGATTTGTTGGTGAAAAGATAGATGAATGTAACATCTACTGCTCTGCATTTTTAGATAAAAGTTTAGCTGATTACATTGTTACATTCTGATGTCACTTAACTGAATGTCCTTCAGTCTAAGATGGTAAGAGAATTTAAAACCCAGGAAAGATTTGGGGTTTAGTTTTCCTTTTCTTTTAACAGGGGAAATAAGAAACCAATACCATATGTGGTGAGAATTAAATGTTAGAGAGTCTTAAATTTACTATATTTGCCTATACTTTTCAAAGTCGAAGACAGATGGATTTCTGCTTGCACTGCTTAATTGGTATTATCTACGACAGCTCTGTGATCCATGCTGAAACACAAGGCAGTCCCCAAATTTAAGGTCATTAAATTGTTCACCTTCTCTAAGGGCTTACTTTAAAAAAATAAGTTATAACTTTTTAGACAAGCAAATAATTATGTCACTTCTCATTTGCTTGTGTTGTAAGATGTTATCTCAGACCTAAATTATTTATTATCAATGCTTTGAAACTATGAGCTCTGTATGTAAGATATTATCGTCATTACATACATATGTTATGAACATCAAGTTGCTGGCTTTAAAAAAAGAAAAAAAGCAAATTAAAGATGAGTTCAAGGGAAAAAATAAGAATTTTTTCCTCTGAGAAATAAAGCATTCCTAAATGTAGCATTTCCTTTAGTTCATTTATTTAGTTTATGATTTCAATCTGATTTCAGACCACTTTTTAGCATAGTTTTACAAATATAATCTTATGATTCTAGGTTAATGATTTAGGTACTTGGAAAAAATATCCAAAAGCCTGTTTTTCAGAGGGAGCAACTAAAGCCCATAAAGGAAAATCAACTTGCCAAAGGCCCAAATAACTGTCAGATAGAACCCATGTGCCATCAACATACAATGCATGGTCATTTCATTTTGCTTTCTTCAATCCACTGTCACCTTTAGAAATATGAATTTTAGCTTTTAAATGGGAGGTGCTTTTTTAAATTGTTGGTTTCATTAAACAACCCTGCAAAATGCTTACATGATTGGAAAACTTGGAACAATCTAGCCTGTACACACCAAGAGTACCTGACTTCTCCTCATTTTTCACCCTGACTTGTTCTTTAATGACCCCTCCCTGCCTCCCTGCCCCATAACCTATTCTTTTCTCCTTTTCTCATCTGTGTATATCATGTGCATGTCAGCCTCCCTTGTGTGCACTGCTACCACCTGGGGTCAGAGAACTGAGAAGGAAAGATCTTTTGTTGCTCCCTGGTCCCAAGGAGCTCACTTTCAGGGCTGGGCAATAGCCACAGAGCAGGCCCAGATTGTTCTCAGAGATGACGGATGCCTTTTGGCTCCAGACATTGAAAGAATGGGGTTCACTGCCTCCAACTGCCTGGAGTTATTCTGCCCCCACCTGGGTAAGCCCAGAAGGGGTACAGTCTTAGAATGCTGGGGAAACAAAGCCTCCAGGAAGAGCTTGACTTGGTGTATATTGGGGTGAAAATTAGAAAGAGGGCTTCCCTGCTCCCCAACAGAGACCAGGATGACTTGCTTCTGAAAGCCTCTTTAGAACCTCTTCACCAACACCCCAGGATGCCCTCCAGCCAGATTCAGAGAGGGGAGAATATGGGAAGGGCCAAAGAGATATTTTTCTGTCCTGTAAACTTTAGAGGGCTCACTGTTGGCTCCTTGTTAGGCACAAAGGGGAACTACATAAACCTACTAAATGCAATATGAACCTTCATTAACAACTACTCTTTGCCTTTACCAATATTATCCAGCAGGAGATACAAAGTAATTACAAATTATTTTATTTCTAAAATTGGTATGGAAAGTGGCCTGATTCCAAAATTTTCCTTTCCAACTAAAATAGCTGGCAAATCCAACATAACCTTTATTTTATAAGTGGTAGTAGTGGTTGTGCATTGCTAAGAAACAATTTGGGTGGAAATTGCTCTCTTGAAAAAAGAACCCTACATTTTTAGTTTCATTGGGAGTGTAAAAATGAGAAATATTTTTATCAGCCGTTTACTAGTATAATTTAGAAATTACTAAGTGGATTTATCATTTAGTACTTTTTCTATTGCTAAATTACAAATATGTCAAAAATAAAATATGTATGAAAATATAAAGCAAACATTTAATTGTGTGTGCCATGACAAGTTAACTGAAGCCAAGGGAAAATGGCAAGTAACAATGTAAGAGCAAGTCTGCAGATAACCCTGGATGAAGTCATTCAAATAATGTACCAATTTAGACATTACTTAGAACAAAGACAGAAAAATTGTATGAATTTAATTTAAATGCATATGTCTCATTATTAACTTATTGACCCAGCTTGACAGGGTAGAAGACAAAGTAGAGCTCAGACCTGGAACAAGGAGAATTCAGTCAACAATACCAATTAAGCAGCTCAGACAGGAACTCGATTTTTTTGCACTAGACTAGTATATAGTGTATACATTGAAGTAAAATATTCTAATGAATTCAGACCTCTCAACCTGTCAAGCTCTCTGTGAAACAAAAAGAACCCATTTATCATTTCTGCACTAAAAAGATCTGCGAAATCTCAACATGCCTTTCTTGTTAAAATTCAAATACTCCATTAGCACAAATGCAAACTGAGGCTATTAATGTTTCCAGGAAGAGCCATAAAATTCTCCCTTATAATTTGACCTTTCCTTAAGCACGTTAACTCTTCCACATCTGAATTCTTCCCATTGATCATATGAGAAATTTCTGCCTGTATTTAGTGGACACACATCTATTTGAAAATATTCCTCCTGGTTGAAAAGGTCTGTGGTGTGTAATCTAAAGATATTTTAGATGTGCAGTGAACTGAGTTTCCAGAATCTTTTTTTTTTGTAATGTCTATGTATAATCCACCTTGATTCTTTACAGGATAGGAAGACTGAATACAATATAACCAAGGGTAAATACAAATATGCCTTAAGGATCCAGTGTGTATTTAAGTAACACACTGCTATTTATTCCTTCAAGTCTGTATACATGACTAATGTCCAACAAAAATGATTACATGACTGGGTGTTAATTTAGAGATAGTTCACCTGCTGTGTTATACCTAGAGGTTCAAGCCCTTACCTTTAGGAGGTATGCAATAAATGTCTGTTGTTCTAGAGATTTGTTCCTGGCAATTGAGAATGCTGTATACAAAGGTACAATGATGGATACCACACACTGGCTCCACCATGAGCAACCTATTAGGAAAAATGTAATATATAATATGTAAACATGTAAAACACACACACACACCAGAGTTCTGGGGTTCCCCAACTTTCCCTGGCTTACTCTCCAGACCTCCCTTCTATGATGCTCTCTGGGGTTCCCTCTGGGCCATCCCCTTTGGGAGGGCAGGAGAAAGAGGACAGTGGGAGGAGGAAGGAAGAGGCTAGAGAGTAGGGCATGAGCACAGGAAGCTGCCCTCATCCCGCCTCTTGCCCTCCTGTTCCTCTCACCCTGGATATTCCTTTCAGCCTAGGGAAAGGAAGTCTGATAGGACTTCCTTTCCGTTCAGCCTAGGGTAGGAATAGCTGATTCATGTCCCCAACTCCATAAATGTTTTATAAAGTATAAAAAGTTGCCATTTTTCTTTGCCTCTGGATAAGAAAATTGAATACAATGAACAATTGTGAATAAAAGAGCTGCCTGCCAAGCTACTCAGGTAACAGAAAAGTGCCTGGAAGGACAGACAGGCCAAGTCTTGAAGATTGAGTGGATCCACTCTGTTTATCAAAGATCACATAAATCTTGGATTGATATCCAGGGCTCGATAAACCAAAGTCAAAAACGGGATTGGTAAAGGAAAGAAATTACACATGTATACTACCAGAACATCATTTTAGAAACAAAGGCCCGTGCTTGAATGGCAGCCCCCGTGTATTTTCTTTGCCTTTATTCTACATTTTCTTGCCACCTACAAGTGGAGTTAGTCTGTCTACAAGCTAGAGTTAGTCTGTTGGCCTCTTAGCTTCTTAAGAACTAACATCTTCCTGCCCTTTCTAGTCCCTCCCTGGAGTACAGCCTGTCATTTTCCTAACAACTGTTTTCTTTGACTCTTCCAGAAGAGGTGCATTTACTTTTTATGAGGGGCAGAAGCTCAGTCCACACTGCTAATTATCCCTCCCTTGTGGCCTGGTGGAGAGACCTCCCTGGCCCTCCCATTTTGTGGGCATCCACTGCTAAGCCACCAAGCTCTTCAGAAAAGGAGTTCCCACATCCTCCCTGAAAGCCTGAGAAATATTACAGTGATGTTGTCCAAACCACTCTGAAATGACTAACTGGAAGTCTCTCAACTGTCTTTCTTTCCCTCCCTAGGAATCCGATCATGGGACACAAACCTGATTGAATGCAACTTGGACCAAGAACTCAAACTTTTTGTATCTCGACACTCTGCAAGATTCTCTCCTGAAGTCCCAGGTGAGGCTTCCGCTCAGTGTTGGTCAGCCTAGAATTCCAAAGGACAAGGAGCAAGCTAGAAAGCTTTGTCTGAGGCAGCAAAAAGACTCTCTTATTGCTAAAAGGATACTTTGTATTTGTTATTATCAACTAGGTTAGCCAGCAGCCACAGTTTAGGAAGTCACTCTAGGTTATCACTGTGTGGGTTATCTATTTTGTGGATTCTTAATGAGTTTTTAAGTTCTAGGGTTGTGTATGTGTATATATATACACACACACACATCAATGATCACACAAATTTTGAATTGATATCCAGGGCTTGAGAAAGAGAGAGAGAGAAAGAGAGAGAGATAGTATAGTGTGTGTATGTGTATCTCACTGTACTCTGAGCTCAAGGGACTACAAACTATTTAAATGTTAATCTTACTCAAATGAAATTCTGAATACAAATTGGATGCTCCTAGGATCCCAGAACTGTCTTCCTGCAAAAGAAAAAGGAAACATATACTGCATTTCAAAATGAAATATACATCATCATTTCATAATTGCATTATCACCCGCCATTGCATTACCACTTATCTTTCTTCGTGTGGGTAAAAGAATCTGATATTACAAACTTCTGTTAAAATAGCCTTTTTTTCAGAGATGAAAAAGAATATCAAAGAATAATTAAAGGTAAGGATGCAAAAATTTGTCATATGTGAAGATGTTCCCACTAACCAGCCACCTTCCTGGGGCTATGATCTGACCCATGCCTCTGGCGCTGGAGATGTATTCATACTGACCCATCTCGTCTTCTTCTTGTGAGCAATAACCTATATTCCTCCCATTTGGTCACATTTAGGAATTATGAGACAGTTTCTGGCCCATAAAGACTCCAAACCTGGAATATATTTCTCCAGACCTTTGCCATTGACCCATCAGAAACACTGTATTACATCTTATTTCTTGACCATCACTTGAATTTTACATAAGAGAAAGCTATTTTCTGCCCATATGCTTTTGTTATATGATTCCTAATTTTATTGGCATTGATATAACATCAGGAATGAGATTCAGCCTATTTTGACTGGTTAGGTCATATTCCATTAGTCGTGTATATACATTGATATTTGAAATCACTTTTATAGAATATCAGTGCCTTCGTGAATCACATTTGGCTGCAGTAATATGCCCATAGGACTGTCTCAGTTCTTCCTTTTGAGTTTAATATTAGAATAAAATCCCATACATTTCAGTTATTGAAATGCATTGTAGCTTTCAAGTATGGAATTGAGTAAATGTGCTAAGAAAAGCTTAGCAAGAAATGGTTTATTAAAAGTTAACTTCCTGCAAAGCCACATGAAAAATCAGTTTTTAAGTAACTTTGCTTTGAGAAAAAAGGAATCCAGAGACTGTCAGACAGCATATGATTTGCTGAAGGAAAGGTACAGTATAAGGTTGTTTCTCTTGTTGTTATTTTATTGTATTTTTGTCTTGCGATATCTCCGTATCTTTTAAAACCATCTCACAAAAAAAATGAGGGAAGTGCTGTTTTCCAAAAAGTATGATTATTTCAAAATGTAAAAACTACAAGCTTTTATTTTTTCTCTGTAGGTTGTTCTGGCTTTTTTACTATGATTGTTTGTAAGACTTCTTTTTTTGTGTGTACAAGTCATGTGGTTCTCATTGTGTTCATTCATATTTGGACTGACTTTATAGAGTGACAACTGCATATTGCATAATGAAAGGCTGCAAGCATTGCTGAAGAATTAACCATTTCTAGACCCAAGACCTAGTATTGCTCCTGTGGAGTAGGAAGATCAAGTTCCCCCAAACTGTCACTTTAGCCTAATGTACCCCATTCTCCTCTCCTTTCTCCTGCTATCACCTTCAGTAAGGATTAGTTACCTACCTAGTTGTATAGTGTTATGCTAGAGGCTGTGTTTGGAGATTGGCCTTTGGACACACAGCATCTTTACTATTCTTGCCAATGCTAGAAAGGACTGATATTACGACTTTCCCTGTCAAGCCTATGAGTACGCTTTACAGGCCAAGGCTCCCCTCTGGGAATTAAGCATCTAGAATAGAGCCATTATAGTCATGCTCCTGTGTGGGGAGCATGAAGGTTTCCAACCAGGACTGTAAGGTGATAAAAGCACATGTCAGATTCAGTTTCAGATAAGTGTGTTTTAAAGAGAAGAGATGTTAGAGGATAAGAAGACATGGAGATCACAGGATGATCACTGGATTGGGCCCAGGGAAGCCTTTAGCTTTTCCTGAACAAACTGGAAAGGTTTTATGGAAAAATTTGAAGTCTGTTTTTAAGTGGGTCCAAGTCTAGTGGTCTCTAGCTAACTCATGTACTTCAGTTCCCCTGAAATGGAATTAGCTGAACATTTTCCTTTAGAGTTTCAAGAATCTTTCATTGTTTTTTGAGACAGGGTCTCACTATGTTGCCCAGGCTGCTCTCAAACTCCTGGGCTCAAATGACCCTCCCACCTCAGCCTTCCAAGTAGCTGGGATTACAGGTACATGCCACCACACCTGCCTAATTTCAAGAATCTTAAATTAACTTAGAACCAAGGAGCAAGATGAAGGATGGATCCCCTAAAAAAAAATAGAGCCATTTTTCAGCCAGGTAAAACATTGTTAAAAATAGCACCTACAATATACCAGGCATTATAGGGTGCTTGGTGAGTGAGGACACTGTGAAGAACAAAACAAATACAGTCATTACCTTTATTACACTTATATTCTTGTGAGAGGAGAAGGCATTTAACAATCATATACAGACCAACATAAAATCTAGCCCCCTGCATCAAATCCAGGCTTCAAACAGATTTTTGGGAGGTTTGGGTTTAAAAAAACATAGAGACGGGGTCTCACTATGTTGCCCAGGCTGGTCTTAAACTCCTGGGCTCTAGCAATCCACCTGCCTTGGCCTCCCAAAGTGCTAGGATTATAGGCATGAGCCACCATGCCCAGCCACAGTTTTGTTTTGTTTTAAGGCCAGCAGAGTTATAGTAAAATATTTATTGCCTTTTATGACATAAGTAAATTAAGGCTCAAGTCACCCATATATCTGTCTTATGTTCCTGTTGGTTATGATAGCTTTTGTTGTTTTTTAATAATTGGAGTTCACTTGTAAAGACTGAAGATAGCCTCAAATTGCAGCTAACAGATTGTGCAAATGGCACAAGATTGATTCCTTTATACTAGTTTATCCCTTATACTAGTTTTTAAATATGGTTTTGAGATTTGATTTGACTATTTCTTCAGGATTGTAGGTCTCATTCAAGACCACTCTGAAAGACTTAGTCATCTTGAATAATATCCTTTGAGCAGGAATCTGAAATATGAGTGCTTTCTGTACACAAGGTGGGTGGTGGGTGCCTCAGTTCCCCAGAATGTTAGTTCTGTGATCTTTAAGCTCTGTCCAACTCTGGCATACTGTAATTCTTGGAGTGGTCAGTCATCTGGGCTTATCTTACTATTATTTTGCCTTACTATTGCAGCCTTGCCTTGCCTAAAGATCACTCAACAAACCTTTGCTGTGTGCCCAGGGCAGGTCTCTGCTGATTTGCCTTGATGTAAAGCCATTCCTGGCCACATCTAAGCTGGATCAAGTGAGAACAGTCATCTTGAAAGAAAAGGTTAGGTGTTCCTTTATGAACACTCTCTAATCTTTTACTCAAAGGAAAGTTCAGTAGTTGAGTCTTTTCAAAATAGAGCAACAGTCTTTTGTTGTTGTTGTTGTTGTTTTGAAACAGTCTTAGCTATGTCATCGCCCAGGCTGGAGTGCAGTGGTGCAATCTTGGCTCACTGCAACCTCAACCTCCTGGGCTCAAATGATCCCCCCACCTCAGCCTCCTGAGTAGCTGGGACCATAGGTGTGCACCATCACACCTAGGTAATTTTTTGTATGTTTTGTAGAGATTGGATTTCCCCATGTTGCCCAGGCTGATCTCGAACTCCTGAGCTCAAGCAATCTGTCTGCCTTGGCCTCAAAGTTCTGGGATTATAGGTGTGAGCCACTGTGCCCGGCCAGAACAACAGTCTTATATTTCTTTAAAGTTATGATTTTAAATACTATCATAAAATTTTTATTTACCTATTATATCATATGTTTTTTGTACCCTAATCATGTTGGATGAGAATCATTTTGGTTAAGTCTGACCACAAAAGCAAAGCTAGGCTTACCATGCTGTACAGGGTTTATTTCATTTTCCGTTGCCATTTGCTTCTTTCCCAAATGTAACTTTAGGACTGTCTATGTATAGTAGTAAAGAAGGATATCTCCCAGGGGTTGTAAGAAGTGCCCCATAATTATCTGTCGTAGACAGACATCATTTTGAAACAAGCAAACAAATAAAAACTATTCTCAGGACAAGTGATGTCAGACTGAAAATCAGTTTCAATTTTTATTTTTTCCCTTAATTTTGCCACTTTTATCTGCCTATTAAAATAATTTAAAAATTTTGATCATCTGACTCCTCATCAGCAGCCTAGCATAATGATGAAGAGTACAGATTCTGGAGTCAAACTGCCTTGTTTGATCTTAACCCCACGGTTTATTTGCTGTGTCATCTTGGACAAGTTAACTAACCGTTTTCAGTCTTCTTGTTTGTAAACAAGGATGATCAGTTCCACCTCATAGTTTCTTTCTTTTTTTTTTTTTTTTTGAGATAGAGTCTTGCTCTGTTGCCCAGGCTGGAGTGCAGTGGCGCAATCTCGGCTCACAGCAAGCTCCGCCTCCCGGGTTCACACCATTCTCCTGCTTCAGTCTCCCGAGTAGCTGGGACTACAGGCGCCCACCACCATGCCTGGCTATTTTTTTTTGTATTTTTAGTAGAGACGGGGTTTCACTGCATTAGCCAGGATGGTCTCGATCTCCTGACCTCATCATCCGCCCACTTCAGCCTCCCAAAGCACTGGGATTACAGGCGTGAGCCACTGCGCCCGGCCCCACCTCATAGTTTCAATGCAGATCAAATGAATTAAAGTGTGTAAAGCTCTTAAGACAGGGCTTGTCACATGGAAACAAATGTGAACGAGTGCTGTCTCCCTTCTGGAGTATCTATTTGACTTGTATATTTGGTGATTGTTATTATCCGTGGGAAATACCGGGTATTGATATTTGGCTAGTTTCCTTTTTGTAGTAATTTTAAATTTGTATTAAAGATGTTTCTCAGAGAAACGACTGCTTTCAGCATTCTCAGAAGGCGCAGAGCTGCTGACTATGTGTAAAGGGTGACAACATTCTATGGCTGAGCTTCTAAGGTCCTTTGGGCTTGAGAGCAAAAAGCCGGCAATGCTTTAAAGTGCTGGCTGGTAAAGCAGAGCCTGAGAGGGGGTTGGAGACCATTTGCAAAATGGTCCTGTGGGTGCCCACGCAAGGGCTGTCAGGGAACGTGTGCACAGTTTGAGGGCTGGCCTGCCTCCTTGCTATGATAACCCATCCATGGTCACTCCCTCCACGCCGTTCTACACTCGCTTTTCTCTTCTGCTCTCACCAATCAACAGGTGACTATAGACGTTGCCAGGTTTAAGAAACAGATTTCTTGTGGTTTATTTTCTTAGCTGAATACACAGTAAGACCTTGATATATTTACATTTTGTCACTAGTTTTATAACATCTAGATCACATTCACAAAAATCATCATAAAATGTGATGGATGGTGTATATGGGCAGTTTTGTTTTAAGAACCGATGCCTTTTTCCTAGAAGATAAACGAACCACAGCTGAGCATCTTTAGATTTGTGCTGAGTGATTGCTAAAAACATCTTGCCTGGAGATTGGTTTTCGATGGAGAATTAGAATCAGCCCTTTGAATTTCAGTCATGCGAATCTTCTCCCTTTGACATTAATGAGGCACGGGTTACAACTAATATTTACCAGTTGAGTGATAAGAAAATGAGAAAATACTCTTAGAAAAGGTCTAAGAATATTTTAAGCCATCTTTCTCTGTCTAGACTTGTGTGTTTAGTCTGTTGTGTGTAGAATTATAGCTTAATTGTATGTGCCTAGAATACATCAACTGCTCTATGACAGGGAGTAATGAATGTGTTTTCAGCCCTGCTCCAACCTTTAAACAATAAGGCACACAAATATATGTTCTAGCGGCATTCAAGGGGCTGACTCACCCTCAGGGAACCTGCAATTTCAGAGGGACAGCCGATTCTTTATCCTCATGTTTTCTGTGTTGTTTGTGTACACGCACAGGTCTAGGTACTTGTCCCCATGCCTGTGAGGCTCTGCTCATCTTTCCTCATTGCATCATCATACAAGGTTATAGGAGAAATCGTGGTATGTTAGAAGAAAATGACAAATAGAGAGCATTATATTCGTTAAGGTAACCAGATCTCTGTTTAATATTCCTTGAGGTCATTGCTGCCTGCCTGGGAAGGAGAGTCCCATTTTAATGCAAATCCCTAGCCTTTCTCCCACTTGCCCCGTGCCCTGAGCCCTCCTGGCCCGGTTGCAGGGAACAGAGTGATCGGCAGCTCCTCATGCTGTCCGCTCTCACCCCAGTGCTCCCATTGAGACTTTGCCGCCCAAGCAGCAGACAGCCCAGTCACCCCCACCTGCATCCTTTTCTAGCGGTGAAAGAGCCAGACCTTCCAAGGAGAAGATTAGAATTTTATAGTGTACGCAGCATAAGGCATAATTCCTGCAAGCTTTACATCTTGGTCAACTTTCAAATTTCAGGATTCTTTATATCCAGATCCTCACATACAAGGGAATTTTTTCCCTTGGTGCAGGTGTGGCCAGCAGAAAGGAATAAAATGGCATTTCACTGCCATGTTCAGGCTTCCTCATTCCTCAGGGTAGTTAATAATGGGCTCTTTCAGACCACCCTAGAAATACCTATTCATCTCACTTTTTTTTTTTTTTTTTAAGAGTGGAAAGGATGTTTTACTCTGCTGACTGTAATGGCTCTCACGCAGTTCCTAATGGGCACTGTGGAACCACTCAGCATAGACAGGCATAGGCAGGAAGGTAGCAGAAAATGGGCTGCCTGGGCCCAGGAGCCATTTTAGGAGATGTCAATAACCCCTCCATTAAACCCAACTAAGTGCGTTCCACGACAGCTGCTAACCAAGGACAGCACCTCATGCTGAGTGTCACTGCTTTTGTCTTCATCTCCAGAGACCAAAGAGAGCTCATGATTTTTGTTAGTAGAGTTTTTTTTTAAAGGTTTTTTTTAAGTATGCAGCAACAGCAAACCATCAAGCAAGCACAGTCTCTTTGCTTTTTCTGCCTGCTTTTTGGTCTTCCTCTGGGGCAGTTTGTTCAGCACCTATGGTAGCCTACTAGAAATAATGGTGGAAGATGAAGAATAAAGCATAAACTAATAGATCACTTTAAAAGTGCCAAGTAATGTTTTTGAGTGCTTATTAATAAGAAAGCAACTGTAAGGGAATATTTGGAAGAATGAAGTATTTCCCACTGTTTATAATTTTGTTGGGAAAATAAGTCATTCACAGCTTTAAAATTCACTGTGTTTCTCAACAAAGAAAGAGAGTTTCTTTTTATTTTTTTAATCTCTTTTTGTTTTTGAGACAGGTTCTCCCCTCTGTCACCCAGGCTGGAGTGCAGTGGTGCAATTACAGCTCACTGCAGTCTCTGCCTCCTGGGATGAAGCTACCCTCTCGTCTCAGCCTCTGAAATAGCTGGGACTACCAGCCTGCCACTATGCCCAGCTAATTTGTTTTTTTTGTTTTTTTTTTAGTTTTTTTTGAAGATGGAGTCTCACTCTGTCGCCCAGGCTGGAGTGCAGTGGTGCGATCTCGGCTCACTGCAAGCTATGCCTCCCAGGTTCACGCCATTCTCCTGCCTCAGGCTCCCGAGTAGCTGGGACTACAGGCGCCCGCCACGACGCCCGGCTAATTTTTTGTATTTTTAGTAGAGACAGGGTTTCACTGTGTTAGCCAGGATGGTCTCGATCTCCTGACCTCGTGATCTGCCCGCCTCGGCCTCCCAAAGTGCTGGGATTACAGGCGTGAGCCACCGCACCCGGCCTATGCCCAGCTAGTTTTTAAATTATTTTGTAGAGAAGGAGTCTCACTCTGTTGCCCAGTCTGGTCTTGAACTCCTGGCCTCAAGCGATCCTCCTGCCCCCACTTCCCAAAGTGTTGAGATTACAGGTGTGAGTCACCCTGCCCAGCGTGAGAGTTCTCTTAATTTGCGAACTGTGTATATGTGTCAGAGAGAGAGAAAGAGAGAGTGTGTGTGTCTAATTCCTAAAGAAGAAAGGGGTGAAAATGGAGAGTATAATAAGCATTGCATTTTGATTGTTCAACCATGGGTTTAGTCACAATGACAAAGGTTACCCAGGTACCAGCACCCCACTCCCAGCTGCAACCCAGGACTAATTAAATGCTACCTAGGCAACGATCAAGTATCCCCAGACATCATACTCCAGGGCTTACCCCTTTTGTTTTCTCGGCTGTGATCTAAGGGTAATTTCTATTGCATGTGAAGTCAGATTTCCTTGGTCTGAGAGAAACGTGAGAAAGTAAGAGGTACTCTGGGGAAGCGCACTTAGTGCACCACAGGGACTGGAGAAATTAACATAAATACAAGACAATAATAATGTTATTTTAATAAACTCTTCTAGGTTAAAGGATTGCCTATAGTCAGGACTGGTGAAATTGATGCTTATAGAAAATGCAACAAGAGCGTCTACATGTGATTTAAAAATAAAAGTAAGTAATTAGGAATGAAAATTGAAAAGCTAGGGTAGTGTTTTATTGAATGTGGCTCCTCTCTGCAGTTGTACCGCACCTCATTTGAAACACTCAAGCTGAGGTTGCCTCTCAAAATTGCTGCCTTGCATTCCTGAGGGGTTAAGACGAAATATGAACATCCTGAGGACTGTCTTTGTTGTCATAGAGGGAAGTCCTCTAAACACGCACTTTGCCATTAATCTGGCCATTTCTTTCTCAATAAAACAGGTTTTCAATGGGAGCTGTGAGTAAACACGCCACTGTTGAGCATTGTGGCTCAAATTCAGATTTCTTGTTGGCTTCTCACGTGGATAGTGCGAGGAAGGAACAGCTATTCCCCTGAGGGAGCAACACGTTTTTAGTGCACCTGGCCCCAGGAACACTGCTCTACATAGATGTGGCTTTTTGGATCCTGAAGTGTATCCATCAATGGGAATGTCACATTTGGAGAAGTTATCCTTATTGCAATAAAATTAAAGATCAAATAAGTTCTGGAACCCAGGCGAACAATGCTTCCTTAGTGCAGAGCCATTTTGAGCAGTTGTCTCTTGTGCCTTTTAAAAACCTCTCACTTGGAAGTTTTGATGTGTGAAAGATGTGAAAACTGCCTAAGAGAATTCTTCCTCTTTTTAATGGAGCTCGATGCCTGTTTAGGGATGATGTAGCAACCGCTTTTTTATCTAGAATTCCAGATAGTTTCCCAGCTCAAATACTAGGAGTTTTTGGTGGTGCAATTCAATTGAAAGTGGTATTTGGTGTGAAGTTCCAGCAGCCCCACAAGATGCTCAAGTGCCTTGTAGTTAGTTTAGTATAATGTGCATATGTGTTTGTGTGTGTGTGTTTGCATACATGAGAGAAAGAGAGAGAGAGAAAACCTTATCTGTTCTCATCTATTATAAAGGAGACAATCCTTTCATTTTATATGGTATCTCCTTTTGAAGGTGTCCTGTTAGTGTCCTATTATCAGCCAATCTGTCATTAAATATTTATGTTCCTGCAGCAAGGCACAGTTCAGTTCCTAGCTCTGCAGGCCATAAGAAGACTTGTAAGTAAATCCTGTCTTCAGTTGTTTACAATTGAGTATGGAAATAAGATAACTAATGAAACAAGCCAGTCTATAATAAGTGCCAAATGAGAATTTTGCAAGGAGGTCCTTCTGTAAATTCTATTTGTTCAGGCTATTTTAAAAAAATCTGTGTGCATAAAAAAAGCATTAAAATAATATTATCCATGCAAATTGGGGCATAAATGCAACAGATCCTAATGCACTGAATCATCTTTGTGACCAGGGAATTTTGAATCCAGCCTGAATTAAAATATTTCCTAGTTTGGAGCTACATTTTAGATTAAGCCCATTAATTCAATGATGAAGAGTTAGAATCGATAATTTAAGAATTCACCCTTCTGAAATCATGTGAGAACAAAACTCCTGACCTGGATGTATAAGCTTAATTTCAAGATTGTCTTTATCTTTGAGTGCTGGAAAATTGTCCATTGGCAGACTCTGAAGACACTAGGGAAGAGATTGTGAAAGTGAAATGTTTTAAGGAAATAAATGTGAAGTAATTGTTTCACTGCCCTGAGGCTAGAATGGGTACTTTGGAGAGTGTCTGATTCAGCTGTCCCTGTGTTGAGGGAAGCAGGGAGGGGACACCAATTGCAAGCTGCTTTCCAGGACCCTTCCCCCTCCGGAGAGACCAGGAAGCCTGACCTAGTGCAGCAGCTCTGGGCCACACCTGAGAGCATTGTTGCCCATGGTGCTCCCTGAAGAGCTGCTGTCAGTCCTTTCCTTTTCTGTAAAATAAAGGGATTAGGCTAGATCAGGTCATCTTAACTTTGTTCTGCCAGCCATTAGTTCTGCAAAACATTAATAGTCAGTGGAAAAGAATTTCATGGTGACTTAAGTTTGAAAACTGTGACATACTCCATCTAATTTTTTGAGGAGGCATAAATTGTATGTGTATAAACTTGTTCAATTTTGTCTAACCATACATTTCCTTAGCCTATTTGACTAGTCACTTCTATCACCACTCTCTCCCATGGATCTAGATTCCTGTAAAACACAATCTGGGAAAGGATGGATTAAATGATTGCTGAGTCCCTTCCAGTTTTTTTATTCCATTATTCTATGAATTTTTACTAAATTGTCTCATCACTCGTATGTAGATGGGAGCTTGTCTTACTTCATTCAGCTTACAATGGCTTTTAATCCAGGCTTTAAAATATCAATGAAAGAATTTCATTTAGAAAAAACTGCCTGTCCCATCCATGAGTATTCTTAATTTTAGGAAAGATGCACAGCTTTATGACACTCAGGCTGATTTCCCAGTTTGGGAATTCTTGGCCCTGGCTTTTCCCACCTGTCTTTACCTTGCAGACAAACCAAACAAGACAAAATTTAATCATGTTTGCACAATGTCAAACACTTGCATAGAGACTATCCCCAAAGTCAGCTCATGGGTGTTTTATCTTCACAGTGCCAAATAGGAAATAGCTACATATGTTTCCCATTAAAATGAGAATTTCCATGTTGGTATCTGGTGTTGCATTGAGCTTCAGGTTAGCTGCTTATTCACTGATCTTTGGAAGGAGGCTGAAGATTGAACCTCAAGAGTTCTAGGGATTATCTGCAGGTTGAAGGTGTTAAAAGTCCCAGGCACATTGTTTGTTATCGCTAACTGCGGATGGCCTGAATTTTAATAAGCATGGTCAACTGTGCATATCTTGTCATGTGAACTACCAATTAGCACACCATAATTTAGCAAGTTAGTACATGCAGATATGAACACCCTTGGGAAGGAAGCAATTTTCGAATCAGATTATTACTGACAGTGTACAATTTACATGCAGGTAATCATTATCAGAAAGTCATGATTATCCAGAAGGAAAAGTGATTTTTGTGGTAATATATCTTTGAATGGCTGTTGATTTTTAATACCTTTAAGGTAAAAACTTCAATTTGTTCCATCCCTAATTTGATCATATTTGCAAAAAAGTGTTAATTCACTCATTAAAACCTAGGCGTCTGATGGGTACAGCAAACCACCATGGCACGTGTATACCTATGTAACAAACCTCCACATTTTGCACATGTATCCCAGAACTTAAAGTATAATTTTAAAAAAGTTAAAAAAAAACCTAGGTGTGATATTATGTGTTTACAACAAAGCTTACCAAGTATTCTAAAATAACAGAAAGAAATAATTTATGTACAATAACAACATTAATGATAATATATCCATGGATAATACGTTTTGGTTAATCAAATATTCTAGCTAATTGAGAGTTGCCAATAATCCCTCGTGGGATTATTATTTTTCAAAGTTGTAGAATCCAATAATACAGTCATTTCTTTTACACAAACACCTAAAATTTATCTAGAATTAACTTAGAATTTCCTAAACCAAATTTATACATTAGCCCAAGATATACTTAAATTATTTATAGAAGACATGAACTTACAAATCTGTTGTTTCTTCTCCCACCCAAATAGAATAATATCTTCAAAGACAGTCTTTTTTTAAAAAAGGACATATTGTTCCCCTTAGGTAGATACTGGCATTTTATTGAAATATAGTTCAAGAGACATGCATTCAGGCAAGATGAGTGCACACCGTGCTACCTACTTGGAACCCAAACTCAGAACAGTAGAATTGAATCTTCCTTGGAAGACTCAGGAGGAAGATCATCTCTCTGTGCCTCAGGGTCCTCATGATGAACCTATTGGTAATTATACTGTAAACATGAGGGTGTGCGGATTAGTAGCGATTTCTTATCACTGAATCATTAGTGAGCAAACTATTTATTTTGAGGTGGTGTCCTCAATACTAATATGATTGTGCTTCAATATAGAACAAGGAATATCCCTGGATGTTATAGTCCTTCTGAAAAAGAGTCATTGATTGCAGATATTGTTTTAAAAAAAAAAAAAAACACTCAAAACTGCTACAGAGAAAAAAGAAAGTGTGAAAAAAGAGACCATGGCTATCTTCTAGGTTATTCGAAGAAAATACCTGAGTTTGCAAGTATGCACTAGCTCACTGCATTTGCACTGTCCTGATGTGCATACAGTGGGGTGCACCCGCCTCTAAGTCCCAACCATTTTTTTCTTTCTACTTCCTGTATCCCCTTGCCTATGAAAACATAATTTTTATTTTATTTTATTTTTTGAGAAAGGGTCTCACTCTGCGCCCAGGCTGGAGTGCAGTGGCACCGTCATGGTTCACTGCAGCCTTGAATTTCTGGGCTCCAGTAATCTTCCCACCTCAGCTTCCTAAGTAGCTAGGGCTGTAGGCACATGCCAAGGCAAACAACTAATTTTATATTTTCATTTTTAAATTTTTGTAGAGACAGGGCCTTGCTAAGTTGCCCAGGCTGGTCTCAATCTCCTGGCCTCAAGCAGTCCTCCTGCCTTGGCCTCCCAAAGTGCTGGGATTACAGTGTGAGCCACTGCATTTGGCTGAAAACGTAATTTTTTAAATAGACAATTGCCTTCTCTGTTGCACCATCTCCCTCCAAATAAGCTAATAAACACAAGAATCCAACCAAAAGGTAAGAGAGATGAGAAGTGAGATTTTTTTTAAAGGCTTAATCACTTGTGCTTTAAGATTTATCTGGAATATCTTTAGATCCTAGGAAGAGACAAGGTTGTCTAGCTAATTGTGTAGCCATTTACATGTACATATGTAATTGTATGTGTGTGTGTATGTGTATGGCTTTGTTTTTATATTGTATCAAAATGTATTTCGCTTTTCAAGAAGCATTAGAAGATCCAAGTAAATAGGGCCGGGTGTGGTGGCTCACGCCTGTAATCCCAGCACTTTGGGAGGCCAAGGTGGGCAGATCACTTGAGATCAGGAGTTCAAGACCAGCCTGGCCAACATGGCGAAACCCTGTCTCTACTAAAAATAGAAAAAATTAGCCAGGCGTGGTGGCAGGCACCTGTAGTCCCAGCTACTCGGGAGGCTGAGGCAGGAAAATCTCTTGAACCTGGGAGGCAGAGGTTGCAGTGAGCCGAGATTGTGCCACTGCACTCTAGCCTAGCTGACAGAGTGAGACTCCGTCCTAAAAAAAAAAAAAAGTAAATATCTGTTGATGAAAAAACTGACACTTCCTATGGGTTTACCTCCTTTCCTTCCGTTGTTTTCTCTTTGGTATCCCTCACGCGTTTTCCCCTCTCCGCTGCAGTCACCTATTTCCCACTTGTTTTTCTTCTCTCCTTCTTCTTTTTCTTATTGTGTCCTCCCTGCCACCAGTCACAGGCTTGTGGTCTACAAATAATGCTGGTTTGGGTTTATTTTAAAACATCTAACATGAGATCAGTGCCTGCTTTTTAAAGAAGCATTACATTATGTATTAGTTATACAAATTATTAGACAATGTCTTATCTTTATTTTATTGTTTTACACATAGAACAGAGACTATTTGGAGCCTTTGGAATAACATTCCAGCGTATAAATATAAATGAAATAGTTTGGCAAATTAACTCTCTCCAGGGGTCATCTAGAAATATGATTCTGTCATCAGATAGAAATTCTATTGCTAGAGTCCTTTAGCCAGCAAATGGATTTTCTATGCTTGGTGAGCAAATTCATCACAAATTTGAAGCTAGTTACAAATAAAATAAAATAAAATAAATTAATTAAAAAGAAATTTTAAAAATCCCAACTTACAGTTTAAAAAGAAGAAAAGTGGAAAAAAAAAAAATGAACAAACAAAAAGACGAAAGGGCTTAAATTAAATAATCATAGGGATACATTGTTTAATCTTTCCGAATTCTAACTTTTCAGAAATGGCTTTTTCCCAATGTCAACTGAATCATAAGAAAAAAGGAATGCAATTATCTTTTAACCATCGAAATAGGGAGGCCTTAGGCTAATTAATGGCCCTTGATAAAGAGCCTTAGAATAGTGCCAGGCATGTGGGCTTAGTATGTGTATGACAATGAATGATGAGGTGTCATAGGCTTGAGAAACTAAAGTTAGCGCTTAGGTTTGAAAAATAAACTGCATAAGAAATCTCACATCTTTTATTAATTATCTATATTGCAAACAATTTCTTTGTTGCAGATTTCCTTTAAACATTAAGATGTGGTAAAGTGTTTATTTACAAAAACTATCAATTACTTTTCAGAGACTTGGCAGTCTAGAAGCTCTGGTAAAGAGCCAGTGTCTTGAACTCCATGGACAGAGCACTTAAGGAATGGAACCGGGGGCAGAAAATCTGAGCTTTAATCCCAGTTCTACTGCTAAGTAGATTTGTGCCATTGTGGACAAGTTGCCTAGCATTTATGAACTTCAGTTTTATTATCTCTAAGGTCCTATTTATGTTAATATTCTCTCATACAAGTGAAAAAAGTCATTCAAATAATGTTTTTTCAAAAAATAGTTTACATATAAAGTTGGCAAACATAGCTGATGTATAAACCAAGATGTGTGGTTTTTCCAGAAAGTTTTTTGAGATTCTTAGGACACAATTACTTGCTTGGCTGAATATACTCATTTCACAAATATATTGTTTGTCTAATGGGATCTGGTAATGTGTCAGTACTAAGGTTAATAAAAATAAGCAAATGAAGACACAGTCCCTATACGGTCTCCCATGGAGCTCTCAGTCAAGGTGAGGAGACAGACATTGATGAAATAGTCACACAAATTTGTATTACAAGCTGTGCTAAGTAGGAGGGAAAATAATATGGTGCTATCTAAATATGTAAAAGGAGAAACTGATGTGGTAAGGGGTAAGTAAACTTTAGAGCTGAGATTTATGAAGAGTGCTTTTTATTTTACATTTAAGACATTGGACACTGTATTTTTCCCTTTTTAAAAATTAATTTTATTATTATTATTTTCCCTTATGTTTCCTTTTTAATACAGCATTAGCAATTCAGCCTAGTTTTATAGGTATAGAGTACGCAGATTTATCCTGGACTTCATATGGATCAATGTGAGGTTATAATAGCACATTTCTGAGGAAATAGGAACAATCCAATAGAAGTGATTCTAAAATATTTTCATAAGATATTCTTATAAGGATTCCACTACTCTGCTCTGAGTTAAGAATAAAGTAAAAGAAAACTATCTGAATATTTATTGGCCTCTTAAAAACATGGGATTGATGACAAGTTTTCTGGGCTGCAAAAATTCTAATGATAAATAGAGAAAGGAAAGCAACCAACATTTCTGAGATCAGAATGGAAAGGTTTGTGTTGTAACATAATTAGGGCTCCAGAGTGCCTATAGAATCATAGTTTATGTCCATGGTACTTAGAGGTTCATTCAATACCTTCCTCCCAGTGTCTTCTCTGTACTTGCTTATGAGTTCCTCACCTGGTCATTGTTAGGCCAGTCATCTCTCAGAGTGTTTGCTTTCTTCAGGCCAACAGTACGCAGCCTTCTTGCATCACGTCTGATTATCTTTCATACACCATTTACTTTTTGGTTGAAATGTCCACTTCTTTTCTACCATGTTGATTGATATCTCTTGGTCCTATGTGATGAAGTATCTAAAATTTCAACTTTTGCATATAAAGATACTTCTATTACTTGGAGGATATTACTGAAGCAAATAACCTGTATATTATTTAGAACCAATGGCCCTTGTTGGAAAAAATAAAGCCTGCCTTCACCATTAAATCTAATGAAGAACAGATTTTCTTGTTCTATGTAGTATTTTACTTGAAGGTGTTCATAATTCAGTTGCGAAGTAATTTTCTCAGTAGCGTGTGCACAAATCTCAGCTGATCTGAATCTATCTGAAATTAAAATACGGTGTAAGGAAATGTTGAGATACAAGTATTTTTCATTAATTTTTTTCTGAAATGCTCTGAACCCTTTCAGCCTGGAGACTTTTTTCCGCTAGCAAAGTTCTTTCCCATGTGCTCTTATCATTGTTTCTCTTCCTGTTCTGATTTCAGCCTTAAGAATATGTATAATTCTTAAAATGGAACTTCTTAGATCTCATCCTCCAACTCATCATTTCCTCTTCGATCTTCTTCTGTGTATTCTAGGAGAACATTTCACATTTGTCCTGTACATCACTGGGTCAATATTCTGCAGGATTTGTTCTGCTCTTGAGTGCCTTAAATGCAGATTTAAATTCTGCTATTGCATTTTGTATTTCCTTGAATTCTTTTGTTCATTCCACTGGGGACTTCTTTCTAAATCTCTGCCTGTCATTCAGCCCACCCTGTTTTTATTGTTCTCTGTCGTTTCATAGTGGCAACGTCTGCATCTTTTATAGGAGCCAAGTGTCATTTTCTAAAATTTTATTTTGTTCCTATGGAAAGTCATTTTTAGAGATATATTTTTTCCACCAAATCTCAAGACAGTGCTCATTTTTCCTTGTGCTGCAGAGTCTTTTCAAAGGTCCCATTTAGAGCTCTGTTTGTTTCCTCCTTCCTGTATAAGAAGGAGGTTCAGGAATCCCTGAAACTCCCTGTCCAGGTTCAGCATTTGCCAGCAGAGGGTTGTAGGGACTCCTTAGCAAGGCTGCCCACTTGGGAGCTGGCAATTTTACCCGCTCATCTAGAACCTGGAAGTCAGGTTCAGGTGTATAACCTCCACCCTGGGTCCATGGTCCCTGAGCAGCCATGCATCTGGCGTGGGATGCTAGCCTGGGAAGAAATAGTCTGTCTTTACTGTCCAAGTTTCTGCCTGTAATCCTAGAGAATTAGATAGAACTTGCATTTCTTCTTTGTACAAATATTACAGACCATGACCAGCATGCACTCCTCTCCAGGATCCTCCTGCCTCTGCCTGTACTTACAGGTGTTTTTCCTGAGACAACTGTCCAGCTCAGGCTGTAACGCAGAACAGCTCTCTCCTCTACCCCCAGCTCTGTTGGGATCTGAGGTGAGGCGCTGGAGGCGGGATGGAGAGCAGTGGAAAAGGAGGTATCTGATACCCTGCAGTAAGCTTCTTTTTCCTGTCTTGCATCCTAGGATTAGGGGCAGGTATTTGAAGAGTGTGTCAAAAACTTTCCAACCTTCTTTGAGTCCAGCAGAATGGTAAAGCGTGGGGGCCCAGGAGCTACAGTGGCCAAGTTCAAATATGGGCTTCACCTCATGCACAAGGTCTCTGTGCCTCAGTTTCCTTATCTATGAACCTACTTTACAGAGGATTTATGAAAATTCAGTAGCTATAAGGCATGTAAAGTGTAGAAATACATTTTTAAGAGATGTTTAAATAACAATGCTTTTACAAAATACAAAGACAGTCTTAATAATGATTAATGCTTTTAACTTGCCATTCAAGGAAATGAATAAGAAATGTTGGTAAAGCAGGAAAAGCTGATTCATCTTGACTCAGTGTTCAAACCAACTGTACCATTATAAAGTCTACAGTATTATTCAGCCATAATTGGTTCAGGATTATGGTTTCTTTGTAGCATTATCAGTTCTCTATACTTGAAGTTCCCAAGAGCCAAACATTTCCATTTTTCTTTAATCAGAATCTGTCACATTTCAAAACTCCCTTTCTTCTTTATGGATATTGTGGAAAATCCCTTCCTGCAACCTCCAGCTTCCGCCAAAAGTGTCACATGCATTCTTATTGTCACTATGTGAACACCTTATGAATGAGGGCTTTCTTTTTTAACTTTAGTTTTCACATGTTTGTGAGTGAGAGTTTTGTGTGTGTACATGTTGTCTTTTGTGACACCACAGTTTGATTTGATTGAAAAAGAAAAATGCAATTTTATTTAAATTGCTACTTGGGGATATAAACTTTGTATCAGAACATCAAGCCTGAATCCATGGTCAGTGAAGTCCTTTGATTTCTGCTCCTTTTAGTATTGTCGCAGCAAGACTCCCTCACTGCATTAGTGGGTTCCATTGTATTTCCAAGGAGGGCCCAGTGAGAAGGGCTTGCCTGCACCTCACGGCCACCTCCCTTCTTCTGCAGGGTAAGCCTTGTAATTATAGCAGACATTACATTTGTCTCCAGCTTCTAGGGGATGATGTCATTGCATGTCAAACAGGGGATTAGCATGAGGAGAGAAGTCCTATTGACATTTTCATTTTCATTAAGAAGAATTTGGTTTTGCTTCATTTTGTTAACGGAAGCTGTTGTCTTACCACATAGGAGAATTTTTTTTTTTTAAAGAAAACTTGAAAACGTAGAAGCAGGCATGTGCTGACTGCATGAATAAAAATATACTCTGTAGTGGCACTCTATCAATTAGTGAAAGCGTCTGGGACACAAAGCATGCCTGGGAAATCTCCTCCTTTTCTTACAAAAGCAGAATATCATTCTTCTCAAAGCTCACAATGGCCTGGGCCCTGCTGCAGAAAATGTTCCTGAAAAAGGAAGGCAGAGACTTGGCCACTGCTGAGTAGAAAAGGAAGGCAGGCGGCTGGTCCCATCAGACCTCTGAAATATTTTGCTTTTTCGTGATGGCATTGATCTAGTATGTCTTAAAGTCTCATTCCTTATGTCTCAGGGTAAGGCTCTTAGTTCCCTTCCCATATGAAAAAATTAATCAGGAGCGAGGTGGAATCCTGATGTTTCAGATGCTTTGAGCCCAGAGCTGAGTTGGTGGAAGAGTATAATTTTTATCAGTCATTTCCAGCCCCTCCCGCAATAGGAAGAAAATCATTGTCAGACTTGGGGTAGGGAGTTGTGGCCTCCTTTCAAGCAATCTAACAATAACCCTGAGTCAGAAAATCTAGGTTCAAATACCAGCTCTGGCTTTTACTGGGCTATGTAACTGTAGGCAGCTTATGGGATTGCTCCGAGCCTTAACTTTCTCATCTGTCCAATGGCATTAATTGGCAATAGTACTTGCATCTCAAAGGGTTATGCCTGGTACCTATCAACCATTGTTTTTCACCTCTAAAAATTATTTCCTTTCAAAACATGGGCCAGTGTTCTGAGGTGACCTTATTACTTGAGTGAGTAAAGGTGGTGGTTTTCTTTTTTTCTCTCTCTCTCTCATTTGTGTCAGTGTTTTGCAAGTACAGGTCAGGTAGCCAACTCTTACCAGTCTTGATTTCCTCCTTGTGGAGTAGACCCAGTAGCTATGAGATTGAGGGTCACCTGGATTAGACTGGCTTTGGAATTTCAGGTTTTTTGAATTTTCCCAAAGCACTGGAAGAAAAAGAGTCCTTGTGAATTTTTCTTGGGAGTTTTTAGAAACCCTTACAATAGTTCTCAGTTCTCCATATTTGGATCCCAGAATGTTCCTAGCATCTAGTTTCCCTGGAACAGAGTCATCCTGTGAAAAAGGATGAATCCAATCCAGATCAGACCCTCTTGTGAGGTGATAATTTTCCATCCAGATTTCCCTGGGACCTTTCCATTTGCATTCTTGTTTTGCCTTGAAAGGCAGCTGGTGAGCTATTTCTTTTTCCTCATTGGACTTTTCATGTCCAATTACCTAGATGATTATTGCTCCTGTAGGACTGATATTTTAGAAAGAATTTGGAATAACACTGGGTTTTGAGGTGTAGCCCAACAGGATTTGACCAGGAGTCTCCATTTACAGTTCTTCAAGGCCAGTGCATTTGGTGAGCTGGTTGGAAGGAAACTTTGGAGTGTTCTAGAAAGAACTAGACCATCTGAATCACCTGTCCTGATGCCCTTGTGTGGAATAAAGGAGAAGGCACTGCCTTGTGCTGAGTACTTAAGTGTGCTGAGCACCTAGGTACTAAGTAAAGTGCTAGTTACTGTACTAAACATACCCATGGGCATGTGCTATCCCCTGAGTTTCTCCTGAACCTATGGAATATTGCCCTCATTTCCTCTATTCCCACCCCCAGCACTCCTTGAACTATCTGACATACAGGACAGCTCTCTTACCACAAGCTACCTGAATGTAAATATAATTCAAAGGAAGGACATTACAAACAGGAAATCAGCAATTGACTATGGAAGCTGAAATTGCTGTCTGGAGATGGCCAGATACTCTTTTCCTGGGTGGCTCAAGGAGTAGTCGGGTCATCTTCCCAGGGCCTCAATTGTGTCCTCTCCAAGCTGTCAGTATGGCCCTGTCATCCAAGACTTGTCCTCATCTCTGGGTTCAGTTCTCTGGGATAATTTAAAACCTACCTCCTTCTCCCCAAGACCTCATAATCTAGATGGAAGGAAAAGGGGGACATTCTCAGTTGTTTTTCATAATCATTTTACTACTACCCTCTGTCAGATCCTGCCCCAAGTCACACCTAGCCTAATGTTTTGTACCTTGACTCAATTGTTGGCCAGCCACTCCCTTTCCCTCCAATTAGGGTGTGTCCTTGAGTTGTTTTGTATCCTCTTCTGATTATAAACTATAAACATATACATTTTGACTACTGACCCCAAGCCAAACTACAAGGAAAATATTGTCCAGAGGGTGCTAATATGGGTGCTTAAATAATATGTGAATTATTATTATTTTTTGCCAAGCCCATACCAAGATTTATTTTGTTATTAAAAATGTGTGAACTTGGTTTTGAGTATTTTACATTTGGTCATTTTGAGTTGCAGGGAGATTCTGATTTCTGCATCTTCTTCCACCCTATGGGCCAAGTGCCCTTCACTGCTACTGAAGGCTTGTTTATGGCACATGAAATTGGCTAGGTTATTAGCATGATTTGCATTTTTGTTTATGTCAGAACTGTAGGCTGAGTAATAATTCACAGTACAAAAAAGTCAGTTCAGTTTATTCATAAGGATGGCTTATGACAAAGCAGCAATTCCATTTTTATCTTCCTAGGCATGTCAGACCATTTGCTGATAGATCCTGTAGACTGGTGTTGACCTCCACATATATGAGTGAATTCAATGACCTATTGGCCCTATTGCTATAGTCAATCATCTTGACAGCCTAAATTTCTGTAGAACCTTGAGTGTATTATTTTCTTAGACTAGTCTACAAGGGATGATAGGCAATAAATATGTTCCATGACTATTGTTTTATGTAAGCCACAAATTAAATCATATTTTCTAGTTGAATTACATAAAAAGCTTATGATCTTTAACTGCTGAGATCCATCTTCATTCAGAATTAAATGGCAGGAGCTTCCCTTAATTTACCTGGCCAAATCAAGCAAATATTGATTTTAAATGATCTGTATAGGTCTGAAGCTCTGGTTTGAAGATGTCTGTTTGAAAATACCTTTTGTGAAAATAAATAATAAAGTTACTCCTCCCTGTTTATCTGATTGTTAAATTTTGTCAATAATTATGATTCCTTAAAACAAAGTACAGGCTCCTATGCCCAGAATTGACAACAGAAATGGCTTTGAGATGATTCAGAACTATACTTTCTCTTATTAACATCTAATATGTATCAAAGCCTTTTCTCCCCGTTTAAGTAGAGAAGTAACCTTAAAAATATTTAAATGTGATCAAAGGATCTTGGTCATAGGATTCATGTGTAAGAAATGTCATAAATAGCCTCAATCAATTACTCATTTTTCATTTCCAAAGTTTTAAAATAGTTGACATGGAAAAAGTATTAATATGCATCGTATCTTGGAAACATGAAGAATTATCAACTATTCTGTTTCTTTACCAGCAGGTGGCATGACTTGTTGCTCTGCTGGTGACAATATAAAACCTAACCCACCCTATCACTTTAAATTGTTACATAATTAAAAGAGATTCCTAAAGTACTTGCCCCAAATATAAAAGTTGAAAGTTTAATATCCTTATGATATAAAGAGTTCTTACAAATAAATAAGTAAAACTTTAACATTTCAGTAGAAAAATAGGTGTAGGATATGAACATTCAATTTACATACACACAGAAGGTGGGTGGAGAAAGACACACATATACACATACCAAATGGCCAATAAACGTATGAAAAATGTTCAACCTCTTTATAAATTAAGGAATACAAATGAACCCAGGAAGATACACATTTTTACCTCCAAGTTGCAAGGTTTTAACAAATGATACCACTGATCACTGGCAAAGAGGACAAGATAGGCACCTTCATATTCTGCTATTTGGATATAAACAACCTTCTGAAATGAAATTTTTCAATATATATGAAGAGTCATAGAAATGCTCACGTACTTCACCCAGTAATTCCCTACCAGGAATTTATTCTATGGAAATAAGCAGAGATATGCACAAAAAATGTTATGTAAAAAAATGCTTATTGCTACGTTATTTCTCTATGTGAAAAACTGGAAAAAAACCTGAAGTTCTCAACAATAGGGCATGTATAATCAGTAATGATTAATCAATAGAATTCAGTATTTGGCCTGCATTATTATAAACCATATCTTCGAAGAATCTTTACTGATGTGTAATGTTGAGTGACAAGGGAAGGGTTCATGAAGGTATTTTTCAATTTGATCACAATTTGATACCAAAATAATTTTTGTCTTTTCCTTGACACCCAATTTCAATGACACCCAAATTGTAATATGGGTTATCACTGAGCAGTAGGTGAACAGGTTATTTTAATTTTCTTCCTTATCTTTTTCTGTGTTTTTTACATTTTATGCAGTGGGCACATAGTATTTTACAGTCAGGAAAAAGTATACACATTTTCAAAAATGGTAAGCCAAGCATTGGAGACATGAATCACTATCGCTTTTGTATTCCTCATGGAAATGAGATTCAATAGTAAGTTACGTGTCTGGGGAAAATAGAGCTCATTTGAGTCAGAGGTTGGAAAGCTCTTATGAATACTAACCTCAGAAACCTCAAAATAGTATGTGGTAGAATAATGACATGGCACGAAAAGCCACGGATGTCAGTCTGAGTTAAGGTTAGAGTAGATACATACAACAGTCATAAGAGAAAAAAACTTACTAATCTATGATCTCCAGTTCTGGTAACCTCTAGGGTCGGTCTGTGCCTCCATATCAAACCTTTATCACAGTGCAGTGTACTGGGGCTGCTGCAACTTGGAAGCCTGGGTTCTCGTTCTGGCTGCTCTGCAAATATATTTTGTACTTAACCTTGGGCAAGTCACCAACTCTCTGAACTGAGAGTTTTCTTCCAGGGCTGGATCGTTATTCATTTTTGGAGTTTGGCATTCTGATGCACTTTCTAGCCCTGCAAGGTAAGATGTAAGTCTCCGGGGTGTCTGGCCAATGCTGAAGCAGATTGAGGCTCCTTTTGGGCCAACCCTTGGATCAGAGGTGTCCGAAGTCATCTTGGTTCAGTCGTTTTTTAATAATAAGTTGCCGTGACATAAGTTATTGGAAAGGACCACAGTTGAGGGTAAGAAAGGCAGTTTGATTCTCTTGTGGAGGTTATAAAATGAAAGCAGAGATCTGTCCCTGAATATGAGGAAACCTCGTATATAGTTTAACAATGTATTTTTTTCTTACATAAAAATCTAAGTTTGAAATTACCATCAGACTAAATTTCATCCCATCTGTGGTAGAGATGGTTTTAAAATTGAGACTTTAGAGGCAGCAGATCTTTATCCTGTACACCTGATACATAAGAAAAGCCCAGTTCAGAGGACTTTAGTTTTTAACCTTAAAGACAAACATATTCAGACATATATTGTATAAGGATGTATTACAAACTTTTTTTTTTTTTGAGACAGGGTCTTGTTCTGTCACCCAGGCTGGAGTGCAGTGGCGCGGTCTCAGCTCACTGCAACCTCCGCCTCCAGAGGCTCAAACAGTCCTCCTGCCTCAGCCTCCCAAGTAGCTAGGACTACAGGTGCATGCCACCATGCCCAGCTAATTTTTGTATTTTTTGTAGAGACGAGGTTTTCCCATGTTGCCCAGGCTGGTCTTGAACTCCTGGGCTCAAGCAATCTGCCCTCCTCAGCCTCCCAAAGTGCTGGGATTATAGGCAAGAGCCACAGGACCTGTCCTACAAACTTCTTTTACCTTAACCATGGTATAGAAAATACAGGCTGATCCATGCATACATCTAAAATTGAAACAAAAGTTTAACAAAACAATGCCTATCCTTATTATCTGCAATGCATTATGACATTTTCTAGTCTGTTTTATTCTATACTATTAAGAAACACTGGCTTTGACCATTTCATGCTACAGTAAAGTATTGCAGCCTTCATTTGAAGAACACTGGTATAGAGGTTTTTGAAGAGGTGCGCATAAGGGAGAGAAAAACAGCTGCATGTCCTGACAACTATTAAGTATCACTCATAAATTTATTTTCAGCAACATGGGAAAGGAAAATAGATCCTTTCTTTATTAAGTTAATTGTGACAGAAACTGGGACAAAAATAACGTGGGAGGAACATGTTAAAAGAGGAGATTTACACATATCCAGTGTTTTCCAGCAAGAAGAATGCATCTGAAAGAGGTAAAACTGTGATTATCGAAGCAATCCTATTACACCTATGCAGATGAATGAAATCACCAACTTTAGGCAACATGAAAAAATAAAAGGGCCAAGATCAAAGTGGACCTGGTATTATTTCTAGCGTCCATCTTGGATTTTTCTTTTTTTGTCTGAATCCCCATCTCAGGGTATGAGTCGTTATGAATCAAAGGATCACCGCCCAATAAAACCATTCTAGACAGAAACCTTTTGGGGTTGGGGGTGCACCATTCTCCTCTTCTACAGCTTCCAGACCACTCATTGCCCATGGATACCCACCAGCCTCCCACGTTCACACGACTCCATCTGCTTTTTTTGGTGTCTGTGTCTTCTGGAGCATTGACCAGGCCAGTATAGGGTACCGTTCCCTGCACCCAGAGTTTCACTCCCACCTCAAACTCTTTTACCTCCTGGGGTACATGTCCACGCTTTACTCCTCTCCTGCCCTCCAGCTTCTTTCTTTCTTTCCTCCCATTTCTCCTCTCTTCCCCTCCCTTTTGCCTTTGCTCTGCAGAGACACTGGTGCCGTGACACACATCTGAGCATGGCTGGTGGGGCTGACCAGTGGTCACCAGTGCAGGATTTAAGTGGTTGGAGCTTAATAGTAGCTACAAGTCTTTAATTTCTTCAGCAGGTTTTTAATGGCCTTTGATGCACGTTAGAAAAGACATGGAAAGTCCTGAATTCAGAGCCTTCATGCTGGGTATTGTATAGTCAGACCAGCCCTGTCTCTGGACTGAATGGGTCTCTTGAAATCATAAATGCATTGCTTAGGGATCAGTAGCCTCGGAGTGACCTTTCTCACTCATGGCTTTCCTGAGGCTCAGAAAGGCCAGGCCTTGTCCTGGGTGAGCCAGCCTCTCAGTACCCTGATGGCATGACTCAGAAAGCTGGACAATGCCCTAGAATGACTTTCTCCATTAAGCCCAAGAAATATTGCATAGAATCAGTCTGTCTGGAAATTCCTTATATGGAGAGGTTCTGAGACGATTGTATGTTTGGTTTGCAAGAGGATCATGGTTTAAAAAAAGAAAAAAAAGCCTAAGGCAGTGATATCATATTACTTACAGGCTTGGTTAAAAAAGATAGAGAAAATACTCCTTCAAACGTTTCCACCCTAATTCTGGATTACACTGGGGACGACAGCAAATCCCATTCCACTGGTTCTGGCTGACCTTCCCTGCATCTTGGAGCAAGGAACTCTCACTGTCTGCCTGTTTCTCCCAGCACAGCACTGCAGAGAGGCCCAGAGGCTATAAAGCCCTGCCACGTGTTTCTCCAAATGGGTGGTTTTTATTATTTCTGGAATGCAGTCCCCAGCCCCAAATCCTAATATGCTGACAAGGCAAAAGCAAAAGAGACCTGTGGAACCCCACCCAGTGACAGTTTGGTGTCCCTCCCCATCTGGGCTTGGTGCCCACCCTGTGACCCTCACTCTTCCTACTTCCCCCAAGGTGGCTGGGAGTGGAAGGCGAATTGGAGCACATTCAAAGCCAGAGTGGAAGGGAGTGATTTAAGATCTTCCTGTGAGATGGAGTCCTGGGCGGTCGCTTATTGTGCAGACTGGATTGTGCTATGGGATCTGCTCTGCCTGTGGAGGGGGACTGTGTTTCTACATCCACCTCATTTCATCAGGCAAGGAGGAGGGGCAGGTAGTCTGCAAAATTCCGCTATGTGGTTTAACACAGTGAAGACCTGAAACCTCCTTGATCACCAGGAAAGAGATGGGGAAACTGTACCTAGGCGTTTCTAAGCCAGGAGACCGGAGCTCGCTGAGGAATAATTATGTGGAAACAAATGTAAAGTTAAACCTTAAAAAGACAATTTAAAATATATTTACATAAAGTTATATACTTCTCATTTTAAAAGATGATTTAAGGAGATTTGGGCCTAAGTAAGGAGACATGAAATAAAAGAAAAAAGGGATTTTTTTTCAGGAAAAAAAGTGCTCCCCAAGTAGAACAAGAAAAATTCTCCAGCATAAGTTTCAATTAAAAAAAAAAAAAGTAAATTGACTCTAGCACATGGTATGGGGCTAAATAATAGAGTGGAGCAGAACTGTTATGGGTCATTTTTATATAGGCCGTAGTGCGTAAACATTTTCGACTGTGTTTTTTATTCTATTTCTTAATAGATGAGGGGTGGCATTGAGGCATAGAGTTTTTAAGTGATTTGAAGTCAAGATATAATCATTCTTGGCCCAGCTTCATAGTTCATTCTCCAAAAATAAGATTTTCTAGTTGTTGTGTGAAATCCATAGTGAAAAGTCTGATTGCATAGGTGTCCATATGCTGGAGTTCTAATCATAGATTCTTCTGTTGTGTTCTCTTGTGTGTGTGTGAGTGTGTGCGTGAGTGTGTGCAGTTGCTATAGAAAGACAAATACCAACTAAGTGTAGAAACATCTTTGCACGTATCATAGAGAAGCTGTATAATTTTATCAGGATTCCCAGAGAAGAAAATGTGAAATGTTAGTCCCAATAATTTAGTAACAAAAGAATACACTGCCGTGTTGAGATGCCAAATAGAAAAGATAATATTTAGTGCAATCCAAGTGGCAAACAAATACATTTCCTTTTTAGGGCTATGGGGTGAGGCAGTACAGTGAGGCCTTGTTTAAGTACCCTCAACAGAATCCAGCCTTTTAAAAACCAATTCAAGGTCATCATTATGAACGTCATCCACAATTGAATTATGTCTTTATATTTGCAGTGTCTTCTTGGAGAGGACGTATCGGTTTGCCACCAGACAGAATGATGCCAGCTCTGGTTTTTTAATTCATATGTCTTTTAAAAAACATATCTGTCTTGGTATCCTCCCTCGATATCACACTGCCAGTAGTTTTTTTCTAAACTACCTTCAGTGTGCTTGTTTCTAAGTACTCTTCTATGTTAGTTCCCCAGGGCTGCCATAACAAAGTATCATCAACTGGGTGGCGTAAGTAACAGAAATGTATTGTCTCACATTCCAAGAGGCCGAAGGCTGGTTCCTTCTGGGGGTACTGAGGGAGAATCTGTTCCATACCTTTCTCCTCATTTCTAGTGATTTCTGCCATCCTCCCTCCTTAGCCTCCCAAGTAGCTAGAACCACAGGTGTGCACCATCATGCCCAGCTAATTTATTTATTTTTTTTGTAAAGACAAGGTCTTGTTTTGTTGCCTAGGTAGGTCTTGAACTCCTAGGCTCAATACTTGGCGTACTTGGCTTGTAGATGTATCATTCCATTATCTACCTCCAGTGTCACGTGGCGTGTTCTCCCTGTTTGTCTCTGTGTTTTCTCTTCTTATTCAGTCATTGAATAAGATTCCCACCCTAATCCAGTGTGACCTCATTTTAACTAATGACTTCTATAAAGACCCTTTTTCCAAATGAGGTCACATTCTGAGGTTTCCACGTGGACATTTGTGGGGAATACTGTTCAATCTAGTACACCTTCCTTCTATGTTGTTGTTCTGAATCTGCTGTGGATTGGAAAATCTAGTCACTAAGCTTGTTAGACCTCCTCTCTAAAGAAGAAAAAGAGAGAGAGAGACTTGATCCCGAATCTTCCCTAAGGAGTCTTCCGTCGTATAAAGTCTTTGAGCTGTAAGTGCTTTGACTTAGTGGTATCTATTTTGCCTGCTCAGAGGCTTTCCCTCGCTCTACCTTTTAATGTTTTTTTACTGAATTCAAAGCTAAATTTTAAGTTTTCTTTTCAGAGACAGGATGGTGCAGGGATGCGATCATGGCTCACTGCAGCCTTGAACTCCTGGGCTCAAGAGATCCTCCCTCCTTAGCCTACAAAGTAGCTAGGACCACAGGTGTCCACCATCACGCCCAGCTAATTTTTTAATTTTTTTGTAGAGACGAGGTCTTGCTATGTTTCCCAGGCCGGTCTTGAACTCCTAGCCTCAAGCGATCCCCCCACCTCAGCTTCCCAAAAGTACTAGGATTACAGGCATGAGCCACCATGCCAGGCCCACGCTGAATTTCTCACAGCTGATGCTGCTGGATAAAGAACTTCTGACACATGAAGTGTTACGCTTGGGTCTTTTAAACAGTTTTTTAGAGTGTTGGGGAGAAAATTAGCTAAGTAATGCTTCTGAGAGGTAGTCTAGGCCATGACTAGAAAGGCATGAGAAGAGGCTGCGTGGGAGAGGTACTAGAATGCACTCCTTCTTATAACTGAAACACAGATCCTTCTCTTCCCCTGGCCATCTGAGTTGTAGGAGACTGTTGTTGCTTGTGTGAGATTCTAGAGGGCCCCATCCCTGCCTATCTCTGGTGCTGCCTGTGAATTATACTCTGTTTTGGTGAAAATCACGCTCTGTCCAGCTGTGGGGAGCACTGTCTGGGACAAATTCCCTTCTCAGTTCAGTTTGTTAATAGTTTTTAAGAACTACCTTTGTGCAGATTTGTTCCCTGGACTGTTGAAAGGGAGGGCACTAGTCTTTAAAGACAGTGATAGAAACCCTAGTGGAAAATGCTCACCAACACAGTATGAAATGATAGAAAGATACTATTGGGAATTTGGGATCTCTGGCTTCAACCTTTTTATTTCTCTGCCAAAAGAAAATACGAAACCTCAGAGGAACACAAAGAAAGAGAATGATATTAAGCACAGAATGATTTTAATCTTTGGCAGCAACCCATATGCTTAAAAAAAAAAAAGAGGGAACCGTGTTTCCATTGTCATGCACCTGTCATTACACTGAATGAGTTCTTTTTCTCTCTTGATGGATGGTGGTCTTAAAAGCTTGCTGTTTTTCATTAGCAAAGTGAAATGGGGTGCCAGTGCTAATGCTTTGTCATTCTGATGGAGAATAATACATGAATCAGTGTAATTATTCAGTGTTTGCATAATCAGCAAGATTTTGAAGGGGAATGTTGCACAACTCAGAAGTGGCCTAATTTCACCTGACAATATTCCATTCAGACTCCAAGCATCTCCTTCAAGAAGCAGTGAAGTGTTGGTGGATTTCCTTAAGGCCCCATACAATGATGATGGGAAATTGAGTTGTCCTAAATCACTAGTTAATTATGATATGCCCAGCGGTCACTTGGAGGTTCTTGCTCTAGATCTCAGTTTATATTCATCCCTATTGTTTTAGAAATGTCATTTATTTATCATGCATGAAGCATGACATATTGTTCCACGTGGGTTCAGTAACGAACCACCAGCCAAATCCATTAAATTTCATTGAGGAGTGAAGTAAGACCCAGAAATGTGGGCAATTTGAGAGGAATCCCCCCAGGATGGCTCAAGTTGGATAAAGAGATAGGTCAAAGAAGAGACGCATTGGGAGTGATTTTGGAAAGCTAGGTAATTTTAATTTACACTCTTTTTTTAAAGAGAGTCTCTTTTACAAGAAAGTAGCCTATTAGTTGAGATGTTTTAGGGACCTTTGCAATGCCAGTTGGAAGGAGGGAGACTGAATTTTTTATTAACTCTTTTAAATCAATTTATTCCAGCCCAGCATGACACCAGAACCAAAAAATCTGAACAATGCCCCAGGGCTGGATCTTACAGTGACCCAGCTCATCTAATTTGGACTAGATTGCTTTTTTCATTAAAGCTAAAAATAATGTCAGGCAGGCCACCTTTCTAGTGATTTCTGTGGGTGAATCATGTCCTATGGAGGAGGCCTTGCCTTTCTCAGACGTAGCCAGTGCCATTTGAGTCCGGGTTTGCTCCCCTTTTCTCTGTGAAGCCAGCCTGCGTTGATCTTCATGAGGGGAGTGAACAATAATCGTAGATAACGTTTACTAAATGCTTCCCATGTGCCAGGTGCTGCTCTAAGCACTTTCTGTGTATGCGCCAATGTAATCCTCATAGCCTTCCAAGAGGGAGGCCCTATTATTATCCTCATGCCACCACGAGGAACCTGAGGCACAGCATGGTTAAACAGCATGCCCAAGGTCACACAGCCAGTGAGTAATGGAGATGGGGTTCAGATCCCAGCAATCTGGTCCTCAGAGCTTACTGCTCAATTCTGAAGACCCTCAAATACCACTGGGAAGTTCTTTAACTCAGGAACTTCTGTTTTCCAAGGCAGGACTCCTAAGAACCTTATAGGCTTGAGGCAAATGCATTCCATGTACAGGAAGTATGTGCTTTTGACACATAGCATCAGCCTCTTTCTGGGGCAACTGAAAACTTTTTCAAAAGCAGCACCTCCTTGGCTATGGGATGCAAGGATACTGTCATTCACGTCTGATGGAAAAATACATTTTATCCAAATCTTCTTTTTTTTTTTTTTTTTTGAGACAGATCTTGTTCTGTGGCCCAGGCTGGAGTGCAGTGGCATGATCTTGGCTCACTGCAACCTCTGACTCCCAGGTTCAAGCAATTCTCCTGCCTCAGCCTCCCAAGTAGCTGGGACTAAGGGACTACAGGCCTGCGCCACCACGACTGGCTAATTTTTGTATTTTTAGTAGAGACAAGGTTTCACCGTGTTGGCTAGGCTGGTCTCGAACTCCTGACCTCAAGTGATCCACTCACCTCGGCCTCCCAAAGTGCTGGGATTACAGGCGTGAGCCACTGTTTCTGGCCCAAAATCTTCTTAAAAAACAAAAGAAAATGGCAAAGCCTAGAACCAAGATGTCACCTTTCTCGGTAAAGCTGAATCAGAAAGGCCCATCTTTGTTGCTGGGGCAATATCTTGAAGGTTACCTGTGCCTCATCACTTGCTCTGTAACTATTTGTATTCCAGGTAATATGCGTCACTGGATGAATCCTTTTTAGTGATTAAAAAAAAAAAGAAAGGGGTCTCTACCCTTATGGGGTAGTGAGACATTAAGCAGATAATCACAAAATGCAGAGAAAGAAAGGCAAGCCCCTGGCATAGATGCTTGGTCCCTGGAAGCCCAGGGCAAGGCCTGCGAGGACACGCCCCAGCTGTGCATCTGCTGGGTGATCAATTGGCCAGTATTCCTGTGCCCTCCCAGGGACTACCCATCCTCTCCTCCAGTACAGACAGAAGGTGAGTGGTGTGCTGATGGCCAGCTGGGAGGGAGGTCTTGAGAGACATGTCAGGGGAAAAAATTGGTTACTATTTGATGGAGTGGGCTTGGTGGTTTGTTGCCTGGGAAACTTGCTGACTATAAAATGAACCAGAGGAGGATCCAGTTTGCTGTCTGCACTGACAGATTTACAGACAGGAAAACAAAGCCTTCTTACCGGATCCAAGTTAACATGAAAATTAAAAGGAGTCTATGCAAAGCGGAGTTCAGGACAGTGGTTTCTAAAGTTTCTTTTACTTACACAGGAAAGAAAATCACCCAAACTAGGTGAATGGTAAGTTTCTCTAAATGTCAGAACAATCGATTATAAGGCATTACTCAGTTTATAGCCAATTATCTACATTGATTAAGTATAAATTTCATGATAGTTATGAGAGATATTAAGATTTTAAAAATGGAAATTATTTTATAAAATACTTTTAAAAACCCATCTTTTGCACTGCACTTATGGAACCAAAGAACAGCTTAGTCAAGCCACTTCTGAAACTGTCTTCCATGAAAATTTCACCCTGAGGCTGCACAGGGCTCCTTAACATCCCCTCTCCTTCCTGTCTTCTGAGAATTAGGGGAACAGTCCCTCAGCCCCTCTGTTCATGGAGACCAGCTGAGACCCACAGAAGGGCCCATACCCAGGGAGATCTTTGCTGAGAGCATCTAGGAAATCAGCCACCTGTCCTTGATGTTACCCTGCCAGTTTTGAATATCCTTCTTTTCAAATTAATTGCAGAAAGACCAGGCTAGCTAAAACATTCATCAGAACCACTTGGTAGGGCAGGGGTTGCACTTATGAATGTACAGTTTTCAGAGGGTCTTCCAGGGTAGGACCTGGGAATCTGCATTTTGAACAAGCTCACAAGATGATTCTTCTGTTCATCAGACTTGGAGAGCCACTGCCCTAGGACGTGGATCCACTTGCCACGCACCGAGGAGATGTTGAGGTGGGAAAAGGAAACAGGAACGGGAAGGAGGTGTGTTTGCAGTAATGCAGGAGAAGACTCCTTGCTCTTTAATGCTCTTCGAAATAGCCCAGACCATGTGTTTGGACTGTGTACAAAGGGAGCAGCCACACTGTGGTGTGCTCAGGGAGAGGAGTTAGGAGATGGCAGCCTAACTCTCCAACTTGGAGCATTCACATGGCTGATCTTTCTCCTTGAACTTACTGAGGTTCTTCCCTACTCATTTCACTTAGCTAAGAATTACTACTCCCTCTTCAGGACCCAGCCTTCCCCTTCACCTGGATTAATTTAGGTCCCCTGTTATGTACCCTGCAGCTTGTGATTATCTGCTTACTACCTCACCCTCCATGAGAGTAGAGACCATGTCTTATTCATTGCTGTATCCACCAGCACCTAGCACAATGCTGGCACATAGTGGCTGCCCATTAAAGATTATCTTATTTTTAAAAAAATTGAATATAGTACTCTCATGTAAATCCCTGCACAGTTTTCTGCTCTTTCTAGATTTTAGAAAACTACTAGTTTGGTGCAAAAGTAATTGCCGTTTTTGCCATTTAATGTAGTAGACCACCTCTGAGGTCTTAAGCCTCATTGTTCCCTCAAACTAACTTGGAAAGAAATTTCCTGTTTCTAACTAAATGATTTATTCCCTTTCGGGAAAATGTACTAATTAAGCCTGTTTAAACTTAGGAGGGGCGGTAAGCAAAATCTCGTTTTTCTTTTTCCACAATAGACATTTGTTTCACTGTATGGTCTCATCATCTATCAGATGAGGACTGAATTTTATAAGACACGTTTGGTGATTTGTTGGCTTTATTGAAAAGATCACTAGCTCATTAGTAAGACTCTGGCCCAGCCTTCTAAGGCTGGAGAAGAACTTGATTTTTAAACAGTTTGTTGAGCGTCTCCAGGACACCCTCTGGACAGAGTCTGTTTGCTCAGTGGGGATACTGCTATCCTCTTCTGTCACCCCTCTGTGCTTTTATTCAGAACCATAGAGATAGTGGGCTGATGGGTTGGAAGAGAAAATGGGACGGGGATGAGGGCAGGAGGTGAGGGCAAAAGGGAAGAACTTCTCTTCATTTTCTACTTCCAGATACACCCTATATCCAGGAGGGAGGAAGTGGGACAAATGAAATAGAAATAAGAATTTAAGTGTATTCCTCAAAGCTGGCTTCTCTATGCATATTTGGTTTTTCTTCCTGAATATTGATGTAGCCACTTGAGTGCGCCACTGGGAGGAAAATCCTTAGCAGGATTAAGTTTATTTTAGGATTTGGCTGTGTGTATGTGTCTGAGTGGGTATATCATGTGGGATCTCATTTTCCAGAATAAGAGCTAGGCCTAGGCCATTTCCGCATCTTTTACATACCTAGGTTTTTACCCATTTTTTGAAATTGGGCTGATATTAAGTCCCATTTAGCTTTTACAAAAATAAATATGTTGACTTGGTGTGCAATATAAACAGAATGGCCCATTTAAAACAGCACCATAGTTTCCTAGGTCTTGATATCTGCTATTTTTACTTTATTAGATATGAATTACTGACTCAGAATCCATTTAATATTTTATACCGTTATTACTCAGAAAACCTAATTTGCATTCTTGTCTCTCATGTTTTAAATTTTTCTCTGGTGGTAACTGGCATGTATTAATATTTTAAGCATCACCGACTGGCTGCAAGCCGAAATGACCCCAAACATTCTGGAACTACCTGTTCTGCCTAATTTGCCAGTGAGGGATAACTTAAGCCCAGAGAGGGCTGCATATAGGACAGATTTTTTCCTTAAGCACCCATAACTTTCTTTTTTAACTTTTATTTTAAGTTCAGGGTACAAATGCAGGTTTGTTACATAGGTAAATGTGTGTCATGGGGGTTTGTTGTACAGATTATTTCATCACCCAGGTGTTAAGCCTAGTACCCATTAGTTATTTTTCCTGATCCTCTGCCTCCTCCCACCCTCCACCCTCCGATAGGCCCCAGTGCGTGTTGTTCCCCTCGATGTGTCCATGTATTTTCATCATTTAGCTCCCACTTGTAAGTGAGAACATACAGTATTTGGTGTTCTGTTCCTGCATTAGTTTGCTAAGGATAATGGCCTCCAGCTCCATCCATGTCCCTGCAAAGGACATGATCTCACTCTTTTTTATGAAGCAGCCATAATTTTCTTGCATCCTAATAGTGCAGCAGTTGGTGTCTGGGTAGGTCAGCTGTGGAGGTGATGCACAGCAGAGTTAGCGGGCAGCTGTTGAGTGCCATGTTTACAAAGCTTTGGATAAATGGGGGTGTCTTGGTCCATTTTGTGTTGCTATAAAGGAATACCTGAGGCTGGATTGTTTATGTAAAAAAAGAGGGGGTTTGGCTCATGGATCTGCAGGCTGTACAAGAAGCCTGGCGTTGGCATCTGCTTGGCTTCTGGTGGGGGCTTTTGTGTTTCATCAAGACATGGAGGCAAAGGTCAAAGTGAAAGTGGGCATATTTGAAGAGGGACCAAACAGAAGGAAGAATCTTGCTTTATAACAACCCACTCTCCTGGGAACTAATCCCATCTTGCCAGAACCAGGACAAACTCACTTCATGAGAACAGCACCAAGCCATTCATGAGGGATCTGCCCCCATGACCCAGACCCCTCCCACTAGGCCTCACCTCAGACACCCTCACATTGGGGATCAAATTTCAACATGAGATTTGGCAAGAACAAACAAGTCATGTCCAAAGCATTGCAGTGGGGAAGTCATTGATCATAGAACATAAAGTGAAGAAAACAGGACCAAAATATTGTGTTTCCACTGTGCCCTCAACTATGTAAAAAAATGGCTATGTGGAAAAAGTACTGGAAGGAAACATGGTCAAAGATGAACAAGGATGATTGTCTCTGGGTAAAGTGATTAGACACCTCTGCTTGCTGCTTCTTCATTTGTGGCATCCATATTGTCCACAATGGGTGTGGATTTGTTTTCATAATTTTTTAGAGGGTTTTAAAGAAAAACTGTCTCTGTGAGACTGAAATAGGTGTGGTCCCAAACTGGCAGTGCTGAGCTGGGCTCACCCAGGGGCCAGCCTCTCTCTCTGTGTTTTTTACAGTTCCCTCCCTGTTCTTTAGATAGTAAATAATCATTGTGTCATCACTGGGTTGTGTTTTTAATCACTTTTGACATTTCACAGTGATTCCTTTTTCTAAACACATTTTTATTTTTAGATAACTTTAGATTTACAGACCAGTTGCAGAGATAGTACAGAGAGTTCTTGTTTCCCCTTCACCCTGCTTCCCCTACTGTTAGCAACTTACATAACCGTGCTACTTTTTATCAAAACTAAGAAATTAACATCCTGTTAGTTAAACTACATGGCAGATTTTTTCCTGATCTCTCCAGGTTTTCCACTGAATGTCCTTTTACCATGCCATGATCCAATGCGGTATCCCACATTGTATTTAGATTGTGGTTCTTTCTAAAGGTGCACACCAGAACAGCATTCTAGCAGGGTGTGTTCCTAAATTATCCTATCTATGGATATGTTTTTTTTTACGTAAAAAGTAGATGTTTTTTTCCTCCAGGAGTGGAGAGAGGGACACAGTGAAGCAATTGGCCTCTAGCTCTTTGAAATAAATGGGATTCCTTGTTCTGCAAAACCTGGGGTCGGACCCCGTTCACTCCCCTTCCTACCCTGAGCATTATGTGGACTGACACCAGGTCTGTGAAGGAAAAACTGAAGAATAAAGAAAGCATTTGGAAAATCCCATGGTTGTTTTATTTTATTTTATTTTATTAGACAGAGTCTCACTCTGTCACTCAGGCTGGAGTGCAGTGGCGCAATCTCGGCCCACTGCAACCTCCACCTCCTGGGTTCAAGCAATTCTCCTGCCTCAGCCTCCTGAGTAGCTGGGATTATAGGCACCCGCCAACACGCGCAGCCAGTTTCTGTATTTTTAGTAGAGATGGGGTTTTACTATGTTGGCCAGGATAGTCTTGAACTCCTGACCTCGAGTGATTCACCCAGAATGCTGGGATTACAGGCATGAGCCACCGTGCCTGGCCCCATGGTATTTTTATAGCATTTCTTATAAATCAACCAAGTTTCTTGAAAACAATAATTTTTGTTCAGAAGTACTGTTGTGAGTGAGGAGAACATTGTGCAGCTCAGCCTGTGGACATACAGTGGCTGCAGCGTGGGCCCCAGGCTGCTCTCATGCTCGCTGGGCCTGCTGGGTCTGCTGGGCCTGCTGGAACAGGAAGCAGCAACGCAATTCCACCAGAGGAACCACAGGGAAACCAAGGCTGACTGAAGTCTGAGAAGAAAGCCTGTCTAGAGTCACAGGAGTGAAAATAAGAAAACAAAATTTAGTCAGGAAATTGCACCATGGAAATGTCTGGCGTCAGGTTCTATAAATTCCGACCCGACTATAGTCAAGTATTTGCCGAGCCACCTCGTGTTTGCTTCAGATCTGTGTTTGCTGCTTCTTTTTGCACAGATTTGTCTTTTGTTTCCTTCCCATTAAAAACAGGAGGCAGCGGGTTAGCTGTGCTGGGTTACACAGCAGCAGATGGTGTTGCCCACCATGGGCAGAGATCTCACATGAGAGAGCGGGGAGGGAGGGTGGACATGTCACACCCATGCCATTTTCCTGCTGGAAACTCTACCTCACACATGCAGGGACCACAATGGATTTGACAAGAACCACTCATATAAAGGCAGAAAGTCTTTTAATTACATAAAATCTGAAACTATGTGTTAGAAGCAGTGGTCTCTTGCCATTTCTGTGGATACCCATCTTCCATATAGTCTTACTCAAAGTTAATTGAAGACAAGCAGAAGTGAGGCCTGGAGTCAGTGTGGGGGTGATTTGTAATGACAAGTTGGAATTGAATCCTGGTGGGACATCACAGAGCTGGGTGATATGTGGCGTGTGGTGGTGGTGGTGGTGGTGAAGAAGACGGGTTCTTAAGAATACAAACCCTTGAACATGTCAGATTTAGTCTACTTTCCCTTCTTGATTCTCTGGGTTCCCCTTCTGTTAGTCTTCAATCAAGTCCTTTTTGGAAAGATTCCTTTCCCTTTGTTTAGAGAACATTGGTCAACTTTGAATAACAAATGAGAATAGAAATGACAAAAACGTCTCCAGGTCTCAGCTGTGGGACCTTATGAGCAGTGTTGCACAAAGACATTCCCCCCAAAGCCTGCTACTGTTACTTTTAGGATGTTCATTTAAAAAAAAAATCTCTTTTCCCTAGGTCGGGAAGATGACCTTCACCATATAATTTCGGACTAAAATCTGCAGATTGTAACCATAGTTAGGAGGCAGTTCTTCATTAAAATACCCTGCATTTAATCTTTCACATATTGTACAAAAGTAAAACCAAAACAAAATAATACTGAATGGTAAAGTAATATTATTTTTTTATTTTGCTAAAATTCCATGGGGTGTTCATTTTCTTTATGACTCGTCTCTTATTCCTAGCTCATTCTCGTGTGTCTATCACAGTGAAGTTGCTGTAGACACCCTCAGATTTCTAGAAATAGTATCTGAAGTGTTCCCAGAGGGAATAGGATTTAGGGCCAAGGAATTAGGATGGTCCCACTCTGTGCCCATGTATAATGCCACACAGACTGAGTGACTTTCCTCCAAATGGATATCGGGCTGGCATATTTTGGGACCTATTGAATGTTTTTGGTCCCATTCCAGTTTACTGTTAACAGCCTCATCTATTTGTGAACAGACACAGGAGTAGTATCTATATGACACAAAGGGATGTTTGACAACTTTTAGCTAATTTGGCCACTACAGATGGCCATGGGCAGGTGAGAGCCAGAACAAAGTGTTGGAGCACTGAGGTTTATCATTCAGCGGTCCCCGGCTTCCTGCCCAGCTGAGCTCATGACCTTTGCCAACCAGAGTTTTCCTGAATAAACAAACACAGGTCCCCTACCAGATGGAGAGGTGCTTAATAGAACCAGGCTGCCAGGCCTAGCAATTGTGCCACTAGTTGTGACCAGGCTTGGGAAATTTAGAAGCTGTGTCTTGTTTGCTGGGGCCTCTTTCCCCAGATCTGCTAGTTCTGGAGATTCCAGTAGGCACTGAGCATCTCACTGGTTCCTCTGTGTGCATTTTTCCTTGTGCTGTGAACCAGCATCCTGGTAATTCCTGTTAATCTCTGCACTTCTTCAGAGTGTCTTCTAAACCAGGAATCCTTTATCTGGGGAACTTTTACCCTGATAAATGCTGGTGCACTGCAAATTATTGAATGTCATTAGGGTGCCCCAGAAGCTAGATTATTCTAGACTCCAGATTGAACAATGGCTTATGTATTTTTCTGAGGAGGGCATATCCTGCGAAGGGAAGCCCAGACGTTCTGGTGAGTTGGAGGTGCATTGTTACCGTGTCCTTACACACTGTGTCCATTCACTGGTTTAGCACTTGATTGTAACAGCATATATTATTTTCTAAACTTTTTATCTACAAAATCTCGCCTCATCAACAAAATTGTTAAACTCCTCAAGAGTAGTGATCCTATGTTTGGTACATTTTGCTCCCCCCAGAGTACTGTATAGCAAAGAGCTAACTGGTGAAATGGCTTAAATTATAGGTCAAGGAGCTGGGATTTAATCCTGAGGGAACTGAGGAGCCATTGGTGGTTCCTGAGCTATGGACCAACTTAATAAAAACAGTAATTGAGAATGTGATTCATCGAGACTGTGTTGGCACAAAAATGGAGGTTATAGTTTTATGTATTCCCGTCCCTGGAAGTTTCTGATAGTTATACTAACAATAAGAATATGTGACAGATTAAATGAAAAATATAGCAGGATGTTTAAGTCTACACAAAGGTAAGGTCCTTCATTGTGACAATATGCAGTTTTGCACATACAACCATATTTGGAGCCTGTCTACACCATGTTCCCAGCATCAGTGGAGTCAGGAGAGTGGTGATGTTCTGACTGGTAGGGGCTGTTTTTGAAATATTTTCTAAAATCTCTTCATTTGTTAACAGTTTCCTCTCTAGTCTTGAGTAGCCTTTCTGTAGAAAATCTGAAAGCGTACAAGAGGTAATTGATTGATTGATTTTCTTTTCTTTTTTTTTTTTTTTTTTGAGACGGAGTCTCACTCTGTTGCCCAGGCTGGAGTACAGTGGCGCAATCTCATCTTAGTGCAATCTCTGCCTTTCAGGTTCAAGCGATTCTCCTGCCTTAGCCTCCCAAGTAGCTGGGATTACAGGGGCCTGCCACCATGCCTGGCTAATTTTTGTATTTTTAGTAGAGACAGGGTTTTACCACATTGGTCAGGTTGGTCTTGAACTCCTGACCTCAGGTGATCCACCCGCCTTGGCCTCCCAAAGTGATGGGATTACAGGTGTGAGCCACTGCGCCCAGCTTGATTTTCATTTTGAACATGCATATGGCCCCCCAAGCTTGCATCCCTGCCCTCTCTTCCTGCTTCTCACCTCCTCTCCTTCAGAAACACTGGTTTTCCTTTATGGCACCCACCACCACACTTGCTACTCCTGGCTGCCACTGCATGAAGGCAACAGGAAAGCCCAGCCTGGTACCCTACACCTGTGTACCAACCACCTCTGCTCCTCAACCTCACTTCCTTATGTACTGAATTTCTTAAGCCCTCTCTTGGGATAAACATTAAAGGTAGCAGCAAAAAATAGAAACCTGTCTGACTAAGTGAGCAAGAAGACGATAGGCGAAAGCAGGAAATTTTTTAATCTCATCCTCTTAAAACGTAAACAAAAACAAGGCAACTTGAAAATGAAATAGCATGGCCACAAAATAAGAGCTATGGTGTGCAAACTGAGCAGTAAAAGCATAAGATATGATAGAGATGCTTAAGGACAGTAGAAAGATGAGCTATCCACTTCTGACCTCAGATTTCATGGACGTTTGTGATAACTCAGATTCGGACAGTGCTTTCCAATGCAGTTCCCATATGTTACCCCATTTAAATCTCAGAGCAACCCTGAGATAAGAATTGTCGTTGTTCCCATTTTGCAAACCAGGACTTGGTAAGATTTAGGGACTCAAACATGATTCTTCTGGTTCCAGCTTCTGTTGCCGTGCACAATATGGGAAGCAGTGTTTCCTCTGACCCACACAGGGACACAGAGCAAGACCAAAGTACCCCAGAGGTCCAACTGAGTATCAGAGCAGAAAAGAGCTCTCAAGAGTAGCCAGTCCAAACTCACTCCCCATTCCCCACTGCCCTTTTACAGATGAGGAAACAGACTCACAAAGACCTTGTAAGTCACGAGTCAGAACTGAGTAGTAGCATCATTACGGGCTGGAAGATGTTAAACCTTCCCAGTTCCTAATCCTTGTAGGTTTATTTGTAGAAGGCAATAAATTATAAGTCAGCTCCTCACAGCAGCCCAAGTGGCCAGTGACCAGCACTTAGTCAGTGCTTAGAAAATGTGTGTTAAACAGATGGAGGAATGATTCACTGACTTTAATTGTAACCGTATGCAAATCAGTGCATTTCTTTTATATCTGTCTTGACCTACTTTTCCTACCCAAAGATGTTGTTTTTCACTCAGTTTGGAATGAGAGGGTAATGTTTGTAGAAATCCCAAGACAATCAGCTGAGAGGCCCTGTAAGTGCATAAAGTACCATTAGTGGTATTATTGAGTTGCTTTTCTATGGTACTGTGGGTTAATCAAAGGCCTTTGTCATTGTTGTTTTAAACACAAATCTCCAATTTATTATTTAGTTCGTTGCTTTTATTAACTTATTTGAAATGCAAATAGCAGCAAACACAGGTCAACAGCTGCAGCTGTGGGATGCAGCCAGTGAGAGCCAAGGGACAAGATGGAGATGGGATTCCCGGGGACAGGGAGCCATGGGCTTCCCCACCCTCCCTGGGGACTGACTGGGGAGGACACCTTTGATTACAGGGATCGGGGAGGGTCTCAGGGGCAAGTGGGCAGCAGAATCTAAAAGGAATGATTGATCTCAGTCCCTGGAAGTGGAGAAAAATGACTAGACAGCCTGTACCTTCCTGATAAGTTTCCCCTAATAGATTCTTGCTGTAAAAGCAAAGCCCAAAACCTTCCAGTAATTGCTTCTGGACTGTGGGAAATGACAGTGCTGAAGGAAATAATACAGGCAAAGCAGTTTCAGTAATGCCTTGCACATAGAAAGCAGTTACTAAATGCTAGCCTTTATCACTCTTTCTTGCTCTGTCACCCAGGCTGGAATGCAATGGCACGATCTTGGCTCACTGCAACCTCAGCCTCCCGGGTCCAAGCGATTCTCCTGCCTCAGCCTCCCAAGTAGCTGGGATTACAGGCATCTGCTACTACACCTGGCTAATTTTTTTTTTTTTTTTTTTTTGAGATGGAGTCTCGCGTTCGCCCAGGCTGGAGTGCAGTGGCACGATCTCAGCTCACTGCAGGCTCCGCCCCCCGGGGTTCACGCCATTCTCCTGCCTCAGCCTCCCGAGTAGCTGGGACTTCAGGTGCCTGCCACCTCGCCCGGCTAATTTTTTGTATTTTTAGTAGAGATGGGGTTTCACTATATTGTCCAGGGTGGTCTCGAAATCCTGACCTTGTGATCCGCTCACCTCAGCCTCCCAAAGTGCTGGGATTATAGGCATAAGCCACCGTGCCTGGCCTATCCCCCGATTCTTATGATAGCCCTTGTAATCTGATGTATTAGTAAGAGATAGTGGGAAACTCTAAACGATGCAAACCTAAATGAACCTTAAATCTTGTCTCACTTCATACAACGATTTAGGTGATTAAAGCAGTTGGAGAAAAGAAAGAGGAGAGGTGTTTGGGAAAATGTGAATGGATTCCTTTAAACACAGCACAAGGGAGCTGCCCTATGGTTGAAGGGGAAGGAAGTTTTCAATGGTGTTTGAATTATGTGATTTGAGTATGACTAATTTGGAGAGGACCACTGATGTATTGATTGGTAAAGTAATGACAACTTGAAATTTTGGTGATTTCCTAATGAGACCCAAATCCTGGGCTCAGTGGAAATGAATATGGAAGGCGACAGGTAGGATTGATGTAATAAAAAGCTGGTGCCCTTATTGTTCTAAGACTCGTATGTGGTGAGGCAGTTTGGGTATAAGTGCTCATGGGCAGAAGACATTTGAATGGAGCATAACTAGAGACAAGAATCTGGGCCCAGAGAGGTTTTATGTAAATGCATATAATTTGATGTTGAAAGGGTTCACTTATGCAGAAAGTTAGAGATTTGGGCAACATGGCCTAATCACTAGTGATTATAGCAACACCCATTTCTTGAGTATCCACATGCCAGGCTTCTTACCTGTAAGACCTCACTTAATCCTCACAACAGCCATATGGGGTGTGAGTACTGTTATTCCCATGTACGATTGAGGAACCTGAGGGTCAGAGAGATTAAATAATCAGCCCAAGGTCATAGTTAGCAAGTTGTAGGGCTGGGATTTGAACTTATGTTTGCCAGTCTCCAAAGCCTCTTTCAGAGCCTCTAGAAGAGAAGGAACCTTGTGCAATCAAGACTGGAAGAAAAAAAACAGTCCTAGATGAAAGATTGTAAAAAGGCTGCTTTTGGAACTCACAGAAGGGTACTGAAAAAAAACTGTAGAAAGGTGATCTTTCTTTGAAGAAGAGTGTTTAGATTAGTACAGTATGTTACTACTCTGTTGTCCCTACATTTGGACTTATTTCTTAGGAGTCCTTGGTGATTCTTTGGAATTTCTCTGAAGAGAGCAAAAATGTCTGGTGTCTGGAAGCTACTAAAAAGGCAGATAGATAGTGTATGTTAACATAATGAAAAATATCACTAGATGCCTACTTCCTGTGGACTAGCAAGTAAACACTGGGCCATCTTCAAGCTTGGCTGTGTATGTACAAATATCTGTTTAAGTTGACCATCTGCTGTTGTATTGTTGATAAACACCATTATACCAGTGATTTAACTTATGCCCTGGAGGAAGAAGTGCCTTCTAGAATCTCTTAATGGCCATAAAACATTGGCGTTGATAGATTTTAGAGGCAGGCAGCCTTCAAGGCATTCAATGATGAAAATAAAGAAACATTTGTGAAAATTCAGTGAAGATTTCAGAGGCCCTACAGGAACTAGGAGCTTCATACCAAGTTCACATTTGAGTCTGAGTTCAGTTTTAAAGGAAATGACTTTCCATGACAGAATAGTGTGAGATCCAGGCCTTACTCATGGTTGTTGAGTACATGCAGCCTCCAGCCACACGAAATAATACGTTCACCTGGTAAAGAGTGGGGGCTTCATCAGAATCACACCCAACTAGCTCCTTCTCTATGCCTTGTCTTCCTCCAGCGTCTTGTAGAGCTAAAATGTGATGACTCTTTTAGTTTGTATGGAGGAGGGTAAAAATGTGTTTTCAAACTGAGCAAGGGAAGAAGTTTCAGCCATTCCTTTATCTTCTTCCCCTTTTTTTGTATTTCCATTTTCACTTTGAGCATAAATGGGAATCAGAAGGTAGGAGGGAGGATGTTATTATGGATCAGGGACCGAGAATAAAGGGCAGTTTTCAGCTGTATGTTGGAAACTTAAAAAAAAAAAAAAATCCAAACCAAAAAAACTTTCTGTATTCATTCCGTTTTGGAAAAGACTCTGAAAAAGGAATCACATCTTTGATCAAGAGCAATGGTATTAGGTCTTTTACTACAAATTATACTTTTCTGTGAGCCTGTATTTATTTTGCCAGGCTTGAAATAGCTGATGTTATTTAAACAACTGTGTGACTATTGTCTAGGAAATGAGTGTAGGCTGGGAATAGCCTGGCTGATTACATTGTTTAGAAATGAGCCTTATTTTTTGCAGTCCCTTTAGGTGGGAGGGTTCATGAATGTTCCTGTGGTTGGTTGTTCCATGGTGTCTTCTGTTTATATCAAGTCAGTAGCCTCATGATGTCATCATTTTATTCTACCGTATATCATTTTAAGCCTACTGAAGAATGAACAGAGCTAGTTCCATTCCTTGAGACAGATATATAGGCAACATCAAAGAAGACTAATCTTTGATTAGTCTTTGAAATCTCCTAATCTACAGAAAGTAGAGACTAGGGCAAACAGTGGGGCTCCCACCCTCTCCACCTCAGGGACCAGAATCCTCATTGTGATTTGCTACAGGCTTCTTTGTCTCTGGAGAGCTTCAAGAGCAAGCTAGACTGACCATGGAAATAAGTGACAGTTCATTGGTCAGGGGCCTCAAAGTGTTACCTGGATGAATGAGAGGGTCTAGACTTAGGCCCAGAGAGAGCTGGGGATTTCATAGGCTAGAAAGACCCCAGAACATAGTACAATTCAGTTGCCTAACTCCAGTGTACACCATTTACATCATATGACTAGTGAATGGTACCCCTGGGCCTGGGGAGAACATGTTGTTTCTCCTTAAGATTCTGGTACATCCACCTTCAAAGATCCCAGGCCAGGGGACTGAGAAGAGTGCAACCCTGAGTCAGCCAGGGTGTTTGACTCAGTGGTACTCAGGGGACAGAGAGAGAAGATGAGCCTCCATGCCAGATGCATGTGGGTTTGAGTCACAACTTTGGCACTCACAAGCCACCTGGCTTTGGATCAATCACTTAATCTCTCTATACCCTGGTTTTCCATGTGTACAGTGAAGTCAGTCATACAGCTGCCATTGAGAAATGGAATCAATGTCATAATAATACTCAAACAATACATAATAAGCAGTCAATACATGGTGGCTATTGTGGCTCATATGAATAATAGTACTAGTGCTGGTGTGCCAATGAAAGGACAAACAAATGAAAAATACTGCTCTCTGTGAGACTCTTTTCAACCCAAAGGGCATCTTGCCCTGCATGGCCAGGATTCTGCAGATAGATGGACAGGGAAGTTGCAGTTGGTGAAGAGTCACAGTGGCATTCCTGACTTCCTCTGCCTGTCTTTTCTATCCCAAGGGACTTCTGCTCCCTCAGCTCACACTTAGGTTCTGCTGATGGTGTGCTGAAAACATAGGTGTTGAAAAAAAGCAGAGCTGGCTCAGCGCAGTGGCTCACACCTGTAATCCCAGCACTTTGGGAGGCTGAGGCGGGCAGATCACTTGAGGTCAGGAGTTCCAGACCAGCCTGGCCAACATGATGAAACCCTGCCTCTACTAAAAATACAAAAATTAGCCAGGCATAGTAGTGGGCGTCTGTAATCCCAGCTATTCTGGAGGCTGAGGCAGGAGAATTGCTTGAACCCGGGAGGCGGAGGTTGCAGTGAGCCGAGATCGCGCCACTACACTACAGCCTGGGTGACAAAGCGAAATTCCGTCTCAAAAAAAAAAAAAAAAAAAAGAAAGAAAGAAAGAAAGAAAAGAAAAAAACAGAATTGACAGCCAGTTCAGAAACCTTATGAAGAGCTAGTACTAAGTTATCATCACCAGAGAGTGAAAAGGACCTTCAAGTCCAAGACAGCACTGCAGACACATCACGCCATGCCAGGCAGGGGACTGAACTCAGTGCTGCGTGCAACCTAACATTCTGTGATGAAGGATTAAGTCATGCCACTAGCAAAGTGGGTGTGATTGGCGAGAGATGAGTGTCTGAGCTGGGGAGAAAGGAAAGAACCAAAATAATGGCAGAAATATTTTTATCCTGTAAAAGTAAAAGTCACTGTCAGTGTGACAATTGAAAGACCTTTTCATTCCCTCTGAGATATTTTCAAAGTGATTAACTTGAAAAATCTTCGATGTAAGGGCTGTAACATGACTGGGGGGGCATCTTTTTTTTTTCTCCTTCTTCTCTTACTTCTTGGAGGAAAGATGAAATAAAATGGTTTTAAGAAAACGAAAGACATCCTGAAAAAGAAAGTTAACAAAAACACAAAAGGAAAAAGCTCCCTATAAAAAGCTTACTACCTGCTCCCTGCAGTTACAGGTATCATTTTATGTTAGCGCTTATGAAATATTTCTAAAAAAAAATAAAGATGTTCACATGGGTTTTGCTTCCTTGCTTAAATTCTGTCACCTCGGTGGAGTCCAGGGTCTTTGCTGCTTACACACATTGTGCGGGACCCAACATAGTAGGGACTTGGTAAATGTTAAACCATCATCATTAAAAAAACACTTTCTCTTCCACTTTGAGTCCTTTAAGTTTTATGAATGCATGCGGGCAGAATATTAATTCCAGCACAGTGAGTGTTGCTCAGGAGTGATTATGCCACCTGGCTTGAAGCCTTCCAGTGCACTTGTGGGGATTTTCATTTCACTCATCATTTAAAGTTTGTCATGAGGGGTCTCTGTGAAAGAAAAATATAGAGGAGCCTCGGCTGGGTGTGGGGGCTCACGCCTGTAATCCCAGCACTTTGGGAGGCTGAGGTGGGCAGATCACGAAGTCAGGAGATCGAGACCAGCCTGGCCAACATAGTGACACCCTGTCTGTCCTAAAAATACAAAAATTAGCTGGGCATGGTGGTGCGTGCCTATAGTCCCAGCTACTTGGGAGACTGAGGCAGGAGAATTGCTTGAACCTGGGAGGTGGAGGTTGTGGTGAGCCAATATCACGCCACTGAACTCCAGCCTGGGTGACAGAATGAGACTCCATCTCAAAAAAAAAAAAAAAAAAAAAGAAAGAAAAATATAGAGAAACCTAAGGAGAGAAGACTCACTGGACATACTGTGTGAAGAGTTCTCTGACTCTAGATAGCTTTGTAAATAAGGCAGTTATGTTTCCTAGTCTATTTCTTTTCCAAAAGAAGGGAGGATGTGTGATTGCCTCTAGCCCAACATTTGTAGCCAACTGGATGAGATTCCATGCTTTTACCATCATTGACCCAAATAGGTAACCTAAGAATTGAGCTTAAACTGCTTCTCTTGCAGCCCATCTGTGCTTCCAATAAGGAATCTGAGTCATGTCTAGATTAGGAATCAGATACTTTTTTTGCCACTTGAGATGAGCTCATTTAATAGAATGCTTCCATTTGGTGTGGGATAAAGTATGGATATAGGAAGGAGGTGTCGGGATCATAGAGCTGTAAGGGCATGAGGTCCTGTGGGAGCAACCTCAGCCTCTTGCTTTGGGGAGGGTGAATGTGTGGATACCTGCACATTACTCCTGGCTCTGCCATTATCTTGCTGTGTGACTTCGGACAAGTCACTTAGCCTTTCTGAACCTTAATGTCTTCATCTGTAAAACAGAGGTTTGGAATAGATCCATATAAATTCATATTTCTGTAACCCTGTGTTACAGGCTATATGACTTTTTTCTTTTTTCTTTTCTTTCTTTCTCTCTCTCTCTTTTTTTTTTTTTCTTTTTTTTTTTTTTTTTTTTTGAGACAGGGTCTTGCTCTGTCACCCAGACTGGAGTACAGTGGCACAATCAGGGCTAACTGCAGCCTTGACCTCCAGGCTCAAGTGATCCTCCCACCTCAACATCCCAAGTAGCTAGGACAAGTACTTGGGACATGTACCACCACACCTGGCTAATTTTTTGTAGAGGCAGAGTCTTGTTATGTTGCCCAGGCTGGTCTTGAGCTCCTGGGTTCAAGTGATCCTCCTGTCTTGGCCTCTCAAACTGCTGGGATTACAGGCATGAGCTGCCACGCCCAGCCTGCTATAAGACTTCTAATTGGACTGCATCATTTCATCCCAGAGACCTGGTTCCCAGGGTTTTCACAAGGTAGGAGGCATTGTTTCATAGTTCAGGTGAGGGTGTTGATAATCTAGGCCAGGACTGTGACAAGGGTGACATCATCTGTGGTATGAAATTTATTTTTAGCATCAGAATTTTGGGGGCATCTTGAGTTGAAGAGCAGTGGTTCCTTCATTGAATGACACTAATTTGGCTATTCTCTGGGTCTCTTCTTACAGTTTAAAAAGGGGCTGATGATGGGCTGGATGGGAACTGTTTCCCTGGTAATGTTGCCAACTCATCTCTTTGCTGGTGCCAGCTTTCTTGTCTGAGTTGTAGAGCTCATGCCTGATATGACAGTGGCAAAGGATCATGGAAATCATGTGCAGGGTAACCAGGGAACCAGCGCAGTTGCCTTCAGTAATTAACTAAGACATCCATTCTGAGGTGGGTGGGACCTCAGTTCCAGCTCCTCTGCATATCCTCAGGGACAGGGTAAGGCTTGTGGTCTTAAACAGAAGAGCTCTCAGTCCGCTGGGTGAACATTGCTTTCCCTGCGTGTTTTTACTTGCAAGGGTATTTTGTTCAAACAATTTTAATATTTATTTGTTAGGGGGTTTTATCTCTATTCATAGGTGATATTTACCCATGAATGAGTATTTTTCTTGGAAGAGTCTCTTTCCTTTCTTCCTTGTTTTTTTCCCTCTTTTCAACTGGGTTTACCTGTTAGCAATTGGACATATATGTCTTGTATGATACAGTGCCCTACTGTTGCTATTTTAATACCATGAGAACTTTGAAAGGCTAAAACCAAAGTACAGGACCCACTGAAGCCTACACTTTACAAATAAAAGGTAATTTTGTCAGCTAATTTGTAGTGGATTCCTTGACCTTAATCTTTCTTGGTCCCCTGGTCAAAATATAGTCACCCAATTTGCTTTTTTTCACATGTCCATATTTTAATTCTTTGCCAATCATTGTCTGATAATTGTCTTAATTATTTGTTTATTTTTGCTCCTCTGCCCCTACTAGAATGGAAGTCTTGCTGACCACTATCTCCAGGACCTGGCATATAGGAAGTTCCTAATATATATTTGTCAAATCAATGAATGAATGAATAGATACTTAAGTCATAGAATATACGTCAAGTCCACAGACCCAGAATCTAAAATAAATCGGAATTTAAAATGTTGTACATCAGTTGGTTAAAACGCTAATAGAATAGAGATGTTACTTAGGGGATTCAATGGTCCGAAGGAGTCTGTGGCCAGGAGGAAGAACCAAGAACAACCAACAGTCCTGTTCCTGGCCAAAAACCAGGAACAGGACCTTGGGCAAGTCACATGACCTCTTGGGCTCAGTTTTCCCATCCACTAAATAAGAGGATGGGATGTAATGATCATTAGTTCACTTAGCCATTTATTGAACAGGACTATATCACTACCCTAGATGAAAAAGCAGTGCCATATAACCATAAACATATTCATTACATATAAAATATGCATTACTATTAAAATGTGAAAAAGCTCATAAGTGTATCACCCCAATCTTGCATACTGCCAGTAGAACATGTACTGCATGTTGGGAGACACCGTGATAGAGCATGCTATGTGCTGTGACAGAGCAAGCTACAAAGCCTAACTGTAGAACCAGATAGACTAGAAGGGAGAAATCCTAGTGATAGCAAACATTTCAGTAGCTCTGAGATCCCATCATGTTCTACCCTCACAACAACTCTTAGGGTAGGCATTATTATTATCCCCATTTAATAGACAGGGCTCAGTGTTACTTGCTCCAAATGACACTAGTGGCAAGAGGACTTAAACCCAGGTCTTCTGGCTGCAAGTCCCAGGCCCTGAAATTTTACCCTGTAATATGCTAGCTGTGGTTTGGCAAATGTAGGAGAAACTACATCATGTACAAGGTATATCCCAGCACTTTAAGCCTCAGAGAGTTTTCTCAACATTTTCTCCTAGAGTAATAGCTTCTGTGGCTTGTACAGAGCCTCCCTAAGCAGCACTGATTTCATGATCGTCAACAGAATCCAGGGAGGTAAGGGCAGTGTGCAGACCCCTTTCCAGCCTCTGGGGAGAGAAAGAAGTGGCCACTGGAACCTTGGTGGAGAGGAGTATTCCAGGATCCCGGTACACGATGGGCATCTGTTTGTAAAAATGCATGTAAATTTGGCCTCCAAAATATTCCGTGTAGTCTAGTTCTCACTGAACTGTGGCCCACTGATAACAGCAGTGTTCACTCCCTAGAGAGGTCGAGACAGCAGCTTCCCAGCACTCAGAGGTGTCTTCCTGATTCTCCCCCTGGCTCTGTGAGATAACTCCCTTTAGCCCTTTTTTTGTCTGCAGCCAGCAAGACCTGGTGATAATGTGAGGCCCGAGGCCGAGCTAATCCTCCCTGTAGAAATCCAACAGTGAAGCGTCTTGTCTTTATGACTATTCGCCGAGGATGTGTAAAGGGAAATGCAAGCCCCAGGCAGCAGTAGCTGGCTGGGTTCCAGAGTCAAAACTGAATTAAAAACTCATTAAGTAGTACTTTGAGCTCGCAAGCTGACTGGCGCGCAGTGCTGGGAAAGCTGATGGTGGAGGAAGGGAAGGGCTGGCTTCTTCCCGTTGGCAAATGGCAGACTGTGGGCAGGACGGGGCAGTCCAGGAAACAAGATGAAACACAGCCCACTTGTCTGTCATGCAGACATGTTTGTGAGTATAGCTTTTGGTACAGCCACATAATGTATGCTAATTGCTATATTCCTTCTTTTTTTTTTTTTTTTCCACGGGAAATGGCTCGGTGAGAAAGCTCTGAAACCAAAGAGGCAATGCAGAAATGCCAAAATGCAGACATTACAAAAGAGAGAGGAGGAACAAAGGGAAACAGGGGATCCAAATTTACATCATGGTTTAGCGTTCTGCTAAATCAGCACCTCCCTGGTCCATGCAAGTCATATGGAAAATAATTGAGCAGAATTTCCTATTTGGGTTGATTTTCACTGCATCTATCTCATAGGTTGCAATTTGTTAATTGGATTTTTTTTAAAACAAGAAGCAAAAATTTTACCCCCAAGGACTAGAAAGTTAGCAAGTTAAGTTGAAACTCCAAAGTAATTATCAGAGCTTCCAGAAAATATTAATAAGACAGTATGAGCTGGTTCTCTCTCTACTACTGTTCTGAACAAGACACTTCTCAGTTGACCACAAGACTCAGATGCAAACTGGGGAAAGCACACAACTGAGCCCACTTAAAAGAATCATCCATCTGTAAGAAAACTCATTCAGAATATTTTGTATGTGCCAAGCTGTGTACCTCTAGTGTTCCGTTAGATATCCTTTTGCAACTGTCATTCTTTAAATCAAATAAAAACAGACCAAGATATTAAAGGAATGCTTTGTCTAATGAAGCAAGAGTGCACAGACATTTTATATTGAAAGAGAATGGACCAGAAATGAGAAATATATTTTACTTTGTCATTGGAGTCAAAAGAAGTATTGATAAGTAGACTTTCTTTCCCCCAGTAACCCTTCATTTTTTTTAAATAAAAAAGTAACATTCTTTAGAGCAGTTTTGTAGTTACGAAACAGGAACTTTTATAATGAATTTGATTAGATGTGACGGAAGGAAATGCAAGTATTTTTCAGAACGATGTAGATAACACATTAAGGCATCATCTTCTGTCATTTAAGAATTATGAGAATAAAGAGAACTGGAGTCGGGAATGTGGTTAGACTCTCCTCTGGAGGGATAGCTGACGCACGGAAAGCACTGCTCCTCCACTTGGCTCTTGCCCCTGTCCAGCTCCTGTCGCTTGGCCAAGGCCCTGAGCTGAGGAGGGCCTCAGGCTTGCTCACCTCCTGCCTTTCCAATCCTTAACTTTGAAGCCTTGCATTTTCCAGATATCTGAGTTTACACTGAGCAGTGGTGCCCTCGGCAACCTTAGGGTGCTCCATCTCACCTTCCAGCTTCTCCAGCAACAGCCTCTGCTCCAAAATAAATGAGGTGTTCAGTGTTGCTTTCTGGGCAGGAATCAGATGTTCTTTCTTTCAGTTAAACTCCAGAGCTCTGGCAGAGCTTGATTTGGTCCATTTTTCTCTAGGGCCGGCTTACCTGTTGGCATTTTTACAGAGACAAAATATGCTCCCAATTTATACTATTTTATTTACGAAAGAGCAAAGAGTAATACATTCTAAGAACTTTGATTAGCATACATATGGATCATTGCATATATTCCAAGTGTATATAAATACATAAAAAATACCCAATGGAGAATAATGCAAGACAGGAATGTAGAAAGTGATTTTATGCATGCTGCCTTTCTTAAGAGAACTTGTTACTTCTCATGGAAATTAAAATCTGGGGATTTGCTCAAGGGCAATTTTCCCCAAAGTCCCCAGATTATTTCCCTCCCTCCTTGGACTCATTTTAAACTAAAATTTCAGTCTTTTAAAAAGAAGATAGAAGAGGACAGAATTTATTTGACTACCTTGTTTGACTTGCTCTTTGTCATGGGTTTCAGACCTGTTTCTCAGGAGAGCTACGTCTGTTGGTTCAGAGTACATTTATCAATGCCTTGAAAATGCCCATTGGCCAGATTTGGTTGAATTGCCTCAGAAACAAATCTCTGTTTGTTAAGTAAACCATTAATTAAATATATGGCCCAGAACTTAATTCCTTTGGTTTACTACATCACATTTTCCTAAATAAGCAGATGTATTCTTTCAATTATAATATCCCAGAGGTCAACGGTACTCATCTTAAAACAAATAAAAAATAGGTTGTTAAGGTAAGAAATCAACCTTCAGCAAAAAATATGGTTTGGGGGCATACTGTGGCACCCCATTAATAGTGACCTTGTGAAGACCTTGTCGTTGAATATAAAATCAAAATGAAATCTAACGATGCCTCATTTTAATTCCTTAAGAGATCTTAAGGGGTGGCAGAATGACCACAGGCAAAATCCAATGCGCGTGTGAGAAAACCAAACACACAAACAACTCCTGACACTTTGGGGCAGTTTTTGGCCCTAATCACTTGAAAAGAGCTAGGCAATGTCTTCTTTTTAATTATTTATGCATGGCAGTGGGTTTCTTCTAATGATGGCCCAGGTGTATATTTTTCAGATCCTGAAGGTAGATCACCTGATTTGCTTACTTCTAAAGACAAAGTAAGCAAATCACACTTTGATTGTTTACTTTGCTTGTTAAATCCCTCTGAGTGGGATTTAACATAATAGTGTGGATTGAATCACACACACATTTCAACCCACACTATGATGTTAAATCCCATTCAGAAGTGGAGTGAGTGTTTGTGTGTAACTATGGGTATCTATATTTTTAGTTGTCCTTTTTTGCAAAAGATTGTCATCACCTAAATCCCTATAGGTGGAAGGCTCGGATCTAGGCTTTGTGAGATTTACATAGAAATTGCCACCTTCACAGGAAGTTCAATGAGAGGTACATGAAAGTATGTAAAAGCATTTTGTTAACTAGAGTCTTATAAGTTGGTTGGAGGCAATAGCTCATATAAATACTATGTACATCCTCTAATTGAGCTATATAGTATAGAGACTGTTAACTGCTATACCAGAATTTGGGGATAAGAGACAACTCTGGGAATTGAAGTGGACAGAGAGATACTCCCTGAGGAAATAAAAATATGAGCTGAACATGTAAGAAATGGATTAGATTTAAGTAGGTATGATGCCTTATTTTATGGCACAGTAAATTCTATCACCAAACAACACTCTTTATTTAAAACAACCTTCAAGCAAAGTATCCCACTAGGGCAAAAAATGAATGCAGTGACCAACTGGCATGAATATCTGATTTACTAAAAATTTAGATTCCTGTTAGTGGAAATTAAATGAACACATCAGCATTGTAAATTACCAGTCTATTTCATGTAAGCTTTAGTAGTATGGCTCTTTAAGTTGAATGCTATTAGGTGAAATGGAAAACTCAATGGCTAATTTAAAAGCCAAGGGCCTGCATCCTATCCGTCAAAGTATGATTCTCCATAGGCCTGAGTCAGCAGCAAGCTGGGTTTCACATCTCTTTATCTGCTCTAAAAACAATGGTATGAAGGGAAGCTTTTACAAGAAGGTCAGCTCTCTGTATGATGTTTCCAAGAGAGTACTCAATAGTTCGTGCAAGCATTTACCCTTTACTAAATGTTTTATTTAGCCTTTTAATAAATCTTTTACTGCTGAAATACAGGGTTTGGATTTGGTTGAAGGAGAAGTGGTGAAAGGTTTAGTTGGAGAAAGTTCTTTTATTAAATTTCTCCTCCTTCTGCCCACCGAGAGGAGCTGGGACTATCCCATACACAGTGGCTCAGTATCCCCTGTGGCAGAGCCTCTGAAGAGGTGATCAGAACAGTTAACCTGCCAAGACCTTGTTGCGTGGTCCTCTTTGATGTTTAATATAGCCAGACGCGGTTGTTCACGCCTGTAATCCCAGCACTCTGGGAGGCTGAGGTGGGTGGATCACCTGAGGTCAGGAGTTCGAGACCAGTGAAACCCTGTTTCTACTAAAAATACAAAAAATGATCCAGATGTGGTAGCAGGTCACTGTAATCCCAGCTAGTCGGGAGGCTGAGGCAGGAAAGTAGCTTGAACCCAGGAGGCAGAGGTTGCAGTAAGCCGAGATCGTGCCACTGCACTCCAGCCTGGGCAACAAGAGCAAAACTCCATCTCAAAAATAAAATAAAATAACATAAAATAATGTTTAATATATAGGGCTAGAATATCTATCCAAAGCTTTATGTTCATGTAGCTTATCAAGCCTTCAAAAGTGACACCCTTCTCTTGCTGCTGCGTGTCAGGACAACATAGAGTAGGAAAGGGTAAAGTGAAAGGGGGAAAAGACTGAAGTCTTCCCTGCTCAGAATAAGGAAAAAGGGTAAAGAGGAAAACATGAGCAAATATGGTGGCTTTTCGGGGGACATTTTTGAGATAAACATAGCAAAGGATAGTGCCTGAAGATGCAGTCGAGGTCTTGAAAGACCATCTGTGGGCCAAGAGTTTAAAGAAAAGGCATTTAACAGTGTAAGAAGGACAGCTGCAGTGGCTCACACTTGTAATCCCAGCACTTTGGGAGGCTGAGGTGGGAGGATCACTTGAGCCCAAGAGTTTGAGACCAGCCTGGGCAACATAGTGAGACCCCATCTCTACAAAAAACAGAAGAAATTAGCTGGGCATGGTGGCACACACCTGTAGTGTTAGCTACTTGGGGATGCTGAGTTGGGAGGATCACTTGAGCCCAGGAGGTCGAGGCTGCAGGGGGCCATGTTCATGCCACTGCACTCCAGCCTGGGTGATAGAGTGAGACCCTCCCTCAAAAAAAATTTTTTTTTTAAAGTGGAAGAAACGTGTTTGGGATTCAATCAAACCCAAATGGGAGAAGTTGAGAACTAGGCTTTAAATGAGACATCATTTTGGTTTCCCAGACAGGGCCTGTAACTAAGGATAAAGAACAGGAAAGTAGAATCAGGACTGTGCCCCTGGTGTGCCGAGAATCACCCTTCAGGTCTGGAAGAGGGAAGAACCAAGGTCACTGGGAACCGGGTGTGCTGTTCTGGGCAGCTAGGCATCCAGCCATGACTGAACAACACAGGCACCGTGCAAAGAGGAAATGCGTAGGTGCTGATTCTGTCGTCACTTACGAATGATCCATCTCCACCTCACCCTTTGAAATGATGCAGTGGAGTTTTGAAATGATGCAGTGGAGGAATAAACACAATTCATACAAACAACAAAAATCACAGGTCCCTTGGGTTGGGCTAAGGCTTTATGTCAAATCCTGTAATGATATGACCAGATTTATTCATCCTGGCTGGGGTGCAGGACCTGAGTGTCCACCTGTACATTACTTATTACAGATGGTGGCAGCTGAGGCACCACTTCAGCCAGGACCAGAGCTCAGGTCTTGAACCTCATCCTTTTTGGTCAGGATCTTGACCTTAAGAAGTCCCTTCCTGGCCAATCACCAAGCTGGTTGCTGTGGCCCAGCCTGATGCTGCCACTACCAATGATATTGTCCCCCTCGCAGTTTTACTGGGGAAAAATCAACTCATACTATTTCTCCCTGGCCTAGAGCTAACAACTTTCTGAGGGATGGAAATCAGTAGATTCTAGGTTTAATATGTGTTATGTCGGCCATTTGCATTTTTTCTTTTTTTTTGGTTTTCTTTTCAATAGCCAAATACCAAAAAAGACTAATTAGATTTTTGTTTTTAAAAGGCAGCTGGTTTTGAGACCGAATAATAGTTTGATGATTTGGTTTGATAATAACAGATGAGGGTGAAAGGTCAACCATTTCCCTGGATTTGATCAATGGCAGTAGTTTGATGGCAAATTAAATATCAGATAAACCTGTCAAGTGACTCCAAGAATCAATATTTACTGGGAAAAGTTGTTTGAGCCTTTAATGATTACATTTGCTCCCAAGGGAAATAATGCTAGAAATATGTTCAGGTATTAGGATAGGAATACATAAAAATCATGTGAGGATGATTTTAAAGGAGGTCACTTATTATGTTGTTATTGATCAATAAGGTATTCATCATCTGTGTTTCTGGCCAAGCCTAGCGCCAAGCATGAGAGCCACATTTCTGCCTCTTATTGGACAGAGCCATCTGGAGATCCTACAGGGACCTCAAACTCAGCATGCCTCCAAGCAAACTCTCTGTCATCTGTCTTCCTGCTTCCCTTTAGAATAGCTTATTAGTTGAAAGCTTGGACTTTGGATACTGAACACCTGGTCTCCATCCCAGTTCCGCTACTAACTAATGCAGACCGTTGGGCTGTTGCTCCACTGCCCTGTGCCGCCTTTGCCTCCTGTGTGCAATGGGGATAGTGGCTTCCTCATAGCATTAATGTGCACATTACATCAGATCACAGACATAAAGAGCTTAGGTCAGGTCTTGAATATACCTTAGCCATTTTTCTTATTCAGCCCTTTATGCAATATTGATTGCGCATCTGCTGTGTATCAGACCCTCCTTATGACTTACGATTCCTGATTTAGAAACTGTAAAAACACTGTCTCCTGTTTAAACCGTATTTCTTCAGGATAGGGGTAGCATCTCATTCATGTTTTAATCTCAGTGCTCAGTTTATGAACGTAGCACTAATTTGCCTGAATTAACCTCCAGAAAACCATGTCTTCTATAAGTAATTCACATTGTTTTAACAAATAGGAAATACAAAAGCAGGAGAAGACCATGAAGATTTTTTTAAAAAGGTGTCTGAAACCTACTCTAGTCTCAAGAAAGTCAGGTCTAATTAACCATGTGAAAGTGGCTTTTTTGTGGTAAAAATAGCTGATATCGGTAATCTTTTGGTTTTACCTAATACTGCACAGGGCACCTGGCACACCACAGGGTTTCATCACAACAAAAATAATTCCCAGATCCATATCTCAAATGCTGGGATTATTCTATAACATTCTGAGGATAATGTACCTCAGATCTTATTCTTAAAGATTAAGGATCTGGACCTCGTAAACACTTAAAACAATCTGAGAAGCAGTGAGGGACAGTGAAAAGAGAGTGGGGATCACGAGTCCTGTGGACTGGATTTAAAACCTAGTTCCTGCTGGGCGTGGTGGCTCAAGCTGTAATCACAGTACTTTGGGAGGCCAAGGCAGGAGGATTGCTTCAGCCCAGTAGTTCGAGACCAGCCTGGGCAACATGGCAAAACCTCATCTCTACAAAAAGTACAAAAAAATTAGCCAGCCATGGCGGCCTGTGCCTGTGGTCCCAGCTATTCAGGAGGCTGAGGTGAAAGAATCACTTCAGCCCGGGAGGTTAAGGCTGCAGTGAGCCATGTTTGTACCACTGCACTCCAGCCTGGGTGACAGAGCGAGAAACCTCGTCTCAAAATAAATAAACAAATAAACAGATAAATCCTAGTTCAGTAGCTTATTTTGTCTCTCTGATGCTGGACAAGACAGCTAACTCTTATTGAGGAACCTGTCCCAATAGCTTCTATTTGTCCATCTATAAAATAGCAAGAATGATAAACATTGACCTTTGTGATATGCAAATGAGGTAATATGAAAATAAAAAATTGTATAAACCATAAAGTCCATCACAAATGAAGGGTAGTGTTACTATTTTAGTACCCACTCTCCAATAGAACTGACCACAATATGCATAGGAAATGCCTATGACAGGCCACTCCTCGTCTTTGAGATTCAGTTTTCTCTTCTGTAAAACAAGAGGAAGAGAGAGGGGACGAAATTGTCGCCAGGACTCCTTCAGGTCCTCCCATTCTGTGAGGTGAGGAAATTCTGATTTCTTACACTGTATGAGTGACAAATCCTGCTAGGCTTGCGGGGGCCACATTTCCTTCTTGGCTGCTGGACCCCTTACATTTTACATGCAGAGGAGGAGACTCCTTTCTTGTGCGTTGAGGGGCATGTGTATTTTCCTTTGTCTGCAGCAGGTTTTGCTTAGAGAACAGGGCACTCACAGATCCCACCTTGTCTCAGCCTGGAGGAAACCAAATCAGAGACTTGGAACCCTGTCATTAGAGCTTAAGTAAGTGGACACAGAAGAAAGTGCTTTGGAAATGGTGAAGCAAACACCAACACAAATAGGCATTGAACTCTGCTTCCTTTCTTCCTTCCTTCCTTCCTTCCCTCCCTCCCTCCTTCCTTCCCTCCTTCCCCCTTTCCCCCTTCCCCCTTCCCCTCTTTGGCCCTTCCTTCCTTCCCGCCTTCCCTCCTTCCCTCCCTCCTTCCTTCCTTCCCTCCCTCCCTTCCTTCCCTCCCTCCCTCCCTTCCCTCCCTCCCTCCTTCCTTCTATCTTTCCTCCTTTTCCTTCTTTTGACAGGATTTCACTCTGTTGCCCAGGCTGGAGTGCAGTGGTGTGATCTCGGCTCACTACAGCCTCAACCTCCTGGGCTCAAGTGATCCTCCCACCTCAGCCTCCCGAGTAGCTGAGATCACAGGCGTGCACCACCATGCCTGACGAATTTTTGTATTTTTTGTAGAGATGGAGTTTCACCATATTGCCCAGGCTGGTCACTGTATTTAAAGAGACCTGGAGTTGGCTCACCTGACAGGTTACCCCATCACCCTTCACTCCATGTGCCTTTTTTATTTTTATTTTTAATCTGTAGCTTCTGTACTTTGTTGAAGATGTAACCCTTAGGCTATTTTATCAACCACAGCTGGTGCCAGGATTGGGCTTTGCTGGTTCTACTTAGGTGCCCTCCAGGGAGCCCAAGTTTCAACACCATCTACGTTATTTATTTCTACTTCTTTCAGCCAGAGGATAAAACAGAGAAAAAGGGAGCAAACTTCTTCCTTCCACTGTCTTTCACCTTAACCCTTGATATCCTTGATTCTCATCCCTTTGCCTTGAGAATTTTTAATAGGGAGAAGAAAAAAAGGAAGAGGAAAACCTAAGAGAATGGGACTGGGTAGGAGAGAAACACCGAAGAGAGGATTTAGAAAGCAGGTCAAATGAGAATCCTGCACATGGAAAACCAAACCAAAACCACTGACAACAAAAAGAAAACTAACAACCACAAGGTCCAGGAAGTATAGAGAAAATTAGGTATAGACTCAAATTAGGTAATAACTAAATTCCCTGTAACACAAAAGATATCCAAGGTAAAAAAATGTTGTCTAACTCACAAGCAATGATCAATTTATTTAAACTAAAGAACATTATTTGCGAAGTCTCCTGAACTTGAGTTTTTTTATTCTCTTAAGAAAACAAGTGTTCAAAATTTGGAGAGCCATAGATTCAGGAACATTTTCAGAGATGAAACAGATACATAAACAAAAATTTATTTCCCACAGAAAAGAAATGTCATTTCTAGGAATATTAGGGGAAGGTGGGAAAGAACTTGGCTGATGGTTCAGCAGAAACCAAGAAGGAATTGCCCTCAGGGCGTGTGTGGGAGGCCATAGTGCCCTGCTGGGTCCACACACACGTGTGTGCACGCACACACTCACACACACTTAGGCAATTCAGCAGGCGTTGGCTGACCAGCAGCCAACCCTGGCTGCACACTTACCTCTTACAAAGGAGAATCTTGGCATCACAGCTTGAAAATCTTTATTTTGGATGGGAGTGGATCAGGAAAAGGAGAAAGGAATAGTGTCACAGCACTGACCTTGGCCTTGAGTGGCCTCATGGAGCGTGACAAGGGTCCCCAGGCCTGTTCTTCCACACTGTCAAGTCAGTAAACCTCAGCTCTTTCGTCCATGAAGAGAAGATAATATTTGCCCCACTACTTCATAAAAATGCTGTGAGACAAAACAAAGAACTACCTGAAGGACAAAATGCTTTGGCAACTCTAAGGCACTCTACACATGCAAGATTTTATTGCTGTGTTCTGGTGATGGACTCTCTGGTGATCAAAGGATTAGATTTTGTCACTACCCATTTCTATGTATTAGCCTTGTATTCAGTCATTTTTGGACCCAGGAGGGATGGCACCTGGCACATAGAACGTGCTCCAATGTGTGCATGACCTTAAAACCAGCACGCACATTGAATTATGCTTTTGCCACCTTTTTGTTCATGTTCCCTGTTGCCTCTGAGACACCCAGCCTAGAAAAAGTTCTTTTCCAAGCCTCAGGCTGAGATGTGCAAGAGCGGATGAATGCGAAAAGATGAATGAGTTGATTGGGGGAGTTAATTTGATGCAGAGGACCCCTGAGAAATCCAGCTACCTCCAGGGCTAGGAGTTTTACTTCCCTGGAGACAGATTCTGTGTAATTTCCTGGTAACAGGTGGCCTTCTGTTTTCTGTGCTGATGCTATTGGTCTTTGGGGATCCGTGGAATTAGAACCAAGTCTCCTACCACCTTTGTTTTCTAACAGCACCTCTGTGGCAGGGGTGAGGGTTTTGTGTCTCACCCTGCTTTGGGATCATGTCCTCCCTCAGGGCTGAGGTAGGTTTTTGCTCCAGGGGAGCCGAGGAAGTCTTCTGTTAGGCTGGGTTGCCTCGATCCTTCTCCTGGACCCTCTCCGGAGCTCTAAGCTGGGGCACCTGGGATGGAGAGCCGCTCATTGTAGCTTCTCAGAGCATGGTTACTGGGTAAACTATGTTCACCTCTTTCTCTTCCTCTCTGTTTTTCGTGCTTAGAAATGATGTGGTGGGATGGAGGGGCACAGGGAGAACCACCTGGGGGCTGCTTGTGAGGCTTCCTTATTTGCTGGTACCTTTCCTCCCTCTGAAAAGGAAGTTTTGGGGATTCCTTCCGGCCAGGCCTCTGGGCCCCAGCGTTAGTTGCCAGGGATAGAGAAGACTTCTGTGAGGGGCTCTGGAAGAAAAGGTTCACTACAAAACTCTGCTGCTTCAGGCGTCTCCCCTCCTGCCTCACCAGCTCCCATTCTCTTCAAATCAACCACACATTTGCTTTACCTGCCATGTGGGTTTCTGCAGAAAGGAGGCCTGGAGCTGGAAATGATTTCACACCATAAGCTGCTATTACAAGCTTCTGGGAGACCTGTTGGTTAGTTATTAATTCTTAGTTCCTGTACCAAGCACCTTTCATTTCTTGCTCTTAGCCATTTAGCTAAATTTTACTCTCAAGAGTGTTTTTTGCACGAGGGGTTAGAGGTTAGAGGTTTCCGCTCAAAAAAATTTACTTTGGTAAAGAGGTTGAGTTGAATAACTCTGACTCTATCATTTTCTCTTCCTTCCCTTCCTCCCTCTCTTTTTTCCTTCCTTCCCTCCTTCCTTCCTCCCTTCCCTCCTTCTCTTCTTCCTTCTAATGAAAAGAGACTTCATTTTTTATTTTTTGAGGCGGAGTCTCACTCTGTTGCCCAGGCCGGAGTGCAATGGCATGATCTCAGCTCACTGCAACCTCTGCCTCCCGGGTTCAAGTGATCCTCGTGCCTCAGCCTCCCAAGTAGCTGGGATTACAGGCATGCACCACCATGCCTGGCTAATTTTTGTGTTTTTAGTAGAGACAGCGTTTCACCATGTTGGCCAGGCTGGTCTCAAACTCCTGACCTCAAGTGATCCACCTGCCTCGGCCTCCCAAAGTCCTGGGATTACAGGCATGAGCCACCGTGCCTGGCCTGAAAAACAGACTTTAAAATCAAGACATTTAGTGCTTGTGGTCTTTCTTGATCGACCAAACTTTACTTTTAGCTAAATCAACCCAGTCCTTTTTTATCTCACACATTTTTCTCTCTAACTCCAGAATCTTCACATTGTAAGTTACTCCAGTGTTGAACCTGGGCAGGGGGCTGGAAGTAGTTGGTAGGTGAAGAGAGGGCAGCAGTGGGAGCTGACAGAGCAGGGAGGCAGAGATGGGGACAGGACGGCTTTTCTCCTGGCTAAAGCCCCTGCCCATGCCCTGCCCCTCAGTCCTGGTTACCAATAGTTCAGGACCCTCCTCATCATCTCCCTTTCATACTGAGTAGAAATCAGAGGCTTGCTTTATTCTTCAACTACCATTTCTATTTCCTTCTTCCAAAACCAGGGTGAAGCCTCTGAGGGGTGTGTGTGTGTGTGTGTGTGTGTGTGTGTGTGTGTGTGTGTGTGTAGATGAATGCTAAACTCTGTGGAGAAGAGATCCCGCAAGCATCCTAGAAATTTACATACATAGAAAATAATATTTTGCTTTAGGAGATTTCAGAATCAGCTGAATGTAGCAAAACATAAGCTACTAAAAAAGCCAAACCTTATAAGACACATAGGTTCAATTAATCTGTCACATTTTCAAAAAGGAATAAAATCCCAACAACAGCCAAAAAATGCAGGCTTCCTTTTGAGTTCCAAACCCAGCTTTGGGAGAGCACAAACAAAAGTCTCATTGTCTGCAAGGCCCCTCCTGCTTCGAGGGTCCTTAGACTGTCCTCTTTTGATTCTGAGGTGGCGCGGACCCCTTTTGTCACACACAATCTTCTCCACTGCCCCCGCCCCGCCACCCAGGTCGAGGCTTCACAATCATGCTGAGTTTTGTGGGGAAGCCCTCAAAGACTTTTTCTTATGAAGCGATAAGTGACACAATCATTCCAGGTCGAGCCCCCGCTTTTGCTGCCCTCAGACCGATGCCGGGGAAAGTTAACAATTCATGGGGCTGCCTAAGGGTTTCCCTGTGAGGTGTCGAATGGAGAATGCGGACTACAATGGTGGAGAGAGAGGCTGGAACCCGGCTGCCTTTCTTTCCTGGGAACTTCTTTTCTGAGGCAACTGAATGAGACCTTTACAAGCCAGGGTGGTGGCCTCCCTTCAGAATGCCTGGCCCGTTTCCCAGTGTGAAACATTCCCCAAATATGCAACTTTGTGAGCATCCCAGCCGCCTGCGCTGAGAACCCGCCCGCCTGCCGCAGGAAAGCTGGCACCCACGGGTATGCCAGGGGTGGGGGCGCGTCAGGGCCCCTCTGCCAGGCTTGGCCAGATGCTGGGGCGGCCCAGCCCCAGGTTACGTCGTCCCCAGAAAGAATCTGGCCAACAGTCTGGCCGTGACAAGAGCTGGAAGCTTCTCTCTCTCCCTTTAAATCCCCTCCTTCATTCAAATCCGATCCTATAAAAAGGCTTTTGTTGAAGGAGCAGCCATGGCATCTTGGTGCACGTCTGTGCCATTCCTCTCAATATTTCCAAAGATGGACAAAAGAGAACATCGTTAGTTGAATTCCTGGGCAAACTGGTCTGAAGATTGACTTGGAAGGAGTGGAGGTAAATGGCAACTGTCACGTGGCATTTGTTTTGTTTGCAACTGATGAAGCCAAAGAGGAAAGGAACTGCCGGTGGATGGTAAGAAGGCTCCTGCCAGGGGCCACCTCGGCAGCAGGCGAGCTCACTGTGTGTTTGGGGAAGAGCGTGCTGTGGAGGCAGGTGGACTGTGCAGGCTGCTGTCGCCTGGACATGGGTGTTGAAGGGTGCAGCTAGCGGGCTCAGGGCGTTGTGTAGGATCACTTCAGAAAGAAAGAGGCTGGGATTTCATTACCATCACTTGTGGAGGGAGCCACTTTATGTACCTTGCTCAAGTCTACTTGTATGGATTCCTGCAGAATACAGACGTGATGACAGTCATACCCGGACACTGCACTGGCTGATGCTCTGGGTGCCCACAACAAAATTGTGACCAAAGAAATGACTATTCCTTCTCCTTGGTCTTAAGCTTTTGCTTAATTTCATCTCAACCTAGTGCCTTTGAAGCTCTTGAAATCTTTGTTTCAAGAAGACCACTGATGGAAAGACCTAGAAAGAGGATAGTTTCATGTGTCTTGCCAATTTTCATTTTATCATTTTCTTATTTAATTTGATTTTCTTTTGCTTTAAATGCACATGGTTGTCAAAACCAAAAACAACCAAAAAGCCGAAAAGCAATGTCCAATAAATTACAGTATTTAGCATTCATAATAAATGAACTTTCTTTCCTGTGGTTTATTCTTCTTAAGCCTCCGTTCTTTGTCTGCTCAAACTGTGGGACTTTGTTCTGTTTTGGAGTTTATTTTTAGGCTTTTGGAGTAAGACATCACATATTTTCTCTTAATTTTAACTTCTTTTATGTGGGGTATTCTGCCACCGTTGCCTTTTTTTGGCCAATATTCTCTTAATATTTTCTGCCTTCCTGCTTTTGTAAGCTCATCTCTGATTTTATTTCTTTGGACCTTTCCCTAACTGTCTTTTGGCATTTGGTGTCTGTGCCTTGTCTGTTTTAACAAATTTTAGTTCCAGTAACCAACCCCATAGGGCAGTGAAGCAGAAGGACTCTAGATCCAGGTGACCCGGGTCCAAATCCTGGCTTGACCACTTACTAGTTGTGTGACTTTGGGCAGGTTAATTCTCTTCTGTAGACTCATTGCTTTCGACAGTAAAGGGGGATAATCATAGTAGCTATGTCACAGAACTCTTCTGAGGATTAAACGAAGCCATGTATGTGAAGTCTTAGAACGGTGCCTGACATCATCATTGTTCTGTTTAGGCTTCTGTCTGTGATGTGGGGTTTGTTGGTAAATGTTAGCTGTTACTGAAAGTAGGATGGTGGGGGAGAATGGGCTTGGTAACAGTGATGGTGGTTGGTGGTGAGTATTTCAACATGTTGCTGTTTCTGTAGTACTTCTGGTCCTTCCTGATATAAAGGAAAAAGAACCAGTGTATCCTGAACTGCTTTATGTTTTTTATTTTCTAATTGCTTTATTGAGATCTAGTTTGCATACCATACAATTTACCCATTTATAGTGTACTAGTGAATGTTTTTTGGTATATTATTAATTTTTAAGTCGCGATAAAATATAACATTTGCCGTTTTAACTATTTTTAAATGTACAACTTGGTTTCATTAATTACATTCACAAGGTTGTACAACCATCCCCTCTTTTTTTATTTTATCAAGTTTTTGAGACAGAGTCTTGCTCTGTTACCCAGGCTAGGGTGCAATGACATGTTCTTGGCTCACTGCAGCCTCGACCTTCTGGGCTCCATTGATTCTCCTGCCTCAGCCTCCCATGTAGCTGGGACCACAGATGTGTGCCACCACACCCAGCTATTTTTTTTTTTTTTTTGAGACGGAGTCTCGCACTGTTGTCGGGGCTGGAGTGCAATAGTGCAATCTCGGCTCACTGCAACCTCTGCCTCCTGGGTTCACGCGATTCTCCTCTTGTCTCAGCCTCCCAAGTAGCTGGGATTACAGGTGCACATCATCACACCTGGCTAATTTTTTGTATTTTTAGTAGAGACGGGGTTTCATTATGTTGGCCAGACTGGTCTCGAACTCCTGACCTCGTGATCCACCTGCCTTGGCCTCCCCAAGTGCTGGGATTACAGGCATGAGCCACCGCACCTGGCCTTTTTTTTTTTTTTTTTTTTTGGAGACACGGGGTCTCACTTTGTTGCCCAGGCTGGTTTTGAACTCCTGGGTTCAAGCAATCCTCCTGCCTCAGCCTCCCAAAGTGCTGGGATTATAGGCATAAGCTACTGCATCCGGCCTTCATCACCTCTATTTTAAAAACATTTTCATCACTCCAAACAGAAACTGTACCCACTAAGCAATAACTCCCCATTCCCCTTCCCTTAGTCCCTGGAACCTTCTAATCTACTCTCTAACTCTATAAAGTTGCCTATTCTAGAGATTTCATGTAATTGGAATCACCATGTTTATCCTTTTGTGTCTGGCTTATTTCATTTAGCATAATGTTTCCTAGGTTCATCCATGTTTTGGCATTATCAGAACTTCATTCATTTTTATGTTTGAATAATCTTCCATTGTATTGATATACCACATTTTACCCAATCATCAATAGATGGACATGTGGGTTGTCTTACCATTTGGCCATTGTGAATAATGCTACAATTAACATTGGCATACAAGCATCTGTTCGGGTTCCTGCTTTCAAATCCACCTGGAAGTGGGCTTGCTGGGTCATACAGTAATTCTATTTTAGCTTTTTGAAGAACTGGCCAACTATTTTTCTAGAAAACAGTTGCTTTTGGTCATTCTCTCCTCTTGTATTTCTCTCCTCTGGTGTCTGCCTCTCTCAGATTCTTTTCCATTTCCTCCTGCTGCCTGAGAGTCATTGTACTTCCAAGCAGCAGACATGTTTGTGTCTACCCTCCCAACCATGCGTCTCCCTCCCACATTTCGGAGAGAACACCCACTTCCCTGTCCTTAGCAGCTGCCCAAGCATGTATCACCAACTGGGCCACACATCTGCCTGATCATTTCATCCCATTGTCCAGGGAGGGGGAGTCTTCATAGAAGGTCATGCACAGGTCTCCATCCACTTTGGCTGGAGGGCTGGTTCAGCCACCGAATGACCCTAGGACCTGTGAGCAGGGGGAGTCAGCGTTGTGGAGCCACAGCCCCGCAGGGTTTCAGCCCTCCTTAGACAGGCGGTCATCACACCAACGCCTTGCTTTGTTGTTCTCTGTCCACTGTGCATGTTTTTAGGAGGCAGTTTGGCCACCCTGTTTCATGGGAGGGTTGTTCTCCACTTTTCATTTGCTTACGGTGTCTCCAGTTTCCTATGAGCAAGTGAATTAATTAATGAATACTCCAACAGACTGTAAGCCTGCCTCAGACAGCCATTCTGGTTGTTGGGCTAATTGTTAGCTGGGGTTTCTGGATGTCATTCATTTCACAATAAGGCTCCTAATTAATCTCAGTGCAGTTCTCACCAGAAGAAAGGCTGATACGGAGAAACATCCCCAATTACCATGAGAAAGGAAATGTCAAGAGCCCCGTTGAGTTTTCCTGGCACCCACCCTTGTCTCAGATGAAAACCGCCATTACCGCAAGGAGGCTGCCTAGACCGACCCTGAAAACTGGAGAGTGTGAGAGCGGGAGGAGCCCCCGACCACACAAACCCAGCCTGGGGAGGAACCTACTAGTGGCTGCACCCTCTTTTTTAATAGCACCAATTGTGTTTCCCAAGATGATGTAGAGAATTTCAGTGCTGTGTACCACGTCGGAGGCAGAAATTCCTCTGCTGTCCCAGGAGCAGGCAGGGCAGTTTTTATCTGGAAAAGCTAAAGGTCTCCTCTTTTGTTTGTGTTTTTGTGCCTGCAGGACAAAAGATCCTTCATCACCGAAGTGACGTTTTAGAAACAGTGGTCCTGATCAACCCTTCTGATGAAGCAGTCAGCACCGAGGTAAGCATTCAGCTCTGTAGAATCTGGGGCCGGGCCCCACACACTGGATAGGGACCCAGTGGATTAGAAGGGCTGGGCAAATGGGGGCAGGAGAGGGACACAACAGAGAGAAGTTCTGGGTTAAGAGGTCTTTCTCAACCCCCATTAAGTGGCTGGTTCCCTGCATCGGTACCATCCAGACCACTCCTCCTGATAAGGACAAAGAAGAAGATAGTAGCTGGAACTGTAAGATTTTGTCCAGGCAAGGGAGTATGAATTTGGGGTATTTATGCTGGGGGTGGTGGGGAGTGCTGCTGGGATGGAGTCTGATAGGGATGTATTAGGGAAAAGAGACGCAAGCCCTCAGGCCGCGACATACAGGGCAAACCTGGAGAAGAATGGCATCTCAAGAATGGCATCTCAATGCAAGCCCCATTCAGAGCTCTCCTGCACACTCCTATCGCTGTGGAAAGGCAGGCTAGCATAGTGGTCAGGAGCATGGGCTGGCACCAGGTCACCTGGGTTCATAATCCCACATCTGCCTCTTACTAGGTGGGAGCCTCAAGCAAGTTATTTACTGTCTTTGTCTCCGTTTGCACCTCTGTAAAATGGGGGTCATAATAGTTTCTACATTTAATGTTCATATTTAATGTTGTGCTTAGAAGTGCCAAGTGCTTAGAACAGAGCATGGCACATAATGACTGAAATGTAAATATTAGCTGTGATTGTTATTATTACCACCATATGAAACTGTTGCTATGGAGAGTCACTGGGTATTTTGGAGCCCAGTGTGACATAAGAACTTGGTTGAAGCCAAGAGTCCCTGGTCACCCAGGCCAGAGGAGTTGCTATCACTCCACTTTCCACTTCCTTTATTATAGTTGAGCGCTTTTGAGATAGAGTTGCTTCTCGGACATGAAAGCAGCCAAAGTCCCTGGGAACCTTCATTGTTTGCAGCGTCCCTTCTACCCACACTTTGAGCATCTCTGTGACTGTATCCTGTTTTTGTAAATGGAGATATAATTCAAGGACCATAAAATTCATCCCTTTAAAGTGTGTAATTTGGTGGTTTTTAGTGTATTTACAAAGTTTTGCAACCATCACCCTTATCTAATTCTAGAATACGTCTATCACGCCCCAAAAGCCCTGAGCTCATCAGCAGTCGGTCTCCATTCTTCCCCGATGCCGACAACTGCGAACCTGCCTGTCCTGATTTGCCAATTCTGGACATTTCATATAAATATAATGATATACTATGTGGCCTTGCGTGTCTGGCTTATTTTAGCCTAACAGTTTCAAGGTTCATCCATGTCGTAGCATGTGTCAGTACTGCATTCGTTTCCAGGCTGAACAGTGCCAGTGTATGGATAGCCCACATCTGTGTATCCATTCCTCAGTTGACGGACACTTGAGTTGCTTCCACTTTTTGGCTGTTGTGATGTCACCTGTCATGACTGACTTCTGCCTGCTTTAGATCAGCAGGACCTCTGACAATCCATGAAGGTGTGAAGCTGAGGAAAGTGATGGGATAGCAATCTCTGTTACTAACAGAATCGGGAAGTAATTACAGCTTGAAAAAAGCTGGAGAATTACAGCCTGGGCAACATGGTAAAACCCTGTCTCTACCAAAAATACAAAAAATTAGCCGGGCATGGTGTTGCATGCCTGTGGTCCCAGCTACTCAGGAGGCTGAGATGGAGGATTGTTTGAACCCAGGAGGCAGAGGTTGCAGTGAGCCGAGATGGCGCCACTGCACACTGCACTCCAGCCTGAGCAACAGAGTGAGACCCTGTCTCAAAAGGAGAAAAAAAAAAAAAAAAGCTGGAAAATTAATATATGTCCAGGCAAACTGCCCGGAAGAGTTGTGAGAAAGGAAAAATATGGAATTTTATAAAAGGAATCCAGGCTTGCCTGTGGAGCAGATGGGGCTGAAACAATTACTTAGGTACATGTGTTTTTTGCATGATTACACTGTGGGGTTCTTGGGTAAGGGGTCATGGTCTGTTTACTTTTGTATCCTCCCCTCAGTGCCTAACATGATGCCTGGCAAGTAGGATGTGCTGAACATTCATGAACTGGGCTCAGAATGGATACCTTGGTGCTTAGAGTGGTGTTTGCTGAAGGACAGCTGGCTTCCTGCCACTGAAAAGTGCACAGAGAGTTCCTTAGCGCAAACCATGTGCAATTATCTCAAAGATTGCTATTTAGGGGCAGCCTTTTCTTTATATTCAATGTCAAGCACCTTACTGATGCCACTGGAGACTGCCGTGGAGCTGTGTGTGTGCTTGCTGCACGCCTTGGAAGGGCATATGGGAGGGGTTGGTTTGGGACCCTAGTTTGGAACACCGTGCTTACTGAGGAGGCCACTGGGGAACCTGGACTGTACATGGTGATTCAGCCTGTGAGATAGTTCCGTCTTCCCTGGTTTCGCAGACCACGTGCTGCTAGCAGACATTTCTAACAGCTGTGGAACAAATGATTACCAGCTGTGAAGACTGCTTTGAAAAAGAGGAGGAAACTAGGGGGAGAAAGTCAACTATCGCTACTGTCGTGATTGTAGAGAAACTTTGAAAATGGCATTCTTGGGCAAACTGATAACTACACTTATTGGCTTTGTGGATGATCCTACAGCCAGGGATCCATTCAACCCTCCCGTGCTCTTCTGGCCTCCAGGAGAAATTAGACCTTTGGGGAATGAATGCTTTTTGCTGGTAATAAACTCCCATGGCTCCGAAGGCTAGCCCTGTCCTGAAGGTGGGATGGCAGCACTGCCCATGGCTCAGGGCCTACGTTCTGTGCTTTATTTCAGGTGCGCTTAATGATCACTGATGCTGCCCGACACAAGCTGCTCGTGCTGACCGGGCAGTGCTTTGAAAATACCGGAGAGCTCATTCTCCAGTCCGGCTCTTTCTCCTTCCAGAACTTCATAGAGATTTTCACCGATCAAGAGGTAGGTTCGTGTCTGAGAATATCTGTGCTTCTAGTGGCTTGGTTGCCTTAGGTTCCTCTTTGAGAGCACTGGGGGAGACAAAAGAAGAAGGGAGGGAACCTCACAGCTCTCCTGAAATAAGCAAAACTGCATGATCCAAAATACTTTATTTCTATGGCTCATTGCCAAAAGAATTTAGAGCACTCATTTACAATTAATTGGAATCATTCTTAATGTGCCTGAGATATAGATGGGAGGGGTTGGAACAGTCAACACTTTACAGATGGTAAAAATGATGGAGAAACTTGAAATGTCAGAGCCCAAAAGAAAACCTGCGTTTCCTGTTTTCTGAAATAATACTCCAAAGATATCTGGGGCTTTTGGCACCTCGTTTTCCAGGCCTAATTATTTCAGATTTCTTTTACTTTAATGCCTGGCCCCAGTGTTTGAACTTGGGCTGTTTGAACAGCCCACAAAAGAGAGAGGGCTTTACAAAAGGAGCCACGTAGGAAAATGGGGCACGTCTGTGACCCAAGAAAAAGATGGCTAAAGTAGCTGGACTGAAGCTGGATCATTCATATTTCTAATGCGTATCTTATTCAAAGATGACACATATAAAGTGTTGAAAACTGTGTGAAGTTAGTCGTATTTTGTAAAATGAGATCAAAGATTTTGATATGCTTATTTCTGCTTGGGAATTTATCCTGGCTGGGAAACTTTCCAAAGTAATGCACCTTGTTTATCTAGCTTACATGTTTATAGCAATTACAGAAACAATTCAGACCCATCCCCATAGCAGGTTGGGGCCTGCCTGTGGCCGATAGCAGATTTCTACATGGAGGGACTGAGGGATGTTCTGATAAGAAGAGTCCCCACATCTGTTTAAAACTGTCTTTCTGAGGTGGTGGCTTGTCTGTCTCATGTGTACTGTGAAGGGCCACGTGTCCTTCTGCACTTAATTTTCCTTGGCCCTGAGGTTCAGAGAAAGCTCTGTTTGTACTTTTCATCACTGGCAAGAACTGTAAGCACACTGCCCAACTTCATCTGAGTCACCTGGAGGCTTCTTTAAAAACACTGATCAGAAGGCATAATAATGTTCACTCTCCAGCCACTGGGGTGGGGAGAATGTAAAACTGTGAAAAGGAACATTTTTGAAGCCACAGCTGTCAGAAGGTGTGGCGTCATCTGCATCTTGAAACACATACCAGGATGGGATCCCCCAGGCAGGCAGCTCCTTTCTCAGAGGCTTCAGAGCTCACTCACAGTTGGTTCATCTTTACCACTTCAAAATGCAAGCTTTGGCTGTGTCTTCTTCCAAGGCCGCTAGAGTTCACGCATCTTGCCTCATTCATCTCGGTATCCATTGCACCTGCACATAGTAAAGGCCTAGTAAGCCGCTGTTCAATTGCATTGAAATTCCAAAGCTAGGGCTACAATTCTCACTCTGCCTACTGTCCTGAAGTTGTTGTTTGATCACTATAATGTCAGAATGTTTTGCAAGATTATGTCCCCATGTGCATGTTGTACCCGGAGGCAGGTGGGCATTTGTCTAGTAGCTCTGGGGTCACACACATTATTAGCATCTTGCCTCAGGGAAGAGAGAAAGCTGCAGAAGGCTGGAAGTGGCCCAATGACATGGTGAGCAGTTAAGTGGCCTGCTTATAGCTCATTTGCATGCACATGGGCACTTTCCACATTCCTGTGCAGTTCTGTAGTTATTTTCTAGTGGTTGGTTTCTACCCAAGTCATTGGTTTGTCTTTTTTGCCGAAAAACCAGACAAAGGAAATATGTAAAGAAAAGTGTCATTGCCAAGATTTTCAATAAGGAAGTAACACGATTTGGCATATTTGCATCTCAAATAATATCCCTCCTTCCCCTTCTTTAAATAAGGTTGTTATGAATATTGCTGCTTAATCATTTTTACTAGATTATGGAAGCAAAATTTTAGCACCATGGACTGTGCACGTGTCAGATTTTGCCACTAATTACAGAAAAAAAAATTTGCCCTAACTGAAGAACTCGAGTTCCGTGGAAGGGCAGATTCCCCAGGGTTTATACTTATTGGGGTAGGTTCTGGAGGACACATATTTTGATTATACTCAGGCAGGTATCATTATGGTCAGAGACCATGTCATATTCTCTTCTGCCACCCACAAAGAAAGGATGCCACAGCTAAAGTGAATTGAAAACCACTGGACTGGACCAGTGGTTATCAGCCTTTTGGAGCTAGGATTGCCCATTGTTGCCTTGGAAAAATGGTTGAGTAACTGAATAACAAACGGACCTTGAAGACCACTTGTTGTCCAGCTCTTTTCCTTTTATCCAGTCCTTGAAACATACTAGTTAACTCCAGGGAAACCAAAACCACAATTTGGGACAAACAAAAATGATACTTTTTAAAAAATATAAGAACAGCTAAAAATAAATGGACTGAAAAAATAGAACTATCAGTACACTTTGAGCTTCAGGTTTTGGAGTCTTAATCACTGGAGATCAATTAACAAAACCAGAACTAACAGACGGTACAATTGTCTGGCTAACCCCACTCCTCCCTGAAATCCAGGGATGGTGAAATCATCATCTCCTGGGGACATTTTTCAGTCTCTGTGTTGGAAAGTTTTTCCTTATTTGTCTCATTGTATCTTCAAGGAAGTGATGTGATCCCTTTCCCACCTACAGTGTCTTAGTTACCCTTCACCAACACTGCCGATTTTTTCCCTTTCAGATTAATCATCTTCAGTTTTACCCACAGTTCTTCATAACCCTGCTCACTGTCCTTCAAACTTGTTCCTCTGTCAAGAAAGGGAGGTGAAGGCCAGGTGCTATGGCCCATGCCTGTAATCCCAGTACTTTGGGAGGCCAGAGTGGGAGGATCACGTGCGGCTAGGAGTTCTAGGTTGCACTCAGTTATAATCTGCACTGCACTCCAACCTGGGCAACAGAGCAAGATTCTGTCTCTTAAAAAAAAAAAAACTATACTTAAAACATTAAAAAAATAAAATAAAAAGAAGAGGAGATGGGATGGGTATGGGGGGAATTCAGGAGTTTAGTCCTGGTCATGTTTTAGTGCCTTGAAATCAGACAGTTGGATTTATGAGAACAGAGCTCAGGGAACTCAGAGTCGGGCTGGAGATACTAATTTGAAATCCATTAGCATATTAGAGGTATTTGAAGCCCAGAAGACACATGATGTGACCTAGAGTGAGAAACATTTTAAGAAGAGAAAGGGCCCAGGTCCAGTGTTGACAGGTCATAAGGCCAAGAGGAAGGAGCCAGTAAGGGAGACTTGTTTCAGGTTTTTGCTTGTTGGTCTAATTTCTCTAAAATGTCATGACTCAAACTGGACACCCTATTCAGGAGTCATTTGACCAGGTTAGGATTGTGAGAGTTGATAATGTCTATAGTTTTCAATACCATCTTCTATTAAAGAAGTCTAAAAGTGACTTTTGACCATCACCATACACCATTAATGGTCAATGGGGAAGTCAATGGGGAAGAGATGCAGGCTTTGAGGGGCTCGACAATTTATATAATTTAAGGGCTCTTTTTTAAGAAAAATGAAACAATTATTAATATACAGTTAAGTACAGGGCCATGCCAATGAGGTACCTTGAAGTTTAAGCTTCTTTGGCTTCATGATAAATCCATTTGACTGTCAACTAAAATCCCTGAGTCTTTTCCATGGATATTATTGTTAAGCCACATCTCCCAATCCTGTAGTTTACCCTGCTGGTTTATTGAACCTTACATTTATCCCTTTAGAATGCCATCCTGTTAGAATTGACTTAGCCACCATCATCCCAATGTCAAGAGCTTTTATAAATACCTTAATTCTGCCATTCCACATTTTGCTGTGTCTCCCATTTTCATACCATGCACAAATATGATATGCATGCCTTCGCCATTTTTATCCAAGTGAATACAGGCCAGAAAATGAGACTTGAGGCAGCCCATCATAGACCTCCCTCCAGGTTGACATTAAGCAGCACTATTTATATGGCTGGCTGGAAATCCACCTAATTCTACTATCACACTGTTCAGGGGTCCTATTAAATGTCTGGCTAAAACCCAGAGATACACTGTCTACTGTATTTCCTCATCAGCCAAGCAAGTAACCTAATCAAAAAGGAAATGTAGTTCGTAGGCCATGGTTTAGAAATTCAAATCTTGTTTCATTAATCTCATCTGCAGTAAAACCATTTATTTCTTACATCTTCCTTCCTCTTCCAGTATGCCTGCATTTAATCAGAAAAAGTAATTAACAAAAAAGATTATCTTTGTCCCAAAGCATATTCCTCCTTGTTGCATCTGTCATCCAACTTTGTAAGAACCAGGGTAGCACTCAGTGTGGTTACATCTGAAGTACCCACTCCAGGAAGATAACATGTGTTGAACTGGCCAAGTTTGGCACACAGATCAACAAACATCTACTGAGCCTGATTATGTATTGAGGAAACAAAGATAACTAAGATACAAAGATACAGAAGATATATTTCCTGCTATCAGAAATGTTTAGAGTAGTGGGTTATAATAGTTACCATTTATCATGGTGATGATTTCCCAATTTGTTCAGAAGAAGCCTCAGTTTCCAAGTCTAAGAACTAGTCACAAGCTTCCTTGCCACTGCTAACATTGTTGGATCCTCCTTATGGTTCTCATCTATTCATTGAATAAGCTTGGTCAGGTGCTGCCGTGGGCTGGCCACTCTTAAGACCCTGTCTTTGCCCTTGAGGCACTCTCTACTGTGCTTGTTGGCCCACAGGTCTGGAAAGAGGCTGTGGGGGAAAACACGGGCTTCATTCTGTTGTGTAGTTCCAAGGATGTAGGAGTTGTTCTTCCTCCTCCTCCCTCTGCCCAATTCCATCTGTCTGTTTTATGACTGAGGGCTCTGTCCAGCCCTGTCTCTGCATTCTTGTCTCATCATTCAGAATGTGCTGCTGTTTCTTCAGAGGGACCAGATTTTCCTTCTCTGGAAAGAAACCTGTCAAAGCAATGCTGGCTTTCTTTTCTGCTTTGCCTTGTACATCACGGTTGTTCATTCACCAGTGTCTCTTGGCTATCTTTCATGACCTCTGACTTCTCAGAATTCTGTGCAATCTTGTTTTGTTTTGGGGTCATTTCCTGCATTTCATAGAAATTCTCTGGATAGAGGTGAAAAGACGGAAAGTAGGAAGATATTCCTTAAGTCTTTCTACCTTCTGCTTCAACCTGGTAATTACATACTTTACATAAAAAGAGCCAGTGATTGAATGCCCCCTACTCACAGCTGGATTATACCCTTGGCTGCCACACCTCTCAGCTAGGGTGGAATTTCAAAAATTAAAATGAACTAAACTTAATTTTTAAGTTTCACTATTAAAGATACAGCAGTTATTCTAGATTTGCCCCCTAAAACATATTATAAAACATGAATAGTTTGCATGTGCTTTGTGTGAAAATTGGGATCTAGAGACTTTTAATTGTGCTATAGTGATTGTGATGAGAGTCTCTGCTAACTATTGTACAAAAAACCATATTTGATGCCCTATGTTTGCTTTGGCCAGCAAATCATTTGAGCAAAGATGCCTGTCCCCTCTACCCAAAGATGGTATTACCATTTGCTTTTTCACTTTTCTTAGCTCCCAAAAACAGGAGTTGATTCTTATCCTTTTTACAGAAAATTGTGAAGTCACAGAAAAACAGCAAAGTTTTATTATTTTGTTATTTTGCGGCCCTTTACATAAAATGTTATGCTTAGGACTAATATGCTAACAAAACAAAAATGACTATTTTACTGCAATATTGCAGTCGAATATAGGAAAACTCAGATTCTATAAATTATTCTTACACACATTCATAATAGTAGCCTCAGAATGCTGATAGTCAGGAGATAGAGGAAACTAATCTAATACTAGAAGGTAAGAGTTCAGACCTGCTGGCTCAGGGATGCCTGGACCAAATGAAACCTTGGCTTTACCCCTTGATCATTTGTCATCCAGAATACAGAGCCCTTTTCAGTCGAAACTCTGAGCTGATTTGTGAGCTTTACTGAGACGGAAAGAATATTGGAGTTGATGGCATGATTCTCCATCACTAATTTGCTAGGCTAAGACCATGAAATATATGGCCATAATATGGAGTGAGAGAGACAAGTAGTGTTTTTATTAAACCACAATTTCTGTTTTGGTCCTGATTTGCTTTTCTATGTTTACATCCTTGGGAAGTACTAAACAATGTGTTGAAAAATGTTTCAGCCACATTTGATCTTAGCTGCTCACACCCAACTTGCCCTGAAAAGAATGGGAGCAGTAAGAGAACAGAGTGGCTCACTGTGGAGTTAAACATGAGCAAATGGGGAACGAACTTGGCCAAACCACTTTAATGTCATGGCTTTAATAAAAAAGTATTTGTATCTGCAGAGAATATGCTGGGTGACCCACTCATGTTTCAATCAGCGTGCACTGATGCCAGAAACCAGTAATTTTTTGTAGTAATAGGCAATCCGTAACTTCTTGTCTCCTATGGGGAAAAACCCACCAAGGTTTTTTCTTTTTTACATGCCAGATCCTGAAAGGAGGCCACAACAAGTGCCCTGTTAATCTGAATTTCTTTAAGGTATCCATCAGGCCTTTTTTTTTTTTTTTTTTGCCAAGTCTAGTGGAATAAAAGAAAATATTTTTTATTAGTGGTGAAATGACCCAGACAGCTTTCTCTTGTGATAGTTTAACGTTTTTTTTTAAAGGGCATCTTTGCCTTTATTCTAGGGGTAATATTCAAAGTGTTTCATAACCACTGCAGCACAATCCTCAGTTGCCCAGGTGGTCACTGGTGTTAGAACTGGAGCAGAGTACTGGCATTCCCCTGCTGGGCAGGAATAGATGGTGGAGGGGTTGTTGGGGAGGTGCCAGGGCGAGTGGGTACTGGTTGAGGTAGAAGCCAGTAGCAGCGGGGCTCAGGACAAAGGCTGTTCACCTTCCAGTAGGGAAGTATTTCAGCATTTAAGCAACCAACATCACTATGAGAGTGCATGTCTGAAACTGGTCCTATGTGCATCCTGTGATCCTGTAACACATAGTTATAGCTGGAGATGATGGATCAGTGATGATAATCACTTACACCTTTTCTTTCTTTCTTTCTTTCTTTAAAACCCAGATCGGGGAGTTACTAAGCACCACCCATCCTGCCAACAAAGCCAGCTTAACCCTGTTCTGTCCTGAAGAAGGGGACTGGAAGAACTCCAATCTTGACAGACACAATCTCCAAGACTTCATCAATATTAAACTCAATTCAGCTTCTATCTTGCCAGAAATGGAAGGACTTTCTGAGTTTACCGAGTATCTCTCAGAATCAGTGGAAGTCCCATCTCCCTTTGACATCTTGGAACCTCCCACATCGGGTGGATTTCTGAAGCTCTCCAAGCCCTGCTGTTATATTTTTCCAGGAGGGAGGGGCGATTCTGCCTTGTTTGCAGTGAATGGTTTCAATATGCTCATCAATGGCGGATCAGAGAGAAAATCCTGCTTCTGGAAGCTCATCCGACACTTAGACCGAGTGGACTCCATCCTGCTCACCCACATTGGGGATGACAATTTGCCTGGAATAAACAGCATGTTACAGCGGAAAATTGCAGAGCTCGAGGAAGAACAGTCCCAGGGCTCCACCACAAATAGTGACTGGATGAAAAACCTCATCTCCCCTGACTTAGGAGTTGTATTTCTCAATGTACCTGAAAATCTCAAAAATCCAGAGCCAAACATCAAGATGAAGAGAAGCATAGAAGAAGCCTGCTTCACTCTCCAGTACCTAAACAAATTGTCCATGAAACCAGAACCTCTGTTTAGAAGTGTAGGCAATACTATTGATCCTGTCATTCTTTTCCAAAAAATGGGAGTAGGTAAACTTGAGATGTATGTGCTTAATCCAGTCAAGAGCAGCAAGGAAATGCAGTATTTTATGCAGCAGTGGACTGGTACCAACAAAGACAAGGCTGAATTCATTCTGCCTAATGGTCAAGAAGTAGATCTCCCGATTTCCTACTTAACTTCAGTCTCATCTTTGATTGTGTGGCATCCAGCAAACCCTGCGGAGAAAATCATCCGAGTCCTGTTTCCTGGGAACAGCACCCAGTACAACATCCTGGAAGGGTTGGAAAAGCTCAAACATCTAGACTTTCTGAAGCAGCCACTGGCCACCCAAAAGGATCTCACTGGCCAGGTGCCCACTCCTGTGGTGAAACAAACAAAACTGAAACAGAGGGCTGATAGCCGAGAAAGTCTGAAGCCAGCCGCAAAACCACTTCCTAGCAAATCCGTGCGCAAGGAGTCAAAAGAAGAAACCCCTGAGGTCACAAAAGTGAATCACGTGGAAAAGCCACCCAAAGTTGAAAGCAAAGAAAAGGTAATGGTGAAAAAAGACAAGCCAATAAAAACAGAGACCAAACCTTCAGTGACTGAAAAGGAGGTTCCCAGCAAAGAAGAGCCATCTCCAGTGAAAGCCGAGGTGGCTGAGAAGCAAGCCACAGATGTCAAACCCAAAGCTGCCAAGGAGAAGACGGTGAAAAAGGAAACAAAGGTAAAGCCTGAAGACAAGAAAGAGGAGAAAGAAAAGCCAAAGAAAGAAGTGGCTAAAAAGGAGGACAAAACACCTATCAAGAAGGAGGAAAAACCAAAAAAGGAAGAGGTGAAAAAAGAAGTCAAAAAAGAGATCAAGAAAGAAGAGAAAAAAGAACCCAAGAAAGAGGTTAAGAAAGAAACACCGCCAAAGGAAGTCAAGAAGGAAGTTAAGAAGGAAGAGAAGAAGGAAGTGAAAAAGGAAGAAAAGGAACCCAAAAAAGAAATTAAGAAGCTCCCTAAAGACGCAAAGAAATCATCTACTCCTCTGTCTGAAGCAAAAAAACCAGCTGCTTTAAAACCAAAAGTACCCAAGAAGGAAGAGTCTGTCAAGAAAGATTCTGTTGCTGCCGGAAAGCCAAAGGAGAAGGGGAAAATAAAAGTCATTAAGAAGGAAGGCAAGGCCGCAGAGGCTGTCGCTGCAGCTGTCGGCACTGGAGCCACCACAGCAGCTGTCATGGCGGCAGCTGGAATAGCAGCCATTGGCCCTGCCAAAGAACTCGAAGCTGAGAGGTCCCTTATGTCATCTCCTGAGGATCTAACCAAGGACTTTGAAGAGTTAAAGGCTGAAGAGGTCGATGTAACAAAGGACATCAAGCCTCAGCTGGAGCTAATCGAAGACGAAGAGAAACTGAAGGAAACTGAGCCAGTCGAAGCCTACGTCATCCAGAAGGAGAGAGAAGTCACCAAAGGTCCTGCCGAGTCCCCTGATGAGGGAATCACTACCACTGAAGGGGAGGGCGAATGTGAACAGACACCTGAGGAGCTGGAGCCCGTCGAGAAGCAGGGAGTAGACGACATTGAAAAATTTGAAGATGAAGGAGCCGGTTTTGAAGAATCTTCAGAGACTGGAGACTATGAAGAGAAGGCAGAAACTGAGGAGGCTGAGGAGCCAGAAGAGGATGGGGAGGAACACGTATGTGTGAGCGCCTCCAAGCACAGCCCCACTGAGGATGAGGAAAGTGCCAAGGCGGAGGCTGATGCATACATCAGGGAGAAGAGGGAGTCTGTGGCCAGTGGGGATGACCGAGCCGAAGAAGACATGGATGAGGCCATTGAGAAAGGAGAGGCTGAACAATCTGAAGAGGAGGCTGATGAGGAGGACAAAGCTGAAGATGCCAGAGAGGAGGAATATGAGCCGGAAAAAATGGAAGCTGAAGACTATGTGATGGCTGTGGTCGACAAGGCTGCAGAGGCTGGTGGTGCCGAGGAGCAGTATGGATTCCTCACCACACCAACCAAGCAACTAGGAGCCCAGTCTCCTGGCCGAGAACCTGCATCTTCAATTCATGATGAGACTTTACCTGGAGGCTCAGAGAGCGAGGCCACCGCTTCTGATGAGGAGAATCGAGAAGACCAGCCTGAGGAATTCACTGCCACCTCTGGCTACACTCAGTCTACTATTGAGATATCCAGTGAGCCCACCCCCATGGATGAGATGTCTACCCCTCGAGACGTGATGAGTGATGAGACCAACAATGAAGAGACGGAGTCCCCTTCTCAGGAATTCGTAAATATCACCAAATATGAATCTTCATTGTATTCTCAGGAATACTCTAAACCTGCTGATGTTACACCGCTCAACGGATTTTCTGAAGGATCAAAAACAGATGCCACTGATGGCAAGGATTACAATGCTTCAGCCTCTACCATATCACCACCCTCTTCCATGGAGGAAGACAAATTCAGCAGATCTGCTTTACGTGATGCTTACTGCTCTGAAGTGAAAGCCAGCACCACTTTGGACATCAAAGATAGCATCTCAGCTGTTTCAAGTGAAAAGGTCAGCCCATCGAAGAGCCCGTCCCTGAGTCCATCTCCACCATCACCCTTAGAAAAGACCCCCCTGGGTGAACGTAGTGTGAACTTCTCTCTGACGCCCAATGAGATTAAAGTCTCTGCAGAGGCAGAAGTAGCCCCGGTGTCTCCTGAGGTGACCCAAGAAGTAGTTGAAGAACATTGTGCTAGTCCTGAGGACAAGACTCTGGAAGTGGTGTCACCATCTCAGTCCGTGACTGGCAGTGCTGGTCACACACCTTACTATCAATCTCCTACTGACGAGAAATCCAGTCATCTCCCTACAGAAGTCATTGAAAAACCACCAGCAGTTCCAGTGAGTTTTGAATTCAGTGATGCCAAAGATGAGAATGAAAGGGCTTCAGTAAGCCCCATGGATGAGCCCGTGCCTGACTCAGAGTCTCCTATTGAAAAAGTTTTGTCTCCTTTACGCAGCCCGCCCCTCATTGGATCCGAGTCTGCTTATGAAAGTTTTCTAAGTGCTGATGACAAGGCTTCTGGCAGAGGTGCCGAAAGTCCTTTTGAAGAAAAGAGTGGAAAACAAGGCTCTCCAGACCAAGTAAGTCCAGTTTCTGAAATGACTTCTACTAGTCTTTACCAAGACAAACAGGAAGGGAAAAGCACAGACTTTGCACCAATAAAAGAAGACTTTGGCCAAGAAAAGAAAACTGATGATGTTGAAGCCATGAGTTCTCAACCAGCACTGGCTCTGGATGAAAGGAAATTAGGAGATGTTTCTCCCACACAAATAGATGTCAGTCAGTTTGGATCTTTTAAAGAAGACACTAAGATGTCCATTTCTGAAGGTACTGTCTCAGACAAGTCAGCTACTCCTGTTGATGAGGGCGTAGCAGAAGACACGTACTCTCATATGGAGGGTGTGGCCTCAGTGTCCACAGCCTCAGTGGCTACGAGCTCATTTCCAGAGCCAACAACAGATGATGTGTCTCCATCTCTGCATGCTGAGGTTGGCTCCCCACATTCCACAGAAGTAGATGACTCCCTTTCAGTGTCTGTTGTGCAAACACCTACCACATTCCAGGAAACAGAAATGTCTCCATCTAAAGAAGAATGCCCAAGACCGATGTCAATTTCTCCACCAGATTTCTCCCCTAAAACTGCAAAGTCCAGGACACCCGTTCAAGATCACAGATCTGAACAGTCCTCAATGTCTATTGAATTTGGCCAAGAATCTCCTGAGCAATCCCTTGCTATGGACTTCAGTCGACAGTCTCCAGATCACCCTACAGTGGGTGCAGGCGTGCTTCACATCACTGAAAATGGGCCAACTGAAGTGGACTACAGTCCTTCTGACATGCAGGACTCCAGTTTATCACATAAGATACCACCTATGGAGGAGCCGTCCTACACCCAAGATAATGATCTTTCTGAGCTCATCTCAGTATCTCAGGTAGAGGCCTCCCCGTCCACCTCTTCTGCTCATACCCCTTCTCAGATCGCTTCTCCTCTCCAAGAAGATACTCTATCCGATGTTGCTCCTCCCAGAGATATGTCCTTATATGCCTCACTCACCTCTGAAAAAGTGCAAAGTCTGGAAGGAGAGAAGCTCTCTCCAAAATCTGATATCTCTCCACTCACCCCACGAGAGTCCTCTCCTTTATATTCACCTACTTTTTCAGATTCTACCTCTGCAGTCAAAGAGAAAACAGCAACTTGCCACAGTTCCTCTTCTCCACCAATAGATGCAGCATCCGCAGAGCCCTATGGCTTCCGTGCCTCAGTGTTATTCGATACAATGCAACACCATCTAGCCTTGAATAGAGATTTGTCCACACCTGGCCTGGAGAAGGACAGTGGAGGGAAGACACCTGGTGACTTTAGCTATGCCTATCAAAAGCCTGAGGAAACAACCAGGTCCCCAGATGAAGAAGATTATGACTATGAGTCTTATGAGAAGACCACCCGGACCTCAGATGTGGGTGGCTATTACTATGAGAAGATAGAGAGAACCACAAAATCTCCAAGTGACAGTGGCTACTCCTATGAGACCATTGGGAAAACTACCAAGACCCCTGAAGATGGTGACTATTCCTATGAAATTATTGAGAAGACCACACGGACCCCTGAAGAGGGTGGGTACTCATATGACATAAGTGAAAAGACCACCAGCCCCCCCGAAGTGAGTGGTTACAGCTATGAAAAGACTGAGAGGTCTAGAAGGCTTCTGGATGACATCAGCAATGGCTATGATGACTCTGAGGATGGTGGCCACACACTTGGGGACCCCAGCTACTCTTATGAAACCACTGAGAAAATTACCAGTTTCCCTGAGTCTGAAGGTTATTCCTATGAGACATCTACAAAGACAACACGAACCCCTGATACTTCCACATACTGTTACGAGACTGCAGAGAAAATCACTAGAACCCCTCAGGCATCCACATATTCCTACGAGACTTCAGACCTATGCTACACTGCAGAAAAGAAGTCCCCCTCAGAAGCCCGTCAGGATGTCGATTTATGCCTCGTGTCCTCTTGTGAATACAAGCACCCCAAGACAGAGCTTTCACCCTCTTTCATTAATCCCAATCCTCTTGAGTGGTTTGCCAGTGAAGAACCCACTGAAGAATCTGAAAAGCCCCTCACTCAATCAGGGGGAGCCCCACCGCCTCCAGGAGGAAAGCAACAGGGCCGACAGTGTGATGAAACCCCTCCCACCTCAGTCAGCGAGTCAGCCCCATCCCAGACCGACTCTGATGTTCCCCCGGAGACTGAAGAGTGCCCCTCCATCACGGCCGATGCCAATATCGACTCTGAAGACGAGTCGGAAACCATCCCCACAGACAAAACTGTCACGTACAAACACATGGACCCACCTCCAGCTCCCGTGCAAGACCGCAGCCCTTCGCCACGCCACCCTGATGTGTCCATGGTGGACCCAGAGGCCTTGGCCATTGAGCAGAACCTGGGCAAAGCTCTAAAGAAAGATCTGAAAGAGAAGACCAAAACCAAAAAGCCAGGTACAAAGACCAAGTCATCTTCACCTGTCAAAAAGAGTGATGGGAAGTCTAAGCCCTTGGCAGCTTCACCAAAACCAGCGGGCTTGAAAGAATCCTCGGATAAAGTGTCCAGGGTGGCTTCTCCTAAGAAGAAAGAATCTGTGGAAAAGGCAGCAAAACCCACCACCACTCCTGAGGTCAAAGCTGCACGTGGGGAAGAGAAAGACAAGGAGACCAAGAATGCTGCCAATGCCTCTGCATCCAAGTCGGCCAAGACCGCCACTGCAGGTAGGTTGAGAAGGCTGGGCATTGGATATATGTCACAACCATTCTACTTGCGTTTACAGCCTTTATATTTCCCTGTTTGGCTTTGTACTGGGAAGATGAGGGAGCACAATTGATGCTTTACCTTCCCTGTACTCTTCTCCTCTGCCCAAAGGTATATATCTCAGTCCAGTGTGGCCTTAAGGCTTGGAAATAGCTCAGTGTATGGTTCAAAGCAGCTGTGATTCATCACTGGGATTCCTGATTTTGTGCCGTTTTCGAACACAGCAACTACAGCCCTGTTCTAAATCTTCAGAACCAAGGATGTGTCTTTCAGGTGCTTCTGGAAGACTGGTTTCAGCCATACTGGCCTCAGAATCCAGCAGGGTAACACAGGCCAGGAGCTCCCAAAGGCCTAAGGAGAACCAGAGGTTTCACATCAAGACTGGATCAACCAGTCTAGACCCAAGATTTAGAGTCCTTTTTTAAAAAAAATTTTTTTTAAATTAAAAATGTTTACATTTTTATTTAAAACATCACCAGGTTGGAGATAAATCCTCATTAAAGGCAGTGTTCCATTTTCTTATCAGCCAAAAAATACTATAATTTCAGTTGACCAGTGAGTGTCCGGTGAAAATTGAGAGAAAAACATTGATGGCTCTGCTCTTACCCTTCTCTTACCCCATGGCCTCATTAGTAGAGACTCAATGCTATTTCAGATTAAAATTCCACTGGGAAGCTAGATGCATGGCCTCATGCCTGTAATTTCAGCACTTTGGGAGGCTGAGATGGAAGGTTAGCTTCAGCCCAGGAAGTTGAGACCAGCCTGTGCAACATAGCAAGACCCTGTCTCCACAAAAAAAAAAAAATGTTTTTTAATTAGCTGGGTGTGGTGGCACGTGCTTATAGTCTTAGCTACTTGGGAGGCTGAGGCAGGAGGATCACTTCAGCCCAAGAGATCAAGGCTGCAGTGAGCCAGAATTGTATGTATCACTGCATGCCAAGCCTGGGTGACAGAGCAAGACCCTGTCTCTCAAAAATAAATAAATAAGCAAATGAAATGCCACTTGGCAAGAGCAGGTATCCCTGATTTTTGATCATTCATGTTTTTGGTCATGATTCTCAGATTTATCAGGTTCTCAGCAATGACCTGGGCTTTTGATGGAACTGGTCTATGGCAGTACTGCTTCATTTTGTTGCTTCACATCAATCACAAGGATTGGCATTCATACATTTTATTTGCTTTAGGTAATTATTCAGAGATTTTTAGATCACAATTCACAAAGTAATGTAAATGGACCCAAACATGTAAGGCACAACATAATTTAAATAACATTGCCCTGATTTATTAGGGAAAATCTGATAGAGTAATCTTTGGAGCTCTCCAATTAAGTACACTTTAGGATACATTTGTTAAAACTGCAAATTTTTACTTTAAACAATATGGAGTATCAATTTTAAGGCTCAGTTCTCAGCACATTTGGCCTTTCTACATGCACATAGAAAATAATCGGAATTTTTTCATGTTTAAAATGAATGAAAAACCACCAGATAATTAACCCTTTCATCTGAAAGAGTTGACAACTGACCTGCACTTAGGAGAAAACATGAAATCCATTTAAACAGATAAAACCAACTGCAAATTTGCCAGAACATATACATCCTAGCCCACACAATTTTTAAAAAAACTTTTTTTGGACATTTAAAGAGGTAATTTAAAGGCAAAGTAATAAGTGAAAATGAGTTAATTTTCATTTATTTTGGAGATGCTTTTAGATGTCTAAAAAGGCAAAGTTGCAGTACTAATTGACTTTTAAAGCAAACCTGGGCAGTTCTGTCAGTTTGTGCTTCTGTGAGCAATATTCATTTGATGTTGATGGTAGTGATTTAGAGTAGAGGGCGAAATTGGCAGACATGTTTAATTACTGGAAGAACTGTAACTCACAAACTTCTAGTACAAGTCAGAATTCTTTAGGAATTCTTTGGATATTTTGAGGGCTTTCGGCTCAGATTCATTAAAATAAACTATTGATCTATTCATAGAATGAATTAGCTTATCCAATTATTACTTTGGCTGATTCTCACCACTCCCTAACCTCTCTAAAAATAAAACTGTACAGTTGATAGAATTAGCTGGTGGTTTTCAATCTGGGATGATAGTCTTTAAATATCCTATGGAGAAAGAGGATTAAGCATGTAAAATCTAGCTGGTGTTTTAATTGGCTTTACAGCAATGAAACCAGCTGCATATTAGAATCGCCTGGGGTGCTTTTAAAAGACAGTAGTTCCAGGCCCCAACCCAAGCCCACTTAAGTCAGACTCTAGAGAATGAGGCCTGGGTGTCAGTATTAAGCATCCGAGGTGATTCTGATTATATAGTCAGGCTGAAGAACCACTGCCTCAAAATGCTAGTTCTATTAACATTTCAAAAGCTTTAAACTTCCTAACTGGAACAAGTTAGTTTTCCCAGACCTTTGTGATTTGACTGGGGGTTTTGGTTGCAGTCTGATATGTCCTGATTAGCTAGAGAAAGCCTAGTCTTTCTGAACCTTCCTTTGCCCAAGTTTGGCATCCAGCCTTGTCTAGGGAAAGAAGTATCACTTTTCAGAATACTGTGCTAAGGAGAGAATATGGTGTTTCATCAGTTTATGAATGAGATGGAGGTGCTGAGGGCCTTGGAAATCATATGGGGTTAAGATCAAAACTATTTGCTAGGTAGAATGTTAGGGTATAATATCCAGCTGTGGACAAAATTGCTATCAATGAGACCCTAAAATAGAGCACTAAGATCACTTAGCTATGTTTTGCCAAATACAGACGTTTTCTTTTGACTTTTAAAATCTACTTCTTAGATCACTTATCAAATAAAGAAACACATTAACAACTTCTTTAGGAGGAGTATTATATCTAGTGCCATCTTGGGAAAGGCCTTCAAACTCTTCTTGCTTCCTAATATTGGTTGTCCACAAAGGGAAACTATCCCATTCTTCATTTCTCCTATTGAGGTGGTAAACAACCATGTTATGTTTTGTCACATTGCTAGCGTAAATGCCCTTGACAGATTACCAGGGAGATGGAAATGCTGTCACCACTTTGCATGTCTCAGAGGACCTACTTGTGATTGAATAGGGAAGGTGTGATTGAGTGGGGAACATGTGCTGGATGTATGGTCTCTTCACCTTGCTATGACCTTGCTTTGTCTTTGTTTATTTACCCAAGGACCAGGAACTACCAAGACGACCAAGTCATCTGCTGTGCCCCCAGGCCTCCCTGTGTATTTGGACCTGTGCTACATTCCTAACCACAGCAATAGTAAGAATGTTGATGTGGAATTTTTCAAGAGAGTGCGGTCTTCCTACTACGTGGTGAGTGGGAATGACCCTGCTGCTGAGGAGCCCAGCCGGGCTGTCCTGGACGCTTTGTTGGAAGGAAAGGCTCAGTGGGGCAGCAACATGCAGGTGAGAACTCCTCGACAGTGTCTGCACTGCCGATTGAGCTGTGTCCAGAGGCAATGGGAAGGAACCATGTTTAAAGAGGCACCTCATGTGGCTGATCGTGGATCCACATGAGGTGCCTCCTGTGTCTGTCACACACGAAATATCCTGAGAACAAAGTCAGTTTAACACACAGTAGGTAGTCTGAAATAATATTCTTGGCACCACCACCAACCACGGCCTTGGAGGAAAGACACCTTAACTAAAGCAGAAACCATTTATCTGCAAAATGGGCCTAAGATTAATTGCCCTTCCTCCAGTATGCCAAGAGTCTTGTGTGTGTGAATCAAAGCGGTCATATTTCCATATGAGAGCTCCTGAGGAATTGCCTTTCTTCCTTTGTGTTTTATGAGTAGACTGCGGCTAGGAATATGGCCATTTAGAAAAACAGCTCTCCATGTGAAATTCCACAGCAGGAGCATTGCTGAATATAGTCCCTCACAGGACACTCCCAACTCCCAAACATCATGCCTGACCACAAACCATCCCTTATTTATTTAATGACAGGGTCTCCCTATGTTGCCCAGGCTGGTCTCGAACTCCTGGCCTTAAATGATTCTTAGAACCAGCTATTATTAATTCAGCTGTGATCTTTGCTTATCAAGTTTTATTTGTGGTTCTGTACAAAATTACCTAGTAAATTGTGCTTGTATCATATTATATAGAATTACTTGTTATTTAATCATATGAAATCTAATGAGAGGCACCCAGTGGCTCCCTACTGAATGCTAGATGGAATTTATACTATTCAGGACATTACTTACCCACCCCATACCTCCATCCCCAACCACACACATAAAGTAAAGGTGCAGATCTTTGTTCTCAGGACAAAATGTTAGTTACTCACAATGAGTGGGCTTTTGAGGGCTTTGAAGTGCGCGATAAAATCCTTGGATTAAATATGCAATATCTTTTATGCAAAACTTACCAGTTGTGTTAAAGGAAATACAAAAAATTGTACCCTAACGGAAGCACTTCTCTTAACAGTAAAGAACTGAGAAACTGATTAATTGCTTTTTGGTTCCAGCCTTCAGTTTCCCTTAGAAACAATAGCTTTTCTTTGCAGCTTTATTCTGGTTCCTGGAAAATATACATTGAAAAATCCTTTGCATTTCTTGAGGAAAATAGAAAAGTTTTCTCTCATTTCCCTTCTTCTTCCAGTGGTCTAATACCTTGCTATTCAATTTTTTTCATATGGTTTCTGTTTCTGCCCTTAAATAGCTATTTTTTTTTTCTCTCCCTGCAGGTGACACTGATCCCAACTCATGACTCAGAAGTGATGAGGGAATGGTACCAGGAGACCCATGAGAAACAGCAAGATCTCAACATCATGGTTTTAGCAAGCAGCAGCACAGTGGTTATGCAAGATGAATCCTTCCCTGCATGCAAGATTGAACTGTAAAAACCAAGGCCAGCCACACCACAGGATCTGAACTTTGTTTCCAGAAATTCTTCAATTTGAAATCACCTTTTCTAAAAAGTCAATTCATCTAGTTAAGTCGCTGAACAATTACCTGCCAAATGCTATACTGTGTCATGGTGATGCAAGTCACTAAATTTCTCAGTTTTTGCTGATTGCTAAGGGAAATAACAGTATTTCCACAATAGGGTTCAAATTCCTGCAAAATTACCTACCCCAGTTCATCTCTGCTGAACATTTGGAAACCATGCACTAGCCAACCCAACTGACTTCTGCTAGGTAGAGGCATTTGTCTTAGAGAGAGAGAGAGCGCGGGAGAGAGTGAGAGAGAGTGAGAGCACAAAGATAACGCAGGAGAGAGAGAGAGAAAGAATGAGAAAGAAAAGGAATGCAAGAGAAGGAGATGTAATGACAGAGAGTTCTGGTGAGATACCCAGAGAGAAAAAGAGAGAGCAGGGTGGGGTAAGGAGGAGAAAATAAACCAACAATTAGGTCTGCATTTTCTCAGGCAGTAGGCATTCTTTAGTCTACATAGGCAAAGTTTTCCATTTTTGTCAGTCTGAGTCATCAAAAAGAGTCTTAATTTTCTAAAACAAGTTGGCTAGAAGAAAGTAAAAAGAACAACACTTGTTATGAGGGCATGTGATATTTTCACATCTTAATTAAGCTCCTTCAGTTTGAAGGCTGCACACTGACATAATGTAGTGAGTGTAGACTGGCCATGCAAGTGGTTTGGGCCCCATTCAGAACTCTCAGACTCTAAACACACAAGTAGATTGATCTAAGGCATGCTCCCAGCATTTGTCCACCCACTTAGTCCACTCTGAGTCGATTAACCTGCATGCAGCAACACCCAAGTCCACCCCAATTAACTGAAGCAAATACCAAAGCAGTTGGGAGTACATATGGTAGACAATTTGCCTTAGGAAGTGACTTGAATGTACAAAGATACTTGATGCACTTATTTTTTAATGTGAGACAGCAAGTTTATAAAACATCCATATAGGATTATAGATACTTAAAGGAACACGTGGGTGAGCGTGTGTGGGGGTACTAGAAGCTGATCTGATTGGTCCAACAGTTTGATGCTGAGTCATGCGTGTTGAATCCCACTTCAGTGCACCTGTGGCCTCTCAGTCAAACAAGTTGTGCCTTTCACAGCTTCTTTACTACTGCAAGTTCAAGACTGAAATGGCTTCTATGATCAGAACTGGGAAAACAGTGAATCTTATGGTGGAAGAGGTTCTCAGCAAGTGTACAGTATTTACCTTCCTTTGTCTTACATTGGCTTTTTAAATTTTCCATTAATTTCAACATAATTATGGGAACAAGTGTACAGAAGAATTTTTTTTTTAAGATATGTGAGAACTTTTCATAGATGAACTTTTTAACAAATGTTTTCATTTACAGGAAATTGCAAAGAAAATTCTCAAGTGATAGTCTTTTTTTTTAAGTGTTTCGTAAGACAAAAATTGAATAATGTTTTTTGAAGTTCTGGCAAGATTGAAGTCTGATATTGCAGTAATGATATTTATTAAAAACCCATAACTACCAGGAATAATGATACCTCCCACCCCTTGATTCCCATAACATAAAAGTGCTACTTGAGAGTGGGGGAGAATGGCATGGTAGGCTACTTTTCAGGGCCTTGACAAGTACATCACCCAGTGGTATCCTACATACTTCTTTCAAGATCTTCAACCATGAGGTAAAAGAGCCAAGTTCAAAGAACCCTAGCACAAATTTGCTTTGGGATTTTCTTTTCTGGAAAAAAAAAATAAAAGAAATAGTACATTGAAAACAAATGAATTCTCAACTCCTACGGTTCATGTAGAGTTTAGAGAAAATTTCCATCATTGTCATCATTGAACTGTGAACCTGGGAAGCCAGATCATGATTAACACTGACATCAAGTTTCAAGTTGCAGATCAATGCACCCAGTGTTCAGATGAGGCAAACTTCTCCGTGACAACTGTGCTGTGCTCTGTCACATTACATTTCCTGCAGACTCTAAGATCTACGGAGTAGAGAACAATGACCTCATTTTATTTTCTATGTTAGTTATTTATTTCAAAATTAACATTTTAGTTGATTTTTGTCTGATAAGTCTATGTTTTGCACTGCTAACTATGATGAGGGTTTAAAAAAATGCTTCTTCAGGGTCCTTTCACTGAGGACCTATGCAGTCTACTTAATGCTGTGAATTACATTTTTCAAATGTTTAATTTTTTAAAGAAAATTAATATTCTATTTTTGTTAGGCTTCTCTAGAAATGCAGCTTTTATTTATTACCCCATTTCTTTCAAGTCCTTGGAAAATAACATATTAAGGGTACAAGAAATTAACACATGATGGAAAAGTCATTGTGACGCCAATGAATTTCATTGAGTATAAACTCATCTACTTCAAATTTATTTTATAACACAACCTAAGATACTCAAGATAATTATTTAATGGTTAGCTCTTAAGTTGAATTGGTCTACATAATGCGTGGGAAGAAAACCAGATTTTTAGCCTTCTTGCCAAATCCAGACCTCTGGTTGATTTTTCTTTGACAGAAGATGCAAGTTATTTTCCAATTTCACAATTAAATGTATTTAACCTGAACATTATTTTGCTTTAAAAACTATAAACATTGTAGGAGAATTATAGCCAGTCTTCAGTTATAACCACTCCACCCTCCTCACTTTCTCTCTCTCTCTCTCTTTTTTTTTTTTTTTTTTTTTGCTATGGGATTTAATGGGAAAAATATGTAAAAACTGTCACTAGTCAGCTGGCTCTTTTTCCTATGAAATCTATCAGTACCTTTCTCCATCCGTTGTTCTCAATATGACCACAGAGCCTGAGTATACCAAGAAAACCAATATTCGCATTACAGGTTGCTCCTGTCCTTCCAGACACCTTTCCTGCCTGTGTGACTAACCTAATTTTGCTAGTTCCATAAATACACGATTAGTTTAGTAACAGCCATCACAATGTACCATGTACATTCATGGTGAGAGCTAAAGATCGACACAGACTTCTAGGAGCTTTGTTCATACTGATTACTTAATCCAATTGTATAGATTGAATATTTGAGTGGAAGGAATTTACACTCTGTTTAAATGATGGGATTCTATCGAGATAGCACTCATGATCATGACCTTTTTGGTAGTATTCTTAAACAAAATTCTACAGAGACTAAATGTTAGCGATGATCCTCCATTTTCAATTTTAACCAATTCTGTCCCCTTTCTCAAAACCCTGAGCCCTGTGCATGCTTTCTCAGTCTTGTGGTGGGACTGGATACAATGACTAACTTCCCCTCCTCCCCTCTTTAAACACCATTTTCCATGGAGTTCAAAAAAATTTTTTTTCTTAACGTTACATATCATAGTGAATGGTTTCCCCAGTGTATATGAATGTTTTAAGTGTCTCCAATAGCTTATGCAGTCTAGGAGCTTTCCAATACTCATTTAATTAAGATTTAATCATTTGCTAATGGAAATCTTACCACCTTTCATTTTCCCTCTGTTACCAAATTTCAGCTCTTAGGAGCTGCTCTACAATTCTGAATTTGCTTTTCTTGCCTCTCTTTAGTCACCTGTCACAGGAGGTTCCTGCTCAGTAATGATATTGTGAGTTAGGATAATAACTTTTTTTTTTTGTGCTTCAGATTTAGAAGAAAAGATCCTGTTTCCATTTGAAAGGAACTGTAAGCTTTTATCTTTTAACCAACTGAACAATACACCAAAAGCAGCCTAGGGATGAGCATTTCTTTGAAAGCAATTAGGTTATTCACCTGGTATTAAAACTATTTACTGTTAAAAAATCTGTGACTTCATGAAGTTGATTTTTAAAGGCAGCATCAAAAACTGAAAAGGAAGGGAAAAAATAGGCAGCTTCTCTGCACTTGTTTGGAGCTCCCCAAAACAGGAGCCATGGAGAAGTGGCATCAAGACCGGGCTGCCCTTTCGAGAACACCCTGTGGCAGTTCAGAGACACGCTTTTCCTACACTGCATGCAGCCCCTCTTTCCAGCACTGGAAAGAAGTGGTCTTGAGCCCAGCTGAGAAGCACTTCACACTCCTCTCTCTTGTTCTGAATGGTGTTTGTGTCAGTCTGCAGCTGTGTATGGTATTATGTCTTATAATCCTGCATCACTTCTATCCTATCCAGTCATATCTAATGTAGAAAATTAGTTTCCAGTGAAAGTAATATGTAGTGCTTTTATGATATTTGTGTGCAATATCCCCTCTTCCATTGAGGATATTTGATGTAAAGGAAAAAAAAAAACTCAGTTCCACAATAAAATACAAAAGTGGCAAAAGTTCATGTGTGTGCTGTGCTGTCTTTTGCTTTGTGTTCCTGAGTTGGGCTTTGCCACTCACGCAGAATGCTGGGCAGTCAGGGCATGACGGCAGGGGGTGACTACGTTCTTTTCAAGATGGGCTCCCTGGCTTTTGGCAAACTGCCGAAAGCATCTTGCTAATGCTTGCAACTGCTACCTCGTTAACTTTTATAGCCAAGCTCTAGAGGATGTGAGCGTGTAAGGACAGAAACTGGGAGGTGAAGGGAAGGAACAATTAAAATTATTGCTTAAAAAAAAGAAAAAAAAAAGGATAGCTGGGTGCAGTGCTACATGCCTGTGATCCCAGTACTTTGGGAGGCCAAGGTGGGAGAATCATTTGAGCCCGGAAGTTCAAGGCTGTAGTGAACCATGATTGTGCCACTGCACTCCAACCTGGGCAACAGAGAGAGACTCTGTCTCTAAAAAAAAAAAAAAAAAAAAAGAAAGAAAAGATAGACCAGACCAGAACCTGTCATATTCAGCAATTGTGCTCAGTACCTATCTTTTTCTTAGTTCCTTGCTCACTGTTACAGAATATCCTCTATCTAACATAATATGTTGTGGATTTGACTCACACCCAGGAACTAGCAGTTGTTGGGAAAAAGTGATTATATATGTAGCAAAGAATACCTAACAAGAGGAGGATTTCCTCCCTGTCATTCAAATGATTATTACACATTTACCCTGTACCTGGCAGTAGGTTATATTACAAGATATAACCTAACTGCTGCCCTAACTGATTGGGGGAAGACAGACCAGCAGAGGCAATGATACCACATCGTGATGGGGGCTCCTAAAATTCAAGAGCGAGCTTAGGTGACCATAGGAAAAGCACCGCAAATGATGTCTCGGCTGAGCTCTGGAGTGTGTGTGTGTGTGTGTGTGTGTGTGTGTGTGTGTGTGTGTGTGCATTGGTTGGACCAAAAGTAAATTCCAGGCAGAGACAAGAGCTCACACAGGGTCTCAGCAGAGAGCAGGATCAGCATATGTTAAGGAGCACAGACTGCTCACAATGGCAGCATGTAAATGGGGGAGGCCCTGGCACTTCAGTTTCCCACCATGTGGCCACAAAAAACATGCCCATAAGGTTCTTAATAGAGACCTCCAAGACTGGGCCCTGCCTGTCTGCAGAGATGGTCCTTTAGCCTCAAAAGACCCCAGCAGCCTGTCCTGAGTTATTATGATATCCCTCTGTGTGTCATATCCACTCCTTTTGATCTTAACATTTCCCCTCCAAACCATGGGGCTACATTGAATGGTCCTATCAGAAATCACTGCTTGCTAAGAGGGATTCTGAAATCCCTCCAGAAATTAAAGGGTTAAGCATGTGAGCACTCAGGGTGGGAAATCATCACTTACAGATTTTAATTTCATCTATCAGACTCAAATTAAATAGTAAATAAGTTGTTTTCTATTCCACTGCCAAATTGTTCAGTTCCAGGAAGCCTTCCTTCTGGCCTGAAGCCAGGGTGGCCAACTATCTTGGTTTGCTCAGGACTGCCCTGATTTCAGCACTGAAAGTCCTGTGTCCCAGAAAACCCCTCAGTCCCTGGGAACCAGTGAGGGCTAGTCACCCTACCTGAACCCTGCCCTGCTGTTTACATCCCCTTCTCCCCCCATCTAGGCACAATGGAGGGGGAAAAGTTGGCGGCAGCTTTCCTTCAGTTTCTTTTTTCCTATCTTCTGAGAAAATCAACAAAGGTCTGTTGAGGTCCTGTGATCATATTTTCTCTCTCTTCTTAATTGTACCGCTCATTCTGGATGATTTTCTATATCCCTACAATGCTTTTTTTAACACACTCCTGACTCATGAATTCTTGGTCCCTTGCATAATTCCAGAACTATTTCCTCTTTGATCTTGTATTGTATGCCTTGGAAATTCACCGGAGCCATATATGCAGTTTTGGTCACACCTAGTTCGTTTAATATGAGCAGTTCTTCTGGATACTTCTCCAGGGGTTACTGGCAATGTTTTCACAGATGGTGGAGCAGGGCTTCTGAGGTCTGCTTGATTCACAGGGAGATCTCGCCGTACACCAACAGACACAGCTCTATTTCATGGCTCAGATTGTCCCCACTAAAACCAGAAATGCATGCTGCTTTAATGCAGTCTCAGGAATTTAAATGCCATGTGTAAACTGATGATTTTTATAGTTATATCTGCAGCCTGTACATCATCCCTTACCTCCAAATTCATATATCCAGTGCCCATTAAAATCTCCATGTGGATATCCAATAGGAGTCTTTAAAATACCCTAAACCAAATGTAACATGTCCCCAAACAAACCCCTGATCTCCATTTGCAAACTGCTTCTCTCCTAGGCTTTTCTACCTCAGTAAATGGCAAATACATATTCTTGTTGTTCAGGCCAAAAATTTTGGCCCATCAGCAAATCAACTGGCCGGCAAGTACTGCTGGCTTGACCTTCAAAATATATCAGTCTGATACCTTCTCCTCACATTCACGGTTACTACCCTTGTCCAAGTCAATCATTTCTCTCCTGGTTTATTGCAGGAGCATCCTAATTGACCTTCCGGTTTCCTATCTTTGCCCTCCTAGCTTATTCTCCATGTTGCAGCTACAGTAGAGTAATCCTCTAAAAATGTTAAGTCAGATCATGCCACCCATGCTCAAAGCTCTTGAGTAAGTTCTCATCTTAGAGTAAAAGCCAATGTCTTTACTGATGGGCTAAGAAGGCTTACACAATTCATTCCTCCTCTACCCCTTCTCTCCGACTTCATTTCCCACTTCTTTCCACCTTACACATTCTGCTCCAGCCATACTGGCCTCCTTGCTATTCCTCAGGCATTCAGCCTTTCATCTCAAGGCCTTTATGCTATTTCCTTTGCTCAACATGCATTTTCTCCAGGTGATTCCACGGTTTTCAATCTCACCCATGTGGGTTTTTGTTCAAATGTCATTTTCTCAGGAAGGCCTTCCCTAACCACCTTATCTTAAGTTGCAATCTCCACCATTTACCTAGCACTCTCTTTTTCTCTACCTTCCTGGTCTCCATATGACTATTATTTTTGTGATCAAGGTTGGGGCAAAGCCCAGTGTGGTGGCTCACACCTGTAATCCCAGCACTTTGGGAGGCCAAGGCGGGTGGATCACTTGAGGTCAGGAGTTTGAGACCAGCCTCACCAACGTGGTGAAACCTCGTCTCTAGTGAAAATACAAAAATTAACCAGGCGTGGTGGTGCGTACCTGTAATCCCAGCCACTCAGGAGGCTGAGGCAGGAGAATCCAGCCTGGGTAACAGAGTGAGACTCTGTCTCAAAAAAAAAAAAAAAAAAAAAAAAGATGGGAACTAATGAGCCAGAGCCTGGGAAACACTCATACCCAGCAGTGGCCCAGCATGCTATCAATGGAGGACATTTGTAATGGGCATTAATGGTCTATTCTACCTACTATCATATGCATATTCACTTTGGAGGGTGTTTTAAGGATTAGAAGTTTGAACTCTGCAGAGATGAAGCATCATGGGAAATAAAAGCCAAAAAACCAAACAATTCTACCACTGAGGGCATCAGAGGATATAATACCCCTTTTATACATCTTCATCATAGTCCTTGATCCAGCATTTAAAATCCATGATGAAATTTATTTTCAGGTGCTTTTTACAAGAATAAACTTCTTGTTTTCTGAATATGTCCAGCTCAGATCTGGACTCTCTTTTGTACATAATAATCACACAGCTCAAGCAATGATTTTGTTTTAAACAAAGATCCTAGTGGTTACTGCCACAACCTCAGCAGCGTTGCCACCATCGTTTGTTTGGATTTCCCTGTTACCACACAGGTAATAACATCCTCAAAGCAGTATGCAGTATCAGCAAAAAGGCCAAATCAATGGGGAATAAGAGGTTATTTTCAAGCTAAGAGGCTGTTATTTAGAATAAAAGGAAATTTTGCTTTGTTGAAAAGCGCTCCTTTCCAACCATTTCCTAAAGCAAAATTTTAAAAATTGATCATTTTCAGAATTCGAAAAGCTCATGAAAATACAACCACACCACATTTTCTGCTTTGATGACTCACTAAAGTCAAAGCTCTCTGAGACCTTTTTCCACTTCATCTCTTTCTCACCTATGCGCAGGGTGCCAGCAGAATCACCTTCCACTGACTCACGCAAGGTCACTTCACAGCATCTACATTTTGGAACTCAAAAGTCCTACTCCAGTTACAACCAGACAGCAAAACCATACAAATCACCATTTACTCTTTTCCCTAATGGATCTTACTTAGGAAGAATAATGGCCTACTCTGCATCATTGCATATTTTATATTTATATTCAGAGTTAGACAAGAAACAGCTACTATTATTCTTCTAGCCTGAAATATCATTTGTGAATGAGCTATTTGCTACAAATATCATTGTTGGGTCTCATCTACATTCCCTGAAAAAGTCCTGTGAATGCTCCATCTGTAAACCCTAGGCCAGGGTTTCTAACGTCGGCACTACTAACATCTTGGACCAGATAGCTCCTTGTTGTGAGGGACTGTCCTGTGCACTGTAAGATGTTTAGCAGCATCCTTGACCTCTACGAACGAGATGCTAATAGCAGCCCCTCAAAATACCTTGACATTATCAAATGTCAGATGCTAATAGCAGCCTAATCAAAAATACATTGGCATTACCAAACGTCCCCTGGAAACAAAATCACTCTTGGTTGAGAACCACTGCCCTGGGCTTACTCCTGGTCATCTGCAGACAGTTCTCCACCAGTGGATGGTGTTTCTCTAACGACACCTTTCAACTGTGTGTTGACAGGTGCGAATGTGCCAGCCTCACTAGAATCTAAGTTCTTCCTGGTCTCTGCCCAAGGGTGTTTCCTGGTCATGGGAGTGTGATGGCGCTGCACTAGGAGTAGGCTATAGTGCTCCCAACCCATGAGGGAATAGACTGAATGGGCAAATACTTAGCTGCTTCCTTGCCTTTCAGAGGAACTGCTGAGGTGTGCTCTTCAGAGTCTCTCAGAGGGTCCACAGCAAGAATGAGCTGGTTTCCACAATCCACTCAATTATGCACCCTTTGTTGGCTCTCCTTTCTACCCTGTCTCAATTTCTCCTTCCCTCACCTGCTTTAGTAAGATCACCTCCAACTAATGCACCGGCACTCAATTTCTGTCTCCTGTCTTGCTTTAGGGGGAACCTAAACTGAGACAGTGATCTTCCGAGTTTGGGACTGCACTTTAGGAGTCAGATATGGGTTTGACCCTGGCTCTCCAATTCACAGAGGGAAACCCTGGCATTTAATCACTTCTCTAAGTCTTTGTTATCTTGTATATAGAAAGAGCTGTAATAATGGGCATATTCTTGTGGGTTAAATAAGATCATGCATACAAAAATTTAATATGGCACTTGGCTATAGATGGTCAATAAACATTGGCTTTTATTATTGGTCTATAAATGATAAGATTTGTGTTACAGCTTCATCACTTCCTAACTCCCTGCTTTGAGGCAGGTGTGATATACATATGTAGAAGAGAATTCTGATATGATACACCATGCTCACCCCCCTATTTTTTCCCCACAAACCTTCCTCCTGGTGTCAATTTTGGCTTACACTACACTTCGTAGAAATCCAAAGAGGCTTTCTTTGGCATTAAACTACCTCAGCTTAGGACATACGGCTTCTAGCATCTCAGAATTTCTGCTGGGAATTATACCTCAGTTGGAGGACTTTCCTTTTAACCTAATAAAAAATAATTCATTCAATAAATGTTTATAAGCCCCCTCCTCATGGTAATGCCTGTTCTGTGTGTTGGGCCACAACCATGAACAAGACACACAGAGTGCCTGTCTTCATGGAGTTTAAAGTCTAGGGCCAATCTCACCAATTAGTTCTAAATAATTAATTCAGAATCCATAAAATGCTTAAGGGGTTTAACACTCCAGGGGGTGTTGCAGACTTGCTGCAACAATGGCTCATAAAAAAAGCCTGGAGAAAGGGATAGCCTGAACTGAGAACCACTGAAATACCCGAATTGACCTGGCAGATCCAGGAGAAAAGGATTACAAGTCTCAGGGTAGCCTCCTGGAGTGGATACATATATCACAGGAAGCCAGAAGACCCAGCAGAGAACTATGTTCCCTCGAGGGCCAGGTGGCACGCCGCTCATCGAGGCCATTGGGAATGCACTGGGGAAGGGCACTGGTGAGCAGGCACCTGTGTCACCAGGTTTGGTAGCAGACTAGAACTCACAATAGAAAAGGAGGTTATGCTTGGTGTTGTTGGCAATAGGGATGATGGGTGTTGAAAATCTCCCCCCTCAAGCAATAGAGGCTAGGCGGTGGTGCTTCCTCCCTCCTTTCCTTTTGCAGATGTAGGACCTCCACCTGAAGGCTTTCCTCACCCAATCCCAATTCCACCTCCTTTCATTTTTCACAGGCTTTATCCCCCCAAAACTGCTTTCACTGTTACCTCTGACTCTGATGCTGATCTGCTTCCTGGGGGGCCTAAGTGACACAATGAGCTTCTAGAAATGTTTTTCATACCTAATTCTAAGTTCTCTGTTCCACCACAGCAGCTGCTTTTCCTTTCCTCAGTGGTTAAAATAAGAGAGTTTCCCAAAGCTCATCAGATACCTGCAGCAAAAAGAAAAAAGTAGAATGCTGCAGTATATTTTCAGGGAAGATGCACAAAAGTAAAGACAACAAAGAATGGCAAAACTAATTGTTTTCAGTGTGAAAAAAGGTTTTAATCAACTTTTTTGGTCTCGCTCTGTTGCCCAGGCTGGAGTGCATTGGCTCAATCTTGGCTCACTGCAACCTCTGCCTCCCAGGTTCAATCGATTCTCCTGCCTCAGCCTCCTGAATAGCTGGGATTACAGGTGCCAACCACCACACCCAGCTAATTTTTGTATTTTTTAGTAGAGACAGAGTTTTGCTATGTTAGCCGGGCTGGTCTCGAGCTCCTGACCTCAAGTGATCCTCTGGCCCGGCCTCCCAAAGTACTGGGATTACAGGTGTGAGCCACTGTGGTATAATCAACTTATTTTCAAGGCCTCTGACTACTTCTTGTAGAATCTAAACCAATCTTCTCACACACCTACCTGATTCCACAGCCAACGAGAAGGTCGGAAAACAGGATGCAAGGCTGGGTGCCAAGGCAACACAGCACTGAGGGGAGGATAATACCTTATCATTTTTCTTTCTTTTCTTCTTTCCACCGCCTTGCTTTTTTTTCCTTTTTATGGCCAAGGTAAGTATGGGATGTGGGCCAAAACAAGTTTAATCTGAATTGTTCATTTTAGCTTAATTTAAAGTATTTTCTCATGAACACATCACACAAGCCTCTGTGGAAAGAGGACCCCAGGGCAGCTTGAGGCACTCATATGTGACTAATTAATGCACAAAGCAGGCAATTAATTCCCTTCATTAGAGTTTTTCCCATCACTGGGCTTAAAGTGATCTTCCTGTGAACTCCCACATACATTAACTGTTTGTCTAACGACACCTTTCAGCTGTGTATTGACGGGTGTGGATGTGCCAGCCTCACTAGAATCTAAGTTATTTGAGGGTAAAATCTATAGTTTATTCATCCTTGTAAACTCCATAGCACTTGTATAGTGCCTTGTACACAGTATACACCGAACACTTGAGAGCTTGCGAAAGCAGTGCTGGAACAGACAGTAAGTCTGCTGCAGACAGCAAGCTTATAAGGGGTGGTCAGTGGTACCAAATGGAGCAGAGCATTTAAAAGGAAAAAAAAAAAAAAAGATCACTGTAGTTGATGACCATGTTGTGCAGCAGAGTGGTAAAGCTATAAGCCAAATTCTCAGCCTCTAATGAATGAACAATGAGCCAGTAAGTGTAGATACCCTTTCAAGAAGTTTGGAGACATAAGGAAGGAGACATAGCATGACAGCTTGACTGATGGCAGGGTAAAGGATTTTTTGCTGTTAAAAAGTGTTGAATAAGGTCTTGAATAAGACTGTAGACTTAGAAGAAGAAATCAACAGAGATGCTATAAGACGGAAAGGGAATGCTTGAATGTGTAGAACAGGTGGGCAGGTATGGGCCAAGGTCACAAATGAAGAGCCTAAGCTTTGAAAGGAGGGAGGGGATACCTATTATTTGAAAGTAGGAAGGATGATGGAGAGAACATCTGCTTGTAGTTCTGAGGGCAGGGCTTCGAGCTAACGCAGAACAGAAAAGCTATGGAAGCAAAAATGAGAGTCAATTAAAGGAAGGACTATTGAGTTGAAGAGAACAGCCATAATTTTGTAGAAGAATCTAATCAGCCTAATATTATGACTTTATATATCTACACTTAGTAAGTCAGAACCAAAGAGAAAATGAATGGTGGTGTTATCAGTTTCCTAGGGCTGCAGTAACAAAGTACCAAAAATGGTGTGGCTTAAAATAACAGTTCTGAAGGCTAGAACTCAGAAATCAAGGTGTCTGCAGGGCCAAGCTTTCTCTGACGGCTCTAGGGGAGAAGCGTCCTTACCCCTTCTAACTTCTGGTGTTTGCTGGCAAGCCTTGGTGTTCCTGGGCCTGTACGGTCACATGCTCATCTTCCCTCTGTGAGTCTGTGTGTGCAAATTTCCCCTTTTAAAAAAACACCAAATTGGATCAGGCTGACCCTGATGATCTCACTCTATATTTGATTACCTCAGTACAAACTTATTTCCAACTAAGGTCAGATTCTAAGGGACTGGGGATTAGGGATACAACTTACCTTTTTTAGGGAACACAATTCTACCCATAATAGATGGGTGCAAGGATGTAGGTCGAAGGCTGGCAAGTGAGCCTAGATAAAGGGAGTGAGAGAAAATGAAGATGCTAATGAGAACATGGGGATGGCTGACCATGGGGCCCACACTGGAAGAGAAGCAGATTCTGGAGACCAAGAGTTTGGGTGATGGGGTAAAGGCTAAGGATTAGCAGGCAGGAAATTACAGAGCAAGTTGGTTCAGCAGCAGTCATGGTACGAGACGAGCCTGGGAGAGTGGGGACTTCAGGATCTAAGATCTCGGATTCGTGATGAGGCTGGAGGTTTGGCTGTGACTATGGCAGGTCAGCTGCAGAAGGTAATTTGTTACTGGGAGATGATCCAGTTGAGGTAACCTCCAGAGGCCAGGGCACCAAGAGCAGTTTCTCCATCCACATGGAAGAAATATGGAAGATGACATCAGGGAAAGGGACAAAGGACAACTGTATTGGGAAGAGCCAATTGTGAAGGAAGGCAGGAGAGTATCCTATAGCTCAGGAGATAAGGACATGGGGAAAGGGCAGAATATTTGGAGGGGAAAGACTCCAAGAGTCCTGAGAAATGGGGCACAAGTGTGGAAGGAATCCTGAGGAGGAGGGAACATGGAAATTCCTGTGGGACCACAGTACAGTGGCAGAAGTGGTCTCTTTTGGTGAAGAAGAGAAGTAAAGTACATTGGGGCTGGAGAGGGAGGAAAAATGAAGGCAAAACGATGAGCCAAAGCCTTAACCAGATACTTCATGTTGTGACAGTCATTAATTTACTGGGCAAAAGTTGCCCTTTTGTTTGTGTTGAATGTTCCTCTTAATGTAATGAGAGAGTGGCTGAAAAACTCCTGTTGTTGGTAAACCAAAATGTTGGAACTGACTTTTGGTCACGGCCCTCTACCTAAGTAAGATTCAGCAGCTTTGCTAGTCTAAAGGGCCCTGTGTTGGATCCTGACTACTGCGGTTCTATATGGAGGCCACAGGCAGGGAGAGGAGCAGCAGGAGAGCTGCTTTGTTTCATAAAATGGGGACACTGGTACCTCCCTCATAGGGCTGCTTGGGTTTTCAGCCTACAGTTAAGTCCTTAATAAATATTAGTGGTGGCAGTTATCATTATTACAATAAATCCCATAGTTTAATGGGGGAGGGTTTAAAGTACACTCCTCAAAATCATAGTAACAATAATGAGTCCCTCTCCCTCCTCCCTTTCCCCAAAGATAAAGAGTACACTAACATGATCCCGGAACATTTATTTCCAGAGGCTTTTGATAGAAGAGCACAATCTTGAATAAAATTACACCACTGTACTTAAGGGCAACACTACATAGTAAGCAAAATCTGCTCTGAACCCTTTCACAGAAGAGACACTTCAGAAAGGAATTTTACATCTCCTGACAGTTTTACAACATTCATACCTCTGATGCACTTCAAGCCCCAACCCATCTCTCATTTTCTAACTTCTTTAACAGAAATGTGTGTTCACAAGTTGTGTGTGCATGCACATGTGCCTCTGTGTGTACACAAAAGGCTCATTTTACCTACTTGATAAATGAGCTGAGACGATGTTTTGGGAAAAAAAAAATTGGAAAAAAAATGTTACCCCAACACGATGGAGAAGCCAATCCAAAAAAGCTTCATGCTAGAGCTAGCTTTCTCCTCAGAAACTTACATCCTAAAAACATCCCTATGGGTGCCTAAAAATGGAAATCCAGTGAGTTCATGGCCTTGAGTTCACTCCTGTCCTGAATTTCTCCCAGTGCAGGTCCAGAAGGGCGAGATGTGGCAGAAAGGAGAATGTGGGAATGTGTGAGTATCCCACAGCCAGCTCACAGTGCAGCTTGCACTCAGAAAGGAGACTCAGGGACACAAGGTCTCAGGATGCACAGTTCACCTTGGCCTCATGTACCTGGGCTGGGGAGAGGGAGACCATTCAAAAGCCTGTGCTTGGCCGGGTGTGGTGGCTCACGCCTATCATCCCAGCACTTTGGGAGGCTGAGGCGGGCAGATCACTTGAGGTCAGGAGGTTGAGACCAGCCTGACCAACATGGTGAAACCCCATCTCTACTAAAAATGCAAAAATTAGAAAGGTGTGGTGGTATGCACCTGTAATCCCACCTACTAAAGGAGGCCGAGGCAGGAGAATTGCTTGAACCTGGGAGTCGGAGGTTGCAGTGAGCCAAGATTGCGCCACTGCACTCCAGCCTGGGTGACAGAATGAGACTCTGTCTCAAAAAACAAAAACAACAAAAAACAAAAGCCTGTGCTTCAACCTGACTCTTCAGCCTTGGTTTCTCCCAGTACTGTCACTGGGTCTTAGGAACTTTAATGCTCATAACTAATCCCTGTGCCCCAGGAACTCCATTATGAGCCTCAAGAGTCCTCCTTAAGGTATTCAGCTGGTGACTTCAGTCTGACCACTAGCCACCTGCATAGTTCCATAGCCCTTCTTGGCATCTCGATGGGCAGTCATGGTGCCTTGCCATGTAGGGCACATAGCCTGCTTTAAGAAAAGAAGATGGGTAGAGGAAGCTGAGGCTGTTGTCCAGGCCACTGCTGAGTCCTGGCACGGGGTTGAGTGAAGTTCTTGTGAGACAGGTGGGGCCCTGGGGGACCCTATTAGGCAGATGCCTTTGCTGCTTTCTGAGCCTGGTACTCCTGCTTCGCTTGCTCCCTCTGTTGCTGTTCTCTCTGGATCAACTGTACAAGGTCTAGATGCCACTGCTGCAGATTCTGCTCATAGGTGGCGATGTCCTCTGCTTCACAGGTGGAGAGTTTTTCCTTGACAAGCTGGGTGGTCAGACTTAAAAGACCTTCTGACTCAATTTTGCCCAGAGCTTGAAGCTTAGAATGTAAGGCCTGTTGGAAACAAATGGGAAAAATGAGAAGAAAGGTAGAGAAGTGAGAGAAAGATACAAAGAGGAAAAACTAGCCCTGAGTGACTGACTTTAGATTTGAACAAAAGTTTGCTGACTCGTAGTTTAGTCCTCATTCTAGTGGCCCAGAATGAAGTCACCTGCAAAATAACCACACATTTTGCTGGTAGAAAAAAACCATTTTGTTGGGAAATGGTCATGCTGCCTTTCATTCAGGTGCTGTTAGCTGTGGTTATTTTTTTCAGCTCAGCAATTTTGCTAAGATGCACCACATGTGATTTCTCCCCTTTCACTCAAAAACAGTAAATGGAACTCCATATGCTGTGTCTCCCTGTGTAATTTCTTGTTTTAAACCACAAAGACAGCCAGCCTCTAACAAATCTATGTTTCCACCCTGACCTAACCAAACCAAGCAGCAAACACCAAAAATAAGAATTCTAATATGCAAACAAAATGGCAGAGGCATCTGATAACTGGAGCAAGCCCAACCATACATGTGCCTTCGGAATAACTGAAACAAGTATTTGCCTTTCTGGCATTCCTCTCAACAGACGGAAATCAGTTCAAGGAATAGCTCCCCTGAGTGCCTGCACCGTTAGAAGCGTCTGCCTGCTGTGCTCCACTGCATTGGGTCTTAGGAACTCTAAGACTGCAGGTCAGTCTTTATGTATTGCCTGCTTACAGCTCCATCTGAAATGGCACCTTGGTTTGGTTGGTGTTGTGCTCCTGGAGAAGTAAGTATTAAAAACATTAATCTATTTAAGTACTTTAAGATGTACTCTCTCATTAGAGAGAGGGCCACTTACGGGGCCAGCTGTAGCTTATACCACACATCCCCATGTTCCACAAACAAATGCCACTCATTGGCACAGGAAAGGAGGCTTGCTTAACAGGGTTGGGGGTGGGCAGGGTGCCTAGGCTCCAGGAGGGGCCAGAGGCCTAGTGTGAGAGTCAATCATATAAAAATGGCTCCCAAACAAATGACCTCTGACTAATAAAAATCAGGCAACAGGAAGAAAAGGAAATGTAAAACGAAAATGATCTCTCTCTGACAACGCTCTCCATGTGGGGTTTGAGGCCAACAAGACAGCTTGGGACACCAGAATGAGGACTAAACTACGAGTTGGCAAACTTTTGTTCAAACCTAAAGTCAGTCACTCTGGGCTAGTTTTTCTCAGCTTTGCTGTCATCTAACATGAGAAAGGTAGTCTCTAGCATCCAGAGCTCTTGCGAGGAGAAATGCACTGGTGCCCAACATGTAGTTAGTAGTCAATAAATACTTGCCTTTTTAAAATTTTCATAAAAATACATTTGTAGAGGAATGAGGGCTGAGAACTTAATGCAGGCACAGGTTTCTATTCTCTGAGGCAAAGTATATAAGAAACAAGAGAAGGAAGTTTTAATTTTTAAGAATGGTATGGCAACCTTGGTCAATGTGAATGCAATGAATCATAATATATGGGGCTAAGGAGATTTTTTTCTTTAGCCTTTGTAAATACACAAGATTAAGCAAAGAGCCTGAAGGGGCAGGCATGCAAATTCTCATCCCAGCTATACTGCCAATTCTCTGGGTACCTTGGGAATATCGATTAACCTTTCTTTCTCAGTTTCAAATTATAAGAGGGAAGTTGAGCAATGACTTTACAGAAGTACTGGGAGAAATTGCTGCTAAAAATACAACAGGCTCCTCCTTACAACACTGGGAATTAGGTTCTAATTACTGAAAATATTTAAACATAATAATCTAGCAAAGTTTACATCTTATCAGTACCAAAATGACACAAGTTACACAAAACAAGTGGGAAAGTTTTTTGCTGTACCAAGAATTCCCATTCTGACAGCATTTTTTCCCCCTTTGCACTAGACAAGAATCAAAGCAGCTAAGAAGCCAAGAGTTCAAACACTGAACACGGTTCTTTCCTGACACTGATCACAGAGCATTTTGGGATGTACAGAGTTAGAAGCTACCAAAGGTAGCTTGAGTGCTCAGGGCTGTTCTGGAAAGAAACAATGCAAACTGTTTACAGCTTCTATGCAGCACAAGAGAACAATACAAAGCTGCCAAAGATGAGCAAAGAAAGATGCCCACGTCTTATCTCTACACACTCAAATGTGGCATTATAGTGTCTAACTGGGTTTTTAGGTTATCAAGCACATTTAGTGCAAGATGGAGAAATGGCCAGATACTTTCCACCTGGGGTGGGAGTCAGGTTATTGCTATGAGGAGGCAAGCAATTATCCAGCTGACAGGTGCATATCAGGAATAAGTGGGTAATGACATGCCACCTTAGTGAACAAAACTGTGACCAATTAGCTCAAGTACAAAAAGGAGCATAAAAATTCCATTGGTTTCTTTTAAGACCACTTCCTGTGCAAAGCAATAAAAATGTAATTTTTGATGTCAGTTTTTAATGCCTCTTTGTGTGACATTGATGCAGAAAGAATGCTTATCCATCACCACAGGAGAGAAGTGTGTTTTATGCGCTGCTAAGAGAGACACGTTCTGCTATGATTCACCTTAAATCGTTCCAGGTATTGAGGAAGCTTGGACTGCTCTGTTTCCTCGATGTCTAACTGCTCCACCAGTTTTTCTGACCCCTGGTTGTCTTCATCATTTTGGGACTGCTCCTCTGAAGCCCCATCAGCTGAAGTCAGAGCCTTCAGCACTGCACCCAGCACATCGAGCTGTGGAGCAGAAAGAGGGTCAGCAACCAAATGTTTTATGGCCCAAAAGCACATGGTGAAGAAAGGCTAGAGAAGGCGAAAGAAAGGAAGAATGAGCTCTAAAAGACTGTGAAAACATTTCTCTTATAAAATTGTAGGAAATATAAATGGTTATATTTTTTCACATTATAAACACCCTATCAGATGGCGTGGAAAACAGTACAAGACAAATAGTAGAAATAAGCAAGCTAGCCTGGGTATGGTGGCTCATGCCTGTAATTTCAGCACTTTGGGAGGATGATGTGGAAGAATTGCTTGAGCCCAGGAGTTTGAGACCAGCCTGGGCAACACAGGGAGACTCCATCACTTAAAAAAAAAAAAAAGCCAAGCATGGTGGTGCACCCCTGTGGTCTCAGCTACTAAGGAGGCTGAGGCAGGAAGATTGCTTGAGCCTGGGAGGTGGAGGCTATAGTGAGCCATGATCACATCACTGCACTCCAGCCTGGGTGACATAGTGAGACCCTGTCTCAAAGACAAAACAACAAAATGCCAAATAAGCGAGCTACGAATTATTTGTATAAGTGAATCCGCACAATGGCAGCTAAGTTCGCTTTTAGTTAGCCAGACAGGAATCCAGGAATTATGCTTGATGGGCACTAAAGTACCTCCCACTTCCATGTCTTTCTTCCTCAATCAGTTTGGATTTGGGACAAAGGGATAGGCAATTACAGAACACAACCAACCAAAGGCCATTTTAAGTGTATGTTAAAGCCTCTGGATACAGGCAAGGGTCCCCCTCAGAAAGATTTTTAGCTCACATGGTATCTGTAAATTAAGGATCAGTGTAATCCACATAAGCTGCTGGCAAAGACCAGAGATGCAGACATGAAATTCATTTGAATGAGGTGATTTCTGTGACTTAGGAAGTAAATTTAAAAATAGAGCATTTTTGTTTTGACCCCTCTCCCCTCTACTTTCACTTTGAGGTATATCTCCCTTGACCCACAGAGGGCCTAATCATCAGAAATGGGATATTAACAACAGCAAGGCCAGTAGAAACACCTACCTGAAACGAATTAATCCTGTCTATGTCATATCAGAACAGAAATCCTAAAAATATGCCAAGGCCTTTTAATACCACTAATACATCACATCCAAACTGGACACATAGCACATTCTTGCTGACATGTGAACTCATTTTCTACTGTTAGAATGCAAAGAATGCAAATCTGGCTGAGATTGGAAGGAATATTTCCCTGGCAAAGGATTTATGTATAATTTTGTGTTTTCAATTACCAGTACTGACTACAGCAGGGTTAAAACAAGTATAGTGAGAAATGTATATCCTTTGTTATAAACGTCTGGCAAAGAGCATAATGATTCACTAGACATAAGTATAAGGTGACAGGACAGACACCAGACCTGACCACCTCAGGACTGAAATGAAAGCCAAGGGATGACTCTAGCAACCAGAGTCAAGAAAAAACAAATATGTGGCTCTACGGTGACCTTTAAGCCATGGTAACAAGACAACCAATGTCCTTCTCAGGACTCACACTGGCTGTAAAAGCTGTTTGGACAGGAGCAGACACTGCAGCTGCCTGTGGGGTGTAAGGCGCATCATGTCTCCTGGAGTTCGAGCAACCTCATACCATCAAGGGTCCTAGGTGACCAAGAGGCATGAGCTTTGGGGCTGGTGGGAGAGTAGTGTTCTCGTCCTGGTAAAGTGAACACCTTAGAACTTTGAAAGAAACATCTGACCGAGATCTCATCAGCATCACACATTCACACAGAATGGTTTAAGATGGTTCCATCTCTGGTCCCCAGATTCATTTCTTGAGGACTTTTATGGGGAAAGATGCTATGTAGCCTCTCAGGACTACATGGTATTACAAAAACACCAAACATATTTAAAATGAAATTTTACCCTCTCTTGAGTTCCCACTGAGATTTTTTTTTTTTTGGTAAGGAGGTGAGGGACGAGGCAGTGGAATAGTTTTTTTTTCCTAGACAATGAACTATAAATCAATGTTAATCATATTTTCTAGTGCCTTTGGTCAGGAGCATTGAAAATGTTTGTGGTTTTGCATTTTTTCGACTTGATAAATACCTATTCTATAGACATATAGAAAGTAGGGGTAGTGGAAAGACAATGAAAACAAATTTAAAGCTCAGGTTATGGGAAACAGATGGCTAAATCTCACTGCCTTAGAGCTGAAGAACATACCGCTTCTCTACACAGCTTTATGTCTTCTGGGGAGGCAGCCACTTTCTCCATCACTTGAAGGGCTCTGTCAAGGTAGCCTGGTTTCCATATCAGAGGCATGTTGTGGTACACAGCCCGTAGCCCTTGCTGCAACTCCACCTTCCCTGTGGCCAAAAAGAACAATAAAGAATGCTCAGCCATGTCTTCCCACCATTTCTAAGACTGAGGACCTGAAGGCCCAAGTGAATGTTCACCTGGCAGCACTAGAAATAGAGAAGGATCATTTTAAATCTGTACCAACAGACTCATCTCATTCGGTGACACTTCAGATGGATAATGACGAATGTGGTAAAATTCACTGTATCCATTTTGTAATGCAAAATTACATGAACTTAGTTTTCTTCTTTCTCATTTGGGCTGAGGATGTATATATAAACCACTGGGCTGAGGGCAATTGAGAGGCTGACATATATGGCTCTAGGTAAGGATACTCTTAAAAAACAAGTCAACTGAGATACAATTTTTGTTTCAAGAACAAAATCTTCCCCAGAAAAAGAAATCTCACAGCTTTCCCACTGTGAAAATTTTGTCAACATCCGACAACTTTCCCTGCTAGGAAATGTCTGTCATTTTTTGAAATCCTTCAAAACACCCAATCCTTATGAAAAAAAAAAACCCCTCATCTTTCCCTTCTTTCCTTTGAGTTTCGTCAGTTTTAAAATAACAGAGTTCTCATGATCTTTTTGGATCTCTGGACATGAATGTTTCTCTGGGTACCTCAAGCCATCACACCTGGAGTTCAAGATGTGGATGCTAGACAGCAGGGTCTTCTGGTAGGGAGATGGCTGTCTGTATTCCTGTGGCACAGAACCTGGCTGCACTAATGACCAAAGTCACCTTGAGCTGCCCAGTCTTAAATCCACCTTCTTTTATCTTTCCTGGGAAGGAGGATTTGGGAAAGCCAGAGTAGGACACAAACAGACAAAGCTTATCAGGCGACAGCTAATTTTAGACCTTTAAGGTGCTTGGGGCTGGACTGCAGTTACATTCTGGGCAGCTGCTTCCATCAGGGCTGAGTGAGGCTGCACGGCAAATGACACAATGAGAGCAAAGAGCTTCTGATCTGATGGCTGCTATCACAAAGAACCAGGGCCTCTGCTCACAAACCACAACAAAGTACATATTCTTTGCCCTGTCACTTCTGACCAATTCAGGCTGTATGACAGTCCTGAATGCTGATCTGAAAGCAAAGGAAAATACATGTAAATCAATATCAAAAGTAGGTGGCAAATAAGGAAAAAATTATTTTTAAAAAGAGTGGTCAACTCCTTTGTTAGTCTGATAGACAGTCAATAAACTCTGAAGTTCCTGAGTTATTATATCAGAATCAGCACCAAGAATAACACACTACATTCTGTTGGCAAAGATCAACTTCAAAAGCAGTCAAACTGCTATAACTTTATGATTTTTAAAAAACAAAGGTAAGCAGAAGCAATGTATAATTGAGAGATGCCTAACTACTTAAGAGACGATGGGAGAGTAATGAAATAACATAAATTTAATAAACGTCTGTAAATCGGGACGTTACATTTAGGTTGAATCTTATTTACCCAGATTCCACACAACCCAGGTTCCGAGGCCACTCTTCAGAAGGCTTTGTCCTCTTAACCTGTCTGATTTTCAATGCAATCAGGGCACAAGAGGAAAGCCACCACTGCACCTCCTGGTGCAATCACATGGTACCCATGAACCACTCCACTTTTCCTGAAGTGCTACTACTTCTGCTCTTAGTTTATCTTCCCTTACCTGAAAACAATACCAAAGATACAAGTTCAACTCTAACTCTTAATTTCTTACCTTCTGGACTTTAGATCTAAAGAGACAGAAAGATCTTTGTTAATACTGGAAAAGATTCTACTAGCTAGTCTCCCTAAACAGGGCCAGAACATCCCTTTCTTTATCCCTTCTTCAGACTGATTACCACTGAATATTATTACCTATATCCACCAGAACTAGTTCTTGCTTTGCCAGTGATGGCAGGTTTTAAGAACCCTCTTTACTCTCTTATGGAGTAACTGTAAGGCCATCAAGGTCTATTTTTATGTCTAAAAACGAAGGCTAATTGGATTTCACTGGTAAATTTAAATCAAATTACAATTTTATTATGAACTGGAAGAATGCAACAATTCTAACCATGAAGAACAGTATTTGTAAGGATCATTTAGCTTACCAAGAAGTGCATAGCCATACAACTGGGAACTGAAACCCACTGAGTTCTTTTGTTTTAGGCCTGGAAGCAAAAGGGATGCACCAAAGTTCCTCTCCTCTTCCCACTGCAACAGAATATACTGGATCATGATCCATCTAAGCAATGAGTACTTTATACAAAAATGTGACTTTCAATGACATGAGGAAAAGAACATGTTATAGCATTAAGTAAACAAAGAAGAACAAAGCTATATATACATTATAATCCTAATTTTGGGATTAAAAGGTACTTACGTCAAAGAAAAATATAGGAAAGAAATACCCTATATGTTAATGGATTTTTGGGCAGTGAAATTATGAGTAATTTTGGTTTTATTCCCTGTATATCTTATTATTTTCCAAAAATTTGGCAATGAATAAGCGTTTCTTTTACAATCAGAAAAGCAAAACAAAACACAAATAAAGAGTACACTTTAAACCGACACTCGAGACAATCAAGATTCAACATGCTGTCAGCCCCACAGTCACTCATACTGCTGTGGCCTGATGGAACAAGCTTTTGAATTTTAAAGAATTTAGCAATGATAAGACTCCTTCAGAGTGTTAGAATAAATACCACTATTAAATTGCTTTTAGATAGATTTGTGCTTCTCAAAAACAAATTAGGCAGTCAGAAACAGTGATCGCTTCTTTCAGCCCAGGGTGCAAAATTACGCTTTAATGAAAATGAAGTCTTTAGAGACATGGGGGAAACAAAGGGCAAAAACACAAGCATTGCTACACCTGCTGCAGACTAGTAACAACGATGACTGGAGGACTTCCTGGCAATGCGGCCAGGGGAGAGCCTTGGCAACTCCCCAGTGGGATCTGTGATCTTCTTGGTGCCACATGAGTACACAGTGGACAGAGCTGGAGCCCTAACTCTGGCTTCAAAACATAGAACACTAAGCTCAGGTTGCCCTGCACTGGTCTCTGCACCAAGAGATTAGGGAGGAAGCAGAGAATGAATAATGTCTGCAGGCTGCAGTTACAACCACGGGCAAGTGAGGCACCCCAGATGTTCATAGGCACCCAAACCTCTTTACTGTAAGTAGGCTTTGTGCAATACAAGTGTCATTTCTTGAGGCTGCTCCCCAGTCTTTGAGAAAAGCAAAGACCTCAGAAGAAAAACAACGCCCCCCCCCAAGCACTTCTGCAGCACAGGTAAATAAAAGAGCTGGTAATTAAAAACCAGGTCATTTTACTTTCAAAACTAAGAAGTTTGATTTTCCCCACCTAAAACTGCATGAAAAGTAGGGCCGACAAATAATAAATAAGGAGCCTTACAAACATTTTTCCCCCTGTAGGGAAAAACATGAGCTACAGTAACAGGCTGTAGTAGGGGTTAAAGCCAAATGAACACTAAAATATCTAAGCACTAGATACCTTTGATGTGTTAGGAGTCGAGCAGGGGTGGTGACAGTGACTGGGATGGTTATACTTCTAAAGGACTTCAAAAAAGATGAATGAAAACAAACCAATGACTGTCTTAGAAATTTTCTGATCATTGTCTGGGGCTGCTGGAACTACTGCTGCTTATATGAAGCTATTCATGTGTCAACATAAATTAACAGATATCTTCCAAGCCTTTAGTTTCTTTTCTTTTCTTTTTTTCTCTTTGGAGACAGGGTCTTGCCCTATTGCCCAGGCTGGAATGCAGTGGTGTGATCACAGCTCACTGTAACCTCAAACTTATGGGATCAAGGGATCCTCCCAACTCAGCCTCCTGAGTAGCTAGGACTATAGGCATGTGCCACCATGCCTGGTTAATATTTTTTTTATTTTCAATTTTTGTAGAGATGAGGTCTTGCTATGTTGCCTAGCCTGGTCTCAAACTCCTGGCCTTAAGCAATCCTCTTGCCTTGGCCTCTCAAAGTACTAAGATTACAGGCATGAGCCACTGCTCCTGGCCCAAGCCTTTAATTTCTATTGTAGACACTATAATGGACTAATTCAGGTGTGGTTTCATCAATGCCTTCAAAGTTTTTCCATTTTATGCTTTGCCTCTTCCATTAATACAAAGCAAATCCTCATTCTCCCAACTTCCCCGCTTTATTCTCCACTTCATAGCTAGGCATCTTAAAAGAGTTGTCTATACCTCTAATCATTCTACAATCCATTCCAATTTGGTTTCCTGCTCCATTACTCATATGGAAACAAAGGTTACGATTTAGTGCCTCCCGTGCCACTAATGCATTTAATTGACTTTTTTTATTCCTCATCTTACCCTACCCCTTTGGAAGCATTCTACATAGCAGACCATCTCTTCCTGTGGATTCTGTGGTCCAACACATTCCTGATTTCCCTTCTTTTTGCTTTCTAGCTCATTTGCAAACATTTACACATGGAAGTATAAGTCTCCACAATTGTATCTCCAGTCCAGATCTTTCCATTAAGCCCCCAGTTCCTTGGTGAAATCTCGTGACTGTCTCAATTTCAAAATGCAACATGTTCAGAGTCACATTAATGATTTTTCTCATAACATCCAGTCTTTTCCCAAAGTTCCCTTTTGGAAACAACACATGGAACACCTTGCATCCAGACATATGAGTCAGAAACTGAGGAGAGAATATGTGACCCCTGCTTCCCTGCCTCATCTTGTTATTTACCTTCCAAATATGCCCATTGGCTACTCTCTAACTGCATCATATCCTGGTCTCTATGCTACCATTATCCCTTGCTGAGATTCATGGTAGTCTCTCGGATGGTCTGACCATAGCCATCCTTGCCCTGCTCTGATAGCTTATCCACAGTACAGCCAGAAGGACCTTATCAAAACACAGATTTGATTATTATATGCCCTCTGCTTCTAACTTTTCAAGGGCTTCTCACTGTTTTTAGAACGAACACAAAATGGCTTAGTATGGCCTACATTCTCCAACCCTCTCACCCCACGTCCTCCCTACCATTTTCTGTTGTAACTACACTGACTATCTTCTTCCAGCCCATTTCTGCTCACTAAGTTTTCTGCCACAGGGTATTTGGACATGTAATTTCCTCTTTTTGGACTGTTCTTCCCCTCCTTAGCCAGTTAATTACCAGTCATCCTTCAATAGTAACCTAAGAAATATTTCCTTAAGGAAGCCCTTCCTAACCAATTTAAGTTTAAAATACAGAGAAAACTCCCTATAATATAGTCTTTTCTTAGATTTCTCCTTTGCAGTGTTCATGATAGTCATAGTTTTATATCTCTGTGATTGTTTTGTTTAAACTCTGTGTTCTTCCTAAATTGTAAGCAGAAAATGTTTGCTCACCAGTACATAACTAGCACTTGCCAATGTATGGAATTTGTATGTGTTCAATACAGTATATTTAATGAATTAATAATGAATGTGGGGTATATCATAAGACTATGACACTCATCTTAGAAAGGCATAACATGCCATCTACTCTTTAGAATGTGGTCTGGACTAAATGACCTCTTCAGTTCCTACCCAAACTGGGATTTTTGATGTTTACAATTGAGGTTAAGGGCAGATGGCAGAGGCAGACTAACTGGCTTTACCAGGTGGCTTCGTTACCTACTAGCTGGGGGGTTACTCTGTAACATCTCTAGGCCCCAGTCTCCTTATCTGCCTAGGGTTGTTGTGAGAATTAAATGCATTAATACATTTAAAACAAGAACACAGCCTGGTGTAAAGTAAGTGCTACTTAAAATATCAGTTATTGCTATTGCTATTCTTAGGACAACAATAAGCAATGATTAAACATGCGAACCTAAGATCTGAAACCAAAACTTGATATTCTAGACTTTCCAAAACGGAACTGCCCTAGAGAAACCTTAGGAAAATACTGATACAAATGAAATAATTAGTATTTAATATCCCAGGTAATGGTCAACGTTAGCTGCCTCACTGCCTCTTTGACATGCCATGTCCAGCTCTCAGTGACTACCAATGACCCATTTCTGAATGTCTGAGGTGCACTCAGCCTAGCTCAAGTTTCAAAATATGCACGAGGACTTTCTTTTGAGATTCTCTCAAGTGGAAGAACCTCCAATTCCATTTGTTAGAAACCAGTAACCAAAATGTATACAATAAACACACATTCCTGGTTGTGCCTGGCCACAGAGCTGCAGACACCTTTTTCCAGCTTTTGAGAGCAAGCCCCTGCTTGCCTTTTCTAAAGTTCTTAATACTGCTTTAGGGAAGATCACTTACACTGAAGTCTGTCTTCTTTGCCAGGCAATGAAATAAAACATAGAGGGAGAGAAGTTGGGTGGAAGGCACTTCAAAGGCTTCTTGCATCATGACCTCAAAAACCACAGATAAAGCATCTAGCAGAAGATGAAAGTAAAAAAGAGAGGAAATTAGTTGTAGGTAATATTACTAAATCTCTATTTAACTATAAACACTCTTAAAACGTGGGGCATGGTTTAAAAAAATGCAGAATTAAGAAGTAAAATATGCGGGCTTAGGCTCTGGCCCTAGTTCTTCCACAAACAAGGTTTTTCCTCAGCCTTTAGCTTCTATTTTACATACCAGAACGAACTAAATCAGGTGCTACTGCACCAACGTCCTGAAGGACATTAAATAAACCACTCATTTCTCTTGGCTCCCAGTATCATCGTCATAATGATAAAATACTATTTGCTTCACCTACTTCAAGAGAATTTTGGACAGTTCAACCAGAAAATGGCTCAAACTGTGATGCAAATTTAAGGCATCATGTCTACCAGCTAGAACAGCTAAGGCATAAAGGAGACACATATATTCTCAAGGTCACCCTGACAGGCAGAGCAGACAGGCTGGTCTGACTGCCCTATTCTCTGCTCTGGTACCTTCTCACTGTTAAGGCAGAAGAGGACAAAATGCTAAAGGAAACCCTAAATCTCAGGTGTTATTTCAAAGACAGCAAAATAATGACTATAAAAAGGACAATAAGGCTCAGTTTAAAATACTTGTTGGAAGGGAATGGGAAATGCTCGTTCATAAATTATAAGCCCCTGAGTATAACACGTAACATAAAATATTTGTTTGCACATTAATGCTGGTCATTAAAGCCTGGAGAGCAGGCTTTAAGCAATTTTTATTTTCCCTTGATATTCTACAACATAGATGGAGGCCAAGAAAATCAAGTCAAACAATTTCCTTTCTGTAGTTACTTGGTGGTAAAGCAGAGAATATTAACAATGGCTTAAAATATAGTGCCTGTTCATATCACAAGCACAACAAATGTTTTTTACTTACTGAATTATTTTTTTAACCAATTTTTACATATATTCATAACTATAAAATAGCACTGATTTGCAGCTGTTCCTACCCAGCTGGTTTTGCACATGTCATGGTTCTGAATGAGGCCACACGCATGGATTTCTATGTTCTTTTTGCAAATGGGGAAACTGAGATAGGCAGACCAGGTAGTCATCTAATAAGTCAGTAGAAAAATAAGAACCTGGAAGGGATTTTCTTTTACACAAACAAACAAGCCAGTAATATTTTAAAAGAGCATAGGCTAAAAATTCAGTTGAAAAAAAAAATCTCATTTCTGCCAACTGTTCATTACTGAATCCAAAATTATACTTGAAAAATAAATTTACTTTATCCTTTATTTATATTCTGCATTTCAGTCAGTTTGGGAAGTGAAATTAGATTGGCCTGTATAATTAACTTACTTTTCCTCCATAATCATTTATGTACTTTGATATTTTCTATCTTAAAATAAAAATAATGTTTTTAAAAATTTTGCATAAAAGATAATCATCAAAACTTTTCTGACTAAACGAGTAATGAAGAGATGTTATTAAGAAATAAAAAAGGGGAAGTTCCTACATTTGTACACCTCCCTTTGGGAGCTGGAAGCCCTATAAACACTGAATCTGGGGTTAGTTTCTTACCTTTGTAATTTTCTTTCTTTATGAAAGAATCCATCAGTAAATTGAATGTAAAGTTATCTGGAAAAATTCCATATTGAACCTATAATGAAAATGAACATAACAGGAAAAAAAGAGAAAATTATCTAATTTAGTCTGTAATATATGCCTATGTATTATTCAGAATAAAACTTGCCACCATTAGCTTTAAAATATTTGACTATCATTTTACAGCATCTGTGACAGTGAAACAGAAGCCATGACTCATGAGGTTTGGTAACAGGAACTGTTGGTCAGGGTGAGAAAGTTGTGAGTCTGATATAAGACAACTGATAATGTAAAAACTAAGGCTCCAATTCTAACACCTCATCATAGCTTAAAAAAAACATAAAAGAAAAAAGAAAAAAAGAAACCCACACAACCCCCCTAACTGGTTCAGTGACTCTTCTTATAAAGTATGAATAACAATACAAAAACAGACTCTCATGAGAAAGCAGACATTACACAGCATTTTCTGGTTCTTAGCCTGGCTTTTAAGGTCCCAAGAAATATGCCAAGAAATATTTGCTACTAAGTTTCTAGAATGTTGTGTCATACAACTGAATACTTGAGAATTCAGATTTCTTAAAATGTGGACCCTTTAGCACCTGCAGGATGTCGACTTTCTCAGAGTGTTTTTAACAATATAGATTCCTACGTCTCAGACCTATAGAACCAGAATCTGTGGGAATTGGGCACAAAACCCTGAATTTTTAGTGAGCTTCTTGTGATTTTCATGCATACTCATTTTACTACCAATGATCCTGATTGTGGCTGCATTTTTATTTGTTTCAAATTCTTCAGTAATGTTAACCACCATTCCCCACAGGGCTCCATTCTTCCCTCTTGGAACCAGTAGAAACACCTGAGGAATTTTTCCAAACTATATCCATATCCCCTTGAGAGATTTTGATACAGTCCTAACCCCCAACTGAATCACCACTGAGCTGACTCACTGTTTCCAGGTGTTATATATAGTAGCCTCAGGTGTGCCGAAATGGAAAAATGTCTAAAAACCACTGTTTTAAAGGTTGTAGCTCATGGCCAGTGTCTATATTTCTCAAAGCAGTCATCCAAATCAGTATTAATCCCTAGGGCAGGCTAAAAACCAAAATATTTTAGGATGACAAATCATTAAAGCTGAAAGGGATTTTAGAAATCAACTGGTCAGTGATTCTCAACCCAGGCTGCAAATGAGAATCAACTGAGAGCTTTAAAAAACAAACAAACAAACAAGCAAACCCAATGAGGGATGAATAGGCAGGGATGAGGGATGATACTACAATGGTGGATACATGTCATTATACATTTGTCCAAACCCATAGGACGTACAACATCAAGAGTGAACCCTAATGTAAACTAGGACCTTTGGGTGACAACGGTTTGTCAACGTAAGTTCATCAATTGTAATAAATGTACCACACTGGGGCAGGATGTTGATTATGAGGAAGGCTATGCATGTGTTGGGGCAGGGAGTACATAGAAAATCTATGTACTTTCCACTCAGTTTTGCTGTTGAAGGAAACAAAAATATTTCTCCCCAAAATAATTGAGGATGTTAAGTTAAAGATACTGAAAATGCAGGGGAAGACTCTGCCATAGCCTCCAATTGCCTGATGGCAGCACATAAATCCTTCCTTCCTAGAACAGCACTTGCTTCTGAGCCCAGAGAAGGCATCAGCAGGCACCAGAGGAATCTGAGAACAGATTTTACTATCTTCCCACATTTTCCCACCTTTTAAAGACTGGAACTTTTCCTTCGTCTTGTCACTGTATAGGATTTATGGCCCTTGGTTGAAATACTATTCAGTAAGGCCATAAGCCACTGCCTTGAGATAGAAATGCTTTTGAACTGAGGCCTTTCCTGTGTGATGAGTACAGCATGTGTTAATAAACTTCTGCTTGTTTTTCTTTTGTTAATCTGACTTTTGTTTTCAGCAGAGTGTCTCAACTAAGAACCTAAAAGGGAAAGAAACTAAATTATGTTTTCTCCCCTATACTGTGAACCCGAAACTGACAGAAAAATTTAAACTTATTAAAAAATTTTTTTAAATTCCAATGCCTGGGCCCTAGACAGATCAATTAAACTAGAATTTCAGGAGTAGAGGCAAACATCTACAATTTTTAAAAAGCTTCTTGGGTGACCCTAATGGGCAGCCAGAGTTGGAAATCACTGATTTACTACAACCCACTTGACTTAGAGTTGAAAAAACTAAGAGCTAGAAGAATACAGTTATTTGCCTAAAGTTACCAGCAACCAGGGGAGCCTGTGGGGCTACAGCCTGGATCTTCTGATTTCTAGTTTGATGTTCTTTCCACTAAAAGACTCAAGAAGCAGCAAAAATTCTAGACCCTCCTAGTTTTGCTATCATAGGAATCTTTGAGTGTAATCTGTGACATTACACTCTGAACTGAAGAAAACAAGATTTAATCCATTCCTTCCTCTGGGCCTTCCATTTCCTCCTCTTGAGATTCAAGGCTGTCATCTTGATTGGACTTATCCAGGGACCTAGCTCAATCTTTTACTCGCTTCCTTACCTGGTTCCTCCCTTAACATACCTTATACCCCAGGAAAAAGGCAATGTATTACTGTTCAGACTGAGTCTTTGTTTTCACCCAGATATACCTCTGGTAATACTGTTTCTGCCAGCCCATCTCCACGTGCAAGCATGCATCTTTTGGTGACCATCTTAAATGGTACCTCATGTCTCTTTTAATTATTTCCTTCCAATCAGATTCCCTCATCTTAATTCTCCAAGTTGTTTTTACTGTTTTTCTTTTCTTTTTTCCTTTTTTTTTTTTTTGAGACCAGGTCTCATTCTGTTGCCTAGGCTGTAGTGCAGTGGCATCATCACAGCTCATTGCAGTCTCCACCTCCTAGGCTCAGGTGATCCTCCTACTTGAGCCTCTAGAGTAGCTGGGACTACAGGTCTCGAACTCCTGGGCTCATGTGATTCTCCTGTCTTGGCATCCCAAAATGCTAGGATTACAGGCATGTGCCACGGTGCCTGGCCTTTACAAATATTCTTGTGTGGCACCTACATTTGCCTAATATTAGATTTATAAGTAATCCTGCTTATCTGCCTTATTAAACTGTAAACTTCCTGAGGGCAAGAACAGAATATTGCTCATTTTTGTATCCACTATCAATAACCAATCCAATGTCTCACAAACAAACTGTATATAATATATATTAAGTTGAACTGGTGCAACTGGAAATAAAACATTCTGCACAGAAGGGGACTCAAAAACAAAATCAGTATTCCTTTTCAGTGCTAACTTTCAGGGTCCAGTGACATTATAGACGTAATACCTTTTCATAAAAAGACTGTTAAAATATCTTTATAGTTCAAACTAGTGTTTAGCTTCAGACTCACAATAATAACATTCTAAACCTCTGTTCATTTTGTATTTACTGCATACAGTGGAATGTAAGTAAGACTCAACTCTTGGGTGGTGTAACAGTCAGAAAGATCCTAATCCTAGAGGGCTCTCAGGCTTGATGGGAGGAGTCAGGGAACTCCAAAGACACAGGAGCAACATGGTCATGTTTTTCCCCTATACTTCACCAGAAGGAAACAGGCAAGAAATCTAAGGCTTAGCAACCGAGAATGAAATGACCACCACTGCAGAGTTCTTCCTTTTGCTTATACCTGTCCTTTTCTGAGTCACTACATTTGGAAAAGTAGCAGCTACAGGATTTTTTTTTTTAATTTATTAATGAACTTATACCCAGCTCCATTCTGTTAATAAGAATATTTGAGGCCAAATAATTTTTTAAAGTTATTTCTGGTGTTATTCTTTGCTGTACTACAATAGGTACAAACACCATATCACCTAAACTCAGGAAAACAGGCTGCAGATCCACGGAACAACTCACCTTATTTACAAGGGTATATAGGGCTTTGTCTTGTGCATCATATTTTAGACACTGCCTAATCCAGGTGTGGATAGTCCAGTTTCTCAGGTACCAGCAGTTGGGGCTGTGTCGAAACCTAAATAAGCACAAGAAGAGAGAAAACTGGTGTTAACTCTTATATGTTAAAACACATCTTCCATCGATAGGTCCTTCTCTTAGATACTTACAGAGTGCAATGTGACAGAAATTCATAAAAGTCAACAGTTGATAAAAACTTGAGAATGAAACTTATTAACCACAAAGTCTGAAATGGTAAAGAGAAGGCAAACTAATAAATAACAAAAAATTTTACAAAAATTGTATTCCTTATACCCCTTACTTCAACAGTTCATTTTAATAGATTTATGAAAAATGATTTGGGAAAAATACTCTACTAATCATGGCATTATGTAAACAGATATTTCATTAGAAGAGACGTGAAGCTTAAGCTGAAACTTTGGAAGTTTAAAACAAATGAAGAAAATGAAAAATAGGATAGCACAGCAACTCTGTAGAGGAGAATCAGCTTTGAGTAACAGTGATACTTCCTGTGGCTCTTAGGAGAGACTGGGACACTCTTCACTGAGTCAAAGGAAAACAGAGGAAAAGAAATAAAAGTTGAGTAAAATTTAACATTCATGTCCTCCAAGATCCACAATCCCACACTGCCTTCTTCACAGTTCCATTGTAGCTCATCAGTTTATCCCTTACTTCCTATAGCTCCCCACAGGGTCTTAAAAGTCTGAAGCAGCCCAGGATGAGTTATATACAGTAATAGTATACCTACAAAGGAACAGTGCTTGGAAAGGAATTCCAAATGCTGCTTTTTCCTTAGTTCACGCACATTGCTAACACCTGGGATGGAAGCTGCTACTCCCGGTTCCTGGGGTTCATGACAAAAGACTGACTGGAGATTGAGCTGCGAGATGGGGGTGGAAAGGGCTCTGTAGTCCCTCTTTTTATTTATCTACTTTGATTAGGATGGACCCTCATATGCTATACTATATCATGTTAGCTGAAATCCCTATGTTTTCCTGAATCATTCAGGAAGCAGGCCAATCGCTGGGCTCCACAAAAATCAAACTCTTTTTCTTAAAAAGAAAAAGGTGAGACAAAAACCTAGTGCTAAAGGATTCCATGCTATATTTGAGAGTCGAGGGTACAGATGAATACTAGTGGCTTTTAGAGGCTGATTATTCAGTCTGCCTCCTGCTATTTCTTGCCATCTGCTATTGGGATAGTTTCCTCTGAACAGGTTCTCTGCCAAAGTAATGGTTAAGAAAAGGAGAGGAAGTGAGAAATAGTATTTAATTTAGGATATCTATTAGTGCTCTGGTGAGAGATTTGGCAAAAATAAGATCCAAAGATGTTTTATGGATTTAGGGTCTTCTAGGCAGCCTGATTCTCTTCAATATTTTAGGTTTTGCTAGAAAATGTCTCTCTCACTCTATTTTTCTCTACAAATTAGCCCCTTTAAAATCAGAAATAGAGAAATATGTCAAATTAGGTTTAGAATAAGAGTGACGTGGCCAGAGAAAGGCATGGTATAGGGGACCTAGATACTCAATCTTATAAGATCTTCTGCACAGAAATGAAACAAAATATACCTTTAGTATTCCATGTTTTCCCTCATATTTGTTTTTATTTTTTTATTTTTATTTTTTGAGACAGGGTCTCACTGTCACCCAGGATGGAGTGCAGTGGTGCAATCCTAGCTCACTATAACCTCAAACTAACTCCTAGGCTCAAGCAATCCTTCCTCCTAAGCCTCTCGAGTAGCTGGGAGTATAGGTGCATGCCACTATGCTCAGCTTATTTTTTGTAGAAACAGGATCTCGCTGTGTTGCCCAGGCAACATTTTCAAATCAATAGTTTAGCTACTTGATTCTTGTTTCTCTGAACAATCTGAGATTTAACATGAAATGACCAATTAAAAATGAGTTTTATTTTTTAAAGAAAAAAGTCAAGTGAAGTATCAGGTGTACTGCTTCAACGATGGTGATGCTTCCTCATCAGCCTGTAAGTTCCTGTGTCAGCAGAGACAGAGACTGACTTGCTCAATACTGATTCCTGTACTGACACAATTCTTGGCCCATAGGTTTTTCAGCTAATTAAAAAAAGAGCTTTAATCAACACTGGTATTAAATGCTGTTATGTCCCGATCATTCTGTTAATGTCTATGGTATATATGAAGATATGTAAATTTCCTTTTCAGGGCATTTAGAGTCTCATTACAAAAACGATGCACACATAATTTAATAATAATACGAGGTGGAGCATGATAAGTGCTAAAGACAAAAGGGATTGCTAGAGGCTGAAGGGTTTTTGGTAGTAGCAGTTGTTGGGTTTAGTCAATTTTTCCTTTAAAAAGAAACAAAACGAAATATAATTATTTTTTGGTAATGACTTTGGGAAAAAAATATATCAAATGCCAATTACTACCCTCACTCAAGATTATTTTAAACCTAATACTCATTTTAAATCTAAGGTTCTGGCTCAGGATGTTTCCAATGGCCACTAAAGTTGTAACTTTTTTTTGATGATGAACTTTACAATAAGAATACCATGACCATATCCAACCAAACACCTTTCTCTTATTCATGATCAGCAGACCACTTTTAGGCTTTGAAAAAATAACAAAGACTGATAATGAGAGCCTAGTTTCAGACCTTCAAAGCTCAAATTAAAACATATTTAAAGCCATTTGCTAAGCTTCTAAGGCTAACTTCAACACAAGGAAGAGCAAGAAAGTCTTTTCTTCTCAAAAACCCTTCCTTCACAGACTTTCTCTCTTAGAAGCCTAAAGGGAAAGTTACTCAAGACTTCACACATCGAATACAATCATCTCTGCACAGCAGCCTTTTGAGATATTTGTCAAGACACTCAGAGAAGTCTTTAATAAGTCTACTCCCTCTCCTATCCTGGGACAAGGCTACTTGGTATGAGCTCTGCTCTCTAAGCCCTAACAATCTTAGACCCAATTATGTCTAGGGCATTTTCTTTTTTATTGTATATACATTTTGAGAGACAAAGTCTCATTCTGTCATCCAGGCTGGAGTGCAACTGCAAGATCACAGCTCACTGCAGCCTTGAACTCTTGGACTCAAGTGATCCTCCTGCCTTTGCCTCCTTCTTTATTTCTGTAGAGACAGGGTCTTGCTATGTTGTTCAGGCTGGTCTCAAACTCCTGGCCTCAAGTGATCCTCCCACCTCGGCTTCCTAAAGAGCTGGGATTATAGGCATGAGCCACTGTGCCCAGCCTTGGACATTTTCAATGAACTCTCACAAAAAATAAACTGAGGAAAAGCAGTGAAATACTTACACACATACTATAAAATATGCTGCCCAAAATGCAATTCCTGAATTTCCCAGCCAGGAAGCAAATGAACTCCTTTCTTGGCCCCCATCAGCATTAAAAAGATAAACTTACGTGAGTGGCTATCTGGAATATAAACAAGTCAAAACACTGGGCCAGCGGGGTTCAATTTTGGATGGCAAGTTTGAGAAGAATTCCTGTTGGTGACTTTTTAAGCAGTTCAGACAAATAAATGTGGGGACTTTTCAACTTCCAGTAGTAATATGTCAGGTGAGTGAGTCTCTGGAATGGGCACTTGCCTGGAATAATTCTGTGGATTGCTGGATGAGCATTCTCCCTTTCTGTCAGAAGAAAGGCAAAGAGAAAAGAATACAACTAACACATTGATTTTCCAATTTGCCTGCAAACAGACTGGCTTTTGTTCTCGCCTGCTCTGACCACCAGCCTGGCAGATTACAGCCAGCCACTGTAGGAGTCCCCTCTGTGCGCCTATGCCATCAGCTGTTTGCTCACCTCGACAGAAGCTTTATTATTGCCTAGGCCAACAGGCTGTCAAGATAGGCAAACATGTGAGTGTAGAAAAGAGAAACAAATACAACCCAAATATCCCCAACAAGGTTGTGCTCATGAAGGCTAAAGGTACTCTGAGATTTCAGCTTATAAAATGTGATTACACTTACAATTCTGAGGAAATGTGTATTTCTTGGAGGAGCATAAGAAAGAGTGACAAAGTGTACTCTCAAGTTCTAGCTCTAGTTCTAAAAGTTGGTATCCCATGGCTAAAGAGATCTCTGTCCCCAGTGTTGAGTAGGATTTTCAGGTGAAGACAGAGCTTGCCTAGGAAGCCAAACCACGGCCAATAAAATAGCAGGAACTGAGAAGCATCCTATTCTCAAAACTCAGGCCATACTCAGAACTCTTAAGGGCATCTGCCTGCACTGCTGCTCATTCAAGACTGATGTTACCAGGAAAGAAGGAGAGCAGAATCACAGGCTGCCAAAATGACATGGGAGTGAAAGTCTTGGATATCACAGAGATTTCTTAGAAGGGAAGAGAGGTTATATAAAAGAGATCAAGAGTGAAAAAAAAAAAAAAAACACCACAGACTGACTGTGATTATATAGGAGGTACTCTATTGTGTGTAAAAGTCGCATGGGATTTCTTGTTTGACCAATTTCGTCATTTAATTAAAAAAAAAAAGTGGCCTAGGCACAGTAGCTCATGCCTGTAATCCCAGCACTTTTGGTGGGTAAAGTAGGAGGATGTCTTGAGGCCAGGAGTTTGAGACCAGTCTAGGCAACACAGCGAGACCCCGTCTACACACACACACACACACACACACACACACACACACACACACTCACGGCACTCATAGCACACATACACACCAAAAATAGGGGGGAAAAAAAAGGAAAATATAGCCTTTCTTCCACGGGGTTGAAATAAAGGTTTTGTTATTGTTGAACGGCTAAAGTGGCAATGCTCATCAGCATTTTCGGTCTCACAAATAAAAATGCTCCAGGCTGGGCAGGCCCAATGCACAGATGCCAGAGCCTAGAGCCCAGCAGCTCACAGCTCCACCATTTAGCTGTAACACACTGGTTCTTCCACATGAATGAGCAAGCTTTCCACAATGTTTATCCGATTCCGAGAGCCACCAGCCCTAAACACACACATGCAGCTTTCCCTCCGCCCCAGTGAATTCTGTATCCTGTGGCAACAGGCTTTACAGATGGGAACCTCAGCCACGGAGCTGGGTAGACAGAGATGGGAGAGGGGGTCAGGGTAAAGGGAGGAAAGAAAGAATGCCAAGAAGAAAATATGGCTGGCTTCAAAGCCTGTAGTGTGGACTGAGGATCTTACCAATGAAGGAAAGTTAGCAACTATCAAAAGGAATGAGCGCTTCCTTGAACTAGAACCAAAGACCAAGAGTGTCATGTGACTATTTAAATCAGAATCTGATTCAATCACTGCTACTCACTTTCTCATTATTTTCTTTTTCATCCTGCTGGAAATTCTGCTTTCAGAATTGTTAATTTCAAAACTAACAATTATTAGTTGCCCTCAACTACCACAAATAAAATCAAATTTTGATGAGATAATTTTCTAATGACTATTATATTTTTGTCAAGTACTTAAAAAAAGAGGGCAGGGTTTAATACAGAAATCGATAATAAAAACATCAGTATTATAAGTTAAAATTTCCTGCTTGGGATCTCAGATTCTTACTCAAAGAATTTAAGGTAATTTTAACTTTCCACATACACACACTTAGCCTGCACAAAATAAAAGCACCAGGTGCTAGAGTCCCCTCCAAAACACCTCTCCCACCCTGCCAACAAAAGTCAACCAGATTGGGCTTGAATATTTCCAACGAATTCACTATCTACCTTCACAATACAGATAAAAATGTCTTTCTTTAAAAGTTCTAATTTTTAAAAAATTAAAGTCAAGTTTACAGAGATACAATGTACAAACAAAAAAATTCATACGTTCAGTTTACAGTTCTATGAATTTTGACAAATGCATCCAGTTGCATAATCATGACCACAATCAAGATAAGCCCCCTTTGTAGTCAACCTCTCCAGGGTTTGCTGGTCAATTTAAGCAAATTTTATATAGGTAACCTCCTTGGGTCCCTTTCCAGATCTAGAGTTATTAATTTTGTAAGAGGAAAAGCAAATAAGATAATAAAACCACCACAATATCATCTATTGGTTGGTTTATAATGTATATTCTGTCAATTTCCCAGAAGAATTTGAAAAAATTAAAACTCAGCTTGTGAGTAGTTTTTTTTTTGAGCCCTACATATAGTCATTAGACCTTCTGGAATCCCTGCCTGCTAATCTAAAAAGGGTGATGAGTAAGTAGATTTTTGGTAGAGAATAACAGGGGCATAGAATTTTGCAGATGTGGAGTGCTAAATAAATGCAGCATAACAACACATTTTTTGAAATGAAGATAGATAACAGAGGGACTTGTTAGATATCAAAGTCTGAATTTGTCAGACCAAGGGCTTAAAAAAGAGGCCCTTAGCATTTCACCTGGAAACACACTGGTATAAATATGACATACTAGAAACTACTCCAGGAGAGTTATTCTTATTATCCACATCCTCTCATGAAACAGAAAGCAATCAAAAGTAGGATGCATGTCACCACATTATTCTCTCTCCCTGCTCTCTGATCTGCCTGCTGTTTTGCCAGATCTAACTCTCAGTCTAGAAGACATATTTCTGCTTCATTTAAGTATTTACTGAGTAGCTACCTTTTGCTCAGGCATGGTGATCTATATTCTTTACCCACTGATCTACTAATTTCCTTTAATTCCAATTTTTTTTTGTTTTTTTAAGTAGAGACGGAAGTGTTGCTATGTTGACCAGGCTGATCTCAAACTCCTGGCCTCAAGTGATCTTCCTGCCTTGGCCTCTCATCATGCCTAGCCCTAACTCCTATCTTAAAGATGACATCTCTCCCTTTCTGATACAGAAAAAATACCTATAGACAGACTGTAAGCTCTGCTGCTCTCTCTCTCTCTCTCTCTCTTACTTTCATGGTACATAAGGGAGGCAGTCAGAATGAAGTCAGTTGTGTTCTTTGTCTAAAGCCTGGAACACTATTTTATCAGCCTCCAAAGAGCAATATGTGTAGATAACCAGGGAGGATTACTTGTGGGGAGAATGGGAGAAGAAACAAGTATTTACAGTCATCACTGAGGTGCCCATCTGGAGATGGTCCTAAAAGCAGAAAATGGCTTTGTGGCCACCACCTGACCTATCAGTGAAACTGCACCCAGAAGCAGCTGGTAAGACTTCTCCAGCCTCTCTAAAGCTATACACACACTGGCTCACAGGTCAGCTTCATGACTGAGAGGCAGTTACTGAAGGCCAAGGTTAGGCTACAGAGGGCCTTTACCTAGGAACAGCAGGATGTTGAGAAAAACTGGATCCCGGAACCAGTCCTGTTTATAAAAGCATATAAAGTTATGGAAACTGGCTTGGTTTGGACAGAGATAAGCGAAATATTTTGGTTTTTGAGTAGGAAATTTATGAGCAATAAATGAGCCAGTTTTAAATACATGCAAACATTTCCTGATGTCTCCTAAAGCTTTGGCTAGGAACTGCAGATAAAATTTCTGCAAAATCACAAATAATACAATGATTAAGATAGGAAAATCACATATATTAATTAAACACTGGTTTTGAATAATTCTGGGAAAAAGAAAGGTGAGAAAGAAAAAAAAGGAGGAAAACAAAGGAATAGAATAGAAATAAAAACCAGAATTTCTGGAGTATGCTAGGCTTAGTGAAGTTGTCAGGATTAAGTCTGCCACAAAAGAAATGAGCAGGCAAAGAGCCTGGCCCAGGAGATGAAGCACACCAGGGTAAAAGCAGAAAAGAATTAAGCCAGTGTTGAGCAGATTTATATGTGTTTGTATGTGAGATTACGGATTTCTTTAGGGGTATTTCTGAGGGAAGAGAAGCTCAGTACTAATCAGGATTTCTTAAGAATTAGATTTTTATTAAAGAAGAAAAGCATCTCAGTATTTTAAACATTCTGATTCTCTAACACATGAAAAAGTTGAATCCCTAGGCATTCTTTGTTTGTAGCAAAAGGAAGGTTGGACATACTTCCAGTGATACAATCCAATTCATAGCTAGTTTCTATTTCTGTAACTCTACTGACTCCTCTATTAAGCTTTTAAGCTCTTAAAAGGCAGGGGACAAGTTATCTATCATTTTGCGTCTACAAACAAGTGAACAAGGACTCAAGTAGGTGCCTGATAATTTGGCAACAGTGACTCGGCCTGCTAAGACTGCATAAATACCCATCATGCATGCTGAAATTCATGAGGATTATTTATATTTGAAACAGTAATTCACTTCTGGTTGTGAAGTATCCTGGCTAAAATAAAGTTGAAGCCAAGAAGAAATGCTGCCTTTTTTGTACAAGGCAGGAGGAGATGAAAGATGGCAGAGGAAGTGGAGTAGTATGTGGTCATTGTGGAAAGCCACCTAGTCCTCACTTATTCCCCCTACTGTTCCTTCTCACAATACATCAAGGATGATACATGGATTCTTTAATGCAAGTTGAGGGAACAGACAAGCTGCTAGGAGAGTGAAGCCGTTAAGTTGAGGACAGAAGCCAGAGTACATGGGTTCAAAGAATTTCCCTAACAGGAATTCAATAAAAAAACAGACTCCTTTCAACCCTGGAAGAGGCTTTGAAAGCAACCTAGGCCAAGTAAACTGGGGATAAGGGAGAGACAAAAAGTTAATACTGAATTAGAGAATCTTTAATTTAGTGCTGGTAGGGACTTTCAATATCTATTGTACACTAGACTATTTATTGAGAATTTACTAGCCCTGTTCTAGGTGACGTAAAATTATGTAATCTAATTCCTTTACTTTATAGAGGAGGAATCTTGATGTATATAGTGAGATAAAATGATTTCCCCAAGATAGTTAGCAATAGGACCTAAATTAGACCCCTCACTTTCATTATTCCACCATTGCCTCTCAACTTATTTGTAGGACATCTTTAAAAAACATTTTTGTGGTTTCACAAAGGTCTCTAACAGCGAAAAATAAACATCTCTTCTAAATTTAGGAGCAGAATCAACAGAAAAATAAACTCAGTGTAAAACAGTTCTGGAATTGCCCTGAACTAGCTGTTTAACTTTGGAAAGTCACTTGATCCTTCAGGGTTTCAGTTCCTGCAACTGTAAAATGAAGAGGTACGGTTATCTGGATCACAAACTCAACTGTCTACAGGGGCCAGTCAGTTAATATAAATGCATGAATCATGTAAGACAATAGGTACAAAGCTGCTTGTATTACAATCAAGCAAAGTGATTTCATTATACTGTTTATAAAAACACAGCTTACGGGCCAAACAAAATACACTTGAACTCTGGACTAGACCAGACCCCCGGAACTCCTTCCAGCACTTAAGTTTAATGACTGTAAAAGACAATAAGCCTATATCTACTCATTAAAACATCAGTCATATACAAGTTTCTATTAAACCAGAAAAATGGCAGTGATACAAACAAGTGAATAAAGACTCAAAGATAAACGAGCAACCATTCAGTCCACAGCTGATTTTACTTTATTCCACTAGCCTCCATTCCCCCACCATATGGTACCCACTTTGGGCAGGCAACAGAGATTATTATTATGGGAATGGTGGGCCCTGCAAATTGGCATCTAAAATTTCAAGGTGAAATGATAAAATCAGCTAAAGTTAAATTTAAGGTCCCTAAAGTACATTATAACTGAAGATCAAGTTTTATAGAAAATAAAATTTTCAGCAATTGATCACTCCATTAGTAAAGCATTTTATTTTCTACTCAAATATTTCAGTGCAATTCATCTTATATCTAAGAAAGTCATCCAAAGTAATTTTCCTACATAATATAAATTATTGTTTTATATACTGTTACTTTATCAAACCTCTGTTATCTGGCAATTCCTATAGCAGAAATGGTTGAACTCTAAAAAAAGGGGAGTAGGATAGGGTGGGCATAGAGATATTAAGAAATTACTTGACAGTTTTTGGAACATAATGACTATTTGTAGTTTAAAAAGGAAAGATATTTAAAAATTGAGACTTATTATTTGTGAGTCCAATTGGTTTTTAGAAAGGTTTACTTTACCACTCACCAAACAAACAAAAACCCTTAGTTGTTTACATGTAAAGACAGAAAAATTAAGGTGACCTTTCTTTCTTCTGCTGCCAAATAGTAAAACTCAGTATGACTATAATACATTTAATAGGCAGCTCCTCTATTTAGCTCAAGCTAGTCTCTCATACCAAAAACCAAATTTTTAAAAACTGAATATTTGAAATTATACAAACAAAATATGCTAAGAAAATTCTTAACAATGACCAAATGCAAACTTCATGTCATAGGAAGGTTAAGTACCAGAGGCAATTCCTTTTAATAGGATGACAATCATAAGAAGGAACAGTTACAATTCTGAATATGAAAGAGCTGTTTCTTTAGTAATAAACCAAATACAAAGTTCCGGGTTCATCTGTTCTGGCTGGCAAATCTTGCATAAAAAAGCCATACTTTAGCTAAACAAAAGCTTTTAGGCTGGCCCAGAAAGAGGGAATGAACAATTTGAAAAACATCTTTTACTGCCTGAGAAAATTTAAAAAGTGTCTGAAAGTGCCAGGAGACCTGCCTCAATGTGACTCAGGCAGCTTTCCAAAGTCCCTCAGCTTTCCTAAGTATGAGTCATAGGGGAAGGAGAGAGGGCTCCTTGGCAAAGATACAGGTTTTCCTCTCTGGTTCCACCCCCACCATTTTCATTTAAAAAAAAAAAAAAAAAAAAAAAAAGCTTTGATGTATAATAGTTAAATAGATTCCAGACAGGCTTAACTGAAGAAGTTTGAACACCAGGGAGGCAAAATATCATTGCAGAAGTTGCTATTGTTTGCTATTGTGATCCACAGACACAGGGAGCATCTTCTGCATCCTAAAAAGGGCTCGGCCCATTGATCATGTGTCAGATCATGGCTGCACTTTGTGGGAGAGAAGAGGATAACAAGCTATGAAAATACCTCTGCCTCCCTAGTTTCTTAAACACCACAAGCTCATATACTGAACAATTACACTGAGTTCGAAGGGGTGGGAGCTTGTCCTTTATGAGTGCACATTAAGCAGAATTTCAAGTGTGGTAGCAAGTAGACTGTCCACATATACATGGCTGCTACAATGAATGCAGCCTTTAGTGAACAGATACACTTTTTCCTTCAATAATCTTAGGCAAAAAAGTAAGAAAGCTGGGATTTTTTAAGCATGAATAAGGCAAAACTGAATGTTAAACTGCAGAGAGAATAGTTCTACTTCTATACCTATATGAAATTACTTATTACAACAGAATGGAGCATTTGATGAGGTCAAAGCTCCTCTCTTCTGCATTTGATCATTTATCAACCTACTATGAATCAGGATATTATGCTGGGCACTAAGAGACAAAGAAGAATAAACATCTCCTTGCCTTCAATAAGGTTAGATTGGGATGATCAAAAACAAGTATTTTCAGCCCCGCGTGGTGGCTCACGCCTGTAATCCTGGCACTGTGGGAGGCCGAGGCGGGCAGGTCACTTGAGGTCAGGAGTTCAAGACCAGCCTGGCCAAAATGGTGAAACCCCGTCTCTACTAAAAAATACAAAAATTAGCCTGGCGCAGCAGCACGTGCCTGTAATCCCAGCTACTTGGGAGGCTGAGGCAGGAGAATCACTTGAACCCGGGAGGCAGAGGTTGCAGTGAGCCAAGATGGCGCCACTGCACTCCAGCCTGGGCGACAGAGCAAGACTCCATCTCAAAAAAACAAAAACAGGCTGGGCGCAGTGGTTCACGCCTGTAATCCCAGCACTTTGGGAGGCCGAGGCGGGTGGATCACGAGGTCAGGAGACAGAGACCATCCTGGCTAACACGGTGAAACCCCGTCTCTACTAAAACAATACAAAGAAATTAGCCGAGTGTGGTGGCAGCTGCCTGTAGTCCCAGCTACTTGGGAGGCTGAGGCAGGAGAATGGAGTGAACCTGGGAGGCGGAGCTTGCAGTAAGCTGAGATCACGCCACTGCACTCCAGCCTGGGCGACAGAACGAGACTCCATCTCAAAAACAAAAAACAAAAAAACAAAAATAACAAAAAAACTCCAAGTATTTTTTGAGCATTGATAACAAGTTTAGAAGGTTAATTTATAAGCATCATAGGTAATTTCCCATGTATATAACACTGATTATTTCATAACACCCTGATAATAAATTTTGAAAAACTGGCTCTCAATAGGAAAATAAATCCAACTTTTCTCTCTTCTTCCCAATAGTCTGTCTTTTTTGTTTCCTTGGGTATATTTAAGAAATAAAAATGTTAGAGATAATGTTGTACCCTGCTTCTCTCACTTTCTAGAACAAGAAAGTTGGTGTCCATCATTCTCATGTTATACTTTTACTACTTAGGGATATGTTCTGTGTTGAGTTTTTCAAGGTGCATGACTTTTTGACTCTGCATTCAAGGGCCTGTCTGATAGAGAACTGAACCAAACCACAGTAATGCTGCTTCTCCAGGGGCAGAAGAGTAGGGAAAGAAGTGACAAAATTACTGTTATCACAGACATGAGAGAGGACTCGATGCCACTTTCACTGTGAAAACTAATTGCACTGCCACCAGGTAAATCTCTGACAAAGTGCTGCTCTGTGTTTGATTAGAACCCAGCCCCGACTCACTAACTGAGTCATTTAACCTAAGAATCAGTTTTATCATTTTTAAAATAGAGATGATAATACCTTAATCACTGGGTTATTATGAAAATCACATAGGAGCTATTTAGGCATTTTGCCGGCTTATAATTCTTTTTGGAACCAAACACAGTAAAAATATGCACATATACAAGCAATACTAAAATATATATTTTTAAAGACAAGGTCTCACTCTGTCACCCAGGCTGGAGTGCAGTGGCGAGATCACAGGCATAACTGTCTTTGGTAGTAGAGAGGTAGTTAAGATATCAGCATCAGAGAGAACTTCTCCTATGTTAGAACCTCAGGAAACTGATTCTAAAATGGATTCAGGATTCTAACCGGTAAAAGTTATATCCAGTTTATCTGGTAAAACTCTAGATTGATATGAAGATTAAAGAGATAAAACATGTAAAATTAAAATGCCTGGCACATGGTGCTTTCAGACAACTTGGACAGAGCAGTCAGCAGCAGCCTCATTCTAAGGGCCACTGAGTTAAGTATGAACTCTTATGATTATTACCATCCACACGGCAGGTGACTTGCAGAGCGCTGGGTACCTGTGTGCAGCAAAGACCTGACTGCCATTAGCCAGAGGGGATGGAATACAGTAGGAAGAACTGGGTCAGTAAGAGGGTAAAGAATCCTTTGCCCTCTCATTCCTCTCAAGACAGTCTCAAATGAGGAGCTGGAAGGTGAAGGAAAGGGGACAACAGAGAGGCTTTTTACAATCACAGAGGCCCAAAGCCAACCAGCAAAGTTTTGCCAGTCAGGCTGATGACTGGTGGCAGGGTTTCTGATCTTATTTATGACAGAAAAAGGTCTAGGAAGGAGAAGCAAGGGGATGACCTAAGGAGGAGTCAATTTACCTATCATGTTTTGCTCTTGGACTGCTTTCCACATGCTTGGCAAGGCACTGTTATAATACAATGGGGATTATACTGGTTTCCACAAGATTAGCAAAGCACTCTTATAATACAATGGGGTTTATACCTTGAGCTTTGTGTCAGCTCAGTGCCCACTAGCCTCTGGTTGAGGTAGACAGCTAAGGAGTGTGGATGCCTATGGAGGATAAACCGAACTACTGAAAAGAGAAGCTGCTAAGTGCTGCTCATGGCTTGGATCTGTGGTTGGGGCAAGAGCTCAGAAGAAGAAAGTAGTTATTTGTGTAGAACATGCCACCCATCCAAGGCTGGGAAATAAAGGAAAACACCAACTAAAGCAAAGCATTTGCTGCTGAGCAAGCCACTGACCCAGCTTTGTTTCTAAGAACCCCCTTTTCCATCACGTGCCCACCACTGGCAACCTGAAAGGAGTTTAAGGCTGAAAGCACCTGTTCCTGCTCCCAACCTAAATGGAACCATCAGCTCTTTCAGACAACTTGGAAAGAGCAGCTGACAGCAGTCACATGAAAACAAAGGCCACTAAGCTAAGAGAATATCTATGAACAACAAATATACAATAGTTTTTCTCATGTTGAAAAAAAATTATGGGTACAAATAACCAATAATAACTCTGTTTTAGGATTCTGATTTAAGACAGGCTCAAAAAAGGAAAGACAAGGGTGAGCTGTTGCTATAGTGACCACAGCTTTTGATTATCTCAAGGGTTTTTCACATTCCCATGCAACCATAGGAAAGTCTAATTTATCAGCAATACTTGTACCATAAGTATATTTCTCTGAATGAATACTTATAAAAAATGTAGCATACTAAAGAACTTGCTTTTTTTTTCTGAGCATTTAGAACTTTTAAAGGAAAATCATACTGAAGGAAGGCTTCTTTTGCCCTGATCAGTTTGTGAAAAATCTTTAACTGTGACTGAAAATGAGGATGATGATGATAATTAACTAAAATGTGCTGAGTACTTACCATGTGCCAAGCATTATCCTAAGTACTTTATATACATTTTCCCCTTTTTACAAAGTAGGAAAGTGAAATTGAAGGGGATTAAAATCCTAGCCTAAGAGCCCACAGTGAACCTAACACAGGTGGTTTTCCCTATAGCATTTGAAACACACTTTTGGTTGTTGTTGAGCACCAGAAGTAGGTGGCTTGCATTCAGATGGCCTGCTTTATAGAAAATGTGTCACTCTGAATAATGGAATTGCATTTGGCATAGCAGGAAATTCATATTATGAGAGGAATGTAGAAATGAAAACAACATGTTCTCATCTTTCACCTCATGTCTTTGCCAGGGTACCCTGGTGGTGCTATTTTGTTGGGGGACCGCCAAAATCCCCATAGGTCTTTTCTCCTTGGACAGTCAGAGTACCTAGAGAGGGCTCATCCAATTTCCTCACTGAGAGGTAAAATAAGCCTTGTATACCCAAGTCCAGAGTCCTTCTGGCTCACTCTCTCCAGAAAGAAAACAACCACTCCTCTGCTAGAGTTGGGTATTTCACTAACTTGTATGAAGACTTCCCGTCAATCCTCCTGTCTCAGCTCCACTCACACTTCTACTTTGGGAATCATGCTGCTTCTCATTTACGAGGCTTTCTGGGGTCCTATGGTTCGACTGCCTTGCTTCTGGACTACCTCTCCTGCCGGCTTAGGTTGTAGCTTTCTTTTTCTGCTAACTCCATTACTTTTGTTTTCTAACTTCCAAGCTTTGCTCGTTGTCTCCTCTCCCAGTCTCTTATTTTGTCAATTTTTGCCTCTTCTACCCTTTACTGTCATATCTATGGAGGTTTCTGTAGGAAATAGAGATAAGCACATATGATCAATCTATCACGTTTAATCACAACACTTCCACAGGCAGTTTGATCTGTAAACTAGTCAATGGATTATATAATCATCTAAAAGTAATGATAAAGAAAATAAAACATTCAAATATATTTCAGCAGTAATAGCCCTCTGCTTAAAAGGAAAAATAAAATTTCTTGCATAAGACACTTAACTCATCTGGATTTCAAATTAAAGAAATTCTAAGACAAAAGGCGAGAAGAGATCTTTAACAACCCTTTCACTTCTAACATCCTTCCACCACAAAGGCCAAAAATAAATCACTGCACTATATTTTGAATTCTCTGTTTAATCTAAAATATTTTACTGAAAATATTTGTATAGGGACAGAAATTAAATAAAGGATAAGCCAAAATTATTTTAAACCACAAAATGCATATATTAAGGTCCCTGTATATGGATGGTGTGCTCAGTGTTAACAAGAAATATTGTTAAGATGTAGTCTTTAAACTGTAATACATCTTTTTTTCCTGGAAAAGTCACTACTCAGGATTACACTGAGTAGTGAAAGATACTTAAATCAAGCTTGGGAAATTCTCTTGTAAGAAGATAGAAAATTATGTAATGTTGCAGCAATTTCCTTCTTCCCTCTCTCCCTCTTTCTTTCTTTTTAGAGGTTAAGTCTCACTATGCTATCTAGGCTGGTCTTGAACTCCTGGGCTCAAGCAGTCCTCCTGCCTCAGCCTCCCAAGTAGCGAGGACTACAGGCAGGTGACCCTGCATCTGGCTTAATTTTTCCTGAGATTGAAACTCCAATAATACTCATAAAATCTTCTTTGCTCTGATGATTTTTCAAAAAGCTAAGTTTTATCTATATTTGAAGGGCCAAGAAGCTAGAGGAATGGCTCCCACAAGATTATAAAACCAGCACGAAGGAATACCTAACCTAAGTTGAAGCCTAGCAGAGAACCAAGGCACTTAATGAGGCAACTTCTCATAGCCGGTTCACACAAAACCTAGGAAACTAGGGAGCATACATCATGCCATAGCCTAGCTTCCTGGTGTGTGGTGGTGTGCACACACACACATATATTAATATGTATAGAAGGGATGGAAGAAAAAAGAGACCAAGGGAGAAAAAAGACGGGAAAGAAAAACACAATAGCTACCCCCTTATTATCCTTGGGAATTCACACTAAACACTAAACTAAATACTATTTCCTCCTCCTGGAATTATATATGTGGAGCCTTTGCTTTACATGGAGGGGAAAGTCATAGCCTAGAAAGAGAAAAATGGTAGAATTTAGTGAATTCAGTACCACATTACAACAAGAACAAGGATCTCTTCTTCATTCCCATAGCAATATAGCACATAATAGCACCTACTTCCTCTAGCAAATATGAGTGAACTTTTCCTTCCTTGCAAATGCCACATGGGATGTAACATTACACAAGCCATGTCATTAGGTACATTTTATTTTGTACCAATTCAAAGGATTAAAAAAAACTAAAAAGTTGAGTTAAAAATTTGATTTGAGAGAATTCAGGTCATTCAAGAATCGGTTCTGTTGTGTGAAATGTTTAATGGTCTTTTGCTTTCTGGTTACCACTGTTCTTTTCTTCAGAGAAGTGTCTGCTGCCAAGAAATCTGAATGTCATATTTAAGTAAAATGCAGAATTTAGTAGCTCTATATAGCAGAGCTTACCCTACCACATCTAAAATGTAACACATTTCTTTTCTTTTTTTTTTTTTTTTTTTTTTTTTTTGAGACAGAGTCTTACTCTGTTGCCCAGGCTGTAGTGCAGTGGCATGGTCTCAGCTCACTGCAACCTCCACCTCCCAGGTGGAGGTGGAGAATCAAGAGATTCTCCTGCCTCAGTCTCCTGAGTAACTGGGATTACGGGCATGTGCCACCATGTCCTGCTAATGTTTACATTTTTAGTACAGATAGGGTTTCTCCATGATGGCCAGGTTGGTCTCGAACTCCTGACCTCAGGTAATCCACCCGCCTTGGACTCCCTAAGTGCTAGGATTACAGGCCTGAGCCACTGCACCTGGCCTGTAATACATTTCTTGATATACATTCAATATAAACAAATACATCTGAGATAAGAATAGCAGAAGTGGATATAGGGCTAAAAGCCTATTAAGTCAGTACCACCCTTTTCCTGAGTAAACACTCATCAGGAAATACTACTTTACCATTGTTCAATGCCCATGCCTCACACAATTCTTTCCTCTTTAGTCCAAGCTGACAACATATAGATGACATATTCAATAATAAAATAAGCACTTCATCATTTTTTGAACTCTTACATTATTTTAGTAACTATGCGAATTGCTTTTTAAAGATTATTTCATTTACTTATCGAAACAACCCTATATAAGGTAAGTATATTATCCACACTTTACAGATGAGGAAACTGAACATCAAAAGGTTAAGTAACTTTCTCAAGATCCCACAGTTAATACTGAACAAGGCCAAAATTCAAACCCAGACAGTCTGACTCCAGAGCTCTTGACTACTAAGCTGTCCTGCCTGACGCTAAAATAGGTGATCTAGGGAGCAAAGTCTCTATCAACTTTGAACCAACAACTGGGGCTTCTTCACGACCCAAGCAAGGAATCAATAAACCAGGGAGTGCTATCTCAATTAAGATTAACCTCTGGAAGAAGGAGTGTTTGTCTAGAAAACTCTGTTATTTCAAATGTTAAAGATAAAATCATTTGGTTTCAAGCATACTGAATGAAAGCCATTGTCTTGTTTCTCTCCTGATCCTGGAATGAAGTAAGTAGATTTGGCAAGCCACCTCAGCCCTAGAACTTCCACTACTATTTTGATAATCAAATGTCACCATTTGCTATTATATCCCTTCAATGACTATAATATCTAAGGTTACCACAAATGTGTATATCCGATATATTCCACGTATTATGAAGTTCTGTTTTATTCACCTACAGGCTTATGCAGAAATTGCTATCAAATGGGATAGCATGCACTTTACATTTAAGAAGCACAACTAAGACATTTCAAAATTTTAAATACTTATATGTATTAAAAAAAGAATGCGTAAAATAAAATTTAATGGAGTAGGTTGGAGAAAAACCTTTGCTGACTCAGTGGCAAGACATCCTATGATTGAATATATAGAGCCGAAAAGGCACTCTCTTCAAATTATCCATTCAACCCTTTCACTTTCATTTATAAACAAGTTTTTTGGGCCAAGAACACTTTGACAATTTCATTATGCAAATTATATTAACTGAGTCTTAATGTATTGCCCTCTTCCTTTTCACCCAGCTATCCAAAGTCACTTTAAAACTGCAGTGGGTGGAACTGCAGAAATAGATGGGTGAGGCAGACAGGAAGCAGTTTAGAAAGAAGACTCACTGAGGTCAGGGAATTATTCTATGTGATCTGATTTTACATATTTGCTTAAGTGATCCTCAAAACAAAACAATAGGTCTGTTATTTTCTCATTTTCTCAGAGCCTCTATGCTGACTCATGTTATGCTATCAGATCTCCAGAGTAAGAGGAAAACATTAGCAGGCTCTTTATAGCCTTATATATTGATCCACTGATCATCAGAAGATATATCACTATTCTTGTAAGATGCCGTGGTACGATCCTGTACAGAACTAGACGTGCCATTCTTAGTAAGCACAGGATTTGAGGTAGTCCCTAAGATGATTTCTTGAAAAAATGTAAATGGGAGAGTAAGTATAGGAGATGTACAATCATGTCACATATATAGCACTGACAGGAAGGAGAATCAAACCTAAGGTATCCCAGGTACCTGAACCCTCAACTTTGATTCTCCACCCTCCACCCAATTTTATTTATAATTGTAATGATTTTTAGTAGAATTTTCATATAACTGTACACATGCCAGTCCTATTACAAATAGCTATGTGCCTTTGGGAAAGTCTTACGTTCCTTCTCTGTTATCGTTTCCAGCGCTGTAAAATGAGGGGGTTAAATGAGAAGATCTTGAACAGCTTGAACAGACTAAAAATCAATAATATAATCCTGCCTTTGGAGGGACCACAAGTGCTCAGATTATTTTTTCCTCTCTATACTAAAATGATTACAGATTCCTTCCTCCCTAGCTGGTAAGTTTTCTGTTTCTTCTCTCTCAGAGGGCTGCTAGTGAAAAATTGACTGCTATGGCTGCTACGTTCATCCATAATCCTCCATCAGTTGAATCTGGTGGTTCCACTGCTCCCATGAAGATTCATGTGCATGGGTTTCATGAAAATTGTTTCGGAAGACCAAAATTTCATATTCTTGGCTGTGGTGGGAAGAAAGAATAAGAATAGGATTTTTATGACACTCCAAATGTACTAGTATTTTACTGTTGTTATTATTTATTTAGGGTGGATTGCAGACGTGGTGGTAAAAAGAGCAGGGATTTTAAAAATGGCTATCTCAGTTGAGATGGGATTATGTGAGCAGCAGGATGTACTGTTTATCTACCCAAGGACTTGATCTACAAGATTAAAGAATTGGAGGCTGGGTGCGATGGCTCATGCCTGTAATCCCAGCACTTTGGGAGGCTGAGGTGGGCAGATCATGAGGTCAGGAGTTTGAGACCAGCCTGGCCAACACGGTGAAACCCCATCTCTACTAAAAATACAAAAAATTGGCCGGGTGTGGTGGCAGGCGCCTGTGATCCCAGCTACTCGGAAGGCTGAGCCATGAGAATTGCTTGAACCTGGGAGGCGGAGGTTGCAGTGAGCCACGACAGGGCCACTGCACTCCAGCCTGGACAACAGAGCGAGACTCTGTCTCAAAAAAAAAAAAAAAAAAAAGAATTGGAGAATGACTGGGAAGCTTAAAAAGTCCGAGGCACCAGAGCATCTATAAAGATTAAGAAGTTCAAAACAAAGATGATATTAAAACAAACAAATGCTCTGCCCAGGAAAGCTGCTGGGAAAACCCACACATATAGGAGAAGGGCCTACTGTTCCAACGTGCACTAACATCTAATGTGTGATATAAAGAAGTCTACCATGTTCTCTGATTTTTGTTTTTAGAGGCTTATCAAGCAAAGAGAGAAAACAAATTTTGGGTTTTCTATGATCCGGACTGAATATGAATCACCTTGTTTTCATGATTTCAATGACCAAAGACCTTAGAAGAAATATAGGCACTATGGTTTGAATGTTTTTGTTCTCTCCAAAACTCAAGTTGAAACTTAACCCCCAGGACAACACTGCTGGGAAGTGGGGGCTAATGGGAGGTATTTAGGTCATGAGGGTTGAGTCCTCATGAACGGACTAATGCCACTACAAAAAGGGCTTGTGGAAGTGGGTTTGCTTTCTCTTCCACTCTGCCATGTGAAGAAGAGTGCTCCTCCCCTCAATAGAACATGGCAATCAAGGTGCCATCTTGGAAACAGAGAACTGCCCTCACCAGATAGCAAACCTGTGTGTATGCCTTGATTTTGGACTTCCCAGCCTCCAAAACTGTGAGAAATAAATCTCTGTTATTGATAAACTACTCAGTCTCAGGCATTCTGTTATAGCAGCACAAAATAGACTATGACAGTAGATAATAAAATAGCTTAGCTATAGTTGACTACTAAATCTCAGTCTCCAGCGTAAACATCTCTCCCAGCTGCAAATCCATATGTACTATGGCCTCCTGGACATCTCCATTTGGACCTCCCATAGGCTCTCTGAATACATCATAGCCAGAATTGAGCATATTATATCTACTTTCTCTCTCCCCCTCCCCCAACCATGGTTCTTTGTTCTGTGTATTTGATCTCCATTGATTCAAGATCACTTAAGATCACCCCCCATCCAGAAAACTCCATGGTCTGAATTCTACTACCAGATCTCCTAAATATCTGTTAGCCTATGTTCCACTCGGTTTAAAAATCCGATTCCCAGCTAGGCATGGTGGCTCAGCCTGTAATCCCAGCACTTTGGGAGGCTGAGGCAGGTGGATCACCTGAGGTTGGGAGTTTGAGACCAGCCTGACCAACATGGTGAAACCCTGTCTCTACTAAAAATACAAAATTAGCCAAGCATGGTGGTGCATGCTTGTAATACCAGCTACTTGGGAGGCTGAGGTAGGAGAATTGCTTGAATCCGGGAAGCAGAGGTTGCAGTGAGCCAAGATCATGCCACTACACTCCAGCCTGGGCAACAAAAGTGAAACTTCGTCTCAAAAAAAAAAAAAAAAAAATCCAATTCCCTTAGTGGCTTCTTCACAAGCTTCCATTTGAAAATCTTTTTTAAATTGCAAGAAACTATCTTTTCTGAAACAAATATGGTAATTTTCATATAAATTAATGATTATAGAAACATACAGAGAAATAAAAATCACTTGGATTCTCACCATCCAGAGCTGGTATTCTGGTGTTTATTTGACTAATTCCCTAATGATAAACATTTGTTCAATAAGATGCTTCTATTTATTTTTATTATTATAGACAAAGCTACAGTTAATTTTCTTGACTTATATATAAATTTCTCCTTAGAATAAATTCCTTTAAAAATGTGCCAATTTAAGTTACTACCACTGTTTTTTGAGTATGTGTTTCCATGAAAATAGGTATTGTTTAATTTTAAATTTTTACGAATATGACAGGTAAAAAGTATTTCATTATGTTATTTATTTGCATAATTTCTTTAGTAGTTAGGGTGGATGGACATCGTTCATAGTGCTTATTGGCTATATGCCTTTCTTCTTACTAGAACTGCCTTTCCTGCTTTTTCTATTGCAATGTTTTTATTTCTATTATTGATGACTAAAAAATCATTGTTTAACCAGTTTAATAAACAACCAATGCTATAATTACTATTTCTCATTTTTCATATCATTTTTCTCAGATTAAGGCATTTTGCTATATTTGTCATTTTAAATTTTCATATGGATAAATATGCTTTACTAAAATGCTTTTTGACATTTATGCCATGCTTAACAAGGCCTCTATGCTTCAAGAGTACACAAATATTTCCTTATTGAATTTTCACATAGATGACTTCACTTTTTAAATTTAAATCTTTTGTCCACCTGGAATTTATTCTGATGAAGGGACATAACACTGCCCTAAGAGTCCCTTTGCATTATGTATTTCCTAGGTTATATTTTCTGTCTTCCAGGCGTTGATCTTTGTTTTTCCTACTGTTTTATTTAACCTTTCAACCTACAGACTCCTAATTTCAAGAAAATCACATTTACTTTTCAGCTGCTACGGTCTAAGTCAAACAAAGCTACACTTAAAACATGTAACATAGAAAAGTTTACTACAATGTGATCGGAAAAGGAAGAGGGTATCACTTGTTCCTTATCCTACCAATTCTGTTTTTCTTTTTGTGCTAAAAACAGTAGAGACAAGTGGCCATTGATTGACACAGAAGGTAAAATTACAACATAATAAAATATGTATCAGGTACAAAAAAAATCTAGTCTAATAATGAAATGGTCAAACAGTCAAAATGTCACAAGTAATTAGGTGGTTCAAAATATACATGGAATGCTGAGTTGTGTTTCTGGGTCAACAAAATGCCAAGTTTCATATTACTTTCTACAGTAATTAACTAAATCATTTACATTAATTAATTAATTAATTGTTTTTGAGACAGTCTTGCTCTTTAGCTGAGGCTGGAGTGTAGTGGCGTGATCTCAGCTCACTGCAACCTCCGCCTCCTGAGTTCAAGTGATTCTCATGCCTCAGTCTCCCAAGTAGCTGGGATTACAGGCGTGTGTCACCATGCCAGACTAATTTTTGTATTTTTAGTAGAGACAGGGTTTCGCCATGTTGCCCAGACTGGTCTCGAACTCCTGGCCTCAAGTGATCCGCCCACCTTGGCCTCCAAAGTGCTGGGATTACAGGTGTGAGCCACTGCAACTGGCCAATCACTACATTTAAATGGAACCTTTTACGTTCTCTTGAAAGTTGCTACATTGGTGTGATTATAATGCTGATCAGGAAACGTATGTATGTATGTATGTATGTATGTTGAGACGGAGTCTCGTTTTGTTGCCCAGGCTGGAGTGCAGTGGCACGATCTTGGCTCACTGCAACCTCTGCCTCCTGGGTTCAAGCAATTCTCTTGCCTCAGCCTCCCGAGTGGCTGGGATTACAGACGCCACCACATGCCTGGGTAATCTTTGTATTTTTAGTAGAGATGGGGTTTTACCATGTTGGCCAGGCTGATCTCGAGGAAACTGATTTTTAAAAAACCCCAGTTGCTATAGACTCACAGGAAAAAAAAAAACAAAAACTGTTACTGTACTTGGATGCTATCCTGCACTTTTGTACTAGATTATGAGAGTAGAATAAAATAGGAGTAGAAAACTGAAATAAATATTCATACTTTCAGAAGCAATGGCTGATACTTATCAGAGTATTTATGAGTATTATGAGATAATTGCTGATGTAATGATTAAAGTCTGTACCATGTAATGTTATGTCCGTACTATAAAAGAGAACAAGGGAAGTCATCATTATCCATAACTTCTTTCCTGTCAATTGCCCATTACCCCACATTCCAGCATGGCTGTAAGGCAAATACAACATAGAGATTTCATCTGTAGGTCAATTCCAGTCTCTTGGTAGTGGTTGCCACATTGCTATATTGAGCAGGATTCTGAGGCAGAGTCACGACTGCTGAAATGAGTCCCAGGACCAAAGGGTGATGCCTGCCAAGAGCAGGTATCAACTGTGGCAGGATAAATGCAAATTACATGCCATATCTATAAAAACACCAATCTGTTCTGCCCCTAAACCCTTTCTAGTCAGCAAGTTCAAACACATATACCTATGCACGTGACATTCCCTAACCTCTATTAGGGAAAAACAGTATGGCATACTAGTGAAAAATTTGGCCTTTAACTCTCTGGCGAGCTATTTGCTAGCTAGCTGTGTGTATTTTGAGGCAAGCTACTTAATATTTTCTGATTCTTGGTTCTTATCTATAAAATGAGAATAAGAGTATTCACTGAAAGGGCTGTGTGGGGACTCAATCAGTAACATATGATCATGTGGTTAGCAGTCAACGAAAGGTGCTGCTGCTGCTGCTGCTATTATTTCTATGCTGAGGTTTTTTGTGAGGCCCGTTGTCTTACAGCATCCCCTTCCCCAGAAAAAAACCCATAAAAACCCAAACAAACCCAGAAAAAGCAACCCAAAGCTCAGCAAACAGAATTCAGCAAACAATAAATACTCAGTATATACTGAATACTGCTGAATGCTAGAGATACAAAGGTAAATATGGCAGGACCACTTTTAGACTGCTGTTGGACACCCCATTAAAGGATAAGCAAGGGCTATATGAAAACATCTACACTATAATCAATAGTAATAAACCAACTCTCCAGAATGAAGAGGGGTGATGAAAGCAAGTGGACAGAAAAAAAGGGGGAGAGAGTTCCATCTTGTAGACTGACAGGAGAATGTATACTGTGAAACTTCTTCCTGGAACAAAGTGAGGTCTTTTTTTTATTATTATTAAATATATTTTTAATTTATTTTATTTTAGAGATAGGGTCTTGCTCTGTCCCTGAGGCTAGATTGCAGTGGCAGGATCATAGCTCACTGCACCCTTGAACTCCTGGGCTCAAACGATCTTCCCGCCTTGGCCTCCCAAAGTCCTGTGATTACAGGCATGTATCCCATGCCCAGCCCCAAGTGAGAGATTTTTATGCTTGCCTTTGATATCCTGTAAGTACTGAATGGATCCTCTATTTAGTACAATTATTTGCACAACTGGGTTAACCATACATCCAGAAAAAAAGCAAAAATGAAAGTTTTCTCGTTTGGTCACAAGGCACCAGTTTTCATGGTTATGGAAGGCAAACTCTGGTTTGCAATGTCTAGTAAAACGAAGCATTTCCCCTTGATTATTTCTTAGGGATTTCCTTCATCAGTAACACAGTGAATTAAAGAACATTAGACCATAAGACCTTTGAGGCTAGGCACTTTCAGAATTTGTGAATATTATCCACTATTGTGCATAGTAGTAACATGAACTCAAATGAATCAATGACCATAAAACTTAAAGCCATAAAAGCCTCAGAAGAAAACATGGGGTAAATTTTCATGACACTGAATTTAGCAATGGATTTTTAGATATGACACCAAAAGCATTAACAACAAAAGAAAAAATAGAGAAACTGGAATTCATCAAAATTAAAAACTTTTTGCATTAAATATTATCAAAAAAAGCAAAAAGACAACTTACAGAGTGAAATATTTGCAATTTCTTTGATAAAAATCTAGTATGCAGAATATATAAGGAACTCTTAACAACAAAAAGACAACCCAATTAATAAATGGCAAAGTACTTTAAGAGATATTTCTCCAAAGAAGATAAACAACTGGCCAAAATAGGCACCTGAAAAGGTACTCAACATCATTAGTCATTAGGAAAATGCAAATGAAAACCACAGTGAGATATTACTCCATACCAATTAGGAGAGCTATGACTAGAAAAATGGAAAAGTATTGGTTGAGAATGTGGAAAGACTTGTACACTGCTGGAGCAAAAGTAAAATGGTGCAGCTGGCCACTATGGAAAATAGTTTGGCAGTTCCTAAAACAGCTAAAGACAGAATTACTGTAGGACCCAAAAATTCTATTCCTAGGTAGATACCCAAAAGAACTAAAAATAGGTTCTCAAGTACATGTACATGCATGTTCGTAGCAGCACTATACACAATAGCCCAAAGATAGAAACAACCCAAGCATCCATCAACAGATGAGTGAATAAATAAAATGTAGTATATACATACAAAGGAATATTATTCCACTGTAAAAAGAAATAAAGTACTGATACATGTTAAAATGTGAATGAACCTTGAAAACATGCTAAGTGAAAGAAGCCAGACACAAAGGTCTATATTGTATGATTCCATTTACATAAAATATCCAGAATAGGGAAATTCATAGAAACAAAAAGTAGACTAGGTTGCCAGCAGCCGGAGAAGCAGGTAATGAAGAATAACTGCTTAATGAATATGAGCTTTCCTTTTGGGGTAATAAAAATACTTTAGAAACAGAGATAGTTATTGCATAACATTGTGAATATACTTAATGACACTGAGTTGTTCATTTTATGGTTAATTTACTGAATTAAAGTGGTTAAATTTATCTGAATTTCATTTTTAAAAAAAAAGAGAGAGAGACTTACAAATTGAATTGTGTCTCCCAAAAATATAGGTTGAAGTTCTAACCTCCAGAACCTGTGAATGTGATCTTATTTGGAAATACGGTCTTTTGCAGATGTAATCAAGTTAAGATGAGGTCTTTGGAGGGGGTGTAGGGGGCTTAATCCAATACAATTGACATCCTTAGAGGAAGAGAAGAGGCACACACATGTGCACACAGAGGGAGAGTGCCATGTGATGGCAAAGGCACAGACTGGAGTGGGTGCATCTATAAGCCAAGAAACGCCAAGGATTGCTAGCAACACCAGAAACTAAGAGGAAGACATGGAACAGACTCTCCTGTACAGCCTTCAGGGAAAGGATGGCTCTACTGACATCTCTGATTCCAGACTTCTAGCCAGAACTATGAAAGAATAAATTCTGCTGTTTTAAGCCACCCAGTTTATGGTACTTTGTTACAGCAGCCCTAGGAAACTAAAAAATAATGGAAAAAACAACGGAGGAAGTACGCTTAGAGAAGGAAGTATGAGCGGTATGTGGAGCAACTAGACCGTGAGGGGAGCTCAGATATGAACTTCAGAGTACTTCTATGGGAAGAACTTGAGAAAATTATTCTAACCTTGCGGCTTAAGGCAGCAACAAGATTTCAAGAAAGAAGAGTTGTAGCTATTTATTTGTGTAATAGGCAATTACTGAACATTTATTGTCTTTTTAAGGACCTTTGCTAATTATGAGTTTTTATTAGACAAGGTTTCCTTAAAATGCTGATAAGCTCGCCATTTGATAATGACACAAATCTAGGCCACATATGACCAATGTAACCTGAGTAATACAAACTAAGTGCTACCAGTGTGCAATGTAACCTGAGTGATACAAACTAAGGCTGTTTGCTGGCTGAAGTGATCTGAAATGGCATCACAGGGTCTGGGCACTTAAGATTTGGCAGACTTTTAGAAGTAAGGGAATGATTCCTCACAGCAAGAGCAGTGCCCAGTTTACAAAGGAAATACAATTAATTATTTGTTGGGCAACACTGAATGATCCAGAAAAGATAATTCCATAAATGTAGGATTTACATTAGAGATTAGTGATATCTGGCTGGAAAAGTAGGCTGGAATCAAATTATATAAACAGTCTGGGCTATTCTCAAAATATGTGACATCAAGAACAGGACTGAGCCTTGGGGTGGTGGGAGCGTTCTTTACTAACTTCTAAGCCAGTAAATGATACTGGATTTTTCTTTATCACCTCAATAAAGAAAGTTTGGACAGATGTCTCACAGAGCTATAAACTAAGTGGATGATGATGTTCACATCTCTGTTTTACAACTGGGAATTGCAAATCCAAGAAGCCATTAATATAACTCGTAAAACACAAGGAATGTTGACTGTCTTAATTGAAAAAGAAGCCTGGCTCTGTTACGAAAACAAGGAAAATGACTTCAGGTAGACCTATGACATTAATAAATTTAAGGCAGAACACCTTATTTTAAATGAATGATTAGTTCACTAAAATGAAAGCAAGATTTTGATTTGAAATTCGTTAATGGTTTTTTCCTCCTATGAAGGTGGTGTATTCGAAATTTGAATACAGATGCTAGAAAATAAAGCTTCACCTAAGATAGTATCTCATAGGACAGAGGAGGGGAAGATATAAGAAAGTGGAAGGAGAAACAATAGGTCTTGGTGGAGTAGACAAAAAAATGAACCAAGCATGATGGGATATTAGAAGTTAATCATGAAGAATAACAGTGAGGCATGATAATTTGAAAGAGCACACATATCCAGATATGCAGCAGTCCCTTTATTTTCACAGAATTGAAAAGACATTCTCAAAGGCCTCCTTCTCTGACTTTTAAGACCCAGACTTTCCTTAGCTGAACCATCCGTAACGTGGTGAAGTAGGTATCTTTCTCCACCTCCCCCAAGGATTGCTAGATATAGTAAATACATGACTGCCCCAACTCCTAGCCTGAGTAAAGGAGTTAAACAGCAATCTTTCTAGGACAGGAATCTAAGTGAAGGCTGCCAAAGTGGCACCATGTGCTTTTTCATGCTCTACGTATCTACTGGCTGCTGGCCCAGTTCCTAGCTACAGGTAGAGAAATAACAAGGAAAATGTTATTGAACTACAGGAGAAGCAGCAAAGAAGATGAAGCCCATGCTGGGCGTGGTGGCTCACGCCTGTAATCCCAGCACTTTGGGAGGCCGAGGTGGGCAGATCACGAGGTCAGGAGATCCAGACCATCCTGGTTAACATGGTGAAACCCCGTCTCTACTAAAAATACAAAAAAATTAGCTGGGTGTGGTGGCACGTGCCTGTAGTCACAGCTACTCGGGAGGCTGAGGCAGAAGAATGGCCTGAACCCGGGAGGCGGAGCTTGCAGTGAGCAGAGATCGCCCCACTGCACTCCAGCCTGGGTGACAGAGCGAGATTTCGTCTCAAAAAAAAAAAGAAGATGAAGCCCGAAATGTGGTTACCACTAGGTTCATGAATCTTTTCTCACAGTAGAAAATATGCTGAATTTTATGGCTGCAGAGTCCCTAAATCTTCCCAAAGTGAGGCTCAGGGCTTCAGAGATGGCTATCTACAGAGCAGTGTCCCTTTGTATCTAAAGTGCTTCAACTTTTCCAGAGCACTTCTACATGTATGAGGTGAGTGATTCCTACACAACTTTATATGTTTATTTTAAAGATAAGAAAACTGAGGTCAGCAATGCTAAAGAATCTGACAAGAATCAGACTATATTCATTTTGGCATAACTATACGGAGTCTTCCAATTCCAATCTAGTGCTTACTGCTAACCACATGACTTCTCTGGACTGATATTCTAAGTTCAACCATGTAATTAATTTGAAACCGCCTAAAAATTTATCCTTATTTGCTCATTAAATAAGTTCATATAACATATGAACAGAGAAAGACAATGTATACACAGTCAGGATTTTAAATGGTATTAATTTGCTTATAGACTTCAGTCCATTGTTCATTCAACAAATATGATACTCTAAGTTCATCTATGTAATTAATTTGAAACCACCTAAAAATTTATCCTTATTTGCTCATTAAATAAGTTCAAACAATGTATGAACAGAGAAAGACAATGTATACACAGTCAGGATTTTAAATGGCATTAATTTGCTCATAGACTTCATTCCATCATTCATTCAACAAATATTTATTGAGGCTCAGCTATGTTCCAAGCACAGCTAAGTTCTGGGAATATAAAATCAAATAAGATATAACCATTACCCTCAAAAAGTACACCTTAGTTGGTGGTTCTCCAGAAATACATTTTGTCCAAAGTAAAAAATGCCTGCAGTCAAAATCAAATTTATGACTGCCAAAGATTCAGATATCAAAACAAATTAAAAAGAATCTGTGCTGCCTTGCAGTAATAAGATATAGAGGTCATTAAGAAAAAAAAAAAGTATGCTCTCAGATGCTGCCTTCCAAATAAATGTTCAGGGAACTTATGTGAATCACTGCAGAATACTTGGCCAAAAAGATCTGCAAGTAGAGCCCAAACAATTACTATTTGCAAAGAAAGGTAATACTTAGAAATGAAAATACAGAGAGAAGAATGATTTTTAGAGGCATTAAAAACTCCTCTCCCAGTGACTCCCAAACCCAACAAACATGTGCACCAAGATCAGCCTCAACAATTCCCCTCCTTGGTTTCAAACCTAAATTCTGTCCAGAGTTGAAAGCTAACTTTGTTTCTTAGGTGGGGAAAGAGCACCCTAAAAAGAAAAAAAAATTATAAGTCAAATCCTTAAAACATAAGAATTATAAATACAACAAACTTAATTTATCATTGCACTGTATCAGAATACAATCTTACCCTCAAAATCATTATCTTTCTTACAATCTTCTAAAAGTCCAGAGGCTTTATAGACTTCTACAAACAAGTAAAAACAAATACTCGGCAACATTTGCATTTATCCTTATTTTTCTCTTTGCTACACAAATGTTTCTGAATAGGAAGTAAAGTGTTTTGGCACCACTGGGGAAGGCGGTATGAACATGCCAGAAATATCAGTGTACTTTCAGGAGGATGAAACATACCAGTATAATTCTGTGATAATTTAAATTTAACCTGCTTGGAGGTCTGTGGAGCTGACAAACAATGTTTTTATAAAATTGAGTGATAATGGGAAATAAGTGCTCCTTCAGGCTTAGAGAAGAACCCCAAACTTCAAAAAATTATGGATCAAGGTCTTCTGTCATTCATTAACTGTTTGATTTTGGAAGTGTTTCCTCTTTGATTTACTTTCTTCTACAAAAGAGGAGCAAACATATCTGCCCTTGGAATCTTGCAGGTCTTATATGAGGATGATAAAAATGAGATGACAATGCACTCTTACATAGATACAAGTGATTATTATTTGACCTTTATTTTGATGTGATCCACAGTATCACTCTAATTGATAGGGGGTCAATTGAACTTTAGAGAGGTTTATTTATTCTCACTTCAATTTGACTAAGTATCTCTGAAGGCAGGGGGTTAGTGTAAACAGCTACTTGTACATCCACTTAAGGAAGCCCATTACTGAATGATGTAAACTAGTCAGTTCTGGGGCTAGCAGCTCAGATGGGGAGAAGGAGGGAAGGGAGGGAATATGCATCTGGTTTTCCTGTATGCTTGCTCTGATTACATTATTTGCAGGGTGCAGTATAATTCAGGATTGTTGCATATGAGTTTTCCTTGTAAAGTGGTTTATTTTCAGCACTGCCAGAAGGTGTGAACAGGAACTAAAATTGGCTGTAGCCACTGTGTACTAAGGTACAAGGCTGCATCTTTCCGAAAAAGGTACTTTTCCCTGATTATCTGTCTAGAAGAGGCAGTGTTTTTCTTGCTTGCACAAAGATGCCCTAAGGCTACCTGAGGTCCTGGTCACATATCTGAGACTTTCAGCCACCATCTCGCCCCCTGCTGGAGAAAGGGAGGAGGAAATGTATATTCAAACAGGTATCTGACTAATATTTCTAAAAATTAATGAGGCTGTTAAACATAGTTTGAGAAAGGAGGATAATGGAGGCTGAGCAAAGAATTGTAAACTTTTTCCTAAATATTAAAACATACTAGCAAGCTATAATAATTAAAACAGGTATGATGCTATTGAATGAAAGGCAGATCAGTGGAAGAGCAGAGAAAATTCAGAGACAGACTCAAACACAAATAAGAAATTAGTAAAATAAAGATAGCATATTATATCATCAGGCAAAGGATGGATTATTCAATAAATGGCATTAGGATAGCTGGGTAGCCATTTGTTTTACACACGTGTGGGGGATATGTGTATGCATGGATTTGTACCTCACACAAATCAAATCTAACTCCAGATGAATATCTAGGTGTTAAAAACAAAAGCATACATTTACTGGAGGAAAACAGAAAAATTTCTTGGGATGGATAATGTCTTTCTTAGTCTAATATAAAAGCCATAAAAAAAAAGATTGATAAATTCAATTACATAAAAAATAAAAATGTGGCCGGGTGCGGTGGCTCACGCCTGTAATCCCAGCACTTTGGAAGGCTGAGGTGGGCAGATCACCTAAGGTCTGGAGTTTGAGACCAGCCTGGCCAACATGGTGAAATCCCATCTCTACTAATAATACAAAAATTAGCCAGGCATGGCGTCACATGCCTGTAATGCCAGCTACTCAGGAGGCTGAGGCGGGAGAATCTCTTGAACCCAGGAGGCGGAGGTTACAGTGAGCTGAGATTGCATCATTATGCTCCAGCCTGGGCGACAAAAGAGAAACTCCATCTCAATAATAATAATAATAATAATAATAATAATAATAATAATAATATTAAAATGCCTACATAGCAAAAACTATCATAAAGCAAAGTAATAAAAAAAGAAAAAATACTCATTAATTAAAGGCTATTCCTTAAATCAGTAAGACAAGACCAATAACCTAGCAGAAAGACAGGATAAGGCAAAAGAAAGTCCATGGAAGTACAAATGACTCTTAAGCACATAAGAATATGCTTGTGAATTTATGAATTAGTTGAGTTAAAAAAAGAACATGCCAACCTCAGTAATAACAATATAAAATAAAACTACATTGAGAAGTCATATCTACTTTAAAATATTAATTTATAATTTAACATCTTCTTAAGAAAACTCCAGGCCCAGATAATACCTTCGGTGAATGCTATCAAGCACCGAAGAAACTCTTAAACAAACTTTCAGAAAATAAAGAAGGGAACATTTCCCAATACATTTTGTGACATTATACAATCCTGACGCCAAAACTACACAAGGCAACATAAGCAAAGAAATTTGGAGTCCAGTCTTACTGACAACATAGTGTTACTGAAAACTTAAAAAATTTAACAAATTAATACTACATCAGGACAATACACTCTTGGGAATTCATCCCAAGAACGCAAGTCTGGATTAACATTTGAAAACTGATCAAAGTAATACATTATATTAAGAAAGTGAAAAAGAAAACTCATGTAATTGTCTATATTTGTAGAAAAAACATTTAACAAAATTCAATGCCCATGTTTGATTGAAAACTCTTAGAAAACCAGGAATGAAAGGGAACTTCCTCAACCCAATAAAGGGCATCTATGAAAAACCTACAGCTAACATCGTTAATGGTGAAATATTAAATATTTTCTCTCTAAGATTGGGAACAAAGCAAAGACATGTCTGCTCCCACTACTTCTATTCAACATTGTATTGGAAGTCCTAGCTAGTGCAACAAGGCAAGAAAAATTAAAAGGCTTGAAATTTGGAAAGGAAGAGTAAATGTATTTCTCGTCACAGATAATATGGTTGGATATGTAGGAAACACGAAGGAATCTACAAACAATTACTAGCATGAATAAGTGAGTTAATCAAGCTCTCAGAATCTGGGTCAAGATACAAAAATCAACTCTCTAGCAGCAAGCAACTGGAAAGTGGAATTTAGGAAAATAATTTCACAAATAATAACATCAATATAACATACTTTAAAATACATTTAACAAGACTTGCAAATGCCTACACTGAAATTTATAAAATATTGCCGAGAAAAAAACAAAGGCAATCTTAAAAAACAAGAGTTAAACCCCGTTCATGTCAAGAAACACTCACAAATGGCCTAGGAATTGCTCTAGATTAAAAGAGACTAATGAGATATGACAGGTAAATATAATGTGTGATCCTGGTTTGGATCTTAGACTAAGAAAAAACTATGTTCATAAAGAGGATTAATGAGACAACTGACAAAATTTGAATATGGACTGTATTATAGTATTGTAATTCTGTTAAATGTTCTGATTTTAATCATTATATAGTAGTTACATGGGCAAAATCCGTAAAGTTCAAATAATCAGTATTAATAAATAATACCCATGAAAGTTAGCTGTCTATCAGTTAATAAAGTCATCTTTCTGCTTCTGAAACTGTTAAAAAAGGAGCACGTGCCAGCCATCTGCTGATATCCAGCATCTGTTGCAGGGCTCATAAAAATTATATATAGGCTCACACTGGGACACAAAACAGCCATCCAACGAATTATTTCTCCTCAAGCTCCAAAGTGCACAATCAAATAGCTCAGGAGTTATTTTAAGCTCTAGTTTTTACATTTTTCCCCTCTAAACAAACAAACAAACAAACAAACAAAGTAAGGATGGTTGCAATGAAACACTGGGATTCCCCCCCCATCTCCTGCCACATTTTAAAGATCAAGAAGTGAGGGTATAGATCAAGGGTTGGCAAACTAAGGCCTATGGGATACTTTAGGTCTGCGGTCTGTCTCTACAGCCTGTGAGCCAAGAATCGTTTTTACATTTTTAAAGGGGAAGAGCCATATCAGGCCTGATACTGTTATCCTTAGAAAGGTCTACTTGCAAGGTTGGCCCTTCACTGGTGTCTGGAAATTTGGATTTTGAGGACTTTCCCACCATTCCTTAAAACTGGTAAGAGTAGCTCATTGTGCATAAACTGTGTGAATAATGTGGTTTATGCTGAACACTTCTTTCCTTCTGGGATTATGGAATTTTGTTATGTGCTAGGCAGAGGATGCCTACATGACCAGCTCTCAGTAAAAACCTTGGACACTGAGTCTCTAATGAGCTTCCCAGGTAGACACATTTCATGTGTGTTGTCACAATTCGATACTGGATAAATTAAGGACATCCTGTGTGATTTCACTGGCAGAGGAATTCTGCAAATTTTTGCTTGGCTTCCTCCAGACTGCCCCTAACCTTTCCCCTTTGCTGATTTCACTTGGCTGTGAGTATGGCTTAGCTGCAAGTACGAGTATAGGCTGTGTCCTGTGAGTCTGCCATGGAACCTGAAGATCGTACTGGAGACTCCTGACACAGAATGGGTGAAGAAAAAAGATAGCAACGACTACAACAGAAACTGTGTGGCCTGCAAAGCCCACATTATTTACTATTTGGCCCTTTACAGAAAGTTTGTCAACCCCTGGTATAAATGAAACAAAGATGGGCTAAGGGTTGAAGGTAGGTATTGACACTGGGTAATGAATACATGAGTATATATACTATTTTGTCTAGTGTTATATATGTTTAAAATTTTCTATAATAAAAATAAGGCAAACTCATTCTAAAACTGTGTATCTTGTGATAGTAATAAATTTATTATTTACATATTAGATTTCTAGTCAACTAGGATCTTATAAGATTATCCAGCATTTTACTCCCATTTCTCCTGAGAAATTCAAGTCTTATCTCATCCCTGGAAGCTACCCTGTTCTTACATGATCACACCTCTCAGTGGATTGATCTAGGGGTAGTTACCTGGCCCAAGTAAATATATAAGCCTATCCTTCTTGCCAAAGTGGACCATCACTCAAGCTGGGCCACTGGTCCGGGATTTTTCGAGAAAGTGAGAAAAAATTAGCCTCAAATATGTTTAAGTAATTTTGTTTTTTAACAAATGTGAAAACTGATTATTTTCTGTGTGGTAAGAGAAGATAATAAAACCCTATAAAGTACAGTCATCCATTGCTTAACAACAGGATACGTCCTCACTCTCTGAGAAATGTGTTGTTAGTGATTTTGTTGTGTGAACATCACAGAGTTTACTTACACAAACCTAAATGGTGCAGCCTACTATACATCTAGGCCATACGCTATAGCCTGTTGCTCCTAGGCTACAAACCTGTACCGCGTGGGACTACACAGAATACTGTAGGCAACTGTAACACAATGGTTAAGTATTTGTGTCTAAACGTATCTAAACATAGAAAAGGTACAATAAAAATATGGGATAAAAGATATAAAATGGTACATCTATATAGGGCACTTACCATGAATAGAGCTTGTAGCACTACAAGTAGCTCTGGGTGAGTCAGTAAGCAAGCAGTGAGTAAACGTGAAGATCTAGGACATTACGCTACTGTAGACTTTATAAACACAACGTTTAGGCTACACTAAATTTATGGAAAGAAATTTCTCGCTAATAAATTAACCTTAGCTTCCTGTAACTGTTTTACTTTAAAAACTTAATTTTTTAGAAACTTTTGACTTTTCTGTAGTAACACTTAGGTTAAAACACAAACATACTGTACAGTTGCACAAAAATTCCTTATGATCTTATTCTATAAGCATTTTTCTACTTTTAATTTTTTTTAACTTTTTAAAATTCTTAGTTAAAATTTAGTTAAAAACTAAGACACAGGCCAGGCACAGTGGCTCACGTCTATAATCCCAGCACTTTAGGAGGCTGAGATGGGCAGATCACCAGAGGTCAGGAGTTCGAGACCAGTCTGGTCAATACGGTGAAACCCCGTCTCTACTAAAAACACAAATATTAGCTGGGCATGGTGGCTCACGCCTATAATCCCAGCTATTCAGGAGGCTGAGGCAGGAGAATCGCTTGAACCCAAGAGGCAGAGGTTGCAGTGAGCAGAGATCGCTCCACTGCACTCCAGCCTGGGCGACAGAGTGAGACTCTGTCTCAAAAAACAAAAACAATAACTAAAAACTTAATACACAAACACAGACCTTAGCTTAGGCCTGCACAGGGTCAGGATCACTGTCTTCCACCTCCACATCTTGTGTCACTGAAAGTTTATCAGGGCAATAACAGACATGGAGCTGGCATCTCCTATGATAACAACGCCTTCTTCTGGATACCTCCTGAAGGACCTGCCTGAGGCTGTTGAAAGTTAACTTTCTTTTTCATAAGTAGGAGTACACTCTAAAATAATGATAAAATGTATAATATAGTAAATATATAAACCAGTAGTATAGTTCATTAACAATTTTTATTATTATGTACTGTACGTAATTGTTTGTGCTATGCTTTTATATGAGTGGCAGCAGAGTAGGACTCTTTACATGAGCATCACCACAAACACACAAGTAATGCAGTTTGCTACGATGTTATAATGGCATTATGAACGCTACAATGTCATTAAGTAATAGGAATTTTTCAGCTTCATTATAGTCTCATGGGACTACTGTTGTGTATGCAGTAGGTGGCTAACTGAAACATCGTTATGCAGCACAAGACTATTCCAAACATCCAGAAAGTAAGCAGAACATGGAAGCATCCCCCTTGAAAACCAGCACAAGACAAGGATGCCCTCTCTTACCACTCCTATTCAACACAGCATTGGAAGTTCTGCCCAGGGGAATCAGGCACGAGAAAGAAATAAAGGGTATTCAAATAGGAAGAGAGGAAATCAAATTGTCTTTGTTTGCAGACGACACGATCCTATATTTAGAAAAGCCCACTGTCTCAGCTCAAAAGCTTCTTAAGCTGATAAGCAACTTCATGAAAGTCTCAGGATACAAAAATCAATGCACAAAAATCACAAGCATTCCTATGTACCAACAACACACAAGCAGAGAGCCAAATCATGAGTGAACTCCCATTCACAACTGCTACAAAGAGAATAAAATACCTAGGAATACACTAACAAGCAAAGTGAAGGACTTCTTCAAGGAGAACTACAAACCACTGCTCAAGGAAGTAAGAGAGGACACAAACAAATGAAAAAACATTCCATGCTCATGGATAGGAGGAATCAATATCGTGAACATGGCCATACTGCCCAAAGTAATTTATAGATTCAATGCTACTCCCATCAAACTACCATTGACATTCTTTACAGCATTAGAAAAAAACTATTTTAAAATTCATATGGAACCCAAAAAGAGCCCATATAGCCAAGACAATCCTAAGTGTTAGGAATAATGCTCAAAATCCTAAACAAATTGAACACTCAAACAAAGGATTCTTAGCAAAGCAATTTTACTTCTGCGCAGAGGGGTGCCTCCTTGGCCAGCTGCCATGACAGCATACCTGAACAAAGGGGCATGAAAGCCTTTATTCCTAATGCAAGTCCTGCCCCTGTACCCTTTCCCCACTGGCCGGGGTTGGGCCGTACAATTTAAACTAATCCCGGTTGGCTAAACATTTGATTTTTTTTTTTAGATAGGGTGGGCACGTAAAGCAAGTGGAGGGAAAGGGGAAGGGGTGTCTATAGTGAACCAGAAAGTTAGTCCTCTTTCCAAATAAGGAAAGGAATGTGAGCTGGTACTGATAACGCTTGGTACTGTGGCGTGCCTGGGCATTTAACAAAGGAAAAAAGGAAAAAAGGAGAAAAAAGGAGAAAAATGTGTGTGTGTGGGGGGGGTACTATGAATTAAAGAATAAAAGATTGAACAGATTATTTGAAGAGAAACCTTATCATATCCCACATTAAGTAAAAAACAAAACAAAACAAAAAGCTGGAGGCATCACGCTACCCAACTTCAAACCATACTACAAGGCTACAATAACCCAAACAGCATAGTACTGGTACAAAAACAGACACATAGACCAATGGAACAGGCTAGAGAACTCAGAAATAAGATCACACATCTACAACCATCCGATCTTTGACAAACCTGACAAAAACAAGTAATGGGGAAAAGATTCCCTATTTAATAAATGGTGCTGGGAGAACTGGCTAACCACATGCAGAAAATTGAAACTGGACCCCTTCCTTACCCCTTACACAAAAATTAAGTCAAAATGGATTAAAGATTCAAATGTAAAATCTAAAACTATAGAAACCCTAGAAGAAAATCGAGGCAGTATCATTCAGGACATAGGCACAGGCAAAGATCTCATGATGAAAATGTCAAAAGCAATTGCAACATAAACAGAAAATGACAAATGGGATCTAATTAAACTGAAGAGCTTCTGCAGAGCCAAAGAAAATATCATCAGAGTGAACAGACAAGCTATAGAACAGGAGGAAATTTGTGCAACCTATCCATCTGACAAAGGTCTAATATCCAGAGTCTGCAAGGAACTTAAATTTACCAGAAAAAAAAAAAATGCCACTAAAAAGTGAGCAAAGCGCCAGGCGTGGTGGCTCATGCTTGTAATCTCAACACTCTGTGAGGCCGAGGCGGGTGGATCACGAGGTCAGGAGATCGAGACCATCCTGGTTAACACAGTGAAACCCCATCTCTACTAAAAATACAAAAAATTAGCCAGGCGTGGTGACGGGCACCTGTAGTCCCAGCTACTTGGGAGGCTGAGGCAGGAGAATTGCTTGAACCCAGGAGGCGGAGGTTGCAATGAGCTGAGATCACGCCACTGCATTCCAGCCTGGGCAACAGAATGAGACTCCATCTCCAAAGGGGGAAAAAAAGTGAGCAAAGGACATGAACCGACACCTCTCAAAAGAAATTTATGCAGCCAACAAACATATGAAAAAAAGGTCAACATCACTGATCATTACAGAAATGCAAATAAAAACCACAATGAGATACCATCTCATACCAGTAAAAACAGCAATTATTAAAAAGTGAAAAACAACAGATGCTGGTGAGTCTGAGGAGAGATAGGAACGTTTTTACACTGTTGATGGGAATATAAATTAGTTCAACCATTGTGGAAGACTGTGTGGCAATTCCTCAAAGACCTAGAACCAGAAATACCATTTGACCCAGCAATCCTATTACTGAGTATATACCCAAAGGAATATAAATCATTCTATTATAAAGATACACATCCTGGCCAACATGGTGAAACCCCGTCTCTACTAAAAATACAAAAATTAGCTAGGCATGGTGGCGCATGTCTGTAATCCCAGTTACTTGGGAGGCTGAGGCAGGAGAATCGCTTGAACCAGGGAGTCGGAGGTTGCAGTGAGCCGAGATCTTGCCACTGCACTCCAGCCTGGCCACAGAGTGAGACTCCGTCTCAAAAAAAAAGAAAAGAAAAAAAAAGATACATGCACGTTTATGTTCATCGCAGCACCATTCACAATAGCAAAAGACATGGATTCAACTAAATGCCCATCAATGATATATTGGATAAAGAAAATGTGGTACAATACGCCATGGAGTACTGTGCAGCCATAAAAAAGGAACGAGATCATGTCCTTTGCAGGGAAAGGGATGGAGCTGGAAGCCATTATCCTCAGCAAACTAACCCAGGAACAGAAAATCAAACACCGCATGCTCTCATAAGTGGGAGCTGAACAATGAGAACACTTGGACACAGGGAGGGGAATAACACATACTGGAGCCTGTGAGATGAGGGGGTGGAGGAGGGAGAGTATCAGAAAAAATAGCTAATGCGTGCTGGGCTTAATACTTAGGTGACAGGTTGATAGCTGCAGCAAACCACTGGGCACATGTTTATTTATGTAACAAATCTGCACATGTATCCTGAAACTTAAATTAAAAAACAAAAACAAAAATAAGCAGAACATAACACCCACATACTCAACCACCTATCTTCATCAAATTTTAAAATCTGGCCAGGCGCAGTGGCTCATGCCTGTAATCCCAGCACTTTGGGAGGCCGAGGCGGGCGGATCACGAGGTCAGGAGATTGAGACCATCCTGGCTAACATGGTGAAACCCTGTCTCTACTAAAGATACAAAAAAATTAGCTGGGCATGGTGGCGAGCGCCTCTAGTCCCAGCTACTTGGGAGGCTGAGGCAGGAGAATGGTGTGAACCCAGGAGGCGGAGATTGCAGTGAGCCGAGATCGCGCCACTGCACTCCAGCCTGGGTGACAGAGCGACTCTCCATCTCAAAAAAAAAAAAAAAAAAAAAATTTAAAGTCTGTCATACTTGAGATTTTCTTTTTAAGCCAATAAAGCATTATAGATACAGTTGATGCTCCCTCATGTATATTTCCGGATCCTACTCCAACCCCATCCTGCTTCTTCATAGGTAGATAATACCTTGAATTTGTTGTTTACCATTTTTGGGCATGTTTTTTATACCCTTCACTTTATAACATGTATCCATGTAAGTGATGATATTGCTTTGCATATTTTCAAACTACATAAATGGTATCATATTATATGTACGATATTTCACCTTTTTTTTACTCATTATGTTTTGAGATAATCACCCTGATATATATGTGTATGTGTGTATAGATATGTATGCATCTATAGATAGCTTTGGCTTATTCTTTCTCACTGTTGTATGGTATTCCATTGTAAAAAAAAGTCTATCACATTTTTCTTCTTTTTCTATTGGAGGATATTTAAGTTGCTTCCAGTTTTTCATATTATGAACAATGTTAAAATGAACAGTCTTATAACTTAATCCTTATACAAGCCAGAGTTCCTTTAAGGTATATACCCCAGAGCAGAAGGCTGAGTAGAAGATGACCATGCCCATCCTCTTTTACTTCATATTGCCAAACTACTCTTCAAGGTGACTATATAATTTTAAACTCCCACTAGTAGTGAATCAGACTTCCTGTTGCTCCTCTTTGTCACAATTATTATGGAAGTCTTATTTTTGCATCTAATAAATGTGAAAATGTATCATTTTAATCTGTAATTTATCTGATTATTGAGAGTGAGCATCTATTCATATGTTAAATATGTTAACTGCCAATATGGTTTTTTATTCTGTGAACTGCTGGTTCATATTCTCTATCCACTTTTCTAAAATTCTTATCTTATTGGCCTATGGATATAATCTAGATACTAATCTTTGTTAGCTACATGCATTGCAAATCTTCCCTGGTCTTTTAATTTTGTTACTGGTGGTAACAAAATTTTTGTAGAATAGAACTTTAAAATTTTAATGCATTAAACCTTATCAGAGCAGGTGCAGTGGCTCACGCCTATAATCCTAGCCATTTAGGAGGCGAAGATGGGAGGATTGCTTGAGGACAGGAGTTTGAGACCAGCCTGAGCAACACAGCGAGACCCTGTCTCTTAAAAAACACACAACAAGCATTAAATAACAACAACAACAAAAACCATTCTGAATCATGGAAGACAACAAAACAAAACAAAACAAAATAAAACAAAAACAAAACCCCAAAAACAATTATCACTTAGTAATAAAACAAAACAAAAAAATTTATCAATCTTTTGTTATGTTTTTTGTGTCTTGTTCAAAAAAAAACAAATCCTTCAGTGTCCCCAGTGTTATACTACTATTAATATTCTCCTATATTTCCTTCTAAAAGTTTTGCTTTTTCCATTTCGGTTTTTAATCTACCTAAAAAAAATGTGTGTGAGTATGTTCATATATTTTGAAGTAAGAATGAAGAATTTTCCCATATAATTGTTAGATTATCGATTGTCTAAGTAGCATTTATTAACTAATCCATTCTTCGCCCTTTGATGTAAAAAATATCTCAGGTTTCCAGATATGTAGATACATTTCTGGGTTCTCTCTATTCTGCTCCACTAGTCTATTTGTCTACATCTAAGCCATTATCTTCATTTGTATTTTTTGTAGCTTTCTAATAAGTCTTGTTGTCTATCTTGTGGACCAATCATTTTATGTTAGTCTTCTTAAAACTGTCTTAGCTATTCTTGGTTTTATTCTTTCACTTGAATTTCAGGGTCATCTTCTCAGGTTCCCCAAAAATTTCTGCTGAGATTTTGGTTGGAATTGCACTGAATTTATAGATGAAATGTGACACTTACTGTTTAATAGTTTAAAACAAATAAAATGGAAAGATATACTTAAAAGACTGGCAAGAAACACACTAAAAACAAGTGATTTTTCCTTTATAAGTATTTTTTTTAAAAAAAGAATATGTAATTACTTTTTCCATAAACAAGAAATGATTTTAAAAATATGAAAAAAATGTATATTTCATTCTAACCTGCAAGGCTGCACAGCAGCCCAGTTTTCTATATAAGAATCAGCTCTACAAATAGAAACTCTTGCACAGCTTCTAAAAAAACCAATAAAATAAAAGTGGGGAATGCTGACAACATTAAACAACTTTAGCCATTCTGAGCTGCTCTTGTGCATGCCAGATATCAAAACTAAAATCTCTGGAAGCAGTTCCACAATTTCTATTTCAATTGCTTACATGCTCCCAGCCCACAGAACAGACCTCTCTTTTTGTGTCTAATCTGTATTTTGATTATTGATTCAATAACATCTTATCAGAGATCAGTTATGGTGCAGTTTTTTCCTAACTGGGAATCATTTTCTTGAGGCTTCTTCTCCCTTCTTCACAGATAGTAAGCAGATCTGTTGCCCCCTTCTGGTTTGTGGCTGTAAGCTTAGCAATACGGGTACACGTATGACAGATTTGATTTGCTGTCTTTTAGGGTCAGGAAGCTTCCCCCAAAATGTGATATCCTTTCTAAATGTGTGTTGAACTACTAGTGTTCCTAAGCATCTACTTCTCCACATTCCTGAGCCTTGATGGCCCTTACACCTTGATGCCCTTGGGGCAGGGGTGGTGCGGATGGTTAGGGAAACCTAAACCAGAAATCAAATACATTTTCCCATAAGAGAGAAGTATGGGAAATAAATACTCCTTGCTTCTCCCGATGTTACAATCTAGTATAGTCAACATTAAAGCTAAATTTTATTGAGCACTGACCTTCTTTGTCCCAAGACTGTTCTAAGGGCATTATAACGTTATCAATTTCTTGGAGTCTCATAAATACCCTAAAGCACAGGCACTATTTTAACACTCATTTTATGAGGGAGGAAATGGATGGCACATTCGACATTCAAATCCAGGCACTCTGGCTCAAGTCCATACTCTTGTCTACTATACTATACTGTGTCTCAGGTAAAGAGAAAGAAAGAAATATTTTTGACAGAAGACAAAACAAAATAAGTAAGCACCCCTGAATAGGTAAAACAAAATTTTATAGATGGGTCAGAGAGATCACATTCAACCGTGAAAATCAGGGTAAGTTTATGAGTGTAGCAGAATTTGGGACAGGCCTTAAAACACAGGCTGTATTCTGTTAGAAAGAGACAGTGGGGAGGGAAGAGCATAGGCAAGATATGAAAGTAGAAGGCACATTCAGAGAACAGTAGTCCATTCCAACTGGAGTCTGAAAGCACTGTGTAAGTGTGTAAGTCTGTTATTACCTGCTATTATTCAGCAAATGGAGGACTATACTAATCTATACGTATGAGATGCACAAAGTTCTCACTTGAACACATAATTTCAGTGTTTGACTTATCAAAACTCTGCCAAGATTTTTACCAATGAAGACTAATGATTGAGTTTCACCTCTTGGTAGTGTCCATCACTGAACTATGTAACAGCCAGTGCATAATGAATACACTGTTCATGTGCTGTAATGATCTGGTGTTGGAAGACCTAGTTTTAAGTCCCAGCTTTGCCTATTACTAGGTATAAAATGGTGATACTATTTGTCTTAAAATCAGCATTGCTATTAAAAAAACAGAATAGACCTCAAAATGTAAAATCTGCCTGTTCAAAACAAACATACCTGGAAATCTATCATGAAAATGAAAGCAGCCTAGACCACTAAACAGAATTCACATCAAATACTTCTAGCTCCTCAGATGTCCTCTTGCCTAGACACACAGCATCTGGAAATACTCAGGAATTTATTTGCCTTTGGCCTCAAAAACCATGATGCAATCAACTGAAACTTCTGTTCCCATAAATCTCTCCTTGAAGCTTCTGTTTATCTACTCAGCTCTCCCTTAAATATTATACCAGTTTCTGAAACGATCTCTTAATTATTTTCAAATCAAACTGCGTTACACTTAAAACCCTACTGAAGTAGGGTTTATATAATAAATATAAAACTATATTTTAGTTATGCCTTTCTCATTGCCCTGTAGCTATAATTCCTGGTACCTTAATTTGACTTTACAATTATAAAAATAGGCAGGAGAAATATTTTTCAATAAAAGGGGTTTATACTGTAGAAAAAAAAGAACTTGGATACATATTCTTATGTGAAATTTTAGGAGTTTAAGGTTTAATTTACAAATGGTTCTGTAGCTATTAGAACAGATTTACTTTAGCCTTCTCCTTTTAAATCTCATGTATATACAAGGCATCAAAAACATGTGGTTTGTGGGCCTTGCAGGAAAAAGGCAAGTACATATGTATAAAAATTAGTTACCTAGAGGATAAATAAGAGTGGATACCCAACTTCTCATACCACAAAATTTACTAAATATATTCACAAACAAGATAGTAAATGAAGTCTGTCACCTAAATCCAGAAGAGAATAAGAGATCTTCTACCCTTTCTGTTGTTTACTTTTACATCTATTAGTTTTTCTCTTGATATTCATAGTTAAGGCGGCTGGAACTTCAATTTTAAAGTGAATAAAATTCTGCGTGAGAAACTAAACAAAAAGCCAGAGCTACATGCTTTCAAAGTCTGAGGCATCTGGTGATAAAATCTTATCAGTGACATTAAGAAACATTATGTTTTAGCTATGGGAAGTGCCTTGGGAGGCATCCAAGATGATCTGCTCATCTAGAAAGCTGATGTCCAGAGAGTTCACTAACTAGTTCAAAGCTACAGATCAAAGTGGGGACTAAACTGGTCCTAAGACCCCAGTCACCTCTTTCTTCCCATCCTGACTCCTTCAGGGTCTTTTTAGTACCTCCCCCACAAGATAATACATTTTCATTGTTGAATTTCTTTTTATGTTAATTTTTTTCTAGGTTTAATTAATTCTATGTCACACTGTTAGGAGGTTTCAAAATGTTCATTGAGTCTGTATCTTTTGGTATATTACTGAAACTGCTTAGGAAAAAAAACTGACACAAAGAGATACACTGGGCTAGCTGATGAGCTTCTGAACTTGAAGTCAGGCCTCATCCACAGCTGGAGCTTGGACTTGTCACATGGCTCCAAGGGACTCACTTAGTCTATCCAGGTTGCAATTTCAGATTCCGGAAGTTGGCAGGACTTCAGAGGTCATCTGGTCTAAAATTTTCCAACTAGTGCCAATACACCAGGAAGACCCAATGGGTATGTTTTGGCAATTGTTCTTTCTCCAAAGGTCTGTGGCCAGTTCCTGTCAAACAGTCCAAGTATGGTCAAGTAGGCAAGATATGATCCAGCAAGCTTAGAAAGAAATGTGTACGTACAAAAAAAAAAGGCAAAAGAAAAACTCACCCTCTTGCTGCCTTCTAAATCTGCTTCCAATTCAATACTTCTATCATGTACAAGCCACTTTCCCACTGAGGTTCAATTTTCAGTTCATTTTTGACTCTCCTTGTTTTCTGTCTCTACATTCAACCTGCCATTAATCCTGCTGATCCAATTTTTTCCCTCCTATGTACATTTCTCTCTTTATTTCCACTGTCTACTACCACAGGACAGGTCTTTTTTCTCTATATGCATAGACAATTTCCTTATAACATTTACCAATTTTAATAAAAAATTTACCCTGTTATAAATCTTTCTGAAATACTTTTATTATGATATATACTTCTTAAGAATCTGCAGATGACTATCTTGAGGATCTTTTAAAAAATATTTTTTCAGGCTAGGTGTGGTGGCTCATGCCTATAATCCCAGCACTTTGGGAGGCCGAGGCAGGTGGATTGCTTGAGTCCAGGAGTTCAAGACCAGCCTGGGCAACATTGTGAGACCCCATCTCTAAAAAAAAAAAAAAAAACACCACCAAAAAGGCCAGGCATGGTGGCATACGCCTAAAGTCCTAGCTACCTGGGAGGCTGAGGTAGGACAATTGCCTGAGCCTGGGAAGTTGAGGGTACAGTGAGCTAAGATCCTGCCACTGCATGCCAGCCTGGGCAACAGAGTGAGACCCTGTCTTTAAATTAAAAAAAAAAAAAAAATTTGGTTAATTTCCTTCTGTGTGTGTGTGTGAGAGAGAGAGATGGAAAAAGAGAAGGGGGGAGGGAAGGGAAGGGAAGAAATGAAAAATATGTATTTTTTGAATAAGTAATATACACCCATGATATAAAATTCAAAAGTTACAAGAGACAATTCAATGAGAAGTCATCCAGGTTTCTTCCCTAAAAGAAACCAATGTTACCAGTTTTTGTGTGTATCATTCCAGAGATATTTTATGTACACACATACATATATACACATAAGCATCAAAGCACATGTATACATATTACACATAAACCACAGTGGCTACATCACACACTAAGTCCTACTCTTGTTTTTTTCACTTAATACATTTCACAATTTATTCAATAGGAAATACAAATAAAGCTTCCTCATTCTTTTCAATCACTGCACAGTATTCCACTGTACAGCTGTAGAATAATTAAACAGGCTTCTATTGATGGACGTAATCTTTTACTTTTTGCAATGGACATTTTTGGCATGAATATGAGTGTATCAGGAGGTTAAATTCCTAGAGGTGGAATTATTGGGCCAGAGGGTATTGTACTTATAATTTTGACAGATGCTGCCAAAGTTCTATCTATACAAGTTGTACCGATTTATATATCCACTAGCAATGTATGATAATGACAGATTTTGAACCCTCCCTTCTCTCCTGCCAACATTCTATTCCCTCTCTAATCTGCCTTCCTTATTTCTCATTATTCCCCAACAAACCCTGATCTCTCTGGTTAAGGCAGTTTCCATAAAGCTAGTTCTCACTTCCTCCTTCTAACTCCAGCTGTACGATTTGTTCCATCTTGAACACTTGCTCCTGTTTCCTCTACTCATCTAACCTTCAAGGCTATCTTAAGTTCTACCTCTTTTATAAATGTTTGCTGATAACAACATCAATCCTTCTTCTAGCCTGCTCAAAACATGTTTTCTCTAAAACTTACATTTTGTTACATAAATTCAGTAAATTTATCTACTTATCATATCCTGGATTTGTGTTGATTTTGAATTGTTTCACGTATCTAATGATCTTCAACCATCTAATAATCTTTTTTTGGGAGGGGGACAGGGTCTTGCTCTAGTACTCAGGCTGGAGTGCAGTGGCTCGATCATAGCTCATTGTAGCCTTGAACTTCTGGAATCAGCCTCCTAAGTAGTTAGGACAACAAGGCCCAGCCTTAGCTTCCTGAGTTGCTAGGACTATAGGCACACACCACCATGACCAGCTAATCTTTAAAAACATTTTTGTAGAAACGGAGTCTCACTATGTTGCTCAGGCTGATCTCAAACTCCTGACTTCAAGGGATCTTTCCACCTCAGTCAACCAAAGTGTTGAGATTACAGGCATGAGCCACTGCACCTAGTTGTAATATTTTTTTATTGTTGGGATTATATAATATCCTTCCTTTGAATATACCACAGTTTTAGTGCATTAAAAAATACTCTCAAAGCCTCTACTGGCTTTAAAATTTCCCGTATAAACAGAGCTGAAAATCATTTGTCTTACAGACACGAATCCGTCCTCATTTATTTCCATCTCAAATCCTGTTAGGGCAGTTTAAATTTTCCCGCAATGGAAAAAGAATGACTTTTGCAAAATCAGTCTCTTCCCTCATATTCCTTATAATCTTCTTTGTTAGTTCCTAAATATATACTATACATTCAATATGTATTTCTTGAATTGATATTGTTCCTAATGTCTCTATATTAATAATGCATGTGCGTGTGTGTATATACCTAAATATGTATGTGTGTATACACACACACATATACAAGAGGTGATTCTAAAATTGATACGGAATGGAAAGGACCGACACTAGCCAAAATAATTTTGAAAAAGAACATGCAAAAGTTGAAGGGCTTACACTACCTAATTTTAAGACTTATTTAAAAACTACAGTCATCAAGACAGAGTAGTATTGGCATTAAAATAGATAATAGAACAGAGATCAATGGAACAAAGAAGTCCAGAAATAGACTCACACAAATATAAACTAATTATCAACAAAGGTACAAAGGCAATTTAAAAATAGCCTTTTCAACAAGTGGTGCTGACACAATTAGGCATTCTTATGTCAAAAAATTAGCTTTGATCTTTACCTTATAACATACACACAAAAAAAAATTCAAAATCATAAATCTGTAGGGAAAGAAAGTATTTTGCTCAACCGTTTTTAAAATTAACATGGGATATAAAAATTCTTTTAAACAAATATAAAAAATAAATGCAGTCTTTTTATGCCCACTGAATAGACCTTTCCTGTCAGCTGCTGTTAGCTGAGCTGTCCTCTTACCTCTCTTTTCTGTGTCACAGAACCTTTGCTGCTACTGCTGGGAAATAGTATGGCTTTTCACCTCAACAAGCACTGGGTGATGGTGATACCAAAATAAAGCCGATCATAGACCTAATTATAAAACCTAAAACTACAAAACTTCTAAAACAAAATCTAGAAGAAGAATCCGTGTGGTGCTGGGTTAAGCAGATTCCTTAGATATGGGGTCTCCAACCCCCAGGCTGTGGATTGGTACCAGTCTGTTAGGAACTGGGCGGCACAGTAGGAGGTGAGCGGTGGGTGGGTGAGCATTACCGCCTGAGCTCCACCTCCTGTCAGATCAGTGGTGGTATTAGATTCTCATAGGAGCAGGAACCCTCCCTTTGCAAGGGATCTAGGTTGCATGCTCCTTATGAGAATCTAACTAATGCCTGATGATCTGAGATGGAACAGTTTCATCCCCAAACCATCCCCAACACCAACCCCCAGCTGTGGAAAAACTGTCTTCCACAAAACCAGTCCCTGGTGCCAAAAAGGTTGGTGACCCCTACCTTAGAGAACACCAAAAGCACAATCCATTAAAAAAAAAAAGTTGATAAATTGGACTTACATAAAAAATAAAAACAGGTTGGGTATGGTGGCTCATGCCTGTAATCCCAGCACTTTGGGAGGCCGAGGTAGGCAGATCACCTGAGGTCAGGAGTTCAAGACCGGCCTTGCCAACATGGTGAAACCCTATCTCTACAAAAACACAAAAATTAGCCAGGCGTGGTGGCAACTGCCTGTAATCCCAGCTACTTGGGAGGCTGAGGCAGGAGAATTGCTTGAACTTGGGAGGTGGAGGCTGCAGTGAGCCAAGATCGTGCTACCGCACTCCAGCCTGCATGACAGAGACTCCATCTCAATAAAAAACAAACAAACAAACAAAAAAAATTGACAAAAGATTCGAACACTTTACCAAAGGAAATATCATTACTCATTGGGCAAATAATTAAAGCCACAATAAGATACCACTAAACACATGTTGGTATGGCTAAATGTGTTGGCACAAATGTGGAGGAAGCGGAACTGCTGTTGGGACTATAAATGGTATAATCACTTCAGAAAACAATTTGGTAGTTTCTTAAAAAGTTAAACATTTACTTACCATATGCTCCAATCATTCTACCCCTAGCTATTTATCCCACAGAAATGAAAGCACGCATCTATACAAAGACTTGTGCATGGATGTCTGCAGCAGCACATACTCCTAGGGACTCAGGACTGGAGTCTGCAGAGGTACATAGTTAGCACACCAGAGGAATAAAATGGAATAACCATCTAAGGTATGAGATCATTCTGGGAAAGCTAGGTGGAATGCTTAAGCCAAAGCCAAAAAAATACCTTGAAGGTTCACTCTTCCTATGATGAGGCTCCAGATGAAATAATAAGACCAGTGGGAAGAGAAGTAGAGTCTGAAGCAGTGGAGGGCAAGAATTCTTTTTTTTTTTTTTTGAGATGGAGTCTTGCTCTGTCGCCCAGGCTGGAGTGCAATGGCATGATCTCGGCTCACTGCAAGCTCCGCCTCCTGGGTTCATGCCGTTCTCCCGCCTTAGCCTCCCATGTAGCTGGGTCTACAGGCGCCCACCACCATGCCCAGCTAATTTTGTTTTTGTATTTTTAGCAAAGACGGGGTTTCACTGTGTTAGCAAGGATGGTCTCGATCTCCTGACCTCGTGATCTGCCCGCCTCGGCTCCCAAAGTGCTGGGATTACAGGCGTGAGCCACTGCGCCCGGCCATGGAGGCCAAGAATTCTAATCCTTATCACAAAGCTCCCATGATCTCTGGCAATGCATGCACTATGACCAACGATCTGCTATTTTCCAGTACAGAGCTATTAACAATAATAAGCAATCTCCCAGGCCTGTGGTAAGGATCAGCAAATAAGAACTAAATAAAGAACTAGGCAATATTAAAGTATAGAAGTGCTACTAAAAAATGCTCTCAGACTCATTTCTCTCCCCTTGGGTTCTTACTCTTTTCTTAATAATGTTCAGGCATAATGCGACCTGGCAATATGCTAACAGAAAAATTTAAGATTACCTTTTATTGCTGTGAAACACAAAGTCTCTACGCCCTCAAAGGAAAATTACTGCTGCGTAAACGAATGCATGCTGTTCCCTCTTAATAATCCCTCTTAATAAACTCCCACCTTCCCCTTTTCCTACAGGCAGAAATGGATTTTTACAACATAGGCCTGGGGTGGTGCTATAGCCTTCCAAGGAACCATTGGGTATTTTTGCTTCATGAAAAATGAAGCTATTTTGGTCCTTCCTTTTTAGGCTGGCTGCCAACCCAGGACCTGGAGACATGCAGGCTGCCATCTGCCTTGGCCCAGCTGTTCCTGACCTGCTATCCATCTCCAACCAGGGATACCTGGGATCTGCCAGGTTGGCTAAGCAAATAGTGAAAGATACTTGAGACCCACGTACAGCATGGATGAATGTGTTGGCAGTACACAGCTTGCCACGCAATCTGAACTTCCTTTCTTACTGGGTGGCATGCCACTCTCCATAGCAACACTGAGAGCTGTATTCTGAGAAAAACTCATCTTCCACTGAGCTTTGCAACAGTCTTTTCTTATTGTATAACAATTCAGCATTCCCTACATGTTTGCTAAAAACTAAAAGGCTGCTTTAAAAGAATGCTATATTCTTTTTTTTTTTTGAGACAGGGGTCTCACTCTGTCACCTACGCTGGAGTACAGTGGTATGACCTCGGTTCACTGCAGCCTCGACCTCCCAAGCTCAGGTGATCTTCCCACCTCAGTCTCCCAGGTAGTTGGGACTACAGGTGTGCACCACCACACCCGGCTAATTTTTTGTATCTTTTTATAGAGATAAGGTTTGTTATGTTGCCCAGGCTGGTATTAAACCCCTGTGCTCAAGCAATCCGTCTGCCCCAAGTGCTGGGATTACAGGCATGAGCCGCTGTGCCTGGCCTAAAAAAAAATTTACATCCTTAATATAAGGAGTATATGTTATATATGTTAGAAATTTCTATGACTTATCCTTCAGGAATGACTGTTACGTTGCAGATCAAATTATCAGTTCTGATTATTGACACCCGGATAGTAGAAGGAGCAAGTTTAATTTCATACATCTCTAAACTACCATGGTCCCAACATGATTCGAAGGCCTATGTAAGCCTTTAAAAATGCAATTTGCAAATATCCTCAGTGAAGATGAGGACACTAAGTGGAAAGAGGAAATTTTTATGGCTTGAGTTTGCATTTTAGCAATGCAGTAATCAAATACTAACACAAGAATGGTTAAAGCTTGTCATAACCATGAAAATAATGGTTTTTGCCAATGGCACAATTTTACCAGTAACATGCTGTTTTATCTCCTGAAAATAGAGACATAGAGCCCGCCCCAAGGTTCACTTGTCTGCATTTGGGCAGTATACATTGGGCATGTGGACTTGGAGGTTATGGGGGGAAAGCTCAGAACTACAGACTAGGTGGCCCAGGAAAGATGCTCTCTACAAGATGAAAAAGGAAAAAGTTCCCATTGTATAAAACTCTACATACACTCACCATAACTGACTCCAGGCAGACAGATCCCTTTTAAAAGGGGATCTCTTATAGAGGAACAGCTAAGCCTGGTCTCTCTGGAATTTCTTCTGCCTTAGTTTCCTATAAAGAAATTGTAGCCCCATCTGCGATCCTTAACAATAAACCTTGCACTGAGACAGCACTGCATTGTTTTTATAGCATTGCCCCACTGCTCACATCTGATCCTTGTGGTTTCTCTCTCAGGACAGGCAGTGGCTTATACTTAAGTCTCTATGTTGGGTGTGCTCAGCCAATCTCTATGTTTTAGTCTCTGCATCAGTAAAATAAAGATGCAAATCTAATTCTTAGGAATGCTCTAAGTTTATAGTAAAGCAAAGGTAGGAACCCTTTTCTCTTCCAAATATTAACAAGAGGGCGTGTGGATAGGAAGTAGAAATTAATCCTTTGCCCAGAAAAAGAAAGTATTTTGCCTAACTGTTTTTAAAATTAACATGGGATATAAAAATTCTTTTAAACAAATATAAAAAATAAATGCAGTCTTTTTATGCCCACTGAACAGACATTTCCTGTCAGCAGCTGTTAGCTGAGCTGTTCTGTTACCTCTCTTTTCTGCGTCACAGAACCTTTGCTGCTACCACTGGGAAAGAGCATGACTTCTTACCTCACCAAGGACTGGGTGATGGTGATATCAAAATAAAGCGGAAATGCTCCTGTCTAGCACCCTGCCAGCGCTGGTCTCCTGACAGGTAGCATCTCAGGGCCTGTCCAAATCTTCTCACTCCTCACCACACCTTTTTTCCGGTGCTGTAGGGAAACTTGGGAGACTGGCTGTATCTAAATTTTCATTGTGAAGACAGAAAACCCATCAATTATATGCTTGTCTTACTTGGTAAGGTCTAAACTAAGAAAGTCTTCTTTGTAAGAAGAGAAAACAAAGACCCAGAGTATTTAAAACCCAAAAAACCTAAGGGAAGAAATAAAAATAAGTCTAAGCAAAAGAACCTATTTTTCAAACAAGATCTCACAGCAGGGTTCCTAACAATTTTTTGTCTTGAACCCTCTGGCAGTCTGATGAAGGCTTCTCAGAATTAGTTTCTTACAACAGAAACCAATTATATTGAAATACAATTATCAAGATATTAAGAAATCTTTGGGATATGGTAACATATGTGCTGCTTTATTAATGCATGAAATAACACTAGCTAGCGGTAGGTTTAATTACTAACATAATTTCTAAGCAGTGATATCTGTAACAAATGTAATGTGATATGAAAAAATCAATGATTTTTATTGGCAAGAAAGACACAGATGCTGTTAATATTATAGTCATCTGCTGCCTACATTCATAAATGAAAGAAATGCTAAATATTATTGAGGTTAGTGAAAATAAAAATATAATTTTATTCTTATGCAAGTTCACAGTCCTCTCTGAATTTTCTCTGTAGACACCGATAAGGCAGCTGGAGGCACAGTTTCTCTGGCAGAAACAGAAGCAAAAGCAAATGGCCTGTGGCAGCATGGTCTGGCCTATCTCCAGACCTATTCTTCCCCCAAGCCACGCCCTAGAGGGCCTATAAGAAACTAGCTCCAGGGCTTCTCAGAAGACAGCTTGAAAACCACTCATAAAGAGGTTTACCATTTAGCCTGCTAGTAATATCTGTGCAAGAGCACACCTATGCCTATTTTCCCAACCTCCCGGCTTAAACTATACATATCGTATAAAGTCCCTGGCTCAAATCCTTATTTCATTTTACTGTATTTATTTTTTATTATCTTATTTAAGTTTTCTTTATTTGTCACAGCCCAACAGTATGCCTTGTTTCCTTATTTTGTTTATTTTACTTTGTTTTAACTTTGTTGCTATTTTAATCACTTTTACTCTTGGTTTATTTTCCTTTTATATGGGTATTACCAGTTTTTTTTTTTTTTTTTTTTTGGCCAATGAATATAGTTGCTGGTATTGCCTTAATCATTTTTAGTTCACATTATTCTTTGGTTAGAGCTTCACCCTTTCCTTGGTGTTTTCATTTTTTATTTATAAATAGAAGGCAAAAGTTGATCATAGGATTGCCAGCTCCCAGAGAATAGACCACGGCCCAAATAAAAGTACTTAGAAATTTGTTCTCCTGCCTGCTGTCTGAATAGCAGCCTTTCTATCTCTCCTTAAAAGATCCCTTTAATGTTGAAGTCCCTAAACATTTAAGCCTATGTACTTTCAGAGATTCAAAACTTGAAATCTTCTGCTGGGATGATAGGGTGATAATAAGCTGGCAGGTACCAGCAGCACCCTGAGCTGCTGGAACTTGGAACTGTTTACTTGTGTGCCTGATGCAATGGCAGAAGCTCAATCAGCTCTTCACTGATCATTCAAGGTTTCTAAACTTCTTTGGCTCTAGACTTTACATAATAATTGCGGAAATTTGATCACTAGAAGAGGAGAAGATGTGGCAGCTACACTCCTGCTAGCAGAGCCTGGTGTTCACAGGTTATGTCAGAGAAAGAGGTGAACCAATGCCAAAGTTCTCCTGTGGGCTTGTCTGTTAAAGACGGTACTGCTTAAGGACTGAGAAATCCTAACCCCAGGCCTGCAAGCTGTGAGTTGTATAAAATTAAGAAGTTCCTTTTTCATTTCCTCACCTTAGACCTGGAATTGTAAGTTTGCTCCGAGATGTCTAAAGTCATCCCATGAGGAGATGTTAGGCATCATAATGATTGAAGGCCTAACTGGTAGAAATATTACACAGCAGTAAGTCCTTGGTGTCTTCAGGATTAACATCCCTGATTTTGATTACTTGAGATAAACCCCAAGAGTTTATAACTTGTAATTTTTAATTTTGCTAAGGCATAAGTATGTTCTGTATATTCTCTAAGGGTGGAAAGCAAGAGTGAGGCACTTAGCTAACGAGAGAACCCAGCCAATCTCCACTGTTCCGACGCAGCTTTGTAGAGTTCTACCTAGTCTCATATATATACAAGCACATGAAGTCATAAAAACATTTCTGTCTTAAAAAAAAAAAAAGCTGATAAAAAGAGAGTCAATTTTCTTGGTAATGGAAGGGAGGAGAAAGAACTAAGATAAACGATAAATCATAGCTAAAGAACTAGTTTTGATTAAAGCAAAAAATGGGATGTCCAATTAAACAGTGGCTCAGATTTATGATGGACAAGAGTCTTTTATTTGATCTATATGGAAATAGGACGTAGTGATCTTATGAAACTTTCAGTTATACCCCAGGCCACACAAAACTGAACATCATGTGAAGAATTAATCATAGAAGGTCTTAAAAACAGAATTTCAACTTTTCAGTAATACTTGGAGAATGTCTAACTTATTCAACATTAGATATCCAGCACCCAGGAAAGGGCCTGCGCACATAATAGGTGCTCGGTAAATACTTGTTGAAATGCTGAGTCACTGAAATCAATTTGATGCTACAGAAGTACTTCTGAATTTGGAACATACTTCTCCCAACACTATGGCACTGTATCTCACAGGATGAAATTCTAAAAAACAGTTTATATTTAGAAATTGAAACTATGTTCTGCATTTTGCTATAAATAAAAATATGAGAACTGGCCAGATGCCAGCCCAAATACACCCTTCATCACAGACAAAAAGTAACTACCAAAGCAGCCCTACAGTCCCAAAGAGCCACTAAAGGAAGGCAGGGCCACCTCTCATCAAGGGGTTCGTTTATCTTTATCCTAATGAAGTACAAGAGGGCACTCACAACTAAGATGACTTGCAACTAAGTTAGGACCTAAAATTTCAACTTAGGACATTGTTAAAGCCAATCTGAGATTTAAAATAAATGTTTTTTAAAGGTGTGGAATCTAGCCTACTTGAGGTTTACATTTAAATAGAAAATACCCAAAAAGTGGTAGCATCTACCCAATTCAGAAATTAAAAAAAAAGCCTCATTATTATTTAGCAAAATCAGAGAAAAACGAATACATTTTCACTAAAATACAGTAAGCTTTAAAAAATGCATCTAGAAAAAAACTACTCCCCAAAAAACCCCCCAAAACAACAACAACAACAACAAAAAATAAAAATGCATCTAGACAGAAACAACTAAAAATTCTCTTGATCAAAACAAGCAAGATCAAATGGGAAACTCTAATGCAATGCTTACTGGAAACATTTAAAATTTCAATCTGAGTCTATTTTTGGAACATAGGAACTGGAACAAATCACAAATCAGATTTTTAAAACTGAAATCGCAATAAAAATTTAGTTGTAAGGTACAATTCTGACAGATACTTGTTTGACCAGTTCTTTATTTAATGTGCATTAGGTTGTTTCAGTCTTTTGCTACCATAAATGATGTTGCACTGAACATACTTTTTGTACACATGGCTGAGTTTTGTGGGTAGTTCACAATGGAATTGTTAGCAGCTGTGAGAAAGAGTGAAGTAAATGTGGTAATGTAGAAAAGGTTTTAAAACAGTGTTAACTGAAAATAGGTACATAACAGTTCACATCGGGTAAAATTCCACCTGTAAAAAAAAAAAGGAGAGAAGAGATATACATACAGATTGAGTATCTCTAATTTGAAAAGTTCCAAAATCCACAATTTTTTGAGCACCAACATGATGTTCAAAGGAAATGCTCATTGAAGCATTGTGGATTTTCGAATTAGAGGTACTCAAACAGTAAGTATAATGCAAATATTCAAAAATCTAAAAAAATCCAAAATCTGAAACACTTCTGGTTTCAAGCATCTTAGATAAGAGATACTCAACTTGTGTGTGTGTGTGTTTGTGTGTGTGTGTATAAATTTTCACCTATCAGATTGGCAAAAAAATGCAAACATGTGAAAATACCTAACTATTGGCCAAGCTGTAAAAATACATGTCTCTCATACCTTGCTAGTGGGAATGTAAAAACTTCAACAGAAAGCAATTTGTCAATAGCGATTAAAACTATAAATATATATACTCATGAAAATTAGGTGAAAAATTACATACGTACAAGGTTATCAATTATAACATCGTATACAATACAAAAAAGAGAACAACCTAGAGGTCCATAAAAAGGGAACTGGTTTAAATAATAAACTCACAGTATGGAATAAAATGCAGTTATAAAAAATCAGAAACTCTCTCTATACTCATATGAAAAGATCTTTAAAATATAAACTTAGAAGGTGTCAAAATTATACACAACATATACCAACTTTTATGTAAAAAAGGGGTGTGAAATCACAGAGTACATAGCCAAATCAAATGGAAAACTTACTTGTAAAGGTAATACTCTGCATGATCTATCTCTTCCCGAGAGGAAATGTTGTCTATAAGCTAAAAGACAGAAAAAGAAACCTTTGGTTGAATATAAATTATGTCATATATTTGGCCTAGGGCCTAGATCACACATTGACCTTAGAAAACACAGGACACCCATTTTATTGGAACGATGGTGATGCTTAGTGGAACAATGTTCACGTGGTATGGCTCCATCCTTGAAACCCCTTTATGCTAATGCAAACAAAGAATATACAATGGCTTCTCTTTTTCTATGTGTAGAATAACCTTGATCAGAAAACGGATTGAAAGCCAAACATGAACCTTGCTCAGAACAAGGAGAGTGTTCCACTGATTATAACTAGTTACCTATTTTTTCCTTTATCTTTAAACCCTGATATTATTTTCTTTATGTTCCAAACATGGGAACATATGGCTGAAAAAATGAAGACTCTGATGGCTAAAAAACTATTGCCCAGAACATAAACATCTAAATTTAGAGAACTCAGTCTTGCAACGATTTTTTCTACTTTGATTTAGCTCTGCTATGCAACAGTAAACCTATGATTCCTTTACCAACAAACTCTCCCTTCAAACCATAAAATCTCTGAGTATGCTCATTAACTATGGTCCAAATAAACAAATAAAAAGGATTATTCCAAACACAGATTCTATTCTAAAATAGAGACTCAGAGGCAAAAAAGAAAAAAAAAGCGTAGAAGACAATGCATGTTGTGAATATAATGAAAACCTCATAAAAGAAAGAGAGGAGAGTAAAAAGAGGGAGACTTTCTAAAAATGCCTAGCACTTCTGGACTTGACTTAGAAATCCATTAAGGGCATATAAAATGTGGTTCAAACACAGAACCTGAGCTTGAGAAACAGCTCTGATTGTTTGCTGTATGGCATAAACAGATGGCATAGCCCCTCTGGGACTTGGTTGCTCCATCTGCATAAATAGGATAAAGGCACTGGCCTCGAAGAGTATAAGGCACCAATGAGAAAATGTACATAAAAACTGTAAACCTTGAAGTACTACCTAAATAAATACCAGGTATTATGGCATACAGAAGTTTTACCCATCATGTAAGGGACGAAAAATGGCCTTTCCATTCTCCTCCAATATGCCAATTATGAGTCTATTAAATGTAACTTACGAACAGTAAAATTATTTCTCAACTAAAAGGCAGAAAGAAAGGACCAGGATTCAAAAGAAAGGTAATTTCTTTCCTCTCTCTCTTCCATATTTAACAATATTTTAAATTTTATGGTGCCATTAATTTCTGTAAAAAGTTTTCACAGCTAAAATCTCATTTTAGCATCCCATTATTCCCTGGGAGGAAGATGCAACCGTACCCATGCTGAAAATGAGAAAATTGAGAGGGATCTCATTGCCCAATGTCATGAAGTGAATTCATGTTAAAGACAAGCCCAGATATATTTGAAGCAGGCAACAGAAGAGAACCTAGATATCTGGGTTTGAATCTCAGTTTTTCCACGCTTACAAGCTGTGTGAACTTGGGAAAGTTATTAAACCATGTCTTACATAGACTGTTTATTGCATAGGGAGCAGTGAGAATTAAAAAAATAATGTATGTTAAGGAACTAATACATTCAAAACTGGCATAGAAGGTGCTCAGTAATGGTTACTATTCCTGATTCCTAACCTAACATTATTCTTCCACCCATCACTCTGCTGCAGTTTAACTTTAACATTAATATCCATTCTTTTACAGACTTTCTTGGCTACCAAAAACACTTCCAATACTAACGGGTAAATATCATTACTTTGAAGGATGTATCAACTTAAAAAAACTGATGGTATCATACAGCAGAATGTCATATCCTGGAAAAAATAAATCAGATACACAAAACTGATTACTGATATCAGAATCTGGTAAATGTATTAACTTTTATTTCAGCCAAAGAAATTTGCTATTACAGTATAAAATATCTATTAGTAACTATAAAAACTTACCATACTCTCAAAAATATTTCCTATGCAAACTATTTTTTATTTACACAGCCTCATCTACATGAAGGGCCTTTCTGGCTTTCTTCCTTGTTCTTGGAAAATATATATGTTAAAATTTTCTTACCCGTGATATTGTTAAAGAACTAACAGGCAACTTTCTCTCAAATGTTTTATCCATTAAAGATGCAAGATCAGCTGTGAAGACAAAAAAAGAAAAAAAACCTTGTTAAAGATACATATTTTTTTACAATTCTTGCCAGATGGCTGCCAACATGAAGTATTAAAAGAAACGTTCTTTCTTGCTTTTTAGAAATTATTTTTATATAAATTAAAGAGGAAAAAAGAATATTCTTTAAAACATTTTAAAAATGATTTAATTGGGTTGAGAATTATTTTAAAAAAACTTTTTACCATGTATTTAGCTTTTAAAAAAATGGATCAATTTGAAAACCTAGGAGATGCTATTCTGGACATCGGCCTTCAGAAAGAATTTATGACTAAGTCCTCAAAAGCAATTGCAACAAAAACAAAAATTGACAAGTGGGACCCTAATTAAACTAAAAACCATCAACAGGGTAAACAGACAATCTACAGAATGGGAGAAAATATTCACAAACTACGCATCCGACAAAGGTCTAACACCCAAAATCTGTACGGAACTTAAACAATTCAACAAGCAAAAACCAAATATCCCCATTAAAAAATGAGCAAAAGACATGAACAGATACTTCTCAAAAGACATACAAGCAGTCAACCAACATAGGAAAAAAATGCTCAACATCACTAACCATCAGAGAAATGCAAATAAAAACCACAATGAGATACCATCTCACACCAGTCAGAATGGCTATTATTAAAAAGTCAAAAAATAACAGATGCTGGCAAGGCTGCAGAGATAAGGAAATGCTTATACACTGTTGGTAAGAATGTAAATTAATTCAGCCACTGTGGAAAGCAGTTTGGAGATCTCTCAAATAACTTAAAACAGAGCTACCGAGACCATCCTGGCTAACAAGGTGAAACCCCGTCTCTACTAAAAATACAAAAAATTAGCCGGGCGCGGTGGCGGGCGCCTGTAGTCCCAGCTACTGGGGAGGCTGAGGCAGGAGAATGGCGTGAACCCGGGAAGCGGAGCTTGCAGTGAGCCGAGATTGCGCCACTGCAGTCCGCAGTCCGGCCTGGGAGACAGAGCGAGACTCCGTCTCAAAAAAAAAAACAAAAAAAAAAAAAACAGAGCTACCATTTGATTCAGCAATCCCATTATTAGGTACATACCGAAAATAAAATAAAACATTCTACCAAAAAGACATATGCACTCGATGTTCACCGCAGCACTACTCACCATAGCAAAGACATGGAATCAACCTAACAATGGTGAATTGGATACAGAAAATATGGTACATATACACCATGAAATACTACACAGCCATAAAAAAAAAAATGAAACCATGTCCTTTGCAGCAACATGGATGCAGCTGGAGGCCATTATCCTAAGTAAATTAACGCAGGAACAGAAAACCAAATACCACATGTTCTCATTTACAAGTGGGTGGTAAGCACTGGGTATACACGGACATAAATATGGGAACAGCAGACACTGGGGACTCCTAGAGGCAGGAGAGAGGGAAGGGGGCAAGGGCTGACAAACTACCTATGCTTAGTACCTGGATGATGGAATCACTTATACCCCAAACCTCAGTGCCATGCAATATACCCATGTAACAAACCTGCACATGTACTCCCTGAATCTAAAATGAAAGTGGAAATAAAGAAGTCCAATATAATTAGCTCATGAAAGAAAAAAATAAAAGAAAAAAAAAAAAGACCTGGGATGGGGAGGGGCGGGGAAAGGATCAATAAAATATTTCTGGAAGGAGACACAAGCAAGTGTATTTCCTGATAGGTTCCCCCCAAAAAAAGAAATTAGATGATGGGAGATCCAGGGAAGAAGACTCTTCATTGCTTACGCATTTATTCCTTTTGTATTTTGAAATATATTAGCTATATATCAGGTTATAGGTGTATATTAGCTATTCAAAACATTTAAAAATTGAAATTTATCAAGTGACTTTTATACCTACCCTGAACAAATCAGAGCAGCACTCTGGTTATCCTTAATGATTTTTGGCCTGAATGATTCCTATTTTGGTTCCTTCTAGCAGAACATCCATAGGAATATTTGGTATTTCTGAGATCACACTTTTATCTCAGAGTCTGAAAATATCTGAAATCCTAGGCAGCATACTCTCTAAAATGTTTACTTCACATCTTGTCATTGCTTTTCAAATTTACAATATCCTTTTTCCCCTTCTCCTCACTCTCAGCTCATGATTTTGTGTCTCATTTCACTGAGAAAACAGAAGCAATCCAAAGAGAACTTTATCCTTCTAGCATCATGTCTACCAGGTTACTAGCATCTGTGCCCATATTCTGTGTCCTCCATTCTGTTACAAAGGTTGAATGGTGTTAAACAAAAAAGCCCTCCCTTGCCCTCATATTTCCTACCATTATGGCTCCTTTTCTCTGCTCCTCTTAACAGCAAGACTGCTAAAAAGAGTCATCTTAGATACAGCTGTTACTACCTCCTGAGCTCCCAGTCTTCAACACATTCAACTGACACCAATAACCACTGCCACATTGTTAAAATCCAGTGGTTAATTTTCTGTTCTCATCTTACTTGACTTCTATCATTTGATACAGTTGACCATTCTATCCTTCACAAAATATTCTCTTTTTTCTCTCCTTCTTGTGTTCCTTTGCAGGATCTCCTCTTCTTGACTTCTAAACATTGGAGTGCCTCTAGGACTCTAGTAGACTGCAGACTTCCCTTCTCCATCTATGCTCGGTCCCTAGGTGATCTCATTCTCTGCCACGCCTTTAACCATTACCTACAGATGGTTGGCTCCACATGTACATACCTACCCTGTCTTCTCCCTTTAACTCCAGACTTGCATTTCCAATTACATAGGTGATATTTCCATCTGGGTGTCTAATAGGTATCTAAACATCACATGTTCTCTTATTTCCTCAACCTTCCACTTTCAATATGCTTTTCCTATCTCAGTAAATGACCACCACATTGGCTGGTTTACTGAGGCCAAAAATGTAGGCATCATCCTTGACCCCATTCTTTTCACACTCTATAACCAATTTGTCAATAAATCCTACAGGCTCTAGATTTGAAAAATAACTATATATTTCTCATCACCACTACTGCTAAGCCACCAGTATCTCTCATCTCCTGACCTTGTTTTAACTACTGTCCCCACCCTTATTATCTAATCTCCACCCAGCAGTCTGAGTGAGCATTTTAAAAGATAAATCAGCCAATCAGGATAAAAACCAATAAATGCTAATCTGTGTTGTTTTTCTGTCTCTTACACTAAAAATAAAATCCATATAATTACTAATATACACACTCTCAGTCCCTAGAACAGTTCCATAAAAGGCACCTAGTAAATACCTAAAGAAATGAATCAAAGGAAGAAAAGGAAGAAAGAAAAAAGCAATTGGGTTTCCAAGGTTTGTTTACTCCCTGGTGGAAGAAATTGGTATCAAGTAATAAGGACACACCAGAAATGATCAAGTAATAAGTATTTGTTGAAAACCTATTGTTGTGCATTTAACCATTTTTTCCTCTCTTTTTTCCCTGAGGGATTGATCTCAATGACTCAGTACCTACTGGGGGAAAACAACTTTAGAACTTTAGAACTTGATACGATATGAAAGCAATTAGCTTTTCTTATGACTATCTTAAAGGGATTGAAGCCAAGTGATTAAAGCAAAATAAAAACAAAAAAGTCCTTAAACCCCCTTCACACTAAGGCAACTTAATAGCATTAAATCTACTTGCTTACAGATGTTAAATGTCTCTCTCATAATAGCAAATCTTTTGATCATTTCATAATGAAGGCTTCTGTGTTTAGATGAGAGGCAATATGAGAAATTACCTCCCTCTACCTGAAATTTACAATTTAACTTAAAATAGCAAGATCAGGATCTATGGCCTAATTAAAATGAAAAACCCATCATTTCTTTGTGGGTTTCACATCATGCACAATGTATAACCAAACTCTGGAATAAGGTGGCTTCACTGATCACCTCTGTAGTGTGGTAACTCAAGATTGCATGTGAATCCTTCGCACCAAGGCATCTTTAGTCAAGTGAAATTGGCTGGAGCCTCAGAAAAGGTAACAGCTGCAAAGCCAGCATCTAATGAATAACATTTGCATTTTCCAAGTCAGAGAAAGGTTTGCTGCTAAATATATCATGTGGCCAATCACCTCACAGTATAGCACTGCCGTGATGAATGAGGCAGAAAACTGCACAGAGCAGGGACGGCCAGGAAAGCTGGGACAGCTGCGGCGTGCAGAGGGCCAGCGCCACAGGCTTCTGGACTGTGGGCTTCCACAGTCAAAATCCCACCTCATGTTTCAGTGAGGGGCCAGCAGATGCCCAGGTTTTGTTCAAAGAGATGTGCCAAAGAAGATACTTTTTTGCTTGCTATTCAGCTCCTCAGGAATACATACTGTGGCAGATGGTTGTGGACAACAGACTATATGGGAAAATGGATCTGAAATTTGAATTCTTCATTTAACAAAACTTGAAGCTAGACAGACAATGTGGAAGTATGTCCAGAAAATAAAATGTATACTAAAAATGCCCTTCCCATTTGAAGAAAGCAATACTATTAACGATCTCAGAATATACAAGATTGTATTGAGAACCCTGCACTATTCCCAGTAAGAGTGCAATGGCCCACAAGCCTGGGTGAGGATTCAGATTGCCTGAGGGGCTTTAAAACTTCAGATTCCTAGGATTCTTTTCACCCAGAGGGAGACTCTAATTCCCTGGGTTTGAGGTAGCACGAGAGACTTAAACAATAGCCCCAGAAGATTGTAGCCAATCAAGCACGTCAGTTATGTTTGGGAGCAACCATGGGAGGGAACACAAAAGAAGTCTTAGATGTTGCTCCTAAGCTCAAAGAAGATACTGAATAGGAATTCCATTGCTGGAATAAAATGAATTAAATATCTTTAAAAAATTCCTCCTACTATAAAAATAAAACAAAATATCAATTTTCCCCCAAATATATGACTGAGCTTTCAAGAAGGTAGATGTAACTGTCAGAGGCCAAAGGCAAGATGGAAACATGAACTTGGAGTGTTTAGAGGAGCAGTCCCTTTGAGGGGAGCAGTCCTTTTGAGAGCATGTGATGATCTACAGTGATGGAGAGCTTTAGTTTCAGTGACTTATGGGGACAGAGGATAAAACCAATACTTGTAAGATGAGAAGCTTGTTCAGAGATCCTCAGGTAAAGCCAGGACCACCTAAGGGAACTACACCTGAAGTGAAAAGGTAAAACTTATCACTACAATAATGCACCCTAAAAAGTAAACAACCGGGACACTTGTCCCCTGAAGATTATAAACTACAAGTCAGCCCTCATGCCTCTTTGGGGATTTAATCCACTCTTCTTTTGTGATCCAAAATATACCAAGCTGAGAATTTTGTTTGAAGAGTTGACTTCACTATATAAAATTCTAAAAATTGTGAACTATTCTATAGAAACAAAAAAGCATATCCATGGTTGCCTGGGAATTTGGGGTATAGGGCCAGAAGCGGAAGGAGAAAAGGGTTAAAGAATAGGAGAAAACTTTGGCAGGTGACACATATGCTCATTATCTTGATCATGGAGATGACTTTATGGACATATACACCTGTACATTGGTCAAAACTGATCAAATTGTACATTTAAATATACATAGTTTATTTTATGTGAAGAATACCTCATCAAAGCTGTAAAAAGTAAACAATGAATAAGTTAAAAAGCAGGTTAGACACAGGTGAAGTGAGAGTGAACTGAAAGGCAGATAATTACACAGAATGCTGCAAAGATAAAAATGAGAACTGTAAAAGAGCAAAGATATAGAAATATGAATAAGAATGTATGATGAGACAATGATGAGAATTTTTTAGAATTGATAAAAAATATAGGTTTCTAGATTCAGGATATGTATACAATCTCAAGTCAAAAAAGTAAAATTATTATTTCAAAAACGATGAATGAGAGGATCTCAAAAGTGGCCAGAAAGAAAAGAGAAATTACAAAGAAAGAAACAACTATACTAACAGGTGTTTTCTCAATAGGAATGATAAAATCCAGAAAATAGAATAAAATGTTCAAAATGTTGCAAGTATAAACTATCAACCTAAAATTGCATATCTAGCAAGATTATCTTTAAAAAATAAGGGCAAAATATGGGTATGCTGGCATGTGCTTGTAGACCCAGCTACTCAGGAGGCTGAGGTGGGAGGATCACTTAAGCCCAGGAGTTGGAGGCCAGTGTGGGCAACACAGCAAGACCTCATCTCAAAAAAAAAAAAAAAAAAAAAAAGATAAGGGCGAAATGAAGACATTTTTGGACAAACAAAAACAGAAAATGTATTAGCAACAAATACTAAAGGAAATTTTTAGAACTCAATAAAATTGGTTAAATTGGGGGGGAACTGACTGTTTAAAATAATGTTATATGTGTTTTAAAGGATAAAACTTTATTATTAGACAAGAGCATATGGTTAGATGTGTGTGTGTGGACCTAAGGTGTCCTAAAGGATAGTAGAGTGTGATGAGCATTACAATTTAAGCTAGATATGCATTTTAGAAGTTAAAGGGCAACAATCTCTAAAAAAGTAGAGGATATAATCTCCAGACCAGTGGAGGGGAAAAAAACGTAAAAAACAAAAACAATCCAAAAGTAAAAATCAATCCAAAAATAAAAAATAAAGAAAAAAAAGAAAGATGAAACCAATCACAAAATGTGACAGAAATAAATCCAATTATATTGGTAATCATGAAATGATAATGTAAATAGACGAAATTTTCTAGTTAAAAGATAATGATTGTCAGATTGGTTAAAAATATAAAAGCTAGCTATATAAATCATATAAACACAGAAGAGTTGAAAATTATTAAAAACACACTAGGAAGCCAAAATAAAGCTGGTACAGTTGTATTAATATCAGACACAATAGATTACAGGCAAAAAGCAGTTTTATAGATTATGTGGGTCACTACATAATGACCAAAAATTCATTTTGCCAAGATAATTTTAACCTGGTGCACACCAAAGTAACACAGCTTCACAGTACATAACCACAAAATCTGTAGTACAGATGTGTTGAAAAACAAGCCTCTTAAAAAAGAGTGTGGTCTCTGGGGCAAAGTTGTGATAATGAAGGTCACTGAAGAAAAATATGAATCCTTTATTGAATCCTTCTAGCTTCAGGTGAGAAATGGTTTCAGTTTTTCTTTTCTACATAACTGCACATTACTGTTAACCTTTCAGGCAACACTAAACTCTTTCTGGGCTTATGGTCATCTGCATACCTTACCTAATTTATATAATAAAGAAACAGGTACAGATTATTATTGTCCTTCCTAGAAGAACTGATCTTGAAAAATACAGGCTGAAACTGTTTTTGTTTCCCACATTTTAAAAGAAAAACGAGGACACATGACATATATCATGCATTGAATATACAGAAGGAAGTATGGAAAACTAGCCTAGCAACCAATTTGGACATAGATTTTTAGACTTCCTTCTATTTGTCTGTCACCAGAAGCTTTAACATAAATAAATCCAATAAAGGAAAAACATGAAATCAAGCTTTGTGTACATATATATTAATGAGACTAAAGAACGGTGATGTGCACAAGTCAGACCCATCTCTAGAACTTGGCAAATATGGAAACTGGAAAATGAATAGATGCCACAGAGATGCAAATACAGAACTGACAAAAGTTAAGAAAGCAGACTTCAGAAAATCTCCATCAGGCCTCAAGAGCAGGATCTGAAATATTCATGCAAAAAGCCAAAGGCCTCTACAGCTGAAATGACACAGCAAAACTAAATCTCAGCTAAAATGGAAGAAGTGTCTGTAAGAGACAGACCTGAATGCAAATGTGTCAAGGAAATACTCTTTGGATTCAAAAAGGAGGTTCTCCAAAAACAAACCAACAGAAAACAAACCAACAAACCAAGAGAAACCAACACAAACAAGCAAAACAGTAACCCAAACCAAAATGTGTCCTATACTTTGTGATGTGAAAAATCACAAATAAAATATTTAATCCAGTAGGGCTCATGAATCCTGAATTCAGCTCAAGTCACCTGAGTGCTCGCTCCTTGTCAGAAAGACTCAAGAAAACTTCCTCTCATGGAACTCAAGGAGCTTCCCCATGAGGCCTGCCCTCCTACCAACACCCTACCCAGTTCCCCAGTGGTTTTCTCCTGAGTCCTGTTCACAGTGGATCCTATTCTGTTAACTAGTAAATGTTGATAACTTTTACCCTGTACCTCCCCAACAAATCAGCAAGTTAGTGGAGGAATTCCAGAGACAATGCTTTAACTCAGTGTTTATTTTAGCCAAAGGGAAGCCCAGTACAGAAACAATCAAAAGTTGAAATCTGATTGAAGTAGGAAAGCCCAGGGCTCTACAGAGCACAGTTGAACTATGGCCCTATCAATAAAAGTATCAACAGCAATGGATTAAAATGTCTCAATTATTTAAATCTATGAGTTCTTAATGACATTTTAAGAAGTCCTCATTCATCATTTTTGCAAGTTATTTTGAAAGCTAACTCATATACAAACTATTTCAGGGTAAGTAAACTGTTGATGAATGGAAGTTCTGTCATAAAAATTTCCTAGATAATAAATGAAAAGAAATGATAAAATTTAAACAGCAATAGTATGCAGCTTCAAATGAAATAACAAATCTAAGTAAAGATCATGAATGGCCTTTAACTTCGCAGAGGGGCAATCAAATGCTGTGTGCTTACTGACACAAGTAAACACTTACTATGAAGTATTTATACCAAAAGACAAAATAAAAAGTCCTGAATCTGATCAAGCCCCTTTCTCCAACTACCAGTTTCACAAGACATATGGAAGGCAGAGGAGCACGCTAAACACCACAATAAGGATGAAATCAGCAAATCTAGAATGTGGGAAACTCCAAAAAAGACCTGTTTTGTTCAATAAATAAATTGCAAAAAACTTACAAACTAAGATAGTTGAGACAACTCAACACATTGCAAGGTATGGACCTTATCTAGATCACATTTCAACAAACTAAATTAAAAAGAAATTTATAAGACATTTGGGAAAATGTGAACATTAATGGAATATTTAATATTACAGAAGTACTAGTTTTTTAGAATAGTATGATTAATTACGTTTTTAAAAATCCTTATCTTTTAGAGGTACATATCAAAGTACATATAAAAAAACCCCGATAATTAAGTTTGTTAAAAAGTAATCTGGTGAACAGGTGGGGAGTTGATGAAACAACACTGGTAGGGAATTGATAATTGCTGGAGCTGGGTGACAGTACACAGGGGTTTATTCTACTCTCTCTACTTCTGTATGTTTCTATTAAAAAGATTCAGAAAGAGTTAACGGGGGCACATAGCAACCAATTGTATTATACGAGGCTTTATTTGAATCCTGATTCAACCAAATCATAAAAAAAAAAATTTGAGAGTATCAGGGATACCTGAGCCAGGAGCGGTGGCTCACGCCTGTAATCCCAGCACTTGGGGAGGCCGAGGTGGGCGGATCACGAGGTCACGAGTTCGAGACCAGCATGACCAAAAAGGCAAGACCCCATCTCTGCTAAAAATACAAAAATTAGCCGGGCATGGTGGCGGGCGCCTGTAATCCCAGCTTCTCGGGAGGCTGAGGCAGGAGAATCGCTTGAACCTGGGAGGAGGAGGTTTAAGCGAGCTGAGATCGTGCCATTGCACTCCAACCTGGGCGACAAGAGCAAGGCTCTAAGAAAATAAAATAAAATAAGAAAGAGAGTATCAGGGATATCTGAACACTAACTGGATATTTCGTGATATTTACAACCCTATTAATATTTTAGGTGTGATAATGGTATTGAAAAGCACCCTTGTCTTTTGGAGATCTGTATCAAAATATTTACGGATGAAATGACTTACTGCCTGGGATCTCCTTCAAAATTATCCAAAGCATCGGGATGGGGAAACAGTAATAAAGATAAAATAAAGACTAAGAGCTGATAATTGTTGAAGCCAGGTGATGGGTAAAGGGGGCTCCTTATACCAAGGTGTCTACACCTTCAAATGTTAAAACACTAAAAAAAAAAAATCTGTGGCGTTAGAAGTCAGGATACCGGTTACCTTTGGAGAGACTAAGTGGGGGCCGCAATAAGGGCTTCTGGAGCGGTAGGAATGCTCTTGCTTCCTACACAGGTTTACTCGCTTTGTGGTAATTCATCAATGTCTATATTACGACTTGCACACTTTTCAGTATGTATATTATACTCCAATAAAAAAGTATTTTAAAGAAGAAATCGACTACTTTAATGTAGGCGGAAGATCCTATGGTAGAATCTCAGGTACTACAGCAATCACTGAGAAAGCTTTTTGGGCGGAAAGGAAAGTGAGGCTCTCGCCCGGTTTCCTCCTCTCCACGGTGGAACTGGCAGCGGCCCTGGCTGGCTGCTGAGAGCGCGGAACGGGGCGGCGTTCTGACGTTCGCGCCGGGGCCCTCTGGACGCACCGCGGGCGCAGGTCCTAGACAGCTGCATTGGCGTCCACCGCGGCCCCGGCGCTGGGAAACTGCCCTCACGCTAGGGCCCTCCCCGAGGAGCTCTCTGGCACAATCAGCCACGAGGACGAAGAGAGGGGGCACCGGAACCGCAAGCCCACTCCGAGAGGCCAGAACCTCTCTCTCGCCGTACTCCCCGGCAGGGCACGGCTCAGGGGAGACGGCGCTCTGGCACATGAAGCCCACACCCACACGCCGCAGTGTCCCTTGCTGCCTCGATCTCCAATGGGGATGGGAGCGGCGAAAGCCTCATATCGGCCCTCCTCCGTCCCCCAATCAGCGAGCCCGCTTTGAGCACCTCACGGCCCTCCGGCTGGCGGCGCCCAATCACAGCGCTCCACATGCTGGGCGCGGCCCTGCGCGCGCACGCTACCCGACAGCCCCGCGCCCACTCGCCGCGTTCCACCCGCGGGGCGGCGGATTCCCGCAGGGGCCACACTGCCACCTACTGTCCCATCTCCAGAGCTGGAGCCACGGGCGCTCTCCCTACCATGCGGCCTCCCTGCTAAGTGCCAGTAGCTCAACCCAAACGCTCAAATAAAAATGAGGGAAAACAAGTAGTGTCGTCGAGTAAAACCGAAAACAATGTCCATTTTGAAAAAAGCGGCAATAATTACCTTCCAGTACACAGTAGGAAAAAGTCTCAAAAGCTTTCTTTGTTCCAAGCAGTGTGAGTTCCAAAACATTATTTCACCTCACACGTTTTATAGAGGGCTAAAAACAAGGGGCTTAGGGACTCCTCAGTGCACATATTTCTGAAGCACCTGCATGTCAGACGGAGAGGCAGGCATTACCATCATCTCTAATTTATAGGCACAGAAACCGAGTGTGACAGCTGAAAGCCGCAGAACTGGGACTGACACCCAGAAGTCGGCCTCCCAAGTGCAGACTTCAGCACATCATACACAAGGAAGGCACAAAGTGCTGAAAGAATATAGGGCAGGAAACATCGATTCTGACTGGAGAGATTCAGGATATACAAAGATATTCTAGGCAGAGGGGACAGCTGTCTCGGTGGCAGGAAAAATTCAGTAAATGGTGGCTAGTACTGCTTTTCCAAGAAAACTAGTCTTAACTGAGGAAAGGGAACAAATGTCTCTATGTGATATTTACTCATTGCAGACTTTTTTTTTTTTGAGACAGAGTCAGCTCTGTCGCCCAGGCTGTAGTGCAGCGGCGTGATCTCTGGCTCACTGCAACCTCTGCCTCCCGGGTTCGAGCGATTCTCCTGCTTCAGCCTCCATTGTAGCTGGGATTACAGGTGTGCGCCACCACGCCCGGCTATTTTGTAATTTTAGTAGAGGCGGGGTTTCACCATGTTGTCCAGGCTGGTCTTGAACTCCTGACTTGATCTGCCTACCTCAGCCTCCCAAAGTGCTGGGATTATAGGCGTGTGCCACTGCGTGCTGCCCCGCTGCAGATTATTATACTCATTATTTGGCAAACAGTTACTGCTTACTCAGGTATCCATGACAATGTTCCCTGGATTTGTGTGACTGACTATACCCAACACCAAGACACCAAACCTAGTGGCCTCATTTCCTAATCTTCCCTACATACCTAGGAAAGTGTTAATAAGCTTTCCTGGAATTCGTCATTCCCTTATCTGTACTTCACTGCACTTTGCTTATAATTCACATATGGCACATCCGAACACGCCTTGCTGTATAACTATGAGTCCATACTGGTCTGATCACTAGAACAGTATAGTATTGGCCCTACAGAGCATTTTAGGATATGTGGAAGTTGGTCTTGATTGTCACAATGACTGAAAGGCATTACTGGCACTTAATGGACAGAAAACAGGGAATTCAGATGACCTGCAATGCTGAGACTGTCCCGTACATCAAAACACTGTCTCTAGTGGGAGCCAGGGCTGTCAGTATGGAAGACGGGAGATACAAATATGGACTGGAGCAAGGCAAGAAGAATCCCATAGGGATGAACTTGGGATTGGTGTGAACTCATTATCTGCAAAATATATATAGTATATGTATATGCATATGTGTACATGTATGTTTATGTGTATGTGCATTCATTTTTTTTCCAGAACTGTTCACTGAATGGGCCAAGAAGCAAAAATTTCACAGTAGCAAAAGGACACCTAGCACCTAGATCTTGGTTTCTAATGCCATTCCTCACCAAAAGTAACCAGAGCTCCTTGGAGAAATGGTTGATTCCAGGGCTAGGCCAGGAAGGGTACACAGTGAGCCTGAAACACCTTGTTATATGAGAGAAAGTAAGTTATCAAAAAAGAGGGGGGTGGGGGAAAATGGAAGCCAGCTTGAAAGGGCTTCTATCAGCCAAGTCTGGGATATTTAGACCACCAAAATAATTGAGAAGGGTAATGAATCATTTAAAAAATTCACAAATTGATGATTTAAACATAATGCATGATAATAAACAGATAAATGAGAAAGAAATGAGAGAAAAGGAAGAGTTCTTGCTTATAGTAGAATACTGAGTGTTAGCTAGTAAATCTGGAGAAATTTTCAGAGTTGGAAAATCATTACTTTGCAACCATTATAGTAAAGATTGATTCAGGCTAAAGCCATGAATGGATGCCAAATCTAAGAGCAAACTTTTGATAAACAACATATTTGCATTACATTAAAGTCTCTCTCCGAGAATAGCCTATTAATCAGAAGGGAGAAAAACAGTAACTCTGCAGTGGAGAAATCAGACACAGTTGACTAGGTGATCAAAACTGACATCACCAGTGAAGGCATATGATATCAGGTATGTCCACATGTGATACCCTGGCAGGGGCACAACATCACTGAGAGTATTCTGGCTGGGGAAGCATAACAATGAGAAAATAGCAGAAAAATCCAAGAAAGAGGAATATTCTATTTAAAAAAAGAGATTGGGTTCTTTAAAAATATATAGGACAATGTCATAAGAAACAAAGAAAGGATAAGGAACTATGATTCTAGACAGCATCCTGTACTGGAAGAGGAAAAATGCTATGAGAGACCCTATTATTGGGTCAATTCCCAAAACTGGGATATGAATAGTAAAGTATTATATTAATGTCAAAATTTCCGAAGTTGGTAACTGTGCTATGATTATACAATAGAATGTCCTTATCTCAGGTAATGTACATTGAAGTATTCAGGATAAAGAGCTATAATATATGAAACAAACTCCCAAATGATTAAAGAAAGTGTGTATACAGGGGGAAGGAGGAGAGAGAAAGCAAAAACAAATGAATCAAAATGGTAACGACAGGTGAACATGAGTAAAAGTAGCGCTGTGGTTTAAATATTTGTCTCCTCTGAAACTCATGTTGAAATTTAATCCCCAGTGTAACAGTTTTGAGAGGCCAGTGGATCATAAGGGCTCTCCTCTGATGAATGAATTAATCCATTCATGGACTAATGGGTTAATGGATTGATGGGTTATCACGGAAGTGGGACTGGTGGCTTCATAAGAGGAAGAGAGACCTGAGCTAGCATGCTCAGCCCCCTCGCCATGTGATGCTCTGAGCCACCTCAGGACTCTGAATAGTCCTCACCAGCAGGAAGGCTCTCACCAGATGCCACCCCTCAACGCTGGCCTTCTCAGACTCTCTAACTGTAAGAAATAAATTCGTTTTCTTGATAAATGATCCAGTTTCAGGTATTGTTATAAACAACAGAAAACAAACTAAGACAGATATAGAGGAGTTCTTTGCAGTTTTTATAAGTTTAAAATTATTTCCCGCTGGGCGCGGTGGCTCAAGCCTGTAATCCCAGCACTTTGGGAGGCTGAGGTGGGCAGATCACCTGACACCAGGAGTTCAAGACCAGCCTGGCCAATAGGCAAAACCCTGTCTCTATTAAAAATGCAAACATTAGCTGGGCGTGGTGGCGTGCGGCTGTAACCCCAGCTACTCAGGAGGTGGAGGCAGGAGAATCGCTTGAACCCAGGAGGCGGAGGTTGCAGTGAGCCGAGATGACGCCACTGCATTCCAGCCTGGGCGATAGATAGTACAGACTCTGTCTCAACAACAATGACAATAACAACAACAAAATTATTTCCAAATTAAAAGATTAAAAAAATTTGCCATGTCATTTGTGACATAATTATACCATCAAAAACAACCTGTTTATCATTAATGGAACTAACTCCATTTTTCATATAAGCAAAGTTTTTTTAATGGAAAATAAGGTGAATTTTGCAACTCTATATTGAGGGAAGACATACCTTTGAATCAATCAGAACTTTACCAAGAGTTGTTCATTCTATAAATAAAATTATGTCATTATGATAGCGCCACTCCTGGTATTTGAATTTGCCAGTATACCGCATCTCTACCCATCTACACTTCTTCCATGTCTATAATTATTCCACATTTATATGCAATATTTACCTGCTTCATTGTTTCTTACTGTAGTTTTGCCTGGACATTTGTTTACAAATTGAAATACATATTGTTTAAGTTACTTCCCCTTTGTTTCTCCTCTGTATCGTGGCGAAGGAATCATACTGATTTTTTTTTTTTTTTTTGAGATGGAGTCTTGCTCTGTTGCCCAGGCTAGAGTGTAGTGGCAAGATCTCGGCTCACTGCAACCTCTGCCTCCCGGGTTCAAGCGATTCTCCTGCCTCAGCCTCCGGAGTAGCTGGGATTACAGATGCCTGCCACTGCGCCCGGCTAATTTTTGTATTTTTTAACAGACGGGGTTTCATCATCTTGGCCAGGTTGGTCTCAAACTCCTGACCTCATGATCCACCAGCCTCAGCCTCCCAAAGTGCTGGGATTACAGGTGTGAGCCACCACACCCAGCCATATACTGGTTTTTAAAACAGTAAGTATAGATAGATTATATTAACTATGAATTTAGTTTCAAGATGGCAAAAGAAGAGTATGATAAAGTACTTGTTATAAGAAGGCTACCCTGGGCCTCTTATAGACAGAATGAGACTGTAAGTTTCTCATGGAGAAGCTGCGATTACTTATCTTCAGATCTTCCACAGCTCTGCTTCAGCTGGCCTGTGCACATACACCCATCTCAGAGCTCACAGCCAACTCTGCTTGTGCAATCACATCATCAGTAAAGAAAAGGATGAGATCTTTGAAAATCCCAATAAGGTAGCCATTAGAGACAGCAATGTCTCCTGCACTTATGGGAAAAATCCATAAACACAGGGGACTTTATTCTTAACTGACATAAGCCCAAAACACAGCTAAAGAAATCTGGGGGAATATATTAGATCAGCATAGGAATTGATCCAAAAATTACATCAGTCTCATAAAACTATCACCAATCTATTTATTTTATTAATGTTCCGATGATGTTATATATACCAAAGGGCAGGCAGTACCAAAAGTCTAAAGTATGCACATTTTTAAAAACTGCTCATTGAGTCAGTGATTTCTTTTGGGGCTTGGTATTTTACAAAAGAAAGGCTGTTGTCTGTGTAATATGACATAGGGAACAGGAGAAAAGAAAGTATAATTATAAGCCCAAAGCCTGGGAAGATGTTAACCAACTATTTCTCTAAACAGCTTACATGAGATTGTAACATTGCCTTCAAACCTGTCACCTGGTAATGAAATAGAGAAGAGTCAAAAAGGGCTCTGAAGACCACAAGAGGAGTTAAGAAAATAAAGAGACTGACAATAAGACAGGATGAAATATAAAATACGAAATTCTGTAAAACAGGCTGCATGAAAACCATATGGTAAAAATGGACAAAAAACAGAAGAAAGGAACTGTTTACATATTCTAAGGAGACTAATCATGGAGGCAAAAATGAAATATTAGAAATGAACAGGATAAAACTGATTTTGCCATGTATAAAAGTCTAACTCTTTAAGACTTAAAACATGCTTATCTGAATTGAAACATCATAAAAGCATAATTTCATATATACGTTATATGAATAAATGATGGAAGACATACAGAGTGACCGAAAATGACACATATAATAGTCCAATAGGTACCTACCAAGACAGTAATGTTCTTTTTCTCTTGCTTCCCATTTGTGGCTGTCTACATAGGCTGAAGAAAGCAGGTATCTTTTACCTGAGAAAATAGGCAATTATTTCAACACACATGGTTTTACAAGAGGTTCATTTTATATGTTTTATTAAATATATCTTCACTATCCTTTCAACTACTAGATTATATATTTTAAATAATCTAATACAGTACAGCAACCAATATCGCATAGTTGACAATTCAGTGAAGAACAAAATGCATTCAACCCCTAACAAGTGAAGATGCAGAAAAACAGGATTTTCACAATAATTTTTTAAATAAAATAAACAGGGTCTTGCTATAATGCCCAGGCTGGAATGCAGTAGCTATTCACAGGCACAATCCCACTACTGATCGGCACAGGAATTTTGATGTGCTCAGTTTCCAACCTGGTTCACCCTTCCTGAAGCAACCTGGTAGTTCCCTGCTCCTGGAACGTCAATCATCCTATCGATGCCAAACTTAGTGTGGACACTTGATCGGTATTGTGCACTACAGCCCAGAACTCCTGGGTGATCCTCCTGCCTCAGCCTCCCAAGTAGTTAGCATTACAGACACATACCACTGCGCTATGCCCATAATTTTATGGATAAAACTGCTAATTTTGTTCCTATAACTTTAAGACTAGGAGCCACTTGTTGCTAGTAAATTATAATCCAGGCAAGCCCTAGAACACCTTCTTAGAACCAAAAACACCTGCTGACTGTTGCTTAACTCATTAATTAAATGCTTTATAATTATTATGCCTAAAAAACATTTTCATCTTAGATCCACAGGTTTCAATCATTTCACATAAAGCAAGGAGTAGTATCTTACCCAATGAGCCAGCACCCTAGTGGTAAATTAAAGAAACTCACAAAGCCAAAGCTGAGGTAACGTACAAGATAGCATACCACTATTCCTAGCTCCTGGCACAATGCCTAGCCTTTGGCAGTGTTTAACAAACATGAGCTCAAGGAGTGAATGAGAAAGAATGAATGGCAAGTTCATCAAAATTTAAAACTTTTGTGCTTTGAAGTACAATCTCAGGAAAGTGAAAGTACAACCCAAAGAACAGGAGAAAATATTTGCAAAACATTTATCTAGTACAAGACTTGTATCCAAAATATTTCAATAAATCTTACAACTCAAAAATAAAAAAAAAGACAACCCAAATGAATGATGGGTAAAGGATTTAAACAGGTATACCTTTAAAAACATATATACACTGAGGTGGGTGGATCACTTAAGCTCAGGAGTTCAAGACCAGCCTGGGAAACATGGTGAAACCCCGTTTCTACAAAAAACACAAAAATTAGCCAGCCATGGTGGCATGCACCTGTAGTCCCAACTACTCAGGAGGCTGAGGTGGGAGAATCGACTGAGCCCGGGAGGCAGAGGTTGCAGTAAGTCAAGATCATGCCACTGCACTCCAGCCTGGGCAACAGAGTGAGACTCTGTTTCGAAAAAAAAAAAAAAAGAAAAAGTAAAATATATATGTATACACACACAAATAGCTAATAATCATAAGGACAGATGCTTAACATAATTTGCCATTAGAGAAATGCAAAACAAAATCACCTGGAGAAACGAATGATACTCACTACAATGACCACCATCAAAAAACAGATAATGACAACTGCTGGGGAGGATGCAGAGAAACCAGAAACTCATACCTTACTGGAGAGAACATAAAACAGTGCAGCTGCTTTTTAAAGAATTTGGTAGCTCCTCAAAATGTTAACATGGAGTTACTCTATCACCCAGCAATTCCACTCCTAGGTTTACAACCAAGAAAAATGAAAACTTGTGTCCACAGAAAATTTGTAAACAAATGTTCACAGTAGTATTATTCATAACGGACAAAAAGTGGAAACAACCCAAATATCCATCAATTGATGAATAAACAAAATGTGGTCTATCCTTACAATGGAATAGTATTTGGCAATAAAAAATGAAGTACTGATACATACTACATGGGTGAATCCTGAAAACATGTTAAGTAAAAAAGACGCCAGTCACAAAAGACCACATATTATATGATTCCATTATATGAGCAATCCAGAATAGGCAAGTCTGTAGAGACAGAAAGTAGATTCATGGTTGCTAAGGGCTAAAGGTGAGGATCAGGAAAGCTAGAGGAGAAATGGGGAGCAATTGCAAATGGGCATGGAATTTCTTTTTGGGATAATGAAAATGTCCTAAAATAGCTTGTGATGATGGCTCCAGAACTCTGTGTTTATACTAAAACCTTTGAATTGTATACTGCATTTGTTGTTTCTTTGTTTGTTTTTGAGATGGAGTTTTGCTCGTTGCCCAGGCTGGAGTGCAATGGTGTGATCTTGGCTCACTGCAATTTCCACCTCCCAGGTTCAGGTAATTCTCCTGCCTCAGCCTCCAGAGTAGCTGGGATTACAGGCGCCTGCCACCATGCTTGGATAATTTTTTGTATTTTTAGTAGAGACGGGGTTTCACCATAATAGCCAGGCTGGTCTCGAACTCCTACCTTAGGAGATCCCCCAGCCTTGGCCTCCCAAAGTGCTGGGATTACAGGCGTGAGCCACCATGCCTGGCCTGAATTGTGTATTTTAAATGGATGAATTGTATGGCATGTGAATTATACCTCAATAACTCTGTTTAAAAAAATAGAAAAACAGCCAGGTGCAGTGGCTCATGCCTGTAATCCCAGCACTTTGGGAGGCCGAGGTGGGCGGATCACCTGAGGTCGGGAGTTCGAGGCGAGCCTGACCAACATGGAGAAACCTTGCCTCTACTAAAAATACAAAATTAGCCAGGCGTGGTGGTGCATGCCTGTAATCCCAGGTACTTGGGAGGCTGAGGCAAGAGAATCCCTTGAAGCCAGGAGGTGGAGGTTGTGGTGAGCCGAGATCACGCCATTGCATTCCAACCTGGGCAATAAGAGCGAAACTCCGTCTCAAAAAAAAAAAAAAACAAACAGAAAAAATGACAGATAATTATGCTGAGGTCACAGCAGACCAAAAGCCCAACACAACTAGATAGCATGGGGGCTGATTAAACACAGTATTGGAATGCTGTTTTTATTCTCTACCTACTTTCCAGCTCAAACAAATAAACAAATACAAACACATCTGTGTGAATTTATACACAGTTCATTCTCTTACTGTGAACACAGATCTTTACTAGAATAATATATCTAAATTTGAGTTCTACAAATTAAATAATGAGGCAACAATAAGGTTTCCAAAGACGCTTTCAAAAGGAGAACTAAGAAAAGACTATAATTATTTAAATTAATTTCCATTTATTTTTTCGTTTTGGAAATGGAGTTTCGCTCTTGTTGCCCAGGCTGGAGTGCAATGGCATGATCTCAGCTCACTGCAACCGGAAGGCGGAGGCCTTCCAGGTTCAAGCGATTCTCCTGCCTCAGCCTCCTGAGTAGCTGGGATTTCAGGCATGCGCCACCACGCCTAATTTTGTATTTTTAATAGAGACAGGGTTTCTCCATGTTGGCCAGGCTGGTCTCAAACTCCTGACCTCAGGTGATCCACCCACCTCAGCCTCCCAAAGTGCTGGGATTACAGGTGTGAGCCACCACACCCGGCCTAATTTTATTTATTATTATTATTTTTTTGAGATGGAGTATCTCTCTGTTGCCCAGGCTGGAGTGTAGTGGCATGATCTTGGCTCACTGCAACCTTTGCCTCCAGGGTTCAAGCAATTCTCCTGCCCCAGGGGGATGGTTCTAGAATACCCCCTCAAATACCAAAATCTGAGAATGCAGAAGTCTCTTACATAAAATTGCACAGTATTTGCAAATAACCCACAAACATCCTCCTGCATTACTTTAAGCTGGGGTGTCCATTTTTTTGGCTTCCCTGGTCACATTGGAAGAAGAACAATTGTCTTGGGCCACACATACATAAACTACACTAACACTAATGATAGCTGATGGGCAAACAAACAAAACAAAAAATGCTAAAAATCTCCTAATATTTTAGTTAAGTTTACAAATTTGTGTTGGGCCACATTCAAAACTGTCCTGGGCTGAGGGTTGGACAAGCTGCTTTAAGTCATTTGTAGATTACTTATAATACCTAACACAATGTAAACGCAATGTAAGTGGTTGTCATGTTGTATTTTCTTTGTATTATTTTACTGTTGTATTATTTTTTATTGTTAGTTTTTGTTTTGTTTTGTAGTATTTTGATCCGCTGTTGGTTGACTCTGCAGATGCAGAATGCTCGGATAAGGAAGCCAACTGTACTCCCGCATACCAGCTACTTGCTTACTCTCTATTTATTATCTGTTATTCTCTATGCCTTCATTCTAGCATATGCTTCATTCTAGCATAAGTAATCACCTTTCTACATTCTGGAGTCAGGACAATATCTAGATCATTGCTCAAGAGTTCTGAACTGGGAGATTAAAAAGCTGGGCCAGCTGGGCACAGTGGCTCACGCCCGTAATCCCAGCACCTTGGGAAGTAGAGGCGGGTGGATCACCTGAGGTCAGGAGTTAGAGACCAGCCTGACCAACATGGAGAAACCCCGTCTCTACTGAAAATACAAAATTAGCCGGGAGTGGTGGCGCATGCCTGTAATCTCAGCTACTCGGGAGGCTGAGGCAGGAGAATCACTTGAACCCGGGAGGCAGAGGCTGCAGTAAGCCGAGATCGTGCCATTGCACTCTAACCTGGGCAACAAGAACGAAACCCGAAAAAAAAAAAAAAGGCTGGGGAGGTGATTGTGGGGAAAGACAGGTCTCCCAAAATGCCCTCTGTGTGTAGTTGTTCACGGAAACCACATAAACAGAAAATAGCTACAACAGCTAATTCTTACTAAGGTGTCAAGCGTTGTGCATAACACTGCCTAATGTGTGACATTAAACGTTTTCACCAGGTCAGCCACTTAATCTTCAGAAAACTGGTGGCCAACTCTGAGGTTTCACATTGACGTTTAATGGCTGTTCCTAAAGAAGTGCGTGCTTTTTAAAAAAATAGAGGATGGGAGGTAGGTTGGAAAGGGAAGATAAGCGGCAATGGAAAAATCGAGTGTGATTATTGCATTTTTATCAAATATGTCTGTCTGGATTATGTGGTTAGAATCACTGCAAATTTGGCTTCTATAAATACTTTAAAACTTTTTTCCAATGTTTTCATTATCAGATCCACTATGCAGGCTTTGAGTGGGCTGCCATTTAGTTCAGATATCAAAGTATTTTACAAGTAACTAATAGCATTTATTATCTACACGTGGAAAACTATAGCAAAGAAAGGTCAATCAAAAGTTGTGCTCTAGGTCATCAGATAAAATGAGATTAATACTGAAAAATTCTTCCACGAAGACCAGGGGTCCAGCTAAATGTGTGGTGGTGGGAAAAATGTTTATCTGACGTCCCTCTAAAGAAACCTCAGATGGGAGAAAAATGTCCCAGCCCCAGGAATGGACACATTTAGGTTTTTCCTTTTTTTTTTTTTTTTTTTTTTTTGAGACAGGGTCTCGCTCTGTTGCCCAGGCTGGAGTGTAGTGGCGCGATCTCTGCTCACTGCAACCTCCGCCTCCCGAGTTCAAGCGATTATCCTGCCTCAGCCCCCCGAGTAGCTGGGATTACAGGCGCGCGCCACCAGGCCCAGATAATTTCTTTGTATTTTTTAGTAGAGATGGGGTTTCGCCCTGTTGGCCAGGCTGGTCTCGAACTCCTGGCGATCCGCCCGCCTCGCGTTCCCAAAGTGCTGGGACCACAGGCGTGGGCCACCGCGCCCGGCGCACATTTGGGTTTTTCGTGGTCAGCAAAAGCACGACCACCCCAACACATAAATCTGGCGAATCATACGCAAATTCCCTCATGCTATATAACCTTCCACTGCTCTTCGTACCTTTGGACAGGAACATACTGTTATTTTAGGGAAGGAAATGGATCAGATACCTTGTCTCCTTCTTCTGCACTACCAAACACCCCAAATGGCGTCCCTAGCAATCAGATTCCAGAAACGTTTCCTCTCCTCTTGAAAGCCCACCGCTCCCTTCACCCAAAAAACAGAATAATCAGGGGCCTAATGAAGCTGTCCGGCCAACCTGCAGGAGAGAGCTGAGGAAGAACCACTTGCCGCGCCAGGAGCATCCCGCGCCGCACTATGGAGGCAGCCATCTTGGAGCGTACCAAAAGGAACAGCCAACGGGTTACGGACAGAGGAAGGGGCGGGGTTACAGCTCGACCTCTCGGGGCGCCCAGAATTGGACGAATCCCTTTTGTCGCTCTCGACGACAGGACCGACGCTCCGCCTCCTCGCCCCGGTTCCAGTAGTTGGTATGGTCCGAGACAGTATGGCTGCTGCATTTCGGCCCTCGAATCGAGTTCTCCTGCAGGCGCTGCAGATTTTGGTGTATCCTGGGGTGGGAGGCTCCGGCTCTGTCAGCTGCCGCTGCCCTCTCGGAGGTATCCGCGGCTTTAGCCTAGGGAAGGAGGGGAGGGATGGGAGAGAAGGGAGTGTTAGATCCCAGCTAGCATCTCTGTGGAGCAGCCACAGCTCCTAAGTCACTCACTGGCCTGGAGCGCACCCTCGCCCTCTAGTTGCACGTGGGTGCAGTGGTGACCACTGGGGGTCGTGGATACCCCCAGTGCCTGCAAATCGAAGGACTGCTGGGGTATTGACCTTGGGGCTGTAGTGCTCCCTCAGATGGGGCGACGTTCGTCTTCAGGAACATCCCTCCCGCCTTGGGTGACTTTTATTTATTTATTTATTTATTTTTGAGACGAAGTCTTGCTCTGTCGCCCAAGCTGGAGTGCGGTGGCGCGATCTCGGCTCACTGCAGCCTCCGCCTCCCGGGTTCAAGCGATTCTCCTGCCTCAGCTTTCCGAGTAGTTGGGACTACAGGCGTGCGCCACCACGCCCGGGTAATTTTTTGTATTTTTAGTAGAGACGGGTTTCACTATGTTGGCCAGGCTGGTTTCGAACTCCTGACCTCGTGGTCCACCCGCCTCGGCCTCCCAAAGTGCTGGGATTATAGGAGTGAGCCACCGCGCCCGGCCTTTTTCTTTTCTGCAGAGTTTGGAAGCAGAGGTCTTATGGAGTCTCAGTTCTGCTAACAATCTAAAAGACTTAACGGCACGTTTCTTCATTTTTCAAAACTATCCTCTAACATCTCTATGAAGAGAGTTAAATCTGAAGATGCTAGTGAGTGATAGTAAAAATGTTTGTCAGGCATTACTTTAATGTAGTTTACATACATTAATTCCTTTTCTCTAGACAACACCCAGCAAGAGAAGTACCATTCTTTTCTCCATTTACAGAGGAGGAACAAGGTTAAGTAATTTGCCCAAAGTCAGAGGGAACTGTTAGAGGTGGGATTTGAACACACCCAACAATAGAAACCTGCTCCTAACCACTTCACTGGACTGCCTTTCTGTAAATAAATAGCAACTTTTATTGTTACCTTGTTACTGCAGCTCACAGAACTCTGTTAGTGCGTGATTCTTCGGCCACGCTTGGTCCGTTTTATCTCATGCACAGCCAAGGATCCTAAAGAAAGGATGATGTTTCCCAAATCTACTAAGCTGTGATCAATGATTTCCATGTATCTCAAATGTATTTTGAGTCCACATCTGAGAGGCCTTAACCCCCTCATTTCACAGAGGACAAAACTGGGAGTTCCAGTGGTCATGCTGCAGCTTTTTCCACTACACTGTGCTTCTCCCTGGATAAACCAAAACTAAATATGCCTGTTTTGCATTTAAATGTTATTAGTTTTTTTTTTAAATGCCCTTGATACCCTTAACCGATGGCAAATGCCCATTTGTACTTCAAATCCCAACTTCCTGTCAACCAGTCCCCACACAGGTTTATCACTAGCTACGGTTAATCACTAGCTTCTTTCACACACACAAATAAAACCTGTTTTGCTGAGGATTTGCATTCTCTGGTAGTTCAGAAATTGTTTTTCCCAGGATTTATATTTGTACAGTTTGTACAGTTATATTTGTACCTGTCTAATGGATTATCTATAATAGATGTTAGAGGTAATCCAGCTCTATTCATGTTATTTGCTAACTTCTAAAACAGTCAAAATGACTTTACTTTTTTCTTTCTCTGATTTTTAGCTAAAAGATACCTACTTACAGATAATGTGGTGAAATTAAAAGAATTTCAACAAAAGAAAGTGGCTGTTGCATGTAATCTTTCTGGCACTAAAGGTAATAGAATCTATTTTGTTAATTCTGTCATTTATCTGTCATTTAAGTTTCTCTGTCTTTATCCCTATTCAGTGTCTCCTTCAGTGACTTTATTATGCCTTAGAAAAAGTTGAGACCATTTATTGTTAGTTTCATAGTGAACTCTTATATTTATCTTGCATTTCATACTTTGCTGCTACAACGTCTACAGCTCTCCTCTTATTCCTTCTCTTACGATCCCAGAGAAGTATTAAAGCTAGTGCTGCGATTGGTCTTGTCTAAATCTGTGCCATTAAAAGTGAGGTTTGAGGACCAGCGGCATCAGCATCTATTGGGTGGTTGATAGAAGTGCAGAGAGAAAGGCCCCAGATCATTCATATGCACAATAAAGTTTAAAAACTTCAGATGATTGGCTTTCAAACTTTTTGATGTAACCTTCAGTGAAAAATGCATTTTATGTTGCATCTCAGTACACACAAACATATCTATATATAAATGAAATCAAATGAAACAAAACAGTACTATGTGTGATGATACATTTGGTATTTTTCACTCTGTGCTAGAAAAGTCAGTAGGATCAAAAATTTCTTAAAAAACAAGAGAAACCTGACTACCAAACCTAGGATTTGGCTGGGCATGATGGCTCATGCCTGTAACTCCAGCACTTTGGGAGGCCAAGGCAGGAGGATTGCTTGAGCCAGGGAGTTTGAGATCAGCCTGAGCAGCGTAGACCTCATCTCTACAAATTTTTTTAAAGTTAGTTGGGCGTGGTGGTGCATGCCTGTAGTCACAGCTACTCCAGGGACTGAGGTGGGAGGATTGCTTGAGCCTGGGAGGTCTAAGGTGCAGTAAGCCATGATCACACCACTGCACTCCAACCTGTGTAACAGAGTGAGACCCTGTCTCAAAAAAAAGATAAATCTGGGATTTGCTTTGAAAAAAAATCCAGTGTGTTTGAGGATTGTAGTGTAGAGGAAACATAATTAGCAAAATATTGATAATGATTGAGGCTGGGTAATGGCACTTAGTGAGGGGGATTATTATCCTGTTCTTTCATTTCTTGGGTATGTTTGAAAATTTTTGTTATAAAAAGCTACAAACAAGAACACCACCCTAGGTCTTTTTCCCTTTCAGCACCTGAAAAATCTTGTGCATTCATTCTCTCCCTCCTGCACATAGAGTTCTTCCCAGCATTTCATACCTTTTATTGTGTGTGGATGCAGCAGTGGTCCCTGGGGGTTGTGGATATACCTCCTTGATCCTCCTTTATGAACACATCTAAGACTTTCCTTTTTTTTTTAATAACTCTTGGTGTCCCTACTGACTTTTTCAACCATAGACCCAGCTCTCCTTCCTCTCACTGCCAGATGTTTGTGAGCTCCTGATTAACACATTAACATTCTCTTTGTTTTGGTTTGTTTTTTAAGAGACAGTCTCGCTCTGTCACCTAGGCTGGAGTGCAGTTGGCACCATCATAGCTCGCTGCAGCCTCAAACTCTTGGATTCAAGCAATCCTGCTTTAGCCTCCTGAGTAACTAGGACTACAGTGCCACCATACCGCCTAATTTTTAATTTTTAATTTTTTTTTGTAGAGATGGTCTCACTGTGTTGAGGCTGGTCTCGAACTCCCAGGCTCAAGCTAGTATCCCGCCTCAGTCTCCTAAAGTACAAGCGTGAGCCACTGCACCCATCCTGATACTTTCTGCCTCCATTCCCTCACAATTCAGTCCTCCAGAAATCAATGTTCTCTCGCTGCTCCGCTAATCATACTGTTATATAATACCATATAGGGGGCAAAAAAATAAACCTTTGGAATGGGGGGAATATATTTATCCCCAGTTGAGTAGGCTCAATCTAGATTTCACTTCAGTCTTTTCTTTCTACCCAGGTATTTTAGATCTATGTGAGGTTTGCAGTTAGGGCTTCATGTCATCCAGTTGTGATTTCCAGTTGTCATAGTCTTCATAAGTCTGTGGCAGTTGTGTACATGTTCTGAAAGGCAATTAATATAATCAGTGCCAATCTGCTCTATTGTCAGACTGATATGTTTAAAGTCCTGTCAACCTTTCATCATTTTGAGAGCCCACAGTGGTACTCTGTTGTATACCACACTATTAACATACTCATCTCTCTGGCATCCTGGCTCTCCCGTGATGGACTCCGCCCTTTCTAGGACGGTTTCTGGTTGATCTAGTCACAGCTTTTCCCTCCACACCTGTCATTCCCAGTTCTGTTCTGTTGCTCATGCTGATTTCCTTACCTAGAATATCCCCCTCCTCCATTTCTCCAACCTGATTTCAGCCCTTTCCTTTCTCACTGGTACCCCTCCACTTTCACCAACCTGGTCTGTTCTGAGTCATAATAGTAAAGGTTGTAACAGGACTCTTCTGTCCACTCTGAGTTGTAATAGGTGTCGTAACAGGACAGAAGAGTCTTATTATGTTTATAGTATTCATGTGTCACCTCCTCCATCATTGTTTTCAGGTAGCTTTGTATAAATTTAGCTTGCCCTCCCCAAAATGCTTTTAAGTTCTTTGAGGGCAGGAACTATTCCTTACGCTTCTTGGTGTCTCACACACAAAGAAGGATACTTCCGAGTATGATTATATGATAAACAAATGTTGATTGATTTGTTTTAAAACACAAGTTATATCTGTTGAAATACTGGATTCTTAAGGTGTTGTTTTTTTTTTTTCTGAGACAGAGTCTTGCTCTGTCACCTAGGCTGGAGTACAGTGGCATGATCTCGGCTCATTGCAACCTCTGCCTCCCAGGTTCAAGCAATTCTTGTGCCTCAGCCTCCCTAGTAGCTGGGATTACAGGCGTGCACCACCACACCTGGCTACTTTTTGTATTTTTGGTAGAGACGGGGTTTCACCATGGTGGCGAGGCTGGTTTCAAACTACTGACCTCAAGTGATCCACCCACCTTGGCCTCCCAAAGTGCTGGGATTACAGGCCTGAGCCACTGCACCCGGCCTCTTAAGGTTTATTAAGGAGGATTAAGGAGTACAAGATGTAACGTCATCTCTTTGATGACTTGAGACTTTTTAGACTGGAAGTTGCTTAGAAATATTTAATAGACTAAATCCTCTTAGATCTAACAGGTGACACAAGGAATGAAAATGAGAACAATAATGTTTCTATTTACTGGCAGTTACCGAATGACAAATGCTTTACATATATCATCTCAGGTAACCCTGTGAGGAAGGTACCACGATCCTTAATTTACACATGAGGAATCAAGTCTCAGAGCAAGGGTCTCCATCAGAATGCAAGTGGCCGAGCTTAGATTTCAGCCCAGGTCCTTCCATCTCTAGAGCCTTTAACTGTTACATGGTTCTGCAAATAAAAATTGGAAGAGCCACTGCATTATCTCAAACCTAGTAGGTCTTTTCTTTTAAATTGAGAACAGTGCCTCTGCTTCTAGTTCTTGTGTTTTAGATGTATTTGTGCCTCTCCTTTCAGCAGCATTCCTTCAAAGCTCTGGGTTCTTGGAACAAATCCTATAGCTATTTCCTGGCAGCTTCTGATACTGACAACAGTTCTGCCTTCTGGAAAGCAGATGCTTGGTTGGTGCCTGCTTTGCTTTTCACCCCGCATTTTGGTGGGAATAAAGCCCCTTATTGATGACAAGAAGAGGTGCCTCCTTTTGGTTTTTGTCCCCACGGTTGATCAGATACAAAGACAAGGGAGAATGATAGACTGTGATGACACTGAAATGATTCTGTCACTGAAAAACTGTTTGCTGCTGTTTGGAGGACTGTTTTCCCCCCTGCCCATTACATAGTACTTTGGCATGCCTTCTAACAGCTGAGTAAAAAGAGACCAAGAGGAATGAAAAAGAGGTGAAGTTGAATCAAATGAAAGAAACGTGAGTCATGTGGGTCCACCATTGTGGACAAACCTACCTTCAACTCACATTTTCTTTTTAGTTTTCCCATTTGGTTCTCTGCCAGTTGACGGTTTGGGTGTCTGGCTACATTTTCTTTCTTTTTCTCATGAGTCACCTAGAGATTCAGTTATTTGAGCCAAGCCTCTGGAACAGTAATTCTCAAACTTTAGTATACCAGAGGATCACCTAGGGAATCAAAAATGCCAATTCTTGAGCTCTTACCCCACAGATTTTATTTTAGAGAGTCTTGAGTGGGCCTGGCCCTGTGCCCATGTCCCTGCCTCCTGTGACAGATGCCATCTGCTGATGCTGTTCTAGAGGAGATTGGCCAGTGATGGCAGCTGTGTGTTTCTGAACCCCTCTCAGTGCCCCTCTGCAGTGAGCCGGGGTTGGGCTTCCCCATCTTCCTGAGGTCAGACTCCTTATACTCTCAGTCAGCCTGAGTGATGGTCACCATACTGTGCTTTCTTCCAGAAACGTATTTTAGAAACTTGAAAAAGAAACTGACCCAGAACAAGCTCATCTTGAAGGGGGAGTTGATAACCTTACTACATTTGTGTGAGTCTCGGGACCATGTGGAACTGGCTAAAAATGTCATTTACAGGTGAGGCATTTCCTTAGAATGTTGCCACCCTTATCCCTTCTTACTCTGTTCCTTTCTATGAGCAGTCTGATCCACTTCGAAGTTGTTGCCACCTCTATACTAGTGACTTCCAGATCTCTTGTTCGGATGCCTACCTTGAACTCCAGACACCTACATTCACTTATTGTTGAGCACACACTTACTGGGTTCCTACTATATGCTGGGTGCTAAGGATAGAAAAGCAGATATTTTATGTCTAAAGAAGTTACCAGCCTATCACTGACATATCCCCTAGGTCTTCAAATTCATTATGTACAAATTCACTCCTCTTCTTCTGTTTTCCTTCTCACTGGCTAGTCACTCAGGACAGATATTTTGGAGCCTCTTTACTCTCATGTCATTTGCCTCTCTTTCCTGATAGGGTAAGAAATCCTCTTGGTTCTACTTCCTTGGTATCTCCCTCAGCTCTAGCCTTCCTCTCTCTATCTCCGTTAGCAGTGTCTTAGTTCACGCTTTAATGTCTCTCACCTAAATCCTTTCAGTGGACTCCTATTTTCCCTCCTCCAGTCCTGCTATACCTTTCTGATCCGTTATTAAAGTTTCCCATGTCAGAAAGAACTCGCATGTAAGCATAGCCTGCCACTGGGAAAGCCAGCAAAGGCTTCGCTTACCAGGGAGCAGTATGACATCAAATCAACAGACTTCATTTCTGAAATTAAATTCATTGCTCTTTTCCTTTTCTTTTTAAACTATTTTTTTTTTTTTTTTTGAGATGAAGTCTTGATCTGTTGCCCAGGCCAGAGTACAGTGGCACGATCTTTCAGCTCAATGCAACCTCCACCTCCAGGTTCAAGCAATTCTCTTGCCTCAGTCTCCCAAGTAGCTGGGGTTACAGGTGCCTGCCACCACACCCGGCTAATTTTTGTATTTTTAGTAGAGAGTGGGTTTTGCCATATTGGCCAGGCTGGTCTCGAACTCCTAGACTCAAGTGATCCATCCACCTCAGCCTCCCAAAGGCTGGGATTACAGGCATGAGCCACCACGCCCAGCCCTCCTTTCCATTTTTAAAAGATCTGTTTCTATATATGAACCTGTATTTATATGTACATTTATAGAGAGAAATACAAGATAATCATATAAAGAATACTGGAAGATTCTCTACCAAAAGTTAACTGGTTCTCTAGGAATTATGGATTATGTATTTTTTGTTTATCTAAATGTATATTTTTCTGATTTCTCAAACTTGTCTACAGTGGACATTAATTTTATAACATGAAAAAAATGTCTTTTTTTAAGTAAAAATTAAAAAATTCATTGAAAAATTGAAAAACACCAAAAAGTAGAGAGAAGTAATATGTCACAAATTCTGCTGTTTCAGTTGTCTGTTGCTGTATAACAACCCACACCAGAACTTAATGGCTTAACACAGTAACTATTTATTATTTCTCATAATCCTGGAGTCAGGAATTCAGGCCCATCTCCACTGAGCAGTTCTTGGTTGGTGTCAGATGAAGCCACTCACTCATCTGCAGTCAGCTGGTAGCTGGGCTGTACTACATGGTCCAAGAAGTCCTCTCTTGAGTTTGTGATGCCTCATTGCTCCTCCATGTGGCCTCTCCCTGTCTTTCTGGAGTGCCTCATTATTCATTTGTTGGTTTGAGCTGCACTGGCCCACAGCCCAGATGGGAGCTGCCAGGCATGATAGAGCTGCCCAGAATTGGCATGGCTTCTCTTGGTTAAGGCAAGTTGCCTGGCCAGACCAAAGTCAAGGGGAGGGGAAAAGGATTCTACCTCTGGATGGATGGAGCCATATGCACATACAGAGAGGGAAGAAATTGATGGCAGCCATCTTTGGGGCCTGTTGCTCCCATCTAAGAAACCACTGTTAATATTTTTGCATTTTTTTTTTTCACAGATGTAAAGATTTCATTGTTTTGGTAGATTTTGCTTTACATTGTTATAGTTATTGCTGTGTAATTATTTTCTAAATATAAATATTTTCATGTTAATCATATCCTTAGGAATCATAGTTTAATGGCAATACAGTATTTATTATATGTTAGGTATTTTCATCAACTATGCCCATATTGTTGGACATTGAAGTTTTTTCTAATATTTCACCAGTATAAATAATGTCATGATGAGAAACTCGCTGCATAAAACTTACTCTTTGTTTCCTTTTGGGGATCAGGGGGTATGAACTTTTTAAAGTTTATCAATATATAACTGTCAGATTATTTTCCAAAAGTGTTATGCTAATTTAAAGTCACACTGTATCTACAAACTTAATTCCGTATTTCAGTTTCACAAAGTTAAATCATTTCCCTTTGGCATGTTTTCCTCTCATTTTACTACACAAAGCTATTCAATGTTTATAAGAGTAGTAAAATGAGATAAATATCCTGAACACTCTTTCTACTCTTATTTTTATCATAAATATTCAAAGTATGACTTAGTTCCTTTACTGATGCTAATAAATCTCTACCCAGTTGCTGACCTTTTCCCTCTCTACTTGTAGACAGCCGGACAAGTGGAAAGATGGGTAGATCCAAGGCTCCACCAACATGTTCTCTTTCTCCCTGAGTCAGGCAGCCCGTGGCTGGGAAAGGAGAGTCACGAGCTGAAACATAAGCTTTTTATTGAGCCAAAAATGGGGAGCATCTTAATACCCTCGTTATGTTGACCAAATGCTGTTTGGTTTATTGAGGGATTTTAGACCCTCTTGAACATTTCTTGTCCAGAAGGCAATTCATTATCTCAGTGACTTTCTAGCACTTTTATTAATGTGAATGTCATTTAGCATGTTAATGTCAAATCAGAAACTTTTTTTTTGCTTTCTTTTGCTTTTAATCTGGCACAAGTTTCTCATGAGAATATTTACTGAAATATGTTGATTTTTGAAGATGTTTTCCTTAGCATGCCTTACGTTTTATAAAGATTTATATGTTGAAGACTTGTGTGCCAGGCACATCATCTCATTTAATCTTCACAAAAAAACTGAGTTGGGTTCTCTTCTTCCTTCCATTTTACAGATGAGGAGACGGAAGCACAGAGTAGTTAATTAATTTGCTCATCATCACACAAGTAGAAGAGCTAGGATTTGAATGATCAGTTTGGATTCAGAGCCTGAAAACCCTTAACCACTATCCTATATTGCCTTCCAAAAACTTAATTTATAAGTGTTGTAATGAAGCAATGAATATTATTTATAACTTCTTTTTTTTTTTTTTGAGATGGAGTCTCGCTCTGTCGCCCAGGCTGGAGTGCAGGGGTGCTATCTCGGCTCACTGCAAGCTCCGCCTCCTGGGTTCATGCCATTCTCCTGCCTCAGCCTCCCAAGTAGCAGGGATTACAGGCGCCCGCCACCACGCCCGGCTAATTTTTTTTTTTTTTGTATTTTCAGTAGAGACGGGGTTTCACCATGTTAGCCAAGATGGTCTCGATCTCCTGACCTCATAATCCGCCTGGTTCGGCCTCCCAAAGTGCTGGGATTACAGGTGTGAGCCACTGTGCCCGGCCTATTTGTAACTTCTATAAGTGGATAATGAAATGTATCAAAGTACACCTCATCATTCTATTATGGTATCATTGTAGTATATGCATTTAGAATAGACTAGCGTAATACTACTCTGACTCCTCGATGATTTTTAGCAGAAGGTAAAAAGTATCCTGTTTTATCATCAGCGCTTCTCCCCAAGGTATTTTAGATTCACTCATTATATGAATCTAAATCTGAAAGAAATATGAATATGAAGATTCTTAATGAATAAGTCTTTCTAAAATCTGATTTATGTGTAATCATGAGGTGTTGATTTTGTCATATATTGTCCTCTTGGTGTCTAAAGCAAAAAGAATTGGTTATTGAAAGTAAATTTACAGTAGTGATATGCAGTTCTGACTGGCAGACTGGCTGCCTGTAGAAATCTCAAGCCACATAGAAGACATCATTATCTTTGAGATTAGCCTTTTCCTAAAACTTAAACATTCAAAACCACATTTAATTTGTTTAGCCAGGTGATCATAGCCCAGGTGTACCTTTCTCAAGCTTAGAAAAGCAGAGAGTTGCTGTAAATTGTAAATGTGACTGTTGGTTGTCTGCCATCCTATATGAGGATGAAACCAGCCTCCAGGAGCACAGAGCATCACCCCCACTTCTTTCCCTTGTTCTCCTCTGGGTGGGGCCCATTCTGATGCACTTACAGATGCTACTAGACTCCTGCTGTTTCTTAAGGTGTGCTCACACTCAGTCTAGGGGTTGTTTCTAAATTTAGAGAATGATTACAACATACGTTTTTCCTCTGTTTCTTTTATTTTATGTCAGTCTGCTGTAAATTCTGTTTACTTGTTTAAATGATTGGTGTACTTCTGCACTCCAGGATTCCTGATTGTCTGAAATCTCCATTTCTCCCCCTCCAGACTGTGAGAGGACTTCGTTCTCTGTTGTGTCCCAGTACCTGGCACAGTACCTGCCATAGTCTGTGTCTGTCCTTTTTCCTGTGTCCTACCTTTTGGCTCATTGAATCATTTTCATTACCAGGTACCATGCAGAGAACAAAAATTTCACTTTGGGGGAGTATAAATTTGGACCGCTTTTTGTGAGGTTGTGTTACGAGTTGGATCTCGAGGAATCTGCAGTGGAGCTCATGAAAGACCAGGTTATTGTTTCCTAATTGTTTTCTCTGCCAATGTGTGTGTTTTTGGTGATATTGGAAAAGGCATGTCTTCTATGTACATTATTCCTGGGTTAGATTTTCAAAGAAAGGCTGCTGGGGCTGAATGAGCACATCTCTGCATTTTTAAGTTTCCTTGCAGTCAGTTTGTGTGAAGGGGGGTGGAGTAATATAGAACAAGTGTGGAGGAGGTATAGGTACAGATGATCCTACCTTGGATGTGTATCAATGTGGGTTGTACACCTGCTTTTTTAGGGGCTTTCAATAGAGAAGAGCTTAAGACAGTCTCCATTTAAAGACTGACATTCCTATCCTTTACCTGTATTCCCTCTCGATTTTGTATTTGTATTTTTCTGGTTGAAGACTACATTTGGGAAGTGCTTTTCTATTTTCAAAATACTTTCCGTCACATATTCTGACTTTCTGTTCCTAAAAACAAAAGTAAATAATTATTTTTACAGCTACTCATTGAATATTTACTATGTCTTCAGCATTGTGTTTAAGTACTTTAAATGTTTCATTTTATTTGTTTCTCACAATAGCCCTGATAAGGTAGATTTCCATTTTGTAGATAAAGAAACTAGGACCTAGAGACATTATAAATTCATTCATTCATTATGAAGTCATTTTGATTACTAGATGCCATGTAGAGAACAGAAACATCACTTTGGGGGAGTGTAAGCTTAGACTGCTTTTCATGAGGCTGTGTTTCCCATAATCAGAAACATTTGCTAAATTTTGGGGCCACGGCTGGCCACCAGGTACCTTTTTGTATATTTAGGAACTTACATAACAAGTTGAGTTGTTCTTCTGCCTCTTACTCTTTTTTTATACAAAATTTTCTCTGTACATGGTGGGCATGTTAACTCTAGACTTGCTCCTATTTAATGACACCTGTGTATTAGAAAGATACCCATAATATATTAGTAAGCAGAGAAAAGGTTGTTTCGGAACAGTACAGATAGTTTGATCCTGTTTTTTTTTGTTCCATAAGAAAAGACACATATTAACATTAACATTTTAACAAAATATAAATACATAGATACTGGAAAGATAGACACTAAATCACTTTATCTTTAGGGGGTAGAATTATTAAAAATTCTCACTTTTTACTTTATACATTTTTGTATTATTTGACTATTTTTAATAAACATATGTTAATGTTTCAGTTAAAGGAAAACAAAAGCTTCCCACTGTAATAAATCATAGCCATGAGTATGGTGATAAAAACAAAAATAAAAAAGATGAAAGCAAACGGGTTTTTTTTAGCCTGCTTGTATATGAAAAAGTCATGTATAGGTAAATTTTCTGGAGTAGAATGGACAAATTCGAGTAAGTGACATAGGACCTAATCCTGCTTCTAGCCGAACTTCTCTTGTTCCCTACTTACAACCCTGTAGTGTTGCCAGCATGGTAGCCACATGGAGTCATTGAACTGTGGCTAACTCAAATTTACATGTGCTGTAAGTATAAAATATATGATGGATTTTAATTACTTGTTATAAAAAGAATGCAATGTATGTTAATTTTTATATTGATTACATGTTGAAATTACATCTTGGATATAGTGGGTTAAATAATTTAGTCTATTTCTGTTTACTTTTTTAAATGAGGCTAATTGAAAATTTAGAGTCACATACATTGTGATTCTAAAATATCCTTGGTGACTCAAAATGCTTTTCCATTGGCTGGGGCTGCTCTGGTGGCTTTCCCTCACACTTAGAAGAAAACCCAGACCCTTGACTCTGACCTAGGGGGCCCATTGTGCCATCTCCCCTTTCTCCCTTGCTGACTTCACTCTGGACCTGCATGTTCTTCCTCAGCCATGGCGAGCTCACAGCCTCTAACTGGAACATTCTGCATTCTTATCCTTGAGGCTCCCTCCTTGACCTCACTGAGGTCTCTTCTCACAGTGCCTTCCCTGACTACCTTCCATCCATCTTCTCTACTTGCTCTTCATAGACTTTACTAATAGCTGAAATTAATATTTTTTTTCACTTGTCTTATTCACTGTCTTCTCCACCAGAATTTAAGCTCTACTAGATTATAAACCCTAGTAGGGTTTTGAGCAGGGTGTATATCCTGTTTATCATTTCTTTATTCTCAGCACCTAGAACAGGGTCTGCATAGTAGGTGATCGGAAAAGAGTGAACTTGAGCAAGGCATTTAATGACACATTTGAATACCATGTGTCCCATTATCATGGCACACAAAATGTTGAGATGTTAGCAAGATGTTGGTCAAAGGATACAAAATTTCAGTAAGATGGAATAAGTTCAAGGGATTTCTCTGTACAACATAGTGACTATAGTTAATGACAATGTATTGTATTCTTCAAAATTGCCTAAAGAATAGGTTTTATGTACTTTCACCACACAAAATGAGTATGTGAAGTAATGCATATGTTAATTAGCTTGGCTTAGCCATTCTGTAATATATACATATTTCAAAACAACATACTGTTTTTTGGGGTTTTTTTTGGATACAGGGTCTTGCTCCGTCACCTAAGCGGGAATACAGTGGCACTATTATCATAGCTCATTGCAGTCTCATAACTCTTGGGTTCAAGTGATCGTCCTACCTCAGTCTCCCAAGTAGCTAGGATTCCAGCCTTGTGCCACCACACCCAGCTAATTTTTTAAATTTTTATTATTTTTTTTAAGAGATGGGATCTTGCTGTATTGCCCAGGCTGGTCCTGAACTCTTGGCCTCAAGTGATCCCGCCTCTCCCTCCCAAAGTACTGGGATTACAGGCGTGAGCCACCACACCTGGCCAAATATATACAATTTTTATTTGTCAATTAAATAAATACATACAGACAAGTTGGAAAAAAATGTTGAGAACCACTGTTTTGGAGAATTATTTCAAAAGGCGAATAATCAATTCTGTATTATCCGTTGCCAAAAAAAGACCATAGTTGTGTGAGACCCTCCTGCCTTAGTCCTCAAGTATATTTATAGCTGCCATTTCATGTTAATAGCTGGCACCTAGTTTCCAGGACCACTCTGCCAGGGTTAACTGGCTAGTTTCTTTTCTCCTAAGCATGACAAATGACGGTTCCTTAAAGACGTCCTTCATGGTAATTATGAAACCCAGAGATCTCTTGCTATACCTCTCAGCATGACAGCCAAGAGAGTGGACAGCATTTTAACTTTTTTCTTTTTTTTTTTTTCTTTTTGAGACGGAGTCTCGCCCTGTCACCCAGGCTGGAGTGCAGTGGCGTGATCTCGGCTTACTGCAGCCTCCACCTCCTGGGTTCAAGCAATTCTCTGCCTCAGCCTCCTGAGTAGCTGGGATTACAGGTGCCCACCACCATGCCCAGCTAATTTTTGTATTTTTAGTAGAGACGGGGTTTCACCATGTTGGCCAGGCTGGTCTTGAACTTCTGACCTCGTGATCCACCTGCCTTGGGCTCCCAAAGTGCTGAGATTATAGGCGTGAGCCACCACGCCCGGCCAACTTTTCAAAAATAAAACCTGGGTATATAAAATATATTAGAGAATTCAGAAGGCCAAATGAGTAAAGCATGCAGAATAATAAGACCTGGCTAGATAAGAGACAGTAAAAGTACCTCCTCAATAAATAGTTTTAACTTTTAACCAAACTGTATTGTTCTTCTTCGTTAGCATTTACGAGGTTTCTTCTCAGACTCCACATCATTCAATATTTTGATGGATATGTTATTTATCAAAGGCAAATATAAAAGTAAGTACTGCAATTTCTATTTGCTGAAAAATTCTGCCATGTTTGCTGGCATAGGAACTAGGGGGAAAAATGAGTCATGCAAAAATGATTCTTCTGTAATCCCAGCACTTTGGGAGGCTGAGGCGGGTGGATCATGAGGTCAGGAGATCGAGACCATCCTGGCTAACAAGGTGAAACCCCGTCTCTACTAAAAATACAAAAAATTAGCCGGGCGCGGTGGCGGGCGCCTGTAGTCCCAGCTACTCGGGAGGCTGAGGCAGGAGAATGGCGTGAACCCGGGAAGCGGAGCTTGCAGTGAGCCGAGATTGCGCCACTGCAGTCCGCAGTCCGGCCTGGGCGACAGAGCGAGACTCCGTCTCAAAAAAAAAAAAAAAAAAATGATTCTTATATCCCTGATAAGTGGCTGAATTCTGGAGACCTTAGGAAGTTTGAAAACATTGCATTGCATGTCATCCCTTAAACTAAATATCCCAGATTTTACTTATGCTAAAATTGTGAAGCAGCTTTTAAAACATTAGTTCTTCCTGTTTGACTTGATAGTTTATTTCAACATTTAGTTAATTGCTAAATGACTTTGAGGAATAGCTTTTATTTTGTTGAAATACACTTTTCTGTAGATGGTGCTGAACAGATGAGAGCTTTGGGGGCCAACAGTAGAGGAACTCTAACACTGCGATCCACTCTTCACTTTTGGCAGGTGCTTTGCAAGTATTGATAGAGATGAAAAACCAAGATGTGAAGTTCACCAAAGATACCTATGTTCTTGCTTTTGCAATTTGCTACAAACTGGTAAGACTCTTTCCTCTTAACTTTGAGAGCATTGTGTGTAGTCTTTGAGAGAGGATTTTTCTTCTCTCTACAAATAAAATTCAGTTCCTCTGAAATCTGTTTTCCATCTGGTGCAAATGTTTTAATTTTAAATGTTTTTATTTTTAGAAAACTCAAGTTAGCCATATCAGGCAGTTTTATGGGAAAAGTAATTTTTTCATCTTTCACTCTTCTCTGGTGATTGTGTAGATAGTGAGAACAAGAGGCAATGTGTTGGGTTCAGGCTCTGCTTTAAAGTCATCACGCATGCTGGACTCTGCTAGATCCATCTTCCCTGTTGTCCTTGTCTATGGAAATCTTAGCTTCCTTCATTGGTGAGCTCAAGGACTACTTTGTCCTCATATGTGAAGGCTTTTGCAATCACCGAAACTGGAAGTGATGTTTGTCACCTCCAGATATCCCTTAATTTTGCTCTATTTGTGTCACCTCCCTGGTACTTCTGACACAGCTTAATGTACTTAGCAGATGCACGTTCCATTCTCTCCACTTGAGTGTGAGCTCCTTGAGGTTTCTTTGTATCCCACCACCTAACACAGTGCCTGGTATCCAGTAGTTCTTTAATAAACGTATGTGACATGAAAATGAAGTCCAAGGACAGAGACCATGACTTATACGTTCTTTTATCAATACAAAAAATTAGCCAGGCGTGGTGGCATGCACCTTGTAATCCCAGCTACTCTGGAGGCTGAGGCAGGAGAATTGCTTGAACCCAGGAGGCAGAGGTTGCAGTGAGCCAAGGTTGTGCCACTGCACTCCAGCCTGGGTGACAGAGTGAGACTCTGTCTCAAAAAAAAAAAAAAAAAAAAGTTATTTTATTATTACTGTACCAGGATTATTTCTTGCCCATAGAAACTCTTTCTTCAATGTTTAGTGAATGATCATTGAAATAGTGAAATGATCAATGTTTAATGTATTACTGTTGTCATTCGTATCACTTAAACTTTGGAAACCTGGCACACAAAACCTCTTTATACTGAAAACAAAGGAACATGAAGCGAAGTAGAAGAACATGGGCTGTTGAAAAACTCCCCTGAAGAATGTAGCAATACCAGTTTTCCAAAACAAGGGGATAGCTGGGTTATAGTGGAAAGAAAACCAAGTGGAAATTGAGAAACTTGGAGTCTAGTCTCAACTTTGGTATTATATAGCTTATATATATGACTTATATAGCTGTGAACTGATCACCTATCTCATTTTACAAATGAGATGGTTAGATTTGGGAGTCAGCAAACTTTTTTTATGAAAAGCTAGATAGTAAATATTTTAGGCTTTGGGGGCCACATATGTCTCTGCCTCATGTGATCTCTGCCCCATATTCTTTGTTTTTGTTTTTACAGGCCTTTAAAAATGTTAAAGTCATTCTTAGCTGTAGGCTACATTTAGCCCAAGGGTCATAGTTTGCTGACCTCTGGATTCAATAATTCTTTCCATTCATACCATTCTATGATTCTAGGAGGCCAAAAAAAAAACACCACACAGCACTAGAGCATCACTTATTCAGCATTGAAATTCCCAGCCTTCTTGTCCTCTACTTAGGGATGCCTCCCTGAGTGTATACTGCAATGACGAGAATTTCAATTCTACTTAGAGGCCATGCACAGTGGCTCACACCTGTAATCCCAGCACTTTGGGAGGCCGAGGCAGGCAGATCACCTGAGGTCAGGAGTTCGAGACCAGCCTGGCCAACATGGTGAAACCCTGTCTCTACTAAAAATACAAAAATTATCCAGTGGTGGCAGATACCTGTAATCCCAGCTACTTTGGAGGCTGAGGCAGGAGAATCGTTTGAACTGGGGAGGCAGACGTTGCGGTGAGCTGAAATCGCACCATTGCATTCCAGCCTGGGCAACAGAGCGAGACTCTGTCTCAAAAAATAAAATAAATAAATAAATTCTATTTAGGAAAGGCCAGAGGACTTTTCTCCCCTGTGTCATGTCCAAGAATAACTTGTTTCACCCAGTGGAGATGAGTTGAAAAAGTGATCTGGTCAGCCAGTACAAATTCCACATCAATTCTGGGAACTGTCCTCTCTCATCCCATTTGAACTCTATTTTGACAGGAGTTGCAACTCCCGTTATGACAGATGACAAAGTTGCACAGCCAGGCTGCTGTCATAAACCTAATCCCCTGCAGCATGCACAAAGGAAGAGGATTTGGTTTTACCACTGCTGTTTTTATATCACTGACATTCTTGGATTTTTTTTTAAAGGTTTCTGTTTTCATGGGATTCTTTTATAATTTATGTTCAAATTAGTGTTCGTGTTTTCAAATATTTGACATATGAATATTTTCAGATTGGAAATCCCCCAGAAAAAGTTTCCTGGTGTTGTTGAGCCTTAATCAGCTATTTCATATAGTAGCAGGCAGAACCTTTATACTCATAAATTATGGGGTCTTTGTCTAGAAACTAGCCTGCCCAGATACAAAGACATGTGTATGTTTTCTGGTTAAAACTGCCCCAATTCAGAAAATTGAAAATGAGCTTTAAAAATAAAGTTAATTTAGATTTGACCTGCTAGCCTATCAGTAGCCTGGTGTATTTGCAAATAGTCTTTATATGGGGCTTAATCTTTTAAGTGGCTTGAGGGAGGCTCTAGGAAATCCTTACAAAAGGAACTATAAATACTGAGCACTATTAATCATTTTATTGAACTTAAAGGTTTATAACATTAATCGAACAATCCTGTCTCCTCACAGAATAGCCCTGAGTCTTTCAAAATCTGTACTACATTAAGAGAAGAAGCTCTACTCAAAGGAGAAATTCTCTCCAGGAGAGCATCCTGTTTCGCTGTGGCATTAGCTCTGAATCAGGTAAAGCCTTGTGGTGTACATAAGTAAATTGGGAGTGGCCAGGACTTCATTACTTTTATTCGTCCTTGCTTTTCCTTTTTTCCTTCTGACTGCATCGTAAAGAAGTAGTCACCATAAAGAGACCAATGCCTTTGTTGCCATGGCAACCTATATCTATACCTATACCCACAAAGAATGATTTTATTTACAGTTGGGGACCTAACATGCATTTCTAAATAGAAGGGTAGAGAAATTTCTCAAGTAATTAAAATGAAAATTGCAAGTCATCAGATTACGTTGTAATGTTCTCAGAGAACAGTTTAATTTAATGCTCTCCAAAGTTGAATTAGCCTCAGATGAATGAGGACTGCTGTGTCAGCCCATTGTAGAAATGGGATCCATCACATATTTCATAGTTACATCCAACTACTACTGTTATTTGGGTGAGACCTTAGTGATCATTTAGCCTCATTCCCCTGACTGGACAGGTGGAGGTAGCAGAGACCCAGACATAAGAGGGGACCTCCCTGAGGTCATGCCTCAGTGATGGACAGAGTTAGAGCTGAAACCCTGGAACACCATCTCTCTGGAAGAGCCTCTCCTGAGATTTCCTATTCCAGAGCCTAAAAAATATGAAATGCTTTACATGTTTCCTATGTAGTAAAAGGAAATTTTACAGCAGAAAAATAGTAACCAAGCCAGGTTATTTTCCTGGCTGGTAAAATATAGCTGGAGAACTCTTATTATTAATTAGAAATCAAAACGTGAGGGTGATGCATTTCCATATACTGCTGGGGGGAGTCATTGAAGGACAAGCCAAGAGGTTATACACTTCCCAGCCTTCTGCTGGGCCAAGATCATTTCTTTAACTTTCTAAGCTTCTCTTGCTGTGCAGGGGAATTATTTTGTCTTCTTAGTCAGTCATGAGGTGAGTGAGGTGAATTAAAGTGTCTTTGAAGGCATGTGTTTTTCTTTCTTTGTATAGCTCCTGTAGTTTTTCTTTATTTATGTCTAAGTTACACTGTTTGGTGCACAGATACATCATCACTGTTACATCGTCATTGTGAATCCCTCACTTTAGCATTATAAAGTGCCTATCTAGGTCATGTTTACTGCTTTTGCCCTGAGTTCAACCTTATCTAATATTAGTATCTCCACCCCTCTTTTTGCTTGTTTTTCTCTTTGTTTTGATCAGGTTTGCATTTGACCAATATACAGCTTTTCCTATGCTTTATTTTTGCAATCTTTCTGAATTGTTTTGTTTTAGCTTTGTCTCTTATATACTGCATAAATTTCTGTGTTGCTTTATAATATGATGCTAATCTTTTAATATAATCCATTTGTATTAATGTGACATATATTTGATCTTGGGTCTCGTTTGATGCTTTCTGTTTCTATAACTTTTTCTACTCTCTTATGCCATGTGGTTATTTTCTCTAGTTGGTATTTTTGCTCTAGTGGTGACTTTAAAACCATAGTTTTGATTTTCTTAATTATTTAATTCTTTTGACAAGACCTGTTAATTCCCTAATATAAGTAATGGTGAAATTACTATATTTCCTCTGTTTTTCATCTTATTTTCTTCCTCCCCCATCCAATACCCAATTTTAGCTGGTATTTTATTTTGATAGTGTTCACTTTACTCTTAAATGTACTTGATTTGTCAGTTTGAAGTGATATTTTTTGGCCTGCTGATAATAAAGATAAGGAAATGGGAATGCCTTTTCTACCTTTCATCTCTTTCCCTTCTCTTTCTTTCATTAGTATTAACATTGCTTCATTGTCCAGGCATATAACATTTACACTCTGTACTATAGCCATACTCCCAACTTTTGAGTCCTTTGTATAGTTAAATAGGTTGTTTGGTGCTAGTTGTTTTTCCAGTTTTGTCTTTGTTGGCTGAAGTGAGTATTTTAGTAAATTCTTTGGAGGAATGATATCCCCTGAGTTCTTGGTATTTTAAATTATTTTATTTGCCTGTTGTTTTTGTACTTGAACTACAGTTTGGCCAGATTTACAATTTCAAGGTGACATTTTCTTTTCTTGAGGTACTTTTAGGCATTGCTTTTCTGTCTTCTAGTATGGAATATTGGAGAAATCTAGTATGGAATGTGGAGAAATCTAACGCCTGCCTGATTTTTTTCCACTTGATTGACGTGATGTTGTTCATTTTTCTCATTTCTATCTTCTATATCCATGGAAATATTTTTCAATTAGGGTTTCTTCATCGGCCAGTTATTTTCTTTTCTTTTCTGTTTTTTTTTTTTTGAGACAGAGTCTCACTCTGTCTCCCAAGCTGGAATGGAGTGGCACGATTTCGGCTCACTGCAACCTCCGCCTCCTGGGTTAAAGTGATTCTCCTGCCTCAGCTTCCTGAGTAGCTGGAATTACAGGCATGCGCCCAGCCAAATTTTTGTATTTTAGTAGGCGTGTGCCCAGCTAAATTTTTGTATTTTAGTAGAGACAGGGTTTCACCATGTTGGCCATGCCCAGCTGCTTTTTGTATTTTAGTAGAGACAGGGTTTCACCATATTGGCCAGGCTGGTCTTGAACTCCTGACCTCAAGTGATCTGCCCGCCACAGCCTCCCAAAGTGCCGGGATTACAGGCGTGAGCCACTGTACCAGTTATTTTCTTAATTTTGTTCTACTGTGTTCCTTTCCTCTTTTTAAAAATATCATCTTTATGAGTGTCATGTGGTGGTTCTTTTTTGACTATTCATCATTGAAAAGTGTAAGTTTCAGGCCTAACACTGTGGCTCCTGCGTGTAATCCCAGCACTTTGGAAGGGGGGAGGATCACTTGAGGCCAGGAGTTTGAGACCAGCCAAGACAACATAGGGAGACCCTGTCTCTACAAAAAATAAATAAATAAATAAAACAGGTGCAGTAGTACCTAGTACATGCCTGTAGTCCTTGCTGCTCAGGAGACTGAGGCAGGAAAATAGCTTGTGCCCAGGAGTTTGAGGCTGCAGTGAGCCATGATTCCACCACTACCCTCCAGCCTGGGTGACAGAGCAAGACTCTGTCTCTAAAAAATAAAAATTCTGGCCAGGTGCAGTGGCTAACACCTGTAATCCCAGCACTTTGGGAGGCTGAGGCGGGCAGATCATGAGGTCAGGAGATCGAGACCATCCTGACTAACACGGTAAAACCCTGTCTCTACTGAAAATACAAAAAAAAATTATCCAGGCATGGTGGCGGGCTCCTGTAGTCCCAGCTACTCTGGAGGCTGAGGCAGGAGAATGGCGTGAACCTGGGAGGCTGAGCTTGCAGTGAGCTGAGATTATGCCACTGCACTCCAGCCTGGGCAACAGAGCGAGACTCCGTCTAAAAAAAATAATAATAAAATAAAATAAATAAATAAAAATAAAAATTCAAAAATAAAAGAAAAACGTGTTTCTTTTAGACCGGTCATTTGTAGATTCATGTCAGAGAAAGAGAGAACAACAGAGCGGGACACCAGAGCACTGTTCTAGACTAGCAGGATTTTTCTTCATATAACCCAGAGTTTTGTCTACAAGTATGCACAGGCCTCATTTCTTTTAAGTCAACAGAAGTAGGCACTGAGGTGGTTTTTGGTACGCAGTCTCTTCTCTGCTGCTGCTGTCTTAGGAACATACTGTTTCCTATGAGTATGTCTTGCCTATGGAAACGCTTGACTAGCCTCATCTCTGCCACCACAGGATCCACGGAAGTTCTCTTTACTAGTCCTGCGCTCTGTTCTCATCATTGTAAATAGGAATTTAGGTTTTGTACTTCAGGTTGTGCCCTTACCTTTGAGAGCTGTACTGTTGTAGATTCTTTGTGAGATATAGAGCACTGTCTGCCTCTGACTGCTTTCTCCTGAACCCTGCCAGCCTCCATTTCCAATGTTTCTGGCAGTGTTTCCAGCTGTGCTGTGGCTTGAGGTTTCTATGTTCTAATTATGTATGTCAAAGACAGGCTTTGCACTTTGTTCTTCATTCCTATTTTTTTAGAAGCTGATTCCAATAGGAGAAGGGGAAATACCAACTTTATGCCTGCATCTTAAAAACTGGACTCAGGCAGGTTGTTAAAACATTCAACAATATGCGACTGGATGGAGAATTTTATGGAATGTTTAGTTTTGATTTCCGAAACATTTTATCTTTGTGGACTTCAAAACCCTGAGGTCACCTTAATAGGAATATACTGCCCTCTCTAAGTGATCTTTTACAATAACATTAGTTCCTATGATATGGAATATGATTTGTTTCTCTTCCTTCTAGAATGAGATGGCAAAAGCTGTGTCCATTTTTTCTCAAATCATGAATCCAGAAAGCATAGCCTGCATTAATTTAAATGTAAGTGATTTCTTTATGGTTTAAGGTAAGCCTTGAAATGTATTATAATAAATGTATTATAATAAAATTATACCTAAATTTTTTAGCTGTATACAATGACTTGCTCTCCCAAGGTTTTCATTCAAATCAATAGTCATTTATTGAATTCCTCTCTGAAAATTACAGTATCACCCTTGTAAGAAGAGTCAACACAGCTGTCGCTTCCAGGAGTTTGTAAACAGGTTGGAGAGAGGTAGATATGCTCATATATAAGACATGGCTAGATGCTGAAGACATGAGACGTGGCTAAGAAAGCTGTAGATGTAGGGAGGAGGAGGGGATGGAGACAGATCCTCCAGGCCCTTTACCAAGCCTTGAGAGAAACCCATGTGCCAACTGCGTCTTATTGGTAGTACCTAACTCATGGCATTGTTGCAATTAATGAGCTTATATACTTATGGTACACAAAATAGTGCCTGACATGTGGTAAGCATTCAGTAAATGTTATCTATTGTCATTCTTATTATGTTGCCAGTATGCCCATGGTCCTCTTCCCCATTAACTTACCTGGGCCACCTGGGTCACTTATTTGGGACCTTGTGGTCTGGGTCAGCAAGTGGCTGCACACATATCACCAAGACATGCAAAACCTTAATCCCTAAAACTAAAAGCATAGGAAAAAAAATTATCTCAGATTCACCAGATTCACGCTAATAATAAAGTTTGAGGCATATTACTACTCCCAGAGTTTGAGCAGTGTGTCACAAAACCTTCCTGGACCAATTATAAAAGACTGTCTTGTTATTAAGGACACCATAGCCCCCATTCAGCCTGCCCATATTGAGACTCCTTGTATACTGTGTCTACTTGTGTGGGGGGAGTTGCAAAAGAAAAAAACTTTCAGGAGCTTATAGTCTCCTGAAACAGTCAGAGGGTTGAGATGAAGAAAACATTTTCAGAAAAATGGAAATGTGTAAGCATTAGCATGACACAAACTAGGAAAACAAGTCACAATCAATGGAGTATTCCAAGATGAGTAGATGAAGGGGGTCGGGTTGGCCGGCAGGAGCAACGTGAGGGGCCCTTAGGGCGGGAACCTACTGAGCAGTGCTCTAGAGGAGGACAGGACTGTGGGGTTGGAGGGAATGAGGTGGAGGGTGTTATTTGTTGGGATATTGGTTTTGGTGGAGCATCTATTTAAAAGAATATGAACTGTGGCTGGGCACGGTGGCTCACACCTGTAATCCCAGCACTTTGGGAAGCCAAGGCAGGTGGATCATGAGGTCAGGAGATCGAGATCATCTTGGCCAACATGGCGAAACCCCATCTCTACCAAAATACAAAAAATTAGCCAGGCATGGTGGCACTTGCCTGTAGGTCCCAGCTACTCGGGAGGCTGAGGCAGGGGAATTGCTTGAATCTGGGAGGCAGAGGTTGCAGTGAGCCAAAATTGCGCCACTACACTCCAGCCTTGGCGACAGAGCAAGACTCCATCTCAAAAAAAAGAATATGAACTGTGAATTGTAACCACCTCTTACTAGCTCTGAGTCCTTAGGTTAATTTGCCCCTGGAAACCCCCCAATTTCCTTTGATCTGAAACAGTAATAGTTATTGGGGGAACCTGCCCCCAATAGTCACGTAGGTTCTTTTCTATTTTCCCTAAGTGTCGGCCAGTCTGAGAAATAAAGGGACAGAGTACAAAAGAGAGAAATTTTAAAGCTGGGTGTCCGGGGGAGACATCACATGTCGGCAGGTTCCGTGATGCCCCGTGAGCCATAAAACCAGTAAGTTTTTATTAGTGATTTCAAAAGGGGAGGGAGTGTATGAATAGGGTGTGGGTCACAGAGATCACGTGCTTCACAAGGTAGTAGAATATCACAAGGTAAATGGAGGCAGGGCGAGATCACAGGACCACAGGACCAGGGCGAAATTAAAATTGCTAATGAAGTTTCGGGCATGCATTGTCATTGATAACATCTTATCAGGAGACAGGGTTTGAGAGCAGACAACCGGTCTGACCAAAATTTATTAGGTGGGAATTTCCTTGTCCTAATAAGCCTGGGAGCGCTACGGGAGACTGGGGCTTATTTCATCCCTACAGCTTCGACCATAAAAGAAGGCTGCCCCCTGAAGTGGCCATTTCAGAGGCCTACCCTCAGGGATGCATTCTCTTTCTCAGGGATGTTCCTTGCTGAGAAAAAGAATTCAGTGATATTTCTCCAATTTCCTTTTGAAAGAAGAGAAATATGGCTGTGTTCCGCCCAGCTCACCAGCAGTAAGAGTTCAAGGTTATCTCTCTTGTTCCCTAAACATTGCTGTTATCCTGTTCTTTTTTCAAGGTGCCCACATTTCATATTGTTCAAACACACATGCTCTACAAACAATTTGTGCAGTTAATGCAATCATCACAGGGTCCTGAGGCGACATACATCCTCCTCAGTTTAAGAAGATGACGGGATTAAGAGATTAAAGACAGGCATAGGAAATCACAAGGGTATTGATTGGGGAAGTGATAAGTGTCCATGAAATCTTAACAATTTATGTTCAGAGTAAAGACAGTAAAGACAGGCATAAGAAATTATAAACGTATTAATTTGGGGAACTAATAAATGTCCATGAAATCTTCACAATTTATTTTCTTCTGCCATGGCTTCAGCCAGTCCCTCCATTTGGGGTTCCTGACTTCCTGCAACAAATAGTTGCTATCTTTTTGTTGTGGGGATTAAAATAAATTATGCATATAAAATAGTTAGCATAGTGCCTGGCAGGTAGTCTGTTCAATGAATATTTGCTAATACTAATAGTATTTTTTTGACATGAGTTAAATTAAAAGGAATATTCATTTGTACTGAATCCTAGAACCTAGTGAATAGGAATTATGCATAACTCCAAACTTCTGAAAGAGTCATACTTAAAGATAATAATGCTTTTCAGTTCTGCCCATAGTAGTTATCCTCAAATGTCATCCCACACCAGTGCCCAGGTGACTTTTCAGAGAATGACTAGATGAGTATTTATGGTAAATTTTGGAGAACAAGGTCAGGCAAGAAGTGTGCAATAAGAATTCCTCATATTGGACCTCAACTTTACTTTTCAAAATGCTTTTACATGAGAGAAAGGTGAGCCCAAGGAACCAGAAAGATGGAGAGAGTGATAACAGAGAACTTGAAAAAATGAAATGGGTTTGTAATGGAAGAAACAAAATACTAGAAAAATATCGACAGAGACATTTTAGTTTCAAAGGGCATAAACTTGGAGGGCATGAACTCAACTATATACACCTGGTAATGGATTTGATATGAACTGATGAATGCCATAAGAAAGCAGGGAAGTATGAGGGCTCAGAAATGAGTTTATAAGGCATTAATGGTGAGGCAGAGGAAGCACCAGAAAAGAGAGGGAAGGACTTGCAGCTGTGTAGAAATCCAAGCGGCTGAGAGCCCTCCCTGTCTTAGCCTGCTGCAGGTAGCTCCTGTTCATCTTGGGGGCTGAAGCAGAAACTACAGGTCTGAGCAGGTGGGTCAGCCTGAAAAGCTCACACGCTAAAGCAGGTCTGGGAGGCCAAGGTTGGCAAAGGTCCAGAGTCCAGAAGGTCAGGTCATTTGAGCAAGTGATACCAGTAAGCTAAACAGACTGGGAAGCCTGGTCTTCCAGCAGGCATACTATGTCTCTGACTTATCTGCTTCCTACTGGATATGGACAGCTCTGGTATTCCAGTATATAATTGCTTCTGAGAGAGAGAATGGCCTTCAGATGTCCCATCTATCATGATGGGACAGAATAGAACTGCTGGGATTAGCAAGATACTCTTCCACTAAAGCTAAAGCTATCCAAGTCTCTGATAACATCAGGAAGGAAAGAAAGGAGAAAAGGGGGAGAAGTGTTTTACTTGGATCATTGATCACTTTTCCTAGAATTGAAGCAAGGTTGAGGGTTTCAGTAAGAATTGGTGATAAGAAATCAAACAGTGAGGTAAGCAGGTTTTAATTTATCTAAGGTGTCATGCTTGGTACTTTAGATTTGTTATACAACTCTATCAAAACAATTTTTCTCCACATTATAGATGTGGAAAATGAAGATTCAAGGGTAAGTAAATTACCTTAGTTCTCCCAACTAAATAAATAGCAGAGTCAGGGTTTTAACACCAACAACTCTGTCTGACTGCGAAGCCTAGGGTTTCCCCGCCACTCCAGACCTACAGAGATGAAAAAGGTGCGTCTCTTTTATCCAGGACTGGGATTAGTGGCTCCTCTTGAATAATAAAAAGAACACAAGACTGGATGTCAAAAACCATGATCCCACTAGTGCATGTAAGCCACCTCTGGATTTAGATTTCTCATCTCCTTCCATCGTGGCCTATCTCTCACAGTTACAAGAATCTGGTAATGGGCTGGGTGCGGTGGCTCATGCCTGTAATCTCAGCACTTTGGAAGGCTGAGGTGGGTGGATTATTTGAAGTCAGGAGTTCAAGACCAGCCTGGACAACATGGTGAAACCCCATCTCTACTGAAAATACAAAAATTAGCTGAACGTGGTGGTGTGTGCCTGTAATCCTGGCTTACTTGGGAGGCTAAGGCAGGAGGATTGCTTGAACCTGGGAGGCGGAGGCTGCTGTGAGTGGAGATCACACCATTGCACTCCAGCCTGGGCAACAGAGCGAGACTCTGCCTCCAACAACAACAAAAATAATCTAGTAATGATTTGATTTTTTTTTTTTCCCCCAAATGAGAAGGTGCTTTGGTGGAGCTAAACATGAGCCTGCTGAGCATGAGGCTGTCCATTCCCAATAAGAGGAGCAATGCAGGGCATGATGAAAAAAGTGTGTGCTTGCCCACCAGGCAGCAGGAACAGCTCCTTTCCTCTGAGGGCTAGAAAGGAAAGTCAGCCTATGGATGCAGTGGAATGGGCGTGTTTCAGGCAAGGACTCCATAAGTAACTTTGAAGTGATACTGAGTATGAATCATCCTCTCTGAACTGCGTCACAGAATTACCCACTGTCGGGAAACTTAAAGATAGTTTCAGTGTTTAAAAATTCTCAGGAAATTCTTTCAAATGTTCAACCCAAATTTCTCATGTTGCAATATAAGCCTATGTCATCTTCCTCGGGGATGATGAAAAAGATATGGTTGCCATTCTCAAGTTTAGTAATCTTTTAGATTCTAGGTCTCTGTTAGTAGAGCACATTTTAAAAAATGACTGCATGGACCTTAGCTTCTCCAAGGCTGACTCATCTACTTGAAATCCTTAAAGGCAGCTTATTAATTATTGAGAGATGGAAACTGACAGATAGGCTGAGTAGTGTCTGTTTAGTCAGTATTCACAGAAATCAATGAAACTTTTTTCTGATATACTTTAAAAATTAATGCTTTATGCTAAAATCTTTTGCTACTGTCAACTGAAATTTGAACTTAACAAATTTTCTCCCTGACTTGATTGTTTTATTAAATTGCTCCTGTTGCCAGTGTGACCCAGAGGGCCCAGTTTCCTATTTTCCCAGCTAATACGTGATACATACTGCAATGATTTAACAGATCTCATCAAAACACATGTATGTTGACTCTGCCTTTTCAGTCTGAATTTAAACTTCTCAATCTCAAACATAGACCCTCTTTAGCAATGCTGCTTCACATCAAAGAATTAATTTCCACTTCCAAATATGTCTGAAAATAGCAGAGACCAGTGCAGGGTAACTTTCCACTGATCGTATTTGAATTCTAATCATTTATGTATAAAACTGGCATGTCTCCAATTGGAGATCCATTTTGGAATTGAATTTACCTTGCAAGGGAATTGACAAGTGGTTTTGCTGCTTTTATCATTCATTTGTTAATACAGGTGAATGTGTTAATGCCCCTTTCTCCTACCCACTTAGGTCACCCTAAAGTTCTAGCATATGCTGGGAAGTCTAGGATGCACAGGGAGGAAAGGAGACAGGACTCATTTCTCACAAATTCCTTCGTGGCAGCATCTTACTCATATGTGTGAGTTAAGAATTGCATTTGTTTGGGAGCAATGTAGACTCCAAAAATAAAAATAAAACCTGTACAAATTAGAGCATTTATTTTTCTTCCATGTAGAAAACGAGTCTGGTCAGTCCACGCCTTGTGTGGCATTCCATGATGTCATCAGGAACCCAGCCTCTTTCTATGTTTCTACTCTACCATCTTTAACACGTGACTTCCATTCATTATATCCCTGGTCCAGCAAGAAGTAGGAAAAATGGGAGTGGACAAAGAAGTTCATCCCTTTTAAAGACGCTTTCTCAAATGTCTCATCTAACAACTTGTACTGATGGTGTTATTGGCCAGAACTTAATCCCATGACCATACCTAATTGCAAAGAATACTGAGAAATGGTCTTTGAGTTTCGTACATACATGAAAGTGTCTATTAAGGTTAGGGAGTTCTGTTATCGAAAAAGGAGGAGAGAATGGATATTGGTTAGAAAACTGGCAGCCTCTACCACACTATGATATCCTACTTCAAATATAGCAAACCTAAAACAAAAATAAAAGAAACAAGAAATGTAAATTTCTGCATCCTCAGGGCTTCTGTTCCCTTTTTTGTTCAAAGGTATCTAGTAACGTATTTCCTGATGCCTCAGAAAATCAAAGAGGCAGGAAGCATGTGTTCTTTAAATAGTTTTTCTTACCAAAATTTCCCCTGTTCCTTACCAACTGAGTTTCCCTAGTCTTTTGTTGGAAATCTGTAAGATTAAGGCAATGTGCTGTACCCTACTTTCATTTTCTTTAGCTGAACCCTGAGACTGGTTTGAGATAAGCCCCTAGCTTTAAACTTTCTCTTTGCCTTTTATCGGTGACTGCCTTATGTGCATTGCCCTTCATCAGTGTATTTTAAGGTAATGAGCCTTATTTTTGAAATCCCTGCTGATTCAGAAATAGTTGCTGGAGGGAGGAAGAGAAGTTGGGAAAACTTAGGAATAAATATTGAAATCTCCCAGGGAGCACATCATTTCTAGCAGAGGGCTCTAGATGGTTTATTTTTGTAAATTGCTGGGGGAACCAAGCTCCTCTTCTTGTTTATTGTTATCGAGGGCTGGCCAGTTGCCTTGTACTACATAGCACTGCATTGAACAAGGTAGACTTGTCTTTGCCTTTGAGAGGACACCACCATCAACCAAACTGGGATGGTTTTTATTAACAAAGGTGTTAAGAACTGTGAAGAGTCAGAGATTTTATCCCACTTGTAAGCTAATGAGTTAGCCTGCCCCAGTTTCACGGATGCTAGTGGAGTATACAAGACACAGAGAAATAAAGGACAATTTATTATGTAGCAGTAGCCAGAATATTAGCATCTTTGCATCAGTTTCCTGAGCCCCAGTTCCTGTGGGGAGACATGAAAAGCTCTATGTGCCTCTTGCACACATAGGAAGTTGCTTTCAAGAGAGGAACCCTAAGCTTAGGAAACCCAAATCTCTTATAATGGCCAGTAAGCATGCCTGTCCTTTGCTTTGGATGCAACACTGTGTTTGTTGTCCACAAACATCCTTGAAAAGATAGTCTGGAATAAAAGCAGTCAGTGCTTTTGCTCTCAAGGCATGCAGAAATTTGAGAGACGCATGGAAAGTTGTCTCCCAAAAAGGGTGTGCTCGTGATTTTGCCTGGGCTTTAGAACACTGAATTTAAATTGGGTTCTTTGTATTTAGTTTACCTGGGATCATTTCATTCTGTTCTTCCGAACCAAAGACAACCCCTCATCCTGATAAGTTACTCAACAAATGCAAAATGTTGCCAAGTAGACTGGTAAGAAAACATAGCTGGTTTAATATAAAAAAGGTAAATCTCTTCCAGGAAAACTATCTTTGTAAGGATCAAGAGCCTTAAAAATGTCTCTATGCTTTGACTTGGTAATTTTACTTCTGGGAATCAAGTCTAAGACATTACCAGTTTTTAAAAGTACATATGTGCACATTGTTCAGTATAATAAAGTATGGTATATTTCCGTGATGAATTGCTATGTATGTGTTAAAAATGAGGTTTCTTTTTTCTAATATTAATGCTATGAGGAAATAAATGTCTGTTGTGTAGTAATTGACCAAAAGTAGAATCAAATTTTGGGGATAAGTTAATATATTTGGAAGATTTATACATCAAATTATAAACAGTGGTTGTAACATTGGTTGGTGAGTTCTCAGTTATTCTCACTTTCTTTAAACTTCTTCTTGAATTATACTAGTAAATATTGGTAATTGGGGGGAGATGTGTTCTTTTTTCTTGTGTTAGTTGCACAAGATAGTTGTGCACAAGTTGGTGGAAGATAGGTGGTAGTATCATTCCGAAAGCACACTACAGTACCCAGTTTTGAAAGTTCATTAATAGATAGCGTAAATAGGAGTGCCTCATTAACATTCCAGCCAGCTTCCACTCTGTGCCTGCAGTAACCTGTGTGCCTGCAACTTCCTAAAAACAGAAAACGCTGAAGGTACCATTTGCCCCTAGCCAGTTACTGTTATCCATTTTCACACTGCTATAAAGAATTGCCAGAGATTGGGTAATTTATAAAGGAAAGAAGTTTAATTGACTCACAGTATCACATGGCTGGGGAGGCCTCAGGAAATACAGTCATGGGGGAAGGCGAAGGAGAAGCAAGTGTCTTCTTCACAAGGCAGCAGGAAAGGGAGAGAGCAGGGGCAACTGCCACTTATAAAACCATCAGTTTTCATGAGAACACACTGACTATCATGAGAACAGCATGGGGGAAACTGCCCCCATGATCCAATCACCTCCCACCATGTCCCTCCCCCGACACTGGAGATTATCATTCGAGATGAAATTTGGGTGGGGACACAAAGCCAAACCATATCACTAGTCTTATGAGATTGATTGTCATATCCTCTGAATCTAGAGGATGTAGAAAGGAGGAAACCAGTATTTTTGTTCATTGAGTATCTTCTGTATACTGGTATTTTATTTAATGTTCATAAAACCCAAAATGTGAGATCTAAATCTATTTTCCCCATTTTACAAATGAGGGCATTTAAATTGAAAGATTAAGTACCAGTCCAGAGTCACTTAGCTGGTACTTGCCAGTGTCTAGATTTCAGCCCGAGTATCCAGACACCAAAATCTCTGCCCTCTCCAGTGTTACCCGTAAACAAGTTTTGAAGTTGTAGTATTTTATTTTATTTTTTTGAGATGGAGTCTTGCTCTGTTGCCAGGCTGCAGTGCAGTGCCGCAATCTCGTCTCACTGCAACCTCCGCCTCTCAGGTTCAAGTGATTCTCCTGCCTCAGCCTCCCAAGTAGCTGGGATTACAGGTTCATGTCACCACTCTCGGCTAATTTTTGTATTTTTAGTAGAGATGGGGTTTCACCATGTTGGCCAGAATGGTCTCTATCTCTTGACCTCGTGATCTGCCCACCTTGGCCTCCCAAAGTGCTGGGATTACAGGCAAAGTTGTAGTTTTTGATTAACTATTGGAAAGCACATTTTGGCTCGTAAGTGTACATTTAAAGCACGTTTTTGAACTTGTGTAAGCAAATAAATTAGGAAGTAGGATCAAAGCAGGGTAGGTGCCTATAAATGAAGGCTTATCTAACCAGGTACATTTCTCAGCATTGAGACACTCACTCAGTCTTGGTTTTGCTTGTGTCTTCTTAATATTCAGATTATAATCCATATCCAGTCAAATATGTTGGAAAACCTGATAAAGACTCTAAAAAATGCTGCAGAAGGAAATTTATCAAAATTTGTGAAAAGACATGTGTTCTCGGAGGAAGTGGTGAGTATGCAAGTGCTGCAGAAATCATTTAAAAGTGAAAGGACACTCTTAAAAATGTCCACTAATTTCTCAATTCTAAAGCTTACCTTAAAGAAATTGCCAAATATGGCAGCTTCTCTGTTGTTCCTGTTTTAAGACTTCCATGTATATGTGCAAAGATTTTTTTTTCTTCCAACAGAATATATCCTCTGAAATTCTAGGAAACTTTTCCCTTTTACCTTATTCTTTTCTCCACATTGTATTCATGGGCCCTGGCTCTCTTTTTCTTCTAGATGACGATTTTACACCTTTTTCCTTTTCCCTCAAGCCTTCAATACCTTCTCCTCACTTTTCACTCTCAGTTGATCACTGTATTTCTTGTTTCTTGGAGAAAATAGAAGTAATCAGAAAAGCATGACTGCTACATAGAGAGCCTCTGGCCCCTTGCCCTATATACCCATGATGACTGGATACATCTCTCACACCAGCCTCTTCAGTCATGCACTGGATCCCATCCTCTCTGACCCACTCCACAGCATCAGTCCAGAAGTTGACTCACTCTTTTGGCTATCATCAGTATCCCCTTCCCTGTGGGTCATTCTTGTCAGCAAACAGTAGGATATAGTATCTCTCATCTTAAAAAATAAAAAGAATCTTCTGTACAAATGAAAAGACAGACCATATGTTTAGATAAGAAGACCTAGCCTCATAAAAACTCAGTTTTTTTCAAGTTACTGTGATAATGTAATATGACTCCAATAAAAATATCACTTTGTTTTTTCTGTAAAGGTTAGTTGAAAGAACAAACAAGACTAGCTAGAAAAACCCTGTGAAAGAGGGGCAGTAAGAGTTGCTAGGTCTAGCAGATATCAAAGCATGTTAAAGTTTCTATAATTCAAACTGTGGCTTAGGACATGAATAGGGCAGCTAATGGGACAGAATAGAAAGTCCGGATACAGACCAAATTGCAGATACAAATTTAGTGTAACATAGAGACAAGCATCTCAAATCAATCTAAGTGGATAGACTAGTAAGAAGTAGTACTAGGATAAGTAGAGAGCCAATAGAAAAAGATACAGTTGTATATATTCTTATACCACAAACCAGGATACATTTCAAATGGATGAGAATTTAAATTTTTAAATTGAAATACACAAGTACTAGATATAAACATTAGTAGATTCTTTAATATCCTGGGAGTGGAAAAACTTAGCTTTCAGTCAAAATCCAAATCAGTAAAAGAAGTGATAAATTTGACTAAATAAAAATGTTAAAACCTGTTTTTTCATGTGGCAAAAAGTCTACAAGCAAAGTCAAGAGGTAAGTAATCAATTTTTAATCATACTGACAAAAGGCTAACTAGCCCTAATATTTCAAGAGCTCTTTTTGAGGCCAGGTGCGGTGGCTCATGCCTATAATCCCAGCACTTTGGGAGGCTGAGGCAGGCGGATCATGAGGTCAGGAGATCGAGACCATCCTGGCCAAAATGTAACCCCGTATCTACTAAAAATATAAAAATTAGCTGGGCGTGGTGGTGCATGCCTGTAGTCCCAGGTACTCAGGAGGCCGAGGCACGAGAATCGTTTGAACTAGGGAGTCGAGATTGCGCCACTGCGCTCCAGCCTGGCGACAGAATGAGACTCCATCTGAAAAAAAAAAAAAAAAAAAAAAAAAAGCTCTTTTTGAAAATTCTGAGAAAAGAACCAACAACCCTGAAGAAAAATGGGTAAGAGATGTGGACAGAATTTACTAAAAATGAATTGTGAATGGCCTTTAAACTTTCGAAAAGATTCTCTTGCCCATATCAAGAAAATGCTAAATAAAACTACCCTATGATATTTCTCTTGAATAGAAATCTGCAAGTTTGCCAGCCAACTTGGTTGGTGAGGCTCTGAGGAAATGGGCGCTATCATCTGAGGAAATGCTGCTACAGCGAATACAGATTGGTACACTACAAATACTTTCACCCTTTGACTCAATCCTCCCACTTCTTGGAGTATATTCTAAAAATATACTGGCAAATATAAAGAAGTTGTATGTACAAGGCTATTTGTTGCAATCCAATTTCTAATAACAGCAGACTGGAAAAAAGCCCAAATTTCCATCACTAGACAACTAGTTGTACAAATTAGGGTCTGTTCGTACAAAGGACAGGAAATGAGGAACAGCTACATCATATACTGCTATGGATTACCATTTATATGGATCACTTAAATATGTTTTTAAGTGACAAAAGTAAGATGCAAATGGGTATGTGTAGTATGCCTTAAGAAGGCGGGACCATATAGTTATTTTTATATATTTATGTTTTTGAAAAACACTACGATAAAAAAAACAAAACTTAAGTGGTTATGTTGATTTCTTTTTCAGATCTTTTTTTATAGAAATACTGCTGTTTTTGTATGTAAATTTTGTAACCTGCAGCTTTACTGACTTTATCAGTCCTAAAGGTTTTTTTGATTGAGTCTTTAGGAACCACAGTTAATTATTATGCATATTTCAAAAATGCCAAAGAAGTATATTTTAATGTTTCACCGCAGAAAAAGACACATTGGTAGATGATGGATAGTTTTGTTAGCTTGACTGAATCTTTCTACAGTATACACATAGATTGAAACATCACATTGAACTTTATAAATATACACAATTATTATTTGACAATTAAAGTAATTGACAAATTATTTTTTAAATTTAATTTTAAAAAATTAAGAAATAAAAGTTTTGAAAGTGAAAGTGAGGGACGGAAACATGAGTTCTCCGAATGTACCTTGTTTATGTATTTCATTTAGGAACCATGTAAATGCTTTGCAGAACTGTAAAGCAGAGTTAAATAAAAATGAAGAGAAAAAACAGTTCCTAAAAATTGAAAGTGAAATGAAACAAATGAACCCATGTGTCACATTGATGGCTTAAGTACACAAATTGGAATTCTTGTAGGTCATTTGAGATGTAGTAATTTGTGTATCTCTCATAGCATGTAACTTAAGGTGAAAAACAGAAGTGTAAAGAAATTGTACGTTATTGACAGTGATCATATTGTTAGTAATAATACTGATATTGTCATTTTGACCAACCAAGTGGCCTGTTGGTTGGTCCTCTCTTCCTCCCTCATTTCTCCTGCCTCTCTTTTATAGTTTGGTCCAGGCTGAAGGCTGAGACAGCAGGATTGGCACTAGAGGGCAGTGGCTGCTTCCTCCTCCTGCCACACTGTCGCCTTCCCAGCCCTGTTCCATTTCCTCACTTCCACCCAAAGGCTTCTTCCTTCTGATAAAAGGGAGCTTGTCAGGAAAATGACTAACTGGATATGGTTGATTTAACGCTTCTTTCTATTTGCAGTTTTAGCTCTGTGTAGGCTGTGATCCACCCAACCCTTTTGGAGTAAGTTTAGAAAAGTAGGGAAAGTAGAAGCATGAACAGATTTTAAAGTGCATAGTCACGTGTGTATGTGTACATGTGAAATCCAACTTCCATTTTCTCAGCAGCATTGTTGTTAACAACCATTCCTTAGACCTGAACCATCAATACATTGTCACCCATTTATATGGCTAAAGCACCCGAACAAACTTTATATTGAAAAATACTCATATAAGACTCTTGTACTTAGAAAATGAACCCTCTAGTTCAGTGTCTTCCCTCTGGTTACTGTGGGACCACTCAAGGAACAGCTTGATGAGAAATGGATTGATTCATATAACTCCAGTAGCTTTTGAGCTAGTTCTAAATATATATGTGTGAGATTGCAAGTGGAGTCCTATATTGTAAACGTCTGCATTTTACAAAGTGCATTTAATGCTTATGCCAGCAGTTATTTAAAAAGTGTTATGTAGGGAGATAAGACTATAAACTATCATAGGTGCTATTATACCACCACAGGACTATTGAAAATAATTGCTGATTTATTTCTGTAGTTATGTAACAGAACTGTTACAGTTTTTAGATCAAAATTACCTCCAGCTTGGCATGTTTGCTCTGCTGCTTTTAGAAGCCATATGCTGCACATTAAGTCATTTTCACCTTGAACATGAGGACTAAACAAGCTATTCTTTTTTAAGAACATTAAGAAGTGCTTAAGCTGCTTGTCTGCAGGCATGGTTGGGAGCCATTGTCTCAAAGGAAGATGTGCAGGTGCAAACAGTGTTATATATTTGGAAGAGGTGGAAGAGGGGCAAAGGATTTATTAGGAAGCTTGATCCCAATTAAATTCCATCAAGAAATGTGTTGAGATTGTACCCTTGATAAGGATTGAACTAAGTAAAATGCTGATTTTATTCAGAAAGCAGCTTCACATTCTCCATTCTAGTTCACCCATTTTGGGGGTTAAATACCATCATATACTTGTGACTCTACTACGTATGCCTCTAGCCCAGACCTCTCCTTCATGCCCCAGACTTGTATATCCAACAACGTTCTAGACATACCCATTTAGATGGTTCACAGCCGTCTCAATCAGGTCCAAACAGAGCTCTTGATTTTCCCTTCCAAATCTCGCCTCCCTGTCTTCTCTATCAGGAAATGATAGCACCCATCATCAAGCTATTAAAGCCCCAATTGAGAAGATAGCTTTGACACCTCCCTTTCCTTCACCCATTCAAAAATAAGTCCTTTCAGTGTAAACTCCAAAATATACCTCACATAAGTGTACTTCTCCTTCTTTTCTGTACCTTTCCCAATCTCAACTACCATTGTTTCTTATCTGGGCTATGGTGTGGGCCTCCAGAATAGTCTCCACATTTCTGTACACTCCAGTTCATTCTCTGCAACTTTTTGAACAGAAATGAGATCATTTCCCACTTTAGATGCTCTGATGGCTTTTTTAGAATAAATTTCAAAAAACTTATTGTGGAATATATATAAAGCCTATGTAATTTGGCCCTGCCTCCTCCTGCTCTAATCATTACATTGAACAAAGTTGATTCCACTGGTATATGACCTCCTTTACTTGGTGTGTTTCATTATATATGATGTGTTATTTGAACCCCCCTTTTTTTATATTAGGTATGATTTTCAAGTACTAATTTTGAATTTTGTGTGTAGCTTTTGGAATCCCTCATAGTAATACTGCTGTCTGTGTGCCCCAGTACCCTGGTTTTCACGATTTTAGGTGTATACCATACTTTTTTTTTTTTTTAAGACTCACTCTGTCGCCAAGGCTGGAGTACAGTGGCACGATCACAGCTCACTGCAGCCTCTGTCTCCTGGGCTTAAGTGATCCTCCCACTACACCAACTAATTTTTAAAAAAATTTTTTTACAGACAAAGTCTCACTGTGTTGCCTAGGCTGGCCTAGAAATCCTGTGCTCAAGCAGTCCTCCTGTCTCAGCGTCCAAAATTGCTTAGATTAAAGCATGGGCCACCTCGCCTGGCCTACCATACATTTTTGTTCATGTCCATTTCTTTTTCTTAGGGTTATAGTAAGAATAAGGAAGAAATCTTGCAGAGATGTAATGATGTGTTCTTGCTTTTTTCCAGCTGGCCAAAGTGAGGGAAAAAGTGAAGGATGTGCCTGCCCTTGTGGCCAAATTTGATGAGATCTATGGGACACTGCACATCACTGGCCAGGTCACCACTGATTCTTTGGATGCTGTGCTCTGCCACACCCCCAGGGACAGGAAATCTCACACGTTGCTATTAAACAAGAGGATGGTCAGCCGTCGCACCTTCCAGCCACTCAGCCAGTCCCTGTTGGCTGAGTAACCCTGGTTTCAGTCCACCTATGGATCTGAGGGGCCTGCTTCTAGTGAGTTATTACCTTTCCTAAGAAGCCAGGTATCGCACTTCAGCAGACAGTGTGCTGACACTTGGTCTTCTCCTGAAATTCCCAAATTCACTGAATGGTACCATGCCGATCTCTGAGAAGTTATGTTGCACCACTGTGAAGGTCTAGATGCAAGCTTGGCTCCCTCAGAAAGGCGCTTCCCTTTTGCATGGCTGAGGATCCTTGAAGGAACCTGGTCAGTCTCCGGTTCAGCTTCCGACACCAGAGTGGAACCCAGTAAGCACCATCAGGAATGAATTTCACTACAAGTGTGGATAACTCTGATTTTCAAAGGAGTAGTTACTTGCAAATTACATCCTTGCTGAATTCAGGAGGTATGAAACCCTATTTTACCATGTTAGAAAACAGCCCAGGATTTTCTCATTGCTCTGCCATCATATATGTCTATGACTTGAGCCCTTATTTTTCCATCTGCAAAACAATAATGCCTATGTGTCTTTGCATATAGATTTGAAATCTTCATTCAAGGTTTAGTAGGATCATATTTTCTCAAAAATAAGAGAAATAAGGTTCATAAGGAAACTTGCTGGGATTGTGGTTGTTTTGTTTTCTCAGCAGCACAAACAAAACCAGAATTTAGCCTTTAGGACTGCTGAGTAAGCCAAATTTAAATGACTACTGCTTTGTTCATGGGTAAGCCATGTGCTTTTCAAAATAAGTGCCACTAAAAACCACATAATGCTTTGGTTTCTATGTGGATAATAAATATTTAGTCCTATAGTTTATCTTATTTGTTAATGATTTTTCTCTCTTGAATGCCTCATATTAAAAAAAAATGTGCCATGAGAGCAGTTCAAAGCTGCTTCATACTTATGGTCTCAAATATAGTATGTGTTGAATTTTACCGTGTCTGGTCACCAGTGAGCAGAAGATACACAGTGACCCCACCTCACTTGCTCCTTTTGTTTCAGAAAGCCCAGAGGGTTGCTCAGACCTCAGGAGCTGTCTGCCAAGATTGCTGCAGACTCTTCATTGCCACCTCCAAAACTAAGACTGTTCACTTGGTTGTTGTTCTAAGGCAAGGATTATAGAGTCAGAAATTGTAGACTAGGAGAAGTCTTCTGAGTCTCCTAATTAATTCCTTCATCTTTCAGGTTAAGGAAACGATCCATGCAAGAGAGGCCCAATCTCAACTGTAGACTGTGTCCCAGTAAGAGAGTCACAGCTTCAGGTGTTTGCTGAATCCAGGTCTGAGATCACAATCCCACCTGAGGACAGGATCCGCATATGAGAGTCGCACATTGGTATAATTGATTTGTGGTAGAGCTGAGATTAGAATCCAGATTCCTAGTCTAGTATCCTTCCCACTGTACCACATTATCTCTTTTCAGAGGGGAAAAAGGAGCAGCTCTTAAGAAACAGAATACTAAGGGCCCCCATTACTGTGTGGCCCTGGGCATCCTCAGTTTCCTCATTTGGTAAATGGGGATAATGGTACCGACCTCTTAGGCTTGGTGTGAGGATGAAATGAGATAGGGAATATAAAGCAAGCAGATAGTGGCTGGCACATAGTACATGCAATATGTTTGAAACTAGTTAAGGAATTATAAAAACAAATGAGTTCTTCCTTCTGCTCAAAAATATTGAATTTCTTGTCCTTGTGCTCTGTGAAACATTGAACAGCCCCATTTAGAGAAACAAATTCTCTGCCCTCATAGAATCCTAATTGTTTCTGTATGTGTCTGGTGTTTTGCACATGCAAAAAAAAAAAAAAAAGTGCTTGGATTTCTCCACTTTCAGTCTTAGGGAATAATAGGGCATGCTTCCTGTCCCCCCAGCTTACTTTTCATCTTCTCCAACTCTCACAGTTCAAATGGCTCCAGTGCTGTGGGTGAGTGTGGCCTTGGTTGTTAGCTAACAACCATTCATTAGCGAAATAACCAAATTTTGTGAGCAGTAAATAGCAACAAGCTTCCCAATCCCTGCTGCCCAGCCGACTGGAAAAACTGGTCCATTCCACCTGTTCCCAGAAACCTCAGTACAGAGGTAGCTATATGCATAATGTTCACCCCAAAGTAATAGATGATTTTAAAGTCTTAAAAGTCCAATAAAACAGTGTTCAGTATAGGTTATGATAGGCATTTCATTCTTTAAAACTCAGTAATTCCTTTGAAAAAATGATGTTTCTTTATAAGCAGTAGTTTGCCTACATCATTTACTTGTTTTTTTCTGCTTTGGGGTTTTTTTTTTTTTGAGACACAATTTCACTCTGTCGCCCAGGCTGGAGTGCAGTGGTGTGATCTCAGCTCACTGCAACTTCTGCCTCCTGGGTTCAAGCAATTCTCATGCCCCAGCCTCCCAAGTAGCTGGGAATACAGTTGTGTGCCACCACACTGGCTTATTTTTTGTATTTTTTTAGTAGAGATGGGGTTTCACCATGTTGGCCAGGCTGGTCTCTAACTCTTATCCTCAAGTGATCTGCCTGCCTTGGCCTCCCAAAGTGCTGGGATTACAGGCATGAGCCACCGCACCTGGCCTACTTATCCTGTTAATGAAAATATTTGATTGGACAGAACATCTTATTCCTTAACTCTGTTATGTGCTTTTGTAGATTGTTTTTACTTACTGTAGATATCTGTTGCTCCAGAGTCCCAGAAATCAGTATGATGAGTTCAGCACAGTTACTAGAAGGAGACAAAAAGATATCTTCTTAATTAGGTGATATCAGGGATAGTTCTGGTTATTGATTGCTGTGTGGAAAACACTCCAAAACTCAGTGACTTTAAACAACACCAGTCATTGTGTTATTTCTCATTATCCTAAGTACTGACTGGGCTCAGCCAGACAGTTCTTATTCGGGTTCTCATGCAGTTATAGTCATCATCAGATTGTGGCCGCGACTGGCATAATCTCAAAGGCTTCCTTAGTATTTCTGGCAGTTGATGCTAGGACCTCAGCTAGTGCTGGGGCTGGAACATGTCTACACATAGCTTCCCCACAGCATGGTGGCTAGGTACTAGGAGTGACTGTCCCAAGAGGACCAGGCAGAAGCAGTTACATTTTATGACCTAGTCTCAGAAGTCTCATAACATCACTTCCACTAAAGTCCCAAGCCCCCCCAGATTCAAATGGAGGGAGCATATATCCCATCTCAGTGGTAGGAATTTCAAAGAATAAATTCTGTGAAACTGTAGTAGATAGTCTGTTTTCTCCCCTGTTTAAAACCTCCTGAGGACCTCACATGCTTCTGGATAAAGCTCAGGCTCTTCAACATGGTTTAGAAGGTCCTTCCTAATCTGGCCCACATTTGTCCATCCAGCTCCAACTCTTGCTACTCTACGCCCCTCTTCCCCTCTTGTGGAATGGCTAATTCCTACTCATCATTCAGGTCTTGGCTTAGACATCTTTTCATCTGAGAAGGCTTTCTGGTCTAGTCTCACCTGGTTAGGTGAACTCCCCATGTGCCCCATGTACCTCATTTATCAAAGTGCTTATCATATGCCTGTCACTGTCTGTTTTCTTCACTAGACTCAGGTGCCATGTCTGTCCTTTCTGCTCTGTTTGCTGGGTGCCTAGCATGGTAGGGGATGTATCAGAGGATTAGTACTTATTTAACTCACCAGCTCATTTAACTATATTGTATAACAATGTTGGTGGTCATATTGGTCCCCCATGGACAGCTTTTCGTCTCTAATACCATACACTCAGTGCAGGGTCTGAATGTCCCCCCAAACTCATATGTTGAACTCCAAATCCCCAAGGTGTTGGTATTAGATGATGTAGCCTTTGGGAAGGAATTAGGGTGGTGCCCTCATGAATGGGATTTGTGTCATTATAAAACAAGCCCAAAGAAATTTGGTCACCCCTTCCTTTAAGCGAGGTCATGGCAAAAAGACGCTGTCTATGAACCAGAAAATGGGCTCTCACTAGACACCAAATGCTGGTGTCTTGTTCTTGGATTTCCCAGCCTTCAGAACTGTGAGAAATATATTTCTGTTATTTATAAGCCACCCAGTTTTTGGTATTTTGTTATAGCAGCCTGAAGAGACTAAGACAGCCAGTCCCAACCTTCCACATTTAGACCTGACTCCAAGTTTTGCTCAGCCCACTGTGTATCCCTTCCTCCTCCCAACCAAAGTGTCCCCACTCTTTCTCTATTCTGTTCTGCCTATTATTCAAGGTCTAACTTGTGTCACTTTTTCAATGAGGCATTTGCAAGCTCTTTAAATTCTCAAGGATTCTCCATTAATTCACCATATCTATTTTGAGAATCTACAAAGGACAAGGCACTACGAAAGACTCTACATGCCACAGGGAAAAGACAGACAAGATCTCTGTCCCAACACAGAAAATTTTAGCCTGCCATGTTGACTCCCAGGGATCTTTTTGTTTCTGTAGGAGGTGCTCATTACAGAGTGGCCAAATTCCTACTGAAGAATGGACTTGGTTGTGAAATAAAACAATCCTGGGCAATATTTGTTGATAGTTTTGTTGAGGATGATTCAGGAAATAAATACAAACTTTTAACTACTCATAATGAATATTGTTGGGATATTATAATGAGGAGGTAAGGATTTACCTGCTACAATTTGGGTAGGCAAAAATGTAGGCTTCTCTGTTTCTTTGCAGTGAACTAAAACTTCTTATGAACTCTGGTTATACTGAAAACAGGAGTCATGGGAGACTTGATCTTGCTTAAAGGATATTTTAGTCTTTGATTTCTTTGAGGTAAATGTTCAATCTTTTTGCGTATCTTCCTCCTACCTTTTCATAGCCAAGATGACAGCTGAACAGGCTCTCATCTTAAACCTGAACAGGCATCAGAATCACTTGGAGAGCTTGTTAAAATACAGATTGATGGGCCCCACCCCCAGAATATCTGATTCCATACATATGAGTCAGGGCCCAAGAATTTGCATTACAAATGCATTCTCAGATGATGCCTTTGCTAGTCTGGGCAACACACTTTAAGAATAGTTGGTATAACAGAAAGCTTGTGTGTCTTGTGTGTCTATGTGGACAGGAGTTGTGGGCTTCAGATTCATCCTCTGTGTCCTCTGGTCTCAGTTGTGAGGAGGGGGAAGAGTGGGAAGTCTGGCCTTGTCTCTGGACTCCTGAGTAAATAATGTGCTGATGCAGTGTTGGGCCCAGCAGGCCTTTTAGAGGGTCATGCCAGCACCCACTGCTGAGGTCTGTAGTCTCTACCATCTGCCCTACACATAATAAGTACCCTTCCTCTGCTATTCTCTCTTGCTGACCCCAAGCCCACCAATGAATTAATTGAATCAAGAGTTCCAAGGCATTAGGTTAAAGACATTGAAAAATATATCCATTTATTTTTTCAAATATACATAAAGAAATCCATACAAACTAAGGCCAATTGTGGCAAAACTACATGAGACTTGACTAAAATAACCCACAATTCAAATTTCCTTCATAACATTTCTACCTATAAATTTGATTCAGAGAAATTACACTTCATAGATAAACTAGCCATAAAAAAGATTACAGCGGCAAAAGCTATCATCAGTAATATTTGATATGCATAAGAAACCGTGAGGAACCAAATCATGGTAAAATTGATTCTAAGGAAATGGTTGCACAAAAATAAAAGTGAAATGGTATTTTTTAAAAGGAAGTGGTTCAACTGTATTGCATAGAAAATGAATCAAGGAATTACATTGGCTTAAATGGCATTAGCTCAAAAAAGTGTTCTCAAAAATTAATGGAAATTGGTGTATTCTGATTGAGATATGTTTTATTCAATAACATGGAGTCAAAACAAGAAGATTTTTTAAATGTCCTCTGTTCCCATGGAGCTTGCATTCTGCAAGAGCAACAGACATCAAAAAGATAACTGGGCAAATGACCACATGATTGCAGTTGGGATAAGTGCTAAGTCTAGGGTAATCTTCATATCACCCTGTGGCATGTATAAAGGAAGACCTTTTGCTGGTGTTTTGTAAAACCAGTTGTCTGTGTCATTTATTTTAACATGTAAAGTACACTGCCTTGTATTGTTACAGATCTTTTTCTCCATATCCGGTCTCTCCTGAAGAACAGAGTATTCTACATTTGTTTTATATGACCCCAAGGTGCTTATGTAGCATATTATTTATACATCTAATGAGGTCTTAATATTTTTTGAAAGAGTGATTTCATTAATTAACGGCAGATTTTAGTTAATATGTACAGTCTGCCACAATATACTTTAGGCATTTCACAGTTTTCTCATAAACTGGTTGCTGTTTCTGTCCCGGTTTTACACATGACAGAGCCAAGACACAGACAAGTAGAATGACTTGCCTGTGCGGGGGTCCTGGGTTGGCCAGTGCATTCATGTACTGGACCAGGGCCCCTGTATCTTGCAGTAATGTATCCGTGGGCGTTTCCCCCCAGACATTCGAAGCACACAGCTAATCTGAGAAAGAAGTGATTTGGCGAGGGGTTGGGGGAGTAGGCGGTGGGCACAACGGTTCCAGGTGACTTTCAAGTTGCTAATGAAAGAGGATCAAAGCGCTGCTGAACTGCTCACCTCCCCGCTTGGCCTGCCTTGCCCAGCTGACTTTCTTCCAAGGGCCTCAGAGGCAGCATTACCACAGGCATTAAAGATGGGGATGGGGAAAGAAGGCCCAGAGGGAAAGGGAACCACATGCTTACCTGCTAATCACTGCCCTGCAGCTGAAACACTGCAGAGCTGGCTGCTCTGGGATAGGAGAGGAAGGCCTCATTTAATCAGGAGAAGAAAGAGAACCAGGGGCCTCTGAGATGGCCTGCAAGGCATCACGGTCTGTGAACTGGTCTGTGAACTGCGGGCCTGCCTGGAAATGCATTGTCAGAGTAGAGTGATGCTTTCTTTGTAAATCCCTTGTCTTCCCTGATTCCTTTTTCCTGACTGAATCAGGCCAAGATGCTCACCCAGAAGAGCACAGCATCACCCTGTCTTTCAATCCCCAAAGTAGCCCTTACCCCTAGACAGCAACATCATCTGTTACAATTGACAGCATGAAGGAAGGCATAACCCCTGCAAAGTGACTGCCCTACAACTCAATTTGATTTTGAATCCGCAAGTGCAAGTCTCATTCCTGGTAACTAATAGTAACAGAATCTGCTGATGTATTCTACCGCATCCCAGGGAGACTCATGTAGCCATGAAGACTGAAGAGGATTAAGTTAACCTTCCATTTTATAGCTGCAAATTACTGGGTTGATGTCAGGTAGGGTGAGGAGTATGTTCCGGTTATAGCTGGTAGCAAGATGGCTGCATGCATCATGAGGCTTTGGCCTAAAAAGCTTGTCATTATATAAAAAAGCTATAGAGAGCAGAGAAAATGTCATTTCCAATTTAGAAGATCATAATCGATTTTTAACACATTGGTCCTTAGGTGATACAGAATTCAACAAAAACGGGGCTTATAAAAAGCCAGGGTTCATAAAATTACAAAGATTATAGACAAAAATAGATAACATATAAGACTTACCAGCTGGGCAAGGTAGCTCAAGTTTGTAATCCCAGCACTTAGGGAGGCCGAGGCAGGCAGATCACCTGAGGTCAGGGGTTCTAGACCAGCCTGGCCAGCATGGTGAAACCCCATCTCTACTAAAAATACAAAAAAATTAGCCAGGCGTGGTGGCGGGCATCTGTAATTTCAGCTACTCAGGAGGTTGAGACGGGAGAATTGCTTGAACCTGGGAGACGGAGGTTACAGTGAGCCTAGACTGCGCCATTGCACTCTAGCCTAGGCGACAAGAGCGAAACTATGTTTCAAATAATAATAATAATAATAAGACTTACCATTTGCCAGGTCCTGTGCAAAGCACTTTATCTCATTTGATCCCTGGGAAACCCCATAAAGTACTATTATGCCATTTCTCAGATAAAGAAACTGAAGCTCAGAGACGTTTAGTTGCTTGCCTGTGGATATAACACTAGAGAGCGGGAGAGCACAGTATTTGAACCCAGGAGGTCTGATGCTGGAGGTCATGTTTTTAACCTTATCTCTGTATTGCCTGCCCAAGTGCTGGCTGTGTGCATGTATTCTCAATAATCCCTGGCCAACTTCCTGCTTTGCTGTCAGTAGCAGAGCTGAAGAACTTACAATAGACGGCAGAGGGCGTCCAGAGTCACTATTTTTAAAAGGTGCTAGTTTTCAAAAGCATTTCTGGAATTCAGAGAGAACAGAGGTCCACATAGCAGGCTAGACAGGAAAGGTAGCTGTAGATAGACTTTAGGGAGTATATAGAATATTGCCTTCACGCAGGTTAAGAAATATTTAGTGTTGAAAGGATACTTTTAAAAGAGAGAAAGCAGTAAAGTTGATCCTCTGCAGAAAGTAGACCAATGTAAGTATCATGCAATGTGTCCATGTGCGTGTACACGTGAGCACACATGCACACACACATTAGATGTTTTGTGAGAAAACATACACTCAGTTTCTTATGAAAGAAAAAGGATGGTCATTTGTCTCACTTGGGAAAGGGTTTCCTCCCAAATTGAGAAGGAAAATCCCCCCAATTAACTGTTTGCCTTTATTAACTAAAATCACATTTGTGTGTGAAAGAAGTAAAAAGGAATTAGGATCTTGGTTATTTTGATTGTCTCTCTACCCTTCCAGATTCATCAAATGATAGTCAACCTTACTGTCTCTTCCTGCCATCATCAGGAATGACTAAATCTTGGAGCGTTCTCCATTTAAGTGAGGGAAATGTTGGATTCCCGGTGTATTTATCACTGCCCATCTCTAAGAATAGGTCAAAGATGAAATTCCCATTATCATGAAACTTTAATATATATTGAGACTTCACAGAGCACTAACTATACTGGGGCTGGGATGGGGATTCTGATGAGAGATATCCCTGACAGAGACCAGAGCTCAGGAGGAAGAAAGGACAGATGCCCTTGTTCAAGATGACTTCTTCATGGGCATCGATAGATACATTCTTGAAAACCACCCAAAGTACCTAGAGGAGACCCTAGTGCAACTGTGCATTGTACAACAACTGATGAGGTAAAAGAAACAAACTGTTAATGACTCTAAACAATGTGGCCCACAGAGTTGGTATGGTTTGGCCACACCAGCTCAGGGATAAAGGTACTAGAAAAAATCTTGGGGAAAATCCTATTGTACATATTCCTTACATAATGTCTGTGATTTACCTCACTTATCAAATGAAAAAAACCCAAAACACCTGGTTGATGGCCATTTGGTCAAACACCTCTAGGAGTCTGGAGTTGAGTGGCCAGAACTCAGTCTTTCTTTACATGCTGTGTTAAGCAGGCTTTTATCTCATTCAGGTGTTAGAAGTGGAGGGAGGAACACAGTTAGGCTGTGTTCTACTGCACTGCATAGGGAGGCAGGGTATCACCCAGGCACAACGCCCACTTTGCAAGTAAATAATCAGTAGCATGAAGCTCACTTCTGCAGGACCCACCATGACAAAGTGGAGAGCTGGGCGGTTAACCAGTGAACCAATTGAGTGGCTCTGGGCTCCTATACCCCTTTCATTCCACAGCCTGTGATACACCCTTAGAGTCAAAATATCAAATTCAGTGGGCCATGAGTCTTGCCCAAAAGTATAAATCTTTTTTTCATATGGACTATTTGGGTCTATTTTCAAAAATCCCTTTTTCTTCTCTAAACTATCTCAATTCCACATTTCACTTTGCAGGTGTAGACATGACTTTTAGGTTGTTGATGATTTAATGCTATTGAAATGTTCTTATATGCAAAACACCTAGATAGATGCAGAGTGTGGGACAAAGACAACCAGCACATTGCTAAGCCCAAGTAGCAAATTTCCTGACCCCATTTTAAAGGTTCTGAGACAGATAGGCGGAATAGGTCCCCCTGTCTTTGAGTAGAAGAGTTGGCAAGCAAGCTGGACTAAATGGGCCATGTGCAATTTTGCTGTCTGTTCACATTTCAAATAAACTAATGTGTTATGATTTTTTTTTCTCCTTGAATTTTACTTCCTCTTCTTTCTCTGTTCTTCTATTTTGTGTCTTCCCCATCATTTTGTTAATGCTTCTCCCTTTGAAAAAAAAATATTTTAGGTCCCTTTTTCAGGTTCTTTTGTGACAGAGCTTGGCTTCCTGTGTTCTCACTCTTTCACTCACTGACTCAGAGTAGAGGCTGCTTTACTGGAACTTAGGAGAAGCCAGAGGTTTGCTTTCAGTCCTGTTTTCTCCCAAGCCTAAAACTCTTATTTCAAGGGAGAAGATGTGTAGGCCAAGTTGAGAAAAGCAAGCAACAAGCCTAAAAATCATTTTCCTCACCAGCTGCCCTTGGGCTACATCCTGTAGAAAGGTGACAAGGACACTTGGAGCTGTCCATTTGCTCCCCAAATGTGTCTCCCAATGCCCAGCATCTTATGCAGCCTTTGACATGAGTAAAGTCCCTCAAGGTAAGCCATGGGAAAGATCAACCTACTACACAACCATCTTTTACTGCAACCCAAGGTACATTTTAACTTTCCCAGTTTATTTGAAGGAGAATATTAACAAATATCAGTTTTTTCCCCTGGAAAACATAGAGGAAAGATTAAAAACAGAAAAATGTTTGCCAATTCAGTATTTCCAGGCCTAATATTCAGATACCACCTAATAACAATGAACTTTAGATGTAGGTTTAAAGCCCAACTCTGGAACTACATGTCTCATCCTCTACTTACAGCTTAGAAGATGCTTACTACCACAAAATTAATTATATTATACTACTACTTTCATCTTTATTGTTTTAAGTTGAAGCAGCCAAACTGCATTTGTCTGCAGCAATTAGGGAAGGAATATTCATTTGTAAGTTAATCCCAGTAACTAGTTCTTAGAATTGACAAATGAATAGAAAATGCTCAATCAAACCTCTGGGTAAGAATTTGAAGATTGTTTCAAGTGAGATCAGGGAAAATTGTGCAGCTAATTAAGACAACCATGGGAAAAGAGTGAACCATGATGTTCATTATGACTCAGTTCATAATACTTCTAGGTAAAGTCCACACTATTTGGAAAGCACTGCAGCATTCCTGGTGTCAAAACCTCCAAAAGCACATTAGAAAAGTGAAAGATGTTGGTCCATGATGAGCTCATCTAGTTATTTTAGGATTTCTGTAGTCACCTATGTTTGGTATTAAATGATGATAACGAAAATGCCTTTCATTATTTATCCCTGGTTATCATGCTTTCCATTCAAAATAATAAATAGAAAAGAAAACCAACTAACAAATAGCTCATGGCTGGATTTGTTCCAGTCAGTTCCAATAGAACCACAAGTTGCTAAAGAAATTTACCCATTGACAATAACAACAGCACAGCAGCGAATCTTGAGCCTTTCTTTCACACTTCCCACTGTCACTCGCTGTAGGGGCTCAGATTTTGAGAAATTTAACCTGCATGCAAATGTGTGACAGTGCTTTCCTGGCAACCTGTCATTTAATAAAGAATAGGAAATGAAAGGCCTCACTATTGCCACAAGGTTCCTTTTATGCAAGTTTCCATAACTTAGGGAGATGCCTTTGCTGCTTACTCTTTGTTTCCCTCATTCATACCACTTTGCATTACCTCAAAGCAAAGAAGGGGGACTGCTGGTCCCAGCAGTGAAAGGTCTCAGGAATGGGTCGAGATTCCTTTCAAGGGAAAAGGAAGGGCACCCTCAGATTAGATGTTCTCCAATCTGCCCTGGAACACTGAGCTGGAGCCCCAGAAACCACTGCCTAATAACAATAATTTGCATACCAAATATATTAAAGTCCTAGAAAGTCTGAAGAATACCATTTGCTTAAAGTTTAAGTAACCTCAGCAGCACTTAAGACCAAGGACTGGAATGTACAGCTGTGCAAGTCATACCCCAACTACAGGCATGTGGCAGAGGTGGGGAGTGGAGGCCAGGATCCAAGGCTGCTGCTGCCAACAGGGAGAGGCACCTTTCACTAATTCACCCAAACCCACATGTGGATGAATGGAGGCCATGAAAAGTCACCTGAACTCTTCTGCTTGATGGTGAGAATGTGGAACATGGCATCCCTCTCCCAAAGCCCCCAAGGCTTCTCAGCACCCTGAGCATCAACTCCGAAGTCCAAGTGCTAACATGCCCTGAGCCCACTGACCTCTCTAACCTCAGCTTCCCCACACCTTCCGTGCGTTATTCCTGCACCCTGGTCTTCTTTCTGTTCCTTGAAGACACCAGCACATTCCTGCTTCAGGGCGTTTGCACTTGCTGTTCCCTCTGGCTCAGTCCTGCATGTCATTCAGGTGCCTGATCAAATGTCACCTCCTCAGAGAGGCCTTCCCTGACCACCTAGTCTAAATTGCACCTTTCCTCCTCTCTATCCCTTATCTTGCCTTTAAAAAAAATATATAGCACTTACTACTTGAATTTTATATTTGTTTGTCAATGATTTGTCTTCTCGCTAGAAGAAGAGTTGGCAAATTACAGCCTGAGGGCTACGTCATACAAGCTGCCTACTTTTGTAAGTCAAGTTGCATTGGGGCACGGACACTATCATCTGTTTGCACATTGTCTTTGTTGGCCTTCACACTGCAATAGAGACTACATGGTCCACAAAGCTGAAAATATTGATCATCTGGCCTTTTACAGAAAAAGTTTGCCAACCCCTGCTCTAGACTGTAAGCCCCATGAGGGCAGGGACTCTGCCTTTTGTGTCCACACCTGTATCCCCAGCACAGAATATTGCCTGGCACTTAGGTACTCAATATCCACTGGATGCCAGTAGCAGTCCCCAAGTCCTGACAACCAAAAATGTCTCCCAACTTTGTCAAATGCTTTATGAGGGGCAATATCACCCGCTGGGGAGAACTGCTACATTAGCCTGAGTCAGGAAGACACTGGGCAGCTTGAAAGTGAAGTAGGTTAAGAACTCGCGGCCGGGCACGGTGGCTCACACCTGTAATCCCAGCACTTTGGGAGGCCAAGGCGGGCGGATCACGAGGTCAAGATACTAGTGATCAACCAGTCTGGCCAACATAGTGACACCCCATCTCTACTAAAAATACAAAAAATTAGCTGGGTGTGGTGGTGTGCACCTGTAATCCCGGCTACTCAGGAGGCTGAGGCAGGGGAATCGCTTGAACCTGGGAAGCGGAGGTTGCAGTGAGCTGAGATCACACCATTGCACTCCATCCTGGGCGACAGTCCGAGACTCCGTCTCAAAAACAAAACAAAACAAAACAAAACAAAATAAAAAAAGAACTCGCAGATGCCGCACGGGGGAAGGGGTCTATTGAAAGCCTGAGGTGATTGGGCCTCGGCTTTCTCTTGGCTTCTTTTGCTCTTGAATAAAAACCGCTGTGCCTCTTCATCTCCAGATGATCACCCAACATGATTATGACAAGTAACCGTAGAATTTGAAGAATGAACCTTAGCTACTTCCTCGCTTGGTTACCCAACCGGCCTTTCTTCCTGGGACCCATGGGGTCTGTATTATACTGAAAACCGCTGCTGAGTTCAATATGCACGAGAACAATTGAATCCTAGTAATCAATAAAAAAGAACTAGTTATTGATAAATGCAACAACATGGATGAATCTGAAAGGTGTGATACTGAGGAAAATAAGGCTGTCTCAGAAGCTGCATACTGGCTGATGCCAATACATAATTGGCAAGTGTCATTTACATGACTTTCTGGAAAAGGCAAAACAATAAAGAGAACAGATCAGTGGTTACAAGTTTTCGGTGGGGGAGAGTGTGACTACAGAAGGCAGCATGAGAGTTTTGGGGGATGATGAAACGGTTACATATCCTGATTGTGGTGGTGGTTACATGAATCCATACATGCATTAAAACTCATAAAACTGTACACCAAGAAAATGATTTTACTGTATGTTAATTAAAGAGCAAAACAAGTAGTCTTTGAAGAATACGATGGGCTTTTAATACTTGCCCATCTTCTTCTAACCACAATAAAATATTGAAAGCCATAATTTAAAAAATGCACCAGGCAACAAGGCCTTGACTATTGGTGGCAATTGAAAAGCTCAAGAGGAGAGGAGAAAGTCGATATTCTGGAACTACATGAAGAACTTTAGCTTCCTTGCTTCAATTCCTCTTTCACTTTCCATAGAACAAGGTGATCTTCACTTCTCAATCCAGGATTACCAAATTCCACCCCAGAATTGTCTGGGTTTTCTTGATGAGAAGAGAGAAAATGACTTTAGAAATCAATAGATACTGGAACAGATGTGCCAGTACACTTTGAGGTTGTGCACAGGTCACAATATTTTGTCTGATGCTCTTGTGCAGATGAAAGGGGCTCAGGGAAGTGATAAGGAAGAGCATAAAGGAGTGTGTGGGGTTAGCTTTCCAAGGTTTCAGGCAAGAGAAGGAAAAGAGCAAAATGAAATGAAAATGACTCTTGGGAGATCAATATTCTGTGTGTATTATTCATATGAACAGTATCAGCAGATTCACGCATATATGAAATGATCAATACTTCCGGGAGATTTTTTTGCTTGGCCAAAATATCTAGTTGCTCACCTATGCCGATGATGGTGAGGATGGGGGCCCAGGGTATGCATAGGAAGGCAGTGGTGACTTCTACATTGAATTGTACCCTATATGCATACAGTTGAGAGTAAGAATATTCAGCATCCCTTTCTTTTTTTTTTTTTTTGAGGAACTGCAGACTGTGGTTTACATATACATGAGAGTGCTGTTCACAGGAAAAATATTGCTTAGTTGCTTCTGCAATAAAAATAATAAGTTGCAGCATTATTGCATCAAAAAAAAAAAGAATGTGCTTGACTTCTCAGAGAACGAAATGCATGGCAACTGTAAGAATCGTAGTGTCATCCACCTGATAGTTGTCCTGAAAGAGCTGCACAAAGCACAGATGACGATGGCACAGTTGCAAACAGCAGACTTCTTTCTCTTCTCCCATCACCCAACTTTTTCAGTAACAATTTTAGATGGACAACTGAAGTGCTTGCACATTTTTTCAGAGGGAGCCTAGTGTACCAAACATCCTCAGGAGCTGTTGACTCTTTTCCCTTGGCTAAAAGTAACTGAAAACAAAATTTTAAGTTATAGCCCTTCTGTGTCTGTACGGTGCAGGCAGAGTGGGGTGGCAGAGAAGAAGTGTGTTGCAGTGGAAGTAGCTCTGACTTCAGATCATGTAGAAAGGAGAGCTTTAAATTTTTCAGTTGCATTTGACATCGTCACAACCATGCTTCCAGCTCCTCCCCCTCCGCAATGTGAGGAAAGATTGTTTTATTCTCATTTAACAGAAGCCAGAACCAAAGCATAGGTAAGCTAAGAATTTGCCAGAGATCATACAGGGGGTGGATGGGAAAACAGCACATAAAACCTGAGTCTCCTGGTTCTAGCCCCACCCACACCTACCCCCAGCTCCATTAGGCTGGCCATACGATAAAGTGTCATCTGGCTTCACCAAACACAGACCAAAAGCTAGAAGATGAAGATGGGAGATTCCCACGTGCTCTGTAGGAATCACTCAGAACTCCCCGCTCCTACTCCAGGCCTGAAGTTCTGGCACATTCCCACTTGAGAATGTTCCTGACCCCTTAAGACTTACCTCAAGTACCACCCATACAATAAGACTTTTCTGACCTATTCCTATCCTCAAATAATTGGCGACTTCCTCTGTAGAGCCAGATTATACCTTAAACACAGGGCCATTTTTGTGCCTGTAACTTTTTCACATACCTCAGGGCTTGGGTCTGGCTGTTACTCATATTCTTGAGCCTAACACGGTGCTTGTCTCATAGTAGACACTCAATGTCTGTGTGCTGAATGAAAATATGACCTGAACTTTATTCCTTAGAGGTGCAAACCAAAGGCAAGCTCAGCATGGAAAATCCTTGGGAAGTCATGTACCCTCTCTAGGCTTCAGTGTCCTCATCTGTAGAAATGAGGAGAGTAAGAAAACAATAACTCTGAAGGATTACTGTATGTAAGGTTATTGGCAAGGTGCCTGTCTCACAGTAAGCTCTTGATAGGTAGTGGCTATTTTTGGTGGCCAGTCTCCGAGGTGGGCCCAGTGACTCTGACCTCCTGGTATTCATGCCCTTGTATATAGTCCCCTCCTACACTGAATAGGACTGATCTATGTGACCAATAAGATATTGGAGAATTGCCTGAGTGTGACTTCTGAGACTAGGTTGCAAAAATTACTGAGGCTTCTGTCTTGCTCTCTTTTGGATCACTTGATCTGGGGAGAGCCAGACACCAGACACCATGTTGTGAGGACACTTCAGCAGCCCTATGGAGAAGTCCAGATGGTGAGGAGCTGGGCTTCTTGCCAGCATGAGGTGATCATCCAAGTGAGCCATCTTGTAGACTGATTCTCCAGCCCCAGTCAAGCTTTCAGATGACTGCAGTCCTGGCGATTTCTTGACTGCAACTTCAAGAGAGCCAGTTAAGCCACTCCTGAAATCTTGACTTATAGGGACTATATGAGATAAATGTTTATTGTGGATTTAAGCTGCAAAATTTGGGGGGTAACTTGTTACGGAGAAATACGTAATTAATACATGCTTATTGTAAATGGCTGTACAAATATCAATGGAGTCACCTCCTACATGGTCAGTTCCGGTTCTTGACTGATCTCTGTTCACAGGGGCTACAGGGCAAGATGACTGGTTTAACCAAATCAGGACTTCCCCTTCCCCAGATATGAAGAGGTAACTAAAGAGGACATTCTCAGCAACTTAGTATTTTCAGATCCTCACCTGACCTGAGGAAGGTGAGAATGTCTGTCATCTTGGTGCTATCTGCCACATCAGACAAACTTTCAGAGAATATCACAGGACACCAAGTCAGATAATCTCCTCTTACTTGTGTCCTGTATGTAGGTCATCTCTTAACATAGAGGGACAAGTCTTGCCCCAAGAGCTAATCTTGGGGTCCCTTCTCTGTTCCTCACCCCCAGCAGCTGGCAAACTGTCCACATGAATCCCTGGCATGAATCCACCTTCCCAAGCCTTTCACATCACAAAACTGATGAAAATGGTAACATTTTTAAAGTAGCCAATATTTGACAAAGTTTTGAGAGAAACCCTTGGTTTTTCAGGCTACACATGCCTTGGCGATATTCACAGCTTGGGTGATGGGCACAGAGACATTTGGCTTCAAGTTCTCACACAGTTGTGTTACTGTAACTCCAAACCCCCAGTCCCGTGCATTCCCCAGCGATCCTTGCTATCTCCCTAGAGTTTTGGCCGCTGCTTCTGGGGTGTTCCATTTCTCAACAATTGCTGTCATTCTTTCCTCCTGTCCTCAGTTCTCCTGCAGTCCCTGATCTGCTCTGTTCCTGTCAAAACTAAAGGTATTGGATCTCAGCCCCACCCCAAGCAAATACAATTCCTTCAGGTAACTTTCAATTGTCTGACCCTTAAGTGACCACAGACTTTTAAGGCCCCTTGAGACAACCTCAATGTAGGAATCTACAAGTGCCCTGGGCAGAAAGACAGCTCTTTGTCATACACAAAAGCATCCCTTGACTAGGAAAAAAAGGTGTCTCAATATGGGGAATATGAACTATGTCCCTCCTTCACCTCAGAAGATGAATTCTCTGCCTGCTTGGGGCACTCCTTCCTTCTGAGTAGTTGACACAGGCCACGCCTCCTTTCTTTGTTCAAGAATCCCAAAGTTCCCACTATTTTTTCCCAAGGACTTTAAACACCAATAGTCATTAGTTCTATTATGGACAGTCTGCCTTAGCTCCCCCAAATTCCCAGAGGTGCAAATATATAGACGAGACCCCACCATGATGACCTCCTTGGATTTGAACTGGATACCAAATAGGACTGTGCACAAATCTGGCCTTGACCAATTCCATTCTGTTTGAACGATTTCTCACCATTCCTACCTACAACTCTAGTACCCCATAGGTCCGCCCAATCCAGCTGTGATGGGACCATGAGGGGACATGGTGATCCTAACCAGTAGACCATTCGAAGGTGTTGGTTTGAGAATCACCCAGCATCTGGCCTGACCCAGGCCTCACAGCAAAGCCCCTTGATTTGGTAGCCAGAGGTTGCTTTCACATCTTGACATCTTCACAGTCCCCTGAAAATGGTAGCCATTTCATTGAGTCCCTGGGTGTAGTGAGTCTAATGACCTGTGCTTTAAGCACTAAAGAATGCAGTGAGTTGATTTTTCAGACTCAGCAGAGAAAGCACTGGGTAAAGAGTGTGCTCTTGGAATTATTAAATAGAATAACTCACCTCTGCTTCAGTGAAGACTGTTCCTATTATAGTAAACAATTTATCTGACACTACACTCTTAAGGAAAAGTTATTTAAGTTCTCTCCTAGCACAATACCCTCCACATTGAGGGCAGCCAATTAAGGCTTCTGCTTTGGTTGTATTGCTGTTTCCTTGGGTGGGGAGACCACAAGTTTAACTTTTGCTTGAAGGACCTCTTCCAGTGGTTTTGTCAAAGCTGTGAATTTTATTACCTCAAGTGTGTCAAGGAAGAGGGGCTCCAAATTTAGCCTAGGGCAAAAGGAAAACACAGATCAACCTGTTGCCATTTTTCTTTCTTGTTAGAGAGAAGTACTCTGTTGCCCAGGCTGTACTCAAACTCCTGGGCTCAAGAGATCTGCCCGCCTCAGCTGCCTGTGTAGCTGGGACTATAGGCACCTGCCACCATGTCCGGCTGATTTTTTTTAACATTTTTTGTAGAGGTGGGGGTCTTGCTACGTTGCCCAGGCTGGTCTCGAACTCCTGGACTCAAACAATTCTTCCTCCTCAGCCTCCCAAGTAGGCGGGACTACAGGTGTGCCACGATCCTGCTGCCATTTTTATCCACTGGATTTCCACCTACATGATTACTGAGCCCCGCAGAGTCCAGGGGTTAAACTCCACTTCAGTTTTTTCACCAATAAAACTGACAAACTAATTCATCGCCAAACTTGATACTTAATCTCTGGTAAAGGAAAGATATGTTTCAGCACCAATACTCTTTATGTTAGCCATGCCCAAATTATATAAATACCCTCAATAGCTGCAAAATGCGGGGAAGAAAGCATTTGCTGATTTTTACTCTTCCCAAAGCAAATCCACAAGTACCTTAGCCAAATTGCCTGCAACGTCTTGTAATTTCATGGTGATTTTACTTTGGAAAAGAAAAAGGAGAAATAGAAGGTAAAGTCCTAGGAACTGGACTTTATCTTAATCATCTATCTCTTCTCACACTTGGAGTGACAGGAACAGAGAATGAGGATGGAAATGGTATGATTGATACACATACAAAATCTCACCCGTGGTTAAGACTTTCAGGGGAAATTTAGACCACAGCCTCGGCTTCCCAGTACTCGCTACCCTTTGGAGTAGTTCTGTTTTTAAAAATCAAAAACACAGCATTCGGAGGCTTCAGATAGAAATTATTACAAAAAAATTGACAGAATTTCTCTTCATCAAACGTGATGCTGTACAGCAAACTTAGTTTCTGTGGAGGACAGGCAATTTTAAGCTCGTGACTATTACAGAGATGAGGAGGGAGAGGGACTAAAAAGGGTCCTTGCTTAATAAAATGAAGCCAGCTGTGAAACATTCCCTGAGATTACAGGGGCCCTCCACAGTTATGCGTGCCTAAATCACCTCGAGTCTCTTCCTATCCCAATCCATCTGACACCTGTCTCCAGGCTAATCCTTCTAATCTGAACAGCTGCCTTGGAGACGTCATGCCTTGCCTTGCCTTCAGTGACTCCCCAAGGCCTCCAAAAATGTCAGTTACGCCCTGGCCTGGCCTTTATATTGTGCAAGAATCTGGCTGCCTCTGACATTTAATCTCCCTCTATTCCAACAGAAATCTGTCACTCCAGTGCCCACACCACTTTCTGTTTACCCACCTCCACATATTTACCTGTAATGGTCTCCATTTTCTTCATCTGGAATATCTCCCTCTAACCCCTTCTCAACCACCAACTTCAACATATGATGCAAAGAGTGTGATTTGGAATTAGAGAGATCTGGGTTAAATTCTAGCTCTACTACCTGCTTGCTGTGTGTTGTTGGGCAGGTGTCTCACCTTCTCTGAACATCAGGTTCCTCATCTATACACCAAATTCTCTATACACATCAGGTTCATGGTAGGTGCTCAGTAAAGGTTAACTCCTTTTTCCTGCATGTCTACCCAAGCTCCTAAATCAACTAATTTCTATCATATGGGCCATAGCATAGGTTTGCATGTGAGCATAAGGTTTATGTTCAGTGTTGCAGATTCACCTCTATTCATTAAAGGTGTCATAAAGGAATGGGCCAGGTCAGGAATATAGAGATCATAAGACCTTCTCAGGACAAAGCTCAGAGGCCGGGGCATAAGGGCTCATTCTCTGCCAATGGCACACTGAAATTTCAGCCTCAGGGGAGTGGAACCCAATAGGAGTACTTGGAAAATAGCCAAGCAGTTCACGGACGGGAAATTATAGCATTGCCATGACTCACTGTTAGACAGTTGAAGGAGTTCCTGAATAACAATTTTTTTTTGTAATTCCTAAGAAATTTACAAAAGATGCCAATTAGCAGATTCAGTTCCACGGCACTTGAAGCTTAATTAAAAAAAAAAAAAGCAGATGCATTAGACATGCTTACAATTCCTCTCCCACTTCTAAAAAAATTGCCCCACCAACAGATGTTTAATTTGCCAGGTAATTTGCCATGTGATGAAACCCCTCTTTGCCCATATCTGATTGGTGCAAGGGTAGTCACCTGACCAAAGGGCAGCCATTCCCATAGGCTGGACAGTAACTATGAGCTATGTCCTAGTGCAAAAAAGATGAGCTGAGCCAATCATGTTCTCTGTCTTTCCTAAAACTAGGAAACACAGAAGGAATGAGCCCACAGCAACAAGAACAGAAACTGCAAGGATGCTGTGATATTATAAAGTATATATTTGGTCTTTGTCTCATTTTCTGTCATACAGCTCCTAAAATCCTTGAAATCTCCAAAGTGATAAGAGTATCTTTTGTATGCAAATGAGATGACTGGTGGCTGGCAGCCCTAGGTTGCCTCAGGATGGGGGTTGATCCCATAAAAGACCAAGGGGGGATTATAGAGTTGGAACGTTCAGCCCCATTCTCTAAACTTGGGGGAGGCTGAAGGTTAAGTTGATCATCAATGGCCAGTGATTTAGTCAATCATGCCTAAATGAAGTTTTCCTAAAACCCGAAAGTACTGGGTTCATGGAACTTCCAGATAGCTGAACAGGGGGAGGTTCCTGGAGGGCGGCTCGCCTGGGGAGGGCTTGGAAGCTCCTTGCCTCTTCCCACGTACTTCACCCTATGCCTCTTTTTCATCTGGCTTTTATCTATATCTTTTGTAACACCTTTCAGGATAAACCAGTAAACCTAAGTGTTTCCCTGAGTTCTGTAAGCCACTCTAGCAAATTAATCAAAACTAAGGAGGGGGCCATGGGACCCCTGATTTATAGCTGACTGGTCAGAGCACAGGTAAAACAACCTGGAGCTTGTGATTGTCATTGGAAGTGGGGGACAGTGTTGTGGGACTGAGCCCTCGACCTGTGGGACCTGACGCCATCTCCGGGTAGACAGTGTCAGAACTGAATTGATTTAGAGGACACCCAGCTGGTATCTGCTGCAGAACTTATTGCTTGCTTGGTGTTGAGACAATACACCCACACATTTGGTCGCAGAAGCGTTGTATGTTGTGAGAGCATAGTGAGAGAAACAGAGTTTGTTTTTTTCCTATATCCTTAGAGATGCCCTGAGGGAAGGAAAGTCAGGGACATAGCAAGCAAAACCTATGAGTAACTCACAGTTAGGGAGGTTCAGAAACCTCTAATAAGCAGGATAAGCCAGGCGGTAGAGAGGAGATCTGAGCGGAAGCACGAGGAAGAAGAAGCCGTGAGAAAGCGATGGAGACAGTACTGGGTCCCCAGAGCTGACCAGTTTCTCAGGTGACCTCAGTCCCCAATACTATCTCAGTTCCTACAATAAAACCCTCTGGTCTCAAGCTCACTTACAGCAGTATTCCTTAAAAACAAAAGAACCCAACTTAGGAGGAAAACAGTGACACATTTTACTGCAAGAAAATAAAATACAACTACTCTGAACACATGCACTATTACACAAGTCACAAACCCAGGAGAATCATGAGGATTTATTTTTAATAAGACACAAGGTGCAGGGTTAGACTGTCTTAAAGGACAGACTGTTTTCTCAGAGTATTGAAAGAAGGGGGCCTCTTAGGATTTCTGAGAGCAGCCACTAGAGTGTGAGACTTTAGGAATGTTTCCACCTGCTCCGAGGACTCTGACCATCCCTGGCAGAAAATGCCAGAGTTACTTGGTAGAGCCCTCGTTGGCAATGAGAAGCAGCGCAACCTGTGCCCTGGGATGGGCGTGCGCCTGCTAGCCCTGTGACCCTCAGCGAGTCACTTCATCTCCTTGAGACTCAGTTCCTCCTTTGTGATAGGTGACAAGCAAAGTGACTTCTGGGATATTAATCTTCTAAGTAAATGTCTTCTTTCAACTAGATTAGGAAAGGAGGCAGCCTAGAAGAAGAAAGACTGTGGCCCAGTAGTCAGGAAAGCTGCATTTCGGCCTTGTCACTTGCTGGCTGGGCAAGCTGAGCAGCTGTCTGACTTGTCTTGGTCTCACCCACAAAATGAGGAAGTTGATTTGTGTCTCATCAAAAGGGCATTTTCACTCCAAATTCTGTGATGCTAAGACCTAAACATTCCTCAATCTATGATTCCAATGGCTCTTAACATCTGTATTTAAAATTCTTTGCTGTGTTTTTTTCCCCACCCTTGACTGTGTAGAAAGAAGTCTGTGCCACAATTTCTAGGAGAACTTATTTATTTCAATTTGTCCAGTTACAGACTAAGTATAAAGAATGTTGGGGGAAAACCTGGTGTGAGTTTCACTCCAGCACTAGTTGGAACAGACATGTGAACTAATTTGGATTCCTAACGGCACAAGATCAAGGCTGGTTGCTGATGGAGAACTGTGAATCTAAATAGGAAGACAGACCAGGCCATATTCAAAGGAAAAGATGTGTCCTCTTCCCAGAAAACTATAAATCCATAAATGGAAAGTGAAGGTGTGATTCGCAAAGTGATCTTGAGAAGCATTTTAAATGTCCTTCTCAAAAATATTAAATTTATTGGTAGAAATCAGAAGTTTTGAGGTCCGTAGACACAGTGGTAGAGGCCAATAGAAAAAGCCAAGAACAAACACGGCTAGTTATAAAAGAAGTTTAGTGTCCTGCAATTTCAGTAAAAACCTAAAGGCACACATGACTCCAAGATACTGAAGGTCAGTGACTTTCATTGTTTCACCAGTTAGTTAAATGAAGGTGCAAGACTCTACAGTAATGCTCATTTCTTGTTTCTGTGGCATGAGGCACCAAGAGCATCAAAACCTCTCGAGATACTCTGTACTAGGCGTCCCACAGAGGAACCAGTGCAAGCACTGGACACTTTCGGGTATAGCCGAAGATCACCTTGAAGAACGATGAACTCAGAAGGACAAGTGCTCCCCCTGCAAACTTTAGTCCACTCTCCGCCCCAAGCTCTCTGTGTGTATGCTGGGGACCAACAACACTTTGATAAAGCCAAGGCTGTGGCTATCACCATGTGAGCTTTGGGGTGCTGAAGAAACTCAACCAGAATAAGAAGCTCATCAAGAAGTTGGCCATAAAGTATGATGACTCTGATCAAACACATCCTCAGCCCCAGCCTGAATAAAGCTGGCAAATTCCCTTCCCTGTTCATGCACAATGAAAACATCGTGGCCAGAGTTGATGAGGTGAAGTCCACAATCAACTTCCTGACGGAGGTGCTGTGTCTGGCCATGACCAATGCCATGTGAAGATGACAGACGATGAGCTTGTGTACAACATCCTTCTGGATGTTAGCTTCCTGGTGTCACTGCTCAAGGTGAATTGGCAGAATGCCCAGGCTTTATACATGAAGAGCACCATGGGCAAGCCCCAGCACCTGGACTAAGGCATGGCCTGGTAGGTCCTAGTGCCACCAAAAAACAAAAAACAAAAACTAATGAACTCTACAGTAGCCTATTATATCTGATTACTTTAGATCAACCACCTCTCTGCGTGGCTGATCTAAAATAATCAAGATATAGGCTGGGTGCGGTGGCCGACGCCTGTAATCCCAGCACTTTGGGAGGCAGAGGCAGGCAGATCACTTGAGGTCAGGAGTTCGAGACCAGCCTGGCCAACATGGTGAAACCCCATCTCTACAAAAATACAAAAATTAGCCAGGTGTGGTAGCCTGTGCCTGTAATCCCAGCTACTTGGGAGGCTGAGCTGGAGAATCACTTGAACCCAGAAGGCGGAGGTTGCAGTGAGTCAAGATTGTGCCACTGCACTCTAGCCTGGGTGACAGAGTGAGACTCTGTCCCAAAATAAATTAAATAAATAAATAAAATAAAATGATCAGATAGAAAAGGCATGGACTAGTAATTCACAGAATAAATACCTGTAGGCAAGAAAGATATGAAAAGGTGTTCAACTGCAATGGTCATTAAAATAACATTTAAAATGACCTTTTGTTTTTTGCCCATAAGAGTGACAACAAATAAATAAATGGCATCCAGTGCTGGTAAGGGTGTAAGGAATTAGCCAATCCTATATACAGTAGGTAATATAAAATTTTAAATAGGCATAGCCATTGACCTAGCAATATCAATCCTGGAAGTTCAGCCTTGAGATATTCTTCTGTGGGCATTTACTTAATAATGTTGATTTGCTCTTAATAGCAAAAACTAGAAGTTACTCACATTGGTAGTGGGTTAGTTAAAAAAACTTTGTCCATCCAAATAATAGAGTACTATATATCCCTTTTTTAAAGGGTGAATTATACCTAAATGCACTGATGTGGGAAGATTTCCATGTAGAAAAACAAGTTTTAGAAGACAATGCATAGTATGATCTGATATTCTTAAAAGGTGTACACGTGTGCACACACATTCTAAAGGGTCCTTGCCAACCTCCATTCCTTGCATCTCGCCACGCCCACCTCACACTTCGGATACCAGCGCCATAGGGAACCTCCAGCTTCCCTGATGTGTCATGCATTCTCTTAAGAACACGTGCTCTCCATCTGCCTGGAGCCCTGACCTCCTGCTCGGTGCCTGCCTAATTCCTCACCTTAATCCTATGTTACTGCAGGAATCTGGAAGGGTATACACCAAACTGTTAACATGGATGTTCCTGAGGTTGAGGTGTCAGGGTATTTTCACTTTCTGTATCATACTTTCCTGAATTGTTTGAATTCCTAATAATAATACATTGTAATTATTTTATGATTAGGAAAAAAGAACACTGCAACTATACAGACAACAACTGAAAAATAAAGAGATCAGAAGATCAGATTTTTGCCTCTTGTCCTACAACTATTGCTACATTCTGTCGTCTGTAAATTTCTCCAGTTCCAGTTAGACAGCACCCATCTGTGGACTCACAATCTCCAAATAAAGCCTGAAAAATCTAGGATAGAGGGAGTGAGATAGAGAGGAAAAGGAGGAGGTGACTTGCCAGTGATTTAAAAAGACAGAGCTTACTTCCAAATTTGAGGTTAGGAGACTTGAGTATTTTCAGTGCTACGGAATGAAAGCCCAGGCTTTGGTTCATTGCCCAGCTTCTCAGAGAAGCTAAAGAGAAATAACTTTACTAGGATCCTAGATACATTGTTTTAATTTACTCTATATTATTTAGCACCCCATACCAAAAAGAACTTCAAAGAATGTCCTTTTGTTAACTATAAAATAAATCAAAACTCAACCACTTAATTGATTTTAGGAAAACAGAGTATATTTGTAAAACCTTAGGTATCAGAATATTGAGGTTATAATCTGAGTCTCGCAATAACAAGTAGCGTTCATGTTAGCACATTCCACCCTAAACACAGCAAGTTCTTCTTTATTTTCTTCCTCTCTGTCACCTGCTGACCTCCCCACCCTCCATGCAATGAGGCTCTGGGCTCCATCGATTATCTTTCCTAAGTGCCTCTCAAATCCTTCCATGGCCACTGCTCTACCTTGGGTCCACGTCCTCTCTCGCCTAGACCACTGCCTCACCTGGTCTCCTTTTCCCGAGTGTTCTATTCTCCACATTGCAGCTACACTACTCTTAAAGTGCAAAATGTGAACATGTCCTTTCTCTGCTTTAACCCTTTTGGTGTCTCCCAGAGCTCACAAGACAAAGTCTGAACTCTGAGTCTAGGATAAGGCTTAAGAAGGCTTTCTTACTAGGCACTACCTTGGTTAGAGCAGTGATTCTCAACCCTGAGGTTTAAAAACCATTGTTTTCAATGCCAATGCATTTTGAAAACTCATCCCAGATGATTCCACCCCAAGAAGCCAGATGCCTTTAGTGAGAGAAACGCTGATGAGGGACAAGATGCTGTGTGAGGCCAAGAAGAAGGCAAGTCAGAGGTCCAGAAGTGGATGCAGCCTGGAATTTGGCATTAACCAAAGCTGGCTTTCCAGTTCAGGTTAGGCCTTTGTTCTTAGGATTTGCACCAAATAAGACTCATTTCATCTCATCGCCTGGTCCGGGAGGAAGGTGCTGGTTACATGCTCTAGTCAGGAACTCTTTGAGAAAACAATTTAAATATTGAATCTGCTCTGCTGTAAATAATGCATCAACTTATTTTGAAAAGTGAATATTTAATAAGTTGCAGTGCAGCGATTTGAATGTGGAATTTAATCTGCTTATAAAATCCACAAGTGAAAAACCAATTCATATAAATTACTATAAAGTTTCCATCACTTCTCCGAACATTTCTATATACCGGTTGCGCAAACACACTCCGTGGATGGAACAGGGGCAGGGGGAGGAATTAGATGCCACAGTTTGTTTTTATATAGTTTCTCGTTTCACTTATTTTTCTTTGCCTTCACAAAAATGAAGTCCAAACAGCATACTTCTATTGAGTATTCTTCTATTTTTTATTTATTTATTTTTTTGAGATGGAGTCTCACTCTGTGGCCCAGACTGGAGTGCAGTGGCGCAATCTTGGCTCACTGCAACTTCCGTCTCCCAGGTTCAAGTGATTCTCTTACCTCAGCCTCCCAAGGAGCTGGGATTACAGGCGCGTGCCACCTTGCCTGGCTAATTTTTGTATTTTTAGTAGAGACCGGGTTTCACCATGTTGGTCAGTTTGGTTTTGAACTCCTGACCTCAGATGATCCACCTGCCTCGGCCTCCCAAAGTGCTGGGATTACAGGTGTGAGCCACTGCACCTGGTCTTCTATTGAATATTTTAAAAAGAACTAGAGAGAGAGCAGTGTCTCTTAGGTAACTGTGCATTCTAATTTATAAGTCTTACTACAAGGGTCTTTTCCATTTATTTTTATACTAATTATGTACTCGTTGTTATTATTACCCTTGAACTAGACAGGCCTGCATTTGGATACCTGAGAGTTTAAAAATCTCTGAGAGTTACTAGTTGGGTTTGAAATCCCTGAGAGTTACTAGTTGAGTGACTTCTGGTCAATTGACTTACGCTTACCAAGCCTCTAGTTCTCTGGTTATTGTCTGTGTAAGGTAAGTATGTAAGACTTCTTAAAAACAAGCTAGAAATCGAATGCATATCAGTTCTTCTCCTCTCTTTCCTCCCTCCCCACTCCCCATCATACACTGTACCATAACCTCTGTGTTGTATTTGTGCAGTTGATGATCTCTTCTTAGGACTGAAATGTATTTTCTTGCGGTTATGTACTCTTTGATAATGTCAGTTCAGAAGGAAACATTGGCCCCACTGTAGTACAGGGGGGTATACTGTAGCACAGGAGAGCACTGGTTGGCTGTCAGGAGGCCATTCCAAGTGGCATTTATCCTGTAGGAATTCACAAGGGTTCAAGGTATTGTGTCAGCCATCCAGACATAGGACTTTATTTGTCCTATATACAGATGAAGGGTCTCTCTGCTTGGGGATTATGTATGTTAACCAAGGCCACAGAGACTGATATATACAAACCAGAATGCTGATTCTTTTCATGTATGATGAAAAATATACAATTACTGGTGAGGGGGTGGGCAGTGGTGGGGGTAGGGTGAGACAATTTATTAGAAGTACAAACCAAGGGAAATTGGCTCCACAGTGTCAATGCTTAGGTCACCCTAACAGATCTCTCTCTCTCTCTCTGTGTCTCTCCCTGTCTCTCTCTCTCTCTCTCTCTCTCACACACACACACACACACACACACACGGTTTCATTTTTCTATGTTCTAGTCTGTGCTATTCTGTTCATGCATCTCTCCAACTAAAGTCCTATAACATTCCAACCCATTGCCTTGAGTTCTCCTTGGTTGATCTCCTGGGTGTCCCAACTCTCAGATAGTCCTGTCACACTCATGGGGCTTTATTGCCTAGTTTACATGGGGGTGCTTCTTTCCTGCCTGCTGCTTCCCTCTTTGTGGGTGAAGATCAGTTGCTATAATGGCCTGGCCTTTCTTCCTCTTCCCCTTTCACTCAATTCTTCTCTTTCAGCCCCCAGGAAGACGCAGTAGCTTCTCTCCTTGGTAAATTTGGGAAAAATAAACTGGATGTAAAAAGATCAGCTTTCACCTCTATAGTTTCACTCTCCTTTTCTATGTTTTCAAGGCTAACCAGCCTCTCTGAAGACTGCTTTAAATCTTTATTCTAATATGACAATATGTTCAGTCAGCTCTCCCAGATTTTATATAACTGGGAGTTGTCTTTTTCAGCTCCCCTCAGTGCCTCTCTGCTCTGAGTTAAAATCTGTTGCTTTCAAAGCTTAATTGTCAGATGCCATTCATTCAAAAAATACTAATCAGTGCAGGTACTGTCCTGGGTTTGGGAAATAAAATGAGAAACAAAATGAACATGGTCTAGCCCTCATGAAGTTCACATTTTCATTTTATTATCTGGTCTTATTTTTGCATTCCTACCTGGGGAAAGCCTCACCACAGCACATTTTTGATGGTAGAAAGAGCTCTGAACCTTTGAATCAGGCAGATCTGGGTGGAATTCTAACTCAGCCACTCACTAGCTGTATGTCAGTAGACAGCCAATGAATTGCTCTGAGCCTTAGTTGTCTTAAAAGTTAAATTGCTATGTAGTTAAAGTCCATGATGCTGTTGTGAGAATAAAATGAAATAGTGCATGCAAAAAGTCTTAGCAGAGAACTTGGAACTGGTAAGCACCTCATAAATGTAAGAAGACACTTACTAATGTAATAAATGTACAATATAATAGCCGCTGTGCTCCCTTTTCCCCCCTGAACTTAAGCTTCTTGTGAGCTGGAACCATGTCTTACACTTCCTAAGGTCATAGTAGAAGCTCAATAAACGTGTCAATTCAATTGATTAGTTAAATGAGATTCACAATAGGCTCTTGTCTTAATTAGCCTTCTGTTTTTTTTATTGGTGATAAACATATCTGGTTTTTCCCCCAAAGCTGTGTAACTATGTAGCCATTGTAAAATATGTCTTTTAATAGCTTCATGTCTAATTTTCTATATTTCAAATATGTCTCCATAAAATCACAATAATTTTTAGCTGTGACTTTGACTAAATCTTCACTAATGTATAAATAATTTTATTGTTAAAAACTAAGAAAATTTAAACTGGTTATTTTAATAGTTTATTTATGTGTTACAATAAATCATACTGGTTATGTATACGAATGGAAGGAGACATTGACATGAAGAGTTGAAGAAAAGGTTAACATATTTTCTTTATGATTTTTGAGTACGGATGTTCCAATGATCCTGGAATTCTCATTGTTTCAAATAAAATGATGAGGTCATTGTAAAAACATCTGAGTTGAGACAGCAGAGTCATGCTTTTGCATCCTGTCCTGTGGAACTGCACTCTGATCTTCAGCTTACCACAAAAATCGGCTATAGCACCTTCAAACTGATGAAATGCTCACCTAAGCCACACTCTTCTGTCAAAGCTGGCTGTTTTCTACATCCTGGCTTCCTTGTTGCTGACTTAAAAGCTTTTCTTATTAGATTTTTATTGGAAAAGTTAACAAATTTTAGGGTATTGGCAAATTGTTCAGTAAAATTATGTTGATGATGTTAACAAGAATGTTAAAGAAAATTTTGCAGGTGATAACACACCGATGGTATGGTAGGAGTTGGGAACCTGGGCTCCCAGACCTCTCGGGGTATCAGTGGATGCTTGAACAAGGTGTTTGGGATACAAGTGGCAATGGTCCACACCCATATGTAATTTTCAGTCAAGTAGGGGAGGTAGACAATAAACACATAATTATAGATAGATAATATGTGTTAAAAGAAAAGTGAATAGGAAGCTGTAAGGAGAATAAGGAGAAGTTAGCTTTGGTAGTTGGTCAGGGGAGGCCCCGCTGAGGAGACTGAATTGAAGAAAGAGAAGGAGTCAGTTTAGGGAGGACCTGGAGAGGCGATGCCTCAGGCAGAGGAGAGCAAGGCAGAGGCTGCGTAGGATGAACTTGGCGCAGTCTCAGAAGCGTGGCTCAGCCGGGCTGGCTGGGGTACAGGGAGGACAACACCCAGCGCCAAGTTCTATTTTATTTAAAGTGCAGTGGAAAGCCACTGAGGGGTTCATAAACCAGGTCGGGACTGGAACTGATTTGCATTTTTAAGTGACTGTTCAATATTTGATGTGGAGAACATTGTAATGGGGTTCACATGGAAGCAGGAAGACCAGTTAGGAAACAAAGCGGTAGTCCAGTGAGAGATGACGGTGGCTTCTATAAGGCTGGTGGTCGTGGGCCTCAGGAAGAAAGGTGGTGTAAATCTAAAGATGCATACATAAAAATATCTCCTAGTTAGATCACTGCTTTCTTAAAATAATGAGAATTGAGTGTCTTACAGGCAATGTCGTCCTCAAAACACACACTGACATTACAGAACAATGTCTCATTTCCACATAAATGCATAGATTTGACAGGCACTTTTCATTGAATCCTCACATCTGAGCAGAAGAGAACACTCATACCAGCCATAAGCATAGGAACTCGGAGATGGTGACTGATTCTCCTGCCAAGCAAACTCCTGTTCTTCGTGATTGGCAGAGGCTGCCATGTGGGCAACAGGTCTGTCTATGTACAACTGTCTTAAAATTGGCTGGAGTATTGGGTCTGTGTGGGAGGTGTGTATTATTAAAGGTATATTGGGAAGATATAGGTAACCCTCCCAGGTTACCTTGGGAGGATGTAGTGAATGAAGATGATGTGTGTGCGTGTGTGTGTGTGAGCGTGCTAGTGTGACTTGCTGCTTTAATAGCTTATGCATCACCATAGCCAGCTATAAACGGAACAAGTTCATAGAAACTCCATTAATAAAAAGCGTCAGAGAAATGGCTTCACTTATTGACATAAGTATAAAACCTCTCCACAGTATACTTCGTATGACATCAAAATTCCTTGGCAGCAACTATAACAGATTTGAAATAAATAACTTGGTAAAATCAGTCTACAAAACCTATAGTCTGTGAGGCATAATTTGGGCCTGTTCTCTAGGTAATGAAATAATTATACAAAATGGCGTAATTTGGTTTGAACACAGTAAAGGAAAAGAAAACTCAAGACTTCCATTTAACTGTATTTTTTCTCTCAAGGTCCTGAAATCTGTGGCTTACTAGGATTTGGGAGTGGAAATCCATTTTGTTTAGGTGACTGAGATGTTTGAGGTGGGGAGAAGTTAAAAGGAAGCGGGGCTGCTACTTGAAGGTAGAACAAAAGCTGGACCCTGGATCATAGATGCGGAAAAATACTCTCTTCTCCCCTGGGTTGCATGCAGTGGGAAGACCACCCACTTCCCCAACTCCAACCCTGTCTGCCTTTCAAATCTTGTTCAAGTACCCTTTTTTTTTTTTTTTTCCTCGAGACAGAGTTTCACTCTTGTTGCCCAAGCTGGAGTGCAGTGGTTCTATCCTGGCTCACTGCAACCTCTGCCTCCCGGGTTCAAGCAATTCTCCTGCCTCAGCCTACCGAGTAGCTAGGCTTATAGGCGCCCGCCACCACGTCCGGCTAATTTTTTGTATTTTTAGTAGGAACGAAGTTTCATCATGTTGGCCAGGCTGATCTTGAACTCCTGACCTCAGGTGATGCACCCGCTCGGCCTCCCAAAGTGCTGGGATTACAGGCATGAGCCACCATGCCTGGCCTCAAGTACCTTCAATTGGCAGAACGTTATTTGCATTTAGAATCCTAAATTCAAAATAATCTGAAAATAATTGTTTTCAATTTTGCAATGAAGGAAAGCACCCAAGAAAATAGGTTGGAATTGGTGCTGAGGACCAATTCGTCACATCTGTTACAGAAGAGAGAACTGGGGGGATGATTTTAGTGGAATGAGTCTCTCCTTCCCTCAGGTCAAAAAAGAAGAGCTTCAGGGACACTACTCAGAAAGCTAGAAGTGTGTCCTCTGCAGTTTGGGCATTAGGGTGGGATGTATTCTGACTCCTGCCTGGGGAGTGTGAAAATGAGAGACACTCTGACTACAGGAGCAAAGCAATTTGGCACTGCATCATGATTGGCCTGTTCTTCTAGAGCTTCAGATTCAAGAGGAAGAAAGTAAAAGGAAGCATGAAGGTTTCTGATGTACTTGATGGCCCACATTCCAAAGAGAGCTGATGTGGAGTTGATTCATGTCTGTCCATGTGGGTTGTCTGAAGAGGAGAAGGGGCTTCACCAGGAAGAGGCTGGAGGTCAGCCATGAAATTCTTAGGAGTGAGGAAAGAGGTGTGGCATGGAACAGGAAGAGAGTACAGCATTTCCAAACATTTCCCCTAAGAAAAGGAATTGGGTTTATTGCCTGCCAGGCCTGGGGAGGATGCTGAAGGCTCACACCAGCTCCAGACAGTATCAATGGTCCTGCCTTCTTTAATCTCCTCTTTCCCCATACTTCAAAGGTCAGATACTATGGGTGCAAGAGAGAATGAAGGAGGAGATGAAAGGTGAGGGAAATGAGTGTTATGCACTTAATTGTGTCCCCCCGAATTTATATGTTGAAGCCTCAACTCCTAATGAGTTATCTCTAAAAGGTAAGGCTTTTATGGAAATAATTAAGGTTAAATGATATCATAAGCCCTTATCTAATAGGATTAGTGTACTTAAAAGACAGCAGAGAGCTTGCTTGCTGTCTCTACCATATGAGGACACAGAAAGAAGGTGGCCATCTGTAAGCCAGGAAGAGAGCCCTTACCGGGATCCAAATTGGCCAGCATCTTGATCTTGGACTCCCAGCCTCTAGAATTGTGAGAAATATATTTCTGTTGTTTAAGCCCCCCAGTCTATGTTATTTTATAAAGATAGCAAAAGCAGACTGTGAGAAGCTAAGTCGCTTCCTCTGTCTGCTGGTAACTTGCAAATGGGAGGGAGAAAGTGTTTTAGCCTTAAACCGAGTTTAGAGTTTCAATGATTATATAAAGCCAAATATTTTTGCTTACTGAATTGAGATCAAAACTTGTTATATTTTATTCCCAGAGAGTGACCAGAAATAGCATGAGATTGTTTGAGACTTCTTCCAGGAGCTGGAGAAGAACTAGTCTGAAGAGTTAATTTAGAGTCAATGGGGGCAGAAGACAAAATTGCTTGATGATTACATCCTAAGAATTGTTCTTGTTCAGCATACTGATTATAAATTAGCCTTCCAAATCAATATATCTTGTTTTATACTAGAGACACTCAGATATCCTAAAGGAGATAGAGTGACTCCAGGCCCCTTAGAAATGACTATACCTGGCAGAGCATGCCAACTGGAATCAGGTTGGCCCATCATGAAAACAAAGGAAAATGGAAGAGCCAGCTGACTGGGTGCACTTTTGGAGACATCTATTATCAGATTTCTTTCCATTTCCAAATGCACAAATGACCTCTCAAGACTTAGGGGGAATTCATATTTGTGAGGACTCGAGCCCATGCAAACCATAGCATTTAAGTTGGAGTTGTTTAATGAATCACAGCCTAATTTCCTCTGTTGCTCATGGCTATTTTGTTGTTGCTTAAAATGTTTGCCAAGAAAAGGGTTATATAACTTCTTACCTTAACATGGCAGAGCATATTTGGTAGGTGATGAGTAAACTGCCTAAGCTGTGCAGCACAGAGTCCAGTTATAACCTGTGTGGAACTGGCATTTGTGTAAATAGTCTGACAAGAAAGTTTAATTTCATTACAAGTACTTAAAGCCAAACAAGGGGATTCTGTCTGTTAGCTTCTGGTTTGGTTTCTTCAGCTACTCTGGCCTCTTTCCCAGGTGGATAATTCTTGTTACTAAAATAGTACAGCTCTAAGGCAGGCCACATGATGTTTGAACGGAGTTAGGGCAGATGGCAAACATTCTTGACCTTCTATCAGCATGAAACCAGAGTAGGTTAATGCCCTCTTAGTGGCAAGAAGACCAGTCTGGTAAAGTTTAAGAGTTAGCATTTCAAATGTATTTGTTTATTTGATATTAGAGTTTGAAGACATTGACTAACATTGTCAAAATTTGGTACACTGCTAAAGGAAATCAACATACACTTTTAAAAGTCTGTATGGAGTATAAGTTGCTCAGTTTTCATGCAGGGGTAAATAGCACCAGGTGATAATGTACTGTGTTTTGACCCTCTCCTCTGATGCTAGTTTGCCCAGAAATGAGTAAATGCCTAGCAAATTAAGGTGGGCTCATAGGTTCAAACGCCAATCAATAAAGCTAAAGATAAGCACTTAGCAATGTTGAATTAAGGAAATTGTCTAACTGAGATTAATTTCCACACCATAAAATTTGTCTGTTTCAAGTTTTCAATTGTATTATTTTTGCAGAATTATGCAACCATCACTACCACCCAGTTTTACAACTTTTTCATTGCCTCAAAGAATTGCCTCATGCCCATTTGCAGTGAATCTCTACTCCACCCTCAGCCCCAGGAAACCACTAATCTAATTTCTGTCTCTATAGATTTCATATAAATGAGATACAATATGTATTCATGTGTACATCTGGCTCCTTTCAGTTAGCATAAAGTTTGGCTTTTATGAATAATCATGCAATGAACATTTGCCTACAAGTCTTTGTATAGATACTTGATTTTATTTCTCTTGGATAGACACTTCAGAGTGGAATTACTGGTTTGTATGGTGAGTTTATGTTTATTTTTTTCAGAAACTACCAAACTATTTTCCAAAGTAGCTGTACCATTTTCCATCCCCATCAGCAATTTTCCAATTGCTTCATATTCTCTCCAACACTCTTTATTGTCCATCTTTTCTATTTTAGTCACCCTAGTGTATCGAGTAGTAACTCATTGTGGTTTTACTTTGCATTTCTCTAGTGAGCAATGACATCCAACATCTTTTCATATGCTTGTTAAACAATCCTATATCTTCTTGGTGAAATATTTGTTTAGTCCATTTTTAAATTGTGTTGTTTGTTTTCTTGTATATCGAGTTATAAGAGTTCTTTATATGTTCTAAATTCAGGTCCTTTGTTAGATACATGATTTGCAAGTACTTTCTTCTAGCCTGCGACTTGTCTTTTTGTTGACTTAGTGGGGTCTTTTGAAGTACAAAAGTTTTTGATTGTGATGAAGTCCAATTTATCAACATTCATATTTTATGGATTATGCTTTCGTTGTGACTGACTTTTTTTGTATAATGGTTCTACCATAAATGGGTGCATGGGAACATATATTCTTCTCTTTCTGTTTTGCTATATCCCTAAAGCAGCTCAAAAGTATTCTACTGAAGAAAAATAGTGATAAGGGAGTTTCATATAGGCACAGTCTCTAACATTGCTTTGAGATTGGAGAAAAATGACCTTGATTTGAATGAAGGGGAGAAAAAACCCCTAAAACGCAGCAAGAAAGTTATTCTGAGATAAATGTTGCATTAAACCTAACATTAAATTAATATTAACAGTTATTAGCAATCCAGACGAGCAGGAAGGGAAGAAGTGGTTAAAACTTAACGTTGTTATTGCTTGAGCTCGGGAGTTCAAGACCACCCTGGGCAACATAGTTGGACCCCGTCTCGAAGAACAGTTGGACCCATCTCAAAAAACAAACAACATAACATTATTGATTCTTTCTGGGGACAATAAGTGAAAAAACAGAGGACTTAATTGTTTAAGGAGGGGAGTTCTTAACTCCAGATGGTCCAAGGATGGAATGGCAGTGCTTTCTTCCCTGTTATTCACTCACCTCTTTTCTGGTGGCACAGGATGGGGCTGGTTAGTAGAGTGTAAAAGAGAGGAGAAAAAAGCCTAGCAATAGGTAAAGAAAATAGCGATGTAGATAAATTGGAGTCAGAAAACCCAGGCTTATATCCCAGCTATAGCCTCAACTAGTGAAATTCTGTCAGTACACTTGATCTCACAGTCATTGTTTCTTCCCCTTTAACATGCAGACAATAATTCCTCTTTATAGCAGAATCAGGTGGGGGTGAGGTTGGGGGAGTTGCTTGTGAATGTGCCCACTGCACTGTAGGAACCCAGAGGTCTCTACCACAAAGATGCAGAAAAGCTCTGGGCCAAAGCACCTCTAGGTGGGGCAAGAGTGTGCTAGCATGAGGTCCCAGAAGATTAGAGATTGCCACCATTCGTGGCAAAAGTCAACATTTCCTCTGAAAACCTAACCAGACATTAAGAGGAAGAATCCCAGGCTCATCAGTCATCTAACACGGAGAGTGGAATACAGGAAAAGCTCTCAGAGAGAAAGAAACTCTGTAGATTTCTGTTTTTATCTTAAGTTATTAATGGTGTGGGAGATCTTAAACAATAATTGAAAGATAAATGATACCAGAGAACAAATGAGAGCAGAAGAGTTTTGTTGAAATCTAAGCACTATCATTAAAACAAGAAAAAAGCATGAGGAATTTTTCTTATCAGGCAATTGAAGACATTGGTTGAGATAACCTCTGAGACTATTTCTTGTTTATGATTCTACCGCAAGGAAGAACTCTTCATAGAAGTAAGACTTTACGCGCCAGAAAGAGTTTTTCCAGAAGAAATTTTAAGGTGGTTGATAAGACGGAGTTGCCCAAAAAATTTCTTTAAGAGGGAAAGTATTTTGAATGAAGTAAGAAAATAAAATAAAGAATTCCTGCCTTAAGACACATACCAGTACTTAAAAATTCACATGTGGGCTGGGCATGGTGGCTCATGCCTGTAATCCCAGCACTTTGGGAGGCCAAGGCGGGTGGATCACCTGAGGTCAGGAGTTTGAGACCGGCCTGGCCAACATGGTGAAACCCCGTCTCTACTAAAAATACAAAAATTATCTGAGTGTGGTGGTGGGCCTGCAATCCCAGCTACTCAGGAGACTGAGACAGGAGAATCGCTTGAACCTGGGAGGCGGAGGTTCCAGCCTGGGCAACAAAGAGCAAACCTCTGTCTCAAAAACAAACAAACAAACAAACAAAAAACTCACATGTGAAAAATGCTGAGGACAAGTTTTAATTCTGCAGATAGAATCTCGTTTAAATAGGAATCCAGAAAAAGCTGATAATTTGGAATGTGACACTGGGGGTGGGTAGCTTTCAGATCGCAATGTTAGACATAGCAATTAAATTTGGAAAGACCTGGATATTTGCAAATAGATCTGGACCTGTACACCTGGGCTTGGAGAAATCCTGTTAACCACAAATATTACAATTAAATAGATTGTCATGGAAAAGAATATTTTCAGGGATTGGAAGTTTTCCCCTCATTCTCTGGGCTTGCAAATCTGGTTGTTAGCCCCCAGCTTAGACCCACCAAGCCAACTTATTTGTGGCATATAAAATGGCTGTGACTGAGTTCTAAAATATATGCTTCAATAGTTGAATACGATGTTGTATAAAAACTACTAAAGTAACTTCAACATTCACACTCGTGCTGGGTATTTTTCTGTTCTTCCTCTCCACTGGTGACTGCGCTGCTCTTGGCCCTGGGAGGCTTGTCCTGTATGGATTGCAACAATCAGGGCTTTTGCTCTCTGGCTTCCTGTGGGACCCTGATGAACACCACCACACCTTAGTGTTAGGCATTCGAAAAGAACCCTGATCACATTTATCAACCTCAGAAGAATAAGAATGGGAGTTTTGTTTGGGATGTGTGTGTGTGGTGTGTTTTTGTATGAAAGTGTATTTCTGTAAATAACATTTGTGCCTCCTCAAGGCCAAACTTAAGGGAAAGAAGGAAGGAGAAAATAGATAAATGAACCCTGATTCTAGGCAATGACACCCCTGTCAGAAAGCCCCTTGTGTTATGGATGCAGGGCTCTTTGCCTGCAGGTCTTTTTGTGTGTGAGATAGTAAGAGTTTTATTGTATATCTCTGTAATCCATACTAACTGCAAAAAGCCCACACAGTAGCAAGTTATACAGTATTTCTACAAAGTAAAAACTACTTATAATTCCATTAGCCAAAGCTGACACTTTACAGTATGTCCTTTGAGACTTTCTCTTTCCTCCACTTCTCCATGTATTTATTTGCGTGTGTATATTTGTGTGTTTAATTACTACAGCAACATGTGCTGATTTTGAAAAAACCCTGAATATATCAAATTGTATAGAGAAAAAAACTGAGTCAGATTTTTGTTTTGAATCAGAAGCTCCTAAAGAGGCATCAAAGTTACTTAAATATTTTTATTTCAAAATAACGTAAACTTTCTCCATACTCAGCCTTCAAAGCATGATGCTCACAGAATGTGGTTATACATTCACAGCTTGAAAACAAGTCAAGGGACACCAGCTTGGTACAATTCCCTGAAACTTCCCCAGCTTTAGTTTCCCACTAGCTCTGTTCCTCTCTTCTTTTCAACGAGTAATTATTTAGTGATAAAAAGCTTAATAATCATAATCTTAGAGGAGTTTTAAAAAGCATTAGGTAGAATTTTTTTTTCCTTCTGAATAACTTAAAGGTGTTTTTAAGGAAAAGAAAGGACTGGGCACGGTGGCTCACACCTGTAATCCTAGCACTTTGGCAGGCCAAGATGGCTGGATCTGCTGAGTTCAGGAGTTCATGACCAGCCTGGACAACATGGTGAGACCCTCGTCGCTACAAAAAAGAAAAAAAAATCAGTTGGGTGTGGTGGCATGTGCCTCTAGTCCCAGGTACCCTGGAAGCTGAGGTGGGAGGACCACCTGAGCCTGGAGAAGTTGAGGCTGCCAGTGAGCCATGATCATGCTACTGCTCTTCAGCCTGGGCGACAGGGTAATACCCTGTTTCAAGTAAACAAATGCAGAAAAAGAAAGATTTTTCATTGTAAAAATAATGTTATTGTTATAAAAACTTCAAGTAATAGAAAAACAGATATAAAATGAAGTGCAAAAGCATGCCATTCCCCTGTCAATTCTTATCTAAAACCACCTAATTCTCACACCTCAGAAATAACCACTGATTAAGCATATTTTTATAAAAAATTGAATAAACAGGACAAATTTTCTTCAGATGTTTTTAAGATATGTAACCAAAAAGTATCTGAGACAGATCTCAATCAATTTAGAAGTTTATTTTGCCAAGGTTAAGGACATGCCCAGAAGAAAAAAAAAAAACCCATAATCACAGAAACTGTCGGCGGTCTGTGCCTTTCTCCAAAGATGAATTTGAGGGCTTCGATATTTAAAGGGGAAAAGCAGGCTGGAGGGGAAAGAGGGAGGGTATGCTAATCCACCTGTTGCAAGAGAAAAGGAGCAGGTAGGGGAACAGTCAACTACGTATTCCTCTGGTGCTCAGAAAATCGGCACCTTACATAAGATAGGATGAAGGCAGAGTAGCTACCTGTGGAGATATGGAACCTTTTATCTATAGCTATCTGCTTAGGAAGAGAAGGAAAGGCAGTTTCTTGTATGACTCAGCTTTCAGCTTAATTTTTTGCCTTTGGCATAGTGAACTGGGGTCCCGACTTCTTTTTTTTTCTTCCTCTCACAGATACAAAAAGAAGGTTGGAGAAAAAGAATTAGCTTTAGTCTTGCCCATTTTAAATTGGCAGAAGGGAATCATACCTACATAAAATGGATTTAAAGCTAGAAATATGCTTATAGAATGGGTAGCAAAAAGAATGAGACAAGTTTTTTCTGTTTTCTTTTCTTTCTTTTTTTTTTTTTTTAAATTCTGAGAGAAAAATGTACCCAAAGAGAGGAATTCAACTTGGGAGGAAACTAAGAAAAGATTCAGTATTACCAAGTTTTAAGAATTGAAACTTCCAGGGAGAAGTAGAGACAGAATGTGGTTCACACACCATGGGAATGTGAAGGGAGGGCTTCAGCCAGAGGGTGACAAGTGTCACCCATGGCTGACAGTGGGAATGAAGAGAGGTGGCCTTGATTGCTGGGTGCTGAATGTTAAGCCCTCAGTCATGACCCATTTAGTGTAAAGGCAAAGGAATGGTGGGATGGACTGAAACCCACTGGTAATAAGAAAAGATTAAGCAGACAATAGAAGGCATGATGTGAGAAAAGGGACATGAATGACCCCAATGGTACATTGTCTTTTTTTTAATAATTGAAGAAGATGATGATATTTAGAGGGTCTGGCTAAGAAAATGAGAACCATTGATGTTTACGAAGTAGTACCATCTGTGAAATTTATTCTGTTTTACTTTATGGTTATAACTGTTTGCAGAACGGTCTAACAATTGCAACCAGACTTCTTAGAATTTCTTTTTTCCTTTCAAAAATAGCCGCTGTATTTTTGAAGATCTTTGTGTTGGGATTAAAGCCCTAAAGGCATTGTACATGAGAAAATAAGATCCTGCAAAAGCTTTTAAAGGATGAATTAGGAGTTTGAGCCCATTTAGGAAAGAGAGAAAAATCCTCCTTAAGGGGAAGTGGGAAGAAAAATGAGGAACAAAACTGTAAAAGAGGTAGACTACAGATGTTTACGTTCACTAACTGTGTTATCGGTTTCTGAATGTGGTGTGAAAAAAATTAATAGATGATGATTGACTAGGAAGTGCTAAAATGGAGAGAAAAGAATGAATTCTTCAAAATGGGGTTAAGCTATTTTTGTTATTGTTGTTAGGCAGTTATTATTCACTGAACTAGGTTTTCATATTTTGATTTTTAAAGTATAGGAATTATGAAGATAAAGGAAATGATATTTGGGAAAATATAAGGCTTGCTTTGTCATTTTAAAACTTATTTTGTAGCACTTTTCCCACTAGAATATGTTGCATTGTTAAGTTGAAATCTGGTTAAAATCTGTTGAAAAATCCACAACCAGTATTTTCTCTATGGGATAACAACTATGAGATGACTAGAGAAAATACTGGTTGGGTGCTCAACTCTTAAGCAGCAAAGACTTAGAAGGGAGGAATTCAGAGCAAGAATTTTTTCAAGTGGGCAGATGTAAGGCAAAGTAGCAAAAGGGATTTACATCGCTTCATGTAAAGCGATGGGAAATAATGTGGCAAAACAAGCTGTTTGCACCTCCAATCCTCAGGAGTGGTTTGTACTCAGACTATCAAAATGGCAAAGTTGGAATTACTCTGTTCAAAACCACATGCTTATTTACTACATGCTAAAAGATGAAAAGGCCTACTTACATTTCAGCCTGTTGAATATCAAGAGCCCCTGTTAGGATTACGATTCTTTTGATTGTAAGGAACAGTGTGGTCCCATGCTAATGCAGGAAAAGGACTCACAGGCTGAAAACTCAGGGGAATCTGATCACTAGGCTGTGCGGAGGGTGAGAACCAGGGCAGCCTTGGGCTCTGGCTAAATCCTTTTCTCTGACCCCTTGCTCTCTCCTTCCTTTCCCTCCCCTTTCCTTCCTACCCCGCCCTTCCCCTTCTCTCCTCTTCTTTCTTGGCAAATCTCCTTTCCTCTGTCTACTGAGCTGGTGTAAAATGGCTTCCTCTAGCTATCCCACCTTGTCTCCCTCTTTTTCTTGAATTTACACAGGCTGAATCCTCGCCCTGGACTGTTCTCCCTCTTCTTAGCCTGACTAGGTCCTGTCTGTTCTCTCAGAGTCTTCTCAGGTACAGCCTCTCCCAGGTAGCTTCTGTTGATCCCCTAAGGCTGAGATAAGTGTCCCACCTGTGAGATCCCAGGATCACAGTTATTAACCATGCCATCTCGGGTCCTTCCATTCTGTATTGCATGGCCTGACTGCTTGTCCCTTCCCACACTGCACCATGAGGCCCTTGAAGGCAGGGATGAAACCACCTTGCAAAAATTATAACAGTGAGAAAAGTATGACAGTGAAAGAGATCTGATATAACCAATCTCCATCTTGCCTTTAACCTCCAAACTGCCCTTAGTCATTCCTGGGCTTGGCCCAAGCTAACTTTGGGAGAAATGTAGTTTATAGTTTAAATAATAACTGCCCTTCCCCAAACTAAACTGCATTTGCAAAACTAATGGAAGACTACCAGGTTAGGAAGATGAGAAGAGCCTGAAATCTGCTAAAATGTAGGCATAAATGATTACCAGCCATTATTCTGGAGGTCACAAGGTTTGCACCTTCCCCCAGTTATTCCTGCAGATAACATCACTATTATAGAATCTAAGACTGGCCTTTTGAGATGTCTTTTCAGGCTTTTGCATTTCTGCAAATGTCCCCACCCGGACCCACAGCTCTTGACTCAACTGGTCCTATGGCCCCCATCCAGAAGTGGACTCAGTGTGCAAGGACTGTTTTTCACACTCTTATGATTGCATCCCCAAACAATCAGCAGCACCAATTCCCCTTCCCACCAAATTATCCTTGTAAACCCTAGCCTCTGAATTTTTGGAGATACTGATTTGAGTAATAAAACTCCTGTCACCCAGTCAGCTAGCTCTGTGCGAATTAAACTCTTTCTCTATTGCAATTCCCCTGTCTTGACAAATTGGCTTTATCTGGGCAGCAGGCAAGGATAACCTGTTGGGCTGTTACAGGAAGTATCCCTTGTTTCCCCAGCATGGAGATATCTATGAATGGTATGCCCTAGGGTTGTACAGTGACCCCCTGACCAGAAGCTTATTGGATATTTATTGAATAAATGAATGAGTGAATAAATAAATCTATCACTCACATTTCTGAATTACACAGAAATTGTATTGTCTTCTGTATTTGTCTTCATCATCATGGTATGCATCAGATTTGCTTAATTCTAGAGTTTAATTTCAGAAATCTATAGTGCAGACCAGGCATGGTGGCTCATGCCTGTAGTCCCAGCACTTTGGGAGGCCAAGGCAGGCAAATTGCTTGAGTCCAAGAATTCAAGACCAGCCTGGGCAACATGGCAAGACCTCATCTCCACAAAAAATACAAAAAACTAGCCAGGCATGGTGGCATACACCTGTAGTCCCAGCTACTCAGGAGGCTGATGTGGGAGAATCATTTGAGCCTGGTAGGTGGAGGTTACCGTGAGCAAAGATCGTGTCACCACATCCCAGCCTTGGCAACACAGCAAGACCCTGTCTCAAAAATAAAAATTATTTTTTTAAAAAGAATTCTATAGTGCAAATTAGTACAGGTCTAGCATTAAGTAAAATTGGACTGACACCAATAAAGAAGGACCCTGAGTCATTTCTTGTCTTGGATTCCTTGATTGAGAATTTCAGTAGCTGATGTATCTCAGCTGGCTAAGAAGTAGCCCACCTTTAGGGAAATAGCTCAAGATGAGTGGTTTTGTTCATATGCAGGAGACAAGCTCTGCTTTAGATGTCAAATGACTGAACTACTTGGTATTCCTCCTGAAAACTTTCACCCTCAACTAGAGAAATTTATAATGTAAAGAAAATGTGTTCATTCTCTCACCAGGCTTATAAACTCTTGCTTTGCATCTTCAGCTAGAGTTGAGAAATTGATTCTAATGTTTCTTATTTGATCTCACCATGGTCTGTGAACACCACAAATTCAGCATGTCCACAATGCGAAAATGATCTATTTCACAGTTACTGCTTCCTTCAAGAGTTCATTACCACCCACTTCAATCCAGGCTCATGCTCACCTGCAAAAGGAGGGTGAAGAGGTGGTTTTGAGCCCTGAAGTATTTTGCAGTCTAGTATAGGCAAACCTATTCAAGCTCTTTGCCGACAGCACCAGATCTGACTCTGAGTTCAGGTGTCATTTTCCCAGTGGGGCTTATGATGAATTCTTGGGATGCCAACATCAAGAAAAATCATGCTTTGTCTCCAGCTGGAAGTAGAGGGGGTAAGCTTCATTTCTTTGATGAGAAAGTGGAATTTCCCTCCCAGAGCTCATGGGGAAATTTTTGGCTTACATGATTTTGCTACCACACCCGTTGGCCTGAGTGTCCTTAAGTATAAGAATCCTATTTCCAGTTGTTGAACTGTTTGTACCAAGTTATGGATTAATTTCTCCCTTGGCTAGTTTCAGTGCCCTTGTCCAAAGTTATGTTCCTCTCAAATATCTTTTACTTAAAATAAATAAGTACAAAAAAAAATTCTCCATGGAAGCCTGAGGGGCATTCCTTACACATGTGCTCACAGGGAGTTTCCAAGAAGCAAATAAGGTTTTAGGATGGGAAGGTCAGATAGAGAATCAAGTCAGTCTTGATTAAAAATGGCCACTTAAACCGTGAGCATGTGTCATAGGTAACTACATGGAATTGTGAATTTATAAGAGGAAGCCATGTGATGTCCACTAAATATTTTTTGTTAATTTCAACACCAGGTTTTGATTTCTGGAACAATATTTTGGATTAGGCATGAGCTGAAAAGAAGTAGCTTGCAAGTACATCATTTCCTTTTGCAGTATAAATAACCTAACGGGTAGTTTGTTGGCTGGTGGCCATCCCCACTTGTAAAGCTCCAAACTAATATTTGTTCTTTCCTGGGTTAAGATTTTTCCAGAGCCACATTTAGGAACAACTGCATCCTTCCCTTATTAAGGCTCAAGCTATAAAAGAAGGAATGGAAAAGGTGGAAGCTTGTCTGTCAGCAGGGTCACTAAATATTCCATTCCAGAAAGCCAACTGGCACTTGGTCAGCCATTCAGAGTTGAAAGGCCGCAAGACACCTGGATCAGGTGCATCCTTTTGTAAGTTAACTGTACAGGAGCCACAGAATCAGACCCTATCATATTAGAACTAACCAATCAGCCTCCCAGATTCCCATGCAACTCACCCGTTGGACATCAGGTGGCGCCAACTGTGGTCATCTAGGCAAAAATATCTCCCATTTTCCTGTCTCTGATGCCTAAAATACCACCATTAAAGATTTTTATCTTCATATTGAAGAGTTGAATTCACAAGCCAGAGGTCTGGGATCTAGCTCTGCTGTTGTGGAGAGTCACTTAACTTCTTTGAGTCTTAGTTTCTCATCTGTAAAATCTGATTAATAATGCCATCCTTTAGGTTGCTGTGAGGATTAAGTGAGATATTTGTTGGTTTCAAACTTTGGCGCATATGAAAATTATCTTGGATGTTTGTTAAAAATGTATATTCTCAAATTTCCTTCAGAAGATAAAGTATATTAATTTATTTTGTAAATGTAAAGAGTTGCATGTATATAAGTAATTGCTCATATCATCCTGGGAATTCCTGCATGGGTTAATACCTTGAGTGGTAACCAGCCCATTGTATATCAAGAAAGGGATTGGGGTTAAAGAAGCTGATGTTCATTGAATATCTAATGTGGTCTAGACCCATTACACACATTATTTAATTATATGAGGTAGGTGTTAGTATTCCCATTTTACAGATGAGGAAATTGAGGCTGCGACAAGTTAAGATTCTTGCTCAGCATCGCATGGCTAACAAATGATGGGGTCTATCTGTGAATCTGGCTTTACTTGCCTCCAACTTCAAGCTCTTTCCATTATACTAGAATTAATTCATTGATTAGATCCTTTCTAAGTAACCAAAAGTAAAACCCACACTTTTAGAAGAGGAAAGAGAAAGATGAGTAAAAAGTTCTCAAAGTGCGATTCCCAGGTCAGAAGCTTTAGCATTCCCTGGGAACTTGTTAGAAATGCAAATTCTTGGGCCCCACTCCAGACCTTCTAGATCAGAAAATCTGGAAGTGGGGCCCATAAATCTGGGTTTTAACAAGCCCTCCAGGTGACTCAATGCACACTCCCATCTGACATCTGTTGCTATAGACGTGAGGAAGAGTGTGAGTGTGAGTGTGTTGTGGAGGGGTCTGGAAAGGGTGGAGGCTCAGGGCAGCATGAGGCAGGAGGCACCATGAGAAGGAGGAAGGTGACTGAAGGCAGAGGATGGCAACCTCACAGCATCCACCTTCGCTCCCACTCTTGCTCTGTTGTTCTCAGTCCAATCTTACTGTGAGGCCCCAGACAGGATGGGGCCCACAAGCTCCATGCCAAGGAATGGCATGGTCCCAGTAAAGAGTCCTCTATACCATGAAGAATCTGCTAAACATTGGAACTACTCATTCATTAATTTCAGTGACTGAAGATTTACGGCAAGCTCAACAAGAAAAGTTTAATCAAATATCAGAATGATCTCATATTGAAGGGAGACAGAAAAATATTCACTAAAAAAGTTCCCCTTTTCTTTATATTTTTGCCTTACTGAGAGGTGAAGCCAGCTGGACTTCCTGGGTTAAGTGGGGACTTGGAGAACTTTTCCGTCTTACAAGGGGATTGTAAAATGCACCAATCAGCGCTCTGTAGCTAACAAGAGGTTTGTAAAATGCACCAATCAGCACTTTGTAAAAACACACCAATCAGTGCTCTGTAGCTAGCAAAAGGTTTGTAAAATGGACCAATCAGTGCTCTGTAAAATGGACCAATCAGCGCTCTGTAAAGTGGACCAATCAGCACTCTGTAAAATGGACCAATCAGCAGGATTCTAAAAGTAACCAATTGCAGGGAGGATTGAGAAAAGGACATTCTGATAGGACAGAAACAGGACATGGGAAGGGACAAATAAGGGAATAAAAGCTGGCCAAGCCAGCCAGCAGCAGCTACCCACTAGGGTCCTCTCCGATGGTGTGGATGCTTTGTTCTTTCACTCCTCACAATAAATCTTCCTGCTCCCCACTCTTCAGGTCCGTGCCATCTTTAAGAGCTGTAACACTCACCGGCAGGTCTGCAGCTCCATTCTTGAAGTCAGCGAGACCACTAACCCACCAGAAGGAACTGACTCTGGACACATTACCTCTCCTCCCCTGCCACCTATCCAGAAAATACTATCTAGCCATTATGGGAACTATCTTGCAGTCTTTCAAATTCAAGAATTCTCCCCTCAAAAGTTTATTGAGATTTAAAAAAATGTGAATGAATGTGGGCTTCAATAACCAAAGACAAAAAGCTTGAAAGAGTATTTAAAAATAAATATCCATTGTTTGAGCCCGGGAGGTTGAGACCAGCGTGGGCAGCACAGGGAGACCCCATCCCTAAAATAAATAAATAAATATCCTTCAGAATGAAATGACGGAACTGCAATTTTTGAACTAATTAAGTCATGAATGTAAATGTAATTAACCACAAGCATATAGGCATAGGCAAGAGACTAGGAAATTACTAAATGTGTCGGAAATGGATTCTTTCATTTAATTTTTTAACATTTAAAAACTGTAGTTTTTGACAAGCAATTATGTTCACATTGTTCAAAATTTTCAAAGGTTCAAAAAGGCACACATAGGAAGTCTTCTTCTTATCCCTAACCCTTAATCACCCAGCTCCCTCCCGAAAGGCTACCAAGAACATCGGTTTATCATAAATCTTTCTGGACATGGTCTACACATTTAAACGCTTCTAGATGAGTTTCAGCAACTACACAGTCTTCTGCACCTCACTTTAAAAAAGCTAATAATGTATCTTTCAAACTATTAAAAGTAGGATATTTCACACAAAAATACGGGCCAGAATTATCAGTGTGCCTTCCAAAACTGTATTCCCAGAATGAAAGAGTATTCCCATACGAATTGCTCCTCTGTGAAGTAATGCTGACTTTCTAACCTTCTTTCTATCTGATTCCGTCATCTAATAGTGGTTTTCGCTGTTAAAGAGAAGGAGGAGATGAGCTGGTACCTCTGGTAAATACACTTTGACTGAGTGGCCGATAAGATGGGGTGCTCTGCACCAGTATCAGGTCTTGACCTTTGTAGGTCCAGAAACACCCCTTTTTGTCACCGAGAGCTGTTCCAGCTCAGTGAGGTTCTCAAAGAAAATTTATAAATGCCTGCCGAGTTTAAACAAGACACAAGAGTCAAGTGGACTCCCCTTGGCTGATAAGTCCCCTCTCTCCTCTAGATAAGTCTGTAGAAGAAACAAAATTACTATCCAGAAGGTGATTGGTAAAAGTAGAGTCAAAGCCAGAGGCATAGTTGGTGGTGTTAACAGCGTTTATCATTATATCTTTTGGTAAGAAGACTCTTACTTGTATAGTTATTTATGCTGATTATGGGCCAAGCACGGTCCTCCTGTTATTGCATTCAATTCTCACGCAATGATGTAAGGCAAGTCTTCTTATCTACATGTTACAGATGAAGAAACTGAGGCTAAGAATGGTGAAACAGCTTTCCCAAGATCACACAAAACTCCTAACTATCCTCTCCACTCCCTCTTTATGATTTTCAGGAAAATCCTTCAATGAATGCCTTCACATAGGCTAAAAAGCCTTGTCGGGGGCGATCACAGTTCTCTTGATTACATCCCAGTCCTGATGACACACACTCAGCTCTTGTGACACTGTCCATACATGCAGCCAGCATCACTGTGGCTACCTGGGTGCTAGAGATACAAGATGAAGAAGCTCCCACCTAGTGCCCTGGTCTAGCAGTGAAGAAAGATAAGTAGGTTGATATTTACAATGCAGGATGTTTCATAGAGAGAAGGTGTATCAGACATTACCCGAGGGATAGGAAATGGTTATAATAGTTAACATTTATTAGGCACTTGACTCAAAACACGAGCTGCTCTAATTTTTTGACACTTATTTAATTTTTCCAACAATCCCCTGAGGGAGGGATTATTATTATGATATCTCACTGGTGAGAAAAGAGTTGTGGAGAGGTTATGTAACTGGCCCCAATGACACACAGATAGTGTGACCTAAGCACTTCCAATATGTATTTTTCTTAGTTCAGCTCAGAGGACATGTCTGAGTTTCATGGCACCTTTTCATGACTCTTAAGAGATAACTGTGTCATTATAATTAATGATGTTCGATGATATGATAGCTAAGATAGTTTCTGTGGAGACAGAATAAAGTAGGAAGGTACCAAAGGAAACTTTGATTTTTTTTTTTAACAATGTAGTCAGCTCATCCTTGAAGGAGAGAATGGGGACAGGAGAGTTGACTTGATGTTGATAGAGACATAAGTTGTTTTCAAAATTGATAACTCATTCAATTTAAGGTGTCATGCTGTTGTGCCTGAATTAACTTCCCTTCTCCTACAGTGGCCAGCCATCCTTTCCGCTGGGAAAAGCCATGTTTTGTGGTTAGCCATAGACTATATGCCCCAGTCACCCAGGTTGATCTTCCTTTTGCAATAGCAGTCAAAAGGGAAACTAATATGGGTGACTCAACACGACCCATCACTGCCACTAGAATAAATAACCCAAACCAGAACTTACTGGCTTTTTCTTGTGTCATTTATCCAAAGACCAATATCATCTAAATTGATCTTAAAGGAGTTCCCTCTAGAGAGGGGATTTCACCAAAGTGCATAAATAAGCAAGATGAACAAATGTTTAAATTCCACATGGATGGGACCTGTAGGGAAAGGGGACCTGGGAGGCATTTCCGAAATGCCTTGAGTTGGAATGGAATGTGGAGAACTGGGAAGAGAAGACAGGAATGGCTTATTCTAGGAGAAAGTTTAAGATCTGTTCTCAGAGCATGGACTAAGAGTTAGGAGTTAGGGAAGGGAGTTGGGAGAGTAGAGGCCTCTTGGAGAGGTTGCCGCTCTCTCATTTCCCGTTTTCTGAGAACTGGCCCTCACTCACATAAATGGACCCCAAACTGCTGCATCTGAATCACTTGAACCTATTCTTTCTTAACCATAACTGATTGGTTCAGGGGACCCCTGACCTAAGTGGAACCAATTAGATTGTCTCTGAGGAATTTGGAGATTTGCACTGAGTGGTTTCAGGAGTCCATGTGGTCGAGGGAGGTCAAAGGCCTGCAATTGATGCTGATGCTGACGATTGGATCTGTCCTGGGCCCAGTCCTCTCCCAGGCTGACTGTTCGGATTCTCCTTTGATTTTCTTATTTATTTGCTTACTTAGCTACTTGTTTACTTATGTTTAAGGTAGCTAGGATTGGTTTTTGTAATTTGGGACTAGAAGAATCTTATCTAAGACAGTGAGAAAGCTGGAAAATGTCTCTTCAGGCTTCAATGACATCTTCCCAACGCTGATTGAAGTAAACAAATTTCTTCTAAGTAAGATTGACAGGTCATTTCACTGGAAATTAAGGCTCCATTGAAGTCTGAGACTACTTGAGAGTAGAAACCAAGAAAAGTGGTTTCTCTCTCTCTCTCTCCTTCTTAAATCATTTAAATTATATCTCAGGAAACAAGATTAAGGTCTGTGACTGACTCCAGCCGGGGTGGCTGAGAAGCCTATCACGTGATAATGGCTAATATTTCCAGAACACATTACTGGCTGCTAAATCAAGCTTATTGCATCAGAATACCTACAGTGAGGCCCAGAAAACTGCATTGCAACATCGTAAACAAGCTCTCTCATTAAGTTTTGTGTTATTATTTAGATTTTATTTATATATGTGGGTGTATATGTGCATATATATTTAACAGCAATGTTAGGGTAAATTCCAGTTCTTCTAAAACATTTATTATTAGTTTACTATATTAGTTTCCCAGTGTTGCCTAAACAAGTTAACATAAACTAGGTGGCTTGAAAGGACAGAAATGTATTCTCTCACAGTTTCAGAGGCTAGAAGTCTGAAATCCAGGTGTTAGTAGGCACATGCTCCCTCTGAGGGCTCTAAGGAGAATCCTTTCTTGACCCTTCTAGTTTCTGGTGTTTGCCAGCAGCCCAAACATTCTTTGTCTTGCAGCTACATCACTTCAATCTCTGCCTCCATTGTCATGTGTTGTTCTCCTTGTGTGTCTGTGTCCCTATTTCTCTCTTCTTATAAGGACCAGTCATTGGATTAAGGGCCACTCTAATCCAGTATGACCTCGTCTAAGGTTGATTATATCTGCAAAGACACTATTTCCAAATAAGGTTGCATTCACAAGTATGGGAGTTGGGACCTGAACATATCTTTTTGGTGGGACACAATTTAACCCACAACACTTCCTGTTGAACATTTATGCTTATTTCTATTTTTTCCAAATGACAATGCTGCAATATTTTACATAACTCTTTGATGTTACCCTCTCTATTTCTCTATGATAGATCACTGGAAATGAATGATGAGTCAGATAGAGTATCAATTCAAGTCCAACCAGGAAAACAGAAAACTCCCTTTACATTTTTGTAACAGTGTGGGAATTAATGCAAAAAAAAAAAAAAAAAAGAAAGATTACACAGGTGCTAGAATTCACTGCAGAGCCAACGGGGAAGGCGAGGCAATCCAGAGTTTAGGAGTGAAGCCGCTGCCATTCCTGTGAGCATCAGGAGTTGTGGGCATCAGATGGGATCTAGAACCATGACAAGCCTGGTGGTCACGAGCTGGATCTTCAGCAGTGACTTTCAGAGGTGCCACCTGAGGTAGAGCGTGGGGACCCACCTTCTCCTTTCCTCCCATCTCCAAGCTCTATACCAGTGTCCCCATGGCACTGTATAATATTTTCCTCTAATTTCAAAGGCAATAGATACTACTGTGGGAAATCTGGAAATTAGAGAAGCAACCAGAAAAATATTGAAGTCCTCTCTGATCTTACCACTCAGAGGCAACCACTGTTAACATATATGTATATATATAGTTCTTTTATGAAGTTATAGTATTCTATACATGCTATTTGATAGCTTCACTTTTAATTTTAACAATGCATTGAGAAAATAATAAAACATTTCAAATATTAAATCATTTGATAGCATTCTATAATATAGGTATATTATAGTTTTAACCTGTCTCCTGTTATTAAACTTTCTGGTTGTTTAAAATCTTAAAGATAAAGAAGATGATAATTTCAGATGGTGATAAATGCTATGAAAACAAAAACATGGTATTTGGGGGAAAGGGAGACTACTGTAGACCTAGCAGTCAGGGAAGGTCAAGAAGGGTGATATCTGAAGCTTGAGCCTAGCTGGAGCACGCCCGAGGGTGGGTGCTTTACCAAGTTCCACATGGTAGCCCCTAGAGCTGTGCTGGGCAAATTGGAGTGTTTGTATTCACTGTTTTGTGTCAGGGCTATTCAAAGCTACAGTATAAGCACCTATTTGGAACACCCATTTTATTGAAGGTTTTGGAGAAAACAATATTTTAAAACAGATTCTGATGTATTATTGAACAGAAAGAAGAAAATTCATATGAATATTTAAAACAAAACACAGAAACTCAGAGAAATGTCAAGCTTGCAGCAGACACTGGCCACTGAGACCCCTAACTCCCAAATTTGTAGGTCTGCAGTTCATTTCCTTGTGCCCTTCAGAGCACTTCCTTGGGAAAGTCTGAGAAATGCTGCAGACCTGCCATGTGCCTCATACACATTGAGCACCTCTATGGGTGCTCAATAAATATTCCAGACTTGGAATGGAATTATGTATTAATTGCCCTGTTACATGCAAAGTGAGAGTTGCCATTTACAAGTGGCTCGTTTTGTTTCTGAATGTTGAAATTTCACTGGTACTTAATATTTGCTCTCCTGAACTCTTGAACTTACATCACTGTTAAAATATACATCATGATGCAACTCAAAAATCCAGCAAGGAATCCAACAGACTCTGCCTTCAGGTCCCTAACTTAGTGATTCAGCTGCTGGGGCACAAGCCCTCGGAAGTTCCTTTCTTCTTAGCTTGTATCCTCAAGGTTTAGCCCTGTTCAAGACTCATAGTAGGTGTTCAGTGTGTGTGCGTGTGTTAGTATTTAATGATGAGAGAATGAATAACACGAGAATGAACAGTATCTTTGAAATTAACCACATCAACACAACCAGTGTTATATAAATGCAAAAATAAGATAGGAATGATTTTCTCCCAGAATAGCATAATGAAATTACTGCCCCTTGGTAATAGTCTCAGAAACAGAGACTTGTCCTAAGATCTGAAATATTCCATAGGTGCTGCAGTTTACTCTCCCAGGACAAGGGAGCCCCCCTAGGTCTCTGTCTAAATAGATTTCAAATAAAGCAATCCATTAATACATCCAGTATTCGGACCAGAAGACAAGTCTCCTTAAGTAAATAAAAGCCTCCAGGAGCCTGCAGAAAGGCAAACTGTAGAAGAAGTTTGCTTATAACAATTTGCAGACAGTTCAGGCAGAGACAGCAGCTTGCTGGCTGCCCACCCTCAGGCCCACTCTAGGTGAGATATCAGAGGCTCAGGCAAATCAAAGGCACAGACTACCTTTAAGTTCCCATCCAGGGAACTTAATTTATTGGGACTCCTGATTTGTATTTTACTTTCCTACATTAAGAAGGTGATGACAGAAAGGGCTCATGGTCACTATAAGGGGTAGGAGGCATTTTGCAAATTTGTTGAGCCTTTTAAAGTGATTATCAGACATTTGTTTTCCAAAAGAGACAGACATAATCCACCCTAATACTTGCTGTCATGTCAGATGATATGCAAGTTGTGAAGGATGTCAGATAACAGAAGTTACGAAGGAAGGTGAGAGAAGAATCTTTTCTGATATTAGATCTAAACCAGGTATTTCAGAGGGCACCTAGGAAAACAAGGCTGGGTAAAGGGAACTAGGGCCAAGACACTGTGATTGCAGAAGTGTGGCTGCCCCTAAGCAGGAGTGAGAAGGGGTCATTTGTACCGCAGACACCTCGGGCTGTTCTTGTCTAGAGTTTTCATGAAATTGAACTGATCTTCCTGGCGTGGTCTGGAGCTTGCTGTTCAAGAGTGGTTTTTCTTTTCTTCCATTTGAAGGCCAAACTGTTCAATGGGAAACCTCAGTGATCAACACCTATGCTAAGAGACCCCAACCCCAAACATAGACTGGAGGTGCTGGGCTTTTTCCCAGCTAGTTTCTGCTGTTCCTTGCTCTTCTTGTCACATTAGTAGCCTGTAGTTGACTGAGACTTCCAGAAGAAGGGGCTACAGCTCCTCTTCCTCACTCTGCCCCACTGGTGCATCACTACTAATCTCATCTCACCACCCCAAGATGTTAAGAATTATGAGAATGTGAAAAGAGTTCCCTCTAAGTCTAAGAAAAGTCTTAGACTGGCAAGTCATTCATTCCACAAATATTTGTTGAGTTCTTATCCTGTCTCAGGTTTTGTTCTAGGAGCTGGCAGTGCAGCAGTGAACAACAAAAAAAATTCCCTGCACACATGAGACTTATAATCTAGTTGAGAGAGACTGACAATAGCAAATAAATGTATGGTATGTTCGAAAGCAGTAAGTACTGTGGGTAAACTAAGGCAAGACAATGGAGGTGAAGCTGGGATGGACTGTAATATTTTAAATAGGTTGGGCAGGAAAGATGTCTCTGATAAATGCATTTGACCAGACGCCAAAGACAGTTAAGAGAATGAGCAAGGGGATAGCTGAGGAAAGGAAATTCTAGGGAGAGGAAATAGCAAGCACAAAGGCCTGAGTCCAGAATGCATGATGTCCTGTCCAAGGAGCAGCAAGAAGAATATGGTAGCGGGGAAATGAGGAGCATGGGAGACTTTTGCAGAGCTCTACCCAGAGGAGGATGGCGCTAGCTTGGACTCAGGTAGCAGTGGTAAAGGTAGTTGAGACATTGTCGTATTTATGATCGATTTTGAAGGTAGAGATTTCAAGATTTGCTAATAGATATGAAAGAGTAGAGGATCGATAGGTTGGAGAAAGACATGTTTTAGACATCCAAATGGAAATGTAGGAAAGAGAGTTGGTTATCAAGGTCTGGAATGCAGAGGAGATACTGTGGGTATTGGTGGAGTCTATGCAGATGGTATTGGGAGTGCAGAGAGAGGAGGCCCAAGGACTGAGCTCTAGGCACTCCAACAACAAGAGGTCAGGAAGATGAGAAAGGGTCAGCAGAAGAGACTGAGAAGGAGTTGTTAAGGAAGAAGGGGCAAAGAGAAGGGAGAAGTGTCCCAAATCCAGGTGAGGAAATGTTTCAAGAAGGAAATTGTGATTAGCTCTGTCCAATGCTGAGGAACAAGTAAGCTGAGGCCAGAAGATGGGGCAACGTGGAGGTGAATGGTGACATTAACAGAGTAGCTTTGGTGGAGTGTAGGGAGATGGCTTGAGAGAAAGGGGAGGAAGGAAGCAGAAACAGCAGGAAAAGATTTGCTATAAATGGGAGCAGAAAATGGGCAGAAGCTGGAAGACATGGGGTCAAAGGAATGTTTTCTTCATGATGGGAAGTAAGTGTTATTTTTTCTCCTATGTAGTGTTCATTTCTTTATTTATGACACAAGGGAGATAGGTTTGTTGTAGCCACATTAGAAAATATACAGATAAGAAAACAGGAAGAAGAAATTTATTGAAGAAACCTTTAATCGTACCATGAAGACACATGAACTCTGTCAACATCTTGGTAGGCAACCTTCCGGACTTTTTTCCATGCTGTGCAAGCTGTTTAGTCATCTCCTTTTTAAACTGAACAGTATAATTTCAATATCTCTTATGTCAACATGCATTTATGTCATCTTTATTAAATAGCTGCATAATATCTCATTTATTTGAATATACCTGGATTTGCTTAGTCAATTATTACATATTTAAATTGTTTCTTCTTTTACCTATTAAAAACATTCCTTTGTACCTATATTTTTGTGTACCTGTACAGTGATTTTCTTAGGATGAATTTAGAAGTAGAACTATGAATCTATGCACATTTTAAAAAGATGTTTAACATTTTTTTAAAAGAGATGAGATATTTAGCATATTTTTTAAAAAGATGTTTAACATATTACAATAGCATAAACAGCAATGTGATATGTTTTCTATGGCTGCTGTAGAATGGAAAATTTAAAATCTCCAAGCTTTCAAATTCAGAAATCAAAGTGAAGCCAAAGGTCCCTAGGTTTTAAATAGCAGAATCATTCAGGAAGGGAGAAACATTGATTTGTTGGCACAAGGCTTTAAAAATAAATATTTTATACAAATGAAGGTAAAAGAATATATTCAAATCGGATATTTTGAAGACTAAGGAAACAAAACTTAATTTGAGGAAAGTTTTGTTTTAAATTGTCAAACATATGCTTATTCTGTATCTTGTCATCATGAAATTCAGTCTGGGCTTGTTTGTCAGAAGCTTTCCAGTGAGATGGTGCCATTGCATACTGTTGTATAACCTTGTCTTGAGAGGATGATGCTTGCTTGTTTGTTTTTGTAGGAAATTTTATTGACATTGCATTTTTGTTAAAGGAAACTGAATTTCAATTTATTTGCCAATCGTGTAATTTTAACCCATTATCTATACCTGCACATAATTAATCTTGTTTTAATAAAAACAGGAACAAGTATAAAACTTGTTCTAATTCTCCTGGAAATAAGATTTCCCCCTCTGTATCAGTTATGGTAGATTCTTGGCTTTTTGTCTGACATCACAAAGACCTTTTTTTTTTTTTTTTTAATGATCTGGCACTGAGCAAAGTAGCATAGTTTAGTAGAAAACCTTCATGTCCTGGTTCTGCTAATTTGACTGTGAGATCTGCAAAATGGAGATAATACCTGTCTCGAAGGTGTTCATTTCCATTTAAAAAGTATGTAAAAGCCTGGGAGCTTCTGCTGCTGGTCATTTCACAGGCACTCAATAAAGAGCTATCGATTTATAATGTGTATCAGTTGCATCAGATCATGTCAGCTTCAAGGAGTGACAGATGTCTTTATTTTTCTAAAACAAATTGTGACCCGAAGACCCCAAGTAGGGGAGTCAGTATCAGTCTAATATTTGTCATTTTTCATGTTCACCCTTTCTTTTGGATTGCACTTGGACAGTGGCTCCTTATCAATGTGTCTCCAATTATGTGTGCATACACACATCCCTGTGTGTGTGTGTCTATTTGGAGGGAACAGGAAAGGAATCTGCCTATCAGATCACACTGGTCACCCTCAACATCATGGTTCCTTTTGCTGCATGCTGCTGGGGTGGAGAGCTGGCCCCCTGTTCATGGGTAAGACCACTCTAGACAGGTTTCACAGAGCTCCGCCTTTGCTAGAGTCTGGACGGAGGGACCTAGCTCTGCTCTGAAGGGCAGCAGAGTTGTTTGACATCTGGCCTCTGTAGGCAGCACACAGGTTGTATAAGTTGGATCTTGCCCCACGAGGAACTCACAAACCCTGTCTCTTTCCTAGTATCTTGGAAACCAACAACCCCATAACACGCCCTTCTTTTACCTTCAAAATGAGTTTCTCCATGCAGAAGCAATCCCCAGGTCTTTAAAAATAAGGCCTCTTTGGAGTTGTCTCCCTGGTGTTTCTGTGTGTGTGTGTGTGTGTGTGTGTGTGTGTGTGTCGTCACTGAGGCATATGAAACCACTGTTAATTCCCTCTCAAAGATAAGAGTAAAACCCTAACTGCCTAGCTTTTATTTGTGGGAGAAGGGAGTATAATCATCTTTGTTTCTTTAGAAAAGTCTAGACTAAGAAGGAACAAAAAAAATGCAACAATTAATATTACAGTAACTCATCTTGTTAAATATGAATTCATTCCAGACTCAAAATCAGGTCACATCTGGATTCCAAAGCTGACATAGATGTGAACCAAAAGAAAATCACAGGGTGGCAGTGGGGAGGGAAGCATTTGTGCAGATTGGAGAGGCCATTTATAAAGGTGAAAGGCCGGAGCCTATTGCCTGTCTAAATGCTAAGGTCTAGACTCCCAGATTCTAAAATGCGGAAGGAATCATTGAGACTCGAACTTCCCTCCCCACTTAGAGATCTGTGTCTGACATGCTTTGCCAATGAGTACTTTGTCTCACACTATGTGTGTATGGTAAGAAAGAGCTGACTTCTTCAGGAGACAGCTCATTCCATTGCTGGACAGAACAGTTTTTAATATTCTTCTGATCTTGAATTAAAAACATCCTAATGGCCACTTTTAGAATGAGTTTTGCTTTTCAAGAGTAATGTGGAGTAAGGGAAGCCCAGTGTTGAAACATTTAAAGCCAGTTGTTACATTCCACTTCCTGGATCCCTGAGTTCCCCAGTTTCTACAGCTGGAACCCCTTACCTCTCAGTACAGGCCAGTGAGGGACCAAGATGAAAGGACCTTGAATGCAAACCTCTTTGCTTCCAAATCAAGCAGTGTTATGGGTGGTTCTACTTCACCTGAATACCCTAGTTCTGATGACTAACGATAAGAGCAGCATTAGCTGACAATTACATGTGCTGGAGTCACTGTTCTAAGTACTTTGTGTGTGTGTGTGTGTGTGTGTGTGTGTACCGCTTACTCCTTGCAACTACCCTGAGGTAGGTACCATTTTTATCCCCATTTTACAGATGAGGAAACTGAGATCACATAGCTAGTTACTGGCACAACTGGGATGGCTTTAGAGTCCATGGGCTTAATCTCTAAGCCAGTGGTTCTCAAACGTGAGCATTTCTTAGAATCCCAGAGGGCCTGCTCAAACATAGACTGCTAGGTGTTTGCGATTCAGACGTCTTGTGGGAGGAGGAGTGAGGATTTGCATTTCTGACTAGTTCCTAGGTGCTGCTGCTGCCAGTCTGAGAAGGACATTTTGAGAACCACTACTGTGTGCTCACTGAATCCAGCTCTTGATTCCCATTTTTGAGTGGCTTCCTTTGTTGCCTGCCTGGTACCCTGACTCCTCAGGGACTGGCTCCCTTTTCCCTCTAAGTCTACCAGAACATTGCTGGGTCCCCACTCTCTGCTCTAAGACGCCCCATACCACCTGCTTTCCTGGGCCTTTACCTATTGTCATCTGCAAGATGTGTCTGTTCTCCAACTGCCTTCCTGGCCTTCCAGGTGCTAGAAACTTCCTCCATCATAGCCACTTCGTCGGGGGTTAATCTGGCCTGTGGATTATACTGTGTCCTGTCCCTCCACAAACTGAGTTGTAGCGATGACAGATGTCACATGTGCCTTAAAACTTCTGAATTAGATGGTATGGGTGCAGGGAATAGACTCCAGAGACCCTGAGCAGCCCCACCGCCGTCCCGGCCCGGTTAACCTCACGCCCAGCCCTGGGAGGAGCCGCAAGTGCGCAGCGGGCGCCACTCGCCATCCCCGCACCCATGAGCAAAGAGGCCCAGGCCGAGCCGCCGCCGCGACACCAAACCCAGCACCAGGGGCAGCGCACAGGGATCGGTGGCCAGGGTGCCTCACATCGGCTGCGCCTGCCCGCGAGGACAAGAAGGATGGGGTTTCATCAGCGGGAATGACACCAAGGAAGATGTATTTTGTACAGCAGACTGCCATAAAGCAGCAGCAGCTCAGGAATCACCTTCGCAGCGTGGTCGTGGAGAGCTGTGGAGTTTGGTGTTGAAGGAGCAAAGGGTGCGGAGGCGGCAAATGCCACGGGCCCTGGTGGCGGTCCAGTACGAGGCAGTACATGCAGCGACCGCAACCCTTTGAGACGCCATCCGCACTGCAGGCGCCTCGTGCACTTAGCAGTAGGATCAACAGAATAGTGGGCGTGGGTGAAAAACAAGGGATGGGAGCGCGCCCAAGGGCCAGGCCCAACCACGCGCCGGCTGCAGGCGCAGGGCCCCACCTACCACCTGCGGAGACCCACGGGCACGGACTACCACTCCAGCCCTCCTGCAGGAGCAGGGATGGGGGTGCCCACAGTCAGGCGCAGGAGAACAGGGTAGACCAGGGAGGCAGGATGTGCAGCCGGGACTCACACCCCAATTCTCCTCGCCAGAGACAGCCAGCAGTGGACACCGACCAAGACGATAAAGAAAATCAAGGGGCTAAGACCCAAGGTGAGCAGCCGCCTCAACATCAACTACCGACACAGACACCCAGAAAACTCTAAACCACAAGATGGCAAAGAGACAAAAGCAATCCATCAGCTGAGAATCCGGCTCCCAAGGCTGAGTAAATGCGGGCTTACCATCTCTACCACCATCCTGGTTATCATCCAACAAGAACAAAGGAATGCGAAATTCCAGCAACAAGAAATGAACAAAAGATTGGAGCTGAAGATCTTAAGTGCTTGTTTTTTGTCCGTTGACCAGACAACTAGAACTATCTGCATTGTCTACGCAGCATGGTATTTTGTTTTGCTTTTGAGATAGGGACTCATGATGTCACCCAGGCTGGAGTGCAGTGGTGCAGTCTCGCTCACTGCAACCTCCTCCTGGGCTCAAGAGATCCTCCCGCCTCAGCCTCTCGAGTAGCTGGGACCATAGATGCGCACATCATGCCAGGTTAATTTTTTGTTTTTGTTTTGTTTTGTTTTGTTTTGTTGAGATGGAGTCTCGCTCTTTCGCCCAGGCTGGAGTGCAGTGGCGCGATCTCGGCCCGCTGCAAGCTCGTCCTCCCGGGTTCATGCCATTCCCCTGCCTTAGCCTACCCAGTAGCTGGGACTACTGGCGCCCACCACCACGCCTGGCTAATTTTTTGTATTTTTAGTAGAGACGGGGTTTCACCGTGTTAGCCAAGATGGTCTCGATCTCCTGACATCGTGATCTGCCCGCCTCGGCCTCCCAAAGTGCTGGGATTACAGCCATGAGCCACCGTGCCCGGCCCATGCCAGGTTAATTTTTATACTGGTTAATTTTTATATACTGGTTATACAGGTTAATTTTTATACCGGGGAGGGGGAGTCTCGCAGTGTTGCCCAGGCTGGTCTCGAACTGCTGAGTTCAAGCCATCCGCTCGCCTCCAGACAGTTTTTAAAAAATTGTTTTTACCTGAAGACGTCTCTTTTTGGTAATAACAAACATTTTTTAAGCCCCCCCCCTTTTTTTTCAATATACCTTTAAAGATTTTTAAATTGTTTCATATCTGGTCAAGTTGAGATTTTTAAGAACTTCATTTTTAATTTGTAATAAAAGTTTACGACTTGGTTTTTTCAAAAAAGTCAACAAACTGTAAGGACCTGTTAATTAAAGTCTTAAATAATTTTTTTTAAAAAGGCTTCTGAGAACCTGTGATCTAGGTTAATTGTCCTAGGCCAGAGAAGTCTTAATGAACAGTGACTTCAAACCTGTGACTATCCAGAAGACCCTCCTCTGACCTTTCTCTAGGCCATGGAGGCTCAGAACTGGACATAGTGCACCACATGGAATCTGACAATTCACTGGGTTCATCATTTTCCTTCTTCCGGAATTTGATATTCTATTAATACTGCCTGTGATTGCATTAGTTTATCCTTTGGTGTGTATTCACTTTTTGTCCAAGACTTCCAAATATTTTTCAAATAAACTGTTTTCAGACCCTTCTTGCCTGCATCTTATGCTTACGTAAGTACTTTTTTTTCCTACCTTGACACAGGACTTTATAGTTATCCATGCTAACTTTCATCTGGTTTGTTTTTATATTGCATCAGCCAAAGTAATTTTTTTCTTTTTGAAATAAATCTTTTTTATTGTTTTTTAATGAAAGGAATATTTGCTCATTACAAAAATACTATGAAGTGCAGATAAACAAAAAATAACATTAAAATTTTATTATGCCACTCACCCACAGTTAATCATTGTGAATACTTCGGTGTATATCTTTCTAGAATCTTAATAAATATCTTTCTAAATTATCCATAAACAAATTTCCACACATAAATGACCCATAGCAGTAATTTTTAGATTCAGTCTTACATCTAGAGTATTTACTATTTCTTCTAGCTCTGAGTCAGCCACAAAGTGGCTTCTGTGTTTTTGTGCATGTTGTTGATAAAATATCGTATGGTATAAACAAAAACAGAATCCCGCCTCATAGCCCAATATTTTTCCCTCCGGAAGACTACTGATTCACAATTCAGCACTTCTTGTGTAGCAGTTTTTAACCAGTTAGAAATTCACGGGCCGGACGCGGTGGCTCCTGCCTGTAATCCCAGCACTCTGGGAGGCCGAGGCGGGTGGATCACGAGGTCAGGATATCGAGACCATCCGGGCTAACACAGTGAAACCCCGTCTCTACTAAAAAATACAAAATATTTGCCGGGCGTAGTGGCGGGTGCCTGTAGACCCAGCTACTCGGGAGGCTGAGGCAGGAGAATGGCGTGTACCTGGGAGGCGGAGCTTGCAGTCAGCCCAGCCGAGATCGCGCCACTGCACTCCAGCCTGGGAGACAAAGCGAGACTACGTCTCAAAAAAAAAAAAAAAAAAAAAAAAAAAAAAAAAAAAAAAAAAAAAAAAATTCGTGTACTTGCACTCTTAGTCCAGTTTTCTATGTTATTCAGACGGATAATGTGAGGGGCCTTATCTGTTTAAGTTACGATAATATGCAGCCTACAGATACGATAATATGCAGCCTACAGATATGGTAATCTAACTCTTGTAATTCCCAAATAACCGGGCTTCATATTAAATTGACTATTTGTAGATTCCAAACTTCAATATCGTACTACTGGCCAGGCGTGGTGGCTCATGTCTGTAATTCCAGCACTTTGGGAGGCTGAGGCAGGAGGATCACTTGTGCCCAGGAGTTCAAGACCAGCCTGGGCAACGTAGTACGACCCTGTCTCTATTATATATAATTTTTTTAATTGTATTGCCTTACCGGCTTTCAGAAATAAAGCCATTTGTCCATCTCCAATTTTCAGACACTTTTTCTATTCTTTTTGATTTTCCAAAAATTAATGGCAGCGATTCTACAATTATTTTTATTAGTTCTTATGTCTTGAGCTAGAATGTATCCAAGTCTGAAGAATCAAAGTCTTTCACGAAGGCTCCTTGTTCTCTTACTATCTTGGCCCCTATCTTGGACTTCAGTGCAACCACGTTTGTTCTACACCTTCAGGTTTTGAAGCTTTCTCATTTTCATAGAGAAGACAGAAGCAAAATAGAGCTGTAAAGAAGTTCTACTCACCATCTTCCATTAGCTTTAGAACTTGAGCCTCATTACACAGTTCCGGCCATTTTCTCTCTGGTTGTATCCAACAAAAGCCATTTTGATGCCTCTAGATTTTTTCATAAGCTTTGATTAATTTTTTTTCTTGGCTTCAGCCTTCTGGCTATAATTTCGACTCCTCTCCACCAATCTTTCTTTTTTCTCCTAGTCAGGTACTACTTTTTGATCTTGTGTGTGTGATCTTTTACAATCTGATTCCACTGAAGTGGCCTTAGCCACTCATTTGCTTCCTTACCTTCCTGTCTGTTTTCTTTTACCCCAAGATCATTTTTTAAAAATAATATCTTCAGATTTTTTTATAGACTCTTAGGCCACTTCTCCTTTTATATAAAGGCTCTAGCTGTATTAAAATACCTATCTCTCTCTTAAATATTTGAAATCTCAGATGCCTCATTCTGCTTTCTGTCTTCTTCTGGACACAATGGAGAGTGTATGGATATCATTCAATAAGGTTCTTAGGTTAGTAGCAGCAGAAACAGACTATGGCTACGGTAAACAAAAATGGAATTTGTTGGAGGGATTATCAAGAAGCTTAAAGCTCATGGTCAGAATCAGACTATACAACAGTCAGAACCAGGGTGGCTCCAGGAGTTTATTCAGCAAGAATTAATCTGTCCTGGTGCTAATAAAAGAGGATTTCAAAAGTTCATGGAAAAACAAAATTGAAAGATAAAAATTACAAAATATAAACTTTATGTCTCAACATAAGCTCCATCAAGGTCAAGACGCTTTTGTAAGCCATGATACCAGCCATTTAGTCCATCCTTAAAGAACTGAGGGCCCTGGAAATGTAACCATGTCAATGAAGTCTAATTTATATATTTAACAGAATAAAAATGGGTGCCCTTTAAAAAATTTTTTTTAAGATTAGGAAACAAAGAGAAGTCAGAAAGAGCCAAATCAGGACTGTAAGGTGGATGCCTAAAGATTTTCCATCAAAACTTTTACAAAATTGCCCATGTTTGATGAGATGAATGAGCAGGAGCATTGTTGTGGTAAAGAAGGACTCTCCAGTGAAGCTTTCCCAGGCGTGTGTTTGTGTGTGTGTGTTTCTGCTAAAGCTTTGGCTTTCTCGAGCACTCTCATAATAAGCAGACACTGTTGTTATTTGGCTCTCCAGAAAGTCAACAGCTAAGTGAGTTGAGCATCCCAAAACACTGTTGCCATGACCTTTGCTCTTGACTGGGCCACTCTTGGTAGCCATTGCTCTGATTGGGCTTTGTCTTCAGGATTGTCCTGGTAAAGCCATGTTTCATTTTCTGTTACAGTTCTTCAAAGAAATGCTTCAGGATCTTGATCCCACTTGTTTAAAATATCCATTGAAAGCTCTGCTCTTGTTTCAGCTGATCTGGGCACAACAGTTTTGGCACTCATTGAATGGAAAGTTTGTTCAATTTTAATTCTTCAGTCACATGTATAAGCTGAACCAGTTGAGATGTTTGTGGTGTTGGCCATTATTTCAGCTGTTATTATCAGCCCTGTTCAATTAGGGCACTTAATTGTTGGCCCTCGTCAATTATGGCAAGAACAAGATGATTTTTTTTTTTTTTTGCAAATTGATGTGGATGGTCTGCCACTGCTGGCTTCATCTTCAACACGGTCCCATCCCTTCTTAAAATGAGTTATCCATTTGTAAACTGCTGATTTATTTGAGGCCATAAACTTTTTGTATATTTTGTGGCCCCAAATCTTTAGAAAGCATCATTGTGCCCATAAACTTTTTGTAAAGCATCAATGATTTCACCATTCTTCCACCCAAGCTTCATCATAAATTTGATGTTTGTTCTTTCTTCATTTTTAGCAGATTTCATGTTGCTCTGATATGGCCTCTTTTCAAACTGAAGTCTTATCCTTCTTCACATGCCTCAAACTAGACCCTATTCAGATATGTTATAACAAGTTAGTACAAGTTTATTTTGGTACACAAAATTGAAATTCACTCAGTTTTTTCATAATATTCACTTCCATGAACAATTTGAAGACACTTCATATACTTCAGATTAAAAATCTTAAGAGAAGCAGTGAGTCTGATTGGCCCAGCATAGGTCAGATGCCTATCCCTTGGCTAGGGGAGGCTAGGGAACTCTGATTTACATGTCCAATAAGGCTACAGGCAATGGGGAGGTGGTAATGCTCCCAGAGGAAATTGAGATGCAATTACCTGTAGTGGGGTGAATACATGATAGAATGCTGAAGAACAACCGATGTCCACTGTAGCTACTGTCTCCCAAGGTTCACCTCATTTCCACTTTATTAATGGGTTCTACCTTTTTGCTCAGAGTTAAGAGTTGGCCGTATTTCCTTTATTGATCCATCTGCTTCTGAAAAAAGATGTTATTAGTAAATGATATTAGAAATTTATGAGATGTTCTGCCTTCAGCAGGATGAGACTTCCCACAGGTATCCTAGTAGTGGAAGTCCCAGGAATATTGGTAATATCTGTGCCAGTTTTAACAATACTACCAAAATTCTATTACCTTGTGGCCCCAAATCTTTTAGAAAGGAGTATCAACAAAAGCATTTGCCTCATATTAACCTGTTAAATTACTTTAGCAATCAATCACATTTGGGGCTTATTGTATAGCCATTGGGAATCACAAATATTATTCCTGAAACTTTCCCACTATTTCTTCTTGAAAATTGTTAATTGCCCCTCAATAACATTAATAACCTCTCCCATATAGATGCTGACCATCTAGCACTCAATATTCTGTGTCATCTTTCTTTCATATTTTTATAGTTTTTCTTAGACTTTTTTTCTTCCTCATCATTTCAGGATTTCCATTTCTTTTTCTTTTTAAATGAATTCCTTCAAGCCTTCATAAGTGGCTCTCAATCTTTGCCAGGAACTTATCCCAAGCCATGGTATGCCAGCCATGTAGCTACCACTCACATCTCACAACTGCCTTCTTTTAAAGACAGAATCTTCAACAAGAAGGATAAAAATATTATTGTGGTGCCTAGTTCTTAAATTTCCTATCTAGAATAGAGACATATGTAAATTTCTCCTGACTTTATCATTTGTTCCCATGTGAGCACACAGATGAGTGGTAGCAGGCTTAGGCTGGGCTCTCCTTTTCAGATATCTTCAAACAGGTGACACAGTTCTGAATTGACTGGGTCAGGAAAACTACAGTCATCTCCTTATTCTCACTACGGATAAGCTCCCAAAACACATCTTCCACCTGGAAAATTAGTGGGCATATAGATATTGGAAGAGTAAAAGTAATTCTTAGAATCATTGATTCAAAGACAAAATCCTAAGAGATGGTAATAGGGGTTGGAAGAATGAGATTAAGGGAGTAACATGGTAATAGGAAAAGCAAGATTCCTTGATAAATTTTCCTGTTAGTGAGTTTTCTCATGCCATCCTGGAGCTCTCCCCTGCCCAGCAAATTAGAATTACAGTTGAACTGGAAGGTTATTTTGTAAAGCCTTCTGACCTTTAGGCACTGTATTTGAGACTGAGGCAGGGAACAAAAGAAGTCCTAAATGTCACACACAGGTGTCATCAATCCCAGAAAGACTTGGACTTTGGTCACTTTTGAGAAACCACAGCTGCTAAGATAAATGGTGATTCCCACGAGGAGATTGTTCTGGAATCTGTCATCAGGATGCCCTTTTAGTTTTCAAGACCACTAATCTGGAAATGTGAAACTTGCTCATGATCCAGTTTTCCTTTCCTTTCAACTGCCTTTAATGAAGTCATAAGATCTGACAATGGCCAAGCAAGCAGCCATGGAGTGGATCCCAGGCTCTGGCATTTACTAGGTAAGGTCACTTTCTGGGGTACTTAGACATAAAGGAAGCTGAAGGTGAAACATTTAAGAGAGTGTATCTAAGAGTCAAAATGAGGGAGGCCAGATCCATGTTCCAGGAAATCAAGAACAGCACGAGAAGATAGACTAAAGAAAGACCATTTTACCATTAATTGGGGCTGGGAGATGAGAACTTTCTCTTTTATATAAGTGACTCTCTGTGGTATGACACCTGTGTTAAAAGCACTGGGCAGACTCAATAAGAACAACCATTCCCCCAAAAAGAAACATCTTCCATTCTCTTAACCTGAAGCAAAGTAAAAATGAAGAGCTCTAGAATTTTATCATCAGGAGCTGTTCCCCTTAATGAGTAGAAGCTGGAAAGTCAAAGGTATGGCTTATCATGCAGTATACCAAGACCAGCAGCCACTCCTAAGCATCTATTTGGACGGTCTCAGGGATGACAATGTTGTTGGGAGAAGGGACTGGGGGCTTAATTAAAGCAGATTCAGTTAGATTTTGCATTTATTTTGGGGTAGCTTCAAGGTTGAAGGAGATGTGGTCTAATGGCTATAGAGAGGCAAGAATCCTCAACCCACCTCCTCACAATCAGATTCGTTTACTCCACTGATGATTAAGTTGTGCTGAAAAAGATGCAGAGAACTGTGAAAAAGGTGTTTGTGAGGAGGACAAGACACACAACCCGACCCCGATAATACAATATATAAAAATTATTTGAAGGGAGTACAATTCAGATTTCCAGGCTATATTTCCATTTTTACCCGTGCAAGTAGAAAAAATAATGAAAAGAATGGTGAGGGAAAGAGATATAATAGTAATGAGATAATTTCACCTTATTAGAGAAAAGAGAGAGGAGTTCATCACTGTCTAAGTCCAAAAAGGTTAATGGGGAAATAATGATGAGCACATATTCTCCATGCCCAAGGTAGACATAATAAAAGAAAGCAGGCTGAAGCCATGGCTAGAGTGGAGACTGATCTGGGTAATAGAATTTCCTCCTCTACAGGCTATTAGAACTGAAAACATGCTCTTTTTCTAATATGGCTTAGTTGCAGCTTCAATGATGTTCTCACTACCTATCTATCCCTCAGGCATGATAAGCACAGTCAGCTTAAATAAGGGCACTTCCCACCAGTTTCTGCCTGGGGCTGGGGAAACAGACCCAGCTGACATCTTGACCATAACCTCATGAGAGACCATATGCTGGATCAACCCAGATAAGCCACTCCCCAATTCCTGACCCATGAGATTTTAATGCATATTGTTGTTTTAAGCAACTAAGTTTTGGGGTGATTCCTTAAGCAATTAAGTTTTGGGGTGATTCCTTAAGCAACTAAGTTTTGGGGTGATTCCTTATGCCTCTGGACCTGTGGAACAGAAGAGAAAGAATCACAGTTATTACTTTTTTAAACTATAGACATTTTATTTTTAACCCTATTGGAAACTGTCCCATATCAGTACATAAAGGGTTATTCCACTGTATGGTGGTAGGTACAACAATTTATTTAGACAATCCCCTATGGATGGACATTTAGATTATTTTAGTATTTCAAAGCATGCTTCAACGTACCTATGTGTACCATCACCTTTTTGTACACATACATATAAAAACACAGAACAAATCCCTAGAATTGGAATTGTTGATATCCAGGCTTCTCACTCAGTATCTACAGGAGTTGCCTGATCCTTGATGCATCATCTACCTACTCCTAGTTCTCACTCAAGTACTGGAACTTCTACTAACTGTAAGCTGCCTGGAGACCCTACTGTACTCATCAGATAAGGAGCACTTTATGTAAACTCAGAGAAAATAGCTGAAAACTTTATGGGTGAGTTATTAAAAACATTAAAACAGGACTATTCCAACAAGTCCATTACTGTGTCCTGCATAGACTCTTAGGTCAATAAAAAGTTCTCAAACACCTAATGTGATAAAACATAGTGTGAGAGCCAAAAAGAAATGAAAGACTTGGTCTTCACCCTTCAGAAGTTGGAAATCAATTCTCCCCACCAGTTGGGACTCAGAAGAGCTAAATTCAATCAGTTGGTTTTTCTCCCTCAACGACACAGCTCCAGTTGCCAGGGGAGAAATTGCCCTGAGGTCACTGAGGATAGAAATACACTCTTGGGTGGACTCCCTCTATCTTTTCATTTTTCTCTCACACATAGGCACACAATTTTTTTGTGATGAAGTAAAACTATACCGTTATGAATAGAGGGCATTGGTTGAATGATGTGGCTTTTCCACTATCTTCATGTACTTCTTTAATCCAGAGTGGTTTTCTTTGTTTTGATAAAATGCACATGTGTTTTTATGTACATCTAATGTTTCAGTGACTTCCAGTCTATTTTGACCATGGCTAACAGTATGAAACACATTGACAATACAATCCATCCAACCATCTACCCATCTATGTATATCTTTTTGAAAAGCATCACCAAAAGCACTTAACCTTATTATGCATAATATTTTCTGATAGTTTATATTCTAGTCTATTCCATTTTGTAAAAATGCTGGTCTCAACCCACTTAATTTCACAATCTACTAATGGGTCATGACCTGCAGTTTTAAAAACACCACACTCTCTATACCACACTACAGGCCTGGAGTAAAATCCAAGTGTTTGCCTTGTGTAATAAAAACCTTAAAAGCCTTTGAGCCCTGCTTGTTAGATTTGTTCTTCCTTTAAAAGTTAGAAGTTATCCCTGCCAAATGTGCTGGAAGCAACATAAATCCAAGACTTTCTCATAAGTCGGCATGAATATGCTGTCATTTGGGGCTGGTATTGGGAATATCAGTAAGTGCACCTTGTTCTGTCATTCTTCTTGACTGTCTGTCGCAGCTGGAGAGGTACTTTCCCTCCAGATGCCCTTTGATGGAGTTCACAGGAAAAGAATGCAAATGCTAGTCTGCCCAGGCCAAGAATCTGTCTCCCTGCAGCTGATTGGGTTACGTGGTGGGGAGAGGCGTGTGTGTCTGTCACTAGGAAGAGTAATCTGCTGTATGGGGAATCCTGGGGAATAGAGTAAAATGAGAAGGCAGATGTAAAATAATTCTCCCTAACGTTATGCCATCACACCCGGAGTAATATTAATGATCTCACATTTGTGTTTGGTCAGCCTAGGGACACAGAGGAGGGAAACTGATGTGATGGTTTGTGGGTCAGCTGTGTGTCAGGCCTTACTCTAGACACATACCTGTGTAGTCACTGGAGTAGGTGTAATAAGAGCTAATATGTTTTGGGTGCTTATTTTTCTTTAGGTATTTACAAGCATTATCCCATTTACATCTCACAATTCTATGAGGTTTGTACTATATGACTCCCAATTTTTCAGATGAAGAAACTAAAGTTTAGATGGGAGGAATAATTTCCCCAGGGCTTCACAGCTAGTGTAAGACAGAACCAGGACTAGAGCCCAGGTATTCCCTAGTCCACAGCCTGTGCTCGTCACCACCACCCTGAATTATTGTAGGGGAGGGAACTGGCTCAAAAAGAGTAAGTAAAGGGTATGTAACCCCGGTTCCACAGCCAACAGGTGGCAGAGCCAGGATTCACAAAGAGTCTGTCTTGACGTCAAAGCCAGGTTCTTTCACTAGAACCCTTCAACTCTGCTGCTTCCTGGGCCCATGGTGGCCAGGAGAAATTTAAGGGGAAATGTGATTCTTTCTGGAATGCAAGTTTGAACATGGTAGGATGGAAAGATCTAGGGCTGCTATTGAGAAACATGTGTTCTAGTGTTGACTCTCCATAAACTTGCTGGGGGGTGAAGGGCCAGGGGACGAGGTCTCAAATAAATCATTCTGTGTCTTCAGACAAATAACTGCAAGCCAGTTGGCTTTTATGAGCTCCCTAAGGATCAAAGCTAGAAGTGTGAAGGATTTGGACATTTTAAAGTTGAATATAAATGTAAGACTTGACTTTTAAAATTCCTTCTTAAACCATGTACCTTATGACAAGAGAAATGTTATACTTTATTGCTTAGATGAATAGAAATAAACTGCTTGTGGTCAGGAACCATGTTTCATGGTTCTTACAATACTTAGCACTCAAGTCCTTCTCCACTGTTACCTTGGAAAGCATCGGAAAAGGAATTTCTACTGCCAGGGAAGACATTTAAAATTTGGGGTAGGGGAGAGGTGTCTAGATTGACAACCTCAACCTATTGTACGCATTTAAGTAATAATTGTAATAGTTGTTAATATTATACCTAGTTAATTTACATAAGTAGAATTCTAGATCATTGCCTCGAAAGGAATTTAATCATTCTGCTTATAATTTGGGAGCTTTCTATATCGCTTATGTATTGTTGCTTATTAGGGTAGTCAGATTGACAGACTGATAATGGCCTCACAAAACTGTTAAGTTCATTTAGGACAGTGACTGCATCTGTAATGCTTACTCTGGGGTCTCCAGAGCCTCCCCAACACAGTGCCTGCCATGTAGCAGGTGCTCAATGAACATTCATTGAATGAGTAAATGAAGCTGTGGGTCCTCTTGTTTTGATTTCAAAGGGAAAAGTCTTGGTTGGCAAATACTACAGAAAAATTTTTAACTTTGAAACAAAGTATCAAGGCTTTGCATATGATGACTATAGCTTATCTTCAGTGGCTAAGTATAGGCTTTTATCACTAAATGCCTCATGTGAGTACTTAGCCACGTTGGTTCTTTCTCTCTAAACAAACAAAAGCCCCATAGAGGTTTTCTGGGGTTTTTGCTTGCTTGCTTTCTGAAGTTTTTACAGTTTAAAATGTGCAAACTTCAACAAAGGGGTAGACCCAGTAACTTGAATCCTGGTTGGATACATGTTCTGCTACTTCCCTGTGCATGCACATCACCACCTCCACCCACCCAAAGGGAAGATGCAGTGCTTGTCTACTATTCACAGGCAAGTCCTAGGAAAGATTAACCCACAATATTTGTGATGCAAGTTTTATAGAGGTCAACCAAGGGCACAGTTAGCTATTAGGTCACCTTGCAATGCAGGATAAAGGGAAGATAGGATCCAGGGTGGAAACAGAAAATGGAATGGTAAAACAGAAGAAAATGCCCTAACTAGAGTAAAGACTTGATATAGTTTGGTGTTCATCCCCTTGAATTCTCATGTTGAAATTTATTCCCAATGTTGGAGGTAGGGCCTAATGATAGGTGTTTGGGCAATGGCAGAGGTGGGGCTCCCTCATGAATAGACTAGTGCCCACCCACCCTGGGCAGAGGGGTGTGAATTCTCCCTCTGTTAGTTCCTGAGAGAGCTGGTTATTGAAAACAGTCTGCACCTCCTTTCTCTCTTGCCTCCTCTCTTGCCATGGGATGTCTGCACACGCTGGCTCCCCTTCACCTTCCACCATGAGTGGAAGCAGCTTGTGACCTTCGCTAGAAGCAGATGCTGGCACCATGCTTCTTGAACAACCTGCAGAACCATGAGCCAAATAAATCTCTTTTCTTTATAAATTACCTAGCCTCAGATATTCCTTTATAGCAACACAAAATGGACTAAGACAAAGCTTCTATTCAAAACCCAGATAGGGTCCTTGTTGTTTGAAGGATAAGAGGTACAGAACAACAGCACAGCTATAGGAATAAACCCCATATAATTCACTGGGCATCCAGTTTCTATTTATGAGGAGCAGGTACAGTTCATCTTTTATTTTTTATTTTTATATTCGTGAGAAAAGAAGGGAGATTATGAAAGTAAATATGGATCCCAGCATTAACAGCTGAATATATAAAGGAATTCAAGTGCTTTAATTAAAAAATTATGACCACAGTGAGATACACTTCACACCCATTGGGATGGCTATTATTAAAACATGGAAAATAACAAGTGTTGAATGAGGATGTGGGAATAATGGAGCCCTCGTGCATTGCTGGCGGGAATTTAAAATGGTGCAATTTCTGTGCAAAACAGATTGGCAGTACCACAAACAGTTAAACATAGAATATTACCACATGACCCAGCAATCCCACTTCTAGGTATATGCTATGGTTTGAATGTGTCCCTCAAAGTTCATGTGTTGGAAACTTAATCCCCACTGCCACATTGTTCAGAGGTACAACCTTTAAGAGGTGGTCAGGTCCTGAAAACTCTCCCCTCATAAATGGATTAATGCCATTATCTTGGGAGTGGGTCCCTTTCTCTCTCTCACCCATGTGATGCCTTCTGCCATGGTATGATGCAGCAACAAAGCCCTCACCAGATGCTAGTCCCTCAATCTTGGACTTCCCAGTCTCCAGAACCATGAGCCAAGCAAACTTCTACTGTTTATAAATTACTCAGTCTGTGGTATTCTTTCATAGCAGCAGAAAATGAATCAAGACAGTATATACTCAAAATCAAAATGGAAAGAACTGAAAACTGAGACTCAAATAAATATTTGTACCCCAATGTTCATAGGAGAATTATTCACAACAGACAAAACGTAGAAACAACCCAAGCATTCATTGATGGATAAATGGATAAACAAAATGTAGTATAAATATATATAATGAAATATTATTCAGCCTTAAAAATGAAGGAAATTGTGACATGTGCTATAACATGCATCAACTTTGAAAACATTATGCTAGTAAAATAAGCCTAAGATAAGGGACAAATATTGTGTAATTTCACTTCTACAGGGTACCTGAGTAGTCAAATTCAGAGTCAGAAAGTAGAATAGAGTTTACCAGGGGCTGGGGAAAAGAGATAGTGGGAATTATTGTTAAATGGGTGCAGAGTTTCTGCTTGGGATAATGGAAATTTTCTGGTAATAGTGGGGATGATTGCACAACATTGAGAATATACTTACTGCCATTGAATTATACACTTAAAATGATAAATTTTATGTTATGTATATATTTCTTTCTCTTTTTTTTTTGGAGACAGCATCTCACTCTGTCACCCAGGCTGGAGTGCAGTGGCGCGATCTTGGCTCATTGCAACTTCCCACGTTCAAGCAATTCTCCTGCCTCAGCCTCCCGAGTAGCTGGGACTACAGGAGAATACAGCCATGCCTGGCTAATTTTTTGTGTGTGTGTGTGTGTTTTTAGTAGAGACGGGGTTTCACCGTGTTGCCCAGGCTGGTCTGGAACTCCCAAGCTCAGGCAATCCGCCCACCTTGGCCTCCCAAAGTGCTAGGATTACAGATGTGAGCCACCGCACCTGGCCTGTATTTCTACAACAATAAAGATGATATTGTAAAACCTAAGAATAGGTTAATTATATTCACAATGTTGTACAACCATCACCACCATGCTCTGCTACCTCCCTCAGTGTAGGTCTGCCACAGTGCACAGCCAGGGGAAATGGAACCTGTTGGTGTTCATTGGCTGCTCAGTTGGCCTAGAATAGCTTTCCTACACCAGGAAATGGGGAGATGGGAATGCCAGTTAGCTGCCGAACCCACTAGAACGGCTCCACCACAACACAGAATTGCGGGGAAAGAGGGGCTATACTCCTCACCAGCTTCTCCGCTCAGCTCCTCCCCACTGAGCAGCAGCTGAGGGTGGGGGAAACTGTCGCCTGGATGCCCACCCAGGAGAGATCTTCTGTCTGTATAGGCTGGGGAGGTGGGAGTTGCCACCTGGCTGCCAAGCCCACTGGACAAGCCACCTGGAGCTGGGGAGGGGGAAGGGTGAAGATCCTAGCTTGATTGCCATGGCCTCTCACTGTTACTACTGAGTTTCTGTAGATTTGTTGAATAAATATTCCTTAAATTGTTGTAAGCCCTTTGGCCAATCACCAAAGATTTTTGAGTGATTGTCTTTTACCTGTTTAATAGATGTCTCCCTGGGAGAGAAGTTTCACTGGCATCATTACATTATCATTCTGGAAGCTCCTCTCTTCCTCATAGAGTTTTAATTAACCATAGTGGAAAATGCATCTTTTAAAATAGCAGCATTTTGTAGAAGTCCTCTTGAAGGCTTCTCCTGATAAATTCATGTATCAATCTTGGTCTGATGGAATTCTAAGGAGAAGAAGAGATAGTGGCTGTATCCAATTGCAAGTATATTTAAAACCTTGCTGAAGATGGTGTAGTAGTAGCCAGGCCCTTCGCTCAGAGAGCTAACAGTCTGAGTAAGGCAAAGCATTTGAGTAGATAAACCTGAGATCAAAAGTAAAGTATCCCTGCAGGAAGGTAAGGAGATTAATAGCATGGAGGCATATGGAGCTTTTGGAAATAGAGCCATTTGAAATCCACAAAATCACCTGTGTCTTCAGAGAGGGGCTTAGAGTGACTTCTAAGGGGATTAGACCCTGTTAACAGTGTGCTTCAGAGAGATGCATCAGTATACCTGACGAATGTTTATTGAATGTCCCTGGGGAGGCTGACATTGTAATTATCTGTTTCTGAGGCTCTGCATAACTTTGCTTTGATTTTTGCTTTTTTTTTTTTTCTGTAAGGACTTTGCCGTTACTGGGGATTTCATATTTCTTTTATTTTCAATTGGTTTTTAAGGAGGGAGAAGAGGCAATTGACTCTATGCCATTTGTATACAGTCTTGTAAAACCACTGCTGAAGATTTGAAATATTATTCTGACTTGAATAACTTGCCACTCCAAGTGAAGCTGTTTTCTTCGCTAGACTTGCCACAGTTTGGAAGGGAAGCTGTCCTTCAGCAATGATAAATGACACAGCAATTGTTTCTGCAAGTCCAGAATGATGAATAGATCTTGCTTCATCCAAAGCTTTATTTCCAAAAGCTTTGACACAAAGAGAGACCAATTTCATTATTGCTACATTCTAGAAGAAGAAACAAAACCATTTGCCAGCATGCTTAATATGATGAATTTCTAAGCTGAAAGCACTATCCTTGTAATCTTTTTGATGTCTCTTAATATATCTATCCATTTTCCTTACAAAGACCGTTTGTTTATTAAGATCCATTCTGTGAAAAGAGTCACATGGTGTATTTCAAACGTCCGTTTAAAATGATTCTTCAGGTATGATGCCAGAAGTTTTAATAGCCCTCCGCCTCCCCTTCACATTGCCTGTGTGATCTCTGGTGTGTCCTGCCAAGTACCCTCACTCTCTCACTTTCGTTGCCCAAGTGCATTCTGAGTAGCAAGGACTTCTGCTTGGACTCATTGTTTGGGTCAGGCTCAGAGAGAGCTCTTATGTTTTTTCTCATCAGCTAATAAAGATAAGGGGTGGCATCAGGGGAAGCATGCCTTAGAGATGAAGGGCAAATGGAGATCTTTGATTCAAAGAATGCGGCTCCATCACTTTCTCTCTTACATAAAAATTCTATTCATCCCACACTTCCTACTGCAAATCACATTGGTACACCATGACAATGCAGTAGATACACAAGGACTTTCCCACATCACACTACAAACACAGCCACCCTCTCTGGGGAACGTAAGAGAAACTTTTGGGCTTCCACTTCCCCTCCATTTGTTTGAAGGATCAAGAGAACACTGTTCCATTTTCAACAAAAATTAAAAAGGAAAATCATGAAAAGAGCCAACCTCCTCTTTTTTGTTTTCTCCCTTAATATATTGTTGCATCCAGGGAAGAGGAAACAGTGAGCGCCACTGATACTGGGTCCCCAGGGACCCCATAAGGGTCACTCCCCAGCTATCAAATGAGCATGTCTTCCTCCACTTGCAGAGTGAGTTTTTAACGGGAATGGAAGTTACTCTTGGCTCAGCTCTGATGTTGAAAAAAATAAAATAAAAAGAAAAGAAAAAAAGAAAAGAAAAAGAAATGCCACAGTGCTTCAGGGAACCAGGCTGTGTTCACACCTGGGTTTTCACAGGACAGAGATTTTTAGCTTTAAGGCTTTGGAGATTTGGAGAAAGGAGATTTCAGAAATCATTAGCCATGTTCCTGCCAGCCTCAGCAGGCCAGCTAAGAACAGTGTGTTCCTTAAGGGCAGGAACAAATTCCTTCCACATGTTTTGGTGTTTTTGTTTCTTCTTAACGTGCTATCAGTGATGCCATGGGCCAATTAACTTTGGGACTTAAAATGTGACGATATCTCATTTATTCTACACCGTTGCTAAATAAGATGATCATGGGATAAAATTTTCCAGGTAACTGGACTGTCATCCTTTGAGAACTGTATTTTAAAAATGGAAATGTATCTGGACTCCATTCAGTGAATAAAAACAATAAAGACTGTTAACTCTTTGATTGTGCAAGTTCATGTTCATGGGTGTATTACTTCATTGGCTGTATCAAAGATGTCCTCAAGGTCTATGGAGATGAAAAGGACTCTGCAGCCTCACATGATGGTCTTGAAATTCTAGCCTTTCCATTAGTTTTCTGATCTTCTAACTCAGTGTTCATTTGGCATTGTTATTCTGTCATTTCTTCCCAGAATCTGTGTCTGAGAAGCCTCATTGCCTTCCTCAGTCTTGACTATTTACTTCTTCACCAGTTGTAACATAGGCAAAACTGAGAGAAACCAGATGGACTTAGTTTTACATACATTACTTAGTAAATCTTCCCTCCTGCCAACTAAGTGAAGAGCACGGTTTTCATGACAGCATAAAAATCTAATTGATCCCTTCAGTCATTATGTGAGGAGATGGACTTTATATCAAGTGGCATTTTATTTTGAACTTAGAAAAATATGCATCTTATTACAATTTACCTTCAGTATAACAAGTCCATTGGACCTCCACGTCAGATTTTGAACCATTCATTTCTAAATTATTTGCTACCTCCTTAATCCAGGCCAGTATTATCTCTCAGAGATTATGGAAACTGCCTTTTGATGGTCTTCTAGCATCATCCTGGCTTTCTTCCAACCCTATCCACTATAGTCAGAATGAGCTTTCAAAAACTGAATCTCATTATTTCACCTCCTTGCTCAATGGCTTTCCATGTTAGCCTCACCTTGCCGCACACACCCTCTCCTGCTGTGCTCTACCACACCGTCTTAAGGGGTGAAGAGAGGCAATTGACTCAATCTTGTATGTATACACTCTTGCAAAACCACTGCTGAGGATTTTAAATATTGTCCTGACTTGGATAACCTGCCATTCCAAGTGAAACTGTTTTCTTCGCTAGACTTGCCACAGGTTGGAAGGGAAGCTGTCCTTCAGCAATGATAAATGACACAACAACAGTCTGTGCAGGTGGAAGATGATGAATAGATTTTACCTTATCTATCCCCTCATTTGACACAAGGTTGATACCAGTTTCCTAGAAGAAGAAACAAAATTATTTGCCAGAATGCTTAATATAATGAATTGTTAAACTGGCCATACTTTATATATATATATATATATATCTCCCAGGACCTTTGCATCTGCTGTCTGCTCTATCTGGAATGCTCTTCTCTCTTTCCCTGGCCTGTTTCTTCTATACTTCAGTTCTCAAATTAAATTTCACTTCCTCAGATAGGCAATTCTTCACCATTTTACTTAAAGTAGGCATTCACTATTATTCTCTGTCTAGGGTAGAGCATGTGGATAGACATATGAGAGTGAACACAGAGTATGAAAATCTTTATATCACATGTTAATACACATCATTAGATAGCATCTACCATGGAGTAGACATTAAATAACCTGGCAGACAAAAATGACCTCACCAGTTGACTTCAGCCACCCCAGTGCTGGAGCAAAGAACATGTGAACAAAGTAGCCACATTGGCAGACATTACACACGGGTCCAACAGCAAGAACTGCATTTACAAAGGCTGATCTAGCTACTACCACTGCTGGATATCCAACATGCCAACCATGAGGACTGGTGATGGGTTTCCAGTATGACACCACTGCTCAAGAAAACCAATCAGTCACTTGGTAAGATGTTGACTCTAATGAGCTCCTTTCATCCTGAGGGGCCAGTGGTTCCTCATTACAGGCATAGACACATACTCTGGGTATATGTTTGCTTTTCTGCTCATGGGAACTTAGCCAGCACTACTATGCAAGGGATGGGGTTATGGAATGCTTGCTATGTTGGCATAGAATCCTATATAACATCGCATCAAGCCATGGCCTTCAGCTTATAGTAACTGAGGTTAGAAATGAGCCCTGGCCACAGGATCTACTGATCATATCAAATATGCACCACCCAGAAGTGGCTAGCTCCCTACAGTGCTTCTTGGAGGCAATACTCTGGAAGGATGGGGTGCCACCCTCTGGTATATAATTGAATCAAAGACTTTTATGTGCTGCTATGTCCTAATAGAAAGACTGCATAGGTCCAGGGACCAGGAGAGGAAGTGGGAGTGGCCCCGCTTGCCATCACTCCCAATAACACTCTGGGGTGATTGGCGGGTTGCAGGGGGTGGTGGTGTTGTACTTCTTATCATGTAACTCTGGGCTCTGCAGGGTTAGAAACTCCCATTCTCAAAGATGGTACACTTTCACCTTGGAACATAGCAAGAGTATCATTAAATTATAAGCCACAGCTGCCACCTGGACACTTTTATTCCTTGCCTCCAGGGTACAGAAGACAAGGAGAAGACAATCACCATCTTGGCAGAGGTAATTGACCTGATCATCAGGAGGAAGTAGGGCTGTTGTTACAGTGGGTCAGGAAGTATAGTATTGAACCCAACGACCTACTTAGGCTCATTTTGATACTTCCTGGCCCACTTGTGATGTTAAATGAACAGGCACAGCAACCTTATTCCGCAAAAGGCATATGTCAAATAGCATATGAGCTGCTGTAACGAAACACCATAGACTGGGTGGCTAAAACAACAAACATCTATTTCTCACAATTCTGGAGGCTGGGAAGTGCACATCAAGATGCAGGCAGATTCAATGTCTGGTGAGGGCTCTGTTCCTGGTTTGCAGAGAGCTGCCTTGCTACATCCTCACATGGGAGAGAGAGAGAAGGCCTAGTCTCCTCCTCTTCGTCTAAGGGCACTAATCACATCATGAGGGCCCCATACATAACTTAAATCCAAACCTAAGTGCCTCCCAAAGACCCTACCTCCAAACACCATCACATTGGGGATTATGGTTTCAAGATATGAATTTTGGAGGGACACAAATATTCAGTCCATAGTAGCATGGTGACAAGGGCTCAGACCTCTTGCAGATGAGAACCTGGATGAAATCACTAGGAAAACCACCAAGACTGCCAGAGGTGGTATCTGATGGTGAGGGGAGTCTAGACTGGGTAATGGAGAAAGAGAAAATGAGTATCAGTTTTGGTCCCTAGATTCATTGCAGCTGTGGGGGCTGAAATTTGTGGTCACCTTCTCTTCTAAGTTTTCAATCGAGAAGAGAAGCCCACTGGAACCTGCAGGAGATGCTTCATGAATATGCATGAATAAGTGGACTGGGGTGAGGCAGAGATGAGTCACCTAGTCTCTCTTCAAGGAAGCACTTGCACCTGAGCTATGAGAGTGCAGTTGGCAGACAGCCTCCACCTGCCAGCTCCTTCGGGGTCTGCCTCAGTTGCAGAGAGTCACACCTTTCCTGGGGAAGCCCACATCTGGTGACTGAGCCAGGCAGGGGTGTAGAGGAATGGACATTTCGGTTCAAATTGGCACAACTCTGATGGGCAACATTTGCCCCAGAGCTGCCCACCATGCTGGCTGAGGCTTTGTCAGGGCTGCACTGCAGGTTGCTTTCTTCCTCTGCTCAATCTTTCTTTCCTCTTCCCTCTTTTTACTGGTGTTCATCCTTAATAAGTAGCTTCCATCCAAATTTGTCTCAGCATCTGCTTCCAGAGAACCCAACAGGCTATAGGCTATATGCTTTGCCTGCTACAGACAAAGGAGAAACTTGCTAACTAGGTAATTTGGGGCATATACATACATATGCGACTATGTAAACCACCTGGCACAGTGTGCTTGGTATATCACAGTGTTCAATATGTGCTGCAGTTTTGCTGTTTTAAAGGGAAGCTCCCCAAGAATGGACAGTCCCCCATGCTGACACAACTTTGTGAGGTTTCTGCTGAGGACAGGAAGCTGAGTGCTCAGTCTTCTGGCCACATTGTTGACAATCGCAGTACCTAATTCTTTTTTTTTTTTTTTTTTTTTTTTTTTACGGAATCTCGCTCTGTAGCTAGGCTGGAGTGCAGTGGCGCGATCTCAGCTCACTGCAACCTCTGCCTCCCAGGTTCAAGCAATTCTCCTGCCTCAGCCTCCCGAGTAGTTGGGACTGCAGGCACGCACCACCACGCCCAGCTAATTTTTGTATTTTTAGTAGAGACAAGGTTTCACCATGTTGGCCAGGATGGTCTCGATCTCTTGACCTTGTGATCTGCCTACCTAAGCCTCCCAGAGTGCTGGGATTACAGGCGTGAGCCACTGTGCCCGACCTTGCAGTGCCTAATTCTTAACTCAGCATCACTGTGAGCCCAGCACATTCCAAGTGTCTTGCATGTTTTAAGTCATTTCAACAACCCAGTGAAAAAGGTAGAGTTCCTAGTCCCATCTCACAGATAAGGAAATGAGGTGCAAAGTGGTTCATGAACTGGTCTGAGGTCCCAAAGATTGGAAGTGGGAGAGCTGGGCTTTGAACACAGGCCACCTGGGAGCAGAATTTGGGCTTTTGCTTATAGCGTCTACTGCCTCTTTGTTGAACTTTATTTTACAAAGAATGTGAGGCAGAATGAGACAATCCTGCCTTCACCTCCCACTTGCCTGTGACATCCTTCCAGAATAATTTTTTTTCTGAATAGGAAAGGGCAACAGGATGAGGAAGATGTCACCTTCCTGCAGATAGATTGAAATTCATTCTTCTCTTTCTGAAGCCTGAGAGAGGGAGAATCCAACACACTTGTATCCCTGGGGCTGAGGAGTCAAGCACTGGGAACCACCCTGGCCGAGGGTATAATGGAAGGAGTGAGATGTTGACAATGTCAGCTTCCTTGCAAAATTTCAGTTATCTGCAAATAATTAACTCAGCTTTTTCAACATGTCTTTATTTGCTTAAATTAACAAAATATAGGTTACATGCTCTTTTCAGGTAAACTGCTTTTTCAGTGAAGCAGAAAGCAATATTCACAACTTGGGCTGCTATATACTTAGAGTTTTAGTTTTTAAATAGCAAGCCAGAGTTCTGTACAAAATCAACATTTGGTGTAATGTTGTCCAAATATGCGAAGGATTTCAAACGTTAGCTCTGTTATATTTTGTTCCAGCAAAGCAGACAAAGATCATAATTCAAAACACCATGTTAATATTTTATTAAATGCGTTCAGGGCTTAATAAATACAGTATGCACATTGAGCTTTCTCATGCAACTACTCATATACAAATATACCAGTTACTCTTGTGGGTTTATGAAAGGTCAGCCTTAGTCTCATGGCCGGTGGGGAGTCAAATTTTTAAAAAGAGAGACAGAAAGAGGAATTGAAAGGTAACATGAGGAGTAATCATAGGAAAGAATAAAAAGAATAAAAGAAAAATATGCCACTTTGCTGGTCCATTGATTTGTTCAAAGTGACAGTGGTCAAAAGGCTGGAAAGCATTTGGTAGTGACCTATTTTCAGAGTCTCACAATATGATATTCTGGTTTTGGAATGCTGGTAATCTTGGAAGGCTTCATCCCTTAGTTCTCTGAGATGGCCCACATGGACTCTCCTTCAAGGCTTGCCTTCTGGTTCATCAGCTCATTAGGCAAGGCTGGCCAACCCTTCCCTTAACTCTGTGCTCTTGCATAAAGTGTCCATGTAATTTCTCACCCAAACTGGAATACTTTTGAGAATTAAGGTGACACTTGAATAATTATCCTGGGACAACAGGTCTAAACCACGATCATCCCAGGCAAACCAGGATGTTGGTCACTCAACAGCATACAAAACCAATGTTTTAGCATTGGTGCTCAGGTTAATGCTGTATTAACCATCAGGTTAGATCTAATTAAGTGTCTTATGCCCAGAGTCAACAACTAAAAACAGGCCCTGGAATACACTCCATAACAAATTGTTTTTATTTCTCCTAGACCTTTTTACTGCCTCCAAATAAAATTTTACTTAGAATGCTAATGTATAAATCAGATGGAACTTGAGCTGCTTGGAGTGAGGTGGGTGTGGGAGTTGAGAGCTTCTCCTCCCCTTACCACTCTTCAGAGGCCTAAAGATGACCTCTGGCTTCTCAAAACACAATCTGAAAACCACCATTCTAGACCATACTCTCTCTGTCTCAACATTAACTGGTCCCTCAAACATTCCCATGAGGTTTGTTTTGGTTGGAAAGGACTAGAGCCTGTTACTCTAGAATTTCCTGGTTTCCATTCCAGCCAGGCATACTCAGAACCAAACGGCATTCTACAGGACGTGTGGTCAAACACAGCACATAGTAGGTCCTCAACACATGGCCGCAGTGTGAATAAATGTGTAACCAGACCCCAAGAGCTGGAAGCCTCCCAGGCCACACTGCCAGCATCCTGGGCAATTTCATCAGAGGCACTGATGAGCTATATTAATACTGAATGGAAGGGACTTGCCCCTCTGAGGACTTGGAATGGGTTTTTGACCCAGAGTTGTGCTTGTAACCACAGAAACCCACAGTCTTCTCTTCACAATCTCCGTTGCAGGTGCCCTTACCTCAGGACATAGTACTCTTAGCACTTCATGGTGGTGGGGAGGCTGACAGGAGAAGCTTTAGGCAAGGTGGCAGGGGAAATGGGTCAGAGATGGACACAACACATGGGTGAGTGATGACAACCAGGTGGGGCTAATGGGGCAGCACCTTGGCCTACAGAAAAGGCCAGCCCCCAGCAGTTGGAGATGGACATGTCTTCTAAAGGAATGTACTGGGAAATCTGGGATAGGATGAAGCACAATAATAACCAGTACCTAGCTCTACAAATACGAGTCAAAACTACCAAACAAGAAGTTTTTACATAAACAGACACAGTACCAGAGGGTTATTGCTATGGGCAGTCACACGTACACGACACCCAGTCAGTATTGCTTTTCTCAGTGCCAGTGCCTAAGTAAGTCTGACCTGCTGGGCCCATCCCACCCAATAGAGTCATTTCCACTCACTGGCATCATGGTTCAAGCATCTGGGAAGAAATAATGAGTCACCATAGGCCAGTCATGCATTTTTTAAACATAGTAAGTGACCATAAACATCACAGGCATCATCTTCTAGTATAATGTAAAAAGTGTGTATCTATATATAGACTGTGTGTGTCCGCTCATAAGGCTCTTACAGACAGGTAAGAAAGCCTAAGTCAGCAGTATGATTGTGAGGTCTCCTATTCTCAACCTTAAAGAGTCTGAGGCTAGGAACAGAAATACTTATGAAGTCTCTGGGAAGTGTCCTGGAAGCCACAGAAATGGTGAGTTCTATTTTAGTCCCCTCAATCTTCTCAATCTTGGCTGCACATAAGAATTGCCAGGAGCAATTTGGAAAATTTCAGTCCTAGGGCTCCACTCCAGATCAATTAAATCAGAATCTTAATGGGTAAGGCCTTGGTTTGGTGGTTTTTTTTTAAAGGTCACCCCAGATGCTTCTAATGTACAGCCAGCACTGAAAACACAGTCCAGAGTCTTCTTTACTAATGATTTGCTGTCAACTATTCTAGTACCCCAAATAAGTCAGAGCTTAGATTTCTGGGAGAATTCTCTGAGGTCACCCCCCCAGCTCTAGCTCTGAGGAGAAAGCCCCCTGGTCACTGGTGACAAGTCTTCCTGCATCTGTCCTTTTTTTTTTTTTTTTTTTTTTGAGGCAGAGTCTCACTCTGTCACCCAGGCTGTAGTGCAGTAGCGTGATCTCAGCTCAGCTCACTGCAATCTCCACTGCCTGGGTTCAAACGATTCTCCTGCTTCAGCCTCCCGAGTAGCTGGAACTACAGGCTCCTGCCATCATGCCTGGCTAATTTTTGTATTTTTAGTAGAGAAGGGGTTTTGCCACGTTGGCCAGGTTGGTCTCAAACTCCTGACCTCAAGTGATCTGCCTGCCTCGGCCTCCCAAAGTGCTGGGATTACAGGCGTGAGCCTCTGCGCCCGGCCCCTGCATCTGTCTTATGGGGCATGAGGCCTCAGAGCAAGACAGCAATGGTCTCCAGGAGGGAGCCGTGCTCGAGAAGTGAGGGTTTGTCTGAGGAGCCAGGGCCCCAAACATCATCATATCATCTGAAAAATAATGCTCCAAATGCTCAATCTGATGAAGACAGCCGACACAGAACAAGAGAATCTAAGTATTCTAGGTCACCAGTTTCCCTTAGTCAAAATTATTCTTCTCCTGAAATTTTACCTTATATCTGCAGCAACTACTGGAGAGCATTCTCTTCAATAGCTCATCCTCCTGTGCCATTTCTGACATTTTTGGTTATAGAATAAAGGCTATTTTTATATATATGACGACTAATATTTTCATCTATATGGAAAATATTATAACCTTCACAAATTCACCTAAATAGTTATTAATAAGGTGACACCTCAAGCACCATATTTTTGCAATTAGAAATTTACCATGTATTGCATATGAATCAAAGGAAAGTAGAATTTCTAAAAGCACCTCAGCATCAGCTTACAATTAGATATCTGGAAGAATACTCACAGTTTATTATACTGGCAATGCATAAAACGCCACTGATGAAGACCCTGCACATGTGTGAAGGGTATCAAGGGCCCCGTGAATGACCTGAGAAGGCTTTCCATTACCTACATCCCTGCTCATTTAGTCTAAGCCATTTGTAGAGATTGGTACTATTCGCCAGTCTCCAGAAAATGACAGTTCATGCAGAAAGCTATATTTGAACTGCCTCCTTCTCATTTTCCAAATGTAATTTTAAAACTGTCCACTTAGATACCTAAAAGCACTGCTTGTTTTTCCATTTTCCTCTCCAGTAATTCTTTCAAACTCTCATCTCTGTGCTTGAAGTATAAGTAATCAGAAAAAGAGGGGCCCCGCCGGGTACTCTGAAAAGCCCTGAGACTGAGACACTCATCTCTGCCGGCACAGTCTCTCTCCTGGCCGCCCTCTGCCCCAAGGTCACCCTTGCTCCTCTTCTCCCATTCTCCCTTGGATGCATCCTCCTTCTCCTCCTTGCAGGCTTCCTCCAGCACCTCGGGGGCGTGCTCCGACTTGGTGGACAGATCCTCGGGTGTGCAGAGCTGCTGGCTCTGGGGGGCCAGGCCAGGGCTGTAGGGCTCCACCTCGTAGCAGTTATCCTCCTCTTCCTCCTCGTGGCAGTGGCTGCCCTGGGCACTCTCCCCGTCTGACTGGAACACCGGCACCTTGGCCCGGCGCTTCTGAGAGAGGTCAAAGGGCTCCTCCTGCTCCAGACTCCTCAGGACACCGGCTGTCTGTGCCAGGGCGATTCTCCCCCTTCCCAGACCTGCAAGAGCAGAGTAAGAATTCATGCACCTGAGGAAATGCTGTGGAAATGGGACCTTGAGGAAGGGGAGCAGCCCGGGGCCGTTTAATGTATTCCGATGCGTATTTTAAAAATAGATCATTCCCAGTAAGGATGTGGTCTTGGGAGGCTTGTAACAGACAGTGTCCAAATCGGTTTAATCCCTTTAAGGTGAATTTGGCAACATGCACCAAAAGCTTTAAAAATAAGCTTTGACTTAGCAATTATGCTACTGAGAATTTAAACTGAAAAAATAGGCAGGCAGGTGCACAAAACACTGTGTGGATGCATATCACCATATTTTTTTTTTATCACAGTCAAACAATGAAAAAACTTTGTATTTAATAATAGGAGTTTGGTTAAATAAATAATGATATATCCATATAGCAAATTATGCATAGGGGATGTAGAGACCTACTAATGATCACAAAAAGATATTTGCTATGTATTTTAAGTAAAAACAAAAATATATGTAAGTATGTGTGTGTGTATTTATTTATAGTGCAGACCTGATTTTATCTAGCTAGCCATTTCTATTAAAAAATATTTGGAAGGAGGGATGTCAAAATCTTAAATTAATGAACACTCTCTTTTCACTTTTAATGTATTATTGTTTTATTTTTTACCATGAGCATATGTTTTATCATAAACAAAAGTAAATCAATAATAAAGCCATTTTCATCTTGAACAAAACAAAGAGAACCTATTTGGGGCAGCAGACACCACCCCTGACTGTGGCCCCTTTGCCAACAGCCTACTCATAGACAGGGTAGAGATGGCATGAAGAGGTCCTCTGAGGAGCTCACACAGCCCCTGTGTCTGACCTCCAGTGTCCCTGCTGTTGGGCACAGTGATTCAAGGAGGCCTCACTTTTGCCTTCAGTTTGCAGGGCTGTAGGGATGGGCTTTTCAGCATGGCAGTTTCATTTGATCCTGTCTTTAAGGCTTTGACCTTTGATGAGCCAATAGTCAGGCCTCCAGGGATGGGCGGGACACTGAGGAGGAGCAACAGGAAGGGAGGGGTCCTGGGGTGCAGCCAGACCAGGCTTCTGGGAGGGGGTGAAAAAAGAAGGGTAGGGGCGATGATGTCCAATTTTGTTCACTTTTTGATGCTGTCAGGCAATGAAGCTGTCTGTATCTTTAATCCTGTCAGGGGACAGGAAAGATCTTTTTAATGATTTTTGAGCCATTTCAAAAGCTAGAGTGAAAAATAAAAGCTAATACCCTTTGTAGATGAAAACACTGAGATTGTTGAAAGTCTGTTAAAATTTTTCAAAGCAACCCTCTGATAGTTATTTTTCCAGAACAACAGAGCTGTTAGGTGTCTTTTAGGATTTGAGCAGCAGTGTGGGGTAAATCATGGCGACCAGGTCATGCTTTCAGTTGGAGTGTGGTCTCCTCACTGACTTGTATGTCTCCCGTCCTGATGACAGAGCAAACCTCACCGCTTCCGGAAAAATCCAGGTCTAGCTTGGGGAAGTGGCTCAGGCAACTAGAGATTCAGTGAATAATTCAGGGGAAAAACTTTTGCAGGAAAAATAAAATTGTTTTTGTTTTAACTACAATTTTTTTCAGGGCTTTTGCACAAACTCCAGCCCTTTTTTTGTGACCACAGCTCCCTGTTATCCAGGAGTCACTAGAAACTCAGCGGGTACTGTAAAAAACCTGAAAGCTACAATCATTTTGTTTCACACTGTGTGTGCATATGTCTATCTGTTTATGAATATGCTTGTCCACTCCACCATCTCTTTTGTAAGGAGGTGAGTGAAACAGCACATAAACAAATCACCCCATGTTTCTGCCTAGGGTAGTGAGCACTGGCTTGATTCAGAAATTGGGCTGGAATCCCAGTTCTGTCTTCAGACTTGCTGTTTGACCTTGAGCAGTTTATCTAACACCTCTAGGCCTTGGTCTCCTCTTATATAAAATGAGAATAACACAGTCTCTTTCACGGCATTGTAGGGCCAAGCAATAATGTCCCTAAGGTGTCTCACCCTGTGCTTTGATCATACTAGTGACCGAAAAGCTGTTAATATGATTTTGCAAACACAGACATCCTAGAGGGCAGATGGTCTCCTTCCCCTAGTATCTGCCGCTGCGTGTAGTTCACTGCTTTGGACACAAGTGCATTTATTGCCTGTTTATTGAAGGGCTGGTTGATTAGACGATTAAGGAGCAACCCTGCTGAATTGAGTAGATCTGGAACATAAACTCTTCACTGCCAAGGGCTCTGGGACTGAGAAGGTAAAGGCAGTGAGAACTTTTCATTAGTTCAGTGAGGATTCAGTGGGGGAGGTGTAAACCCCTGCTCTGCATATGGGCCAATCAGCCCTACCTACCAAGCAGGAAAATTGTCCTTGGGTGTGTCTGATTGTGAACAAGTAGGAAAGACCTAGCCTGCTACCAACATACTTCTGCTAACAGTAAGGCTTGCACATCTGTTTTCTAAAAAGGAAAGAAAAATTGCGTGCCCATTCACAGCAAAGTCATGAAGAGGATACAATAAAGGCTGCACAGTCAGAAAGGCCTAGGTTCAAATCTTGACTCTGCCACTTTTCAGCAGAGCAACTTTGGGCAAATTGATCTCTTGAAGCCTTCATTCCCCCGCTGTAAAATAGAAATAATAGAAGTTCTTCCAGCTTGGAGTTGCCATGAATATTAGCGACAAGCCACCTGATGTAGTGTCTGGAACAAAGGAACAAATAATGGTACCGACTGGCATCATGATGATAGTCCAATTTACTCTAATTCACTTGTACTTACTATGTCAGAAATTAGCATCAGATTTTTTCTAGTAACATTATAAGGTTACTCTTGCTACTCTGCTGTGGTCTTGACAAGAATAACCCTCAAGGTAATGCCCCATAAAACGAATTCAGCTCCCATTTGTTGTCCACTGGACTGACTTGCAGGGCTTCCCAGAAGAGTGATTACCTTGGGAATGAAGGCCCCGCTCCATGACTCCATGCTTGACTTTCATGTGGCGTGTCAGGTTCCCCTTCAGGGTGAATTTGCTTGGGCAATAGAGGCACTTGAAGGGTTTGCTGTCTGAGTGCAGGTGCATGTGGCCCATCAGGTTGTGCATCCGGTTGAATTCCTTCCCACAAAGCTGTTGAAGATGGGGATGAGAACACAGGTTACTCTGCCCGAGTGAAGCCCCATCCAGGCCCCTGGAGCACAGATACCGTTTCTACTTTGTTTGGACATTGACATTTTAATCTGCTTGCAAGGAAAATGTCCATAAGGAAATCAGGAAGGAGCCTCAGAGGTGGAGCAAGTAGGGGTAGATTCATGAGATTTGTTCCTGGATTTCAGAGATCTTTAAATTCAAAGTAAAAATATCAAAGCTTGTAAAGCTTCTTTTGAATAAAAGCTTTTGAAAAGGAGAAGAGCTGATCTAAAAAGCAGTGGCTACAAGTGTTCCTCCTTTAATAATAAGAATGTGATTATGTGTTTAATATTTATGCAGCATTTGCAATATGGAAGGCATTGTTCTAAGTCTACCATGGAATATCTTATTTAATTCTCACACCAATCATATGAGATGGTTGCTATTACCACCCCCATTTTACAGACGCACAATCTGAGGACTTACGTCACTTGGCCGAGGCATACAAGTGGTGGGTGCTGAAGCTGGGTTAATGAACTCAGGCCATCAGATGCCAGAGAACACATGGTCAACCACCAGACCATACTGTGCGTCTCCCAACACAACTCTTCTGTATCAGGCAGAAGAGAATAAAAGAGTACACTGTATTCTTATATACAATGTATTATTATAATACACTGTATTATTGTATACAATGTATCAGACAATGCTTTTTAAGTTGCTTTATTTTCTAATTACTGGCATGGATTTCAAAGATAAAAAAATGAAAAATCATCTAAGGAAGGAGTGTGTCTTTTCTCTGGGTAGAAATTTGAAGTAGTGAGAGTAGTATCTCAGGTGTACAGGAAGTAAGCATGTTTTATACTCTTTCTTTCTTTCTCGTCATTCTCTCTATTTCAATCAAAGTGCAAATACATGAAGGACAACTGGTTCTCCAACTGCTTTTGGAAGAGGAGCAGAACTTTCTTCTCACAGGTGATTTTGTATATGCAGAAAGCGCAACCCAGAAGCAGACTTCTCTGGGGGTGCTTTTGTTGTCCCCAAGCCTTACTAGAACAGGACAATTTCAGCCCTTCCTTGGCTGTGGCAGGAGGAATGCAAACAGTGATTTTGTGTCTGTGATTGGACAAGAATGTTAAGGGAGGAGAATTCTCCTTCCCTCCCCAACCTCAGAGGCCAGTGGAGCTGGGGCTGCACTATGTAGTGAGAGAGGCCACAGAGACACTCAGGGTGAGGCATCCTCTGAGGCTTACACCAGTTTTCCTTTCTCACTGAGATATATTTTTAGGGCCAATGCTGGGGATTCTGGACTAATTTTTATTAATGAAGGCAATAATTTCATTAGTTGGCTATGGGAGATGAGTGTTGAGCTCGTCTTGAAAGAGTAGATAGACCTCTCAAATGATGATTTGGGGAGTTTAGCGTAGAAGAATGCTGGGTCCATGTATGGATAATAAATGGCTGGTTCTGTATTCTTGAATGATTCATGTTTGAGAATTGTAAGTACTTTCCTCACTTTTGCTCTCTCTTACTAGCATGAATGAATTTGGCCTACAGGGTGGGGTTCCAAGCTCAGCATCCAGACAGAGCACCTGCACACCACATTCATTTGAAAATGGTGACCTAAGAGGGGAAAAGGATGACAGAATTGGTCTAATTCCAACTTTCTCAAGAAAAGCAATATGTAAGATAGATGACTCTTTTATTCTCAATTGAGATAATTTATTAAGATGTATCAATCTGTGGCTCAGCATGCACATGTATAAAAGTTCTATTAGAGTTGTATTTATTAGCTTAATTTGCCCACTTCTCCACCATCATGGCTGAAAGGTTTTTTTTTTTTTTTGAGATGGAGTCTCGCTCTGTTGTCAAGGCTGGAGTGCAGTGGTGCCACCTTGGCTCACTGCAGCCTCCACTTCCCAGGTTCAAGTGATTCTCGTGCCTCAGCCTGCCAAGTAGCTGGGACTACAGGCGCCTGGCTAATTTTTGTATTTTTAGTAGAGATGGGGATCTCTGGCCATGTTGGCCAGGCCGGTCCCAAACTCCTGACCTCAAGTGATCCATCCGCCTCAGCCTCCCAAAGTGCTGGGATTACAGGGGTAAGCCACCATGCCAGGCCAAAAAGAAGCTTTGAACCTAGAGATTCTACATTAGGGATTTCCAGTCACGGGTCATTTTTAGAAAAAGCTTACCTCATTTGGATTGTGGGATGGTTCCTGGTTATTTGGAGTGAAGCTGCTGTTACAATTGCTGAGTATAACCAGTATTTGGTTCAGATATGTTCTCACTCAGGAGACTGCAACATGCATTAAAGCTTTGCCTGCTTTTTTATTTATTATCTGCCTAGTATTGGCGTGACACATCATAGTTCCTCAGTAAGCATCTGCTGAGTGAGGAAAGGGGTGGGAAACATAGCCACGGAAGAATTGATCAAAGGAAAAGCCATGAGTGGTTAAGGACAAGGCATGTAGCGGGAGAGAAGCTGAAGGCCAGAAGATCAATTAGGCTACTGCACTAGTCCAGGCATGAACGGGGTCTGGTGGTCCTATAGGCCAGAAAGAGGTCATTGAAAAGAAGTGACAAGCACCTTCTGCACTTGGCTCGCATGATGAGAGAAATTCTTTCAGTTATTATCTGTGGTTGCTGAAGCCTTAGAAACTGAACTGGTCTGAGAAGGTTTTGGAAAGGGGATGGAATTTTAGCCTAACTGTGAAAAATGTGTAGAGTGCAGTTTGTTGTACACAAAGATAAAGTCTCTTCATAAGATATTTTCAGACACTTCAGTCAACCTTACACCACAAGTAAGGTAACTACTATTGTGACAATGATCAAATTCTTGTTGCTGCCACACCTTCTGGGACCTTGGGGTACTGTAGACCTTGCAATTCACCTGCCCCAAGGTCCCATCTATTTCCCTTCCCCAACTCCATGCACAGGGGTGAGCGCCTGGTAAAATGGTGTCTGGGCTCTAAACAGCATCCCAGGGAGTCTCCAATGAGCTGACTTCCTTTTCTTTGCAGCCAACTCAGTATCAAGCACAGGACTACACATATGGTACACTTCTGAATGCCTAAGTCTTTGGTTGGGGAAATAAACAAGTCAGAGAAATATCATTACTTCATGCAAAATTCTAAAAAGCAGCCATCACCAGCTCTCATCCTTTTCCCACAAAACCTATTAGTTTTCAAACTAAACTCCTCAGTGGCAGAAGGATAGAGCCAATTAACACAGGACCTGAGATACTCGGGCTCCATTCACACCTGGGCGGTAGGTACTTAGCTTCTTCCTCTCAGCCTCTGACCTTCCACCAAGCCTTTAGGTTCTTATCCAGAACACTTGGCCTTCTCATCTTTCACAGAAGATTGTCCTCATCTGAAAACACCCAAGTGTATGGAGATATTTTATGTCTGTGAAACTCAAGAGAGAAACCTCTCACACACTGTTAGTAAAGAGAGGCCAGAGAAAGAGGATGGGGCCAGTGAATCACAGTGCTCTTGGGTGGAGCCTGAGATGTGAGCCCCAAGCAGAATTGTCACACTAGGGGATGGGAGTTAGACGAGAGGGAGGAGGAATGGATAGGAAGGACCACCAAATCTCTAGGTTCTTCTCCAGAGAAAAGCAGCCATTGAAGTCAAGGTCTCCTTAAATCATGTGATGTGAAGCTAAGAGTGTGCCCAAGCAGGACCTGCTGAATCATCTCTGCCAAGGTCTGTGGAGATGAAAATAGGAGTGGATGTTGGTTCAGGAAGCCGCTGGAGTGGTGAGGACTCTGATCTCATTGCGCAGGTGCGCATCTCCACCAGCGTGCCCCCGCTTGACCTCTCGGTCACTCCAAGGAACACCGTCAGTGTGTCTTGACATGAAATCTCAGCTTCTCCATCCACCCGCTTTTTAAGATGGAGGTAGACTTCAAAATTTAATAAAAAATGGAAAAAAATATTTTAAAGTGCCCTTTAAACGTGGGTTGCATGGGTTATTAGGCTTTGAGATGTCAGAGTAGTGAGAGGAGGTGTAGACACAGAAGGACAGAGAGCTTGCTCCATTTTCTCTTCTGTATAATGTTGATAATAGTCATTGTTTCCTATGAAGGTTGTTGTGAGGATCAAGTGAGATAATTCACAAGAAGGACTTGGCAAATAGTAAGAGCTCAATAAATATTAGCTCTTTTTACTATCATTATGGTGTATATAGTAGATTCTTTTACATTCCAGAAATGGAAAGCTCTTTGAAGATGAGGGGAATATTAAAGGAAGAGCCAAATGAGGAATCTGCTTAGTAAATATACCCACCAGGCTACTTGGAGTGTAGTAGAAATGCAAGCGGTTGTGCCTGCCCCAGGTCTAGGAAATGAGGATGGAAAAAGAGGCTTCATCCAAGGTTCAGGGCTGGGAGAGGGCCGAGTTATTTGGCTCCCCCATCCTTAGTCTGCCCTTTGAACAGCTGACGGATGCCTGTGTGCTCCGGGCCTCCTCGTCCCGGCCTCCTGGCACCCTTCTCCTCCCTGGTCCAGAGCCTGGAGGCACCTCAGGCACTTGCCATGAACCCCAGTGGCCATGCTGACAGCCATGGAGAAGTCGGCTGTGGCCAGAGACAGGGTGATAGCAGTGGGCAGCCACTGGGCTGGGGCCAGAAGCAGCACACCGCCTCGCCCCAGCCAGCCTGGTGTGAGCTTTAAAAATGAGATGCACCAGGAAGCCTGTGTTTTCCTATTCAGAGAGAAGAGGTCAGAGAGCTGTGGCCTGCAGCTGAGGAGAATGGCCTCCGTGAAACTGCCCTTCCCGCACATTCTTCTCCCTCTCTCTCTTTTAATAAGAAGGGTGTTCCTTTCCTCAAAGGGAGAGAGAGGGAGGGAGGGAGAGAGAGACTGTAAACTGTCCAAAAGGACCGTGAGAAAACAGGAAGCTTTGAAAAGTACAAGAGAAAGCAAGATGAAATCTATTTGCAGGCGGTCCCCTGGGGACATGTGAGGCATTGTTAAGCAGGCAGTTCATACGGCTATATCCTTCCTTCTGCTGAGGAGGGCTTTGCTGCCAAAAGGCTGCTATCTGGTCACTGCCTTAACCCCCTCCATGCCAGCCTGAAAACTCTGACCCCAAACACTGGGCCCCTCAAAGCCCCCCATCTGGTTTCTTCCTTCCTGGAGCGTCAAAGAAAGTGAGGGGAAAATGGAGCCAGTTTGACAACAGTGGTGGAACCCCTCTGCAGGGAGATCTCATCCCTATTCTGACAGCTCTGCCCTCTGGCCTTCAGCCTTCTGCTACAGACAAGGTTTCAGATGACCTGGTGATTCATAACTTAGGCAGCTGCCGGCTTCACCCATCTCAAAAGAGAATTTGTCCCGGAAATTCTGGATGGCTGTTTTTCCTGGACAGGTTTCCCGAAGACGGCAGCTGGTTCTTTGCTGTTATGGAGTTTGGCCACTACAAGGATAGGCTCCAAATCAACCCCTGTGTGCTTACCCAGAATCTGGGAAGCATATTTCTGAAAAGTGGCTTAAGTCTACAGGCGCAGATCTCTGGAAAAACTCCAGCTGGCTCCAAGAAGCACGAGTCCAAAAGTCCAGCCAACAGCAAAAGAGCCGAGAAGGGCAGTAACTTTTTTATAAGGAAAAAAAGAAAAGAAACATGGAATGGAAACCTTTCCTCTCCTCTAATTTTCCATCCTATTGTTAATGCCTAATCCCACAGTGAGTGAACATTTCTGCGTGCTAGGGACAGCTGTTTCCACTGAGCACTGGGCTGGAGAAGATCAGTTCATATTGAGACAGGAGGAAGGATGCATGTTAAGAAGGAATTTTAATGGTGAGAATCCCCCAAAATTAGACTCTGTTACTAAAAGCCTCTTCCTTGTTGTGAGTTTTTGGGTAAAGGAGAGAGAACGAAGACTGCCTCTTCTGCCCAGCCACGTCAATCACAAGACATGAAGTGGATGGCTCTTCCCTGTTATGGCAACAAAACACAAGTTCAGTTGCCTGGCTTGTACTCCAACACCACGGAGCAGCCAGCCAGCCATGTCTCTCAGATGGCTGTGAACTGCATTGCAATGGGCAAATGGCCCTCCATCCCTCTGTCAACTCCCAAATCCCCAACAACCTTCAACCAAGGCCAAATTTCCAAGAATCTAGCACAGCATAGTTGGGAAGCAAGAACCACAGGACAGCATCTTGAGATGGCTCACGCCACCATGTGACCTGGAGCTAGTTTACAAATGCAAAGAGCCTTGTGACATAATCTGTAAACCCAGACATGCTCTGCAAGTCTGTTGAAATGAAGAAGGGCAATGGTACAAAGAGGGCACCCAGCAGGGTGACACTGATGGGAGATGGGGACAGGGAGAGGAAGACCCTGACTGTATGCTTTGAGCACTGTCTCAGAGACAGAGGGCTGTGAGTCAAGGTGGCTGACACTCATTCTTGTTTCACAAATGGCTAAGAATGGAGAAGGCCCACCTTCTCCATTGCTTCACAAGAACGCCCTTTCACATCCAATTCTTTTTGTCTGATGATAGATGACACTCTCTAGGGAGCCTCCTGACCTCTAGTGAGGTCTCCTGAGAGGACTTACCAACAGGAAGAAGCAACCTTTGCAAATGACCAGTCCAATTCCTGTGCCAGGCCCATCTCTCCCATTGTAAAATATAAGCTGTGCATTGTTTCAAAGCTGGCATTCTACTTTATAAACCACTCTCTTATGGGTTGTGATGGTGTGGACCAGACATGGAGCCTCATCTAACCTCAAGAAATGGGTAAAATAGTTTCTGAACTGTAAAGCTGAGCATCCAACATCTTTTGGACCATGTACATGCACCATCATTGGAGTGGAGCAGGAAGGAGCCATCGTTCATGAAAGGAGGCCCTGAACATCAAGCTGGGATTGCTCATTGCATCAAAGGCCCAGGTTCCATAGCACCTTGCAGTTTCTTGTGCACTAATACTAGAGAGAACCCTCTAGATCCTCAGATACTACCTGGTCCAAGAAGTCCTCCAAGCCCCTGAGGGTAGAGAAGCAGAAATGCCTTTGTACCCTCAAACCACACACAACCTACACTGGCTTTGCCCCCTGACCTAACCCTATATTTCAGGAACGTTTTCTGCCTGGTTTTACCACTGCTACTGGACCAGAATTGATGAGGTGGAGGTAGGAGATGGCTGAACTTGACAGATGTGAATTTTCAGGGGATTATAAACTATGTTAATGGCTCTCTTCATATTTTAGCAACTTGACTCCACCACTATCAGTTGATAAGATTAAAAATTCAGTTAATGCTTGAAGCCCAAGAGTAAACTCAACACAAGGAATGAAGAATGGCAAAGAGACCTGCTTGAACCTCCATTGTAGGAGACAGTAAACCCTTTGCAAGAAGAAACAGCTCTGTGAAATGTGAAGTGCTCTGGGGGCTCAGTGAAGTGGGAAGGAAATGAAAGAAGTCCCTAAAGAGAGAGAGAAGAGGAGGCCGTGGAGTCCATCGCTGCATGCAGCCAAGGCCTCACTTCATGGGCATACAACACAAGGTCCCATAGTCAGAAAGCTCCTGAGTTTGGCTTAATGCTCTGCTTCCATCATCTTTAACTCCTGGTAATGTTTGAACAAGGAGCCTTGCATTTCCATTTTGCATTGAGTCCTGAAAAATATGTGGCCTGTGCTGCATGAAGCTGATTCTTGCTTTAGACGGATGTAAATTGACTTTCGAACCACTGGGAATATGAAGAAAAGGAGGGGAAACAGAAGTGGGTGGCAGGAAAAGGGCTGGAGGGAGAAGCCTCCCTCTCCCACCTCTGGACAATGCCCACACAGGTCTAGGGAAGCTCTGGTGTCTGACCCCTCACCCCTTCCAAGAGTTGCCAACACAGGAAAGAAGTCAGCTTCACAGGGGATTCCTTCAAGTGGGGCCACACTGCAGAGGTATTAAAGCAGGAACAGTCCCTGGAAACAGGGAACCCCACTTCAGGAATATAGATCAGCAGAGTATCATTTGAACCCGATTAGGTACCCAGTAGCAGAGAGAAAAAACCTCCATTTCAAACAGAAGGGCTGTAACGATATCTGAATGTGGTAATTTCCCTCTTCTTCCCCCTCAGCCTTCTTCATGACCGGATGACACTTGGCCAGTACATCACTCGGATTAAACCCAGTCATGGCCAATGCTCTCTCCTCATTTTAGAAGTAGAGAGAGGAAACACTCTTGTGGGGTGGGGACAGCCTCGGGGAGCCGGAGCATTTCTGAGTAATGCCCGTCAGCGCCTTGGGTTTTACAAATCTCCAGCTCACACGTTTTCTCGGCTGATGAAATACAAACCCAACCAAATTAGTCTAACAGATATTTTAACAAAGATGCTCCATCCCTGTGCTACATGGCACTTAGCAATAGGTGAAAGGCACTTGAAGTGACTGTGCTCGCAGTTATTCCACAGCCCCAGCAAGCATTTCTGAGGGCCTCTGAGGGGCTAGCTTTGGAATCCCTCTCACCGTCTCTAGGAGGCCTGCCCTCAAACTAAACATATGGCTCAGCCCAAGTGTCAAGAGGCAAGGAGAGGAGAGGAGGTGGCGGTGGGTGGGGGGGAAGCTGTGCTAGAAGCTTCTCTGACTCTTTTCTATGTCCTGCTCATTGCCTTGTAAGGAGAAGAAGGCTAAACTTGCCTTCTCCTCTCTAGAACAAAGGCTCTCCACATTACTTGCATCCTTTAACAGCCTCCTTCTCCAAAAGGGCCTTCCACCCTCAGACCTTTCCCTAGTGCCTGGCTCTACCCCTGGGCATGGATGCCACAGTGAGACAAATAGGGCAGGCTCCTTAGGGACCTCCAGCCTGGCATGATGTAAGTGGGGCGTGCAGAGAGGGATAGAGTGGCAGATGGGACCTGGGGTTGGCCACGGACCTACTCTGAGCCCCCGTAGCCCCACTGATGAAACAGAGTAGAAGGCTCCCTGGGGACCCTTTCCCATCAGGCATTTGCACAACCCTCTGGTTCCTCTCTAGTCCCACTGCCCACCTTGCATTTGAAAGGCTTCACGTCAGAGTGGACGATCATGTGTGCCTTGAGGGTCTGCTTCTGCACGAAGCTCTTGTAGCAGAGGTGACACTGGTAGGCGCGGATGTTGGTGTGGATCAGCACGTGTCGCTTCATGTTGGCCAGCAGGGTGAACTCCCGCCCACAAATCCCACACTTATGCTCCTTCACACCCTGCAGGGAGGCAAGATTCAGAAAAGTGGTGATTGACAGGTAACATGCTTTCATCAGGATCATAGGCTTCATTTTCCTCTCTGCCACATAAATCCACAAAGAGCTTGGTGATAGATGTTGAGTTTCAAATGGTGTAGCTTCAGCCTTGTTAAATTACTATTTTCTTGAAAAGTGTTGATTATATAACCTTTTTTTTCCTTCTGAAAACCATAAACTAGCCAGACTATTAGAGGAAAAGAAAGCTCTTGCTTTTGTTGTTCCAGCTGCTGCTGGGGTTAAGTCTCCAGTGATAGTTCTTGAGGATTAACAGGCTTTTAGTAAGAGCACTATGGGCTGATATGCAATATGAGTCCATAATCCAGCTTTCATGATAATGAAAAAAAAATCTTCCAAAATGATATTATCATTTCCCTTATGGAAACCAATGTTCTCTTGGGTTCTCATTAATGGACTTGAAAATCCCAGAACAACTTATATCCACACTGCAGTAAATTACAACTTAAATTACAACTTGATAATCACCCTCTCAAGTTGGTCCCCTGGGTTCCCACAGGCCACACTGACCTCCACAATGACATGGTTATGGAGCCTTCCCTAAGCCAGCTCCTTCTTATAAAGAAATTTGGCAAGAGGTAGCTTTCTGAATTAAGGAACAGGACAGGAGGCTTTCTTGTTTCCTTGCTGTGCATGAAGGTGTGTTTGAACCAAGGCCCTTAATTGAGAGCATTTCCAGGGACTCACAGCTTGAGCCGGGCATTCACTAATCCTGACTATCCATTGCTTCCCCACAAAGGCCTTTGCAAGAGGTCTTGACCCTGAATGACTTTTGGGAAGAAAAATTTAGAGAACCAGGGCACTAAACTGAAGGTTATCATAGGATTAGAACAAGTTACTTAGTTAACAACTGTACCTGATGAAATCCATATTGCCTGGTATTCATAGTGGCTGAAGGAGGGAAGGAGGGATTCCAAGCTCATCTCTGACTCTCTCTGTCTATGTTTCCATTTCTTTACTTTGAGGCATGGTAAGAAAGAACCACTCTGCAGTTCTGGTGGGCCCATGGTACTAAATGGTGGATTCAGGTCTCTGCCCAGCTGTTTACTGGCTGTAAAACCTTAGATGAGTCGTGTGGCCTTTTTTAGTGAAGGCTTCTCATCACAAGATGAAGTGGTGGGTCATGAGAACCCTGGGGTTCTTTCTAACTCAAGCACTGTCTAGTCCAGATGATGGTACATGAGTATGCATTTATGTTAATAAGGAGACCTAGAAATCAACCTCCTTTAGAAATTAAATTTTGATTCTGCCTATGGAGATGAATCTTTAAAATGTAGTGCATATTCAAACACTGAGTTTAAGATTATAAAATTAATGAAAAACATTTTCTTAATGGATTTTAAATTTTATTTTAGCATCTTTCTTTTTTTTTTTTTTTTTTTTTTGAGACGGAATCTCACTCTGTTGCCCAGGCTGGAGTGCAGTGGCGTGGTCTCGGCTCACTGCAAGCTCCGCCTCCTGGGTTCACGCCATTCTCCTGCCTCAGCCTTCCGAGTAGCTGGAACTACAGGTACCCGCCACCATGCCCGGCTAATTTTTTGTATTTTTAGTAGAGACGGGGTTTCACCGTGTTAGCCAGGATGGTCTCGATCTCCTGACCTTGTGATCCGCCCGTCTCGGCCTCCCAAAGTGCTGGGATTACAGGCGTGAGCCACCGCGCCCGGCCAGCATCTTTCTTCTCTCAAGATTTTCTCTGGGCTTGGATCTGATCCATTTGTCCTGAAACCAAGGAGACGTTTCTGCTTATCACTGTTTTCAGAATTCTTTAAAGAGAATTCTGTGTCCAAAGTAAGATTCACCTGTGGGCTGGCCTAGAATGCAAATGAGCAGGAGCCTGGACACAACTTTAAGGCAACAAAGGAAGCTGTTGTCTCTCTGATAGGATCAGTGGAATCACAGAGTCGGAGCCTGTCAGGTGGTCAGGGGTGCGAACAGGGAAGCAGGTGGAAAAGAGGAAGTGTTCACTGTAGAGTGGCCAAGGCACAGGTGCCTGTGTCAGAGATTCCTGAGTGACCTCCCATGCCTCAGTGTCTTCAACTGCAGATCGGGAGTAGCTCTTAGAGTTGTTGAGAAGTAAATGAGGATTAAATGAAGAGTGAAACACCTGTCATATAGCAAGTGTTCAACAAATACTACCTCTCACTGTTTGCTGACACCTCTCATTAAAGTGTATTTTGTTTTAATTAAAATTCAAATGAAACTTATTTCAGACACCAGGCTGTTTCTCCCATTTTGACTTCATTTTCTACCATCTTACAGGATCTTCATATGCTCTAAAATGCACTTTTGATTCCTTTCCCACATATAAAGGAGCCCCTGAAGTTAGCGAATGGTCCCCTTTACGGCTGAATCCCAGTCTGGGTCCTTTGTTGATGGTTCCTGCACTTGGCAGGCGACTCCCCTCTGGATAGTATCTACAGGTACCTTTTGTAGGGCAGGAGCTGTTTGTGCAGAGCCCACAAGGCAGCCACACATTTCATCTCTGTGGCAGAGCCAGAAAATACCCTGTGTTTTGTCCTAACCTAAGAAGTGAAACGTATTATAGCACAGCAGAAACATTATCTTGGCTGGGCAAAGTCCTCTCCTGACCTTTCAGAATTAAAGAATGCTTTAGAAACTCTGGCTTGCTAGAAGTCTTTCCTGCCAAGAAAACCACTTGAGGTTAAGGGTGTGAGAGTGGGAGTCAGTGGGGGCAAAACTCCCTCTCGGAGGCTCAGAGCAGGTTCCATACTTTAGCTGGGGTAAGATTTCAGGAACACCACTAGGGCCTTGTTTTAGTTCAGCCTGAATGACTCCAGGGCTATGGTTGCAAACTGGGCTGAACTCAGACTCTTGGGCCTGTATTTCCCCTTGAAGACCTGAGCACAGAGAAGATCAAACAAAACCAAACAGAGAAGGATGCTTTCTCATGCCTCCTACAATGTAAACCACAGGGCACTTCACCCAGCTAGGCACGGGTCCAACGCAGGGAGGTATAGGCCCTGCCGGCCTCAGCCAAGCTCTGCTTCCCTTGGAGAACTTGCATATGAAGCAGGTCTCACAGTTGAGGGAGAAAACAATCCAAAAAGTTTTCCACTGCTTCAACAGTACAAGACGAAGAGAATTATCCAGAAGGTGCTCCCTGGCACATCCCAGGCACAGAGCTGATCTAGGGTCTGATGACTTACTCATGCTAGTGCCTTGGATGAAGTTTCTAGAAACCGAATCTGCAAGATTCTTGGAGGCTAGGGAGCATCCTTCCTCATCTCCTCTGCAAATGTCTGCATTATTTATTTCTAGGCCTACCTTAGAGTCTAGAAGGCTGCTGGGGCAAAGGGCTTGGTCGAGAATCGTTCTCTCTTATTTAAACGTGAGGAAGGACCTCAGGGCTCGGCCAAGGGACCGCTTGTCCGGGGTTGCCCACCTCCTCGGGGTAAGGTGCAGAGCGGCACAGGCGTCCTGCTCCCCAGTGCTCTGCTCAGGGCCCCGCTCCTCTTCCCAAGGCCCCGTCCGCCCCACCAGAGGCCCCGCAGTACCTTGTGGGTGAGGGAGTGCTGCTTGAGGTGGTGCGGCTGCACAAACTCCATGCCACACTCTGAGCAGATGTAGGGCCGGATGTCCTTGTGCTTCATCATGTGGTTCTGCAGCTGGCTCGGGTACTGGAAGGTCTTGTCGCACTCGGAGCAGTTGTACTGGATGGGGCCCCGGTGCGTGGTGAGGTGTCTCTTCAGCTGGGCCAAGGTGGGGAAGTCGAGGCCGCACTCCACACAGATGTTCTCGCGCCCACTGGCGTGCTTGGCTTCGTGGGCCTTGAGCTCGCTGGGGTAGGCAAAGCCGCGGCCGCACACGCGGCAGTTGTGCGGCTTCACCTCGCTGTGCTGCATCATGTGGCGCTTCAGGTGGCTGGTCTGGGTGAAGGCCTTGTGGCACACCTGGCACTTGTGGGGCCGCGTGCCCTGGTGGGTCAGCATGTGGGTATGCAGGTGGCTGAGCTGCTTGAAGAGCTTCCCGCAGTGCGTGCACGCGTGCGGCTTGATCCCACTGTGGCCCAGGATGTGGGTGACCAGGTTGTACTTGGAGGTGTAGGACTTCTCGCAGGTGGGGCACTGCCAGCGCTTCTGCGAGCCGCCCACGTCCACGTAGTAGCTGTCATCGATCTGCACGTTCACGTCCACCCTCTCCACCTTCTGCTTGGTCTCCTCGCTCTCCTGGGGCTCGGCTTTCCGGGGCAGCAGAGGTTCCGGGGGCTGCTTGGGCAGGAAGGTGTGCCGGCTGAAGGGGAAGGGCGAGGACGAGGGCACGAAGAAGGGGAACATGAGGCCCGGGTGGACTTTGGGGTAGTAGGGGTAGGGCGTGGGCAGGAATGGAGTGGGCGTTGGCTGGGGCCACACGGCGCTGGGCTTAATGGGTTCCTGCTTGACGGGCTTGCCCCCAAAGTGTTCCAGGCTGCGGTAGAATTGGAAGCCCACGTTGCACAGGTCGATCATCTGAGAGTCATACTTGGGGCGCGGGGGCTGCGGGAACAGCAAAGGGAGGTTGGGAAGGCCGTGGTTTTTGTTCTCCTCTGAGTGGAGGGCGAGGGTGACTTCTTCTGCAGGGTGGTTATAGGGCATCTTTGTGGGCATGCTCTTCCGTTTCCTAGACCCTGCTCCTTCGAAGACCCCGGGGAACCCATCTAGGTCTCCTGGGGGAGGTTCATACCGAAACTGGGAAAATGGCCCTCGGAGAGCTTCCGGGAAGGGGTGTCTTTGGGGAGCCTTTCCCCGAGAAGCCACTGGCTGCAGGCAGTGGGGAAAGGAGGGGGTCTTCTTCACAGCCAAGTCGAAATGCACATCCTCGTCTTTGATCATCTTCATTTCCTTCTGCATCCTTGGCAATTTTCCTTTAAAGAGAAAGAAACTTGTGTGTTTTGGTTTGGTTTTGTTTAAAATTCTCTTTTTCCTTAAGGATTATGGCTATTTATCAGTACTAATTTATGAAGAGTAGTACTTGCTTAATATGGACCCTCATTTATCCTAGGGCTGTTCAAAATATCGCTTTTCTTTCTCCTTGCAAACCCAGTTATCAATATGGATAGCACTGGCCTCTTGGGGTGACCCTAGGGCTGAATCAAATTGGGCTCCAGTGTAAATCCAGCCACAAAACCACAAGGGGTGATGGTAGCAAGGGAAGTGGACTAGTTTGGGAAGAAACCTGAGAACTCATCTGGCCATTGTCCCCATTTAAGATCAGGGTACCAAAGTCCAGATAAATGAAATGACATTCTCAAGTTACATAGGTACTCACTGAAGGAGTGAGCACTAGACCCATTCTGCTGCAGCTTTTCAATCTGAGTTGTAATTACATCTACTAATGGTGATTGGAAAGTGACTTTTAGGGTCTTTTCTTTGTGTAAGGAAACCAATTTTCACTGCTACTCCCTTGCTTGGGCCTTTGCTGCTGGAAAATGAGGATATTCAAAGCCTCATAGGAGAAGGGATGTTAATGCTTAACTCAGATCTAATCGTTTCTGAGTATCCACTCTGAGTAAGGTGTGCTACTAAGGCATAGGGAGTGAATGACATAAACATGATTTTAAAAAGCATATTGAGTAGCTCAATGTTATAAAGTCATCCTGGCAATGTACACATTCCACTCTTAAACCTGAAGCAAGCTGGAATGAAATATTCCTTTATTATGTGAAATAAAGCCGCACATGGGTCTCTCCTTTCAGACAGGTGTCAAAGTAAGGGGCAGGCTTGGTGACTCCTGTGGTGCCTGACATGTCCCCTGCTGACACAGCCAGTTACTGTGTCCTGAGACATAGGCATGTCTGAAAGAGCTGGTGGTGGGACTAGAGTCTGAACAAGGGGCAGTGTTTTTCACGTCTCCTTGCCAGTTTTCTTTCTTTCTTTCTTTCTTTCTTTCTTTCTTTCTTTCTTTTTTTTTTTTTTTGGAGATGGAGTCTGGCTCTGTTGCCCAGGCTGAAGTGCAGTCCAGTGGCACAATCTTAGCTTACTGCAATATCCGCCTCCTGGGTTCAAGTGACCCTTGTGCCTCAGCCTCCTGAGTAGCTGAGATTACAGGTGTGCGCCACCACGCCCTGTTAATCTTTGTGTTTTTAGTAGAGACGGGGTTTCACCATGTTGGCCAGGCTGGTCTTGAACTCCCGATCTCAAGTGATCCACCCGCCTCGGCCTCCCACAGTTGTGGGATTACAGGCGTGAGCCACTGCACCCATCCTTGCCAGTTTTCTGTCTTCTTCATATGGATACTGACAGAATGAACCAAGTGCTAACTCCACATTTCCAGTAAGGGTCAGTTCTACCCAAGTCCTCTGAGTTTGAGTGGGATCAATCCCTTTTGCTCATCAGATGCTCCCATGGAGCCAGCTGGCTTGGCCAGGTGTAAGGTCTGATGTAGGGCCACTGGAGATAGGGCTGACATAGAGTCTTAGACTAACTCAGGGCTCTAGCCCTTGGGATTGTCTACAAACAAGGCAATATGGGGTGAAGGTCCCAGGGCTGAGAGGGCCAACAGTTTTCAGTGATTTTCTATGGTCCTTGGCGAGTCGGATACAGCTTTTACAATGATCCAGCTGTTCTTAAATTCTTAAATGGCATGTGTGTCTTTTTGGGAGGCTTGAGAGCTGCAGTACAATTAAAACAAAAATGAGCCTTTTTTTGTTTGGTTACCTAGTCTATATACAGACAATCCAATGAGGAAAAAATATGTGCCTTATTATTTAACTATCTGGGCATTATTTAAAGCTGGACAGATAACTAAAAAAATAATGCTTAATATTTGCTTTGTGTTTATGTGAGTGGAAAGATAGCCCTGGCTTGTCTTTCTTACCGTGGGTTTGGGGCTTAGTAATTATGAGCAAGCTCTTGTATGTCCAGCAAATGGTAGGCCCAGCCTGTGTCTTAGCTTTGCTTCCTCCTAAAATTCTTATTGCAATGCTAGATCTTCTTCCACTGCTGCCTCAGGGGCCAGGCAATTGTAGGAAGTGACAAGGGCAGTGGGAGAATGAAATGTCTAGCTTTATGAGACCCGGAGGGGTGTGGGTGGGTGAAATGAGAGTCGTGCTGCGCTATCAGAAAGGACCAGCAGGAGGATGGGGAAACAGAGGTTATTTGATGGTTTTTCTTGTTTACTAAATCATCTCTTAGCTTGCAATCCAGCAGGTCCTGATCTCTAGATTCACATAGAGTTATAGAGGGTGTGGCCCTGGCCCAAGAATTTGTTGCATCTATAAAAATAATTGACTTTCAACAAGACTAAACGTGTCCTGCTGAATTGGAGGGGAAAATGGAAGATCCTTTCCCTATTATTTCATTTGGAACACAGTCGGTTTATAACCCCTTGAGAGATAAATTTCTTTTAGTAGAAAGGCTGCTCAGATTGGAAAAGTCTCTTCCAGACTACAAGTACCTATGGCAAACCATTGCAGAGCCCATCGAGAAGCAAACTGGTTCTCTTTTTAAAAATTTCCTCTGATTAAAAGAGGCAATAATTCCTGGTACATGCTAGAGAGCTTGGGTTGAGAATTAGTGAAAAAGAAACATGTCAGAACCTGGGCCAAAACGTACTGAGTTTCCTGTGTATTTTATTATTAAGAAGTTACTTCTTCTTAAGTACATGGCTAATGACGTGTTGTATCTTTATACAACGTGCTGTAGCTTATACTGGAAAGCTACCGACTTGGAATGGAATGTTATCACTAATTGTGAAACGGAAGTTATTTCAGTCTATGCACGTTATTATTGCCTTTGTTTAATATTTTTGTTTTTAGTTATGACATAATCAACTAATTGTTTCCTTTTAATACATTAGGAGTTGTAATATACTCCTAATATAATGTTAATCTCAAAAGCATATTTATTTTCAGCATTTGAATTTTTGTCACCATTGTCCTAGTAAAGCAAAAAAAAAAATGTCGAACAGAGATGATGTGGCTATTTCTTTAAACATAAATGGCACAATTATGTCCCCAAATGCAGAGAATTTAGGTGCATACATTTTAATTTTTTACGTATCTTAATGTCATAATATTAATTTCCCCCAGTTTCTGTGTGTATGTATAATGATTCTCCCACCCTTAAAATAGTAGTCTGTGCACACTAGAATAAAATCAGAAACCCAGAAGGTTTTTTAAAAAGTAGGATCTCGGCTGGGCGCAATGGCTCATGCCTGTAATCCCAGCAATTTGGGAGGCTGAGGCAGGTGGATCATGAGGTCAGGAGTTTGAGACCAGCCTGGCCAAGATGGTGAAACCCGTCTCTATTAAAAATTCAAAAATTAGCCAGGTGTAGTGGCGGGTGCCTGTAATCCCAGCTACTTGGGAGGCTGAGGCAGGACGATTGCTTGAACCCAGGAGTCGGAGGTTGCAGTGAGCCGAGATTGCACCACTGCACTCTAGTCTGGGTGACAGAGCAAGACTCTGTCTAAAAAAAAGAAAAAGAAAAAGAAAAAAGTAGGATCTATCCAGGGAAATTTTTACAGACATTTAAAACAGCAGTCCCTTTCTGAATACAGATGTTTTTCTGCATAAAGACCTTAAGGATCATCACCGGTCCCTACAGAGGTCAAGGAGAACTAGATCTGATTTCCCCTTGGCCTGCTTGAAAGAGAGATCAGCTGTGGCTGCTTCTAGCTATTAATATCTCTGCCTTTGAGCACCAGCACCAGGTGATAAGGAGAAGCCCGAGGTGGTGAAACAACAACAACAACAAAATCTAGCAAACAAACCATCCTGGGGAAGGGGAGTGTTGAAGGGAAAAGCAGGGGAAGGATGTCTTCCTGAGGAGGTAATTTATCTTGAAATCAGTCAAGTTAAAATTCTGGGTGTCCTCAGCAAAAATATTAATAGATTCATAGAAAACCTCAATGTGTACCACCCACATGCTCCGCTCTATTTCTTAAAGTAGATCCACAGGCACCCATAAAACTGACAGGATTCTTATGCAGGAGGCAGGAGAGGCTTGGGGATGGCAATCTGGTTAAGAGACCCAAAACATGAGGAGGTGGGGCAAGCCCTCCTCTGAGTCATTGATCCATGGCTGCCTCCAGAGACCCTGGAGAAAACCAGCAGGTTGTAAGACAGTTCCCCACCAGAAAGAGTTGAAACAACGTGCAAAAAGAAAGAAGAACTGAAAATGTAAAAGCCGCTGCGTGTGGGATAATGGAAAGAGCGTTGGTTTGGAGCCTGAAAGTCTAGGTTTGAATGTTGGCTTTGTGCTAGCAGCTGTGGGAGAGTGAGTAAGTTACTTTTGAGGTTTGATTTTCTCATTCATGAAATGGGAGTTAGGATATCCTCATAGGGTTGTTGGAAATTTAGAATGTGTATGAGAAAGTATGTTAAACACTAGACAGTATGCTGCCCTTAAGGAGTGAGAAAGAGTGGACAGGAGAGGGGGACTGGGTTGTGATCAGTGGTTTGATGCTGTCTAACATCATGTCTGTTTTCTAAGCTGAAGCTCTTGATCATGACTCATGGCATCTGGGCCTCTGCCTTGCAAGTTAACCACGACTTTACCCATTTATCCTGAGTTGGTCTTGTCACAGCAGCGAAGGTGAACCACGCTCAAAAAGGCTATGGATAAGGCTAGGGTGAGTTTATTCATACCATGTGGCGATAAACCATGTAGTTAAAGAATACCTCCCCATCCCTTCTCTATGGCTGTTTTTGCTATTACGGAGATGTTTTCAAGCTTATATTAATAACAGTCTGCTTTGATGAATGGGGAGTTGAAGCAAAGGCTGATCTCATGAGCTATTTCAGCCAGTGTGTGAGAAACTGAAACATTGCCCCGAATCTAACATCAGAGGTCACCTTCCTAGGGACAGGAGGACCTGTTTGTCAAACCCAAAGTCTCAGACACTAGAATAGTGCTGGGTCAACACTAGCAAACCAGCTCTTGCAATTCTTGCTAAACTGTGAAGACAGGGACTGGATCTGTTTTATTCACTGCTGCATCTTCAATTCCCGGGATGGAACCTGGCTCAAAGTAGATGCCCAATCAACTGCTTTGGGATGAGAGAAGAAATGGGTGGTTCTTGTTTTTAAAGTCTCCCATGAAGTTTTAAAAGGTATAATTTTATCTTGTGTTATTTAGACTGTGGATGACTTTCGATATTTCCCTAATGAAATCATCAGCACATCTATAAGTTATTAGGTAGTTATGAAAAGAACTTGATACACACGCTTTGTGTGAGTTGTTGCGTACCCTCCTCATCCAAGGGCACTATTCTCTGAGCTAACTCTCAGATTCAGGGTAAGCCCTAAGGCCTGGTACACTAATGCTGGAGAGCCATTATCAAAGTGCCACCAAGTTCTGCAACCCAGCCAGAAAACAGATTCCTGAAAAGGCCGAAGGGCAGTCATGGGTAGAAAGAAAGACTCCTGGACTGAGAAAGGGAAATGTAAACCAAGAATGGGTAGTCACCCTTCACTCTTCCACCTAAAAAAATGTTTGGGAAATTAGTTGCAACCCATTCTTTGTACTAATAAGAGGGAGAAGACTTTAGAATAATCATACATTTTCATTGTTACGGTCAGACATTTTTCTAAGGTCCCTGGCTTTCTACAATGCATCACCCAAACCCAATAGGCTATAAATCAAGAAACAAATAGTTTGAAAAGGAAAATATTGGGTTCATCTGTGTTAAAGGAATCTGGGGCTCAGATAGCTTCCTTAACTGCTATTATCCATAAGAGTTGGTTATAGAAATAGGGAAATCGGGAATGAATGAATTTTAAAACCAAAACCAAAACCTCCTCTTTGACCCATAAGGACCAATGAGAGAAATCCAAGGCCTGACCAAGATAAAACCACATTTAGTTTTGGGGGAAATATGCTGCTAATAATGGTCTTTAATTGGGAAATCACCTACTGCACCAAAATATAAATATTCCCCAGATAAAATTACTGGTATTTTGTGGTTCGCATTCAAATCAAAGGTCATTCCAGTAAATATTCTTGAAAGAGTCACAGTGAGCCAGCATGCCAGGGGCAAATCTCTTTATCTCTCCTCCACCACACTGACTTCTGTTGGTCCTGAAATTCACAAAAGAATATTCACTCTTCCACGAAAGAGAGAAAATGAACTCTTTATTCCTTGAAGCTTTCCCATTTTCATTGGAAAATGTTACATTTTACTCCTGGAGGCCCTGACTTCCCTTGTAATATGAGAGTGGCAGTTTACTTATGTGATGTACCCTAGAGCTCTGTTCTCAACAGAGGTGGAAGCAGGGAAAAGGTGAGAGTCAAGGAAAATAGTGAGAATAAATAGCAGTGTGAAGAGAAGCAAAGGGTAGGGGGTGGGGAGGACTACAGGAAGGCAGAGGAGGATAGACATGAACTGGCGGTTATCTTCTCTGTTCATACAAAAGATCTCCTAGTGAGGGTCCTCTGAAGAGGGATTTTTAAGTCTTAAAATGAAATGTTCTAACGTTTCAACATAATTGTCTTAATATATATGAACTTGTACTGCTGAGTTCTTCATTTGTAGATATTTGGCAAGTGATGACTCAGTCTGGCATTCCTGCGATTGGCAGGAATAGAACGGTCTCAAAAGATAGCTGGCAAATGGAGCAATATGTGGTCAAAAAAGTGAATGTTCTGCCTCGTCACTCTCTGGGTCAGTGGTAGAACCAAAAAGAGGTAACCCGATACTGGGCCAGGCCCCAGGACCCTTCCAGATGCCCTTCTGGCCCCCATTTAATTTATAAACCCCAATTCCTCCCATTTTGTTATAAAAATAATCTGTCAGCCCATGATGTGGACCAAGTCCTCTAGGTGGCCAGAAAATACGATTTGGTGATGAGACTTGTTCACACGTGAAACAGCCAATTGAACTCACAAAATCAATTTTTGAAAGTTCCTAAATACAACCAAGACATAATATAAAGTCAAGTTTAGTTGTGTATTGTTTAAATTGTCCATAATGAACATGCATATTTACCATTTGTGTATCTTAAATGTATATATTGATAAGAAGCCCTTAGTAAAAAAATTATCAACAACAGATTCAGCTACTAACTTGCATAGGTTAAAATGGATGTGGGTTTCATTTAGGAAAGAGAAGTTTTTCTTTTAAGTGCTGAATACCTAGGCCTAGTTTTTGGAAAGCAGGAGTGAATATAATTATTTGAGCTTGGAACAGCTGCTAGTGTGTTGGGGTTATCTCTGTCCTCGTGACCCATTTAAAGGAAGGAAATGAATTGGAGATATGACTTAGCAGTTCTCTTCCCCAACCCTCAGAGCTAGTATATCTCTTATAGATGGTGCTCTAACTAGAATGTTAGAATTTTTCTCCAACTTTCTTTGGAGGGAATGTCTTTAGAATATATGTTGTTTGTTCATGTTCATATATCAAATAAATTTGATAAACTTACTCTTAGCTACACAAAAAATACATATGTGTGTTAGAAACCTTCATTTTGTCCACCTCTGGAAATGACAGCATATTCAGTCTGGTGGGCTCCAGAATTCAGTCTGGTAGATAGTACCAGAAAATACGATGATCTGCAAGCAAAAGTGCTGAGAATCAATGCATAATTGATGAGGTTAGCCATCTGTGGAAGGAGCCTATTTTAAAAGCATAACTCAAGGAAATATTAGCTGGGGAGAGGTTGATAGAAATATTTTGTATTTTGCTTGTGGTGGTAATTACACAACTCTGTAATTTGTCAAAATTTAAAGAACCGAAGGAATGAATTTTACTGAATTTAAATTAAAAATGTTAAAAAATATAAAAGAAATATACAAAAAATGCTATTCTGCACGTCGATATTAAAAGTGTATATGAGGATATTTAGAAAACATCTAGCAATAGCCAAGGTGACCAGACCCCACCCAATAATCAATTCATATTTGTGGAATGTGTCCAATGATATTCATATGATATATACAGAGGGGAACAGGGTTATGAGAATTTAATGATCTTAATTCCTGCTCTTTCCAAAGGGGAGATTTTAAATATCGTAGATACCAGCATTTTTGTGTGTGTATAGTCTATTCAGCAAGAATATTGTGGGGGCAGGGATGATGCATTAAGTTATCCTTCAAGGTAGTCTTTTGCCTTGATTGCATGTTCAGTGAACAATCTTCTATAATTGCCCTAACATTCCTTGAAATGCAAAATCATCTGGAGCCTGGCACAGTGGCTCACGCCTGTAATCCCAGCAACTAGGGAGGCTGAGGCCAGAGGATTGCTTGAGGCCAGGAGTTTGAGATCACTGTCTCTGCAAACAACAACAGCAACAATAACAACAACAAAAAACTTAGCCAGGTATGGTGGTATGGGCCTGCCTTCCCAGCTACTCAGGACGCTGAGGTGGGAAGATTGCTTGAGCTCGGGATTTCAAGGCTGCAGTGAGCCCTGATCATGCCACTGCATTCTAACCTGGGCAACACAGCAAGACCCCGACTTAAAAAATAAATAATAATAATAATGAAGTAGTCTGCTATCAGTGGACAAGATCATTCTGGCCATTAGAAAATATACTTCTACCTCTTGTAAATCCAAAGATTGGTATTGATAGGTCATTCTTGGGCATCATATCCCCTAAGCTTGATGAACTGAGTTCTCTGACAACATGGAAGTTGTTTATTATAATAATCTCCACACTTGCAGGCCAAATCCTAAGTTGCCATGGCCCCACCAGATGCTGCTCTCCCATGCAGCCTACCTGAGCAGCCAACTGCCTTCTTTCTTTGACATTTCATTGGCTGTATCCGCCATATTGCTGCAAGATTCTGCAGGGCAGGAGGAGGAGAGAACCTTCCCCAGTGGAGTCTTTATGGAGACTTCTAGGTGAAACCTTTCTTTCCAAAAGAGCCAGAAGTGAACCCCTCACTTCTCTGAAGCCTATCACAATTGTTGGATGTTCCACTCATTGGCAGGGTCCTGTGCTGCCAGTCACCTTTCTGTGTGGGTGGATGTCCTATATTTCTAACATAGTTTGGTTAGAAAGTCAGAAACTTGCCTGGTGCCTCATACATGGTTCAAATCCAATCATTACTTGGAAATTTACTTGACAAATAACCGTGTCCTAGGTTTCTCTTGCTCCCTGATCCCAAGCAAAATTTTTCCATTTCCGGAAGACAGGACTAACTGGTTGACTTGTCCTGTCCCAGTTTATCCCAAGCCAACCTCGCGTAAATTAACTGCCAAGAACATCTCCCATGAGGAAGGTGCTTTAGCCATGGCATAGCAGGGACTGGGGTAGTGCTCCTCAGAATGGATGGCCCCTGCTTCATCCTGGCTCAGGCTCCTTGGCCAATGAGTGGCATGTTCCTTTGATATGAAAGATAGAATGTCCTGTTTCACTGAAATAACATAAAGGAATGTGGGAAGGTTCTGAAAATGCCCAAGGTGACAGTGGGCAAATGCCAATGAGTCTCTCAGTGAGTATGCAACCACAGAGTAAAACACACCCACATTCCTGCAAATACAGTGTGTCCTGGGGGAGCAGGCCACCATGATTTCCCTCACTGACTCAATAGCTGCAGATTCCCCGTGACTCTCCATGCAAATGCTCATTCGCTTTGTGGAAAAGCCCATCCTCATGGGCAGATGGGTCTGTGACCCCACTGTTCACTGTTTCTTTTTATTTTATGTAGTAGACTTCTTGCTATATTTCTGCCTTCTGATGAATGATCACTCTGCATCTGGATACCTTTTCTCCCCACTTTACATTTTTATTGTTCCAAGTCTTCTCATTCGTCTGCTTCATATTGATTTTTTTCTATTGATTCTGCTCACTAAAATCATTCTTATAAAATATACATACTGATAAAATACATGCACTTATCTCCTTGTGTACATGTACAGATAGCCTAGCTCTAGAAGGAAATAGAAGAATCTGGTATTATCTGCTGTCTCTGGGGAAAAGGACTGTATGGCTGGAGGAGGAAGGTTTGGGAGTGAAGCAGCTGAGTTACCAATTTATGGAGGGGCCGTTCCCATCATAGTCTATGGGTGGGTGCCTCTGCAGCTGTTCAGTGCCTGGGTGGAAAGGAAACTTTTAATGGTATACTTTTGCAACTTATACTTCTATACACTGTAGATGACTTAGCTATTCAAACACTTGCATTAAAAATGTAAAAATTCATATTGGCTTTCAAACAGCAAACACTCAGACAAAATTAGACTTGGGATTCCCTTCCTTTTGAGCTCTGAAAAATTCTCTTGAGGCATTTTAATAGACTCCTTGATTTTTCTGCCCAAGGTCTTAAAAAAAATTTTTTTTTAAGAGACGGGGTCTCACTTTGTTGCCCAGGCTGGTCTTGAACTCCTGGCCTCAAGTGATCCTCCAGTCTTAGCCTCTGCCTAAGGTCTTTGGATGCTCCTGTCAGACTTCACCCAGGCTTTTTCTTTGGGCATACAGTTTTATGACCTAGGCTTGTATCATCAGGAAAATAAATACAAGCCACAGTAAAAACTCAGACTGTGAGGAACTGCCCTGCAGGTATTCACTCAGCAAACTGCTTCAAGTGTCTCTTCTGTGTCTGCACTATGCTGGGTGCCAGGAGGACAATGTCTTATAAACCAAAAACTAGGTTCAAGGAACTCACCATCTAGTGAAAGAAACTGACAACCAGATGTCGTGCAAAACATTTTAGGAGCTACTAGAGGAATATTGAACTGGTTGGTTGATTTACTGAACATGAGAGAACAAAAAGCAGAACTACATTTCCTTGACTAACATCAGAAACTATTTTCTTTCAAAATGTTCTTTTTTTGTGTGTTTTTATTTAATCATTAAAATGTCAGTTAAAACAACATGAAAAGGATGAAGGACTATCTTTGGATGTGAAGGATGAGAGAAAAAGTTTCCCCTTTCCCAACCAGTGCCACAGCCTTCCCTACCAGTGGGTTCTGTAGAACAGAGGAAGAATTTGGGGACTTGCAAAATTAGGCTGACCTTCAATTAACTGCATTAAGAAAGCCAGTAAGTATAAGTCCAAAAATGAACTGCAGTTAACCTTGAAATAAAGAAGAATCGGTTAGAAAGATTCATAGTAATTACAGAATTACACACTGCAAATATGATTAATCCAGTTTCTCCATTCCAGCCCTCCGAGTTTCTCCCTGGCTTCTTCCCCAGTGCTGAGAGGGCACTCTGGCGTGTCAAGGGTGAGCCCTGTAGATTTTGGCAATGTAAAGTCCTTCCCCGGGGCCCTAATGTAGTTGAGTTGCTTAAAAGCTGCTTTCAGGGTAAATGAAAAGTCCAGTCCTATTTGTACCACTGTAGAACCACACAATATCAAAGTGCAAATCATGCCCCAGCCCTCAGACAGAATCAGTCCCCCTTCCTCTCAACTCCCACAGACTATGCCCACACCCTCGAGGGAGCTTCCTCATGGGGTATTGCATAATCTAACCTCCCACAACACTGGGATCTCCTTGAAGCCAGGGACCATTTCCTAAACCTTTCTGCGTTGTCACTATCTTATACAATCACCAGTACTTAACATTTGTAAGTGATGGATTTTCAAATTGCTATAATTTGCTAGTCTTAAGAGAATTTTGTTCTGTTCTTTTACAATAAATAGTAGATAAAACTGCCTGGAATGTGGATATGAGGCTGGAGGAGGAGCAGCCATATTGGAACAATGAGGCAACAATGCTTCCTACCATGTATGGTCAAGAGGTAGAGGGAGATTGTCAGTGTGGAGCTCCTGTACCCACTTGGTGCTGGTCTTCTTGTTATTTGAGAAAATGAATCCTTTACTTGGTTAAGAAAATGTATTCAGAGTTCTGTGGCTTGCAGCGAAACACAATCCTTATCTGATATATAGAGCAAATCAAATGTCAATTCCTCTACCTGACTGTCAAAGTTCTCCATAATCAAGTCCAACTCTGTTCCCCTTCTCTCTAAAATCCTGTCAACTGCAGTCAGATCAGACTTTCACAATTAGCTACAAGAGGCATAATAATTCCTTCCTCGTTGCCTTTGTTTAGACTGATTGGCCATCCAGAAATGTTCTTTTCATTGACCCATTCCATTCTTCCCGGCTGAACTTAAGTTCAGCTTCTTCCCGGAAACCTTTGCTCCCTACTCAGTTATCTGTCTCTTGTTTCAAATCCTATGACATTAAACCCACTGATCCCCGGGTTAAATGTATGTTTTCCCCCTATATTGCACTCTGATTATTTTGTGTTTAGGTTTAGTGCTTAACCAGTGCTTAAGCTCCCTGCAGCCTAGGATTCATACTCTCTTCTGTCATTGCACCTTGCACTGTACTGGTCACCATGAAGATACTCAGTAGATATCCCTTGCTTGGTTGTGATCCTCTTACTATGCATTGCTATATCTGCCTTTGAAAAGAGGTTTGTCTGTGGCTTGAAGAGCACATGTGAATTTAGGTTGTATCTCCATCTGGCAAATTAATGTTGCCATTGGTTGCCAGTTCAGAATCAGAATGAATTAATTTGCCATGTGGAGAAATTTGCAGCAGCAAACATTATCATTATGGCTTATTTATTGCTGTGAGCACTATGTTGAATTTGCACATTGTTTAAAGAGCATTTGTTGGTACTGGAGATGAACCTTTAACCTCTTAAATCTATGTCTTTGGCCTCAAGAAGATGAGATCAGGAGTTTCTGACACTGTCTCAGAAGCACCACAAAGGCCAATTAAAAGGCTCAGAACTCTCAGGCTCCTGCACGGAGCTGGGGCAGCTAAGCCATCCTGAAAGTCTCCTTGGAGGGCTGTGGTTCTCCACTGCACACAAAGGAGAAAGGACAGGGGAGGGGGGAAAATGCCACTGTTGATTAAATCTGTGAGGGTTTAAGTATTCTTCCACTACATTGAAATAATCACAGGACTTATATCTTGGACAGGTTTGTATCTCTCTTTTGGGACTTAAACTGTGAAAATAAAAAAGGACATCAGAGTAAGGGAGGGAAAGTCCAAATTCAGAAAGGAAGGTTACTGTAATTTTTCAGTTTTCTATGTTAATTTTTTTAATAAGATTTCATCACATTCATAACCTTGCTTTCTTTTTCTTTGTCTCAAATGTACACCCATGCACACACACACACACACACACACAGACACACACACAAGCCATGTAAAGTAATCCAAGTTGCTTATTCTTTGTGTGTGCATTACATTAACAAAATAGGGGGTTCCCTTCAAAGATATAGTTCCCTTAGCAACCTTACTGGAATTTCCTTCTCTGTATGGAATCCTCCACATCTTTAACCACAGAATCCACTTACTATTTGGAATTCTAAGTCTGCCTTATTGAATAATAATTCCTAATTTAGGAATTACAATGACTCTTTATTTGGCATTTTAATCTCAATTTTTAAAAATTTAATTAGAAAGAAAGGAGGGGTAGCATAAAAGAATTGTTTCTCTTGAACTTTTCTGTCCAGGGTACAGATCTTGGGACAAACACCCACAGAAGCCTTTATAAAAGCCTATGAGGTGCTTTGGGAGCTTCTTTGAGGAGGCTCAATGTTGCTTACTGAGAACTCCACCCTGGAGTCTTGAGAAGAAAGGCCAGAGTTACCATCTTTGCTCTGACATGCAGGAGCTTATGAGCAGCAATCCTGAAGCCCGCAGCCTGAAGACCTTCCTGTAGGGCTCAGGGACCCAAAAGTGAGCAGAAAGCTGCCTTCACAGACTGGTCCCTGATGTATTTACTGCCCAACACAAGGAAGGCCCATGGTGGGTGGGAGAGAAGGGGGTCTTCTGCAAAGATCTTCCTTCTAAGGGAAGATGAAATGCCTTCCCTTAGAGGCTTGCTACCTCACTGGAGGAAACTCACTAAAGATCATAGGACCATAGATTTTCTAAGCTGGAAGGAACCTAAAAGGACTACAGAGGTAAGCCGCACTAAATTCTCTTAAACTTTCAGAGGCTTGGTTTCCACATTTATGAAACTCAACTGGTAATGCCTACCTTAGCAATTCATTCAATGAGACCATTATCTTGCAGAGGGCCTGTACAGAATAAGTGAGTTTTGATCTGCTTTTAGTACTATCAATATACAAGTCAGAAAACTGTATTCAATAGATGATGCTGATAATAGGATATCATGTTGGAGTGAGGTAGTCAAAGGAGTTCTGCTATTGATTTAATAGTAGGTAAAAGACAAAAAGACTGGAGCATTCTGAAACCAAATCACTGAGGGTAAGACATGCCCTCTAAGGTGGCTTCCAGCAACAGTGGTTGATTTGGGCTGATCTGCCCAATCAGAGGCTCTCATTGTCCATCAGCCCGTAAAATCTGGCCTCGGGGAACACGGTGACACCATGCCGTCATGAACAAGGAGCAGGATCTGTCTGACTGCAGCCCTGTTGTAGCACTGAGCTCACCACGTGTAAAGAAGCAAAGTATGACCCCATAACAATGATGCCCTGACCACTCTAAAGTTACAAATCTCTGCATCCCTGGCTGTCTCTTTCACAGCCTCAAGTTTTATTTTCCTGGTAGCACCATAAAAAAATTTCTTGGTCATTCATATGTTTATTATCTGACTTGCCCCACTAGATCCTAAGTTTCATAAGACCAGGTACCTGGCCTGTGTTCACTGTTGTATGTCTCTAGAAGAATGGCTGGTACATGGTAGGTCAGCACACGAGAATCACTTTGGAAGTTTTAAACATACAATGCCCCCTCCCTTAAAAAATGCAAACCTAGGCTCTTTCTTAGACCAAAATCACCTCAGGATCTCTTGGGTGGGAGTCAGGCATCGATGTTTTTTAAGAGCTCTGTATTGTAGGTGATTCTCATGGCCATCCTAGGCTGAAAAGTACTGTAGGGAGTACTCAGTGAATCTCTGTTCGATGTAAATGGAAGTCTCTACAATAAGGGAAGTGTGAATGGACATGGTGAGTGGGTGAGCATGGCAGCAGAGACATTCTGCTGGAAAAAGCCCTATGACTTGCAGTCATCCCTCCCTTTCCACCACCCACCCAGGATACTAATGGTGGGGTGTTGGAGGTGTGGAGAAAATTTTTCTGTATGTCAAGATTGAGTTGATGAGGCACAGCCATGGCAATGGCCATCTGGGGTCCAGGTAATCACAAAGGAAAAGTCCTGAACAGGTTATGCTCTCCCCTGGCAGCAGTGGGGAGTGCTCACAGGTGCACCATTTGTATGCATGTGAGCCCTGAGCGGAAGACTTCTCTCCATCCCACATCAAGACCCTGCCCAGCCACTTGGTGAGAAGCTGGGTTGGAGATACGGCTACCACCATAGGGATGGCTCTTCTAACCCACAAAGCTTAACAATGAGGAAGAGGGCAGGATGCTTTCTCTCTGCATGACTATGATACTTCTGAAAGGTCGGGCTGTGGGATTTTTTTTTTTCACTTCTGTCTTGGAAATCACCTCCATATGCTGGTTGGACTTCAGGATACAATTTCTTTACATTGAGAAAGCATTTCCCACCATATAGAGGAGACAAAGTGGAACTGCTGGTTTTTCAACTCCCTTAATGGCTTTCAATGCCATTTGTCAAAAGGTTGGTTTTCTTTACAATATTAAAAAAATTTCTAACAACAAACAACTAAATGCAAAATCTTCCCTTGTACTTTGATTGATGGTTCACACCTTTTGGAATATCTAGCTCATATTTTTAGAAATAAGCAGCTGGTACTCTTGACATTTAATTTTAACAAAATGCCTCATTCAATTCCTTCTTTCCCAGAGAGGGTACACAGAATATTGGAAAATATCCAGTGGCACTGATCCAAGCGTCTACATTAAGTGTGGAGGAATGGGAGGATATGCTTTTAATGTCCTGGAAGTTGAGCTAATGGCATTGAAATGGCTGATCTTAAGAAAACATGATTGTGACAAGGAAGGATGACTATTCTAGCTGCTATTGATATCTGCAGGAGAGACCTTTAAAACTGAGGGTGACCAAATAGGTTTCTGTTCCTGGGTTAGTGTTTTACCCAAAGAGCTTTGCTGCAAATCAACAATTCTGGTAACAATAATGATAGCTATTATTAACTGAGGACTCACCACATGCAAGTCTTTTATATGGAGTCTATGGTTTAATCAGTACAATTATCCCTATTTTATAGGTAAGGAATTTGAGGCACAACGAATATAAATGACTTATCTACGGTCACATAACCTGGAAGTAAGGGATCAGACCGTAAATATTTTCAGCTTTCTGAGGCACACAGTCTCTGTTGCAACTACTCAATCCTGTCAGTGGCAATGAAAGCAGCCAGAGTCACCACATAAACAAACGGAAGTGGCTGTGTTTTAATAAAACTTTATTTACAAAAAAAAAAAGTGGTGGGCTGGATTTGACCTGAGGTCTATAGTTTGCCAATTTCTGCTCTTAGTCATGACATAAGAACTATTGCAAACAGTTGTTGAGCCCACTTATATAATGGCCTTCTGGATAAATATTTGAGGGTTTGTTTTTTTTTAATGAATCCTATTTCTGAATTCCAGCAACACTCTCAAAGTTTTGGTGGGAAAAGACATTTCAGTGAGTAGGATTGTAAGACTACATAAGCAACCTTCAGGGGAAAGCCTCCAAGGGCGTCATGGCTCCCAGGAGTTTGTGAGCTGGGCAGTGAAAGAGGAGTTAGATTTATGCAATGTCTGCTCTGTGCCAGGCCTTGTGTGGGGGCCCTTCACAGTCACCCATTTCTTCAGTGTCTTGATATACCACCCCTTCTATGCAGGTTTCAAGCTGGCACACAAAAACACACACAACCACAAAGATAGAATAATGGAAGGAAATGGAGCATTGTATCATTTAATCCCTGCATCAATCCTGCAACACAGTGCCATTATTCCATTTTATGGATGAGAAATCAAAGCATAGAAAGGAACTGGCTTGCCTGAGGTGAGGGAGTGAGTAAGTGGCTGAGCTGGCATTCCACCCCAAATGTGCCCAATTTCTTTGCCTGTACATCTTTCATTAGTCCACACTGCTCCTTTAGAGTGAACTGCACAGCTCACCTTGCTTAACTCAGTCACTGAGTTTGGAAAGTCAGTTAAATTTGAGAGTCTATTTATTTTTACCCCTAGAAAAGAAAAGGAAACCCTGGTAATCCTACTCATTTTACATGTTGCTGTAATAATCAAGCAAGATAGAGTAGGTGAAAGATTTTTGCAAAGGGTGGAAATATTCTGCAAATGTAAAGTGGTGGCACCTGCCAGGGAACTGGCCATTGAAAGGGTTTGCTCACCCCAAGGGGACTTTGTCTACTGAATCATTCAGACGGCTCAAGTCTGGGAAGACATTGGCCTCTAAAAATCCCCTGAAATCAGTCCAAAGCCCAGGAACTTGGAAAAGGTTACAGAATAGTCATTCAATTTCTACTCACATAAATGACTCTTATAAACACTTGTTTCATCACCATCCCTGCCTCCCTCCCTGTTTTCCTCCAAGAGATTTTCCTCCTACTTCTGTTCTAGTTTCAAATGGGCTCTTCCTCCTGAGGATGAGTGTAAATCCAGCCCTTTATCCCAGACCTAGCTCTTGCCCATTTGTTTCAACAATATCTTTGTAACAGGAAACATTGTACCAGGTTCATTCCAGGTCCAAAGCTCCAACTCATAGGTAGAGATGGCTTTAGTGAGTCTGCCTTGCCCCTATGATTTTTTAAACCTCTGGCTAAAAGTCAGAAACTAGGAAGGTTGAATAGCCTGATTGTACAAGAAAACAAATCCTGGCTTGGCGTTGTGGCTTACACCTGTAATCCCAGCACTTTGGGAGTCTGAGGCAGGAGGATGGCTTGAGCCTAGGAGTTTGAGACCAGCCTGGGCAACATAGGGAGACACTGTCTCTATTTATTAAAAAAATTAAAAAATTAAAAATTAAAAAAAGAAAAATAAAAAAATCCTGTATGTCAAAAATCATGTAACATTTAAAAGGAAATGACAAACCAAAAAAATTTTTTTCAACATATGACAAATAATTAATGTTATTGAACATCTAAAAGCTTCTATAAATCAATCACAAAAGTGACAACTTAAAGTAGAAAATTGGTCAACAGCCACCAAAATGCAATGTAGAAGAACAATACTAATGATGAATTTTTTAAAACTTTTTTGGGGCTAGTTTCAAGTAACACCAGATTCCTAGTTATCATAGAATCACCAGTAATAGAGATGTTTAGACAAAATACACAGGATCATATCTGGCTTATTTAAGTTGCATGAGTGTGTGTGCACAAGCATGTGTAATCTCTATATAAACACACACCTGCCTGAGACAGCTTAGATGACTGGAAGGTATAAGACTGGAGACAGGGATTGGACTGAATTTCAGGTTTAAAATTTGTAAAAACAACACATACTAATATAACCAAGACTTCAGCCTGAGAACTTGAACAAAGGGTGAAAAAACAGATATATTTAAGGAGGAGATGCAAGCAGGCTCACAAAGTCTTGTTTTGCAGCAATGGCTGGAATGTGGCATACACGGTCCAAGGCTCATCTAAGGCAGAATCATACATGAGAAAAATCCATTCATGAAACTAAATCATCCTAAAGCAAATGACACTTCATGAATAGAGACTAAAACCAAAGTGTGAAGGACATTTTCCAAATCAGTGTGAAAGTATGCAGAAATAGCTGGATCTAAATTGAATAAGAATTGTGTGACAAATTGATGAGGTACTGAGGGAAAGCCAATTAAGACACTGAGGGGCCTATTCTGAGAGACTGGATGCCACAGACTGAATCTAGAAGAAGATTCTGCATAAAGAATATTTTCTTGGAAGGTTTGGCAAAAGAAAGAGTTCTTTTAAGTGCTTTCCCGTAACTTATTTTCTGTTCCTTGGAACTTTTCGACTTTTAGTGGTTTGGAATGACTTGGTTCTGGTGGATTTCAATCAATATCCCTCCCTTCCTGTACTCCATGCTTCCCCACAATCCCCCTGTCTTGGTGGAGTAACAGGTTGATTCTGATTTATCACTAACCTTCTCTAACTTCCTTATAAAAGGAGTACATTAGATAACAATTAATGGGCATTTGGGAAATGAACCTTTCAAGTTTTCATCTTCATTTATACTGATTGAAGAACTGGTGAGGCGAACCTAAGACAGAACTAATTTGAATGCATAAAAAAATAATGGAGTGAATAAATAAAACATCTTTCTACTGAAGGTCTCACCTGGAAAGAGATAATTCATTTGAGTCTTTTTAATAACAACAAAATACAAGCAAATTCAATCTAGAGTTTGCAAAATTGCCTATAGTTTCTAAAACCTTTGGGTTCTCAGAGTAAATAGCTATTCTGTAGAAATTCATGGAAAATTCCACGTGAGTGAAGACTGCTTTGTAGGGAGGATTAAGCAAGCCACGCTTTAAGAGCCCCTGTATATCGTATTGCCTAAGAAGTGAGCCCTGGGCCAATTCACAGCTTGTGAACTTCATGTGGAGAAAGAGTGCGGGAAATATTGAAGGACGGAAGGAACACCATGTGTGGACACCCTAAAACGGACAGGTGACTCAGCTCTCTGGGTGTTAGAGGGCTATTGGCAAATAACAGCCGTAATAAAAAGCCCGTGCAGCCTCATGGTTAGCAAAGAACAGAAGAAAGTCCTGAAAGCAGTAGAGATAAGCTGGCTACTGATCAGATATATTAAAAGACAAAATGTGTTGGTACCCGAATTAGATTAAGGTGAACAATTCTATATAATTTATTTTTAATGACCTTTAAATAGTATAATTTATTACCATTGTAAATAGAAGGCTGAAATATCTAAGAAAGAAAATTAAAATAATCAATAATACTACCACCAAGAGTTACTGTGTTAATATTTTGGTCCGTTTCTTTCAAGTCTTTTACTATGCATGAATATATTTTCTTTTACAGCACTACTTATTATATATCTCTATGCACTAGACAAATAGCACTGCGGTAGACAACTTTGTTCATAAATCCTTGTTACATCTCTATCATTTCCTTAGATTAGATTCTCTAGAAATAGAATTACAAAGTGAAAGTATATTAATTTTCAGGTCTTAATACATATTGCTAAATTGTTTTCCCAAAAGATCAACCTAATTTATACTTATATTACTCATTTCTATAAATGTATCTTTTTGTCTTCTGTGACTCCTTTTGTTTTCCACCTGACATTAAGTAAGCTCCTACATTTGACCCAACATTATAATAAGAATAAGAAACAATTCTAGGTTTATTGAGATAATTATTTCATGACGTTGTGCTAACTTACACTGAGATAACTCCCAATTCTTTCAAAATTTTCATACCCATTAGTATGTTTAGTTCCCCCCAAACCCCTGAGGTGAAGAGAATTAATTATAGAATGTTTAGTGCATGGGAAAGGGTTTCTGATATCCTCTAGTTCAGGTTTCATTCATCCGATAGAGGCATGGGCAAGATATGAGAGTTTTAAAGTTCTAGAGTCCAAGTGTCAGGAATCTCGGTTCATATATTCCTTCTTACTGGATGACTTTGACTCTATCCTGGTCCGTGTAAAGCTTTGTATCATTCTTAATTTCCTCCTCCTCTGCACTGTTTCATCAGTCCATTGGGAAGTACACCATTAGGTTTCTTGCTCTTCCAGGAGTATGAAAATAACTAGAAATCTGGACTCGGACTCATAAGTAGAGACAAAACAGTCTTGAAATGAATGTTTTACCTATGATGTGGGTGAAAACCTAGAAAAGATCCCCCAACATCATGTAATGAGCCAATGAAGTTGAGAGAGTCAGATCTGTGCTTAGGATAAACTTGATAAACCAAAGTAGTCAAGGGGAAGTTTAGTAAGAAGAAGTGTAGGGTCCCAGGCTCAACGTATTTCAGTATCAGACTATTCTGACAATAAGGACTACCAAATGCTGACATTTGCTGGGACTCCTCTGGATAATTCTCACCTGCTTCTCTGATTTAGGTAGCATAAGTGAGTTCTTTCAACAGACAGGGGACACCTTCCAGGGAAACCATCTATGAGCCCTAAAGATTGAATATTCTATGTTGCAGATTATCATCATGTTAATGTATTATGGGATTACAATACATTGCTTAGAGCTTAAAACAGCACTGTGCAGGTGTTTGAGCATCAACCTGTGGTCCACCACAGGCTCCGGAGAGCTGTTGCCTTGTCTTCCTATGGCAGTCAAATTTATTTTATTTAGAAACATCACAGTTGCATTTCTATTTTGTGTGTGTGTGTGTGTGTGTGTGTGTGTGTGTGTGTGATTTTAAATTCTGAGAAACCTTCTCTTAAAATGCCTGACATTTAAGAAAATCTGGCACTGTATTGCCACCACTGAAGCCAAGTATCACATGTGTAGAAAGTAGCACAGTTTGGCATGCTGAGTGTGCCAAATTTCCCTTAAAATTAACATTTGCACCGTATGTTAGTACCCTAAACTCAATACTTTTTTGGCTGATGAAAATGCAAAAGGAAAACATTTCCAGACTGAGTCCTGTTCTCTTTCTCTGTAGATGCTGTTTTAAAGAAATTAGCAGTAGTCTTCCTTTGGAAGTAAAAATGAGTGCCTGCTGTAATTCATGGTGAGAAGTCAGGCATCCAGTGGTGTCAAAGCTAGAAGATCCATGCTGGTCAGGCAAAGGTACCTGAAGGTGTCAATCCTGCAAGATTGTCCTGTGCTCTCCATTTACCATTCAGCCCCTCACAATGTCTTGGGTAGTAACTCAGAGGTGAGGTCCAGCTTCTTCATCCTCTATCATGATGTTTGAGAGGGTAAAGTGAACAGGTGGAGACAAGAAAGCTCACACTGAACTTAGAGCATTATGCCAGACATTTAGATAATGCCCAGGCAACCCAGGGTAACAAGAGACCTATACCCACCACTGTGGTGGGTCCCAGATGCTGGCTTCCTGGCCTTTGAGGTCACATTCCCTCTGAGATCCTTCCTCAGATAGCCCCTACCTGTCTCTGTGGCATGTAGCTTCCACAATATGAGAAGAAGTAACATTCTTTGTGCCTGTGAGCCAAGCATCTGCACCTTTCTAGATTTTCAGTGTATTTTGTACAAACCAGTGATATATCGCCATGCTCCCTGGACACCTGTGTGGCTCTGGCAGAGTTTGGGGGCTCTCCTTGAATCACAGGGGAGACAGCCTTTCACTTCTAGATATTGATCCTAAACTGTACCAAGGGGAAGGATGAGAGAACAAAGTTGTGTTACTACTAAAACTGCCAGAGATATTTAAACTGTGATGGGAATGATGGGCCTGGGGCTTCATCCCACTGGAGTATTAAGTAAGAATCATGTGCTCCTGGCCCTCAAGCAGGTTTTTTCATCTGTACCATGAGGGATACACAGTATTTAAGGGGAAAGTTTAAAATCTAAGAAAGTCTGAAGATCTACTTAAAAAAAAAACTTTTTATTAAGGAAAAGTTCAAACTATGAAAGTAGACAGAATAATATCTGTCCTTATACTTAGTTTCAATTCATGACCAATCTCATTTCATCTATACCTCACTCACTTTCCCCACCTTCCGACTGGGATGCTTTTGAAACAGATCCATGACATCATATTATTTCATCTATAAATATTTCAGAATGTATCTCTTAAACATGGGTAATTTTTCTTAAAACTTAGCCACAATAGTATATTATACCTAAAACTCAATAATTTCATTAATCGCCGGGCGCGGTGGCTCACGCCTGTAATCCCAGCACTTTGGGAGGCCGAGGCGGGCGGATCACGAGGTCAGGAGATCGAGACCATCCCGGCTAAAACGGTGAAACCCCGTCTCTACTAAAAATACAAAAAATTAGCCGGGCGTAGTGGCGGGCGCCTGTAGTCCCAGCTACTCGGGAGGCTGAGGCAGGAGAATGGCGTGAACCCGGGAGGCGGAGCTTGCAGTGAGCCGAGATCCCGCCACTGCACTCCAGCCTGGGCGACAGAGCGAGACTCCGTCTCAAAAAAAAAAAAAATAATAATAATAATAATAATTTCATTAATCATTTAAATAGTCAGTATTCAAATTTCTCTAGAAAAATTCAACTCTTTTGCTTTGGAATGAAGGCCATTTTGGAGTTTTGTCAGTTCACTATTGAACTAGTCAAATTCCACCTTTCAGATATCATAGAGGTGTTAAGGTTGAAAGGAAAGATCTCTTCAGGAGCGATGACAAGAGAAGGAAAAACTATTTGGACTTCCTTATCCAGAGTCAATGATCATTAAGACTGAAAGGGTAAGTACCCATTACCCAGCCCCATCACACTTCCTTATTGTAGACTGAGGCACAGGATAGTAAGCTGATGTCCCCAAATGCACACAGCTAATTAATGACAAAGTATTCAATTTTAAAATGCAAGAGGCTCTATTTAAGTCTTACCTGCTTTTTAAATTACCATAGAAGGACCTATATTTCCAGTGCTTTGTTCATGACTTTAAAATGTGTGTGGCTTGATGGTTTAGAGCTGTGCTGTATAATTCAGTACTCATCATTAGCCACGTGTGGCTTTTGAGCACATCAAATTCAGTTGACCTGGATAGAGGTACGCTGTACATGTAAAATGCACACTGGATTTCAAAAATTTAGTAAAAAAACATTAAAAAATGTTTAGTAATTATTGTATTCTCTTGATTAAATGCGGAAAAAATATTTTTCAACATTGACACTCAGCACATGTTAGAGTGGTCATTTTACATGGATTTGTGTGATTATTCACTTAATGTCTGACTCTCTCCATACTGTTTGCTCCATGAGGTCAGGGATCCTGTTAGTTCACAGTCACTATTGTGCCTGCCCCATAACAGACCCTCAGTTAAAGAAAGGAACAAAGGAAGAACAACTGGAATCCTGCCTGCTCTAGCTGTGTCCCTTCCTTCTTTATTACCTCTTCCCAGTTCACTAATGTGTTCTTGGACAGGCCATCTGAGTAACCTGGTATATGAATTAGCAAATCCTACGGGCTCCATTTTCAATGTCTGTCTAGAATCCAAGCACTTCTCACCACTTCCACTGCCTCTATCCTGGTCAGGCCGCCAGAGGTTCCTTCCAGGATCATTGTAACAGCCTCCTGACTCTTCTCCTGTCTTCTCCCTTGGGCTCCTGTCTGCTCAACACAATAGTCAGGCAGGTTCTATTAAAATGTAAATCAGATCTTGTTATTCCCCTGCTCAAAACTCTCTAGTGATTTTCCATCTATTTCAGAGTAAAAGCCACAGTCCGCGCCGTGGCCTACAAGTCTCTACATGAAGTTTCTCCCTGTTACTCCTATGATCTCATGCCCTACCACCTGCTCACTTGCTTCTTCCACTCCCACTCTCCAGCCTCTGGTTGTTCCTGGCACACACCAGGCATTCTCCTACCCCAGGGCCTTTCACTTGCTGTTCTTTCTGCCTGGACAGCTCTTCCCCAAGATACCCACGTGCCTCTTTTGCTTCCTTCAAGTTTTTACACAATACTGTGTCTGAAGTGAGGCCACCCGAACTCTGGCTATCAAGCACTCCGTATTCTCTCTCCTTCCTGACTTAATTTTTCTCCATATCTTCTAACACACTGTGCACCTTACTTTAGTCATTGTTCATTTTCCTCCACTAGAATGCAACTCTGTGTACACAGGAATATTTGTCTTTTGTTTCCTTATATATTCCTGCTGCCTAAAATAATGTTTCGTGAGAGGTTGTTGCCTGGTAAACATCTGTTGACTGTGAGACTAAAGCTTAGCCTATGCACCTGAAAAATAGGCAGACTTGAGACCAGCCATTGGGCTTGAACATGCAGAATTGGCCTGTGCTGTCAGTGGGACCAACTCAGCTCTACCTTGGTGCTAGTTCAGGAGACTTGGAGGCTCCTTGCACTCAGATTGGCTGCCCAATCTTACAGCTCAGTTCTGATGACTGTGAGGCCCAAGGAAACAGTTTGGATTCAGGGAGGGTCTAACTGGCTCCTCCCAACATCCTGTGTACCTCCCCTGCCCTACACCACCACACACAAATATACCACAACATTCTCTCCCTTCCCAAGGACAGACTTGGGCTATTTCTAAAAGTGAGATTCTGATCCAAAACAGTAGCCAACACATAGTGCATCCCATGTGTACAGGAAAGGACAGGAGACCTCTGAGCAATTTCCTGGCCTTACATTTTTCCATTCCAGTAAATGAGGCCTTCTTTAGCTCAGGAATCTGTCTCTGAACCAAGCCAATGCTGTAATGGTGCATGCCATTTGTTACTGCCTGGCTTATATCTTTGTTCTTTTATTTTCCTTTTCTTTTTTTTTTTAGATGGAGTCACTCTGTCACCTAGGCTGGAGTGCAATGGCCTCTGATCTGGGCTCACTGCAACCTCTGCATCCCGGGTTCAAGCGATTTTCCTGCCTCAGCCTCTTGAGTAGCTGGGATTACAGGCGCCTGCCACCACGCCTGGCTGCTTTTTGTATTTTAGTAGAGACGGGGTTTCACCATGTTGGCCAGACTGATCTTGAACTCCTGATCTTGTGATCCACCCGCCTTGGCCTCCCAAAGTGCTGGGATTACAGGCATGAGCCACTACGCCCTGATTCTTATTTTCCATTTTAAGTGATCAACAATTAGGTTCTTTCTGTCATGAAGCTTTGACAACCAGCTCTTCCAGTTGGCTACCAGTTTAGGCATATATAATGCTACCGGAGAGTTTCCTTCCTAAACTGGCATTTTATTCAATAATGCATAATACTGAAATTGAGCTCTCTGTCTTCAAAGAGTTTTGCAACTTTACACCTCATTAGGCTGAGCAGTGCTTGAGCTCGTGCTTTATGGATTGGACCCCAGCAAGGTTAAACAATTTGCCTCAGGCTAAAACCTGCTTTGCTCTAAACAAAGTACTTTGTCTTTTTTAATGAATCAGAAAAATATAATGAATAAAAAATGTGGTTCCCTAACAACTATGTTTTCAGTAATTTGATTCCAAGTCATTTCCATATGCCTTTTAAGGCCATATTTGGGGTTCTTCCTAGTCTTCTGATATCATTTCACAGTCCTTCTCCCCTCCTCTCTCCCTCCTCCTCTTTTCCTTTACCCTCTTTGGCTTCTGGGATACTCTAGCTGCCAAGGGTCAACTACCATGCCCTTAGCCTGACAGCAACCCTTGTCCCTCTCCCTCAGGGACCCACTTTCAGATAAGCATATTGCTGTTAAAAGATGGGGAAGGCTTAAGCTCAAGTTCCTAGGTGTGGTGGAAACCACAGAATAAGTTAGTGTATCTTTTGGCCTATGTAGTAGTGGACAAATATGGGTATTTTGCAAAATGCAAAATACCAGGACAGGTTAAAGTCTGAAATTCTACCTGTGGCAGACTGCTTAGGATTTCTTCTTCATATTTTTCTCCCCCATTAGAAATAGGAAAGTCTGAGAAGAACTGACATAACAGGGTACTGGGTGCGGTGGCTCACAGCTGTAATCCCAGTGCTTTGGGAAGCTGAAGTGGGTGGATCACTTGAGGTCAGGAGTTCGAGACCAGCCTGGCCAACATGGTAAAACCCCCTCCCTACTAAAAATACAAAAAAATTAGCCAGGTGTGGTCATGCACACCTATAGTCCCAGCTACTGGGGAGGCTGAGGGGAGAGAATCGCCTGAACCCAGGAGGCAGAGGTTGAAGTGAGCCAAGATTGCACCATTGCACTCCAGCCTGGGTAACGACAGAGTGAGACCCCATCTGAAAGAAAAAAAAAAAAAACTTACATAGCAGGGTGTTTCCTCTGGGTTCCAGGAGGAAGAAATGCTGGAATTGATTTTCTAAGGGCTGGTGGCATCAGTCTTTAAGTATTGTTATTTTATTGCTCCTTTGAACAAAGATTTTTTTTCCTGGAGACTGTTTTGGGTGAAAAAAATAGAGGGAATTTGGGAACATCCCTTTCCCTGGATTATGAACATCCAACAGGCAGCAGCCTTACCAAAGTAAGAGCAGAGTAACTCTTTTCTTATTATTTAACAAATAAAAGTAATAAGCAAGGAAATCTATGACACTTGAAACTAGGATTAAAAAGAAAAATCTAGCATGTGTTCAAAGATACCGCTTCTTTTCATATGATTTCACATCGAATGTGTTGAATCCCTTGAAGGAGAATTGAAGTGGGTAAAACGAAATAATAGCTGAGCCACAGTGATTTAGATTTTGCTTTAACCTGTCCACATCTGGGGCATGTGCATACCCCCTTAAGCCCCAAGAACACTTTAGCCCAGCAACCGCATTTGGAGAAGAGGTTGGGTACCATGTATGGAACATGCTTGTGAAATGCACCCACTATAGGAGAGCAAAGAGCTCAGAAGCTGACATCACAAAACCTGGCCTTGAAAGCCAGCTCCATCACTTCCTAACTTCCCTAAGCCTCAATTCCTCAGCTATAAAACAGAGACAATAATACTTTATTCATGAAATATTTCTAGCTCTTCTTTTGGGCACATGGTTGTATTGCATTTTCCTATCCCTTTATAGGCAGGCATGGCACATGACTTGCTTTGTGTAATAAAATGTGAGCACATGAGCACAAATGACATGTGTCATTTCCTTGTGGAATCTTTAAGAAATAGCCCACAATTCTGGCCAGATGTGGTGGCTCATGCCTGTAATCCCAGCCCTTTGGGAGGCCAAGGTGGGTGGATCACTTGAGCCCAGGAGCTCAAGACCAGCCTAAGCAACACAACAAGACCCCATCTCAAAAAAGAAATTAAGAAAAAAAAAAAGAAATAGTCCACAATTTCATATTATTTTCTGTCTGTCTGCCATAGCAACCTGAAACATTTCAGATAACAGTTACTCTGTCAGTCTAGGGCCCAAAGGTAAGATGACCTGGATTTATATAGTGGATATGTAATACAAGTAAGGCATATATTCTTGTTTTCTTTCTTTTTTTTAAAGCCGGGAGATTTAGGGGTTGTTTGTTATTGGAGCATAACCTCATCCATCCTGACTAATATATTTCTTCATGGAGCTGGAGGAAGATTAAATAATGTACCTAATAGGTAATGTGCATGGCACATGGCAAGTGCTAAGTAAATGTTTGTTCTTTCCCCTCTTACCAAATTTCTCTGCTCCATGATTTTTCCCAGCCCACACTTACCAGCCCTGAGCTTTGCTACCCTTCAGAAAGTTGTTTTCAATTTGAGAAGAATGAGAATGAACTTTGTTTTAAGACCTTTAAAAGTATTCCCTAATACCATTTAAGAAAATGGGAGAGCCCCTGAATGGAGCAAAGTTGGGAATTCCCACCATGGGAAGAGAACCTTCTCTCTGAAATTTACAAGAAGAAAAGAGCTAAGGGTCTTCTCAAGGGAATCAGCCAGAAAGTAAAACCCATGACCTCTGAAAATTTCCAACCACAGATAATGCTCCACAATGCAGCAGCATCATGCTGCTATCACTTAACTGGAATCAGGATACAGGCATCTCATGGGGACACATTTCTGACTCTTTTCTAGCAGGTTATCTGTCTGGAGGGAGCTGCAGTCCTTGATCTGCTTAGTACCAGCTTTTCTGACATTTCAGCAGGAATGATGAAGAGGTTAGAGCTTGAGCTTGAGCTTCCTCCTTGCTGACTCCTTAAGACTCCCTTCCCTTCCTCCACAAGTTCCAGGCTTCAAGAGTAGCTTCAAGGGTCAGAGAAGGGAAGTCAACAGGGTCAATGTTGCTGCTTTGGCCAAATCACTTAATCATTTAATAACCTAGTCAATTAGGCCATCAACATAATACCTTTTTGGAGTGTTTACATCTACTGTGGAGATAAAAGCTCCTACCTAAAATTACTCTAGAAAACCACGTCTTTTGAGTTTTACTCAAAGGGTAAATCATAATTGATCAATTTAGAAGGTAAATTTTGAAAATTTTGAGAATAAGGGAAGGAAAAAGGAATGGAAAACAGATGAGATAGAGCTGAATAAAGCCTCCACTTTTGAAGTCAGGTCCAGAAATGAGAAGCAAGCAGGACAGCTCCCCTGGGAGAGGAGACATGCTGAAAGATGGCAAGGTACCAAGGAGAGCATTCATTCATGAGATTTGTACTTAGCTTTCGTGGAGGCATGGGCACTGTGCTGGGCATGGAGGGACAATGGCAAGAAGACAGTGGTGGCCCTGGCCTTCTCAATGGGGGCAATGGCATTGCTATTTGGGGTCTATTTTTCGTCATGCCAGACTGTTGTGTGCTTTGCAGAATTTTAACATCCCTGCCCACCCCCAGCTACCAGATGCCAAAAGTGCCCCTTAGTAATTGTGATAACCAGAAAGATCCTCCCTATTTCCAAATGCCTCTGTAGGCATTAGACTGCCCCCAGTTGAGAACTACTGAACTTGAGCATGATAGTTGCTGTAAGTAACATAGTACACAGCTCTCAGAGGAGTGCAAAGAACCCCAGCAGTGGTAGGAGCCAAAAAGAAGCCTGCCCTGAGACCCTCTTCTCCCTGATGGCATGTGCTGTCTACATCTTTCCCTGACCTGTGGACTCTGAGTCCGAAGAAGACAGGGTCAGCTCTGAGCTGCTGTGGAGATCTCAAAAGTCACTGGATTTAATGGAGTGGTTTAGGGAGTGCATATAATTATTTGAAGAAATAAGGAGAAACTATATGGGGTAGGGATTGGTTAGAAAGAACTCCTAGACATTCCTTGATAGTATGCAAGTTGGCCTAGTACAAGTTAATAGATGTAGAGCTGGCCCACAGCCCCACAAAAGGGGTGTACGTGGCCAAAGACACATCATTGCAGAATTCATGTTATCTGACAACTTTGGGAACCTGGCACACAGTTTTGTCCACTCTAAGCCCTCTTCCTCATTTTTAGGTTGCATGTGATTATTTGGGAGAAGAAGAAGGATGATGAGAAAAAGGGAAACTAACAATTATTGAGCACCTAGCATGGCCAGCCAAAGTACTAAGTATGTCCAAGTATGTTATTAATATATCACAGATACACTGAGTGATTTGTGAGAAGGAGCAGAAGCTTGGGAGTCAGGCACCCCCGGGTTTGAATTCTAGAACTGTGGCAAGTTACTTAATCTCTAAGCCACAGTTTCCTCCTGTGGAAAATGGGGATAAAAAACACTAATAACCCAACTTGCCTGGTTATTATAAGATTTCATAAAATAATAAATTAAAGCACCTGATACCAGAAAAAGACACTTAATAAATGGCAATTATACTAGTATTTGGTTTTCCTAACAACACTGGTAAGAAGGTATTCTCATGGTTCTACAGAGAAAGGAGGAAGACCTGAGACAAGATTAGGGCTGGGGATCTAAAAATATAGTAAAGAAAATCAATCATTTTATTTCAAGTTTCTTATTTATTTACTCAAGGTCCCTTCACCTGGGCTTTTTGAGGAAGAATTCCAGCAGTTGCTGTGACTCTGAATATTGAATATTGGCCCTGGAGAGCCCAGCTCTACTCTGTACTGGCCAAAACCCCTGGGATGGTGGTGGTGGAGGAGTGTTCTAGGTCAAACATATGGACAGGAAAAAATTAGAGAGTGTGCAAAGCAACGTGACCTACTAGTGAGGAGACATAAAACCATACCTTACTTAGATGGCTGGAGTTCCCTAGTATGTTAATAAGGAAGTGTGTTGGAGACCTGGGTTCTTGATAGCTTATGTTTAAATACTTCAAAGAGCTTACACTTGAAATAACTTGATTTGTTTCATTTGATCCCAGTGGGTAGACATGGGGCCAGTGAATATAGGTGACAGGGAAGCGTATTAATGTCCCTTATTGTAACTATGCCTAGAAAATTCTGTAAGGCAGAAAATGGGTCTTACTTTAGTGCCTGTAGCATCAGCACAGGGCCTCCCCAACATGGAGTGCCAAGGAGCACTAGCTGCTATCATCACTATGACCTGTCATCTGATTATTGCCTAGTCTTGGAAAAAGCAGTGGAGTCTGAGAAACTAATTTTTTCTTCATTGGCCCATGTGCGAAATACCTTTGTTAAACAATAAACAAACAAACAACAACAACAACAACAAAAACCAACCATGTCAGCCAGTGCTGAAACTCAGGACAGCTCATCTTTTAAAGTCAAGCAATAGGTTCTTTTCTCCTATCTTCAAAACCTCACAAAAACAAAGCAAAAGCAAAAACAACTGTTTCTATAAGGCTAGAAGGTTGTTTATGTAGTAAACCAAATAGCTATCCCTGAGATGATCTGAAAGCAAAATTTTAAGCTAGCTAAACATTGAGCCTGCTATGAAAGTTCATTCTAACTTCCTTTGACCTTCTTACAGCTGTGGTCCTCAGCATTCTGGTTTGTGGCAAGAAAGCATCGCTTCTCTTCTCCCATTTAGAGGGTCTAATGGCCTTATTTCCTCTGATGGTTTTTAATGAGGAATAAAGCCTTTACTTCACATCAGTTCCAAGCCCAAATTCTTCCCGCCTGATCCCTTAAATGCATGTTGTGATACATCTAGCAGATAAAGCTGATAAACCTGTAAAGTCTGCTGGGCCAGAAAATATAGAAACATCATCAGCTCTCTAGCTTGAGCTCACCAAAATGAATATTCCCCAAATGTAGCCTCTGCACAAAAGCAACTGTCTTAATTGCCTGCCTGTGACCAAGGAAATGTAACTAGAAAATTATATATATAGAACTGCCCTTATTCCTACTTCACATTTTCATTTACTCACTAATGCATTCCAAAAATGTCTATTGAGCCCCAACTACGTGTCAAAAACAGTCTCAAGTATTCAGCAACAATCACGTTTGCTGAGTATTTCCTATGTGACAAGAATGTGCTAAAGACATCATAGGCATTAACTCATGTGATCATCACAGCACCCTCTGAGGTAGGTATTGCTGTTCTCCTTATCTTGTCAATGAGGAAACTAGGACACAAATAAGTTAAGCAAATTTCCCAAGGTCACACAGATAATAAAGGAAAGAATTAGAAGTTTTTTGGGAGATAGTTGTTAGATGAAGGAAGAAATTTAACAATGATGATCAATACTTCCAAGCATTTTCTAGACTTTGATCAAGTATGCAAACCTATTATAGGTAGCAATTGAAGAATAAAAATGTTCTTTGCTGTCAGAAGACCTAGATTCTTCAAAACACACCTTCTGCAACTTGTTAGTGAGCCCTAGCTTTGGTCTACTTCAGCGGATTCCAGACTTCTCAGATCAAGGACCTCCTGTAAGTTTAAAAAATAAACCCATTTTGCACATTACTAATAAGTTAGAAAAATACAAAATAAAAGCTATTTTGAATTCAGTAACATTAAACATTTTTTTTCTTTTTTTCTTGAGGCGGAGTCTTGCTCTGTTGCCCAAGCTGGAGTTCAGTGGCATGATCTCAGCTCACTGCAACCTCTGCCTCCTGGGTTCAAACAATTCCTCTGCCTCAGCCTCCCAAGTAGTTGGGATTACAGGCGTGAGCCACCATGCCCAGCTTTTTTTTTTTTTTTTTTTTTTTTTCATATTTTTAGTAGAGGTGGGGTTTCACCATATTGGCCAGGCCAGTCTCGAACTCCTGACCTTATGATCTGCCCACCTCAGCCTCCCAAAGTGCTGGGATTACAGGAGTGAGCCCCTACACCCAGCCTTAAAATTTATATTTAATCAATGAATGAGTTAATTACTGTAACATAAACGTAACATAACATATACCATAACATATGACTAAATACTAGTCAGTCCAAAAACATTAAGCACTTGACATCTACATACAGACTTTTTGCAATAACTCTACATTACCCTGAAGATCCGTGGAGCTATAGGACTTCAGCCGAATCCTTTACTCTGTCTGAGCTGTAGTTTCCTCATCTCTAAAGTAGGGATAATAAGAGCTGTTATTTCTTCAAAGTATCTGAGAGAATTAATGTGAGACCAGCAAGAATTTGGAGGGCCTCTTGTCCTAGAAAGTACAAACATCATTTAAAATACAGTTCCTGACAAATACAGTTCTGATGCAGTTAAGAAGAGCAGACAGACATGAAAGAATTATTAAGCAGAGCAACCACTAAACTGAACTGTGCCTTCTAGAATCCAGTTCTAAAATGTGATCTGATCATGAAAAGGAGTCTGCTATCACCTTATACACACAGGGGAAATTCAGCTCCTTTAAAAGCTGTCAGAGATTTTTTTTTTTTTTTTTTTGGTGTCAGGAGGGCTACTATCCATGACTGAGACACTTGAAGTGACAGGGATTCACAGATAATTGTCTGGATTTAGATAAAACCCTTGCTTCTGCACTGAGACTGAAGTTGGGAAACAGGGGCGTGCACATATCATGGTAATTAGAGGTGTTTGGTTTGGTTTCGTTTGATTTGAAGCAGCAACTCATTTTTGTCGAATGACTACTATGGCAAGGAGGTTATGCAATTGTCCCCATATTAATATTTAATAATATTCTAATCCAAATGTAATTTAAGGCACATTTATCATGTAAACTGAAACTCACTGTAACTTAACTGGCTCAACCCCCCGCATAATGTCACAATCTTGTAGTTTTACGGCTTGCCTTCACATTTTCAGGAGGAAATTGACTCCAGGGGATGGAATCTTGGAAGAAGTTTCTTGAAGAAGTTTCCCTCATTGATGTTGGCTTGTGGGGAGCAGAATTTACTCCAGCCTCTCCCTTTGGGTTGTTGCATGAAAAAATAAGCCATTTCATCACTGCCAGGGCTCCCAGTTCACAGTGGTAAAGAATATACAACCTGTTAACTTACACGCCTTTCTTTTCCCCACTCCCAGGAAAGCTCCTGGTCCCATGAGTAGGGGAGTTCAGATTAATAATTAAAAGGGGCTAATCGTTTATTGAATATTACTAATTACATGAATTATCACTCTTAATTCCTACCCAAAGAGGGGATGCTATTTTATACCTGTCATACAGATGAAGAAACCGCACAGGTGAACTCCCCATGGTCATGCTGTTAGCAAGCAAGGTGGCTGGGGTTTCATCTCAAGCAGCTGCCCCTAGGACGTGGTTGTAACTGCTCCTGTATACTGTCTTGTGTGTTTGCCCCTAGCTTTCTAGGCTGCCGTTTCACCATGGTTGACATATTTTACATATTTGACAAGAGAACATGGTCCCAATAAACGGAGAGTCAACTGAATGGAAAGGAACAAAGCCGTTGGTTGTGATTTTATATGTGGCATTTGGTGACATGCTGGCAGGGAAAGAACAAGAGGAATGTCGGCAGGCGAGAGATGCTCATCCTTAAAGAAATTCTCAGAGCATGGTACTTAAAATCAGAAGTATCTTTAAAGATCAACTTTACTTTACAGATGAGAAAACAAAGGCTCAGACATTTGCCCACTATAAAAGAGCTGGTATGGCTGACCTGGGTCTCAACCACCCCACCCCACCCTGGTACAAAAAGGAAATACAGTTAAATGTTTCCTTACATCCCTGTCTTCCAGCCATCCTACTCCCCTGTCCAAAGGCAAATTCTATTAGCCAGTCTATTGTATCTTTCTGGAGATATTCTATACATATGAAAAATACACTTTTTTTTTTTTACAAAAATGATAGCACTCTGTAGAATTAAAGTACCTTGGCCTTTTTACTTAACTATACAGGTTGGAGATTGCTCCCTTATCAGAACTTATAAAGCTGCCTCATTTTTTTTCAAGTTAAACAGCTTTATTGAGGTATAATTTACATGATATACAATTCATATGTTTTAAAATATGCAGTGCGATGTGTTTTAGAAAATTTATACAGTTGTGCAACCATCCAAAAATCCAAGTTTGGAATAATTTCATCACTCCAGTAAGTTCCATTATGTCCATTAGCAGCCGATCTTGCTCCCACCCCTGGCCCCAGGAAACCACCAATCTATTTTCTGTCTCTATCGTTTTGTGCTTTTAGAAATTTCTTATAAAGAAAATCATTTGATATTTACTGTGTGTCTGGTTCCTTTAATAATATTGTGTCTGGCTTCTTTCTCTCAGTGTGATGATTTTGAGATTCATCCATTGTTTCATATGTCAATAGTTCCTTTTTATTGTTGAGTAGTATTCCATTGCATAGATAAACCAGCTTTTGCTTATCCACTCACCAATTTATGAGCCTTTGGATTGTTTCCAGTTGGGGGCATTATGAATAATGCTGCAGTGAACATTGCGTGCAAGTCTTCATGGGAACATATGATTTCAGTTTTTGAGAGTAGTTACCCAGGAGTAAAATGGCTGGGTTGTATGGTAAGCATATATTTAACTTTTTAAGAAACTACCAAACTGTTTTGCAAAGAGGTAGTACCCTTTTACATTCCTGCCAGCAACATATGGGAATTTCAGTTTCTCCACGTCCTTACCAATACTTCATATTTTCCATCTTTTTGGTTTTAGACATTTTACTGGGTGTGTAGTGATATCTCATCATGGTTTTAGTTTGCATTTTCGTAATCTAACAATATTGTATATCTTTGATGTGCTGATTTGCCATTTCTATATCTTTTTTAAGTATTTATTCAAAATTTGTGTCCATTTTTAAATTGGGTTGTTTCCCTTAAGAGTTTTAAAATATGTATAAAACAAGTCCTTTATCAGATATTCTTAAAACAAGTCCTTTATCAGATATGTTTCACAAATATTTTCTCCTAGTTTGCCGCTTGTCTTTTTATTTTTATAACGGTATCTTTTTCTTGAAGAGCAAAAGTCTTTAATTTTGATAAAGTCTAATTTATTAATGTTTTCATGTATTTCATGTTTTGCGTCGTAACTAAGAAATCTTTGCCTAAGCCAAAGTTACAAAGATTTTCTCCTGTGTTTCCCTATAGAAATATTAAAGTTCTAACACTTACATTCAGGCCTATGATCTACTCCAAGTTAATACATGTGTATAGTGTGAGATAAGAGCCAAAGTTCATTTTTTCTTTTGTTATGGATATGGAATCGTTTCAGTACCATTTGTTTAAAAGACTATTTTCCCCTCATTGACACCTTTGTCAAATCAATTGAACATATACTGAGAGTCCATTTCTGGACTCTATTATGTTCCCTCATTTAGTAGGTCTGCACAATATTCCATTGTACAGATGCCCTGTACTAATTTAACCAGTCTGTTATTAATGGACAATTGTGCTATTTCTAATTATTTTCTGTCCAAATAATGCTGTGGCAGATACATTGCATTGTAGGTATGTCTTTTTACATCTTATTTATATAGGATAAATTCAAGAGGAGTCAATGTTACATTTTGATAGACATTCACAAATTGCTGTCTGTAGATGTTCTGCTAATTCAGTTACACCAGAAATATCTGAGAGCTCTCTCCAGAACCCCAGAGATAAGTGTGTTAACAAATGTTTCATCTTTGCCGATCAAGTAAATAAAAATTGGTATCTCATAGTTTTAATTTGCTGCTTCTTATTATGAATTAAAATATCTTTTATTTTGTGCATGTTTATAAGCCAACTATATTTCATTTTATGTGAAGTATGTGTTTCATGTCATTTGCTCATTTTTCTGTTTATACTAAGCTCTTTGTGATACATGTTGCAAATGCTTCCTCCATTTTTTGTTTTGTTTGTCTTTTGGCTTTGTTTATTGAGTTTTGGCCCTGCAGAAGCTTTTTATTGTAATGCAATAAAATGCATGATAAATGTTAAGGCCTCTGCGTAAAACTAGAAAGGCCCTTCCTACTCTGCGATTCGAAAAAAAAATATCTCTACAGTTGTTATGTTTTCTTTAAGACTTTTTAAAGCAAAATTTTAAGTTCACAGTATATTTTTATTTTTAACATTTTAAGTCTTTCATCTATCTGGAATTTATTTTAATTTAAAAAATCAAGTAGGAATATAAGTTTATTTTTTTCCCAAATAGCTACCCAGTTGTCCCAATCTCATTAATTACATAATTCAACTTTCTCCGCTGATATACATGTTATTTTTATCATGTACTAAATTCCCATATACATTTTAGTTCACTGATCTGCCATCCATTCATGTGTCAGTACACACACTCAATCCTCTATTCTCTGACTCCAAGTAGCATTCTTTCCTGCGTTACTCACATTCTCAAAACAACACACAGTAAGTGAATGAAGTGCTTTATGAATTGCTAGTAGTAACACTTAAATCTTCTCTCATTTTCTCCCTGCCCCCACTAGCTAACAATATTCAAACTCTTTTTAACATCACTAAGAAAAATATAATTAGGACAGTAAATCTGTTTGGAAGTTTAAGAGATTGAACATCAGATACTACATTCTTGAGTCAAACAATTTGGGGCTAACCCATTGGCTCATAATCTTTTATAACAACCAGTGATTTTGGGTAGGCAGTGTGTGTATGTATACACAAGTGTAAGGTACATGTACCATGTACCTAGCGATAGCACTTCAGCAAACCACTGCTCCTCCCAAAATATCCATATTGCTTGAAGAGCAAATACATTTGGCATTTTATGTCCTAATCCTTCTGAAATGGGATTTTCTCACCATTAAATGTCCTTCCCAACTGCATGTATTAAAGATGTGATGCTGAAATTTCTCTCCTAGGAGACTCAAGGGGGAAAAGAGTCAATGTCAGTCATTCTAAATAGTGGGATGTGTCTGAACATATGGAGGATGTGAAGACACATGGAATGGGACTGCCTTCTGCAAAATGATGCAGTTTTGAGCAGAACTTTGTTACCCACAAAACTGGTGTCTCTATTCCTTCACAAACATCCCCATTTAGATCTGAGGCCCAGGCTGCCACCAGAAGAACTCTCTGCCCCTGGAGACTTCTCCCCAGCCAGAGACAGGTGATTGTGCCATGAAATCACTGGGTGCTAGGAGGGCTGCAGACCATGTTGGAGGAAACGCCTGCTTGCCTGCTGCATCACTGATTGTTTCCTGAATATCAAGAAAGACGATGCTGGGAATAGTCCCTCCTTGCCCAGATCTCTGAAAAGCCAGGTAGGAGGTGAGATTCTGGATATGCCTGCCAGCAACCTTTCAGAACTTTTCACATATTCCTCACCCTAAGAATTCAAATTCTAGCACTTCAGGAATCCTGCCTTTTTTTTTTTTTTTTTTTTTTTGAGACGGAGTCTCGCTCTGTCACCAACCCCGCCTTTATAGATTAAGCATAGAACTCTTTGGTACCCTAAAAATGTTCAATATATAGATTTTTTAGGATAATGCTAGAAGACCCTTCTTTGTACTTAAAAAAGAAAAAAACAACTGAAAAAGTTCTCTGGAAGTAGGGGTGAGAGGAGGAAATTCCACCGTGTCGTGGGAAAGAAAATGCCTGAACTAGAAAAACAGCAAGAAACAAGTGGTGGACACTATGGAGGTAGGCGTTCCATTAAACAGCGCTGAAAACCTGAAATTCCTCATCTCCCTGCACTTTCCATGGAAGGTGGCCAGAGGGCCTCAGTCACGGGAGAGATGCCATGGGCTCCATCCAGGCAGAGGCCCCATTTTGTCCAGGCTTCAGCAAACCAGAGGCGATTCCGGTCCTCTCCCTCGCTCTCTTCCGGCGCTGCTTCCTTCCCCCACCCCTCCAACAATAGTCTCCTCTTGATTTCTGTTCCAAGAGAGAACGGTGAGTCCCCAGTGCAAAGGAAACTCTAAGGATTCTTTCCACAGAGTTTTCTCACTGGGAAGAGGGAGGCGTGTGGACTGGCGTCTCCTCTTTGGCTGTGATGCTGGAGAAGCGGGTCCTCCCTTTCTCCCTGAGGAAGACACAGGGCAGACAGCAAGATTTCTCATCCTTATTCTCAAGCATTCAAAGGAAGAAAGCGGCAGAGTACGTTTTCTTCCTGGAAGAACTCTGCGGTGCCCTAATGTGTGCACTATGGTTTTAAATGTTTTTTTCAAGCTACTGAAAAAAGCTAAACTATTTTTTAGGGTAATCTGCCTGAAATACTCATCACTACCCTCCCTGGGGGCTTCCTTACCCTGAGCCAGCAGCTTGAATAATAAGCAGAGCCTTGGTCCCCTCTTCAGCTTTGTTAGATCTGGGGAAAGGCCTAGAAATCTGCCCCAGGTAACTCTGATGATTGGTGCTCAGAAAGCACCTGAAAATAATACCCTCGCCCTTTCTGAGAGTGCTAGGATCCCATGATATGGAGTTAACTTCATGGGAGAGATCACAGAAATCATGCCTACTGTTGCTCAGAGCTGAATAGATTGGAGACTTGTCCAGTAATGCCACTATTTAATAGGGAGGTATGTTGTCTTGGACAAGGTCAAAGTTAACAAATGGCTTTGTAACTCCTTGGAATAGAGTCCTACATTCCCTGATCAATCTGTGTGCAACAGTCCAAAACCATAAGGCAGTGCTGCTCAGACTTGAATGTGCAACTGGTCACTTGGAGATCTTGTTAAAATGCTGATTCTGATTCAGTTGATCTGCAGTGGAGCTGGGATTTATTCTGCATTTCTAACAAGCTCCTAGGTGGTGCCATGGTGTTGGTCTTTGGACCCCATTTGAAGGCTACTACCTTAAAGGATACATATTTGTTTTAAAGAAATTATTAGCTACAGATGACACTTTTTCCTTATAAGGAAACTGAAAACAAGCAACATTAATTTACTGACCTTGAGCAAATCACGTACTTTCTGTAGTTTATCTGTTAAACAAGGTGGTTGCCTTTCTTCAGCTCTAAGATGAGGAGAATAAGGCACGTACTTGAGAATGGGGTAAGTGAAATGAAGTATCTAAAGTTCTGAGGAGGCCCCAAACCTAGTAATGACTCCTCCATAATTGTTGGCGCTGGTGGTGGCAGTGCCGTTGTTGGTAAATCACTCTCCCATTTAGTATCAGTGGCCATCAAAGAATGAGGTCAGAGTGGGGCCATAATCTATCAAAGGAATATAGGAGAATTGCCCAGTATTCTCTTTGTGTGCCCTGGTACTTGACACTAAAGAGAGATTCTATCAATGTTAATAGAGAGTGCCTTTTCAGTTTCTACTCCAATTAACAGACACCTAGAACCCCAATGTTGTTAAATGTAAAAAGCATCATCCAAAATCCCAACTTTTGTTACTAGGTGTTTAGATTTGCCACTTTAAATTTGCCAAATAAGTATAAAACTGACTCGATCCAGTGGTTTTGGCCTTCTTCAATTGGCTTGAATTAAAGAAAGGAAAGGGTATTGTGCTCAACAAGGGTATCACATTTCTCTCCCTGAATTTACCCCATGGTGTTTTGTCAATTCAGCCCAAGTGGCATTCCTTTAGCTTGGATTCACAGCCTTTGCCTATAACAAACCAGAGAGCTGAACACTTCCTACAAGGCTGGATCCTGGCTCACAGCTCTTTTAGTCAAGGAAAAACAAATGACCGTTCTCTGTCTCGCCAAAAACAATTTGCAAACCCATCATCTGCCCAGAAAATAAATGGAAAATAAAATGCAACAACAGTCTTTTCTGTGTATCTATCTGATAAATGTTAATTTCCCATGAACAAATGGGTGGGGGTGCTTGCCAAGACGACATTTTAATACACATGTAGCAGCCCCATGCACACAACAGCAGAACAAGCCCATATAGTTCCAGTCAATTCAGGTGAGGGATAAATCCATCAAGCTGGCAGTTTGGCATTGTCTAGACTCCAGAAAAGTTTGACTAACTTTTTTTTTTCAAATTAATGGCTTCATTTGGCATTGTATAAAGATAGCATCTTTCATTCTACAGCCCACTGATTCATTAACTCATCTATTTAACAAATATTTATTGTGCATCTATGACAGGCTCTGTGCTATTGTAGGCCCTGGGCAGACAGCAGTGGACAAAACAAAGTCCCTGTCCTCATGCTGCTTCCTTTCTTGTGAACTTATGTATTACACATAACGCTGGATGAAGACATGTTCTTATTCTTTTATGTAAATACCATTGTTTTATGTAAATGTATTTGGTTTTTGAATAGTCTAAAAGAACAGCCTTCATTAGGCTAGTTGTTTCTGAGGGTGCACATTAAAATTATTTGCTGTCTCTATGTTCCTGTCAGAGGGAGATCTGTGTCCATTGCTGCTTTATTTCATTATCCATATAAACATATAAGAAAAAAATGAGTGATTTAGGTAAAAACTCAATCAGGAAATTTAGAACAACTTTTTCTATAAGGTTTATATTTTCCTTATAATTGAAGCATACAATATGACCTGTGAATGCTGATTTTTCAAACACCATTATCAATCTTTTTGCCTTTCTACATCACCATTAAATTAGGGACAAGGATCTAACTTGTAAAATAGGCTCATCACAGCACACGTTGTAAAAAAATAAGAAACAAAACCTTATGAGATAGAATCTACTAATATTTTTTAAAGGGAATAGAAAAAGCTTAGTATCTGTGTTTTTCTTGATTAACAAATACATGCTCACTCTAAGATGCAAATAATATAGAAATGGATAAATCAAAAAGTGCTATTCCACCGGGCGCAGTAGCTCATGCCTGTAATCCCAGCATTTTGGGAGGCCAAGGCAGGTGGATCACTTGAGGTCAGGAGTTCGAGACCAGTGTGACCAACATGGTGAATCCCCATCTCTACTAAAAATACAAAAAATTAGCCAGGCGTGGTGGCGGGCAGCTGTGATCGCAGCTACTCGGGAGGCTGAGACAGGAGAATCACTTGAACCTGGGAGGCGGAGGTTGCAGTGAGCCAAGATTGTGCCACTGTACTCTAGCCTGGGTGACAGAGCCTGACTCTGTCTCAAAAAAAAAGTGCTATTTATATTGATTTATAATGTTTACAGATCTAAGTAATTGATCTTGTGATTTACATATGGTTCTAGAACACTGATCATTATCATCAGATTGCTCAACCGGCTAGGACATTCCTTATTCCATAATACTAATAGCTTCTAAAATAACATTTGATATACTCAGAACTATCTTCTAGAGAGAACATCCAGTGCTGAATAGGAATTCCATTTAAAAGCATGGCTCTTAAAACGAGCATTTACAGTTAATGTTAATGCCATCCAGAAGAAGACGGAGCAAGACACTGACCATCTGTTTTGGAGAATCACAGCATGTCAGCAAAAGGGTCTCACAGATCATCCCATGAAGTGGACAGGGCAGGAGGAGACTATAAACAAGCCCGTAGGTGAATTCTAATACACACACACACACACACACACACACGCACACCTCGAAAATTACTTATTTATCCCATTTTGTCATTTCACAGATGAGAAAATTGAGATCCAAGCAAGTAAAGCAACCTGTCAAGTCATGCATATAGGAAATGCAGAGATTGGATGAGAACAGCAGTGTTCTGACTCCCAATCTGGTCTTTTTCTACTCCACCAAGCCACATGAGAGGGCACCTTTTGCACGTTAGTGCAGAACAACTCAGCTTCGATTTGTCCCTAAGGTTAAGTGTCCAAACATGTCTCTGTTGTTTCACAAGCTCTCAGTCTAACAAAAGGACCTGAATGGCTTTGGTTATTGGTGGTAGATTTTTTGTTATTCTTGCTGTTGTGTGTTTTGCTTTTGGAAAGTGGAGAGAAATTTAACTAAGACCTAAGTAAAAGTATCATTATTACTTGACAAACTAACGGTCATACAGGTTTTAAAGTTTAGAGTGAAAGAAAAATAGCAGTTGGATCAATCAGGCACCACACACACACATGCACACACGCACGCACACACGCACGCACACACACATGCGCGCGCACACACGCGTGCATGCACACACACACGCACACCCATGGTGATATATAGTGTTCTGTTTCTCTGTGTGAAGGTGAGTGGCTCACTGTTACAATGTTTGAGGAGAGAGAACCCCAAGTGTGCTCAGCCCTGGGCAGGAGGAGAATGTGTCACTTTAAGTCCTTTCCTCTTTAGCTGAGTCATGGTACAACCACGATGGTCTCCAAAAAAAGTGTCTCCAGCCCTCCACAACCAGGGAAAAGGTCACCAATAACACAGAGCTCAAGCAGTTGGGGAAGTGGGTGAAAGGGAGAATAAAATGTCCACAATATAACTGAACTCTCTTTGCACGTTCATCTAAGTTGAAAACTTTTATCCCGAGACAAACTTTCCCCTGCATTGAGCTGTGTTGAATACAGCTGCATTCAGTGAAGCTAAATCTGCCATTTCTGCCATTCGTGAAGATGAATATCAATACATTAAACTCTACACTCTTTTATTTTATAAGAATTTAGAATTTAGAATATCTTCACTCAGTGTGTGCCCAACTCTAAAGCTGTGAGGAATAATATCTGCTCTGATAGATCCTTGGTATAGTATTAAGCAAGAATAATGACACAAATTATAGGAGACTCATTCTGTTCTCTGTATTAACAAAATACAGTACTCTTCAGTGTTAATATATGACCCTTAAAAAATATATAACTGACACTGATTGACTCCTACTACTTGCCAAACATTATGTTAAGTGTTTTATGCCGATAGTTGTATTTAATTCTCACAACTCCATTATGTTGACGCAATTTTACATTTGGGGACACTGAGATTTAGAGCAGTTAAGTACCTGCCCCGAGGCCCATAAACAGTAGGCAACGAAGCTGAAATTCAAACCAAAAGTAGTACAACAACAGAGACTGTGCTCTACTCACTCTAATTTGACTCACATCCCAGCACACAGATCTACAGGACACACATCCTAACATAATTTAAAATGTGTATAAGAAATTGTAATTTAGTTATGTGTACAGTTTTGGCAGAAATTAACGAATAAAATACTGTGTGTCTCAAATTCTGGATCACTTCAAACTGGAATTCCCCCAATGATATCACAAAAGAGCCTCTGATGACCCCCAAATAATCACACACTGGAAGTTTCCACAAATGCCAACTCACTCTTTGGCGGTGAGTGAGTAAAGATAGATTGAGTGGTAGTGACTTCGATGAAACTAGTCGATGGCTTTTATTCTTCGGGTAGCTAAAATTCATTTCCCCCAGTATCCAAGAAATATTTTCACAGCAATGACTTAACAACTTAAATGGAAATATTGAATACACTTTTTTCTTTAAAAGAAAACTGCATATCCTCAGCTTCTTAATCTCAAGCCATAGTCATGCTAGCAGTGGGGCTGTTTTCTGAGCCACTGGCCTACCCACCTTGTGCTTTCCTTGTCTTTAATTTAATTGCCTTCCTTGTCTTTAACAAATGACTCTGCTGTCATTTGTTTCCTATTGTGTTGCATCTGATGCTTTTACTCAGTAAACAAAACTAGAATGTGTTCTGTGATGTTGTTTTAGTTGAGCACAAAATTCAATACATTATCAAGAGAAATGAAACTGAAAGGAGCAAGTCAAGATCGCAGACCTGCGTTTTCTTCTGGGGCCACAGTTGCTGATAAATGATGCAATAATGCCCTCGACAATCTATTCCAGCTACCTCTTGATCTGAAGATCTATGGAAATGGAGTAGTTAGGGGAGGTGGTAGGGTAGCAGTAAAACACTTTCAATTGTTATTAGAATAATTTTGCATCCGCAAGCTGGCAAACGCTATTCACGTCTCTTTACATTGCTCGTTTTATGATGCTCCTAAAGAAAATCCTTGAAAAAAGGAGAAGAAAAAAGAGGTCTGACTAATGGAACAAAAGCTACATCACAGTCTAGTTCTGTCATGTTTTCTCATCCTTAGTAAGATGATGGTTCAATTTTGAATAAAGATTAATTACTTGAATGTGGTTAAAGCATAGTCTAGCCAAATTAATTTTTAAAATGAGAGTCCAGCTATTTTTATCTTATTCTTCACATCCCAGGTGATTTCAATCAGTAAATTTCATAGCAGTGAATATTTTTAAAAAGTATGCTTGGCCATTGGCTTTTACCCATTCGGCATCTCTCTGAATTAAAGTATTAATATTGGGAAACATAACGAGTCTCTCGGAGTGACCTTGCTGACCTATTTTTGACAACATGATTTCGGCTCCCTCATGGCTTGCGATGATAGGTGCTGGTAACATTATCCTTTATGACTAATCTAATTGAAGCAAGTTAGACTTTTAAAAACTAGTTGTGTATGTTAGCTTGACTAGCTTGCTACGCCCTATTTGGTGCTTGGAAAACCAGGCACTGGGTGAATGCTTTTCAATTGCGTCTGTAACTTAGTTTTTCCCTCCTACTGACATAAATGATCCATCTTAATCCTCCCATTCTAGCTGCATATTGTTTTCCAAAACTAAAGCTATATGCCCCAAAACCTTTGCCTTCTATCATGTGGCAGATGACATCTTCCACTGACAGTGAATAATAAATTTACACTCAACCCGCATGGGGAACCTGAACACATAAGCTCCCCACATGCAGAACTATTTCCAAGTGACATTCCCTTCTCTCTTTCCCTTCTACTTCAGTGATGCAGAATAACCATCATATAACAATTAACAATCCTCCTTTAGGGGGATGCTGAATGGAAAGAAAAGAACAGGAGAAGGGCACCTCAATCCAGGTAACGTATTAACAAAAACCCCAGAGCAAACCACAGTCCTTAACAGACACCCTGATAAGGCTCCCAGGACACAGTACTGAGGAAGAGCAAATTCTCCAGTGGGACACATCTCACACGCCAGTGGCTCCTGGTTCTCCCAGCCACATGATCTGTGCCAAAATTCAGATTTAACGCAGTGTCCTCTTTAGTCCCAATGTAATTCTATTTCTAGTTTTGCCAGCCTTAGTTCTGCAAAGCATCAGTATTCTCTTACCAAAAAAAAGTATTAGCTGAAATTCTGGGCCATCTATCACTTATACCCTTTGGTTAAGGACTACTCCCAGTAAGGTATTTTCTGTTGAAGATGCCCACAGCAGTATCCACCCAGGAACCTTGAAAAGGAAGCAGAAATGATTGCATGGGTAACTTACCAGCTCCTGAGGTCTGAATGGCTGCAGCAGCCCCACTCCTTTACCTGATCCCTGCTCTCTCTGTCTCTCTCCCTCTCTCTCTCCCTCTTTCTCTTGTGTACAGATTGCAGGGAACTTAAAGAACTCGCAGGGACAGTGTTTCGAATGACTTAAGAAAGAGAACAGGAACAATACTTCGTTCTCTTTTTCTCAGATGAGTACCTTCGGGAAGAAGGAAGGAAGGGAGGGGAGAGGGAGGAAGTCAACAACCCTTTGCTTTCCTGAAAAAAAATAAGGAAACAGAAGATAGACATCTCATTTTCTCTTAAACAAAATGTTGGAAGGGGCAAAAAAAAAAAATCTTTGAAAAAAGGAATTCCTCAAATATGTTCTCTGCCCTGGGAGCTTTAAAGAGATGAAACGCCTTAGTGGCCTGTCCTGTCCAAACAAACGGTGTTCCAGACAGGCAGGCTCTCCTGAGCCTGCAGCCTCTGGTATCTGGTTTGCAGAACTGACACAGCCGAAAGGGAACAAATCATGTCATGTCGACTTAGAGCAAGGGAGAGCTTGGCCTGTTGTGCTAACCAAGGTAAACCTGCAGCCTGTAAGACAGTGTCGGGGCTGGGCAGCCAGGACTCCTGGCTTTTCTTAGGCCCTTTGAAACACCAGCATTGCTGCAATTCCTCGCTGACTCTAGATCCTTAGAGTTTTTCCAGGATCAAATAGCAGATTTATGCCCACCGAACTTTATACAGTGGACCCAATCCAGCTTCCATCACTGATGGATGAAAAAGGAAAAGAAGCAACTAACCACAACTGCTGCCGGCCATGGTTATCTCAGATCTGTTGTTTATATTATTCTATCCTCTACATTCCTAAGGCGTCTTGGATTTAATCACCTCTGGAAAACTGGAAGGAGATTTCTAATTTGTTTTCAAAATACTGTGAAGCAGCATAGGGTTTAGATAAATCAGCCATGGTGTTCGAAAAAAGATAGGGGAGGCAGGAGCAGTTAAAATGGAGGGAGTAACCTTTATCAAGGTAGAAGACTTGGGGCTTCAGCAGGCAGGCATGAGCTTGCTTAGGCTAGTTGCACTTAGGAATAAGCTTGGTTTTAACTTCTCTGATTTGTGTTATGTCTCTTGTGTCCCTTATTCATCTGGTTAGGACCATTTTCACTGTGAACAGGAACCAGCAGTTATGTAGACCTTTGTGGCAGCAAAAGAAAAACCAGCCTTACACTACTTCCTCATTTCACCCAACTGTGAAAAAAATGGGGTGGACAGATACACCTGATTGCAAAGAGTCATGAAAGTGAGTTCAGGGGAAGAATGATTCTGATTCAGTGACCCTGTAAGATTTTGATTGAGTCCTTATTGGCCTATAGGATTATGTTTTTATTCTGACAGATATTTTTCTATCATCTATCTGTCTATCTATCATCTATCTATCTATCTATCTATCTATCATCTATCTATCTAATCTATCCATATATCTATCTATCTCCCTGTCTATCTAGTTATCTGAATATGTGTGCATGTATCAGAGAGAGACATGAAGATTTTGTTACTCGGTAGGTGTGCACAAGCCAGAGCAGAGTCCCATTCCTTGCATCCGCCACAGCACCAACACTGGCACAACCCATGGCACTGAGTTCTGGCCTGGGTGACCCAGCCTCACCAACAGTGGGGAACACGGATGACCAGAGACAGTCTCTTTGGTTCGCTTAGAGCCACACGCCAACACGTTCCTGTCTCCTGATCCCGGCTCTCGGGCTCTTTGCCCTCTGCTGGCCTTCCTCTACATCCTGCCTTTGTAGAAATGGGAAGGGAAATGAAAATGAAAATCTGAGAAAGCCAGGGAAGGGCATGAGGGAATGGAGCAGGAAGGCCTAGGAATGGAGTCTTTTAAAGGGGGAGAAACACTGGGGCAAACCTTTGAGTAACCGGAGGTGAAACAAGCAGGCAGCTGAAATTCACAATAAAAAAGCAGACGTCCTTGGGAGTGAGGTGGGGTGAGGAGAAGCAATAGGGAGGGGGCAAGGTGTGCGGGGCATCAGCAGCAGAGGAAAGGAGGGACCCAAGGAACAAGACGCTCATGGTACCAACTCCTCACAGGCAGGAAACCGCCTCTGATCACTTGAAGAATCCATTGCAGCTGCACACAGGCCTTCCCATATTTTTACTCCTCTTTGCACCCTCAAGGCAAGGCCAGGGCTGAGCCCCAGGAGTCCAGGCAGAATCCAAAGGATTTCCCTTTTAAGTCTGCAGAATGTGGGGACTGTCACGTTGAGGCTGTGTTGTTGTCTCCAGGCCAGCTGACCCGCCCAGACAGCCTGGATGGGGACATGTGCCATTTCAGGCTGCACGGCTTTGACTGAATGGGGCAGCATCCAGTCGGGATCTGACATCATCCCCGCAGCCAGCCAGGGGACTCTCAAGGCTGCCTTGTGCCAAGCTGCTCCATGCTCACACCGCGTTGCAACCCTGCCTGTGAAATTCACAGAAAAGGCTTTTCCCTCTTTCCTTGTGCTGCCAGTCACCTGAACAGTCACCCTCTAAAACTTGTGAAACCACCCACTGGGTGTCAGGAGCAGAAATTCCTAACCCTCCCATTAGGTTTGGCAGGACAGATTTCTGATCAGTCCACTGGAGCTCTAACTCTGTCCTGGCCTATCTGGATCCTGACTAAAAGTGAAGGATCCAACTGAGACGCATGAGCAGGAATGGCATATGGCCTTGGCTCTCACCCCTCAGGAAAGCCCCATGTTGCACAGCGTATCATAGAGATCACTTGAGTAGAGAGAGGAGCTGCCCACCCCTGGGACGAGATAGGAGGACAGGAGAGAAACCTAGGTGAGGACAGTGCTGTGACCCTAACCCTCAGAACCAGCACCACAGAAATAGGTGCTCTACTCAAAATGGCGTCCTGCCTCTGAAGCGTCCTAATTTGTATGGCACCAGCTTCCAATGACACAGACTCTGGGGTTATCTGTTGACTCCCAGACTAACTTGACTTCAGGTCATGGAGGTAGCAGCGTAGGAGAAAATGGAGAAAGGTTTGGAATAGAACATATTCTTCAGAAAAGTACACAAAACGTAAGTGTACCGGTCAGGGAACTTCACAAAAGGAACATATCTGAGTAGCCAGCCCTCAGATTAAGAAAGAGGACAGAGGCCCCCCAAGCCCCTCCTGTCACTACCTCCTCTCAGGTGCCCTGACTTCCAGCACCTGACATGGATGCACATTACCTGGTTTTGAATTTACATGAAAATGGCATTGGCTTGCACTTCATTTGGTTTCTTTGCCTCGATAGTATATTCATGGGATTCGTCCCTATTGTTGAGTGTAGCTGTGGCTCATTCGCTCTCATTGCTGGATAGGGTTTCATTCTGTGAATATACCACCATTTAGATGTCTGTTCTACTTAACACAGACATTGGATTGTTTCTAGTTTGGAGCCATTACAAATGGGCTGCCAGGAATATTCTTGTCCCTGCCAGATGTCTTTTTAGAAGCCTGATGCAGGACTCATCTCTCTCCAGGAAGATTGGCCACTCCAGTGACTCAGTCTTTCTGTTTGGTATCCTTTGGCACTCACTTCCTCTCAAAGGGGATGCATAGCATAGATTTAAAAAAAGAAATCAAATGACTTTGATTTGAGGACACGGCCATGCCTTTGGAGACACTGGCAGAGTTCCTGAGGCGCTTGGGCACTGGTTAGGAGCCACTGTTCTCACTTCCTGCAGCAACCTGGAGATGCTAGTTCCTGCTGCTCTGAGTCATGCTCCAGCGGCTCCCCATCTCCACTACAGATTCGATGGAAAATGTGTCTCTCCTCCCCGCTCTGGGCTTCTCACGAACATGCTGAGTTTTGTTATATGAAAGTGCAGGGGGGATGGCGCAGTCCCCGGCCTGAAACTGCTTTGAAACTTCCTTAGTTTCTTTGATTTATTGTCTTCAACTTGCCAAACCCCCAAAGCCTCCAAGTCCCAACTCTCAAAAATGTGAGAATGTTCATTTCTTTTTTCCTTTTAAATTTTTTTTTAGCATGAAAAGATAATATGAAGGATTCATTTAGACAAGTTATTGAAGAAAGTCTATTTTATGCATCCAGTTTTTTCATATGACAAGTGGGGATAAGAACACATCTATTTTGTACAGTATTTGGAGTAAATAAGAATAGGTTAACATCTTTCACATACTTACCATGTGCCAGACACTTCTAAACACTTCACACATCAAACCAACTTAGTCATCACAACAGTCCTATGAAGTAGGTGCTATTATCGTCCACCATCCCCCTGCCCTTTTTACAGATGAAGGAACTGAGTAATGGAGACATCATACTACCTCCTTGATACCACACAAATAGTAGATTTCAAACCCAGGAAATTCTGGCTCGGAGCCCTAATTTTTAACCACAAAGCTAACATACCTTGCTCTCTAAACTAGCACTGCATGTCGCATAGTAAAAACTAATGACTGCTCCCTAAAATTGGAGAACCACAGGTTTATAATAGACACAAAGGTTCATTGGGCAACCCTTTAATAAGCATGTCTTATGGACCAGGAAGCCCCATGCTAGGTGTGGTTAACGTGCTTCTGGATTTTATTGCCTCGTAGAGGAGAGATACGTTAAATAAATCAAACAAACCATACCTGAATACCTAAACAGTTACCACGGCAGTCAGTGCTCTGAAGATTAAGTCTGGGAGTTACAAGAGCATATAGCAGGGGACCAAATCTGGGCAAGAAGGTCAGGAGGCTCTTCCTGAAAATGGCATGTCAGCTGAGACCTCAAGAATGAGCATGAGTCAGGGAAGATGGTGAGGAGCAGCTCATGCAAGGGCCAGTCAGACAGGTCTGGGTTCAGATTGTGACCTTGATCCTGAGAAGGGTGGGAAATCATTAAAGATTTTACTAAGGGTATAGAATGATCAGGTTTGCATTTCAGAAAGACTATTTTTGGTCACTGTGCAAAGAATGAAGGAGGACAAGAGTGGGAGCAGATGAGCAGCTGTAAAAATCTAGGCTAAGTTCAATCCTGCCAATAGGGCCTATCAAGAGACATAGGTGGGCGTGTTGTAACCACCCAGTGGGTTCACTTTGCCTGCTGCCTAGACAGAGCCCATTTATCAAGACAGGGGAATTGCAGTGGAGAAAGAGTAATTCACACAGAGCTGGCTGTGAGGGAGACTGGAGATTTTTTATTACTCAAATCAGTCTTGCCAAGCATTTGGGGATTGGAGTTTTAAAAGATAATTTGGCGGGTAGGGGCTTGGGAAGTGGGGAGTGCTGATTGGTCAGGTTGGAGATGGAATCACAGGGGGTGGAAGTCAGGTTTTCTTGCTGTCTTCTGTTCCTGGGTGGGATGGCAGAACTGGTTGAGCCAGATTACCAGTCTAGGTGGTGTCAGCTGATCCACCCAGTGCAGGGTCTGCAAACTATCTCAAACACTGATCTTAGGTTGTACAACAGTGATGTTATCCCCAGAAGCAATTTGGGGAGGCTCAGTCTCTTGGAGCCAGAGGCTACATGACCCATAAACTGTAATTTCTAATCTTATAGCTAATTTGTTAGTCCTGCAAAGGTAGACTGGTCCCCAGGCAAGAAGGGGGTCTTTTCCAGAAAGGGCTATTTTCAATTTTGTTTCAGAGTCAAACCATGAACTGAATTCCTTCCCAAAGTTAGTTCAGCCTATGCCCAGGAATGAACAAGGACAGCTTAAAGGTTAGAAGCAAGACGGAGTCAATTAGGTCTGATTTCTTTCACTGTCGTAATTTCCTCAGTTATAATTTTTGCAAAGGCGGTTTCAATGTCAGTGCCTGGAGAGGTCATAGGACAACCAAGTTTGAGAGCTGTGCTCAGATGTTGTATGACAAGAGTCTATTGGAGAATTAATATAGGCAATGCCTGGCCTAAGAATAACTGGCTTATGAAAGCTTCCTACTTTCAAACAGCAACATCTACCATTGCCCTGCCATCCCCAATTTCCAGAGCCTCCAAAGCTGAGTGCCTACCCTCCTTTATTCCACCCCAGCCTCCTGTCTGTTTGCCTTGCCTTGCTGTCATTGTCCCATGTCTAAATTTCTCAATACTCACCCAACAGAGAGCTCCTTTTCCTTTAACACACACCCAGTGCTGTTACCAAAAAGCTAGTGGCATCCTCCAAGCTAGCCCAGGAGTGGTAAGTGGGAGGGATGGAGTAGAACTCAGTGTTTGAACTACTAGCATTGGGGAAAATGTACCCCAGGCGTTCCATGTAGAACCCAGGCTGAAATTTCTAAGAAAACTGTTACACTTTGTAGATTGCTGGTGTTATAACAGAGTTCCAGCACATATGGTTTTAAGAACTAGTCTGGGGATATAGGAAAGAAACTCTCAGTTTTTCCTGCTATGCTTTCACAACACAGAACACTTCTGACACCAGATGTATGAGAGTTTTCCCCACACACCTAGGAATCAACCAATTCTTCAGTAGACACCAGTAGGGTGTCCTAATTCAATTCAGTGTCCACACTATCTACCTAGAGACAGTATCAGATCCCACAAGTTGAGGATTCAGTCCTATGATACTTTCCTCCACTTCAGATGCCAATCAAAAGCCCCAGGTTGTTTCACCTGTACTTCTGACTAATCAGCTATAAATCAGTATGCCCATGACCCCCTCCTCAGGTTCAATTAATTTGCTAGAGTAGCTCACAGAACTCAGGTTACTTACATTTACTAGTTTATTATTAAGGATATTACAAAGGATACCAATGAACACCAGATGAAGAGTTGGATAGGGCAAAATATGGAAGAAGGAGGGCGAAACTTCCATGTCCTCTCTGGGCATGCCATCCAGAAGCTCTCAAACCCAGTCCTTTTGGGTTTTTATGAAAGTTTCATTATATTGGCATGATTGGGTAAGTCATTGGCCATTGATATCAATTTAACCTTCAGCCCCTCTCCCCTTCCTGGAGGTAGGGGGGTGAGGCTGAGAGTCCCAATTCTGTAATTACAACTTGGTCTTTCCTGTGACCAGCCCCCATTCTGAAGCTACCTTGGGCTGCCGGCCACCAGTCAACTCATTAGCATACCAAAAGACACATCATTTTGAAGATTCCAAGGATTTTAGGAGTTGTATGCCAGGAAATGAGGACCAAGGCCAAATATATATTTCACCATATCACAACTGGCTTGCGGACTTAACCACCAAGGAACATGCAGTCTGAGCTCCAAATATCTGGTATGAGCAAACAAACATTTTTAAGTTGGGGAATGGCTGTAGTCATACTACAAGTAAAACAAGTCCTCCTTGTTTACTCTTTTTTTTTTTTTTTTTTTTTTGAGACAGAGTCTCGCTCTGTTGCCCAGGCTGGAGTGCAATGGCACAATCTCAGCTCACTGCAACCTCTGCCTCCCAGGTTCAAGTGATCCTCCTGCCTCAGCCACCACTAGTAGCTGGGATTACAGGCACGTGCCACCATGCACAGCTAATTTTTGTGTTTTTAGTAGAGACAGGGTTTCATCATGTTGGCCAGGCTGGTCTCGAACTCCTGACCTCAGATAATCTGCCTGCCTCAGCCTCCCAAAGTGCTGGGATTACAGGCATGACCTTGTTTATTCTCTCTTGGATTGCTTGCTTTGGGGGTAAATTAGCAGCCATGTCATGAGGATACCCAGGTAACCCATGGAGAGATCCACATGGAGAGAAACGGAGGGCTCCTACTAACAGCCTTTTGAGTGCACTGTCAACTGTGGGTTTATTATTAGGCTAATCATTCTCCAGTATTCATTTCCGTAATTTAGTAAAGCTCACCTTTTCACAGTCTCCTCCAGAGAGGTTGTAAAGCCTTTTCCTCTGCTTGTAGGCTCTCTTCAAGCATTCTAAATGCTTATTTATGTGTCTGTGGCACACCAGGGACAGGAAATAACTTTATTTATTTTTATACATTAAATTAAATATGATTAGAGTTCCCCTCCTTGACAAAGTTGGCTAACAGTTCTATATCATTATTTTTAATGGATCCCACATGGATCCTTCCTTAGGTAGTCCCAGACCTAGGGCTCAGGCAGTTTCAGGAAGACAGCACCGAGCCTTTATCCACGCTGGGTCATTCATGGTCCTCTCAAGGGGGCTGGTTCCCCTGGTGACTCTACACACTCAGTGTCAAGTTCCACCACAAGAATGTCTGCCAAATCTATTTGACTATTGCCTCACGCCCAGATCGCCACAGTTGCCCCTGTCATCTCTACAGTCCTATGCAGGTGTAATGCAAGGTTGCTGCCACTCTAAGAAAACCCACAACGTGTCTCATTTCCCAATCTTCTGGGATTCAACTCACACCAGGGGTCAGGCTTCTTTCTTCAATTCCATTGCCATGTCTTCCAGTCTCATTAAATCTAGATCAGTATTTAGCTCTAAACTCAACTTTTTAAATCATCCAAGCAGGTAACACACATGTGTTAAATAAGTGTGCTATGTTTAATACAGAGGATTTGGTGGGGAGTATGGCAAATTAAAGAGTTTGTGTTCAATATAAAGTGTTTTGTGAGCACATAGGCCTAGTGTGACCATATTTTTTTTAAAAAGTAAGAAAAAAATCTGAATACTTATGTGGAATCTACAATTTAAAAATTTTAGAATTGGGCCAGACATGGTGGCTCAGGCTTGTAATCCCAACACTTTGGGCAGCCAAGACCATAGAATTGCTTGAGGCCAGGAGTTTGAAACCAGCCTGGTCAACATAGCAAGACCCGTCTCTACAGGAGAAAAATAAGAAAATTAATTTAATTTTTTTTTTTTGATGGAGTCTCACTCTGTCACCCAGGCTGGAGTGCAGTGGCCCAATCTTGGCTCACCGCAAGCTCCGCCTCCCAGGTTCACGCCATTCTCCTGCCTCAGCCTCCCCAGTAGCTGGGACTACAGCTGCCCACCGCCACACCCGGCAAATTTTTTGTATATTTTTAGTAGAGACGGGGTTTCACCATGTTAGCCAGGATGGTCTCGATCTCCTGACCTCATGATCCGCCTGCCTTGGCCTCCCAAAGTGCTGGGATTACAGGCATGAGCCACTGCGCCTGGCCAAAAAATAAGAAAATTAGCTGGGCAGAGTGGTGCACGCCTGTGGTCCCAGCTACTTGGGAGGCTGAGGTGAGAGGATTGCTTGAGCCTGGGAGGTCAAGGATGCAGTGAGCAGTGATAACCCCGCTGCACTCAAGCCTTGGCAACAGAGCAAGACCCTCTCAAAATAAAATAAAATAAAATAACTTAAGAAAAAAATAAATTATATGTGTGAAGGGGACCTAGTGTTAGGGTTTTAAAATACGTCCCCAAATTCTTTGATGTTCCTTTCTTTGAGAGATGACATCTAATTACCTATCCTTTCAGTGTGAGTTGGACATAAAAGCAGGATAAGGCAGAAGTGACAGTAAGGGACTTAGAAGACATAGTCACTGAAGGCATTGGGGTTCCCTCCTTTTTTACACTTTCTTGGATTGCTTGCTTTGGGGGGAAATTAGCAGCCATGTCATGAGGATACCCAAGTAATCTATGGAGAGGGCCACATGGAGAGAAACTGAGGCTCCCACTAACAGCCTTTTGAGTGCACTGTCTTGGCAATGGATCCAGCATCCAGCCCAGTCACACTTTTAGACCATGGCAGCCCCTGCCACACTGAATGCAACCTCATCAGAGATCCTCAGCCAAACCACTCAGATAAGCTGTTTCTGAATTCCTGCCCTATAGAAACTATAAGATAATAAACATTTATTTTAAAACCAGCAAGTGTTGGTATAATTTGTTATGTAACAAAAGATAAGTGATATACTCAGCAGCTGAGAGGCTGCTAGTTTACAATTTTGGCTCTAACTTTTCAAACCAAATATCCCAGGTGGGAATATTCACAGGTGGGTGGCTCTCAAAGTTTGACTCTGAAACTGACTAAGGCTGTTAACTGCTGCATCCACCTTCACCACACCACCAACCAAGGGGTCTGCTGTAAAATAGTCACGTATTTTTTCACCACCCTGTATCGTATATGAGATAACAAAAAAGTGAATGTATTAGTGTCCCTTTGTAGACTACAAGCCACAGGAGTTTAACTCACCAACTACGCCATCGACTTGTTTATTTCTTTCCCACATTTGTTAGTGAGTGGAGGTGATGCTGTCTAGGCAAGTTTTCTTTTTAGGTGTCTTTTCTTCATAGATTTTACATTACCATGGGTTAGAAGATAAGCAGCTAATTTGCTTTAGATGGTGACTATACCTAGTGTTGCAAGTCCTTAACGAATGCCAGTTAATACTCTGAAGGCTAGATGTTGAAAAGATGTTATTTTGTTTAAAGGAGAAAAAAAATCAACAGAACTCTTTCACCAAAAAATAATCCTCCTTGGAAACAAATTCAAACAACAGAATGTAAGCTTCATGGGAATCAGACTTTGCTGGGTCACTGCTGTATTCCGGTGTCTGGAAGACACTTGGCATGTGAAATTTGTTCAACAAGCAACTTTGAATGAATGAATATGTGAGTAAATGAGACCAAAGAGAAGAGGCTTCACTTGGAGGAGGAGGATGTTTCTGTCCATGGGGCATTCGCCTTGCCCCACCCCTTCACCCACCTCGCTCTCAAAATATCATCATCAATGAGACACATTTGAGGTAGGCTAAGACTTCTTAAGAAATCTGGTTTGAAATCCAAAGAGTGGGAAGAACACCTTCAGACTAGATAAGAATAGATCTGGCTTCTACCCCCGGTCCTGACCACAAGGCCCTGGAAGTAGGCCTCTGCCACACTTCTTCAGTCCTAATTTCTTCCTCTGCAAAACGAGATCGAAGCTTCCAGCCTTAACACCAGAGGTTTCATGAGTCTGTCCCAAGCTTCCCCTTTTTTTTAACACCCTCCCCGAAGGAGGCGGGTCGCTGCTTGTGAGATGCTTTGAAGCTAAAAAACCCAAGGCCTCAGAGCGATGTGACCAGAGGCGCACAGCTTGGCACATGACCTGATATGACTGATGTTCAAAGCAGCTGTCAGTGAATAGAGGCAGCACGCACAAAGGAGCCAGCCAAAAATAATGAGAGCGGTGAAAAGAAAAAAAAAAGAAAAGAAAAGAAAGAAACACAGCAGGGCAAGGCTCCAGGGTCACTTGTGTTTCCTCTGGTCTAACCTCCTCTCTCTCCTCCACCCAGTCCTCAAACAACCCCCTCCTGCCTCCTCCAGAAGAAAAGTTAAAAGCTTTCTTTTGGAAACAGAGTAGTTTGCTTAGACTGCTGCTGTTTACCTTTGGTAGGACAGCCATTGGCGGTGAGTTCAAACACAGGAAAAGGCCTGTGTTCCAGGAAGAGCTGCAGACGGGCTGAAAGACCGGCCATAATGTTGCTGGATTGCACTATTCCCCACTGGTGTTCAGCCTGGGATCACACCAGGCCCTTGCCTCAACCTCAGGCAACCAGCCTCCAGCTATTTCTTGGACTACTACCTTCCCTTGGGAATATTGCCCCTAAAACAAGATGGTGTGGGATGGAGGGATGAAGAAGTAAGGGAGGGGCAATAAAAAGAGAAAAAGAGGCTTACACTACAAACAAAAACACAATAGCCTTATTTCTAGTCTAGTATGAAAAACATAATTATAACAAGCAGCAAACTTTGGGTTTACATTTGGAGGTTTTGTTATTTATTTGTTTTCAATTATTAACATCATCCTCTATGAACTAAGAGGTCCACATTTGTCAAAACAAGGCCACACATTCCCCAAGGCAGCTACCTCCAGACATCTCTGATCTATTGGTGAAAAGGAAGGGAAAGAATCTACCTCCCTATGTTTCAAAGTGATCCACCCTGAATAGGGTTATGCTAAATTGTGGGAGAAAGGAGGGAAAGCATATGAGGAAATACATGCTGTAAGGATCAAAATCTTCTGGGCCTTCCCCATTCCCCCCAGATTTCTTTCTGCTAATTCCATTTCAAAAACTCCCTTGGCTCCAAGGCACTAGATTCTCTGGTTGGGTCATTCTCAAGATTACCATGAGGATCTCACTTCTCTTTCCCTGATTTTAGAGTTATTTATGTCAAAATCTTTCTGTCTTCCAGAGAGCTCACAGCATCCTGTCTCCTCCAGAAGCTCTTCCCCAGCTGAAATGGAAGTGAAAGACTGGTAGTCTCCTCCTCAACCACCCACCTCCTGGGGCCCTGACTGTGTGGATGAACTCCTCACACCCAGGATTTGTGTCTCCAGTGAAAAGCAGCAATTTATCCTACACTGAAAATTTCCTGAATAAAAACAGTTCATGAAACTCTGGATGTAGTATTTTATTTGGTGTAGAATGAGTCTACAATAAGATCCTTTGTGTTCTCTGGTTTTTAGCAGTTTGACTCTGATGTTCCTGTGTGTGTGTGGGCATGTGTAGGTGTGTGTTTAATCCTCTTCTGCTTGGGGATTGCTCTCCTTCCTAAATTTGTAACTTTATGCCTTTCTCTAAATTTGAATAATTTTCACCTTTTACTTTTTTTCAAATATTTTTTCTGACCAATTTTTTTCTCTTCTCCTTCTCAGACTCCAGTTACATACGTATTAGACCTATTGATATTGTCCACTGTTCCCAGAGGACCTGCCCATTGTTTTTCAATGTCTCTTCTCTCTGTTCTGCACATTGAATAACTTCTATTGAATGATTTTAAAGCTTACTAACTTTTCTGTTATTTCTATTTTACTGTTAAGGCCAATCAGTAAATTTTTTATTTTAGATACTGTAATTTTTAATTCTAGAATTTTTATTTGGTTCTTTTAAGAAAAAAATAGTTTTTAGTTCTTTATTGAGCTTTCTTATCTTTTCATTCATTAGGAATATGTTTTTCTTTATGTCCTTAAGTATAGCTACAATAACCACTTTAAAATCTAGTCTGCCAATTCTATCACCTGTATTATCTTCAAATTGTTCTTTTTTCTCTTCAGAATGGGTCTTTTTTTTTCTTCAAATGTTGAGCAATTTTGGAATGTATTCTGTCTATTATAAATGATATATTGAAGAGACTCTGTATTCTGTTATGCTGTTCTAAAGAATATTGTGCAGCTTTTTCTAGGCAGGCAGGTATCTTGGCTGAATTCAAATTGCAAATTCTGTATGCCCTGAAGTAGGCAGCAGCTCAAATCCAAGTTGTTTTCTTAGCCTCAGCTGAGAGGCCTGAGCTCTGTCCCACAAATGTGAGACATAGGGTTCAACCAGAAATTTCTAGGCAACATTTGGGTGTCCTCTCTTTCTCCCTCTCTCTCTCTCTTTCTCTCTCTTTCTTTCTCTCTGATTATCTCCTTCATGGAATTTCCCTCTTATTTTCAAGAAGCTGTGGCCACCTTGAACTCTGACATTTGGTTCTGCAAGCCAGGAAAACTGTGGGTTTCTATCTGAGTTTCAGTGACCCCCCATGTCGCACCAGCTATAGCCTGCTCTCAGGATAAAAGCTACAAAAAAGAAAAACATAAAACTTAACTCGTGGTATTTCCTTCTTCAAGTATAGACTCTTCTGTAATATCTGCCTGTTTTTATTTGCCCTCAGATATTTTTCTATTTTTCTGAAGTTTTAAATTATTATCTGCAGAAAAGTTGGGTAGGTAGGGGTTTATTACTATAAAAGGGAGTATAACTTTTATTCTTTTGCTTCTTGGACAAATAACTATTCAAATATTTTCTAAGACTTAGTCAATTTTGCTCTTTAGCAAATAGTTTCTGTCTCAGTTTTCTATTTATTTTCTCATGGTTCTATGGGTCAGCAGTTGGGGCTGGGATTGATGGGCAGCTCTTCTGCTGGTCTTGTTTATTGTTACCTAGGTGGTTGCATTCTTCCAGTGGCTTGACTGGGATTATATGGTCGAAGACATTCTCACTCACTGGCAATCGATGCAAGAAGTTGGCTGGGCCTCTCTTCTCATGTCGTCTCTCATTCTCAAGAAGGCTATCCCAGACTTTTTCACATAAATGTCTCAGGGTTCTAGGAGGGTAAGAGTGGATGCTACATAGGCTCTTGAAGCCTGCAATTAAAACATACAGTGTCATTTCCACCACAAAGCAGGTCATAAGGCTATCCAGATATAAGAGAATGAAGATTAGACTGTATTTGTGCATATATAGATAGGAGGAATTTGTGGTCATTTCTTACAATCCAGCACATTAATATAAAAAATGCTATTATGCAACAATAATGGTAACAATCTTATTAAAATTTAACCCCCTTTGTGATCTATCACCATACTCACTGTGAGGCATCCAGATGAAGAAGAGTTGGATGCTTTTCTTCATGCTGTTTTATACCTAGGGAAAATGAGGAATTGAGATGTTAAGTAGATTTACCAAGATTGCAGAGGCAGTGATAGATAGAGCCAGGATATATAATGTTTAGTATATAAGTATGTATGATGGAGAAAAGCGAAAAACAAGAAGAGATTAAGAAATGCAGGAATAGGGTGGGGGAGTTTGCAATTTTAAATAGGATATATAGGAAAGTCTTCATTGAGAAGATGAGGATAGAGAAAAGACCTGAAAGAGGCCAGGGAAGGGGAATACACTTTCATTCAGTGGGATGAATAAGCACACTTGGTGGGATATGATATTATGTATGTATGTTATATATAGATCACTGAATCTTCCATTATATTTTTATGAGTTGGTAAAGCACACATTTATCATACTGAATATCAAACACCTGAAGTAGTCACGACTTAAAATTATATTATAAACAATTTCATATCATACCGGATTGGGTCTTTAAAGGGACTTGATAAATGCTACATAACAATTTTGGTTCTGTAGGATATGTTTTATATATATATATATATATATATATATATATATATATATATATATATATATGTATTCTTGGTATATATAAAGTGCTTTATAGTGACTAACAATTTCATAAACATAAAGTAGAAATAGAAAGCTATGAAAGATATTTTTCCTGCTGATAAATACATAAACTGAAACTTCTACTCACAATAATTGATGATTAGAAAATTTGGACCAATCCTCCCACTAAGGAAACATAAAGAACTGAATGAAATATAAAAAAAACTTCTTAAAAGAATCAAAGTATTAACAATATATTGAGGAATTACAAAAAGAAAATCAAGAAGAGGAGAACCTAGAGAGTAAAACCAACATCTGAATCTGATTTTGCTCTAAGAACATTTGCTAAGCCTAAAGAAATTCATTTTTGGTAAATTCCTGGGGCCAGGAGGCAAAAGGCAAGACCTGTAATCCACCAGAAGTCAGGATTTTAATAAATCATGACCATTTTAAATTGGGATCCCAAAGGATCCAGGTAAGGTAAATCATGAGTAAGCTAATCCCTGCAAAGAATTTTGATTTGGCTTTATGTCATTCGGGTGGTCCAGGAAACTGCAAGCCTTGAACTTGGTTTAAGATAGACCCAGACTGGTAGCACCTCAAGTGTCTGGCAGAGGCAGAGGAAAATCCTCTTTGGAAGAAGATGATGTTACGCTAGGCCTCAAATTATTGTGAAAATTAGTACAAATAATCTTTAAAACACAATGTCCAACACATTGTCAAAAACAACCAGTCATACATGGAAACAGAGTTCACTGAACAACACCAGCAGAAACAACAGACAACACAAATAGACCCATAATGACTGGAAATAATGTCTGTTGGAATTATTAGTCACAAACTATAAAATAACTCTGCTGTGTTTGAAGAAGAAAACAGACAGAATAAACTAAAGGCAATGTTTTAAGATATGATAGCCAAGAATATTAAGGACTAATAGAAGACATCAATCAATAGATTCAAGAAGCCTAATAGAGCTTACACAATATAAATTTAAAGAACAGCACTGCCAGAAACTTTATAGTGAAACCATAGGAAACCAAAGAAACTGAACTGTAAGCCCACCATATACTAAAAGCAGCCATAAAGAAAAGGACATATTATCTTTAAAGAAATAAAATTAAATCGACAGCTGACTTTTAAAAGTTAATAATTGAAGTCAGAAGACAGTAAAATAGTATTGTCAACATGTTCACAGAAAATAATTGCTCACTTAGATTTCTATTCCCAGGAGATATTCTATTTATTAATATATTGTTATATTATATATCCATTTATATTATATATGGTAAAGATAAATACTTTTTTCTAAAAAACTGAGAGTTTGGAAAATTTTAAAGGATTATTTAAGGGATAAGTAAAATGATCCAGATGGAAAATCTGAGATTCAGGAAGTGAAGACCAAAAAACAATAAAAATATATTATAGAATTTTAAAATTACATAGGATTTTAAATTGTGACAAGCGCCAATTAATTGGGATGTAGATAGATGGGATTGAAGTGTTCTAAGCTTTCTGAATTGTATAGGCCAATGATAGAGATTAACATTTATATTATATTTGGATAAGTTAGCAATGAAAGGTTAAAAATAAAATAATAAATAGAAAACAATAATAATTTTTAGGCCAGCCACTAAAAGAATAGTTATTGCAAATCTTCCAAAATAGTAAAGGGGAAGACTAATGATTAAAATATCTTAGTTGATCCCAAAGAAGTCAAGAGATGAGAAAAAGAATCATAGAAGAGGTAGAACATATCAATCATGAAATAAGATGCTAGATTAAAACCCAAATTTATCAGTGATTCCATTAAATGTAAATGAGCTAGCCTTACTATTCCTAATAAATATTTCCTAATAAATGTGCATTAAAGGGCTGTGGGGAATATTGGAGAATGCCCTGAGCTGAGGATAGGAGGCCTGAATTCTAGTCCTTCTTTAGTCATCAGCTAACCATGGAATTCTGAGCAGTTCTCTGGACTTCAGCTCACACAGGAAATTAGGACATTAGGTTGGATAATGGATGAACTTCATTTAGTCCTTTTAGACTTAGAGATTATTCTCATGACCTCTTTGCTTAGGTTCCAGGTCTTAAGACAGCCTCTTGTTGAAGGAAGGGACGCCCTCTGCTGAGATAAAACTGAATTCTCTTAAGCTTCATTTATCTCACTTGGCAAGATATCTTAAGTGACATATGGAAATGTTACACATTAGAGGTGGCAAAGGTGTGATAAATACTTTTTTAAAATGACTATTCATATTGATGCCAGAATCTCCAATATTGATTAACTTGGATTCGCAACTGAAAAATCTTATTCACTGGTCTCTAAAGACAGGTTTGCAGAACTTCCAAAGTTATTTATATTCATCCTCCCCCATAAGCAATCTAGATTGATCAACATTTAGTATACATAATGGCACTGGTACTCTCACTTGGTCCATATATAAGCTGGTCATGGGTCACAAACAGAACTTGAGTTATCCTGAAGGAAAAGTGGGAATTCACACCGTGAAGAGGTTGACTGTTATACTACCGTTCTTTCACTGGTGTTTAGTGTATTGTGACACAATACAGTTTGTATGTTGTCAACTAACAATTTTTTAAAAGACTCCTGCCCTCTAAATTACAAACTAAATAGAATTACAAGTTAAATAGAATAATAAGTTAAATCAAATAATAGTGCAATTAATAATAATGCAGTTAATAATTCTGCAAAGAATAAGAAAATGGCAAAGCAGACATTTTTCCTACTCCTTCAATCATATTACAAAGTAAAAATAATGATAATTGAATCAGATCCACAAAGAAGCCTACACAGAGGCCAAAGTGTATTGAACTCCACCAAGAAGTTTATTTGAAGTATAGATTTAACCCATCAATTAATGGAAACCCCAACTAATACCAGCTCATGAAGAAGAGCCATTGCAATTGGCAGAAAACTTTAACGTATGGTTTATTACATGTTTTCTATCTTTTGAAAAGTTCTTTTGGGTATGTTTCATAATAAACTAATATGATAGCTTATATGTATAATTTATAAACAAACACAGATACACATTTTGGGGATGTATGCTCAAATTTGAGGAAGGGGTACATAAAGAAATCTGGAGACTCCAGACTTAGTTTAAAAAGCAGAGCTCTTGGGTGGACCTTCAGAGTGACATGAATTGTAGGGCTACAGGGGAACTGAGAGGCCTCAGGTCATTGGACAGGAGCGGCTGGGCACTGTGATGTGCTGACTGTGAAGTCAGACAAAGACTCCAGGTTGTCTGTGCTCTATCATTATAGGACCTTGGGCAGATGACATATCCTCTCTGTGTTTTTAAAAATACAGCCCTTAGACAATCTGCATCAGCACTGAGGCATTGACTAAAAATTTAAATTACTACCCTGTGGTCTGATCGTCACTGACCCTCTTCTTGGGCCAGAAAAGGGTATTTCACATTACTGAGCATTTTCTTTGTGTCAAGCCCTTTCTCATATTATTATTTTGTTTGATACACATAACAAATATTCCCATTTGTGAAATATTCCCATTTTATAGATTAGGACAGTGAGCGTGGTGGACAGACCTTAGGGTGACTGCCGGTAATTCCTGCTGTCTGCTGTTCAAGCCCTTTGTAATCCACTCCCTGTATGTGTGGATGAATCTGTGACTTGCTTCTACTCAACAGAATATGGCAAAAGTGATAGGCGATCACTCCCTTGCTTAGATTAGATTATACAACAAAGATGTCGGGCTGTCACCCCATAATTATGTTGTGATAGAAGTTTTAGCAGACTGAAGAAGCAAGACTTTCCTGCTGGCCTTGAAGAAGCAAGTTGCCATCACATCAACTGCATATGTTGAGAGTCACAAAGCAGGGAATTGTGGGAAGTCTCTAGGAAACTTCCAGCCTCAGTCCTGTAACCACAAGGAACTAACTCTTGCTCAACATCCCCCTAGGGTTAGAAGAGGACTCTGAGCTCCAGGAAGGAAGGAGACCTGGTCAATTCTTTGCAGACAATCTTGTGAGGCCCCAAGCAGAGGATCCAGTTAAGCAATGTCTAGATTCCTGACTTGCAGGAATGGTGACATCATAAATCTGTGTTGTTTTGAGCTGGTAAATTTAAAATATTTATTACACAGCAGTAGAAAATGAGTACAGTGGACATGCATGGTGGTTTACACTTGTAATCCCAGCACTTTGGGAAGCCAACACAGAAGGATTGCTTGAGTCCAGGAGTTTGAGACCAGCCTGGGCAACATAGTGAGACCCCTTCTCTACAAAAAAATTTAAAAATTAGCCAGGTGTGGTGGCAGGTGTAATCCCAGCTACTGGGGAGGCTGAGGCAGGAGAATTGTTCGAACCTGGGAGGAAGAGGTTGCAATGAGCCGAGATCACACCACTGCACTCCAGCCTGAGTGACAGAGCAAGGCCCTGTCTCGAAAAAGAAAAAGAAAGAAAAGGAATGCAGCAAGTGATTCGTCTTTTTTGTTTTTTGTTTGTTTTTTGTTTTTTGAGACAGGGTCTCATGCTGTTGTTCAGGCTGGAGTGCAGTGGTGCGATCTTGGCTCACTGCAGCCTCTGCCTTCTAGGTTCAAGCAATTCTCCTGCATCAGCCTCCCAAGTGGGGGCCCACCACCACGCCTGGCTAATTTTTGTATTTTTAATAGAGACAGGGTTTCACCATATTGGCCAGGCTGCTCTCAAACTGCTAACCTCAAGTGATCCTCGCACCTCGGCCTCCCAAAATGCTGAGATTGCAGGCGTGAGCTGCTGCGGCCAGCCCCCAAGTATTATTATGTATCAGAATCATCTTGCTTGAAGGTGGATAGTGTTCTCCAATCTAGACTTATCCATAATAAAGCTGATATTTGTATCTTCATTCTCTATCTTTTGTGGCTATTTCTCAGCTGGTTCCAAACTCAGAGTTGGGGGGAGATATGACTGATTATCAACTCTAACCCCAGCACATCGTAGCATTACCTGCTCTTCTCCACAGGGCACCTTCCCACCCATTGTTCATTTGAGCCTCAAAATAATTTCATAAAATCAAGACAACTTTTTAATTGTTTAATATCCATTTTAATTTTAGACCACTCTATCTAAATGTGAATTTTATTTTTATTTATTTTTGTCCTCCTAAGCATTCAGGATGATTTTTCAGTCTGAGGATTTTTATATTTTTTCAATTAAATTTTTTCTCTGTTATTATATTTTTAGGTAGTTTTTCTGCCCAATTTTTATTATTCATTCCTTCTGGAACTCCCATTGGATGTGTGGTCTGTGTTTCTCTGTCTATTTTTCTTTTACCTGAACTCTTTTATTCTATCTCCTCTTTCTAGGCTAGGTCTAGGCTAAGTTCTGTATGACCCCTCTCAGCGCAATCTTCCAATTCTTTTATTCTGCCTTCAAGTCTGCCCAGTCTCTTGTTTATGCTAAGTATTAAGGTTTACTTTTTGAGTGTGTTTTTTCCTAATTCAGGGAATAAAATTTAATTTTCAACAAGCTTATTTTATATCTTCTTGTTCTTGCCATATAACCTCCCATTTAATATCGAAAGAATGCTATTAATACATCCTTAATCTCTTTAAGAATTCTAAGCATGTTAAGTTTAAAGTTATTTGAAATTTATATGTCATTCCAGTTTCTTTGGGTATGAATTCTCACTCGTCGAATCTCATAATGGATTCGTGTTGCAATAATTTTTTGTGTGTGCTTTGTAGATTTTATTTGAGATTTCATCTTGCATGAAACTTTCCTGAATGCCTGTTCCTTCCCATGGTTGCCTTAGCCTGGCCTTCTAGACCTCACACTTCCAGGATAGTCTTACATGAAAGTTCCAATCATTCAGCTCAAGCAGGTAATGCATTACACCTGTGCCCTGTGCTAGCCTGGTTCTCTTTATTACATGGGCTCCTCTCTACACAAGTAGAATGTTTCTAGCCATAGCTATGTGGTCAAGCAGAAAAATTTCAGTCCCAGTTCCCTGGATGGAGGTGCTGTCCAGCCCCCTGCTTAATTCAAGGAACTTGGTCTCTCATAATAAATAGAGTTCTCTTGACCCTCATTTCCAAAGGAACTTTGACAGCACCTACTCCCTATGAGCCCCATAACTTCAACTTTCCAAACACTTGCTATTTTTTTATTTTTAAAAGAGATGTTCCCTTTTTCTCTAAGACATGTATTTTAAAAATATGTTATATTCCATTTCTATCACCATGCGTTATATGTTTGTATTAGAGAATAAGTGAAGAATTCATGTGATTATTTTGCCATATGGACTCATAATCTTTGGACATTCATGTTAAAGGTTAACCAGCAGAAGCACAGAAAGGTTAGCTGAGCTTTACAGGTGCCACAACAAATTAGTAGTCAAGGTGTTAGTAAAGCCAACTCTCTAGATTGTGGTATTTGGATACAGTGTTCTTTCCATTCTGCCACATGGAACTATGGGATTTTATTTGCTTTATTTGTCTATTTATATAAAGTTATTTGTTTGTTAAGCTACAATAGCCTATGAATACAAACACAATAACATCTCTTTTGTGTTTCAAACTAAATAAGCCCTGTCTCAGTAGCAGAATATGTAGTAGTCCTTGTGAGACCTGTGATGTTTCACTAAATTGTCCAAGAACATCAAGGGTTATTTGGTCCAAAATGTTCGTTCCTCCTATCATGGCCTTGGTTCTTTCCTCCCCAACAGACTTCTTACTCTAGATTACTCCAAGCCATTCAGGATCCGACGACTTTGCCAGTGAGTGGTTCAGCAAAACTATGTGACCCAATTATGGCTAATTAGACATCTAGAAAGATGTCTCCACTTCTAATAAGGGAGATAAGAAAAGGCAACACCACCCCCCCGCCACCTAGTTTTCTCTGGACATTAGATGGACGCTTGGGACTTCCATAGATACACATTGACCTCGCATGAGCCAGATGACAGCAAAGTGGGAAAGTGAGAAGCACTGGGTCTAATGATGCCAGCAAGCCATGGTGTTCGAAACACTGGTGCTCCCCAGCCTCGAACTGCTCTGAGATAATGTGTTTCTTTATTATTAATACCACTTTGAGTTGGGGTTGTTATTCCTTGAAACTAAGACATCCTAATGACACTACCTGTTTCCAAATGGCTCCAGCAGTGACAATGGGATCTTCTAGACCAGCACTGTCCAACAGGAATGCAATGCAAGCCGCAAATATGCACCACATATGTGATTTTTAATTATTTTTAATAACCCCATTAAGATGAAATTAAATCTAATAATATACCATATTTAACCCAATATATGCAAAATACTATTTTGGCAGGTAATCAACATAAAAATTGAGAAATTTTATAATCCTGTTTTACAGTAAGTCCTCAAAATCTAATGTGCATTTTACACTTAGAGCACATGTCTCCATTCAGAATAGCCACATTTTAGGGGCTCAAAAGCCATGTGTGGCTAGTGGCTGCCCATCCAGACAGTGCCCCAGCATGCGTGTTTGGGACTGCAGCTGCCCCTTCTCACTGCTGCATTCAGGGTTGTTAATGGACTGGGTGAGGCCCCCTGTTGGAGTTCCCAAGATAAGCATTTTGGCTCACACTCACCTTGTCCCTTTATTCCTGGGGAGTTGGGGATGTGTTCTGGTCTCAGACACATGATGAGCTGAACCAGCACTCCAAACGGGAACATCCAAGACTGCTAGTGAGCCCTGGTCAGGGGCCACAGCCCCTTCCCCACCTTCCCTTGCTGTGGGTTATCCTGATAGGGCCCTCAAGGCCTTGTCCTGCTGATATACTTCAGTCAAAACCATATTCAACTTCAAAAGAGGAGAGATCTTATCTCTCTCATTTCAGAAGCGTTCTTTACCTCCATCTCTATAAAATGTTTAAGTCTCTATGGGCCAATTCTGCATAAAAAGAGGTACTGCAACAAAAAGTAAAGTTTTTTTTTAAGTCATAAATGTCATTTAAACTTCCAGAGTATTAAGTGCCTGCTCACCTTATGTTTGTATAAGTAAGAGGGGATACTTAGATTACAGGCAGGTAAAGAAGTCAGGAGCAAGTTTTGAAAGGAAACTTTTCTAGCTCAAGTTTCATCTAACCAGCTAACAAAACAAAACAATTTTTTTCCTTTGAGTTAAGGACTTGCAAGAGTGAATAAAAACACACAGTGGGTACCTAGTGAAGTGTAGCTTTATTATTTTTATAATAGCCAAATAACTATTGCTGGCTGCTTCTGGCAGAGTGATCTTGGTAGCAGCAGACAGCACACGTACATCTGTCTTAACGAAATGGCATCATGTGGCAGGCACAGAAGCGATGGCAGGAGAAGATGAAGGGCCTGCTGGAGGAGTGAACACATCCCACATTTCTTTATCCATGATTAGAATCAGGACCGGCACTTGGTACTCAGTAAGCGCCAAGATTTTCTTGGACAAATTCAAGGTCAGAATGAGGGGGATTCCTAGAGAGGGAGGCGGGTTTTCTACGATTAGCATGTGGGGGGCACAGGGAGGAGACTCAAATGATTATTTCAAACACTAAAATGGAGTTTTAACTTTGTATGTACACATACCAATTACAGTAGATAAAAAAATACCATTTATGAACGGTCTGGCTTTATTGACATTAGTTTTTAACTGCAACTACCTTTCTGGCTCTCTTTTCTAGATGGAATGTGTGAAATAGTGATGGACTATGTCTTAGTCTATTCTGTGCTTCTATTGCAGAATACCACAGACTGGGTAATTTATAATAAACAGAAATTGATTGGCTCACAGTTCTGGAGGCAGGGAAGTCAAAGATCAAGGGGCTGGCGTCCAGTGAGGACCTTCTTCCTGTGTCATCCCATGGCAGAAGAGTAAAGAGAGGATGAGAGAGCACAAAGGATCAAACTTACTGTCTCAAGCCCTTTTATAATCAACATTAATCCATTCATGAGGGTGGAGTGCCCATGACCTAAACACCTTCCATGAGGCCCTGCCTCCTAGCGCTATTGCATTGAGGATTAAGTTCCCAACACATGCATTTTAGGGGACACATTCAAACCATAGCAGACTACGACAATGGTTCTCAAATTTTTCTGTATATTGGAATCACCTGAGAGCTTTTTAAAATCCCATCGCCCAGGCTGTGTCCCAAACCAATTAAACCAGAATCTCTGGAGGAAGCACCCTGGCATCAGCATTTTCTCAAACTCCCTAAATGATTGCTATATGAAGTCAGGTTTGAGAACAAGTTGACTATGATCCGTGTTGTCAATTATTAACAAATATTTTAAAACATATTAATATCCAAATAGGTTTACTAAAAATATTGAGGTGAAGTTGATATAATTGGCTATCTGCTCAACAATTTCTTCTCCCTTCCTCTTTTCCAATAGAGTCCCAAGTTTCTTCAGACTCCTCTGAGTGGCCATGTGTTTGAAGAGTGAATTATGATTGGCCTTTCCTTTGTGTTGGGAGTGGAAGGATTAGGGATAACATGTGAGGAAGGGAGGCCATCCCTCTGTGTACTTTCTGAGGCCGGACAATATTCTGGTAGCAGAGGCAGATGGAGAGGGTTGGGAGAGGAAAGTGTTACATTGTTCAGTGTGGGTGGAATGATGCCAAGAGGGCATACTGAGTGGGTTATTTCCAGTCTAATGACATTTTACGCAAGACCAGTTGTAAAGTTGCATGCAGGTTTCCAAGAAGAAAATGCTTTCCCAAAGACCGGCTCTGTTAGCTTTCTCTCTCTCTCTCTCTCTCTCTCTCTCTCTCTGTTTTTTTTTTTCCTTCTCTAATATCCAATATGTCTTTGAGCAGAACTATTTTGAATTCCTGCCACTTGAAGTGGGTTTGGATGCCTCTGCCACCAGGGTGAACTAATGACCAGGCAGTGAAACTCTCTATGCCTAGAGAGGCAGGTTTTCTGGGAAGCTGAGCAGCCACTAGAGAGTCCAGGCCAACATATAGAAGAGGCAGTTTCTGGGTCTGCTTTTGCCTCCAGGGAAATAGTTCTGAAGGACTTCTGCCCTGGAAGCCTGGTTCTGCTTGCCCAGCCCTAGCCTGTGGGAAGATTCTGTCACCATTCTCCTGCGTGTAGGCAAGGAGCCCTGGCAAATGGCCTCTGAGAGGAAATTAACTTGTTTAGATGTAAGACACTCTTTAAAAAATGACACAAAAGGCCGGGCGCGGTGGCTCACGCCTGTAATCCCAGCACTTTGGGAGCCCGAAGCGGGTGAATCATGAGGTCAGGAGATCGAGACCATCCTGGCTAATATGGTGAAACCCCGTCTCTACTAAAAAAATACAAAAAAAAAAAAATAGCCGGGTGTGGTGGCGGGTGCCTGTAGTCCCAGCTACTCGGGAGACTGAGGCAGGAGAATGGCGTGAACCCGGGAGGCAGAGCTTGCAGTGAGCCGAGATCGCGCCACTGCACTCCAGCCTGGGCGACAGAGTGAGACTCCGTCCAAAAAAAAAAAAAAAAAAAAAAAAAAAAGACACAAAAACCATTATAGGGTCACACTTACACACGAATTTTCATAAGTTGTCATATGATTTGCAAGAAAGCCTAAATTATGTCTCCACTCAGGTCTTCTCTCAATTGTGGTCGGAACTGGACATTCCCACGAGGACAGTTTCCACTTCCAGTAATGGCTGAGGAGGTCCTATTGCAAATAATAATGAGAAACTCTGGACCAAGTATTTTAGAACCACCACCTGAAAGTATTGGAGAGTAAGTAAGAGCAGGTAGGTACTAGAAAGGGTTTGAAATCTAGAAGAGACCAGTGACATTAGATGAGTTTCCTATTTTTTTCTTTTGTATTGTTTCACAGCTTTTAGCCTAAAGGCAGACCTGGTCCACACTCTGCAGGACATAGAAACCCATAATCTTATTGCTTAAAGAATTAGGAGACAGAGATCAAGACAATCATACCAGCTAGAAAGTGAGGGGTTCTCGGGTACGGTGGCTTATACCTGTAATCCCAGCACTTTGGGAGGCCAGGGAGGGCAGATCACTTGAGGTCAGGAGTTTGAGATCAGCCTGGCCAATATGATGAAACCCCATCTCTACTAAAAATAGAAAAATTAGCCATGTGTGGTGGTGCACAACTGTAGTCCCAGCTACTTGGGAGCCTGAGGTGGGAGAATCGCTTGCATCTGGGAGGCAGAGGTTGCGGTGAGCCGAGATCCTACCACTGCACTTCAGCCTGGCAGCCTGGGGGACAGGGTGAGACTCAGTCTCCAGAAAAAAAAAAAAAAGAAAGTGAGGGGAGAAATTCCAGAAAGAACAGAGTCAGAGAGGAAGAGTCCCCAAATCTGCTTATAAACCACTCACATTTCTGGCTGACTCTTGAATCATCATGTGTGGGGCAGACTCCAAGCAACCCAATTAAGGCTAAGCACTGAAATTATATTTAAGACTTTGGTTCTGCTTGCTTTAAAAACATCAATATTCTTTGAATGAACATATTAAATTGATGCAAAAGTAATTTAAAGTAATGGCAAAACTGCAATTATGTTTGCACCAACCTAATAACAGAATAGAGAATATCCTTAGTGTATTGCTCACAATGTCAAGGATACAATAAAAAATTGCTAGACATACAAAAAAAGAAAAGAAAAATGTGACTCATATTCAAGAGAAAAAGGCAATCAAGGGAGACCAACCCTGAAATAACACAGATGAATTTAGCAGGCAGGTACTTTAAAGCAGCTACTATAACTGTACTCAAAGACTTAATGGAAAAGATGTTCCCAAAAGGAGAAGCAACCAACTTTAGTAGTCCTATATGTACTAAACATTTATAGACTGGAAAATGTTTGAAGATGTTCAAAGTATACAAGAATTATAGGAAACTTCACAATTCCTATTTATAATCCTATTTGACCTGTTTTTACTTGTACTGAAAAATTTCATTCAAATCAAGGCAAGACAATTTGATCAGCTGATTTGATAAATCCATTTTGAGGGAGACATCAAAATATAAAACAACTGAACTGCATCAAATACAAAAAGGTATTTTTATTGATCAAGTATGTGCAACACATAGCACTGTTCTTCACCATATTCTTCACCTCATCCTTTCTAAAGAGGAGGAAGGGGAGGAAGGGATGTTGATCATTATTCATGCATTCAACTCAGTCTGCTTAACTGAGCTGGGATCTAGCTTTGGCTTTAGCTAGAATTTCCCAAATAAGGATTCTACAGGATGTTCCTGTGTAGGAAGCAAATAAAGAAGCCACAAAGAAAGGATTAGATTATCAAATACTTTTGAGAAATACTGAGTTAAATGGAATTTTTTTTTCCTGTAGGGGCTTTCAGAGCCTTCAACATGGGAATGTGCATTTTGAGTCACCCAGGGTGGCAGGTCAGGTGGCACAAAGCCTGGCAATCACATGTAGAGTAGGGGGTCAAGGCAGGGCAAGGACTCTGAAGTTCCCCAAGAAGGGGATGCTCATTTATTCGATCAGCAAATATTAACTGAGCATCTACTCTGTTCTAACCTAGGCACTTATAAATATGTGGTAGATAAAACTGCTCTCACTGAACTTACTGTTTAGCTAGAGAGATAGTCAAAATCAAGTAAAGAAACAAATAATAACAAAATTCCAAGTAGTATTGAGTGCTACAAAGGAAAGAAACAATAGAGTACAATGGGGTGGGGGTGGGAGCTACCTAGATAGAATGGTTAAAAAAGGCCTCGCAGGAAGTGATACACAAACCTGAGAGCTGATCAACAAGATAGAGGTGGCCTGTGAGGGGATACAGGAAGAGTGTCCCGGGCCGAGAAAGAAACTTGCATGGAGGCCATAAGGCAGGAACGATTTTGTGTGCTTAAGCCTCTGAGAGGGAGCAGGTGTCTGGAGCATAGATGGTCATCCAGAAGATGGTTAAAAGAAAGAAAATGACCATTACAGCAAGCAATAAAATGAGAGCTGAGGCTACTTACAGTATTTCCTCCTTACTTCTCACTTACAGTGTGAAGAAATACACTGCGTTTTCTGCTAGTGGTAATGTAAAATAGCACGACCGCTTCAGAAAATATTTTGGTGTTTTCTTACAAAGGTAAATGTACACCTGTTCTCTGATCCAGCCATTCTATTCCTTGATATTTACCAAAGAGAAATTAAAGCATATGTCCGCACACAAAATTGTTAAAAATGTTCATAGGAGCTTTATTTGTAATGCCTCAAAATTGAAAATAACCCAAATGTCAATTGACAAGTGAATGGTTTAAAAATCGGGGTATATTCATAAAATGAAATAATATTCAACAATAAAAAACAAACTAATACACACATATATAAAAAATGCATTTGCAGAAAACATAATTCTGTACATAGTAAATCCTAAGAAATCTACAAATTAAGAAGTGAATTTAACAAGTTTACATGATAAAAGTCCAAAATCATTTGTATTTACATATATTAAAATGAATAATTGAATAATAAAATTTTAACTTTCAATGTACAATAGCTTCTAAAACATGGAATACTATAATAGCTTCTAAAAACATGGAACACTGAGATAAATTTAACAAAATATGTACATGCCTGTATGGTGAAGTCTAGAAAATACTGCTGAGAAAAAATTTAAAAGACCTAAATAAATGGAATGTTATGCCGTACCCAAATTAGAAGATTCAATATTGTTAAGATGTGAATTATCCCCAAATTGATGTATAGATTCAATGCAATTCCAATCAAACTCCAAGTAGGCTTTTGTATGTGTGTGCAGTAAGAAATTCATGAGCTCATTATATATCTATATGGGAATGCAAAGTACCTAGATGAACCAAAACAACTTTGAAAAAGAAGAACACAGTTGAAGGATTTACACTGCCTTATTTCAAGACTTACTATAAAGCTGAAGAAACTGAGTCTGGTATCAGCAGAACAACAGGCATTTAGATTAATGGAGAGATCAGAAATAGGCCCACACATCAATGGTAAATAGACTTTTTAAAAAAGATGCCATGGCAATTCAATGAGAAAAGGATAACTTTCCAACAAATGGTGTTGAAATAATTGGATATTACTAGGCAAAAAAATGGACCTCAACCCTTACGTCACGTGATACACAAAAATTAACTCAAAATAGATCACACATTTAAATATAAGAAGTTAACCTATAAAACTAGGATAAAACACAAGAGTAAATACTTGCAATCTTGGAGGTGGCGAAGATTTCTTAGAATGCAAAAAAAAAAAAAGTTGTAAAAAAAACTTTGATAAATTAGATTTTTTCAAAATTAAAATTTTATGTTCCCTGAAAAATACCACTAAGAAAATAAAAAGAGAAATCATAGAATGGGAGAAAATATTTGTGATACATATGATGGTTAATACTGAGTGTCAACTTGATTGGATTGAAGGATACAAAGTATTGATCCTGGGTGTGTCTTCAAGGGTGTTGCCAAAGATTAACATTTGAGTCAGTGGGCTGGGAAAGGCAGACTCACGCTTAACCTGGGTGGGCACAATCTAATCAGCTGCCAGCACAGCTAGGATATAAAGTGGGCAGAAAAATGTGAAAGCAGAGACCGACCTAGCTTCCCAGCCTACATCTTTCTCCAATGCTGGGTGCTTTCTGCCCTCAAATATTGGACTCCAAGTTCTTCAGTTTTGGAACTCGGACTGGCTCTCCTTGCTCCTCAGCCTGCAGATGGCCTGTCGTGGGATCCTGTGATCATGTGAGTTAATAATTAATAAACTCCCCTTTATATATATATATATAACTATTCCATTAGTTCTGTCCCTCTAGAGAGCCCTGACTAATAAATACACATATTTAATGAAGAACCAGAATTTACAACTCAATAAGAAATCAGGCAATCAATTAAAAATTGGCAGATTTGAGCAGTCACTTCACAAAAATAGACATACGAATGGCAAATAAGCACATGAAAAGATACTCAGTATGACTGATCGTCAGGGAAATGCAAATTAAAACCACAGTGAGATACAGCTATATGCCCACTAAAATGGCAAAAATGAAGAAGACTGCAAATACTATGTATTGGTAAGAATATAGAGCAACTAAAACTCTGACACATTGCTGGTGGGTACATTTTATTATATGTAGAGTAGAATAAAAGTAAACTTAAAAATGTAAGAGTTAAACCAATGAAGTTTCAAAACAATGGCTATGATTTACAAGGCAGGGATAAAAAGGTCCAAAGATTACAAAGGAGTAATGGGATAATCGCTAGTATTTATGGAGGCACTATGCTAAATCCTTGCTATATAGTCTGGCCCAATCTTAACAAAGAGCCTAGAAGGTAAGTATACTTATCATCTCCGTTTTAGAGCTGAGCAAACTGAAGCTTACAGAGATTAAGTGGCGAAGCTGGGGCAGGCTGACTGCAGTACCTAAGCTCATAAGCATTAAGCGAAAGCACTTTACGGGGCATCTTTAAGGCTGGTCATAAAATTGGGTGAATACAATGCTCAGGAATAGATGGTAAATTTCCTCTGAGCCTAGTTCCAGTTTAATACACAGCACTATAGGTAGTAAGATCTTTATGGAATAAATTGATTTGAAAAGGCTTGGGCTCTGTTCCAGCTCCACAGTACACCAGCCTCATAACCATGTGCAAATCCCTTACCCTTGGTTTCTCAACTGTGAAATGGAGATCTAATCCCTGCCTTTTCTACCTCAAATGTCTACTGTGAGGATGAAATAAACATAACATTTAAAAGTGCTTTGTAAGCTATACAGCCTTAAACAGCTGCAAAATTGTTTGGATAAGCAAGATAGCCATGGTGGAGGTGCCATTCTATGTGCGATTTCCTAGTTTGAATTCTCAATTAAACTTAAAGGACCTGCAGATATTGTATTTATTGTCATACAGTGCAAGAGTGAACCAACTAGTCAGTATGTATTGATTCTTACTATGTGTTCAGTGCTATTTTATGGTAAATACAAAAAGATGCTTCAATTCCTGCCTTCAAGGGCTTACAGTTTAGCTGAAGGAAAAACTAGATTACACACGAAACAATTGGAGTGCAATTTACAGCTGATCATAGACTAGAAGATTCCCTTACGAAGTGTATTCTGGGGGTAATGAAATCCTCTTGGGTACAAACTGTTTTTAGAAAAGTCTGAAGGAAATAACAAAGAGGAAGAGAGCTAGATGAAGTTTCAGAAACTAGAGAGACAAGACAGATAAAAACTAATATGAAGAAAATAATCCTTTGACATGGTCCATAAAGAAATTCAATTACTTAAAACTGAAGTATGCCAGCAGAAGAAATTTGTGGTCAGATGAGAATCTTATACATGTCTGGGAACATGAGATGTGAGCTGAGACCGGTGTCTTCCTGGTCTCCAATGCTCTCATCCCAAGCCTTCCTGGAAATCTGGACATATAGGCTTCCTATGAAAGTGGCCATATCTTTAGCAGATAAAGATGCAACTTCTTTTCAAAAACATAAAATGCATTATCCACAGAAAACCTTGTTTGGAGTTCCATGGGCAAATACTTGTAATTAAGCAGGTAGATTTGAAAATTATTCAGCTTATATTATTGTTTACATCCATCTTTCCTATCCAGTCAGGCACCTAGAAGAAAAGAGAAAATGAAAACAATAATTTTTCGAAAACCAGGAATAATATGAAGAAAAACTACAGCAGACATGCATTTTAAGCTGGTGCTTAACATCAATGGGCAAAGTAAAACTTCTCTAACATAGAGTTTGTAGGAACAAGATAAGCAGTTGAGGAAGAGTCTTTTAATTAGTGGCTTCATTATTTTATTTGAAATCCTGAAAATTCTTAAGCCACCAGCTATTTTCATAAGCAAATGAGAATACCAAAGCATTTAAAAAACCCAACTAGGAAAATTATTTTTAATCATTTGAAATTTTGAGTTTATTGTACCAATATAGCCCACATTCAGTACAAATATTGCAACTGATGCCACATATGGAAAATATAATTTATTCATAAATATGTATAATTTCCGTTTGTTTTTCATTCTCTGACTATAGATCTATTTATACGTTTGTCTTAGTTTGGGCTCTCCTAGAAGCAGAATCAAAGGCAAGGATTAGAATGATAGCAGTTTATTTGGGAGGTAAGAAGTGGGCAAGTGGGATAAGAAAGTGAGACAGGGAAGATGATTAGAAGTGGATTATCAACCCAGCTATGACTATGGCAACTGAAGTGAATTTTCATTGAGGAAGTTCTTGGATCCAGGATAAAACACCTGCCACAGAGTCATCCTCCATGAGAGGTGAAAGAGCCAGGATATTTACATTCCTGTCAATTATTGGCACGAATTTCAAACAACACAGATACAGGGGAATGCAGTTGAGGCTTCAAGGGATTAAATAGGCAACTCCAAAAAGATAGAAGACAAGCTTTCTCTATGGATAGCCCCTCTTTGCTTAGTTTTGCATAAGCAGAAAAAAGGAAAAACCCTCCATTTGAAAGGCATAATTTTAAAACGACATAGAAAAAGAAAATAAGGCACAGAAAAACAAAGGATAAATTACAGCAATAGTTTCTTATCAAATTCAGTTACAATTTAAATCTCTTTATTACCAACTACCACGGAAATGAATGTATTGGGGCTAACCACTGCAGGGGGTTGAATTTCTTGCCCCAAGACAGCCAGCCAATCTTTCCTTTCTCACTTTGCCAACTTTATCTTTCAGGACCTAGTGCCATTCCTTCCATGAAACCTTTCCATGTGTTCTATGGTGGATTCCCTAATTGGACCTCATCTGACATCCATCTATTTGTACTTAGTTGAATCTGATTCACTCATTAACTCAAGATCCTCCTCCATCTCAGTTATATACCAGATATGCTCTAATGCTTTTGTGTCTTTGGTTCTAATTTCTCTCAAATGAGTAAGCTTTCAAAGGGAGGGATCATCTTATTCTTTTATAATAGTCATAGCACCAGCATAGTACCAGGAACAAAATGAAATTAAATGTGGTGAAAGAAGATGGCAGTGTTATGGTTTGATGAGGTCATGTGGAATTAGTGGCTTCAGTGTGTGGGTTACAACTCTGGCTTTGGCTCTATGGCTGCTCTGTATCCTCTTCAAGTTGCCTCATTAGTGAAAAGGGAATTAAATATCTCTTTAGAGAGTTATGATTAGAATCAAATAAAATAATATATGTAAAGTGCCTAGCACATAGCAGGTATTAAGATATATTTATGGCCGGGCGCGGTGGCTCACGCCTGTAATCCCAGCACTTTGGGAGGCCGAGGCGGGCGGATCACGAGGTCAGGAGATCGAGACCATCCTGGCTAACACGGTGAAACCCCGTCTCTACTAAAAATACAAAAAATTAGCCGGGCGTGGTAGCGGGCGCCTGTAGTCCCAGCTACTCGGGAGGCTGAGGCAGGAGAATGGCGTGAACCCGGGAGGCGGAGCTTGCAGTGAGCCGAGATCGCGCCACTGCACTCCAGCCTGGGCGACAGAGCGAGACTCCGTCTCAAAAAAAAAAAAAAAAAAAAGATATATTTATTTTCTTCTTCTTCTTAATAGAAAGCAACATATTTTATATTCTGACAGAAAGTTAATCCTTAGGTCATATTGCAGTCCTGAGTCCACAGTAAACTTGAGACTCTCTTTGACTTGGATTTTGAGTATTCACACAGATATTCCCATTTACATTTGCCCTTCTACTTTGAAACAAAATCCCAACTCTGTGTAAATTGTTTTGAAAGTGAGAAATATTTATCCTAATTAATTGATGTTGGAGGGTAACAGACCTATTCACATCATATAAGGATGTGGGTGCAAATATAAGCAGAATCTGGGTTTGGCTAATCAGAAAAATACTGTCCCTTTGAGCACAGAAGTTAGTGGCAGCCACAAGGCACCAAGTAGAGAGCAGGTCAAGTGGATTCTGCAAAAACCCACATGTAACCCAGTACTCTTCCCTAGTGCAATTCTATATCTAATTCTGCCAGACTCTGCTCTCTACATCTCTGAATCGCTTTGTCTTATCGTGTCTCTCTGGATCTAACTGCCATTCCCTTTGTCTGCCTTGAGGTAGGGACAGCAGACCACCTTCGCCACTATGAGGATCCAACAATTATGTGGACATCTGTGGCAGCAAAAGAAAATCAGCCTTGAATTAATGTCTTCATTTCACAAAATTTTGAAAAATAAAATGGGGTGTGGAGTTACACCTGATAGCAAGGAGCTGCTAAAGTGAGTCAAGGCTAAGAAACATTCTGATTCAGCCTCTAGGTAGGGGTGTGTGTGTGTGTGGGAGTGAGGTGGGGTGAGGAGAAGCAATAGGGAGGGGGTGAGGTGTTGGACACATCAGCAGCAGAGGAAAGGAGGGATCCAAGGAACAAGACGCTCAGGCTACCAACTTCTCACAGGCAGGAAACGGCCTCTGATCGTTGAAGAATCCATCGCAGCCACACACAGGCCTTCCCATATTTTTATTTCTCTTTGCAGCCCCAGGGCAAGGCCAGGGCTGAGCCCCAGGAGTCCAGGCAGAATCCAAGGGATTTCCCTTTTAAGTCTGCAGAATGTGGGGACTGTCACATTGAGGCCATGTTTTCTCCAGGCCAGCTGACCCGCGGGGACATGTGCCATTTCAGGCTGCACGGCTTTGACTGAATGGGGGCAGCATCCAGTTGGGATCTGATATCATCCCCGCAGCCAGCCAGGGGACTGTCAATGCTGCTCTGTGCCAAGCTGCTCCATGCTCACACCGCGTTGCAACCCTGCCTGCGAGATTCACAGAAAAGGCTTTTCCCTCTTTCCCTGAGCTGCCAATCACCTGAACAATCACCTTCTAAAACTTGTGAAACCACCCACTGGGTGTCAGGAGCTGAAACTCCCAACCCTCCCATTAAGCTAGGATGGAAAGATTTCTAATCAGGCCACTGGAGCTCTAGCTCTGTCCTGGCTTATCTGGATCCTGACTGAAAGTGAAGGGAATGGAAGTTTGTGCTGAGCCAACTGAGATGCATGAGCAGGAATGGGATATGGCCTTGGCTCAGACCCAGTAAATAAGTTTCAAATTGTGTGCCATTTCACAGCTTGAATGAGAGCCAGAGCTCTGACAGCTCTAGTGATGAGGTGGGGAGATGGAGGAGGACCATGGCCTGTGATTGATGAGGTAGAAGCAGCAGTAGCAGAACTCTGAATGGGCACAGCAAAATCCTAAACTCTATTCAACATGGCCTTCCACCTCTGAGGTGTCTTTATTCCTACTTCATGTACAGTTATCCAGAGCAACAGGATGATCCTTTCAACCCAGGACTAACTTAACATTGAACGCCATGAGATTTTGTTATTTTAAAAAAATGTTATTGATGTGTAACATATATACATAAAAAGACAAATCATAGTCAGCTCTATTAATTTTTTAAATTGAAAAATGTTTATTGATGCATAATAAATATACATAATTTGGGGGTACATGTGATAATTTAATGCATTCATATAGTTTGCAAAGATTAAATCAGTGTACTTGGAATATCCATCACCTTAAATATTTGCCTTTTCTTTTTGCTGGAATCAGTTGACTTCTTCTCTTCTAGCTATTTTGAAATATACAATAGATATTGTATTTCTTTATAGAAGTGTCTTTAAAAAAAGATATTGTAAAGTCTAATCAAGCTACTGATCTATGTAAAACTAGATCTTATTTATTCTATCAAACATACATTTGTACCCGTTATTCAACTTCTCTTGATCTCTCCCTCCTGCCTACCCTTCCCAGCCTCTGGTAACTACCAATCTACTCTCTTTCTTCATGAGATCCACCTTTTAGCTCCCACGTGACTGAGAATTATATTTGTTTCTGTGCTTGGCTTATTTTACTTAACATAATGACATCCAGTTCCATCCATGTTGCTGCAGATGACAGGATTTCATTCTTTTTCATGGGTGAATACTATTTCATTATGTATATATACCACATTTTCTTTATCCATTAGTCCACTGATGAACACTTAGGTTGATTCCATATTTTGGCTATCATGAATAGTGCTACAATACATATGGGAATGCAGATGTCTTTTTAATACATTGATTTCCTTTCTTTTGGGTATATACCAAGTAGTGAAATTGCTGGATTATATGGTGGTTCCATTTTTAGTTTTTTGAGGAACCTTCATACTGTTCTCCATCGTGGCTGTGCTAATTTACATTCCCACCAACAGTGCACAGGGTTCCCCTTTCTCTGCATCCTCACCAGCATCCATTATTGCCTACCTTTTTGATAATAGCCATTTTAACTGGAGTGAGATATCTCATTGTAGTTTTAATTTGCATTTTTCCAGTGATTAGCGATATTGAGCATTTTTTTGTATATCTCTTGGCCATTTGTATGTCTTCTTTTGAGAAATGTCTGTTCAGATCTTTTGCCCATTTTTAAATTGAATTATTTGTTTCTTTGCTATTGAGTTGTTTGTATCCCTTATGTACTCTGGTTTTTAATTTCTTGTTCCATGGATAGTTTGCCAATATTTTCTCCTACTCTGTGGGTTGTCACATCACTCTTTTGATTGTTTCATTTGCTGTGCAGCAGCTTTATAGCTTGACGTAACCGCATTCATCTATTTTTGCTTTGGCTGTCTGTGGTTTTGAGGTCTTGCACAAGAAAATATTTGTCCAGACCAATGTACCGGAGCATTTTCCCAATGTTTTCTTCTAGTACTTTCAGACTAGTTTCAGGTCTTAGATTTAAGTTTTTAAACCATTTTGATTTGATTTTTATATATGGTGAGAGATAGGGGCCTAGTCTCATTCTTCTGCATGTAGTTATCCTGTTTTCCCAGCACCATTTATTGAAGAGACTGTCTTTTCCCCATTATATGTTCATGGTGCCTTTGTTGAAGATGAACTGGATGTAAATGTATGGATTTATATCTGGGTTCTCTTCTGTTACTTGGTCTATGTGTCTGTTTTTGTACCAGTACCATTCTGATTTGGTTACTATAGCTTTGCATAAATTTTGAAGTCGGAGAGTGTGATGCCTCCAGCTTCGTTTTTTTGCTCAGGATTATTTTGGCTATTTGGGGCCTTTTGTGGTTCTATATTAATTTTAGGAATGTTTTTTCATTTTTGTGAAGAATGTCATTGGTATTTTGATAGGGATTGCATTGAATCTGTAAATTGCCTTGCGTAACATTGTCATTTTAACAAATTAATTCTTTTAATTTATGAGCATGGAATATCTATTATTTTGTATCCTCTTTTGTCTCTTTCATCACTATTTTTTTTTATTCTTTAAGTTCTAGGGTACATGTGCACAACGTGCAGGTTTGTTACATATGTATACGTGCACCATGTTGGTGTGCTGCACCCATTAACTCGTCATTTACATTAGGTATCTCTCCTAATGCTATCCCTCCCCCTTCCCCGAACCCCACAACAGGCCCCAGTGTCTGATGTTCCCCTTCCTGTGTCCAAGTGTTCTCATTGTTCAGTTCCCACCTATGAGTGAGACCATGCAGTGTTTGGTTTTTTGTCCTTACGATAGTTTGCTAAGAATGATGGTTTCCAGCTTCATCCATGTCCCTACAAAGGACATGAACTCATCATTTTTTATGGTTGCATAGTATTCCATGGTGTATATGTGCCACATTTTCTTAATCCAGTCTATCATTGATGGACATTTGGGTTGGTTCCAAGTCTTTAAGTCTTTGCCATTGTGAATAGTGCCGCAATAAACATATGTGTACATGTGTCTTTATAGCAGCTTTCATCACTAATTTATAGTTTTCCTTGTATAGATCTTTCACTTCTTTGTTAGATTGATTTCTAGGTATTTTGTATTCTTTTATTGTAAATGGGGTTGCTCTTTCTCTTTTTTTTTCTTTTGAGACGAGACAGAGTCTTGCTTAGTCCCCCAAGCTGGAGTGTGGTGGCGCTATCTCAGCTCACTGCAAGCTCTGCCTCTTGGATCCATGCCATTCTCTTGCCTCAGCCTCCTGAGCAGCTGGGACTACAGGCACCCACCACCACGCCTGGCTAATATTTTTGGGTTTTTAGTAGAGATGGGGTTTCACCGTGTTAGCCAGGATTGTCTTGATCTCCTGACTTTGTGATCTGCCTGCCTCAGCCTCCCAAAGTGCTGGGATTACAGGTGTGAGCCACTGCACCCAGCCTGGGGTTGCTCTCTTGATTTCTTTTTCAGATTATTTGCTTTCAGTGTGTTATAAATGCCACCAATTTCTGAATGTTGATTTTGTATCCTGAAACTTTACTGGATTCATTTATCAATTCTAACAGTTTTTGTAGAGTCTTTAGGTTTTCCTAAGTATGAGATCATGTAATCTCCAAACAAGGCTAATTTGACTTCTTCATTCCAGTTTGAATGCCCTTTATTTCTTTCTCTTGCCTAATTCCTGTGGCCAGGATTTACAGTATTATATTGAATAAAAGAGGTGAAAGTGGGCATCCTTGACTTGTTCCAGATTTTAAAGGAAGGAAAGGCCTTCCATTTTTCCCCTTTCCATACAATGTTGTTAGCTGTGAGTCTGTCATATATGGCCTTTATTAATTTGTTATATATTCCATCTATACCCAATTTGATGAGGGCTTTTAATACAGGAATGTTGAATTTTATCAAATGTTTTCTGGCATCTATTGAAGTAATCATGTGGCTTTTGTTCTTGGTTCTGTTAATGTGATGTATTATGCTTATTAATTTGCTTATATTGAACCATCCTTGCATCCCTGGGATGAATCCCTCTTGGTCATGGTGAGTGATATTTTTAATGTATGGTTAAATTCAGTTTGATAGTATTTTGTTGAGAATTTTTCCGTCTATGTTCAACACTGATATTGGCCTGTAGTTTTCTTTCTGTGTGTGTGTGTCCCTGCCTGGTTTTGGCATCAGAGTAATTCTGATCTTGTAGGGTGAGTTTGAAAGTATTTCTTCTTTATCAATTTTTTTGAAGAGTTTGAGTAGATTTGACATCAGTTCTTTAAATGCTTGGTAGAATTCAGCAGTGAAGCCAAAGAAAAGTCCTAGACTTTTCTTTGATGGGAGACTTTTAATTATGGCTTTGATCTCATTACCTATTATTTATTTATTGAGGTTTTCTATGTCTTCATGGTTCAATCTTGGTAGGTTGTATGTGATCAGGATTTTATCCATTTCTTCTAAGTTTTCCAATTTGTTAGCATATAGTTGTTCATGATAGTCTCTAGTGATTCTTTGTATTTCTGTGGTTTCCATTGTTATGTCTTCTTTTTCATTTCCGATGTTATCCATTTGGGTCTTCTCTCTTTTTTTCTTGAAAACCAAAGTCTAACCAAAGGTTTGTCAGCTTTGTTTATATTGTCCAAACAACAACTTTCATTTCATTTTTCTTCTGTATTGGTTTTTTTTTTTTTGGTCTTATTTTCATTTATTTCTATTCTCATCTTTATTATTTCTTTCATTCTACTAATTTGGAGTTTGGTTTGTTCTTGCTTTTATAGCTCCTTAAGGTGCATCATTAGATTGTTTATTTGAAGTCTTTCTACTTAATTGATATAAGCATTTATAGCTATAAACTTCCCTCAAAGCACAGCTTTTGCTGTATCCCATAGATTTTGGTATGTTGTATTTCTGTTTTTATTTGCCTCAAGAAATTATTTAATTTCCTTCTTAATTTCTTCATTGACCCATTTGTTGTCCAGGAGCATGTTGTTTAATTTCTATGTGTTTGTGAAGTCTTCAATGTTCCTCTTGTTATTGATTTGTAGTTTTATTCCATTGTGGCCAGAAAGATACTTGATATGATTTCTACCTTTTGGAATTTGTTGAGACTTGTTTTGTAGCGTGAGACATGGTCTATTCTGGAGAATGTTCCCTGTGCTGATGAAAAGAATGTGTATTCCACAGCAGTTGGGTGAAATGTCCAGTAAATGTTAGGCCTATTTGGTCTAGTGTATAGTTTAACTCTGATGTTTCTTTGTTGACTTTCTGTCTCAATGATCTGTCTATTATAGAAAGTGAGGTGTAGAAGTCTTCTACTATTATTGTATTGCAGTCTATCTCTCCCTTTAGTTCTATTTATATTTGTTTTATATACTCAGATGCTCCAGTGTTAGGTGCATAGATAGTTATAATTGTTATATCCTCTTGGTGAATTGACCTCTTTATCATCATATAATGACCTCCTTTGTCTCCTTTTACAGTCTTTAATTTGTAGTTTTTTACCTGATATAACTACTCTTGCTCTTTTTTTGTTTCCAGTTGCATGGAATATCATTTTCCACCCCTTTATTTTCAGTTTATGTGTGTCTTTATAGGTGAAATGGGCTTCTTGTAGGCAGCATATGGTTGGGTCTTGTTTCTTTATCCATTCAACCACTGTGTGCCTTTTAATGGGAGAATTGAGTTCACTTACATTCAGTGTTATTATTAATAAGTAAGGACTTACTACTGCTATTTTGTTGCTTCTTTTCTGGTTGCTTTTTAGCTCCTTTCTTCCTTTCTCACCATCTTCCTTTGTGGTTAAGTAATTGCTTCTGGTAGTATGTTTTAATGTATTGCTTTTTAATTTTAGTGAATCTATTATAGGTTTTTGCATTGTAGTTACTATGAGGCTTACAAAAACCATCTCATAGAAATAAGTTATTTTAAAGAGATGGCAACTGGTCTTAGATCACAAAGAAAAGAACAGATATATATATATGTACATTGAGACAACTCAAGAGATCTTCTTGCCTCAGTCTCCAGAGTAGCTAGGACTACAGGTGTACACCAGGATGCCTGGCTAATTTTTAATTTTTATAGAGATGTGGTTTCATTATGTTGACCAGGCTGGTCTCAAACACCTGGTCTCAAACAATCCTCCTATCTCAGCCTTCCAAAGTGTTGGGATTACAAGCATACACCACTGCACCCAGCCTCAATTTAATATTTTTATGTTACCTGTCTCTTAACACGTTTCTGTAGGTATTATTGTTTTTGATAGGTTGATGGGGGACTTCATACTACTGTTATGAGTGTATTATACACCAAAATTACAGTATTAGACTATTCTGGGTTTGTCTATGTACTTAATTTTACCAGTAGGTTTTGTATTTTTAAATGTTTGTGTTTTCTTTTTAATATTAGTGCTTTTTTCTTTCAGATAAAAGAACTTCCTTTAGTATTTCTCATAAGATGGGTCTGGTGGTGATGAATTCTCTGTTTTTGTTTGCCTGGGAAAGACTATATTTCCTTTATATTTTAAGGATAACTTTGCTGAATACAGTATTCTTAAATGACAGTTTTTTTTTCTTTCAGGATTCCCTCCTGGGCTGTACGGTTTCTGTTGAGAAGTCTGTTGCCAGATGAATTGACACTCCTTTATATGTTATTTACTTGTTTTCTCATGCTGCTTTTAGAATTTTCTATTTGTTCTTGACCTTTGAAAATTTGATTATTATATGCCCTGGGTTAGTCTTACTTGGATCAAATCTGTTTGGTGTTCTTTGACCTTCCTGTACCTGGATATGTATACCTTCCTCAAGTTTTGGGAATTTTTCTGTTATTATATCTCTAAAAAGCTTTCTACCCCTTGCTGTTGCTCAACTTCCTCTTGAACACCAATAGTTCTTAGATTTGACCTTTTGAGTTAATTTTCTATATTTTGTAGGTGACCTTTTATGTCGTTTTTGTTACTAAACATAACGTTTGTGAGATTCATCCATATTGTGCATAGTTGTAGTTTCTTGACATTTGGTCTCATTGTTCTACAATATTCTGTTGTTTAAATATGTGATTTTTCTATCCATTCTACTGAAGAGGACATTTGGGTTGGTTTGGTTTGTGACCATGTGCGTAGTGTTGCTGTGAACATTCTTGCACATGCCAGATCTTATTTTAAAAGTCTGATGCAGGGCTTCCCATCAGTGGTCTAGCCCTCTTTATGAGGAAGATGGTTCACTCCCAAGATTAACATTTTTGGAGTTATGATACCCCATTTTTATTTCATTAGAGCACCTACTCCTCCCAAAATGATGTATAGCATAAATCTTTCTTGATACAAATTAACCTAGTTTAAAGGCATGGCAATGTCATCAGCATCTACTCATCTCTGTGTGACCACAGCACCTTGTCCCGTGCTCTGCACAAAGAAAGCGTTTATAACACTTGCTTAGTTGAATTGTTTAAGAACAAGTCCCCACATCCCCACCACCTCCACAAGTCTTCATCTTCCCCAAGCAAAATACCATAGCTCTCTTAACCATTCTTTACAGCAGTGGTACTCAATTCTTTTGTTCTAGTATTTCCAGGGCAAAATAATTTTTTAAAACTCTACACCCATCCACATTTTTAAGCTGGCATCTTTATCATTCATTTAAATAAATGCAAAGAGTGAAATTTCTACCATCTTATAAATTGTTTAAATATTTTATTTTTAAAAAAACAATGAAACTGCATTGGCTCATACAATTTATAGAAAAGGTCCACCATATAACATAATTGGCAAAGCCGTTGTCATTGTCAAATTAATTAGCAAATCAGGCTTACTTTCATATAGACATGGCTTTCTATTATGTTTTCTAAATCATTTCAAATACACATGTTAGTACACATTCCTCAGCAAACATTACTTCTGAATTCTCATTCTAAGCTACATAGCTGGCTGGCTGGCTGGCTGGATGGATGGATGGATGGAGGCAAAGAAACTCACCATGACTTTGTCACCTGAATGAAACAGTGCCACATCTTTAATATTTCCTCCCAAACCTTCCTTTCCTTTACTTTCCTGTGACTCTCTCTCAGAAGGGATGCATGTCTAAATTCTTTATTTGGTACCCAGAAGTCTTTTACAGCTCAGGGTAATAGTGCTCCACAGGAAGATGCAGGATCGCAGGGAGAGCTGTTTGTCTTCTTTTCCAAACTGGGGCCAGAGAAAAGGGAGGTGGGAAGCTATGCTTGGAGTCAATTTGTCCCATGTTTTCTTTCTAAAAGCATATGGAGGGGAAAATGATTGGTGTTTTAAAGATGTTGGGTCACTTTACTTTCTCATGCTATTAGGCCAAGCTGTGACCCTTAGTTTCATCTCCAGATTATCAGACATAAAAGGCCCACAGGAATCCAGAAGCTAGACAGAGCATAGGTATTCCAATCTCTCAAGAAAATGGGCAGTAAGAGATTTACTAATAGTATGTTTGCTCACCTGGCATTTAGAAAGTTTAAAATTCTCCCTCTTAATTGTTCTATTTTGTTTGTTAATATTGTGTTCAGGTATTTTCTATATCATAGTAGAATCAGCACTATTATCAATTCTTAATTATCTAACAATATTTATTTTGTTCATTACCTGAGGTCGAATTTTAATTCGGGTTGACTTTTCCCTGAAATTTAGCACAACAAACATCTCAGCTCATTTACCCCCTACAGCTCAAATAGTTTAAGCTCATGGAAGGCAAACTAATTTTAAAATAAGCAAGGGACTTGAAAGGCAAGCCTTTGCTGCCAAAAAAAAAAAAAAAAGGAAAGAAAAGAAAAGAACATAATACATTATTAGCCAATTGGTATTTCTCTGACATCTGGTACCCCCTATTCTCCAAAACAGCTGCAAACTTGAAATAGCCCCCAAAGGCCTCTGGGAGTGAGCAGTGGTTCACTTTGGGAAGATCCAACCTTGAAGATTACAGAAGACGTGAGGCAACTGGTTCTTTTTCTAGACAACAGCACACACCTAAGAGAGCAGGACATCTGAAGGCTATAGAAGCCAGTCCACAATAATGTCAAAACCCAGAATCCCAGGAGACCTAGGACAGAAGGAACTGAAAAAGTGATGAAAAATGGCAACCAACTGGCCAAAACAGAGGAGCCAGAGCAAAGCCTAGAAATGTTGATGATTCGGGAAAATATAGACTTCCCAAGAGTGAAGACAGGGGACTTATGGGAACCCGGAAGACTACCAAGGACAAGTAGCCCCAGCCCAAAAAGAAGAGCAAACTGGAGACGCTCAGTGTTAGCTGCCCTGCCCTGAACACTTCAGGATGGCTGAACGCCTACACATGGTGCTAAAGGAATGAAGGAAGGGCCCTCATTCTAGCTAGATTCTTTTGGCTTTTAGGAACAGAGATCTCTGCATATCAGCTCCTTAGTCTTCCCTCAATTGACTTTATCTGCCTCACCACAGTGACTGCTTCCTCACAGCTTTGCTTATTTATAGTCCATCATGGACTCTTCAGCCCTGACTTTATGTCACAGAGGTTTTATTTAGGCTCGGCTTGCAAATCTTTACCTCTTTCCATATTTGGCTTAAATTACTGAGCATCCTATTTGTCCAACTCAACTTTTTAAGCCAGACTGTAGGTCAATCATCATTGGCCAGCTTGTAGACTGGCTACTTTTGAAACAGGTGCCCATTTTTATTCAATCAGTTGGGAGGAGAGTCACATGCTTCAAAGCATAGCTACCCTAGGCCTGCTCATCAGTGGAAATTGTGGCAAACAGATGTTACAAAATGTCTAGGGAGAACTTGAACCACCTAGGAGTATTTAGTTTAAAACTCTCTGTTTGATAAAAGCAGGAAAATCTGATACAACTTCCAATAAACATTTTACCACTTAAAGGAATAACTTTCAATTATGTAAAAAGTTCACTTATTCTCAATACCGTATAACTGAGAGGTTACTAGATATTCCCTTTCAGATGATATAGTAGATTGGTAAATATTTTTTCTTTAACCTGAGGAGTTAAAGTGGTAGTTGTAATGTTACGATCAGTCAGTCTTCTGCTGAGTACTGAGTATAGCTACCTTTTTTTTTTTTTTTTTTTTTTTGAGACAGAGTCTCGCTCTGTCACCCAGGCTGGAGTGCAGTGGCGCGATCTCGGCTCACTGCAAGCTCCGCCTCCCGGGTTCACGCCATTCTCCTGCCTCAGACTCCCGAGTAGCTGGGACTACAGGCGTCTGCCACCACACCTGGCTAATTTTTTTGCATGTTTTTAGTAGAGACGGGGTTTCACTGTGTTAGCCAGGATGGTCTCGATCTCCTGATCTTGTGATCTGCCCGCTGAGCCTCCCAAAGTGCTGGGATTACAGGCGTAGCTACCTTTTTTAACTGGAATGGTTGAGAGTATTCTTACCGATGCTCCTTATTCCATTTAACCCACAACTTCTCACAATTACAGGAAACATGACTCATACATTTCTTGGGCCTTTCATGGAATTAAGCTTTGGCATCATGTGCAAGTACTGACTTTAAAAATTTTCATATCACAGCTAACAAACGTATACATTTGTCCCTGCGTAAAATGGTAAACAGATGGCTCTTCATTCCTACGACAATGATATCATGCTCTTACTAAAAACAGGGCCATAGTCTGAAAGCCAATGAGAATGAAGTTGGTATAAACCATTACAACTGGACTGCCTTTCTCCTGCCCCTCTGCCAAACCACATCCACTTATCCTTCCAAGCCCAGCCAAATCCCACCTTGTCTGTGAAATTCCTGAGATAATAATGATTAAAAGAACAAGGACAGGGAAGGGCAAGATCCTGGGAAATAGCCTGTGTGACTAAGAGAGGTTTCTATAGCCAATAATAAAGAGGGAGTGTAGGGAGAAAGGCGTCAGGGAGGAGGCCTCAGCCAGTAGCTGGAACTGGCCACATGAGCAGCTTCAATGGTAGGGGCAGTCTTGGAAGCTCCAAAGAAGGAAGAAAGGCAAATCTCAGTTCCAGTACACTAAAACTGGTGGACACTGGGGACTGGGCAGAGACAGGAGATACTGGTCTAGAATACAAAATCAGAGTGGGAACAACAGAGGGAAGGATGGAATCCTGGCCAAGGAGCAAGGATGGGTAAATGCAGTGTTCGATGTTTGAAATGGGCTGGGCAGAACTAATGGCAGAGCTTATTTGAGCCTATCTTCCAAGTTTAGCAGAATAGAAGAGCAAAAAATTAAGATATCGACCGATCTCTCTCTTCTCTGAACTCTTGGGAATTCTTAATGCATAGAAACATACAATTTAATACTACCTTATTCTCACCTTGTCTCTTAATCTAATTGGGTTTTTTTTTTTTTTTTTTTTTTTGGATTGCAAGGGCCACAAACCTATTCAAACTAACTCAAGTTAAAAGGGATGTCAAATGGCAAGACTATAGCAAGGTCACAGAGAGATTCAGGAAATGCAAAACAATTAAGATCCAGGAAGGGAGAAAGCCAGGAATCTTGAAGACCAGCCACACTTCATTTCCCTCTCTCTTATGGACTGCCTATTTCTTTGCATAACTATTTCATCTAGATTTCCGCTTTTCTTTACCTGGTCCATCTGTACTTCTGTTTTCTCAAAACCCCAATGGTCCCATCATAGCTACCCAAACCTGACTTCATGACCTCTCATTTGAGCACCCATCACCAATTTGTTGAGTTTCTCTGTTTCCTAAGTGTAAATTCCTTGTTAGGGGAATATAATTGACATGACTTTTCTTTTCCATAAAGACTCCAAGGCGTGGGCAGCTATCTGTGGGTGGGGTGTTCACCTCAAGTGATCTGGGGGATAAGGCAAGTTGAACCCCTTGGTTCTAAACAATGATTTAGGGGAGGAGACCTCTGTGGATTATGAGTAAGGCATATGGGGACACATTTCTAGGACATATTCCCAATAAGTTGTGAGATTCTGGAGGGCTAGAATAGTGACATGTCTCAGGTACATATATAGTAGAAGCTCCCTTATTCAGCCTCCACTTGGCTGACTCTCCAAATTTACTTACGATCTCCATTTCCTCTAGAAAAGTTACTGCTCCATGCCCATGGCATAGAGAAGTCTCTCAGCTAGGAAGTCGCTCTGTGTCTACTTCTTCCCTTGAGTTACGAGCTTGCCAAGGATCAGCCATGTTTGTAGCCCTATGTCCTTACATCAGTAGTGCTTTCACTTAATAGATAAATTTAGAGCACGTGAATTAAAAAACTGTTTCTACAAAAACTGATTTGAATGCTGTGAAAAGACACATAAAATTGAACCACACATACACAAAAACTTCATTCTCAAATTAGGTGTGAGAAAGACAATTCAAATAACATAGGGGGAAATATACGAAAAATCTGTAAGTCATCCACAGTCAGCTTGCATGAAAACTGTCTTTATGTTGTTGAGTCACTTGAAAGAAACCAAAACTGGAAATAATAGATTATTCACTATGGATATGATGTATTCCAGAAAGATCATACGGAACTCTTATCAGCTGATCTAGAACCAAAGCACAGGTCTTAGCTTTCCATGAAAAACTGACAATTGAATTTATATGTATATGTATTTATATGAATTTATATGTTTACATATTAACTTCAGGTATATGTACAATTAAAATGTTTTAGGTAGTAGTTTTTTTATTTGTTTTTTTTTTTGTTTTTTTTTTTTTTGAGATGGAGTCTCACTCTGTCGCCCAGGCTGGAGTGCAATGGCACGATCTCGGCTCACTGCAACCTCTGCCTCTTGGGTTCACGCCATTCTCCTGCCTCAGCCTCCTGAGTAGCTGGGACTACAGGTGCCCACCACCATGCCCGGCTAATTTTTTGTATTTTTAGTAGAGATGGGGTTTCACTGTGTTAGCCAGGATGGTCTGGTAGTAGTCTTTTTTATTATTATTCTCTTTAGTAGCTGCCAGCCATCAGTGCAGTCAGATTAAGCAGGACTTCTGCTGCAATTTTAATCCTTCCTGCCCCTCCCCACTCAGTAACTTGCTTAAGCACCAAATGTATAATAGGCACTAACAAACCCCTATTCCTTGACAACCCCAAAGGAGGTAAGCAGCCGAACAACAACAAACACCCTGTGCCCAAATAAGCTTCATGGCCCAATATTCCTCCACTGAGCCAACTGTTAGTAATAATGAACTCTAGCCAGTTCACTGTTAATTCCAAGAAAGAAAATAATGTGATCTCTTGCTTTGAATTCATTGTCAAAATATTTGGCATGCTTTTAAATATCCCCCTAGACAGTAGGGAACCTGCCCTAAACATTGCCCTACCCCTGGAGATGGGGTAAGCGAAACAACAGAAAAAATGCAGAATAGTGATATTGCATTCTTTGCCCTGCCATCTAGTGTAATGGGTAAGAGCACAGATCCAGGGGCTGAGGCTCCTTGGCATTAACTTGCACAAGACCTTGACAGCTGCTTAATCTTTCTGAGTCTCAGTTTCCTCTTCTGTAAAATGGGTTGTTGTAAGAACTAAATGTAAATGAAGTCATGGATGAATGGCAAGATAAAGTTTTGTTTTCCCCTCACCCCCTTTTTTTCCTCCTCTAACCACCTGCCCATCAAGGAGATGGGGAGGGTGGAAAACACAGTAAAGAGAAGAAACTGTCCCTCTAACAATGCCTGGAGTATCTATAGAGCAGTCAACAATAACAAGAAACAGGTATGTGTTATGTTTGCTGCACTCTGAAGAAGAGGAAGGGCCTAAAACCTCCTCAGCATCTCATTGTAAGGCCCAGAGCAGGAGCGCCTTGAACCTCTTTACCAGAATGCAATCATTCATTCATTCGTGCAGTGAGTGCCATCTAGGTGCCAGGCATTGATTCTGACACAGCAGTGAACAAAATAAAGTCTCTACTCTCATGGAGCTTACATGACATTCTAGCTGAAGAAAAAACTAAAAGGTTACATGTGAAACCTATGCACGATACCTGTTACCTAGTAAGTACTCAATAAACACCAGCTATTTTAATTATTATTGTCATTATTATCAACCTGATTGCAAAATCTAATTCAGGATGGTTAAAATATGTCCCTTGACTAGTAGATAAATAGCTAGTTCCTACCCTAAACCTGGATCCATCTTCCATTAGCTTTCTCAGGAGTCAATCCGGGGATGCCAGTGCCTCTCCAAAGCACACAACTCCTCATTTTAGGGTTTTTTCCTCCCTTACCTTCCTACCTGTTTTCGGAAATCGGCACCATTTCGCAGCTCTCCAGAGGTTAGGAATGGAAGCAGGGGAAGTCAAAGCTGCAATGGTCTATTAAAGTGTGAATAACTGATGCCCCACCTCTCATCCTATTCAAGCAGTAAAAGACAGCCACCCTCTGCAAGGGTCTCCAGCTCTATGCACATGTATGAGCACAAGGAAGGGCCCGTGAGCTCATAGGCACAGCAGGCTAATCTGGGATTGCCTATTTCCTGCCAGCAGGTTTCCCCCTGGGGCCCACCCAGGCCACTCTCTTTAAAACTGGAATCCCCACACACTCATGCTGTTAGCTTGCTCTGTTTTTTAAAAATTACCTTCCAATATGTAATTCACTTATTTATTATGTTTGTTCTTTATTTTCTCTTTCCTCCATGATAATGTCAGTTCTTATGAGGGCAAAGATGTCTGTCAATTAGAACAATGTTTGTAACATATTAGGCACTTGGTAAATATTTGTTGAAGGAATGCATGAAAACCTCAGAGGAAAACGCTTTTTATCAATCCTGGTAGGGCTTTGTGGCACTTAACAAATGCTCCAAAAAGCCCTTCTCCCCGGCTGACGGGGCCGAGGCAGCAACCTGAGAGCAATGCCCCTTCTGCTTTCTGGGATTTGGGCTGTGTTGCCTGTTTGTCTTGTTTCTATTCTTTTAATCGCTCCCTTCCTGGGTTTTATATTGCACGCCCGGTCTTCCAGCGTCATGGTTACTGTAGTAAACAAACTGAAGGTCTGAATGCATCTTTTTCTCCCCCTGTAGCATGAAGAGCAGTTCGCGGTATCCGGTAGATAGGAAGCACAAATAGGTAATGAAACGGGGATTTGAAAGCGCCACCTTCAGTTGTAAGATCTAAGGGTGGACTGCGCGAGCTGAGGCCGGCAGAGCTGCGTGCAGGGCCGCTTTCCTGGGCCTCCTTCGCCTAGACAAGCAGGGCAGGGGTGAGGACAAAGGAGGGAAAAGGAGGGGAGCACGAGCTCTCTCCTTCCCTCCAGCCCCCACGTTAACTGGAAAAGGCAGCGTGTTCTGGGCCTTTCACGGCTAAAGCAGCAATAGGCGACCGACGAGGGAGGCGGGTGGAGAGGTGACTGGGAGCCTACAGTACGGAGCCAGGCGGAGGACAGAGCGAAGGGCGGCGGGGAGGGGCCCAGAGGGGCTGCTTCGGGCAGGGGCGGGCGCCTCCTCCTGGCCGCCCGCCAAGCATGCCCGGATCCCCTTAGCCGCGTCCCAACACATGGGCTTGCTTAACACTCTCTGAGAGAAGGAGGAGCCACCCCGCAGTGCTGTCTGGTCGCTTTTTCCCATTTTTGCTCCAGGATCCAGAGATTTGAGCAGGGGTGGGGTGAGGTGGGGTGGCAGGGTTCCTCCCCTTCCTTAGGCCCAGCCAGAGAGGGGCCCTGTCTCTCTGCTCCTTTCCTCGCCGTCGCCCTCTCTCTGCCAGGCTCTCCTGTTCGTCCTCCAGGGGCCCACGCTAGCCCCTCACCTCCCCTGAAGCCTTTTCTAACCGCTGCGGCCTCCGTGGTCCCCCACGCCTGTGTTCCTGTAGGACGTTTACAGTTCACACGATGTCTCATCTCTCGGTATATGTCTCCCAGGTAAATTGTGAAGCATAAAGAGCCATATGCTTTTTTTGCTTTAAGCAATTTTTTTTTCTGTAGTTTCTGTTGTAAGCAATAATCCTGCCCAGCCACTAATTGTGTGACCTCAGGAAAATCCTTTCTGAGTTTTCTCATATGCAAAATGAAATTTGTAAGGTCTCTTCCAGCTTTTAAATTCAGGGACTTTCCTGAACTAGAGAACTGGAAGTTGGATAGAGCTATTCTAGAACAGTGGTTTGGGGTCTAAATACATTGTTTCTGGGGGCCACGGGTAGGTGGCATCTGTGAGCTGCCCTCAGGAAGAGGGGCCAACAGTGACCCCGGGTTTCTTCTCTCCTGGACACTCACCACCTGCCTCAGTTCTTCTAAAACTGGGTCTCCGAGCCACACACGTATGACCACCCTGCCACTGGCTTAGACATGGGAAAAATCTCTTTTCCTGTAGTTCAATGCTGAAAGGAAGTCATTTTTCAGAGAGACACTTTGCTAGGAAATTATGAAGTACAAAAACACAAAACCGTAGAAGCATCCAATCAGAGCCCACATTCTTGTGAGGAACTTTAGTAAAAGGCAGACGCTAGCAGGCAAATTTTAGGCAACCTTGGGGCTCAGGTCATTTTTCTCAACTGAACCACGAAGACAAAGGAGGCCGCGCCAAAGACAGGCTCGCTGCTGCTACGCTGCGTATGTGGCCCCTTTCCTGGAGCCGGACAGAGAAGGAGCATGGGCTTCGGGATCATTCACGTGTGAATCTGACTCCAGTGTTGCCGTTTTCTGGCTGTCTGGCCTCGGACAAGCTTCTTAACTTCTCTGATTTTTGATTTCTTTTCTATTAAATAGGGATAATATCTTCTATCCCACTGGATTGAATGAATGTTAAATGAGAATGAATGTGTGTCATTCGGAGATATTAATTATAAACACAGAGCTTCTGTTGGTTTAAGCACAACAGCCGTTTATTAAGGGATGCTGAGGACCAGAATCCCTAGGAAGGCTGGGGAATCCAGCTTGGAAGCCATGAAGCCAGAAAGGCTTCTCAAATCCCATCACCAGATTCTCCTGCAGATTCTTCCTGCTGCAGCAGCTGGCATGGGCCTCACAGCTTGCACCACCTGTTCAGGCCTGCAAGGCATCTATTAGGGCTTCTGGCACTGCTGCTTCTGCTAACTGCGCTTTCTCAAGATACCATGTTCATTGCAGCATTGCCTTCCAAATCAAAGTCTTACACAACCTAATAGTTCTGACTGTTATTATTCCTGCAGGTCTGTCTCTGGTCCTGGGAAGGCCCACCCTCTTCAACCCATATTGTTTGATTCATTTGAGACAGCAATCCACCTGTTTTTAAGGCTGATTTTACCCTTGGGTGAAAGTCAGCTTTTTAAGGTCTTGTTCAGGAACAGAATGGTGTGACCTTGGCAGGAAGCACCAGTGTTCCCTGCAACCTCATCTCTTCTCCCCTACCCCTGATACAGCCTCAAGTTCACTAATTTGTCTTGTTTCCCCCTTCCTGCCCCCCGCCCGCCCCCGTGCTAAAGCCTATACTATCTTTAGGCCACCTAATAAATTCCCATTTCTTGCTTGAGTCAAGTTTGAGTTACCTGCTGAGCCACACCACCTGGCTGTTCTTTGATTCAATACACAAATGCCTCCAAGGCCTAGACCAGTGGTTCTCAGCTCTGGCTGTAAGTTAGAATCAAGGAGGAGTGAGGGGCTGGGCCTCAGGGACTCTCATTTAATAGATCTTGAGTGAGTCCAGATGTAGGTATTTTTGGCAGCTCCCTATTTAATTTGACCAGGGAAACTGTCTTCTAAAGTCCCATCACGGTTTTACTTACAGTGCCAGAAGCTTTAAGCAAGGAGTGAACATCAAAAGTACAATATCGAACAAGAGTGGAAGAGGGTAATATTCTCCCACTTTCTGATAACTATCTTTAAATACTAACTTTTGAATTAAGCATTTTGCAAGTAGAGGCTACAAATTAGCCTTTTCGGGTCATTTTAGTTTTTGGGCTTGAAAATCGTATAAATTCCTCCTAGGTCATTTTGTACCTGTTAATATTGAATTTATATAGAAAAGGGGGTTGGGCACAGTGACTCACACCTATAATCTCAGCACTTTGGGAGGCCAAGGTAGGAGAATTGCTTGAGCCCACGAGTTCAAGACCAACTTGGGCAATAACATGAGACTTTGTCTCTACCAAAAAAAAGAATTGTAATAAAATAAATTAGCCAGGGGTGGTGGCGCATGCCTGTAGTACCAACTACTCAGAAGGCTCACTTGAGCCCAGGACTTCCAGGCTGCATTGAGTTACGGTTGCACTACTGCACTCCAGCCTGGTGACAGAGTGACATGGGGCCGCAAAGATAAAGAAATAAATAGAAAAGGGGAGAGAGGAGAAGGGGTCTTTCAGGGAGTGACACAATGCCTCATTGTCCAGTCTCTAAGATAAATGAAGAATGGGAAATTCTAAATTCTGCTTATTTCAAACACGTGGTTCATTCATAACATGAATCATCTGATGATAAAGTGATTGAAGTAAAAATATCAACAGCTGTGAAACTACCAGGATGTTTATTACTCATTCTTGTTTCCACTTCTTGTCAATTTCCCCATCTATTCCCCATTCTGAACTGTCAGTTAAAATGATAAGAGCAGATGGAGGGAAAAAACAGGCCTTCAGTGATGAACTAGGTAAGAAGCTATGAACAATGGGAAAATGGGGAAGTAACATCTAAACATGGCTCCCTTCTGTATATGAATCGGCAACATTGAGAGGTTTTGCTGTGGATGACTATGGGAACAATTGATACTCTACTGCTGCTTCCGCTGTTGAAAACAAGACGACAGACCCCAAACTGCCATTTGGTATGCAACCAGGTAGGAATGCAGCAGCTAAGGAACACAAGGACCCACCAGTAGGGAGCAGTTGTCATTTTTTTCCCCCAATTAACAACTGAATCTCTGCCCTATGGTTGGGAATCACCCACCCCCCTGACAGAAGCTAAGAGCATCAGACACACACTTTGTATGCTGCCTTTGTAGCTAAAGCATGGGCATAGCTACTGACCAGAGTCCACCAAGCACAGACAATCCCCAGACTTAGAATCAAAAGCTCAGTGACCAGAAGTGACGCATGATGGCAGCTATTTTTAGTTGTCAGATGCAGCAGTGGCAGTGGTTCTAGCAGATGGGTCCAGTATCAAGGGCATTGGTGGGGGCAGGCTGCAACATTGGGGATGCAGTGCTGGCAGTGGAGAGGGCATTGCAGGACCAGTTCTATACTATGATGGAGCTGGTTTTAGACCTTGTAGATATATTTGATAAGCTACCCAATATCCTTTGAATAAAATATTTCTTTCTCTCTTTTTTTTTTTGAGACAGAGTTTCTTGTTGCCCAGGCTAGAGTGCAATGGCACAATCTCAGTTCACTGCAACCTCTGTCTTCCTGGTTCAAGCAATTCTTCTGCCTCAGCCTCCCAAGTAGGTGGGATTACAGGCATGCACCACCACGCCTGGCTAATTTTTTTTTTTTTTTTGTATTTTTAGTAGAGACAGGTTTACACCATATTGGTCAGGCTGGTCTTGAACTCCTGACTTCAGGTGATCCACCCACCTGCTGGGATTAGAGGAGTGAGCCACTGTGCCCGGCCTCTTTTCTTCTTAAATTACCCTGGATTATTGCAAGTCACGGAGTGGTCTCTCTACCTCGAGCCTTGCCATTTTTTGCAGGTGTTCTCAATGGAATAGTTAGAGTTCCTGTAACAATATCAATTATAGCATAACATTTCTCTATTCAGAACCCTCAAATGCATCCCATTCCACTCAGATTAAAAGCAATAGACTTTTACAGTGGCCTACAGGGCCCTATGCATCCCCATCCCCATTATCTCTCTGAGCACATAGCCTATCACAGTCCCCTTCACTCAGTCTGCAGCCTTTACTCAATCTGCAGCAGCCACTTAAAGGTATCTGCCTCAAGGACTATTTATGTGCTAAATTTTACCTGGCAAATTCTTCCCCGGAAATCCTCATGACTCACTCCCTCACCTCCTTCAAGCCTTTGCTGAAATATTCCTGTTGTGAAGGCTTCTCTAACAATGCTACATAAAACTGCATCACCCCCTTTCCCTGCTTCCCTGCAACCCTTATCCCCTTTCCCTGCTTTAGTTTCCTCCATAGAACTTATCACCAGCTAACATATGTTATACTCAACTTGTTTATGTCTGTCTTGCTCAGCTCCCATTAGAATGTAAGCTTCAAAAAGGCAGAGATCTTTGTTCACTGCTGCATCTATGGTGCCTGGAATAATGAGTGCCTGACACAGAATAGGTCTTCAATAAATATTTGCTGGATGAATGAGTGACTGAATGAAGAGGATGTCAATGATGGGTGAAAAGTGTAAGTTTCCCCGATAAAGGGAAGATAGTAGGAAGGAGACAGTGACTTTGCAGATTGGCAACTAGAGCTCAGCTGACGAAGCGGCATATCTTCCTGGAAGTCAGTTGGGAGAAAGAAGTTTGAACACAGGAATAGTCACAGACGTCTGAGGATTCTTTGTTTTTGCTTATTAAGGAGTAGGTTGATCTTTGTCAGTTCAATATGGCCAAGAGGAAACCAGCAATCAATATTGGTGGACAGAAATTCTAATTATGGAACAATTGCATAAATTCACTTAGGAAGAGTTGGGCAGTATAATCATGGTACTAGTGAGAGCAGCTACATCTATTGAGTGCTTACCAAATGCCAGGTGCTTTCCAGGCTATACATGGAGTATCCCATTTAATCCTTACAACAAACTCATGAGGTAGGCACTACTATTTTCATCTTATAAGTAAGAAAATGAGAGGCTAAGCAACTTGTCAAAGACCATATACCTGGAAAAATGTCATTTGTTCATTTGGTTATGTTTTGAGATGAGACAAGATCAAAAATTTTAGGTTGATCTCTGTAATCTAAAAATGAGCCTATAGAATTGCAGATAACAAACATGAAGTTGTGGAACATGAACAGGCAGATGAGGTTTGAACATCAGATTTGCAACTCTCTGTCTATATGACTTTAGGCAAGTTACTTATCTCTCTGAGTTTAGATTTATCCTCATTTGTAAAAGGTAAAAAATCATACAGTTCTTGTAGAGTTGTCAACATTAAATATAATCACACATGGAAACAGCTAAATGTCTAACCCAGAGAAGGCACTCAAGAAATAGCATTATTATCACTATTATTATTGTTGTTGTTGTTATTAGTATTATTATTTTTGAAGGAATTCAGAGTCTACTCTCTTGGCTCCATACTTGTGAGTGCCCACACAACCATGCTTCGCAAACAGTGTTTAGAAAGTGCAAACAGTGTTTAGAAAGTGCAAATACCTGAGTTCTACACCCAGAGATTCTAATTTGGAGATGATGGGAAATCTCACTCTCAAATGGAAAACTGGCATTCTCTTAACTCCGAAAAGAACTTCTTACTTTCTAATGTTGTGCTACCTAATGTGTGCTACCTAAAATACTCATATGAAACTAACTCATATGAAACTAACCCCTCCAAAGCAGTGTTGCCTAAGGTTAAGGGAATGCATTCTGGAACCTTGGGCAAGCACTTTGAGCTCTCTGGGCCTCATTGTCTTTATCTGTAAAATTGGGATAACAATAATTCCTACTTCATGCAGATGAGTCAGGGCTTAAAATAAACTTGTAAAATAATTAGAAAGAGCCTGGCATAAATTAGATAATCTAATAAAAATAATAACGACAACAATTATTATTATTTGATTCTATTTTTCATTCTTCGATCTCCTCCTGATGGAAGGATTTTTTTTAAGTGGAGATTATTTTCAGTCCCAAACTTTGCACACAGTATCCCGGCTTGCCTTCACCACTGAAAGAGGCAACACACTGAGCCCACTTCCTCTGGAGCCTGTGCTAAAGAAGGTGGGGCCTGCTGAGCAGTTCCAGACTGGCCTTAAGGAGACTTGACAATGCTTCATATATTCACATACATGTGAATATATGTGAGCTTAGGACATTCTTTTTGATAGCTAAACTTAATCTCACAGATAAAAATTTCATGTATTCTAGTGTGTAGAGAAGAGGATACTAGTGCATCCATCTTCCCAGCTGCTATGAAGATGCAGTAATTCCTTCCACTGGTCACTCTCACCCACCCAATCAGGTCTCCACTCTTGGTGTAGCTGCTTTCCTTAGCAAAGAGGCCTTCTCTGGCTACAAACTCAAAAGCAACCCACTCACCTTGCACCTCTCCTATATTAATCTGCTCTCACATTGCTATAAAGGAATGCCTAAGAGTGGGCAATTTATACAGAAAAAGAGGTGAAATTGGCTTAGGGCTCTGCAGACAGTACAGGAAGCATGATGCTGCCATCTGCTTGGCTTCTGGGGAAGCCTCAGGAAACTTACAATCATGGTGGAAGGTGAAGGAAAAGCAGGCATTATCACATGGCGAGGGCAGGATGTGGGGGGGAAGGAGGTGCCACACGTTTGTAAACCACCAGATTTCATAAGAACTCACTATTATAAGGACAGTACCAAGGGGATGGTGCTAGATCATTCATGAGAAATCCACCCCCATGGTCCAGTCACCTCCCACCAGGCCCCACCTCCAGCACTGGGGATTACAATTCAACCTGAGATTTGGGTGGGAAAACAGATCCAAGCCATAATCACCTCCCCACACCCAGATGGACACATCATTGCTCTGCCATTTCCTCTATCTCAGCCCTTTGTCTACTTTATAGCTCTTATCACAATACATAGTCTGATAATCATTTCACTTATTTTTCTGCTTTCCTGTTTCAAGGCCGTGCCATCTAAACACACACACACACACACACACACACACACACACACCATACACACACACAAATCCTTGTACATGTCAGGAACATGGGGATCCCATTTGTCTTGTTTTCTCCTTGCTCACTAGCGTCTATCTCAGTGCTAGCATTCAACACATAGCAGCTCTGAAGAAATATTGAATAAAGACTGAACTTTTTAGAGTTGTGACTGTAAAAAGGCATTTCCTCTGGACGATTCTATCTGGAAGAAAAAGCAAAGGGATGGATCTGAATAAACAGAAAAGGAACAAAAACACCAGTCACAGCTTCCATAGTTTCCTAGAGTGTGGCCATTGGTGGGGTCCATACCAACACTTTTAAGATCACTAAATGAAGATTTCCTGTCTTAAATGTGAAAACCAGTAGCTACACAAAGGCTGAAAAAGTATTAAAGTCATCACAAGGGATTACGAGTAACATAAATTACAATATGATTTTTTTTTGAGAGAGAGAGAGAAAAGAGAAAAAAAATTTAATGAGACCAGATCTAAAAGCTCTTGATCTTTCCAAGGGGAGAGAGATTAAGTCCTTTCTTCTCTTTACCATTTTTATCAGTTTGATTTTTAAGCTTGAATTATTCCCTCTGCTCCCAAATGAACACTGTCTATGCCCTGTCTGTCCCCACTTCCCACCCTCTTCCCACCTACATGAATGACTATTAGAGCTAGAGGGACTTTGAAAATAATCATGTCCAATCCTTCCTTTTGTTGAAGAAGAAAAAGAAGTCTGGGCCACACTGTGAGAGAGTCTCAGGACTCAGAAGGGGGCCTAGATCTCTTGACTCCCTAGCCAACCCTCCACGCCTCCAGGCTAGATTCAACTCACTTTGATTCATCTCCTTCTGATTTACCAGGGCCTGGTCCACTTTCCAGCCTCCGTGTAATAGTTCAGGAGGCAACTAGTCGATACCCTGTCTGTTTTGAGGCCAGGAACAACCCCGCAGATGTCAGCCAAGAGTGTTCTTTTCTGGCAGCACCAAGTGAGTCTTCCTTTGTCCAGTCAGCAATCCAGCCAGAATATGTTCAACCAGGGAAGTGTCCCATTCTTGAAGACAGTTCCTTCTCTCTTCAGTCAGTCTGTATTCACTCTGTAAGTCTGACATGCATTGGAAATAGGTATGGAGCTAAAGAAAGCCCCACAGTTTACATTCTAATTCTCAGAAAGCCCTGCCTTTCTCTCCCTGGGAATGCCAAAGCCACAAACTTCTCAATCCTCTTTTGCCCTATCCCCACCCGATAAGGAAGGAGCTCCCACAAATGCGTTGATGAGGTACGAAGTAGTGATAAGTCCTGACAGTCCACAGGGGCATTGAGAAAAGACCATGTCCTCATTCACAGCCAGTCTGGGGTGCTGCTCTGAACCCACACTGACCCCCAAAGTGTGGGAGGCAGAGCTGAGTCAGCTATTTCTGTCTTGTCCTCCTTTCTGTCCACCCCACCACAGAAGCTGAGATATGCTTGCAACGTCTTACTCTATGATCCTTTTCTCCCTAGAACCTTCATTCACTCAACGATAAAGCCTGTGAGCAGTTCATTTTTTTCATGTGGTTCCATATATGGCCTAGTCCCATTTTATTCTTGAATTTTTGTTTGTTGGTTTAGGGTTCTTGGCCAGCTGTGGGGGTGATGGCGAGTAGGATCTGATAATTTGAAGATAAAGTGACCCTCTCATTTCAGTCTCGAAAATTATCTTTATCTAAGCTCATTTTCCCTTCATCACTTTGACTCATTCACTCGTGAATACCCATATTTGGGTTGTTTATTGATTTTTATTGTTATTGTTGTTTATGGGTTTTATGGTTTGTTTTGGTTTTTTGGTGAGAGGGTTATTGATTTTAAGATAAGGAGTCCATCTTCATCTCCATCTCTCAAACTATGTGTGCCTGAAGCTTTATTCCCTGCAGTACTCTAGTTTTCAGATACCCTTAGTGATATTATTGTCTTCATGTTCTCTCAATCTGTGAACTAGGTTATTTTCAACTTTTTCCTCTTTTCTCCATTTGGTCACTCCCTCTTCTTAAAAGAGTTTCTCATAAGAACTTAATTTTGGTAATGTCTAGCTTTGTATTTGTTCTAAGTTTTAGAAATTATTGGCATGAATTCCAGACAAGATGGTATTGTGAATTCAAAAATTGAGGCTTTGTTTTGCTTCAAAGTCATTGATTGCCATGACCTATAAAAAAGAAAAAAAAAGAGGCCGGGCGTGATGGTTCACGCCTGTAATCCCAGCACTTTGGGAGACCAAGGCAGGCAGATCACCTGAAGTCAGGAGTTTGAGACCTGCCTAGACAACATGGTGAAACCCCGTCTCTACTAAAAATACAAAAAAGTAGCTGGGCATGGTGGCGGGCGCCTGTAATCCCCGCTACTTGGGAGGCTAAGGCAGGAGAATCACTTGAACCTGGGAGGCAGAGTTGCAGTGAGCTGAGATGGCACCATTATACTCCAGCCTAGCTGACAAGAGTGAAACTCTGTCTCAAAAACAAAAACAAAAAAAAAAAAAAAAGAAAGAAGAAAAAGGAAAATCAAAAGCCATGGCCATGCTAAAACAAGACAAGTATCTCTATGTACTAGAATCAGAAGAGAAACAACAGGTGGAATGTGAAACCATTGAGGTCTGAACCAGAAGTCAACAGAGGTGGCCCAGAGTTCTAGCTTCTGTGAGGTTATGGGAACCAAACTACCCCAGAGGTGGTGGTGGTGGTGGGGGAAAGCTCTTAGTTATCCATCCACAGCCCCTTCTGAAGGGACGGTATGGGGCAACCACATTTTGGACCACATTGCCCTGCCTCTCTCCCTCCAAAACTGATAATTGGACCAAGCCTGGGCACTTCCCCCAAAACATTGAAGCCATACCTGCTGTGAGAGGATCTCGAATGAAAAGTTCTACCAAATAAAAAAGAGCTGGCCCTATAAGATTCTTGTTCCAATGAAATTAAATTGGGAAATGTTGGAGGAAGTAAACAATTTTCAGTGGAAGCTGAAGCTGAAAGATCTTAAGTTTGAGAGGAGGCAAAAGGTTCATGATCAAGCCAAAGCCATGGGAAGCAGAAATTCTAAGATCAAAAACTTATTAGCTTCAGAGAAAAGCTTTAGGCTAGAGGATAAGTAAAGGATAACTTTAGACTGGAGGATAACTGCCTGATAGCTAAAAGAGGAAACCAGACCCAGAGAGAGATTTGGGGTCATCTTAATGTAGAAGAGAAAAAGCAAAACTCTACACCTCCCTCTGCTGAGATCCAGAGGAGTGCTTTGGATGCTGAGGGTCTTCCTGACCTCAGTCTCCATGAGACCCAGCTCCACAGTAATTCCTGCTCTTCTTGGGATGGGTTGTCTGGCTCCTCCTCAGCTACTGTAAAGCTCTGGGCTTGGACCCCTATTTCCTTGGTTTCGTGTATCTCTTTCTAACTGTCTTCCTCCCTTCACTCCAATCACTTGAGGTTCTTGAGTGAGACTGTTCAAGAAAACCTAACTGAAACATATGCTAGCTCATGTAATCCTCTCAATGGCCCTGTGAGGTAGGAGTACTATTTCCATCTTACAAGTGAGGAAACTGAGGCTACAGGACATTACGCAGCAGGATCATGGAACTGAAGGGATGGTTGTTTGCCTGTGTGACCTCACATCTATTTCCCCACCTTCCTCTGCTTTGCTGGCCGAGCAAAGTCTATTTTGTAGGCTCCCTTGCCAACTGGCTTCTGGTTCACCAAGAGGGTCACTGGAGGGAAATTTATGAGTAGAAAGAAGGGAGAAGCCAGGATATTTCTCCCTGTGTATTCTGGGCGGCATCTCTGGCAAGGGTTACACCTTCTTCGTGTCCCAGATCCCATGAGAGGGCCTTTCTTCCATGTTCCAGTCCCCTCCCACCAGGCCACCCCCAACCCCCCAGTCCTAAGAATGGTAGCACTTTCTGGCTTTTGCTAATCTTTGGGTGGCCTCCTGTCTCTTGTTTAGAGTTTTACTTCTTTCAAACCATTTGTGACTCGTTCTCCATGGTAAATCTCACCTATTACCTGGCATGGCTCTGTTTTCCTGAACGGACCTGACTGATGCAACAGTTAACCAGGAGGCAGAGTGAGGATGTGAAGTTCAGTCTGTGTGACTCCAGAACCCACACTCTGAAGACTGCATTATATTGACAGTTAAATCACAAAGAGATTTCTCAACTTTCACTACAAACTAGTGATGTTCCCCCAGAGCAAGCCCATAGCGAGGCCTTCCCATGACATGTTTTCACTGCTCATGGTTAAGAGTTAATTTTTTAGTACCCCAACCCAAAGATCAACATGGGACCAGAAGAGTTCATTTCTAATGGCTGCCCCTTGCACAACAACCCATTGCCCTTTTCTAACTCTGCTTCCTGAACCCCCAGGGCCAATCTAGTAGTACTGGATTTGCTGCCAGGTGAGGAACCAAGTGAGGAATTGCCATAGCACCAAACTGAATGTACACTATTGAGCCAGATTGAAATCTCAAGGTGCTCAATAGGCTTACCACTGCTTGGAAGCAGCAAACAGGAAATTTCAAGTTCTATAGAGTTATTTCAAGTTCTATACAGTTCTATAGAGTTATTTATAATATATAATATAATATACTTATAAATTTCAAGTTCTATAGAGTTATATTATTTAGGAAAACTGCAATAAACCTAGTGCTCTTGGTTTCTTATCCCTCTCCTAGCTTCAACCTTCAGAGATCCTATTTTCTTAGGATAATCCGTCCTATCGACACTCCCAGGTCTCAGTATTTTGTTTGTGTTCTCTCTCTCTCCTATCTCTTTCTCTTTTCCCACTAGATTTCTGGCCATCTGACCTCCAAAGCCAAGTGTCTACCATGCTAAATTGTGTATTAATAGTTCTGTGTTGGTCATTTATCAAGACCTACATCACCTCTGACAAGCCATCATCATGTGTTTTATGCTGTACTTAAGGTCTGGCTTACTGTACTGTATTGAATTTACAGGAACCTAGAAGCAAGTGAATGTTGGATTTTTCAAAAGTAGCTGCTCTGCCAGAGAGAGCAGAATGTTCATATCATCTTCCCTGAAAATCTAAAAAAAAAGTCAAATCAAATCAAGAAAAGAGGCTTCAACTTTATGGTCTTTAAATAAACGCACAATTGCTTCCCTAATTGTGAATGTCTCCTGCACCTGGTCTCAATCCTTTAAACACTAACTTTAGTCCATTCATGGGTAAAGGTGGATAATTTCAGCATCTAATTAACAAGTGTGTGGTGGGAAGTATGTTACACTCTTGAGGTTTGTACTACCCAATATACCATACTACTGACGAGTGACAGTCTGTATTTCACAGACCACAGTTGAACAATCTATACAATCATTTGTAAAAATAACCAAGTCTTGTTACAAAAATGGGTGTTATTTTTGGTATCTCTCTCCTCACTCCCTCCAGCTACCACCTCCCACATCCCAGCTGTCTCCTGATCCTGTGAGGGATTTTGTTTCTCTGAAAAGCTTTAGTAGCTTCTCTATTCTGTCCTTTTCTCTAAAGAAATCTCAATGTTAACAGAAACGAAAATGGACGGCCATATGTCACAAGAGAATGAAATCTTTGCTCCCAATCCCTGTCTTCAGAGCTGACCTAGAAGCCAGCCACTCCACTCAGACGTAAGTATGGACTGTGTGAGTGAGGAAGATTCCTCCCCCACCCCGTGTCCCCCAGCAGGCCCCTGGCTCCTACTCACCATTCAGGTCTCAGCAAAAGAGTGGAATCTTTGAGAAAATATTCTCTACCCCTAGCCTAAGTCACTGTCTTTTGTTACATGTTCTCACAGAACTGCCATCCCTTCCTCAAGAGTAATTAACTCAGTTTGTAGATATATCCTTACCTGTGTCCTCTGGATAATGACTGGCTAACTCTATTAGTCTGTAAGATCCATGAATATATGTGTCCCAAACTATATTTCATGAAAGTGGTGGTGGTAATGGTGGAGTCTTTTAGCAAATAAATTTGGGAAATACTGGATTAAATAAAATTAAGCAATTTTCTTTATCATATGACTTCTTGGAGCCTTTTAAATGCTAATGTGTGTAATGAATCACCAGCATTTCCCAAGCCACACTAATCATGGAACCTTTTCTCATAACAAACATTAACATCTGGAAGAATTATAATTCTTCCAGAATTATATATATATATAATTCCAGAATATAGTTTGAGAAAAGCCAATATAGAATGAATGACAATTTTTGCCTTTACTCCAACATTATAGCAGAGTGGTAATTACCATGAACACACAAATTTCAAATGACCTTGGAAGCTGCAGTAAAAAAAAAAAACTGTGACAAAACTTCAGAGTGAAATAATCACACAGGAAGAGATAGCAGGGTAAGGGTAAGTTTGAGGAAGACACAAAAAAGAAAGAAAGAAAAAAAGGAATGAGAAAGCAAGCTAACTTATCGAGAAGGCAAAGATGGAGTTCCAATTAAAGTAGAATCAATGCCAGGCAACAGAGTAAAAGGAGAATTGGTAAGATTCATCTAGATACTTGATGCTGAGAAGTAAGAATTAATATGGTGCCTGCTGCCGGTCCAAGACAGTGGGGGAAAGATTGATGACTTTGGGTTTTCTGGCTGGTTTTCAGATAGAACTGAACCATGTGATCAACTTGTTTATGATAATGTGAAGTCCAAAATGGCAAATTTCAAGTTTGATAGAGTTGTATTATTTAGGAAAACTGCAATATACCAAATAATAGTTGATTATTTAAAATACTATAAATATATATTTTTTAGATTTTGATAAAATTATTTAAATGTTTTTTAAATGAAGACATATCAGTACCACTGTGAACTATTTTTTTATTTGAGAGGTGAAAATAAATGCGTATTAATATTCAAAGGGGCTGCCTCAGACCTTTTTAAGAAATGGAGATATAGACTTAATAATTGAACATAGAAATAATCATTCCAAGTTTAGTGGCTAATAAAGTGAAGTCTAAGAAATTACTATGCTGTAGATTATCTTCTAGCATTAAGCCAGTGGGCATGGAGTTTCTTTTTAGTTCAACTTCACAACAAGGCATATGATCACATGTGAAAAATGGGAATTCAGAGTGGAAATCTTGTTTTGAAAATCAGCTAACATTTAGTTTTCCACTTCAGCCAATTCGGATCACTATGTTCGTGAGGACTTTAACAGCATCAGGTAAAATTTCCCTTTCTATATAATAATAGCAGAGAGAATGTAGAAGTTAGTTATCAGAGAGTTTGAAGGCTTCCAAATGTTTGCATTATTGCTGAAAACAATCTATAATTTAATGTAGACTAACTCTGGACTGTACATGAACACCAGCAATGAAGAGGAAGGAAACTTTGAAAAATGTTATACACTGGAGGATTGGCTTTACTGTGGCTATCTTTTATGTCAACCCTGAAATCTGTCTTTATTATTAAAAGAAGTTTAATTTCAAAGGATGGCTCCCCTTTAAAATGGTTCTTGGGTGTTGACACTGGATGCAGAAGCAGAACTTACACAGTCTGAACAAACGGGTGGTTAGAAAAGATTGTTTCAAGCCTCTGTGTTCCTAAGATCATGGCTAAATTTCCCAAATTCTGAATTGAGGTGAAAGGTCAGAGAAAGAGTTCATTTGGAATGGGATCTAGAGGTGTCCCTAAGGAAAGAAAGGTTGGCTGGATCTGGTGATTTAGGAGAAATCCAGTCTGCTCTCACCTGCTGCCATCTGCCATCTGCTTCTGCTCCATCTTCCCAGTCTCAGGGGATCCCCTCAGCTCTACCCTCTGGGTCCAGCCACCTCGGCCTCGGTGACCCCAGACCCTCTCTGTCTCCACCACTAACCCCACAGAAAGACTTAGTTTAAGTTTCCTCAAGAGGGGCTGAAAACATAAAGTCTCTTTACTTCCTCTTCCAGAGGGTTGTGTGTGGGCATGCATGTGTACACATGTATATGTGTGCACACATGCGTGTATGCAGTGGATGTGCATTTGAGTTCTTTTGGTGTAGGCTGTCATGTGAAGACTTCTCAGACTTTTAGAAACATGATACTTGCCTCTCTTTCCTGAGGTCAGGATAAAGAGACACTCAGACCTTTAAGGCTTTGTGCTTAATCCCTCGTCCTGCTGCGTGAGGAATAAGAGTTCACTGTGGGTTTGCTCACTGGTCTCTAACTGGACTCTCAGGAGCATCCAAAGCCCAGCCAGAGCCTCAGCCTGCTGCCTGGGCACCAGCCTCATCTGCCTGCTCATGCATGTCTGCTCTTGCTTCCTCTGACTTTTGGACATGTCCAGCTTGCTCCCACATGTGTCTCAGATCTGCTTGCTCTGCACTTGTCCACATGGACTTTTCTGGCTCCAGACTTAGCCTTGCAGCTCTCACAAAGTGTCAGAAAGATCTCTCAGCTCCAGGAGCCACGGCTGCCTTAGGGCATTCTAGTTCCTCCCATGAGGGGGAGATCAGATACCCTTCAAGATATAGCCCCCAGAACAAGAGACGTGTTTTGCCATTCTTCAAGGAAAGGAAATTTCTCTCTCTCTCTCTCTCTCTCTCTCTCTCTTCCTATCATGAAACAAGTGCATGAACAATTTGACTTCAAGCTTTGTGGTCCAGAGCATCCTAGGCACTCAGTATGGTCCCCAAACCATTGCTTTCTAACCCGCTGCAGGCCTTTTGGGAGAAAGTCAACTCTTTTCCTTTTCTTAGGCTCAGTCTGGTTATTCAACCCAGAAAGGGGAAGCTGGGGCTGGGGCCATAGTGTTTGGACTCAGCCTGAAATTCTCCTTCTGTGATGGTTAATATTGAGTGTCAACTTGATTGGAATGAAGGATGCAAAGTATTGTTCCTGGGTGTGTCTGTGAGGGTGTTGCCAAAGGAGATTAACATTTGAGTCAGTGGACTGGGAGAGGCACAGCCACCCTCAATTTGGGAGGGCACCATCTAATCAGCTGCCAGCATGGCTAGAATAAAAGCAGGCAGAAGAAATTGGAAAGAACAGACTTGCTAAGTCTTCCAGCATCCGTCTTTCTCCTGTGCTGGATGCTTCCTGCCCTCAAACATCAGACTCCAAGTTCTTCAGCTTCTGGGACTCTTGGACTTACACCAGTGGTCTGCCAGGGCCCCTCGAGCCTTTGACCACAGACTGAAGGCTGCACTGTCGATTTCCCTACTTTTGAGGTTTTGGTACCCAGAACAATCCACCAATGACTTCCTTGCTCCTCAACTTGCAGACAGCCTATCTTGGGACTTTACCTTGTGATCAAGTGAGTCAATTCTCCTTAATAAACTCCCTCTCATATATACATATATCCTATTAGTTTTGTCCCTCTAGAGAACCTTGACTAACACATCTTCCTCCTTTCTGTCTTTCTCACCCAAACGAGAAGGCTACCACCAGTTGTGATCACAATTGTCCCAGTGGTTTCCAATACTCCTTTCATAGTAATTTTAGACCTTTAGGTTTGACACCTCTTCTTGTAGAACACTCCAATATGGGCAGAGTCCCTTCAGCTCAGCTGACAATCAGTTTACACATACTGTACCCAAGCTGTCACTGAGGAAGAAACTGACATCTCAGCCAGCCCACCTTGAGACCAGAGAGGGGCCTGAGTAGCCTATCTGCCTCAGATACCAGAGATAGAGCAAGAAGCCCCATACTGCACAGACAGCCCTGTGGCATCCTGAAACTCCTTGTTATCTTCAGGGACTGTGTTTAGTTCCAGGTTAATTGAGGGGATTTTTGGTTCAAGGTTCAGTTCAGGAAAATTCTATATCTTTACAACTTATATTCTACTTCATTCAAAATGAGAATGTCTTCATTGATCCCCATGGGAATATGTATTCTTTCAACTCTATAATCATGAATAAGATAAAACCAATGAAAATTTGCCATGGCCTTTTAGGCACCAAATATTAATATTCACATGTTTCAGAAGCGGTGACATGGAGAGAATTTTCTGATCTTTCATCCTAAATGGGTCTGTGGGCACCATGGAAAAGACGGGCAGGCCGCTCTCCACCTGTGTGCACCATCGCTGGCATGTGCTGATGCTGAAGTAGGATCTAACTTGGTTCCCAGGCCCTTACTCAGGCCTTCTTCCCGCTTCTTCAAAACTCCAAACTCTAGGGCATTTTTGGGGTGACTTTGTGAATGAGGCGCAGGCTTCTGGAACATCTGGGCTTCAGGGAAGGTATCTTCTTCCCTCTGTTCTGTTTCCAGAGGATCCCTACTGTGCACAAAAGGAAGAGGCACAGTGAGTTAAATGGATAGACGAGTACTCCAGAGTGAAATTCCTAGAGGTTATCTCATTTTTCCATTTACTATAATCCTCATACTATCTTAATAAGTTTTCCAACATTTCAATTCATTTCATTTATCTTCTTAAGACAGGAAAAAAAGTTTTCAAAAATTACCTCAGGGTCCTTTGCATCAGTGAGATAAATGGAGAGGTCTGTGAGTGGCGCGTACCTTGCAGCAGTCTTTCTCTGGCATCCCATCAGGGCAGGTATGATCTGGTTCATATCAGTAGGATGGCCGTAGGTCTCCTGGAAGACGTTATCAACTAATTTCTGAATAAAGATAAAAGTCAGTGAAAGATGCTAAGGCTCCTTTCTAGTTAAATAATTCATTGAACGAATTATGTTAAAATTTAGTTTCCTCATGTAGAACAAGTGCTGTCAAATACCCCAGGGAGTCGGGACAGTGGGTGAAAAATGAATCTTTAGTGATCAAATTTGGTGATCATCTGCTCACAGAGAGTGCGTCAGCCACCTGGAGGGTTATTCAAAGCAGACCTTAATCATATTTTGGTCATGTTTTGGTCTCTTCCTTATCTATTCCACAAACCCTTTACAAAGAATCCACTCCAGCCCACACCAGAATAGTGGAAGGTTACCACTGCTTCCACTGTGGGCCAAGCTGTCCCTATCATTCTCAATGGACTCTTTAATGGAATCCCTCCTTCTGCTCTTGTCTCCCTACCATCTATTCTCAACATAGTAGCCAGAGTGATCCTGTTAAAATGTGAGTCAGACCATGGAAGTCCTCTGATCAAGACCCTCCAAGAATTCCCCATGCCACCCAACATAAAAGCCAGAAACTTTATGGTCTTCAGGGCCCTTCCTAATCCACTTTCTACCACTCAGCAATCTAACCTCACTCCTTCTACTCTCCCCAGCCACCCTTTCTCCTTGCTTGTTTCCTTACTTCACACAGATTTTTTTTTATGGGTCATCTCAATGAGACCTTCCCTCCCACCTTGATAAATATTGCACCTCTCCAATGTTCTCTGTTCCTCTTCCCTGCTTTATTTTTGAAACAGTTTTTAATAACAATGTGACATATGTATAGTTCGCATATTTATTTTGTTTATTTTGCATTTCCCCTCTAACTTCTGCACTCTCTACTCACTCACACACCCTACAACGTAAGCCCTAGAAAGGCAATCATTTTTGTTGGTTTTCTTCAGTGCCTTCTTCACAGGGCCTAGAACAGTGACTGACACATATTAGGCACTCACTAAATACTTGTTGGACCAAAGTCAATCCATCAGTCATCCATTTGGAAGCCGTCTGCAAGACAGCGAGCAGAGTGGAGCAGAGAAGAGAATATACATAGCGGGGCAGAGGGGAAGCAAGGCAAGGAGAGACTGTAAAGTCCTGAGAGACAGAAAGAGTAGCCATGATCCTCAACTTTCCAGTTCCCAATTCCAATTCCCATTAGGCCTCTGACATGTAATTTGTTTCCTGTCTTTGTATCATCCACATGTGTCCATGATATTTCCTGCTGTATCCTTACAACAACACTGTCTAACTTGAACTGGCTTGAAAAGGAGAATAGGAGACAATATTAGAAAAGGAATGGGTAAGCCAGATGACTTGCAAGCCATTGTAAATACCTGGATTCTTGCTCTGTTTGAAATGAGAGGCCAGGAGAACAGGGTTTTTTGTTTGTTTTTTATCAAGGAATTATGCACTGACTTTCATTTTAAGGAGCTCCCTCTGACTGCTATATGAAGAGAACTGCACTCCTGCCCGAGCAACAGAGCAAGACTGAAGAAGGAAGGAAGGAAGGAAGAAAGAAAGGAAGGAAGGAAGGAAGGGTTCTCCAGAGAAACAGAACTAATAGAAGAAATAACGTAAGAGAAAGAGAGAGAGAGATTTAAAGAATTGCCTCATACAACTGGGGGTGCTGGCAAGTCGAAAATCCCCAGAGCAAGCCAGCAGGCTTGAGATTCTGGTAAGAATTGATGTTGCTGTTTTGAGTTCAAAGGCTGGAAACTCAGGCAGAATTTCTCATTACACCCCGCTCTTCTCATTCTCTCTGAAGCCCCTCCAGTTAAGCTTTTGACCCCATCAGGTCCTCTTCCACAATGGCCATAGTTGAGGCCACCAGTCTTGTGACTTAATACCACATCTATATGCTGAAACTCCTACATTTGTATATGTGATAATCATATGTTGCAAGCTGGAGGTAGAATCCCTTCTTTTCCAGGAAACCTCAATGTTTACTCTTAAGATCTTCAACTCATTGGATGAGGCTCACCTAATAATTTAGATCTTCAACTCATTGGATGAGGCTTACCTACATAATGAAGGGTAATCTGCTTTATTCAGAGTCTACTGATTTAAATGTCTGTCACATCTAAAAAATATTTTCATAGCAACATCTAGACATATTTAACCAAACAACTGGGAACTATAGCCTAGCCAAGTTGACATGAAATTAACCATTACAGGGGCCAGAGTGAAAACAGGGAAGCCAGTAAGGAAACAATTAAGATACTCTAGATGGGCAGGAATGGTAGCATGAACCAGAGTGGTAAATAACAGAGGTGATGAGAATTGGTCAAATTTTAGATATATTTTGAAGGTGAAGCTGATAGAATTTGCTAATAAATTAGATGTGAGAGTGAAGAATCCAGGATGACTCCAAAGCTCTTGGCCTGAACAACTGGAAGAATAGAGTTTCCATCAACTAAAATGGGGAGGCTGCAAGGGGAGCAGTTGAGGGGAGAAGAAAGAAAATTCAGGGAGGGGGTGGAGCCAAGATGGCTGAATAGCAACAGCTCCAGTCTACAGCTCCCAGCATGAGCGACACAGAAGACGGCTGATTTCTGCATTTCCAACTGAGGTACCGGGTTCATCTCACTGGGGAGTGCCGGAAGGTGGGTGCAGGTCAGTGGGTGCAGCGCACCATGCGTGAGCCGAAGCAGGGTGAGCCATCGCCTCACCTGGGAAGAGCAAGGGGTCAGGGAATTCCCTTTCCTAGTCAAAGAAAGGGGTGACAGATGGCACCTGGAAAATTGGGTCACTCCCACCCTAATACTGCGCTTTACCAACGGGCTTAACAAACGGCACACCAGGAGATTATATCCTGCAACTGGCTCAAGGGTCTTACGCCCACGGAGCCTCGCTCATTGCTAGCACAGCAGTCTGAGATCAAACTGCAAGGCAGCAGCGAGGCTGGGGGAGGGGCCCCCGCCATTGCTCAGGCTTGAATAGGTAAACAAAGCAGCCAGGAAGCTCGAACTGGGTGGAGCCCACCACAGCTCAAGGAGGCCTGCCTGCCTCTGTAGGCTCCACTTCTGGGGGCAGGGCGCAGACAAAAGACAGCAATAACCTCTGCAGACTTAAATGTCCCTGTCTGACAGCTTTGAAGAGAGTAGCGGTTTTCCCAGCACGCAACTTGAGATCTGAGAATGGGCAGACTGCCTCCTCAAGTGGGTCCCTGACTCCTGAGTAGCCTAACTGGGAGGCACCCCCCAAGTAGGGGCGGACTGACACCTCACATGGCTGGGTACTCCTCTGAGACAAAACTTCCAGATGAACGATCAGGCAGCAGCATTTGTGGTTCACCAATATCCGCTGTTCTGCAGCCACTGCTGCTGATACCCAGGCAAACAAGGTCTGGAGTGGACCTCCAGCAAACTCCAACAGACCCGCAGCTGAGGGTCCCAACTGTTAGAAGGAAAACTAACAAACAGAAAGGACATCCACACCAAAAACCCATCTGTACATCACCATCATCAAAGACCAAAGGTAGATAAAACCACAAAGATGGGGAAAAAACAGAGCAGAAAAACAAGAAACTCTAAAAATCAGAGCACCTCTCCTCCTCCAAAGGAACACAGCTCCTCACCAGCAACGGAACAAAGCTGGACAGAGAATGACTTTGACGAGTTCAGAGAAGAAGCCTTCAGAAGATCAAACTACTCCGAGCTAAAGGAGGAAGTTCGAACCAAGGGCAAAGAAGTTAAAAACCTTGAAAAAAATTAGACGAATGGCTAACTAGAATAACCAATGCAGATAAGTCCTTAAAGGACCTGATGGAGTTGAAAACCACAGCACGAGAACTACGTCATGAATGCACAAGGCTCAGTAGTCGATGTGATCAACTGGAAGAAAGGGTATCAGCGATGGAAGACGAAATGAAAGAAATGAAGCAAGAAGAGAAGTTTAGAGAAAAAAGAATAAAAAGAAATGAACAAAGCCTCCAAGAAATATGGGACTATGTGAAAAGACCAAATCTACATCTGATTGGTGTATCTGAAAGTGACAGGGAGAATGGAACCAAGTTGGAAAACACTCTGCAGGATATTATCCAGGAGAACTTCCCCAATCTAGCAAGGCAGGCCAACATTCAAATTCAGGAAATACAGAAAACGCCACAAAGATACTCCTCGAGAAGAGCAACTCCAAGACACATAATTATCAGATTCACCAAAGTTGAAATGAAGGAAAAAATGTTAAGGGCAGCCAGAGAGAAAGGTCAGGTTACCCACAAAGGGAAGCCCATAAGACTAACAGCTTGATCTCTCAGCAGAAACTCTACATGAGAGTGGGGGCCAATATTCAACATTCTTAAAGAAAAGAATTTTCAACCCAGAATTTCATATCCAGCCAAACTAAGCTTCATAAGTGAAGGAGAAATAAAATCCTTTACAGACAAGCAAATGCTGCGAGATTTTGTCACCACCAGGCCTGCCCTACAAGAGCTCCTGAAGGAAGCACTAAACATGGAAAGGAACAACCGATACCAGCCACTGCAAAAACATGCCAAATTGTAAAGACCATCAAAGCTAGGAAGAAACTGCATCAACTAACAAGCAAAATAACCGGCTAACATCATAATGACAGGATCAAATTCACACATAACACATAACAATATTAAATGTAAATGGGCTAAGTGCTCCAATTAAAAGACACAGACTGGCAAACTGGATAAAGAGTCAAGACCCATCAGTGTGCTGTATTCAGGAAACCCATCTCACATGCAGAGACACACATAGGCTCAAAATAAAGGGATAGAGGAAGACCTACCAACCAAATGGAAAACAAAAAAAGGCAGGGGTTGCAATCCTAGTCTCAGATAAAACAGACCTTAAACCAACAAAGATCAAAAGAGACAAAGAAGGCCATTACATAATAGTAAAGGGATCAATTCAATAAGAAGAGCTAACTATCCTAAATATATATGCACCAAATACAGGAGCACCCAGATTCATAAAGCAAGTCCTTAGTGACCTACAAAGAGACTCAGACTCCCACACAATAATAATGGGAGACTTTAACACCCCACTGTCAACATTAGACAGATCAAAGAGACAGAAAGTCAACAAGGATATCCAGGAATCAAACTCACCTCTGCACCAAGCGGACCTAATAGACATCTACAGAACTCTCCGCCCCAAATCAACAGAATATACATTCTTTTCAGCACCACACCACACCTATTCCAAAATTGACCACATAGTTGGAAGTAAAGCACTCCTCAGCAAATGTAAAAGAACAGAAATTATAACAAACTGTCTCTCAGACCACAGTGCAATCAAACTAGAATTCAGGATTAAGAAACTCATTCAAAACCACTCAACTACATGGAAACTGAACAACCTGCTCCTGAATGACTACTGGGTACATAACGAAATGAAGGCAGAAATAAAGATGTTCTTTGAAACCAACGAGAACAAAGACACAACATACCAGAATCTCTGGGACACAGTCAAAGCAGTGTGTAGAGGGAAATTTATAGCACTAAATGCCCACAAGAGAAAGCAGGAAAGATCTAAAATTGACACCCTAACATCACAATTAAAAGAACTAGAGAAGCAAGAGCAAACACATTCAAAAGCTAGCAGAAGGCAAGAAATAACTAAGATCAGAGCAGAACTCAAGGAAATAGAGACACAAAAAACCCTTCAAAAAATTAATGAATCCAGGAGCTGGTTTTTTGAAAAGATCAACAAAATTGATAGACCACCAGCAAGACTAATAAAGAAGAAAAGAGAGAAGGATCAAATAGACGCAATAAAAAATGATAAAGGGGATATCACCACCGATCCCACAGAAATACAAACTACCATCAGAGAATACTATAAACACCTCTACGCAAATAAACCAGAAAATCTAGAAGAAGTGGATAAATTCCTTGACACATACACCCTCCCAAGACTAAACCAGGAAGAAGTTGAATCACTGAATAGACCAATAACAGGCTCTGAAATTGAGGCAATAATTAATAGCTTACCAATCAAAAAAAGTCAAGGACCAGATGGATTCACAGCCGAATTCTACCAGAGGTACAAGGAGGAACTGGTACCATTCCTTCTGAAACTATTCCAATCAGTAGAAAAAGAGGGAATCCTCCCTAACTCATTTTATGAGGCCAGCATCATCCTGTTACCAAAGCCTGGCAGAGACACAACAAAAAAAGAGAATTTTAGACTAATATCCTTGATGAACATTGATGCAAAAATCCTCAATAAAATACTGGCAAACCGAATCCAGCAGCACATCAAAAAGCTTATCCACCATGATCAAGTGGGCTTCATCCCTGGGATGCAAGGCTGGTTCAACATATGAAAATCAATAAATGTAATCCAGCATATAAACAGAACCAAAGACAAAAACCAGATGATTATCTCAATAGATGCAGAAAAGGCCTTTGACAAAATTCAACAGCCCTTCATGCTAAAAACTCTCAATAAATTAGGTACTGATGGGACGTACTTCAAAATAATAAGAGCTATCTATGACAAACCCACAGCCAATATCATACTGAATGGACAAAAACTGGAAGCACTCCCTTTGAAAACTGGCACAAGACAAGGATGCCCTCTCTCACCACTCCTATTCAACATAGTGTTGGAAGTTCTGGCCAGGGCAATCAGGCAGGAGAAGGAAATAAAGGGCATTCAATTAGGAAAAGGGGAAGTCAAATTGTCCCTGTTTGCAGATGACATGATTGTATATCTAGAAAACGCCATCATCGCAGCCCAAAATCTCCTTAAGCTGATAAGCAACTTCAGCAAAGTCTCAGGATACAAAATCAATGTACAAAAATCACAAGCATTCTTATACACCAATAACAGACAAACAGAGAGCCAAATCATAAGTGAATTCCCATTCACAATTGCTTCAAAGAGAATAAAATACCTAGGAATCCAACTTACAAGGGATGTGAAGGACCTCTTCAAGGAGAACTACAAACCACTGCTCAGTGAAATAAGAGGATACAAACAAATGGAAGAACATTCCATGCTCATGGATAGGAAGAATCAATATCGTGAAAATGGCCATACTGCCCAAAGTAATTTATAGATTCAATGTCATCCCCATCAAGCTACCAATGACTTTCTTCACAGAATTGGAAAAAATTACTTTAAAGTTCATATGGAGTCAAAAAAGAGCCCGCATCACCAAGTCAATCCTAAGCCAAAAGAACAAAGGTGGAGGCATTATGCTACCTGACTTCAAACTATACTACAAGGCTACAGTAACCAAAACAGCATGGTACTGGTACCAAAACAGAGATATAGACCAATGGAACAGAACAGAGCCCTCAGAAATAATGCCGCATATCTACAACTATCTGATCTTTGATGAACCTGACAAAAACAAGCAATGGGGAAAGGATTCCCTATTTAATAAATGGTGCTGCGAAAACTGGCTAGCCTTATGTAGAAAGCTGAAACTGGATCCCTTCCTTACACCTTATACAAAAATTAATGCAAGATGGATTAAAGACTTACATGTTAGACCTAAAACCATAAAAACCCTAGAAGAAAACCTAGGCAATACCATTCAGGACATAGGCATGGGCAAGGACTTCATGTCTAAAACACCAAAAGCAATGGCAACAAAAGCCAAAATTGACAAATGGGATCTAATTAAACTCAAGAGCTTCTGCACAGCAAAAGAAACCACCATCAGAGTGAACAGTCAACCTACAGAATGGGAGAAAATTTTTGCAACCTACTCATGTGACAAAGGGCTAATATCCAGAATCTGCAATGAACTCAACCAAATTTACAAGAAAAAAACAAACAACCCCATCAAAAAGTGGGCAAAGGATATGAACAGACACTTCTCAAAAGAAGACATTTATGCAGCCAAAAAACACATGAAAAAATGCTCTTCATCACTGGCCATCAGAGAAATGAAAATCAAAACCACAATGAGATACCATCTCATATCAGTTAGAATGGAGATCATTAAAAAGTCAGAAAACAACAGGTGCTGGAGAGGATGTGGAGAAATAGGAACACTTTTACACTGTTGGTGGGACTGTAAACTAGTTCAACCATTGTGGAAGTCAGTGTGGTGATTCCTCAGGGATCTAGAACTAGAAATACCTTTTGACCCAGCCATCCCATTACTGGGTATATACCCAAAGGATTATAAATCATGCTGCTATAAAGACACATGCACACGTATGTTTATTGCGGCACTATTCACAATAGCAAAGACTTGGAACCAACCCAAATGTCCAACAATGATAGACTGGATTAAGAAAATGTGGCACATATACACCATGGAATACTATGCAGCCATAAAAAATGATGAGTTCATGACCTTTGTAGGGACATGGATGAAGCTGGAAACCATCATTCTCAGCAAACTATCGCAAGGACAAAAAACCAAACACTGCATGTTCTCACTCATAGGTGGGAATTGAACAATGAGAACACATGGACACAGGAAGGGGAACATCACACACCAGGGACTGTTGTGGGATGGGGGGAGGGGGAGGAATAGCATTAGGAGATATACCTAATGCTAAATGATGAGTTAATGGGTGCAGCACACCAATGTGGCACATGTATACATATGTAACAAACCTGCATGTTGTGCACCTGTACCCTAAAACTTAAAGTATAATAATAATAAAAAAAAAGAAAAGAAAACTCACGGGTTCTGTTTTGGATCTGTTCCATCTGGAGACTCAACAAACATTCGAGTAAGATGCTGGAAGGGCAATTAGATATATGAGTCTGAAGTTTAAAGGAGGTGTCCAAATTACAGAAATGTAGGTATTTCAACATATAGATGTTGTATGAAGCCACAAGACTGGTGCCCTCAACTATAGCCAATGTTGAGGAGTGATAGGGTCAAAAACTTGATTGGAGAAGCTTCAAGAGAGAATGAGAAAAGAGGGATGGTAATAACGCAGTGCAACTAGGTAGAGGGGGCATTCATATACATACTTTACAGGTGAGGAAATCCAGGCTCAGAGAGTGAGTGTAACTTGCTAAAAGACACACAACTGGTAAGAAACAGAATCGGGCTACAATCCAGGTCGCCACAAATGAGTGTTTCACCCATTTCTCCAGGCCGACTGGACTGGGACTTCTCTGCTGTCCCTTCCTTCCTATACCCCTCTTGGGTTTTATTTTTTGGCAAAGGAGATATGGGGGGAAAGGGGAAAGAAAAACTACAATTGATACTCTAAATGAGATAATATATGTAAAGACCCTTGGAAAACTGTAAAGCCATATAGATGAAGGGAAGTATTACTATTAAGTTTGGTAAGGTTTATTTATAACATTATCACTTCCTGTGATGGCTAATCATTTTAATTTCCCTCAGAATTGACCTTTAAAATGAGGAAAATTGGACTTAAGTTAGACAAACTAATGCTATAATTAAAACATGGTCAAGAAAGATTTCAGGGATCTTCTGGCAAAGAGATTGGGGAAGAAGCCCATCTCTCTGGTTGACTTCCCCTGAAAGCAAAATAAGCCATGAAACAGATGGTGAAAGATACTGTTCATTTTGCCATGAAATAGATTGTGGAAGAAATATTGATCATTCAATGAGGAGCTATCAAAACTGGTTTTCCTTGAAGGCAACTCTGATTTTTTAATAACATGATCTGGATGGGAACACTACCCATCCAGCTAAGGAGCATTCATGGACGAAATCTATGAAAGCTTCAAGAAGAATCTATCTGCCCCATGAGTAAAAGACTGGCCTAATTTGAGGTCATGTGTGACAGAAAGAAAATAGCATTAACCCAAAATGAAAGTCTCTGAGTCAGAGAAACCCGTGTTTCTCACTTTCCCCTAGATTTCTCAGCCAGCCAGAAAAGGAAATAACATGATCCCATCTAAGGACTTTGTATTGAGAAACTAGGTCAATCATCATCTAACTAAGAGCCTCCTATTGAAGTAAATGAAGCGTGTTTAGGAGATTCAGACAGATGTGCTTGTAAGTGGTTATCTAAATGTGACCCCTAGTGTACAACTTGTGTGGCACTCACAGGGGAAAATCTAGGTGATTTGATGGACTGGAGACCACAGAATCATGGAATGCTCAAGCTGGAAAGAACTAGAGAGCATCTAATCCAGTTTTCTAGCTTTACAAATGAGTGGTTACTATCTTTCTATCACTAGGCAAGTGATTAAGTGACTTGCCTAGGGTGAGATAGTGGCAGAGCTGGAATGGAACTAGGTCTCCTAAGCCCCAATCTAGTCATTTCCTATCCATTTGAGAATGTTTTCCATAAAATGCCATTGTCTTTATGTAGTTTGATGTAGGACCTACCTACAGAAGAACGTGGGAATTAAGTGTTGATTTCACATTGGCTAATATGAAGAGGGTATTGACATCATTTATATGATCTGAAGCAGTGCTCATTAGTAATTGAATCTTAAAGTGCTCATGTTAAGAATTGCTAGAAAGATTGAAAACACTTTCCATATTTTCCACATTGCACATCACACATTTAAGTGGCAGATTATGCCACTTCTTCTCAGCCCAAGGTTCCTAGTGATCTTCAAAAGAAAGAAATTATATCATGGAACTAGAACATTCAGTCAGGGTAGAAACCTGCTGGACTGTCTCCCAAGGTTCCCAGCTATGGCCATTTGTGTAGGTAGCTATTATTTTTCATCCATGGTTCCAGTAGTAATAGAGGACATTGTGTCCTCCTGCATACTGGTTCTCCCAACCCAGATGCCCCTCACTGCCATCCAGTGAGTATTCGGGTCACTCACGCTGTAATTTCTTCCAATAGTTTGTTGCATATTCCATTGTTGGATCCATCCCCTTCTGGATCCCCTCAGTCTGTAGAATGACCTTGCCTTCCCCCAACTTTACTGAAAAAAATCAAGGCCATTCAACATGACCTAACAAAGCTTCCCTTTTCTTCACTCTACAATGTCTCTTTATCTTTTGTCCTTTCCAAAAAAGAAATATTCCTTTTCTTTTCAATGTCTAGTCCTTTTGTCCTTGTGAACCCTTCCTGGGACATTGCTTCATCAGTTATCAACATTCTCTTCTTCATTTCCATTTTCTCTTCTCTTTATGACTCCTCCCTTAGCTAGAAAAATGCCCACAAAACTTTTAAAAAAACTTTAAACTCAAACTTTAAAAAAACTTTAAACTTAAACTTTAAAAAAAAGAATCTGTTGGCCAATTCCTCTCAAGTTAAATCCATTTTCACCCTCCCTTTTACTTCCAAATTTGCTGAATGATCGAATTTGCCACCTTCTTTATGCCTTGCAATTTCAATTTTAATCCAAGAGTCTCCTGGAATTATTTTCCTAGAAAATTAAAATAATCAAAATTGAATCATTTGACCCAATGACCTATTCTTAGTTTTCAGACTTTCTTGACCTTTCCATGGAGTTTTGTCCACTCAGAAAATATTTACTAAAGATCTACTTTGGCAAGGCTCTGAACTAAGCCCTGTGGGGAATAAAGATGAGAAATGCCTTGCCAAGAGCTTAAAAACTAGTGGGAGAAACAAACAGAGAGATATACCAAGTGAGTGCTTTTTCCTTACAGCAATTTGGTTATATAAGTCAGCGATATTTTTCACATTATTTGTGTGTGTGTGTGTGTCTAATCATCCCAGTTAGAGTATAAGTTTCTTGAGAAAAAGAACCTGGTCTTCTGTCCCCAGTGTGCCCTGCATAGAGCCTTGGCCTTGGTAAATGTTTGTGATAATCAGCCTCTGAGATGGCCCCAGTGGTTCTTGCCTCCTGGTTTTCATGCCCTTGTGTGGTCTCTTTAAATATTGAATAGGTCTAGTTTATGCAACCAATAAGATTTTGAGGAAATGATGGTCTGTGACTTCTGAAGCTAAGTTACAAAAAAATTACACTTTTGTCTTGTAACTGAGAAAACTTTGCAGCTACATATACAGTCTACCTTTTATGGAAAAACAAATATGACTCGGGGGTAGAACCAAGAACTCAGAGCATGGAGCCAAGCACAATTAAGACTTATGCCGGGAAAGAGTAACACTGACTAGTGAGGCCTCTTGTGAACAGCCCGTGAAGAACTGAGGCAGGACTCCTGCCCGCAGCCATGTGAATGCACCATCTTAGAAGTGGCTTCTCCAGCCCCAGTCAAACCTTTAGATGACTGCAGCCCTGCCAAGATCTTGACTGCAACTAAATGGCCAAGCTAAATTGCTCCTTGATTCCTGACCCATAGACACTGTGTGAGATAATAGATGCTTTTTTTTGTTTTAAGCCACTAAGTTTTGGGGGGTAATTTTTTTATGTAGCAATAGATTACTAATACAGTGTTTAATAAATATTTGTCCAGGAAATAAATCATATCTCAAGAAGGAACATAACCAAATCCCAAGTATGCTTAGTAACTAAACTAAACAAAACAAAAAAACCTTTCAAACATATACTCCTAGGCCCTTGGCAGGGAGAAAAGTTGACTCTCAATCATAATATACCCTCTTTATGGGCCCAAAATACAAAAAGAAAGCAAGGAAAGATGTTGTGATTCACTTCACTGTTGACCAATGTAGACTGTATATTGTTGTCTTCTTCCTTGAATATGCAAGGAATGTCCAAAATGTATGTGGACTGGCAAGAAAAACAGGCAATGTGACCCAGGAGATAATAAGGGAGTTAAGGCTCTTCACTCACTGATTCTCTCTCCTTCCCTCTCTTTTAGGCCTGAATTAATAATCTTTGTTATCACTGCTTCATTTTCCAGGATTACAAGAAAAAACAAAGTATTGTAGGTAAAAACAATACAGCCAAGAAACGTCATCTTATGTTTATACATTTAGAAGCATCCTTTGGAGCAGGAAGAACTTAAATTCTAAATCTCAAGATAGCTAAAACAGATGCACTATTCCAAGGAGCCAGCAAGGAAAATACAATCCTGCTTCTCAAACACATCCCCTGGAATTGGTCGCAAGTTATCTTCAGAGAAGAGAATTGTCACCAGATTAAGAGAGTAAAGGACCCGATGACAAGCACGCCTGCATTGCATTCACAGGGCTGGCTTTCAGTTCTCCAAAAAATTCATGTCATTGCCTAAAAATTACTAATGGAAATTGGTACGCAGACAGATACAATACTGTTGTTGTTTTTGGTTGTGGTTTTACTTCTACTAAAGCCCACAGCACTGCTGAGGAATTATCCTCTGAACTGAAAAGTCCTAAAGTTAGGCTTGTATTTGACTTCAAACAATAAACCCCATGCTGAAAATGGCTTCAGCAGATACAGCTCTTCCCTCCAGTGAGCAGGCAGTGAGGAGCAGGCAACCCAGTCTCCTTCTGACTTCCTGTTTATGTTCCAAGCAGGAAGAAGGGAGAAAGACAAGAATGCAAAAGGCAGAATGGGCATCCAGTCTCATCTGTCCGTTTTAAAAGCTTTCCTAGAAGCTCTACCCAGCAACTCCCACGCCCATCTCATTGACGAGAACTGGGTCACATGACCACTACTCCTGGCGAAGGAGTCTAAGAGGTGAATGTTTTCATCTTCTTACTTCTCCATTAGAGGAAAGCAGGGAGAAAGGAGTTGTGTGTGCCAGTGGGGCCAGTTCACAATGTTTGCCACACTAGGGCTATAAGAGATCTTGGGTAATTCTGCAAATCTGTTTTTCTGCCCCACATAAGATTATTTCCCAAAGATAATGCTCTCCTTTAGAGTATGTGGTGAATGCTGCAATACAGAAAAGGATCTCTTGCCCCTCACCCCTTCACAGCAGAACAAAACAGCAAGACTTTCCTTTTAGAAAGCAGATGCCTTGGGAGCTACTTCACCTGGGGCCAAACGTATCCTCTCAGCAGCAGAGGTGATTATTTTTCTTAATTACTATTGCTTTGCATCTTGTTATGTGAGCTGTCAGCGTCTTAATTTAGCTGATGACTTTCTACAATCATTTTAGATTTATTTGGTACCTAATTTACTTAACATAGCTTTTGCTGTGAAAGTTAATCCGAGGCCCAAAAACTCTTAATAAGCTCAATATTTTACAGTGAACACTACCCTGAGGATTGCTTTATGAAAATGATGACAAGGCGCAGGGTCTGTAGCTTTCAGAATCAATAAGTCACTGACTAATGAATTAGAAAGGTCTTGAACTTCTACTTCAGTGCAGGCTTCATGTACCAGATGCACAAATGAGCATTAGTAAATGGAGCTGGTTCTTAGTAGAAAATTTCCATTAATCCAACACCGAGTGTAGAAGAATCTCTGTAGTCTTGTAAATAGACTTAAGAATAATTATTAAGAATTAAGAATTATTGTGATTAATTAATTAATTAAAATGATACTGGTTTTGCCACCATTTCTTCAGGTATTTCTCTTAAGATGAAACTGTTTTGTTTTTCTGTTTCTACCAGTCCTGACTTTTGATATCAATGGAAATCAGCTTAGCAAAAACAAACAAAACAAAACAAAACAAAACACCCCTTTGAGCTATCTCTCTCCATATACCACTTAGGGGTGAGTTCAAAATGCAGGGACCCCTTCTGTGTATTTTACAATCCAAGACTGAAAATACAAATGAAGAGGAACACAGAGCAATCATAAAACAGGCATACCACTTGACAATGCAGCTAGCTGCCCCACCGACTGGAGCACCTCACGTGTGTGCCTGCTACCTTCACTTCCAAATATCTAAATAGTGCCCTGCAAAAAACTAGAAACTTGGGGAACATTTGTGGAATAAATAAATGCTTTTGATAATGATGGAGAGTAAAAGTGGAGGAAGGAGGAGAACAGGCAGAAAACCCTCACAGGGGAGGCAGTCAGTATGTGCTTGCGGAGAAGGTGGGATTTTTCATTTCTCTCCCTGGGATTAAAAGGAGCAGGAGACAAAATTTGTCTTTACAGGTGGGTGGGAAGACAAATCCAAGCTTCTAGGTTCTAATCCAAAAGCACAGAGGATCTAGTAGGATCTGAAAAACAGACATAGGAGCCCAAGGAAGAAGAGAGAGAGGCTGGGGAGTTGGAAGGAGTTGGGAGGAGTCGAGAGAGGTACACTGTTTCTGGACTCTCAGCCTCAATTCCCTCGCCCCCAAATTAGGAACAAGAAGAGGACTAGCTCTGCCTATTTCAAAGGTGTTTTAAGTATTCAATGAAATGGGAAATGTGAAAGTGTTTTCAAAACTTCCAAACATTCTGTTAATACGATAGGTCCTTTCAAATCTAATTTTGGCCCTGGAACAAGTGAGCAGGTGGTTCTGCTCACCATGATGGTAAACTAGGCACAGAGGCAAGTCACGAAGGGGTTGTGGCCCTGGGATAAAAATGGTCAGGGTGCTTGAAAGCTTTGCCATGAGAGTCTCAGATTGCCTCTGTTTCTTAGAACACTCAACTTCCTGAAATATTTTTTACACTGAATGTTTTTATCACCAACAAGGCTTTATGAGAAATAAGGAGACTGAGACTCCAGAAATTAAGGGGCTTTTGTTGATCATTTTGTTGTTTCTTGTTGCACACACAACTGGTTAACAGCAGAGCTAGGAAGAGAGCTTATTCCTCTTGGCTCCTAGTCCAAAACTCTGCCCATCCTGGAAAACCCTCTAGCATGATTTAAACCTATTAGCGCTTTGTTTCAAGCCCATACAAGTTAATGAGCAAGAACTAGGAAAGATTATATGATTCCCCTGGACTTCTGATACCTTACCTTAGAGCAATTTGCATGAGGAAAGTCACAGACTCCAGGCTTTCTCTAAATTGATTCCCTTTTTGCAAAGCCAAGTCCATCTGTTTTTCTGGGAGGAAAACAGGGGTACTTGTGCTGTAGCCTCCCTGTGGAGTTCTGCACTGGGGGTTCACAAGAGAGCATCACAACAGGCCAGCCTGCCTGGGTTTCATAGTGGAAGAGCTAGACCTGTAGCTAGCTCTTGGTTGTGGAGGTCCCATCTGTTTGAGAGATCATCTGCTTTAAGCTAGATTTCTTTATTTTGAAGCCAGGCAACACATTTATTTAGGTGGTTATGCTAAAGCTATGTGTTATTTTTCTTCCTTCCCTTGCCCGTTTGACCTGCTGTTGACTCTGTCTGATTTTTGTCCCTCTAAGGAGTGAAAGCAATGGCCCATTTTTGTATTTCAATTACAGAAACTATTTTTCTTCCTACTGAAAAGAGAACAGAATGAATATTCAATAAAATAAGCACTCTTGTGAAGTTAACTAATGAAGGTATGTTATCTGATAGAGGTGACTTCCTTCTGTCTTCATAATAAAAATAACTAGAGTTACCAAGGCAAATTGTATTATAAACTTTTTATCAGGGACTTTCACATACATAATTTATGTGCATATACAGTAATGCACTGCATAACAACGTTTCAGTCAACAATGGACTGCACGTATGCTGGTGGGCCCGTAAGATTATAATACCGTACTTTTATTGTACCTTTTCTGTTTAGATACACAAGTACTTACCATATTGTTGCAATTGCCTACAGTATTCAGTACAGTAACATGCTGTACAGGCGTAGCCCAGGAGCTAAAGGCTATACCATATGGCCTAGCTGTGTAGTAGGCTATACCATCTAGGTTTGGGCGAGTACACTCTATGATGTCCACACAATAACAAAGCCACCTAACGATGCATTTCTCAGAATATATCCCCGTCATTAAGCGATGCTTGACTGTACATGTTTGTGAACTTTTATAAACCTTGGAAAAGCAGCCTAAAGGTACACTTCATATTGCTTCTATAGACTATGCCACACAATGAAGCACTTAATTATGCAATATTTTTTCATGTTAATTTTGAAAGTCTTTAGAAGTTGAAGATTACATCTACTAAACTTCTTTATGTCCTCCGCAAGACCTAACACAATCCTAAGCATGTGGAAGGTGTTTAAAAAATATTTTTAACTGGTTGATTTTGAGAAATAAAATACTAATCCTTAGGTATTGACAAATACCTGGAGAGGTAAGGAGGGTCTGGTTGATGAAGAGCTATAAATACCATGTCAATGATGATAATGCCTGCAAGCTAGGAAGTGGCTTCAATGGTCTAGTAGAGGACAAAGGTAGAAGGGGGAAAGAAGTGGAGAGATGATGCTAGCAGAGAGATCTTTTGGAAGCTGTTGGAATGGTCTGAGTGGGAAAATGTCTAAATAATGGCATTGACAGGGGACATGCAGAAGATGACACAGATGCAAGAAATACATAATAAATACCATCAATGGGATCCCATTGGAGTGGGGGAAAAGGGAATCTGCAATAATTCCCAGGTTTCAGGTTTGGACAGTTGCATCATTATCCAAAACAGAAAACACAGCATGATGAAGAGGTTGGAGATGGGAAGAAATAAAGAGTTTCATATTGGACGTTGTCAATTTTGGGACTAGCAGGAAATCTAGATAAAAATGTTTAGTTAGAGGTTAGCAGTGTATGGGCCAGTCTCAAAGAGAGGAGGGAAGTTTGAGCTAGGGATTTAGACTTGGAGGTTGTCAGAGCGTGGATGCTAGTGGAAGGTGTGGGTGTCAGTGAGAACACCGAAGGACAGTATAGAGAAGGATGTTAGGATTTAAGGCAGTCCCATGACAGAACTAGAGAAAGAGCTATAGAGGGGCAGGAGGGAAACCGGGTGATTCCCTGAGGGCTTGTGGAGGCAAGAGCACAAGACTGGTGACTGCAGTCAACAGAACGAAAGGTATAAGGTCTCAAAGAGATGAAAAAGCTGAAAAAAGGGAATTCTCAAAGTGGGCAATTGATGGTCAGGTCTTAGAAAAAACTAATGTCAGATGCATGACAGTGCCCAAGATGTGGCCATGGGGGACACTTGAAGCTGAATCATGAAACTTCAGCTTCAGTGGACGAGGAGATTACTGCTCTCGCATGTAATCTCTCTATGAATTCCAAACATAGATTCTGTTGTTTGGTTTGAAATTGGGCTAGTGGGGCAGGACTTGTTGGAGAGAAAATGAGGCTATTTGGCCAAAATACAAAGCTAGGTCTCTGTAGACAGCAGATGTTGTAAGGTGCAGCTGTAGGCTGCATTGACCCAGCCTTTTGGTAAATGCTCAAATATGGTGCCATTTGCTGATGATAATTGATATTTGAGTGATTGTGAAGAAGATTAAAAGAAAATACTTTACTGGAGCATAGCAATTTTCATCTCCACAGTCAAAGTACAGAGGGCAGGCAGGGTGACGGTCCCAGGGGATTTGCACAGGTCACATCATGCATACGGATGAACACTTGACTATGAGTGCTATGAAGAACAGGTGATTAGTCTGGAAGCGAAAGATAGTAGGGGCCACAAATAAATGGCAAAGTATCTTAATATTGCTGCAGTTTAAAAATAATAACTGACATTTATTTAACCTACATCGGACACTGTGTTCTACAGAAGCTTTATGTGTATTCTCTCATCTAATACCTGAAACACCCTTAAGAGGTAAAATAACAACTAACACATGTATCACTTACTAAGTGCTTACAGCTACCCCATGTGTTAGTGCTATAGTGTTGTTTTGAAGATAAGGAAACAAAGGCACAGAGAGGTTATGGAAGCCCATTCTAAATCAAGCTAGTACACAGTGGAACCTGAAGTGGAACCAAGGCAGCTGGAAGTCAGAGTCCAGCTCTTAAGCACAATGCTTACCATAGGCATTTTACAGGTGAGGAAAACAAGGCACCAAAAAAAATAAGCCTCTGAACCACAGTGACACAGCTAGTAATGTTGAGGCAGGAATTTGAAGCATTGGAAAGCAGTGAGCCATTAGGAGGCAGATTATGGTACATTATAAAAAGGCTTGTCTAGGCCAGGCGTGAGCCACCACAGGCTCACGCCTGTAATCCCAGCACTTTGGGAGGCCAAGGTGGGCCTTATGAAGTCAGGAGTTCAAGACCAACTTGCCCAAGATGGTGAAACCCTGTCTCTACTAAAAATACAAAAATTAGCCAGGCATGATGGCAGGCACCTATAATCCCAGCTACTCGGGAGGCTGAGACAGAGAATTGCTTGAACCCAGGAGGCGGAAGTTGTGGTGAGCTGAGATTGTGCCACTGTACTCCAGCCTGGGTGACAGAGCAAGACTCCATTTCAAAATAAATAAATAAATAAATAAATAATTTAAAAAGGCTTGCCTAAATACCAAAGCTACATAACAGTGAGATAGGCTGTCCAGTGGGGTTCTGAGTCTTCTATGCCCAGATAAAGCCAGGAAATGAGGTGGTATCTTTAATTGGCATCACACGTTATCGTTTCTGAGGTGCTTTATGGGGAGACGCTCTTTTTTGGCTTTACATCTGACGAACTTGCTGGTTCTTCCCAGTCCACTCTGGTCAAGAACTTCAAACTGAAAACAGACCCATTGTTTTGGCATGCCCTCTACTAACTGCTGTCATTGGCACTTGAGTTGGTTTTTGCAAAGGTCCTAGATAATTTTTTCCTATTGAGTAGCATTTGCTGAACCATTACATTATATTTCTGTACTTGTGCTCCTCATTCATTCATGTGCTTATTCAACGAATGTTTACTGAGTATCAGAAATGCCAGGTGCTGTCTAGGTGTTAAGGATGCAGAGAGAAAGAAGGCATAGTTCCTGCCACAGAGGCTGTTCGTGCCCCACTTATATCCCCCTATCCTGAAGGTCCCCAGCATACAGGTTTTTGCAGGCCACAGGCATCCAGCCTCTCTCTGCCTGAGGGTGTTTTCTGGCCATGGCATGCTTAGCCCATGGACAGGAGTGTCCCTCAGCCCACAGGGGCAGGAGCTGTTGGGTAAATGCCCCGGCTTCCCTGCCCTTAAGTGGGACGATGTGAAGTGTGCTCCAGACTATCCAAGACTCCCCAGGAAAGCTAAGCCCCAGTTCTAGAATTCACATCAGGAATATCATTAACGCTCCCTTTATTGACTCTCCTCCATTCCCTTCCTCATTTCCTCACTCCCTCACTGTAATTCTTGAGATCATTTTCTAAACAAACTACTTGCACCCAAATCCTTGTTTCAAGGTCAACTTTTGGGGGAGCCTGCCCTCAGGGACTTCCAGCCTAGTGGCTGGGACATACGAAACCTTGGATTCATTCAAACAAACTACACTGAGAAAATGAGAGGCACCCTCCTTAGAAGGGAGAAACACATCACATGGCCGTCCCTTCCGGTGCCTTTCGGTCAGCTTCTAGCACGGAACAAAGACACCCAGGGGCGCCTGCAGAGCACAGTCAGGTCAGAGTACCAGTGCTGAGAAGTGATGCATCGGCACATGGGGATGAAGGTTCTCAGTGTTCTGCAGGCAACATCATCCATCACTTGTATAGAAGGGAGCAAAAAATACAGGAGAAAAAGAGAAAGCACGTTCAGGTGCCCTGTAAAGATTTTATTTAGCCACCCATTCCTTGTCTTCAATGGGGAGCACATACTCTGAACTCAGCAGGACTCTTTGCCCCTGGATCCCTTCTGCAGCATCTTGGGTTATTGGCTACTAGCCTGGTTGGGGTAAATTTTAAAAATCTGCAGTTCATGCTTGCAAAAGAGCAGCATCAGGGGAAAGGGGTATGAGCATCTGACAGGCAGTCTAAATCCCTTGGAACACAGATTTAAACAGAGTAGGATCACAGGCACAAGCTTCTTTGAGGCCACCTACCTACCGTCCCCTTGTCAGACATGGTTTGTGTCATGAGAACACAGTGTGAGTTGTAGGGTCTGTTCCCCCACTGAATTTTAAGATGAAGCATGTTTAGCAAACCACTGGAAATGCTTCTAGACCAGAGCTTCCATCATAAGCTAATTTGCATGAGGGCTTTTATTGTTATTAGGAGAAGGTTTTGCCCTCTGCTGTCAGGTGAAATGAAAGCAGACGTGAAGTATGCACCCCGGGCTAGGCCCCAGGGATCGGTCATTTCAGCCCTGTAGGGAGGACTTCAGGAAAGGTAGAAGGAGCACTGGTCCTCAAGCACTCTGTGACTCGTGGGGGCCCCAAGCAGCCCCACTTGATTTGGGGCCCATGTGTGAGCAGAGTGACAGGGTTCATGAGGGATGGTGCTCTGCCTTTCCACCTGTAGCACAGCAAGGTACTGAGGTTGGAGGAGATGTAGGGATCTGCAGGCTTGGGGGTCCATGGGAGAGGAGGCCAGCAGCCACACCCACTTGGTGGCTCACTGGACGTGTTCCAGCAGCCAGGCCCCCTCATTTAACTGAGAGCACAGACAACGATGAGGGGACTGGGAAGGAGACCATGAGAAGACACTGGGTGTTCCAATACAATACCCTCAGGATCCCACAAGTAATTGGCAGATATTTTTGATTGGGACAGAGAAAGAATTTTGCCTCCTTTACATGGAGGTGGGAGTGAGGAAGCAGGATTCAAGGAATCAGTGAAATCATCAAAGCTAATGTGACATATGGGAAAATGGGAGTTAAAAATGCAATTTAAAAAAAGGTTGGGAAAACTGGGCAAAACATTCGTTCTGGAGAGGCAGGCACAGTCAAGTTCTGCTTGCCAGCCTCTGGGAAACCACAGGCAGGTACAGGTGGTCTTCAAGGATCTCAAGCTAAAAATCAGATCCTATCCTGGTAGAGTGTACCACCTCTGGCCTTAGGCAATGAACTTCCAGCCAGTGAACCTAATGGTTTCCAAAGGCCAGATGTTCAAAATTTGTCTTTAAACAGGCCCAGCTCATCTTCATGGTTTTAACTGTTATTATAAACTTGTTTCAATTTTGCACCTTGATCCTTAGCCAGATTCTGTGCCTAGGTGCAAAAACAAGTTACACGTCTAGGATCTTTGTGGCTCTGAATAAGGATTGCCAGATTTAGTAGATCCAATACAGGACCTCCAGTTATATTTAATTTCAGATAAGCAATAAATAATTTTTAGTATAAAAATTAACATGCAATATTTGGGACATATTTATAGAAAAACTACTCATTATTTGTCTAAAATTTAAATTTATCTGGGTGCCCTATATTTTATCTGGCAACCTTACCCTGAATAGACATTTCCCAAGAAAGCAGAGCAACAAAACATCTGGCACAAAAGGAAAGTTCTATGATCCTTTTTCCTACTGAGTCAAACTGAAATAACTGACGGATGGATTTGTCTTTCTTAGCATGTGTATTCCCTTTTTACTTCCCAAATGACTGAAGTGGTAAAATAAAAAGCACAAACAATAAAACCATTAAAATGGAAATTTAAAAATCAAGTGAAATAGAAATGGATGGGGACATTTGAATTCCAGAAGCCTAGGCTGATATGGTTTGTTGACCTTGGCATTTGCTTCTGAACTCACTGACACTCTGAAGCCAAAGTAAAACATTATCTGATACAAGAAAGCAGGCAATGAAAGTGTTTTTTTCTGGTCTTTATTCTTAGAGGACTTTATTGTGTGATTCACTATACCAGCGCAGCACATTAGCCAATGTGGTACAAAGGGAGGGCAGGTTCTGGAGCACAGATACCCATGGCACTGGGCCTGAGCCCCACCTACACCATCACTTCACCTTTCTCATCTCATTTCACCATCTGTAATGTGACTTGTAACGTAATGAACACATTACAAATTTAAAATATCGTTACTAGCACTAGGACTGAGAGTATCAGCACCAGCAAATAATAATAATGTGTTCTGTGATGGTTGTATTGAAGACACATAAACATTCTTTAAATGTCTGTTATTATATTAACCCCTGATTTTAAAAGACTAGGATACAATATTAAAATGTGATTCAGTGACAGGCTTTCTTGCAAGGCAGGTCATAAACCCGTCAATCATCCTAGCTAACCACGTGCCTCCTTGGACTTTGTGGGTGAGAAGGAGCACAGGGCTTATTGTGGGGGCTGTCACAGAGCACAGGTATACCAATACATCTTTTCTTTACAACTGCCAATAATTTCCTCAGAGCCTGAAGCCTGAGGATAAATTGTCTTGACCTAAAAGCAAGCCGAAACCAGATGAAAGTATCCCTTCACACCCACGGCAGGGCTACAGGCAGTACTTATCTCAAGGAAATGGCAATGCTTGGCCTCAGTAACAGGAGAAGGAAAGATATGTGTCTGTGGATATCACTGGATTTGCAGACAGGCTAAGGAATGCAAGTGCTTAGTCATGGAGAAATGGCTGCCAGGGAGCTGATAGAATATCAGCGTGACTGTTGCTAGGTTTCTTATCTGTCATCCATGTTTCTATGATTCTCTTTCAAAGGGGAGAGTCAGAGGGTGCCCACCCTGCTCACAGAATCCCTGGAGAAAATATGCTTCATCTTAGAAATAACAATCTGAAAAATGATGATGACAGTGATGATAAAACAGCTAGCATTAGATATTGTGCTGTTTTATATGCCTGCCCTCATTAAATCCTGTGGAAGGTTCTGTTATTACTCCCACTTTACTATGAGAAAATAGATTTGAAAGTGATCCTTTCTTCCAGTAAGTAGCGGGATAAAGACCCCTGGGACTCAGGTGTATTAGTCTGTTCTCATGCTGCTATGAAGAAATACCTGAGACTGGGTAATTTATAAAGAAAACAGGTTTAATTGACTCACAGTTCCACATGACTGGGGAAGCCTCAGGAAACTTACAATCATGGTGGAAGGCACCTCTTCACAAGGTAGCAGGAGAGAGAATGAGTGCCAGTAGGGGAAATGCCATATGCTTATAAAACCATCAGATCTCATGAGAACTCACTCACTTTCATGAGAACAGCATGGGGGAAACCACCCCCATGATTCAGTTACCTCCCATGGGGTCCCTCCCATGACACGTGAGGATTATGGGGATTACAATTCAAGATGAGATTTGGGTGGGAACACAGCCAAACCATATCATCAGGAAAGAAGATTGTTCAGATTTCTGTTCTTATTTGCAAGGCTGGTTTATTTTTGTAGCAGGATGAGCTGTGGACAAAACCCCACAGACACTGAGGTAGTGAAGGAAGTGGCTTTAATCAGCTGGAAGCATCAGCAGACTAACGTCTCAAAATCCAAGCTTCTCGAGTGCACAATTTCTGTCCCTTCACAACACTAAAGATTTTACATGAAAGGGCTGTGATTGATTGAGCAATCTAGGGGGTATGTGACAGAGGCTTCATGTACTGGTAGTCAGAGTGAAACAGAACAGAACAGGAAGTTTCACAATGTCCTTCCATACAATGTCTGGAATCTATGGATAAGATTGGTTGCTAGGTCACGGGTTGAATTTTAACTATCAGGTAAAGTCAGGCAGGCCAAGGCCTGGTTTTGGGTCTGGTTTTGGGTCTGGTGCCTGGTGCCGGGCTGCCTGCTTTTGGTTTCACTTCCTTGTTTCTTCTTAAAACAGGTACTGAGTATAAAACAATATAGAACAATATGGGGGGGTCTCTTTCTCTCTTCTCTCATTTTAACTGATAGAGGTGCAAGATCTGAGGGCCAATTATTCACAAACTTAAATAACTATTAAGTACCTACTATTAGAATAGCATCGAGCTCATCAACACCAGGAATGCAAGGATGGCTGCCACCCACACATGTTTACGATCCAGTTCAGTCTACAAATAAACTGAGGTAGAATATAAATAGAAAAGTACCTACAGAATCTGGGGTCACACTACATCCCTTCTGATGAATGGCCTTTGAGTAGGTGGATTTGCCTATCAAAGGCAGCTAGAGGTATGTGATAGGGGACCTTGCTCCTGATACTTCCCACAAGAGAGGGAGGCTCTAGAGGCCAAGACCAACCCTCAGGACATCAGATATTTGGCTTGGCTGAGAGGTCATTCTGCTGGCTCCTTCGAAGGCATTCCCTGATTCTTCCAGAAGCATGGAGGCCTTCAAACTTTGGGATTCCCAGTTACATCATCCATTGGAGACATTGGCTCTCCTTATTTTCCACAAAAATAATTAGCATCAATTCTTGGACAGAGAACAGAGGAGGAGGTGTGAGGGTAGAGACTGTGACTCACTCTCTGGCCAGGAAGCTTTGCTAACTCACTTTAAAAATTGACAGCCCTGGTCAGTAAGGGTGAGGATGGCTGACTGCAGACGTGGGTGGCATGTCTGTCCTTAGGAAGGCTGTTCCTTAGTTGGAGGTCACAGCCAGGGACCACAACTGAAAGCCTCAGCTCTGAAGGGCAGAGAAGAAGGCCCCCAACAGGGCTTCTGAGCCCAGGTGCCAGATCCAGAGTCAGGGCAACCTGAGGCTTTCTCGGCAGGTACCTCTCCAGTTCTCATGGTTTTCAGAGCCAGTGGCCTGTACAATGGAGATTTCCTCCTTTGCTTTGTGTTCTTCTTGCATTTTTAAACAGCAGTTTCTCAGAACAGATGCTCTCTTCTCTCCTTCCCTATGCCCCTTCTGCACAAACAGCAGATTGCCTGCTTCTGTCATCTTTATAGAGGGAAGGAGAGAAACATGCTAATCATGTTCTTTTTCCGCTTCCTCCTGCTTGCAATTAGCTATGCGAGCCAAGGGCTCTCTCTCCTCTCTTACTCTCTTCCCTGAGGAACAAACCCTCCAAGGAGATTTTCCTGGGCACTTCCCACTAAGCCTGCTTCCCTTAACAGACACCTTGGGTTTTGGCTGTTGTTGTTTTGGATATTTACGTCCTTTGACCTCCTAAGAGCCAGATGTCATGCAGTCACATAACTTCTTGATTTCTAGTTCCCCTGTATATTAAAGACCCAAGAGCATATTGAAATGTATGGAAGCCACCAGCATCAAAATTATTCTCATGCCTCCTTCTCCCAGGGCTGCTGCATCACACAACCACAGGGGCATTAGTCACATAGGGCTGTGTGTCTATCCGATAGTCATGCAACACTGTGCACAGATGTCATGTAAAACAAGCACAACCCCAAGCCATAAAATAAGTTTGTTTTATGACAAAGCACAAGTCATAAAACTTGTGATGAAATGCAACAAAATTCTGTGGCATTTTTTTCTCATGACTGTGTTAATGCTAGTTTTGAAATATCAAACATAAGTTCCCCTCCAACGCTTTTTCGTTTGGTGCAATAAACTCCTGAGTAGCCCACCCATCCAAGTAATCCAGCACTGAGCAAACCCACTAGAAAGCTCCTTTGCAGCTCCCTATTTTGCAGATGCACCATGTAGCAGACAGCTAGAATGGGCCCTTTTAATCCTGAGAAGGAAAAGACTAGAACATTGAGACTTGCCCAAGCATGAGTCACCATAGAACAGTATCTGAGAGAATTTGAAATCAAACAGGCTGGATTCAAACACTTTCCAGACCTTGAGGAGTGGTTCAATGATGCCATGCATAATGATAATGGGGATTCTCTGCCTCCTATAGGTTCTTAATTTATATCGTTTATATATATTCAGACCTATATTTCAGGCTGCTGTGAGGAACAGTGGCCTGGCAGGACTCCTTCTCCTTCCTAGCAAGGTAGAAAGGTAGGGCTATGGCAGGGATCCGTGTCACAGTGGAGAGGCAGCAGTTGGAGTCTAAACAGGAAAATAGAAACTATACAAGTACAAAAGTAGAGAAGATTTAATGCAGGAAATAGATTACACAGATATTTCAGTTTGCATTCCCCAGGAGATCCAGAGAGAAGGATTCGAGTGCAAGTATTTTTGCAGGGAGGTGATGCAAAAATTTATAATAAATGTGCATACATATATATTGCATATTTTATTTTTTTCTTGGAGAACTGGTTGTTAAGCCTTTACCAGCACACATTTGGTGAAATGCATTAATTTAAAGATGATTCTTTCCTACAGGTTATACCATATCAGGACCCTGAAGATGTCATCTGATCCAGCTACCTTTACAATTAGGAAAGTATTGTCTATAGTCTGAGTTATATTGCAACATTTCTTTCCATTCAATTCATCACACGTTTAATGATCATTTACTGTGTATTAGAAAGGTGTCATTAAATCACCGAGTCTTAGAGCTTTAAGAAATCTTTGAGACATTTAAGTTTAAACTTCTCGTTTTCTTAATGGAGATAAAAGTCATATAACATAAAATTCACCATTTAACCATTTTAAAGTGTATTAATACAATTAAGTGGTTTTTAGTCTATTCATAATATTGTCAACCATCACTACTACCTAGCAGCTCCAGAACGTTTTATCACTCCCAAAAGAAACCCTGGGCCCATTTAGCAGGCACTTCCCATTTCTCTCTCCCCCACAGCCCCTGTCAAATGATAATCTATTTTTTGCTATGGATTTGCCTGTTCTAGACATTTCATATACATGGAATCCTGTAAGATGTGGCCTTTTGTGTCTGATTTCTTTCACTTCATTTTCAAGGTTTTCAAGGTTCACCCATGTTGTAACATGTGTTAGTATGTCTCCCTTTTTATGGATGAATACTATTCCATTGTATGGATATACCACTTTTAAAAATTCATTCATCAGTTGATGAACATTGGGTCATTTCCACTTCTTTGGCTACCATGAATAGAATTCATGAACGTTCATGTGTAAGCTTTTGTTTGAACATCTTTCTAGTTCCCTTGGGTGTGGAATTGCTGGATTATGTGATCATTCTGTTTAACTTTTGAGAAACTACCAGACTGTTTCCACAGAGGCTGCACCATTTTACATTCCCTCTAGCATGGTCTGAGGAAAACACCTCACTTTTGAAAGGAGGATTCTAAGGCCCAGGAAGGTTCAGTGACTTGCACAAAGCCATGACAGAACTGGGACCAAAATCCAACCTCCCAGCTTCCACTCTGCTCCTTTGTTAGCCCATGGCCCCACTCAAAGGCCAATGCAACATGTTCTTTCTGTTGTATAACTTAAGGCAGGAAAATAGTTACTGCAGGAAAAAAAATGTAATATTGGTGAAAACAAAAAGGATGAATTTTCCAATACTCTGAGTTCACCAGAAAATTCGATTAATCAGAACGCACCCCCTATCCCCATCTCAATCCCCATCCGTATTGACCCAACTTCACAAATGTCTGTTTACTAAAGCAAATGCTTCCAATAACACACTGGCCTTAGTATAAACACTCAAACAATAAGATCACTGTTTAGGCTGTTTTGAAGGCACTTTTCTAAGAGACAAGCATGGACTCTTTTCCCTTCCTCTTCTTCCTAGCTCTGCTTCAGGCCTCTGTCATTCTTTATGCAGGCTTTTAGGATCGCAGCTTCTCTGGCCTCCCTGGTTCCTGTTTTTCTCACTGCCCATCCCTCATTCCTCTGTCTCCAGCCAATTATCCAAACAAAGATCTTGTAACATCATCCCCCTGCTGTAAATAACATTAGTGATTTCTGAGAGTTCAAACTCTTTAGTGGAGCACTTAAGGCCCTTCCCAACTTAGGCTTTAGCTACCTTTGCAGTGTTTATCTGCATCCCCTCACTCATTTTGTGCTGAAACCAGATCAAAAGAACTGCACATCTCTCAACATGTGCAGCACCTTCATGCTTTCCATTTTTTTTCAAATTATAGTTCATTCAAAAAGCAATACTTAAAGCTTTCTATGTGCCATTCTGAGGATTCAAATCAACATATTTCCTGCCTTCAATAAATAGACTTACAACCACCATTGCAGATAAACCGCCCACTAAGCAAATAATAGAACCTGATCTATAAAGTAATAGATATGCAAAGTGCCGAAATAGACCAAAGTCGGAGATGATTAACTTTCTTTAGGAGTCATTCATGAAAGGCCTCACTGAGGATGTAATGCTAGAGCAGAGCTTTGAAGGATGAAGAGAAGTTCACCAAGTGAACGTGGAGGAAAAGCAGTCCAGGCAGAAGGAACAGCTGCTGAAAAGGTCAGGTGCCCAAACCAGAAAGGCATGTGAGGGAATTCATGGGCAGTTCTGGAGAACCAGAGCAGAAGGAGACAGGCTAGAGAATGGCAGGAGATAGCCCTAGAAAGCTCTATGTGTGCCAGGTGCAAAAGGCTTGTGCGCCAGCTAAGGAGTCTGCACTTTCCCCTGTAAGCAATTAAAAGTTTTAAGCAGAGGAGGGATTGGTTTGTATTGATCTAGATAATTCAGGGAACAATGAAGGGAGGATATTTGAGGAATCCCAAAGAGCAGGGGCAGAGACTCTCATCACAGTTCAGGCCTGACCGAAGGCCATAGGGAGATAGCAGTAAAGCAGGGAAACCTACTGTCCCTTCTTCACCTGGAAAACTATCACCTTCCAGAGTTCCTGTCACCCCAGTGAAGGCAACCACTGTCTCTTCTGTTACCTAACACGTGGTACAAACAGCTACCATAGCATGCCCCTCGTGGAAGGAGTTTTCTTTTAACACATTCCCAACCTTCATCGCAGCTCTGGGAAAGCAGAGGCCAGGATGCTTTATATCTCCAGCGTTCAGTACCCTGTTGCTTTCTAAAGTACTTCTCAAACTTGGATTAAAATGCAGACTTTGGTTCAGTAGGTTTGGGATAGAGGCGAGATTCTGCATTTCTAACAAGCATCCACGTGCATGCCACAGACAACTCTTTGGGTAGCAAGGACTTGGCATAGAGTCAACAAAAACTTGTTTGTTGAGAGCCGTGCTTCTCTCCAGTCAAAGACTTGTTGACTGGACAAGAACTGCTCCTGGGATGCAGGCTTACACAGCACAACCCCGTCCGCTTCCTGGTCCTCACAAAAGGACTCCACATCACGTGGCATTGGGTCCTCAGTTATGGGGAGAGACATTCTGGGGAAAATTCTCCTTAATGAAGCCTCTTATCTTTAATGGAAATGCACACAATTGTTCAGTAAGAATGGCAAGTGAGTCCATATCCTTCCGATGGACGCTGAGTAACCGAGCAAAGAGCCAATCAGCTTTTCACATATTAATGAATGTCCTTGGTAGGCAGAAGGCCCCTGAATAATTGATAAACGGGAATGTTCAATGTTTGCTGCAGTTCTGGCCAACGCTGCTCATTATAGGAGATGATTCACTCAGTTCTATGGAACAAATTGTTCCAAGGTCTAACTCCACTTCCCTTGTTATTTTTTTTAATAAAAAAGCATGCACCTGTGGAATTCATATGCATGCAATTGTGTCCAGAATAGAAATGAAAGAATTAATTTGTGTCCCACAGCCCATAATAGAGCAACCCCAGAGGCCCCTGCCAACGGGCTTAGCTTTGCAAATGACGTTTTTCCTGGAGAGGAGGAAAGATATAGATATATCAAGTCTCTGCTGGCTGCGAAGATTGCAAAAGCAGGATGAATTGCAATGAGACCATCTTCCCAATAATGCTTAATATTGCTAGGTTTGGCAAAGGGACAATTGGTATTCAAATTGTATGCCTATATTTTAGACTGTGCATCTGGGAGCTAATTTAGTGTGTCCAGTTCCTGTTAGCCATGTGTCTCTAAGTACTTAGGGCTGCCTTGTGAATTGGGTCCAGAGAATGGTTTAATTTTGCTCTCAAATCCTGATGGTTTAACAAGCATATGTCAAGCTGCTATGGCTTAGCTATATCCCTTCTGTGTCCCCCAAGTTTGGAAATTTTTGTTTCATTGCCCCAAATTATCGCTGGATGAAAAAAACGTTCATTTGTTTTGTAAAATCAAGTAAAACCAATAATTTCACTAGACACATTCCTGTAGTGGGTTGCACACGTGCAGATTCAGCCCTGAAGAAACCCTTCGTGAGAGGCGGAGAAGGTCCTGGCTCGAGCACAGAGGACTCTTCTTCACACTTTAAGAATGAGAGAGTAGGCGCGGTGGCTCACGCCTGTAATCCCAGCACTTTGGGAGGCCAAGGTGGGTGGATCACCTGAGTTCAGGTGTTCAAGACCAGCCTGACCAATATGGAGAAACCCTGTCTCTACTAAAAATACAAAATTAGCTGGGCATGGTGGCACATGCCTGTAATCCCAGCTATTCAGGAGGCTGAGGCAGGAGAATCACTTGAACCTGGGAGGCGGAAGTTGCAGTGAACCAAGATCGGGGCATTGCACTCCAGCCTGGGCAACAAGAGTGAAACTCCATCTCAAAAAAAAAAAAAAAAAAAGAATGAGAGAGACAGTTGGTCCACTAAAGCCTGATTGTGCTAAGGCCTGACTGTGAGCCCCAGAAAACATCATCCTTCACTTTCTAGTCCCAAGTCCTCCTCCAATTCTCAGATGCTTATAGAACTTGGCCCAGTTCCCAGAGTATAATCTGGATTAGGATGAGACCAAAAGCTGGATCCAGATGTGGCTCTCTTCTGGCTGTCTCTAGCAAGGCCTTGGACAGAACTGGGCTCTGGGCCCTCCATACAAGGGATTAGATTTCCCTGCCAGATTGAAACAAACCAGCCCTTGAGGAATCCCTAGGATCCAGAGTGACCAGCTTTGGTTCAGCTGAGCCACCAGAAAAGAGAGTAGCCTTCTTTATCCCAACTTTCTGACCACTTTCCTAGGACTTAATGGTAAGTGACCCTTTGAAGCTGGAAGAGAGGAAACAGGCTTTAGGATTTTTGTTTAACTACTTTCCTATTCGATTTTCAATAGTTGACTAAAAATGGCAGCTAGAAATGTTGGGGAAAGGCAAAGATCTTTAGTCTCTTCTCTCTTCTTCTTGGTTCCTCCTGTGTCTACTGCCTACTGTTGGAATCTGGCCTGACGGGCAGACTCTGTTACTGCTCTCCGTGATACTCGGAAGGAGCAGTGTCTGGACAGCATTCCTTTGTCTTCTGGTTGATTCTAGAGTAACTAAGGATATTGGTCCAGATTTTCACATCCATCCACTCTTCATTCCCACTTTATTGTTGATTTTAAGCCCAGAGTTGCCTTTAATGCAGGGAGGTGTCCTGTGTGCTACAAAAATGGCATGGACAAGAGAACACATGCTGAGTAAGGACACCAAGCCATACATTGCCGAGGGCCGCTCCTCCACAGTCCCCCTGTGGCTGTGGCAACAGCCAAGACTGCTGCTGCTGCTGCTGCTGTGAAGGAGCCCTTCTTTGGCCAAAGCTAGGGAAGGAATTTCAGGGGAACTTAGAAAAGTAGATCATACATGCCAGCGCTGAAGCAGAACTTAAGATCAGCAAGTCACCACCTGCCTGATTTTGAATCCTACCTATGCTATCTTTCACAAGCAGACATGCAAGCTGTGCTTGAATAGCCTGCATTAGACCGGATACTCTGAAAAACAGATGTCAAGGCAAAATTAAATGTGCAGAGATTTTGGCTGGGCACAATGGCTCACTTCTGTAATCCCAGCACTTTGGAAGGCCGAGGCGGGCGGATCACCTGAGGTCAGGAGTTTGAGACCAGCCTGGCCAACATGGTGAAACCCCGTCTCTACTAAAAATACAAAAATTAGCCAGGCATGGTGGCAGGTGCCTGTAATCCCAGCTACTCAGGAGGCTGAGGCAGGAGAATTACTTGAACCCGGGAGGCAGAAGTTGCAGTGAGCCAAGATCGTGCCACTGCACTCCAGCTTGGGTGACAGAACGAGACTCCATGTCAAAAAAAAAAAAAAAAAAAAAAAAAAAAAAACAAAAAAAAAAACCAAAAAAGGTGCAGAGATTTTATTAGTTGAAGTACCTGAATGAAAGAAATAGGAAGGGGGCCAGGAAAGGCTGGGAGAGCCATCACCAAGATGCAAGTCTGACCTCAGTGAATGATAGAGGCAGGGAAGATTGGGTGGAAGCTTCCTAGATTGCATGCAGGTCAAGACAGTTTCAGCGAAGCCTTTGGGGAGTCCTTGAGCCCAAAGTCAGCTAGCAGAGAGGCCCCATTTCCCTGGAAGTTATCTGCTCTGGTACCTCTGCCACATGGAACACTGGCAGGGAGCAGCCTCCAAGAGGTGGGCCCTCCACACAGAGGCAGCAGTGGTGTGTTTGTCCCTCCCTCTTACCTGTCTCCACAGTCTGCCCAGTGTCAGCCTACCTGCCTCCCAGAACAGGGAGAGAGGATAACAGACCACCTGAATGGAGCCAGACCAGAGTAGAGGCGAGAGGCCAAGCCTGGAAACCAGGACACAGCAGAAACTCACACCTGCCTCCCAGGGGGCCCTTGGGGCAGCCATTTGGCAGCACACAAGCTCCAAGGATCGCAGGAATCTGACCTAGTTGGTTTAAAGGAGAGGGGTGTATGCTGGGTCTATAGCAGTTCATTTAAACCCAAAAGTTAGCTCAGCTTATAATAAAAATCCAGTCAATGCGAGTGCCCAGAAATTCTTCCTTGAAATCCATCCCCAATGTTCACCTAGCCCCAACTGACACATTTAAATAAATGCTGATCAGAATTTAGGGATCAGTATTTTATCCCCAATGGGAACAGAAAATTTGAAATCCCCTCTTGTTCAAGATCCCATTGTTTCCCTCTCTCTTTGTAAAACCAAATATCATATGTTCTCACTTAAAAGTGGGAGCTAAGGTACGAGGACACAAAGGCATAAGAATGATATAATGGAATTTGGGGACTCAGGGAGAAGGTTGTGGGGGCTGAGGGATAAAGGACTACATATTGGGTAGAGTGTACACTGCTTGAGTGATGGGTGCACCAAAATCTCAGAAATCACCACTAAAGAATTTATGCATGTAACCAAAAACTACCTATACCCCAAAAACTATTGAAATAGAAATAAAAATTTAAAAAACAGCAATTCTAGGGCAGTTGGGATGGCTATTTTGGAAAATCTTGGGGCAATGACTAAAAATACCATGAAATTGTAAAGTGTTACAGAAATTCTTAGTGATGGCGCACGGCATCGCAGGGATCGGAGGCTTCAGTTTATCTGGGAAGCTCCTGCATTCAGCCACCAAGGCCTCTGCCTGGATATTGTGGCCTTTATCCCTAGCCTCTGATTTCTAATGTGGTCTTTATGATGAGCCTGGAGCGTTGCCATGGAAAGCACTCACAGCTGCTGAACCAAAGTCAGGCTGTTTTCAGATTTGAGTCTGGCTGCTGGCTGCTGCATACTATCTGTGGCCAGGCTTTCTGAATGATATTCAAAAATTACCAACACACACACACACACACACACACACACGCACGCACGCACACCAAGAAAAAGAAATCAACTGAGGAACAGCTTCCCATGATAGTCTATTATTTTTTTCTACTCATTTTGATAAAATGTGACATTTGAAATTTCAAAATAAATAATCATAAAATCTGCTTTCTTGTGCAGCCTATGTGCAGGGTGGCCAACATAATACATGGAGCAATTAGAAGAAGTAAATAAGAAAGAGGAGTTTGAAAGGAGGAAAACTGTTTTACAGTGCAGGTTCTATTCCAGTAATAGACCAAGGATCAATACAAGGACATAGATAATTGATTTACAGGTAAACACACGACTTTAAAATGGTGTTTTCTGCAACAACATGGATGAATTTTAAAAATATTAAGCTGAGCAAAAGAAATCACAAACAAAAGAGTATCTGCTCTGTAGAACCATTTATATGAAGTTCAAAACTAATTAACAGTGATAAAAGCCAGAATTGTGTTTGTCTATGGCAGGATAAGGGGTGAATTAACCAGAAAAAACCATGACAGAATATTGTGGAGTGATGAAAACCTTCTGTTTCTTGATTTGGGATATAGTTACATGATTTAACACCATCAGTAGTATGCTGAGTCTGTCTCTTACACTCCTGAGGGTAGAATTTTTGTAAGCCGATTGTTAAACCATCGCTAGCTTAAAATCAGCTATGGTGGGAGTATTTAAACCATGCAAACCAACAAATGCTACAAATCAAGTTTGGGTCTTTCTGCAGAGGGCCACTTTACCAGCATACCCTTGAATACATTTGTCCAGCTTCATCAAAGTATACACTTAAGATTTATGAATTTTAATGTGTATAAAATTACCTCAATAAGGCACTGGTAGCAAAGAAGAAAAAAAGGATAAAATAGTGTCTTCAGTTAGTGAACCAGTCTAGTTGTTCATTTGTGACTTTCATGTCCTTATGTGCCGTTTCAAGCCTTCATGAGTTCCATTTTCTAAAATTGAGGCTCACCACGATCGTAGTAAATAGCTGGCTTGACACTGCGTACTCTGTGAGCCGCTGAGCTACATTTGAATTAGGTATAGTGAATTTTAATATAATCTGTGTCCTAATTTTTACCACCTCTCTTAAAATATCCTTACATACGTAAAGTATAGGCCCATCCTTCTTTTTAAAAAAGTTTCATATGTTAAAGTCTTTATATGTCAAACACAG